>NC_000011.10:68383447-69669571 GCF_000001405.40 Homo sapiens
AGGGACCTTTCGTGAAGTGGAGTCTCTGGTCCCCTCCAAGTCATAGCTAGACAGGGACTCGGGCATCGCCAAGCCTGGCTGATTATTCACTGGATGAGGAGACAGGCCCAGAGAGGGGCAGGAACCTGCCCGAGGTCACCCAGCAGGCCCCAGAGGTTTCGGTCTCGGATTCTCCCTGCTCATCCCTGGATGTAGTGCTGCTGTGGATGTGGTTCTGTGCTGGGGGCTGTGGAGAGCAGGGGGCTTGTGCCAGGACCCCAGTGAGGGTGGCGCCCTCGCCATGAGGCCGACTGTTGGTATGGGGCGGCCATCCACTGGGGTGTGGGGAGGAACAGCTTTCCTGAGGAGGAGGTGGCGGGAGGAACAGCTTCCCTGAGGAGGAGGTGGCGGTGCTGTGTGACCTGGGCCTTGAAGGACAGGTCCATTGTCAACAGAACATTTTGGGAGTGGAGCCTAGAGGGAGAAAATTTGTTGAAATTCAGATTCCCCTCCCCCTACCAATACACACCAAATCAGATGCCCCTGACCAGATCTAAATTTGGCTCTCAGAGATTTCCATTGTAGCTGGGCACTTGGGGAACCTTCTAAGTGCTGCCTCTGCCTCTCCCCAGCCTGCCTGCCTCAGTTTCCCCAGCCCTGGGCCCGTGTCGCTGTTGCCATCACGTGGGCGCCCTCTAGTGGAGGAATCAGATTATGCACTCCGGGGCTTGGAGCAGGAGTCAGGAGGGGCTCCTGTCTTTCCTTGAAACGTTGGATGCCGGGATCCTGGAACAGTCTCTGCATTCCTCCTGGCGAGAGCCAGAGCCTGGGCACAGGGGACCATCTGTTGTTTGAAGGCTGCAGCCTGGCAGGGCACTCAGGAGATCTGGCAGTTGGCTGCAGGGCCAGGTCTAGGGGCCAGGGCATCAGGGAGGCTCTGGGCTGGTTCAGCCCCGGGCCCCTTTGCAGATTGTGACCTGGGCCCCTGTGCAGGGGCATGGCCACAGGATGCTGGGAGGGGTCTCTGACCCTGACCTTCTTGGCTCTGTGCATCCTTGAGACCAGAAAGGTCTGGAACAAATGAGTAGACGATGCCCTAACCTGGGGAGGGAGCCACATCCTGATCCCAGCAACCTCAGGAAGGATCTGTCAGGATTATGGGGCACCCTGGGGGCCCCAAGTCTGCATGGGTCTCCACTTGCAATTTCTGTAGGAAGCTCTGATAAATCCAAACTGGGGGTCCTAGGACACAGTCAGAAATGCTGATACCGTTGTGTGTGGAGCCTCGGGCCCTGGGGGTCAGGAGCATGTGGAGGGTGGGCCACGGGGGTTCAGAAGAGAATCCTGTAACCCCCCACCCCCCAAACTGAAGCCCACTTGAGGGCCATGGCTGAAAGGTTGGGGGGTCTCCGTGCGTCCTGTGGAGTGGGTGGTGAGGAGTCCTTGGGTTTGCACGCCTCTGGGCCTGAGCGGCGGGACCCCGTCCACAGCGGATCCCTGGGCCCTGTTGCTCAGATGCTCTCAGAGTGTTGCTGTGGCCACGGAGGGAGCCTGAGTTAAGCTTCTCTTGTGCCGGTTGTACGCTGTCAGGTCACACTGGTGAGTTAGGCAGGGCACAGATGCCCAGAGCAGAGGGAACTTTCCTTGGGGATTCAACACGTGCAAGTCTTAGGGGCTGGCAAATCCTGCCCTCAGCTAGAGAGGGGGCTTTTATTTGAGACCAGAATCACCTGAGCATCCTCCTGTCCCCAGCTGTGTCCAGCCTGTCTGCAGGGACATCCTGAGAGGACCAGGCTCTCCCCTCATCCACCTGCCTAAGTGCCACTCTGAACCCTGTCCACCTGTGCCGTGGAGGGGCGTGACCTCAAGCTGCTCAGCCAGCAGCAGGCTTGGCCCTGGGGGGCAGCAGAGACCCAGGTGGCTGTGGGGTGGGTGCTTCGTGGCGTGGTTCTGAAACTTCGTTGGAAGTGTGTGGACAGTGCCTTGCCTGTTCTCTGTGGGACCCTATTTAGAAACGAGGTCTGAGTTACTGGGGGTCATCACTGTGTTCTGATGGCCCAGCTGTGTGGAGGCCGCGGTGCAGCCCCATCCAAGGAGCCAGGGCCCTGGGTCTAGCCGTGACCAGAATGCATGCCCCGGAGGTGTTTCTCATCTCGCACCTGTGTTGCCTGGTGTGTCAAGTGGTCGTGAAACTCTGTGTTAGCTCTTGGTGTTCCTGAAAGTGCCCCCGGGTCTCAGGCCTCAGAACCAGGGTTTCCCTTCATCTCGGTGGCCTGGGAGCATCTGGGCAGTTGAGCAAAGAGGGCGATTCACTTGAAGGGTGTGTCTGGCCCTGCCTAGGAGCCCCCCGGCACGGTGCTGGGGCCTGAAGCCGCCCTCGGGTGGTGGAGAGGAGGGAGCGATGAAGTGGCGTCGAGCTGGGCAGGAAGGGTGAGCCCCTGCAAGGTGGGCATGCTGGGGACGCTGAGCAGCATGGCCAGCAGCTGGGTCTGCAGCCTGGTACCCGGCGGGACTTGTGGTTGGGGCTGGTTTGTGGCCAGGAGAGGGGCTGGCAGGAGACAAGGGGGACTGTGAGGCAGCTCCCACCCAGCAGCTGAAGCCCAATGGCCTGGCTGTGTGGCTCTCAGCTGCGTGCATAACCTCTCAGTGCTTCAGTTCTCTCATTTGTAAAATGAGGAAACAAACAGTGCCAGCCTCCCAGAGGTGTCATGAGGATGAACGAGTGACCATGTAGCATGGGCTGGGTGCGTGTCACCTAACATCACCAGCCTTTGCAAGGAGAGCCCTGGGGGCCTGGCTGAGTATTTCCCTTGCCCGGCCCACCCCAGGCCTAGACTTGTGCCTGCTGCAGGCCCTTGACCCCTGACCCCATTGCACCTGTCTCCACAGGAGCCGAGGAGGTGCTGCTGCTGGCCCGGCGGACGGACCTACGGAGGATCTCGCTGGACACGCCGGACTTCACCGACATCGTGCTGCAGGTGGACGACATCCGGCACGCCATTGCCATCGACTACGACCCGCTAGAGGGCTATGTCTACTGGACAGATGACGAGGTGCGGGCCATCCGCAGGGCGTACCTGGACGGGTCTGGGGCGCAGACGCTGGTCAACACCGAGATCAACGACCCCGATGGCATCGCGGTCGACTGGGTGGCCCGAAACCTCTACTGGACCGACACGGGCACGGACCGCATCGAGGTGACGCGCCTCAACGGCACCTCCCGCAAGATCCTGGTGTCGGAGGACCTGGACGAGCCCCGAGCCATCGCACTGCACCCCGTGATGGGGTAAGACGGGCGGGGGCTGGGGCCTGGAGCCAGGGCCAGGCCAAGCACAGGCGAGAGGGAGATTGACCTGGACCTGTCATTCTGGGACACTGTCTTGCATCAGAACCCGGAGGAGGGCTTGTTAAAACACCGGCAGCTGGGCCCCACCCCCAGAGCGGTGATTCAGGAGCTCCAGGGCGGGGCTGAAGACTTGGGTTTCTAACAAGCACCCCAGTGGTCCGGTGCTGCTGCTGGGTCCATGCGTAGAAAGCCCTGGAGACCTGGAGGGAGCCCTTTGTTCCCCTGGCTTCAGTTTCCTCATCTGTAGAATGGAACGGTCCATCTGGGTGATTTCCAGGATGACAGTAGTGACAGTAAGGGCAGCCTCTGTGACACTGACCACAGTACAGGCCAGGCCTCTTTTTTTCTTTTTTTTTTTTTGAGATGGAGTCTCACTCTGTCGCCCAGGCTGGAGTGCAGTGGTGTGATCTCAGCTCACTACAACCTCTGCCTCCTGGGCTCAAGTGATTCTCCTGCCTCAGCCTCCTGAGTAGCTGGGATTACAGGTGCCTGCCACTGTGCTTGGCTAATGTTTGTATTTTTGGTAGAGATGGGGTTTCACCGTCTTGGCCAGGCTGGTCGCAAACTCCTGACCTCAGGTGATCCACCTGCCTCAGCCTCCCAAAGTGCTGGGATTACAGGCATGAGCCACCACGCCCGGTCAGGCCAGGCCTCTTTTGAACACTTTGCACACCATGGGTCTTTTCATCCAGGGGGGTAGGTACAGTTGTACAGTTGAGGACACTGAAGCCCAGAGAGGCTCAGGGACTTGCCCAGGGTCACACAGCAGGATGTGGCAGGTGTGGGGCTGGGCCTGGCAGCGTGGCTCCAGCTTTCCAGCATAGAAATCTGTGAAAGCAGATAGTTTGTCGGTCGGTAGGGGAGACTTTCTGAGACCCGCCCCAGCGGCTCAGAGGGTAGTAGCCAGGGGCCTTCCTGGGGGCTCATAACCCAGAACACTGAATGGGAAAACCCTGATGGAGGAGGCGCAGTGGAGCTGTGGGTGCCGATGGGAAGTCCCAGAGGAGCTGGGAGGTCAGTAGCGGTGCTGCCCTCTGTGGAGCACTTAGTGGGCACCAGGTGTGTTTCCAGGTTCATGGCCCTGGGACCTGAAGCTCAGAAGGTGAAGTAACTTGCCCAGGGCACCCGTCGGGCAGCGGCGGGCAGAGGATTTGTGGGCTGTGGAGCCTGTGCTCGTGGCCCAGCCCTGGGGGTTGTGAGTGTGCTGGCCGGGGAGCTTTTCCTGCAAGTGGACTGGTGTCTAGGAGCCAGCATGTCAGGCAGCAGGCAGCGGGAGTGCAGCAGGCAGCGGGAGCACAGCAGGCAGAGGGCGGGGCTCGAGCAGCCATCCGTGGACCCTGGGGCACGGAGGCATGTGGGAGAGGGCTGCTCCATGGCAGTGGCTGAAGGGCTGGGTTGTGCCCCGAGGAGGGTGGATGAGGGTAAGAAGTGGGGTCCCCAGGGGCTTTAGCAAGAGGAGGCCCAGGAACTGGTTGCCAGCTACAGTGAAGGGAACACGGCCCTGAGGTCAGGAGCTTGGTCAAGTCACTGTCTACATGGGCCTCGGTGTCCTCATCTGTGAAAAAGGAAGGGATGGGGAAGCTGACTCCAAGGCCCCTCCTAGCCCTGGTTTCATGAGTCTGAGGATCCCAGGGACATGGGCTTGGCAGTCTGACCTGTGAGGTCGTGGGGTCCAGGGAGGGGCACCGAGCTGGAAGCGGGAGGCAGAGGGGCTGGCCGGCTGGGTCAGACACAGCTGAAGCAGAGGCTGTGACTTGGGGCCTCAGAACCTTCACCCCTGAGCTGCCACCCCAGGATCTGGGTTCCCTCCTTGGGGGGCCCCAGGGAACAAGTCACCTGTCCTTTGCATAGGGGAGCCCTTCAGCTATGTGCAGAAGGTTCTGCTCTGCCCCTTCCTCCCTCTAGGTGCTCAGCTCCTCCAGCCCACTAGTCAGATGTGAGGCTGCCCCAGACCCTGGGCAGGGTCATTTCTGTCCACTGACCTTTGGGATGGGAGATGAGCTCTTGGCCCCTGAGAGTCCAAGGGCTGGTGTGGTGAAACCCGCACAGGGTGGAAGTGGGCATCCCTGTCCCAGGGGAGCCCCCAGGGACTCTGGTCACTGGGCTTGCCGCTGGCATGCTCAGTCCTCCAGCACTTACTGACACCAGCATCT
This sequence comes from Homo sapiens, assembly GCF_000001405.40. NCBI lineage: Eukaryota > Metazoa > Chordata > Mammalia > Primates > Hominidae > Homo > Homo sapiens. The sequence goes on from NC_000011.10 coordinate 68,388,926, forward strand.
ACTGACACCAACATTTACAAACACCGACATTGACCGACACCGACATTTACCGACACTGACATTTACCAACACTGTTTACCAACACTGACATCTACTGACACTGGCATCTACCAACACTGACATTTACCGACACTGACATTTACCAACACTATTTACCAACACTGACATCTACTGACATTGGCATCTACCAACACCAACATTTACCGACACCAACATTTACCAACACTGAAATTTACCGACACCGACATTTACCGACACTGATATTTACCAACACTGACATCTACTGACGCTGGCATCTACTGACACCGATGCCAGCATCTACCAACACCGACATTTACCAACACTGACATTTACCAACACTGACATTTACCGACATTGACATTTACTGACACTGACATCTACTGACACTGGCATCTACTGACACTGATGTTTACCGACACTAGCATCTACTGACACTGACATTTACCAACACCAGCATCTACCAACACCGACATTTACCAACACTGACATTTACTGACACTGATATCTACTGACACTGGCATCTACTGACACCAACATTTACCAACACCAGCATCTACCAACACCGACATTTACCAACACCAGCATTTACCAACACCGATGTTTACCAACGCCGACGTTTACCGACGCCAGCATCTACCAACACTGACATTTACCGACACCGACATTTACCGACACTGACATTTACTGACACTGACATCTACTGATACTGGCATCTACCGACACTGATATTTACCAACGCCAGCATCTACTGACACTGATGTTTACCAACACCGACATTTACGAGCACCGACATTTACTGACACCAATATTTACTGACATCAACATTTAGCCATGTGATGGGGGCCGGCTTGGGGGCAGGCCTTGCTCTTGGCACTGGGGATGCTGCAGAGACCAGACAGACTCATGGGGTCATGGACTTCTGCTTCTTCTCCAGCCTCATGTACTGGACAGACTGGGGAGAGAACCCTAAAATCGAGTGTGCCAACTTGGATGGGCAGGAGCGGCGTGTGCTGGTCAATGCCTCCCTCGGGTGGCCCAACGGCCTGGCCCTGGACCTGCAGGAGGGGAAGCTCTACTGGGGAGACGCCAAGACAGACAAGATCGAGGTGAGGCTCCTGTGGACATGTTTGATCCAGGAGGCCAGGCCCAGCCACCCCCTGCAGCCAGATGTACGTATTGGCGAGGCACCGATGGGTGCCTGTGCTCTGCTATTTGGCCACATGGAATGCTTGAGAAAATAGTTACAATACTTTCTGACAAAAACGCCTTGAGAGGGTAGCGCTATACAACGTCCTGTGGTTACGTAAGATGTTATCATTCGGCCAGGTGCCTGTAGACACAGCTACTTGGAGACTGAGGTGGGAGGATCGCTGGAGTCCAAGAGTTTGAGGCCAGCCCGGGCAAAGGGGACACAGGAATCCTCTGCACTGCTTTTGCCACTTACTGTGAGATTTAAATTATTTCACAATACAAAATTAAGACAAAAAGTTAATCACATATCCACTGCCCTGCTTAAGACAGAAAACATGGGTGTTGTTGAAGCCAGAGGCAGCTGCTGGCCTGAGTTTGGTGATTGGTTCCTAAGCAGTTGAAGGCAGTTTTGTTTTTCCATAGATGTCTGTTCTCCCTTTGCTGGGTGCAGCCTCGCCCTGCTGCTGTGGTCGGGTTTCAGTGGCCTCGTCCCGTGGACGCAGCCTCGCCCTGCCGCTGTGGTCGGGTTTCAGTGGCCTCGTCCCGTGGACGCAGCCTCGCCCTGCCGCTGTGGTCGGGTTTCAGTGGCCTCGTCCTGTGGACGCAGCCTCGCCCTGCCGCTGTGGTCGGGTTTCAGTGGCCTCGTCCCGTGGACGCAGCCTCGCCCTGCCGCTGTGGTCGGGTTTCAGTGGCCTCGTCCTGTGGACGCAGCCTCGCCCTGCCGCTGTGGTCGGGTTTCAGTGGCCTCGTCCCATGGGCGTGCTTTGGCAGCTTTTTGCTCACCTGTGGAGCCTCTCTTGAGCTTTTTTGTTTGTTGTTTGTTTTTGTTTGATTTTGTTTGATTGTTTGTTTTTGTTGTCGTTGTTGTTGCCCAGGCTGGAGTGCAGTGGCGCGATCTCAGCTCACTGAAACCTCTGCCTCCTTGGGTTCATGCCATTCTCCTGCCTCAGCCTCCCACATAGCTGGGATTACAAGTGCCCGCCACCACGCCTGGCTAAATTTTGTATTTTTAGTAGACAGGGGGTTTCACCATGTTGGTCAGGCTGGTCTGGAACTCCTGGTCTCACATGATCCACCTGCCTCGGCCTCCCAAAGTGTTGGGATTACAGGCGTGAGCCACCGCGCCCAGCCTCTGTTGAGCATATTTTGAGGTTCTCTTGGTGCCAGTGATATGTTACATGTGTCCCCATCGCACCATCGTCACCCATTGAGGTGACATTGGTGCCTCTCCTCGGGGTGGATGCCTCCCTCTGTTTCCAGCAACTTCTGAAGGATTTTCCTGAGCTGCATCAGTCCTTGTTGACGTCACCATCGGGGTCACCTTTGCTCTCCTCAGGGCTCCCAGGGGAGGCCCGAATCAGGCAGCTTGCAGGGCAGGGCAGGATGGAGAACACGAGTGTGTGTCTGTGTTGCAGGATTTCAGACCCTGCTTCTGAGCGGGAGGAGTCTCAGCACCTTCAGGGTGGGGAACCCAGGGATGGGGGAGGCTGAGTGGACGCCCTTCCCACGAAAACCCTAGGAGCTGCAGGTGTGGCCATTTCCTGCTGGAGCTCCTTGTAAATGTTTTGTTTTTGGCAAGGCCCATGTTTGCGGGCCGCTGAGGATGATTTGCCTTCACGCATCCCCGCTACCCGTGGGAGCAGGTCAGGGACTCGCGTGTCTGTGGCACACCAGGCCTGTGACAGGCGTTGTTCCATGTACTGTCTCAGCAGTGGTTTTCTTGAGACAGGGTCTCGCTCGCTCACCCAGGCGAGAGTGCAGTGGCGCAATCACGGCTCGCTGTAGCCTCAATCTCCCTGGGCTCAGGTGATCCTCCTGCCTCACCCTCTGAGTAGCTGGGACTACAGACACATACCACCACACCCAGCTAGTTTTTGTGTATTTTTTGTGGGGGGAGATGGGGTTTCGCTGTGGTGCCCAAGCTGATCTCAAACTCCTGAGGCACAAGCGATCCACCTGCCTCGGCCTCCCAAAGTGCTGGGATGACAGGCATCAGCCGTCACACGCAGCTCAATGATTTTATTGTGGTAAAATAAACATAGCACAAAATTGATGATTTTAACCATTTTAAAGTGAACAGTTCAGGCTGGGCGTGGTGGCTTATGCTTGTAATCCCAGTACTTTGAGAGGCTGAGGTGGGCAGATCACCTGAGGTCAGGAGTTTGAGACCAGCCTGGCCAACATGATGAAATCCAGTCTCTACTAAAAATACAAAAATTAGCCGGGCATGGTGGCAGGTGCCTGTAATCCCAGCTACTCGGGAGGCTGAGGCAGGAGAATCGCTTGAGCCCGGGAGGTGGAGGTTGCAGTGATCTGAGATCATGCCACTGCACTCCAATCTGTGTGACAGAGCAAGACTCTGTCTTGAAAAATAAATAAATAAAAAAAATTTTAAAAAGTGAACAATTCAGGGCATTTAGTATGAGGACAATGTGGTGCAGGTATCTCTGCTACTATCTACTTCTAGAACACTTTCTTCTGCCCTGAAGGAAACCCCATGCCCACCGGCACTCACGCCCATTCTCCCCTCTCTCCCAGCCTCTGTCAACCACTAATCTACTTTCTGTCTCTGGGGGTTCACTTCTTCTGGACGTTTTGTGTGACTGGAATCCTGCAATATGTGGTCCCTGCGTGTGGCTTCTTTCCATAGCATTGTGTTTTCCAGATTCACCCACACATTGTCGCACGTTATCAGAACCTCATTCCTGACTGGGTGCAGTGGGTTAGGCCTGTAATCCTAACATTCTGGGAGGCCAAGGCGGGACGATCACTTGAGGCAGGAGTTTGAGACCAGCCTGGCCAGCCTAGCAAGACCCCAGCTACCAAAAAATTTTAAAAGTTAACTGAACGTGGTGGTGGTGGGCACTTGTGGTTCCCAGCTACCTGGGAGGCTGAGGTGGGAGGATCGCTTAAGCCCAGGAGGTCAAGGCTGCAGTGAGCTATGATCGCACCACTGCACTCCAGCCTGGACAACAGAGCAAGACCCTGTCTGAAAAAAAAAACAAAAAAAAAAGTTCCTTTCTTTTTGTGGCTGGATGACATCCCATTGTATGGCCACAGCACATTTTGTTTGTCTGTTTATCGGGTGGTGGGCAGTGGTTTCCACCTTTTGTCTCCTGTGAATAATGCTGCTGTGAACATTTGAATTCAAGTTTTTGTTTGAACACCTGTTGTGAATTATTTGGATATATGTGTAGGGGTAGGATTGCTGAGTCCTATGGTAATGTTAGGTTTGACTTACTGAGGAACCATTAAACTGTTTTCAACAGTGGCTGCGCCGTTCTGCATCCCCACCGGCAGTGTGTGAGGGTTCTGACTTTACCTCCTCACAAACGCTTCTTTTCCATTTAAAAAAATATTCAGCCAGGTGCTCTGGCTCACGCCTGTAATCCCAGCACTTTGGGAGGCCGTGGCGGGCGGATCACCTGAGGTCAGGAGTTCGAGACGAGCCTGGCCAACATGGTGTAACCCCATCTCTACCAAAAATATAAAAATTAGCCGGGTGTGGCAGCGGGCGCCTGTAATCCCAGCTACTTGGGAGGCTGAGGCAGGAGAATCACTTGAACCCGGGAGGCAGAGGTTGCAGTGAGCCAAGATCGCGCCACTACACTCCAGCCTGGGTGACAAGAGTGAAACTCCATCTAAAATAAAACAAAAATAAAAATAAATAAAAATTTATTAAAACATTCATCACAGCCAGCCTAGTGGGTGTCCCATGTGGCTTTGCCTCGCATTTCCCTGATAACTAGGATGCTGAGCGTCTTGTCCCAGGCTTGCCACACCTCAGCACTTTGAGATACGTCGCACAGTCCCCATTTGCGAACGAGAAATGAGGTTTAGGGAACAGCAGCTGTGTCATGTCACACAGCGAGCAGGGGGTCTCTGAGCCGTCTGACCCCACAGCCGACCAAGCTCCAATCCTTACCGCCTCCTAGTGTTGTGGATGTAGCCCAGGGTGCTCCCACATTTTTCAGATGAGAACACCGAAGCTCAAAACAGGAGCGTTTTGTCCACATTGGATACACGATGTCTGTGGTTTGGTCCTGAAGTCACTTTATATCTCAGTGGTCCAGACTGGAGTAGGACAGGGGGTTCTGGGGAATGGGGAAGGTGTCTCAGGTGAAAGGAAGGAATTCCAGATTCTCCATACTGTCCTTGGGAAGTTAGAAGACTCAGAGGGTCTGGCAAAGTCAGACAAAGCAAGAGAAATGCAGTCAGGAGGAAGCGGAGCTGTCCAGGAACAGGGGGGTCGCAGGAGCTCACCCCCAGGAACTACACTTGCTGGGGCCTTCGTGTCACAATGACGTGAGCACTGCGTGTTGATTACCCACTTTTTTTTTTTTTTTGAGGTGGAGTCTCGCTCTCTTGCCCAGTCTGGAGTGCAGTGGCACGATCTCGGCTCACTGCAAGCTCTGCCTCCCGGGTTCATGCCATTCTCCTGCCTCAGCCTCCCGCGTAGCTGGGACTACAGGCGCCTGCCACCGCGCCCGGCTAATTTTTGTATTTTTAGTAGAGATGGGATTTCACTACATTAGCCAGGATGGTCTCGATCTCCTGACCTCATGATCCGCCCGTCTCGGCCTCCCAAAGTGCTGGGATTACAGGCGTGAGCCACCGCGCCCGGCCCGATTTCCCACTTTAAGAATCTGTCTGTACATCCTCAAAGCCCTATACACAGTGCTGGGTTGCTATAGGGAATATGAGGCTTACAGGCCATGGTGCTGGACACACAGAAGGGACGGAGGTCAGGAGGTAGAAGGGCGGAGAGAGGGAACAGGCGGAGGTCACATCCTTGGCTTTCAAAATGGGCCAGGGAGAGACACCCTCTGAGCATGGTAGGACAGGAAAGCAAGATTGGAACACATTGAGAGCAACCGAGGTGGCTGGGCGTGGTGGCTTACGCCTGTAATCCCAACACTTTGGAAAGCTGAGGTGGGTGGATTGCTTGAGGCCAGGAGTTCAAGACCAGCCTGGCCAACATGGTGAGACCCCGTCTCTACTAAATATACAAAAATTAGCCAGGCGTGATGGTGCATACCTGTAATCCCAGCTGCTTGGGAGGCTGAGGCAGGAGAATTGCTTAAACCTGGGAGGCGGAGGTTGCAGTGAGCCGAGATCCCGCCACTGCACTCCAGCCTGGGCCACAGAGTGAGACTCCATCTCAAAAAAAAAAAAAAAAAAGATAAAAAGACCAACCGAGGAATTGAAGTGGGGGGGCGTCACAGTAGCAGAAGGGGGATCGTGGAGCAGGCCACCCTGTGGTCATGCACTGGAAGCTCATTACCTGACGATTTGGAGCTCATCACTGGGGGCCTAAGGAGAATAGATACTGAAGGATGAGGAGTGATGGCGCAGGGCACGGGTGTCTTTGGTGGCCAGAACTTGGGGACTGCTGGGGTGCCTCACTGCAGGCCTTCTCAGCGCCCTTTATATGCTTACACAGGCTGTTTCTAAGAGGGGGATACATTGCATAAGCGTTTTCAGACTACCTCATCATGGGTCCCTTTCTTTACCCTCTGTGGCCCTGGTGGCGCACTCTCTGGGAAGGTGCAGGTGGATGCCCAGACCCGCCCTGCCATCCACCTGCACGTCCAGAGCTGACTTAGCCTCGAGATTGCTGCTGGCACCTCCTGCCCCGGGACACCTCGGATGTGCCCGTGGAGATGCTGGCTCTGTGTTTTCTGCTGGAGTTTGGTGCGTCTTTTCCTCCTGCAAGTGGCCACCGCTCTTGGGTATGTCCTCAGGCTTCTGCGAGTCATGGCTGCTTCTCAGGTCCTTGCCCAGCGCCAGGAGCAAACCCTCCTGGCACTTTGTTCAGGGGTGGATGCGCCAGTGTTCCTGCTGTGGACCCCCATCTCACATGAGGGTCTTGGGCCTGCAGGCTCGTTCAGGAAACACCCGCTGAGTACGCAGTGTGTGCCAGCTGTGTCCCAGGCAATGGCGGGGACAGTGGCTGCTGCTGGGGTTGTGGTGGCTTCTGGGGACTCTGGGGACAGCTGAGGTGCAAGGAGCCACGGCTCCTTGAGGATGCAGTTGGACTCCAGGTGGAAGGGATGGTTGGGGGAGGTATAAATGGGGTCAGGGAGGAGACACATTTGGAACAATGGGAACATTTTTAAGATGCTATGTCGGGAGGCAACAAGGTGGCCAACCCAGGTGCTGAGGAGCCCACACCAGCCCTGGACGTGTTTTGCCGCTCACCTTTGCTGGGGAGTGGTGGGAGAGAGGATTCCGTTCCACGTGGTGGTGTGCGCAGCTGGGCTGTGTGGAGCTGGGCGCTAGGAGGAAGGTGCTTTCTGCGGGGCTAGCCGGGCTCTGCCTTTGAACACAATCAGGCTCCAGGTTTTCAGCATCCAGTGCATGAGAGGACTTCACGGGCAGCTGTGGCTGATCCCTTGATGAATTGGGAGAAGAACAAAGGTCTATGAAATGAGGTTTCATGTAGATGGCATTAGAGACGCCCACAACAGATTTACAGAGTGGAGCGGAGACGGCGGATGGGTCTGGGAGGCCCCTCCTGCTGGCCTTGACTGTGACAGCTGTCCTGGGAATCAGCTTCCAGGCCGCCCCAGCAGCCTGACTGACACACACAGGGTTTTAGCCCCATCCTGCGACCAGCTGTTGCCATCATCAGTGACAGCTGGGAGTGGCGGTGGTTCCAGCCCTGGGCACCCTCCCCACCTGCTGGGGCCCACCCAGGGCAGTCCTGACACCTACAGGTTGCTTGGAGCCGCATCCGAGTCCTGCCCCACCACGTGTGAAGCCCGAGTGGTCGTGGGCTGAGGTCCCCTGATTGCATCCCCACTTCCCTTCTGCTTCACATAGCTGCCTCTTCTCACCGTTTTTCCAGCCTCCTGGGCTAGGAATTCCAGTGTTGTGCTGGCTTTGCCCCAGGACACCTCCTTAGCCCTCTTCCTGAGTCTAGAGCCCCGGGGGTTGGAAGTTCTGGCCCCTGGGACACCTGCAGCCACACTCAGCTTCTCCTGTGAGCCTCCAGCATGTCCCCTCAGGACCAAGCCCTCACGTTCTTGCCTCCCCGCCCACCTGGGCTCAGCCAGGGGAAGGCCTGGCTGGGAGCGTCTCCCCTCTGCCCTGCCCTTCTCCCCTCTACCCTGCCCTTCTCTCCTCTGCCCCGCCATGGCTTTTATATCCTGTGCCACAAGACATGGCTGTGTGTGAAAGTGGCAGGGTCTGGCATCTCTGTGGGTCTCTGAGGCCCACGCTCCAGTGCCACTCTTCCCACCCGCTGGCCGTGCCCTCATGCTGGAGGGACAGCCCAGCCCTCTCCCGAACCCCAGCCCCATGTGCCCAGCTGCCCCCGGCCCTCTCCCCTGGAAGCCGGGGTCACTCCAGCCGTATGCCATGGTGGGGACATCCTGCTTCCTTGGCCTTCCAGGGAAGGTCCTCTTTCCAAATGGCGACACCTGGTCCCTGCCTGGAGGCTGGAAGCTGTGGCCCTTGTATGCCCCTCCAGGGTCTGTGCGCTCGGTTGGCCCGAGTTCCCATCACCGTCGTCATCATCACCATCATCATTGTCATTTCGCTTGTCTGTGAGCCGGCCTGGTCTCCCAGAGCAGAGACCCTCTGAGGTCCAGCCTGAGTTGGGGTCTCCGTGCTGACCCCTGACGGGGACTCAGGACGTACCAGGTCTGGGTCAGGAGTGACCCCCAAACCTCGTGCCCTTTGACAGGCACCCCTGACTTTTGCTAAGTGGGTGGAGGTGACATCACTTACAGCGGGAGTGATGGGACAGGGTCTGTTGGCTGCACTGTGCTCCCAGGGATCTGGGGAGAGGCTATATCCCTGGGCTTTGGCACTGCAGAGCTGTGTGTGTTTGTGTGTGTGTGTGTGTGTGTGTGTGTGTGTGTGTGTTTGCGTGCGCGCACATGTGTATAAGATCTTTTTTTATTACATGAAGCAAGATAACTGTTGCTGTTTCCTTTTGGGTTTTGTGTTCAACAGAGTGGGGTACTTCTTCCCTCAGACAACAGAACTCTCCCCTTTAAACACGTGCTGTCAGAGGGTGGGTCTTGGGCTCATGTCTGTTTGCACAGCCGAGTCAGAGGAAACACAGGGTTCTTCATAAAAACACTGCACAGCAGGCGACTGTCCAGAGTCAGCCTGCAGGACGGCAGCAGCCCTGCCCCTCAGAGCACAGCTAGGGTGGGCTGCTTTGGGATCTCCCGTCATTCCCTCCCAGCTGGCAGCCGGCGGCCGGCCCATTCCTTGGTGTGCTGGTCAGGGGGGCGTGCGCCTGCTCTGCTCACCCTGGGAATGGGACAGAAGCTGGCAGCTCGGAGAGGACAGGGCTGGACCCTTGGGTGGCCTCTGGCTGGACCATCTCATTGTCCTCAGACACAGCCTCTCGGGTCTAGTTTCATTTCCTGAAAAACAAGTGCACAGAACTAGAGCAGGAGTCGAGAGCTACGGCCCCCGGGCCAGATCCAGCCCTGCCACCTGTTTTCACACCATGCTCAAGCTGAGTGGGTTTTACATTTTTTAATTACTTGAAAAAAAAAAAGCCAAAGGAGGTTTCATGACCCATGAAAATTATATGGAATTCAAAAAAAAAAAATTATATGGAATTCAAATTTCAGTGTCCATAAATAATTTCTTGAGACAGGGTCTCGCTCTGTCACCCAGGCTGGAGTGCAGTGCTATGGCATGGCTCGCTGTACCCTTGACCTCCCAGGCTCAAGCGATCCTCCTGTCTCAGCCTCCTGAGTAGCGGGGACTACGGGTGTGTGCCACCAAGCCCGGCTAATTTTTTTTTAATTTTAGTAAAGACAGGGTCTTTCTATGTTGCCCAGGCTTTTCTGGAACTCCATCTTGGCCTCCCAAAGTGCTGGGATTACAGGCTCGAGCCACGGAGCCCAGCCTGTTTTTGTTTTTTCACTGATAAAGTTTTGCCGGGTGTGGTAGTGTGTGCCTCTAGCGATTTGGGAGGCTGAGGTGGGAGGATCGCTTAAGCCCAGGAGTTTGAGGCTGGGCTCAAGTGATCAGGAGGTGAACTATGATCATGTCATTGCATTCCAGCCTGGGTGACAGAGCAAGAACCTATCTCTTAAAAATATATATTTAAAAAGTATTGGGTGTGGTGGCTCACGCCTGTGGTCCCAGCTACTTAGGCATCTGAGGTGGGAGGATGGCTTGAGCCCAGGAGTTTGAGGTTGCAGCGAGCCAAGATCGTGTCACTACACTCTAGCCTGGGTGACAGAGCCCAGACCCTGCCTCTTTAAAAAAAAAAACCAAAAAACATGTATTGGAACACAGCCATGCCTGTTCAGTCACGTGCTCTCCATGCTGCTTTCTGCTCCAGAGACCCTTATGGCCTGAAAGCTGAAAATATTTTCTATCCTTTACAAAAAAGTTTGCTGACCTCTGTCCTGGAAAATTCATCTCCCAAGTTCTCTTCCGGCACTGGCGTTCCTGGGTGTCCTAAATTTGGCCCCTGTTATTTCTGAACTCTGTTTTGGCTCTGTTCCCTCCCAGGAGCCAGGACAGGCACGTTCTCTGCATCTTGTCCCCTGACGCCCAGAGGCTTGGCTCGGCTCAGGCATTCTTGGAAATATCTGGCTCCAGGAAAGGCAGAGGCCTCCTGAGTCGGCCCAGAGGGAACCTGCCCCAGGTCTGGGGGAGGCCTGACCCAGCAGAGTGGCTTTTGCCGATGGGTTGGGCCGGTCAAGATGTGCTGAAAGTTGTCCTCAGAAGGCCACTTTGGGATTCCTTCCTCCAGTATTAGAGCAACTGAGAGCTGCTCATTGCAAGCCTGATGTTTTCCCAGTTGGCCGGGTCCACCGGGTGCCCTGGGATTCTGCGATCTGGGTGGAAAGTAGGGGGCTTGGGGGAGTGTCCTGGGTTCTGGAATCCAGGTGGCAAGTGGTGAGGTTCAGGGAGTGGCTTCTGAGCCACCATAGGGGTCTCTGTGGGAGGCTCTGCCCATCCAGGAGATTCCGCAGGCCCTGCCGGCCCAGAGCCAGCGTCTTGCGCTTGCCGAGGCTACAGCCAGCCCCAGCCGGGTGGAACAGCCCGTCGCCTCCTCTCACTTTGTTTTGGGGCCACCTGGGAGTGTGGAGCAAGGGTAGAGAGGGAGGAAGTGGCTGCCGGCCGCTGCCCAGCACCCTTGTTTGCCTTGGGCCCTCTGTGGGCTCCTTTTTATTGCTCTTCAATGAAGCCAGGGAAATGGACTTCCTTGCCTCACTTCAGTTCAACATGTCTGGAAGTTTGGTATTAAAATTAAGAAAGTGTGGAAATAGAGCAAGAAGAGAAAAATCTCTCCAAGAGATAATAGTGACCTCTGAGCTGGGCGCGGTGGCTCACGCCTGTAAATCCCAGTACTTTGGGAGGCTGAGGCGGGCAGATCACCTGAGGTCGGGAGTTTGTGACCGGCCTGACCAAGATGGAGAAACCCCGTCTCTACTAAAAATAAATAAATAAATAAATAAATACAAAATTAGCCAGGCATGGTGGCGCCTGCCTATAATCCCAGCTAAGGCAGGAGAATCGCTTGAACCTGGGAGGCAAAGGTTGCAGTGAGCCAAGATCACGCCATTGCACTCTAGTCTGGGCAACAAGAGTGAAACTCCGTCTCAAAAAAAATAAATAAATAAAAAATAAAAATAATGACCTCTGGCCAGGTGTGGCAGCTCATACCCGTAATCCCAGCACTTTGGAAGGAAGGCCGAGATGGGCAGATTGCTTTAGCACAGGAGTTTGAGACCAGCCTGGCCAACATGGTGGAACCCCATCTCTACAAAAATAGAATAAAATTTAAGAGGTAATAGTGACCTTTTGGTAGATCGAAACCTGGATTGCTTTCTTTTTCTAAATGCTGATTCTTTTCTTTGTGGTGTTTGTGTTCTGTGCCGATGTCCCTCCCCCAGCCCTGTTATTGTGAGTGGAAGAAGGGGAAAGGGTTCGCCCGCTACTGTGAGCCCCTCCTCTCACGCTGGGTGTCCTTGGAGAAGCCTGCACTTCTTCATTGTACGCCAGGGCTGGGTCCCTCCCTGGAGTGGTTCTGTGCTGCTGGGATGGGGCCAACCCCTCAGATGTTTTCTGAGTGTCACACACAGGTGTGTGCATTCATGGCCTTTGCGTGTCTTCCTGTTGTGGAGGCAAAAATGTGAAGAACCCTAGATGATTTTGGGACCAGGGCTCCATCACCTGCTGTTCATTGCACACCGGAGCATCCAGGCATGGGTGGAGAGCTCAGACTTCCAGGCACGGTCGCAGGGGCTGGTCTAACCATGTTCCCGCCCGCCTGCTCATCAGAACCGCCTGTTGGGAGCTGTTATCATGATACCATACCTGGGCCCTGGGCTATCCGATTCTGACTTAATTGCTCCAGGTTGGGGCCAGGCCGTTGTTTGCTGTTTTGTTGTTTCTTCTGTGACGTTAGCCACTGGGCTAATCTGAGCCCCTCAGTTACAGGTGGAGAAACTGAGACCCATGGGGGTGCAAGGACTTGCCGAGGACCCAGAGCCCCTTGGGGGCAGAGCTGAGGCGGGGCCTGGCTTTGGGTCCCAGAGCTTCCAGTCCCCTTCCCGCTCTCCTAACAGCTTTTTTTTTTGAGACAAGATCTCACCCTGTCACCCAGGCTGGAGTGCAATGGCATGATCTCGGCTCACTGCAATCTTCGCTAGCTGCGTTCCAGCGATTCTCCTGCCTCAGCCTCCCGAGCAGCTGGGATTACAGGTGTGTGCCGCCATGCCCAGCTCGTTTTTTTTTGTACTTTTAGTAGAGATAGGGTTTCACCATGTTGGCCAGGCTGATCTCGAACTCCTGACCTCAAATGATCCGCCTGCCTCGGCCTCCCAAAGTGCTAGGATTACAGGCTGGGATCACACTGTGCCTGGCCCTAGCAGCTTTGTCCTGTGCCATCCAACAACAGATGACCGAAGTCTTTGTTTCTTAACATGCATTCCATCTGCCTTACAGTTTTGCCACCTGCAAAACAGAGGACTTGTCGCTTTTCTGGTAAGCTGGAAATGTAATCTGGTAGCAGGAGGCCTGTGGAAGCTTGCCTTTAATGGCCTTGTGTCTCTTTCATCCTGTCCTGAGAGCCGGAGAACTTGGATGTTGCGCCTAACTCAACCTTCCTGTTAACATACAGTTCTGCAGGCTCATGGATCATCAGAACCACGTCCTATCTCACGCGGCTGTATGCTTCCGTTGGTTCAGGTGTTTTTACCTTGACAGTATTTTCTCCTCGGTGGCTTTTGCGGTGGTTGCTTTTAATCAGCATTGACTCTTCAAGAAAAATATTTAGCTGCTACATCTCAGAGGAGACAGGGTGGAAAGCATCTGAGACCTGCAGGCTCAGACTTAGAACCAGAAGTGCCCTCAGAGTTCATCCGGCCCTGACCCAGCGGGAAATGAGTTCACAGAGAAGCGGGAGAACTTTGCCCCAGGCCCTGCCGTTGCTCATAACTGCCCCAGGTCCTTACATTTGCTCCAGGTCCTGCCCCAGGCCCTGCAGTTGCTCATAACTGCCCCAGGTCCTTATATTTGCTCCAGGTCCTGCCCCAGGTCCTGCAGTTGCTCTGTGTGGTGGGTGTGATCTGGAGCCCTCCGCCCATTGCTGCACCTGGGGCAGGCATTGCTAATTGATCCCAGGACTCCTTCCTGCGGAGCACGCCCTGGTTCTCCAGGCAGCCGCTGCCTGTCAGCCTGCAGTGGTTCGGGAGAGGACACCTGCTTGCCTGGTCTGTTCCAAATCTTGCTTCTCATCCCAGCACAGGTAGGGGGTGCTATGGGAAAGGGATCCTCAGCTGGCCCTGTCACTGCTCTATCAGCTGGGGACGTGGCATCCTAGTGAAAACATCATGGCCGGGCGCGGTGGCTCACGCCTGGAATCCCAGCACTTTGGGAGGCTGAGGAGGGTGGATCACTTGAGGTCAGAAGTTCGAGACCAGCCTGGTCAACATGGTGAAACCCATCTCTACTAAAAATACAAAAATTCGCCAGGTGTGGTGGCGGGTACCTGTAATCCGAGCTACTCGGGAGGCTGAGGCAGGAGAATCGCTTGAACCTGGGAGGTGGAGCTTGCAGTGAGCCGAGATCTTGCCACTGCACTCCAGCCTGGGCAACAGAGTGAGACGCTGTCTCAAAATCTCAAACAAACAAACAAACAAAAAACAAACAAACAAAGCGTCATTTATCCAGCACCCCTGGGGAACCATGCTACCTGGTGTTTTATGGTACCTGGCAAGGTGCAGGTAAAGTTGCGGCTCTTGGGCATTGAACCCGTCTTGTTTGGGGCAGCTCAGGCCCCAGGCAGGGTCCGGGTTGGCTCTCGTTGGTGTGGCCCTGGCCCATCCAGACCTATATTTCTGCCGTCCTGCAGGTGATCAATGTTGATGGGACGAAGAGGCGGACCCTCCTGGAGGACAAGCTCCCGCACATTTTTGGGTTCACGCTGCTGGGGGACTTCATCTACTGGACTGACTGGCAGCGCCGCAGCATCGAGCGGGTGCACAAGGTCAAGGCCAGCCGGGACGTCATCATTGACCAGCTGCCCGACCTGATGGGGCTCAAAGCTGTGAATGTGGCCAAGGTCGTCGGTGAGTCCGGGGGGTCCCAAGCCATGGCTCAGCCATGCAGACTTGCATGAGGAGGAAGTGACGGGTCCATGCCTGGGCATAAGTGTTGAGCTCAGGTGCCCCGACCTGGGGAAGGGCAGGACAGGAAAGGTGACAGTATCTGGCCAAGGACAGATGGGAAGGGACCAAGGGAGCTGATTAGGGAGTGGTTATGGACTAGGAATGTCGGTAACAATGGTTAGAAAGTGACTAACATTTGTTGAGCACCTGCTGTGTGCCCGGCCCTGGCCGGGAGCCTTCGTGCCCACAGTGACCCCGTCTGCAAATGTAGTTCCTTGCCCTACTCGCACTGGGGAGCAGGACGCAGAGCCGTGCAACTCACAGGTGCCAAGCTCAGGACTCCCTCCTGGGTCTGCCTGGGCTGGGCTGTGCTTGTTGCCCCTGTGGCCCACGCATGTGCACCTTCCACCTGAAAGCCAGGATCTTCAGGACGCTCCCCGAGGAGGTCGTTGTCTGGCACAATGATTTGTCTCTTCCTGAAAAGGTGACAGAGTTACACTGGAGAGAGCAGCATCCAGGTGCGGCAGGGACAGGCCTGGGGCTCGCGGGCAGGGACTCTGTGTCCTGCCGGGGTCCCACACTGCACCTGCTTGTCAGAGGCACTCAGTCAATCTTTGCTGATGAAGGATGAGAGGACAGAGGACGTGATGCTTGCTGCTGCATTGCCTGCAGTCCTGGGTGAGATGCCCGGGTTGACTCTGCTGCCCGTCGGGTGGATGTGATGTCAGATCCCCGGCTTTAAAATACGAGGGAGCTGGGAATTGAGGGAGCAGGTTGGGGCAGAAAGCACAGCCCCGTGGAAGCCTGGAGCTGAGGCAGTGTGGGCGACCCCTGGAGCAGTGAGTGCTTCCTTCATGGCCTTCATCGCACCCTGCAGTCCTCATGTAGGGGATGCAATCCATGAATTTAGTTTTCCCAGCCTCCTTTAAAAACGCGTTCATGCTGGGGCCGGGGCAGTGCAGTGGCTCACATCTGAAATCCCACCACTTTGGGAGGCCGAGGCGGGTGGATCATGAGGTCAGGAGATCGAGACCATCCTGGCTAACAAGGTGAAACCCCGTCTCTACTAAAAATACAAAAAATTAGCCGGGTGCGGTGGCAGGCGCCTGTAGTCCCAGCTACTCGGGAGGCTGAGGCAGGAGAATGGCGTGAACCCGGGAAGCGGAGCTTGCAGTGAGCCGAGATTGCGCCACTGCAGTCCGCAGTCCGGCCTGGGCGACAGAGCGAGACTCCGTCTCAAAAAAAAAAAAAAAAGTCCAAAAAAAAAAAAATTAGTCTGGGTGTGGTATCACGCGCCTATAATCTCACTACTCGAGAGGCTGAGGCGGAGAATTGCTTGAACCCAGGAGG
This sequence comes from Homo sapiens, assembly GCF_000001405.40. Taxonomy (NCBI): domain Eukaryota; kingdom Metazoa; phylum Chordata; class Mammalia; order Primates; family Hominidae; genus Homo; species Homo sapiens. Next base: position 68,405,089 of record NC_000011.10, read on the forward strand.
TAGAGGTTGTAGTGAGCCCGTATCGTACCACTGCCCTCCACCTGGGCAATAGAGCGAGACTCTGTCTCAAAAAGAAAAAAAAAAAAAGAACATTTATGCCAGGTGTGGTGGCTCATGCCTGAAATCCCAGAACTTTGGAAGACTGAGGCAGGAGGATCACTTGAGCCCAGAAATTTGAGAGTGTCTTCCCTGGGCAACATAGAGAGACCTCATCTCTACCAGAAAAAAAAAAATTAGCCCGGCATGGTGGCATATCCCTGTGGTCCCAGCTACTTAGGGGGCTGACGTGGCAGGATCACCTGAGTCTGGAGGCAGAGGTTGAAGTGAGCTGAGATCATGCCACTGCACTCCAGCCTGGGTGACAGACAGAGACCCTGTCTCAAAAAAAAAAAAAAAAAAAAGCATTTACTATCCACCATGGAAGGTGAGACTGACCTGTGAGTGATTGTTCAAAGAACAAAAAATAAACCCCAGAGATAAGACAAAAGGGTGCCTCCATGGGGGTGTGATTTAAAGCTGAGAAATTGGGCTTCTTCCCCCTCCCCTCTCACCCCGTGGTTTGCTAAAGGAGATGGGAAAAAGGATTCTTTTTTTGGCTGAAATATTTAACACTAAATTAAAGCCAATTTTAACAGCACTTTGGTTGATGAGTGAAATTAACAGACTGGCCAAAAATAAACGAACGGTCTGTACTATGTGAAAAAGAGGCAGCTTTGGCCATGCTGGGCCAATGTGAGTTTTCAGGGTTGCTGGGAATGTCTGTGAATCGGAGGAAGGGCCTAGCTGGGACTCTCAGGAGCCAAGGCCCTGAGGGGCAACTTGCCTGGTCCCTGCCCTGAGGCGTTCACTGCTTTCTTCCTGGGCCAGATCGCAGGCCCGGAGGCTGGACCACTGGGCTGGCACTCTTGCCGAGCTGCTCCCTGACTTCCTGACCATGCTCCTTTCAGCAGCCTTGCTGCACTTTAGTTTCCTTGAATGAAAAATGGGGATGAGAATAGCTCCTACCTCCAAGGTGAATGGAGTGAGTTCGGACAGGTGACTCCCTGGGACCAGTGCCTGGCGCCTGACAAGGTCCAGTCAGAGCCCGCACTGCTGTTACTGATACCCTTGGCTGTACCAGGGGAGAACTTGGTTGCCATTGCCAGGTGTTCTCCCACCACCCCCACTACTGTCCCTGTTTGATGTGTGGCGGGAATAAAGCTGTGCACATTGGAGCTTTTGGCACATCCTGGCTTTCAGGTGAAAGGTGCGTGTGTGTTTGAGGGTTTAGCCTGGCCAACCCAGCCATGAGGTCGGACCTGACCCGGGGGTGAGTCCTGAGCTCGGCACCCCTGAGCTGTGTGGCTCACGGCAGCATTCATTGTGTGGCTTGGCCGCACCCCTTTCCCTGCTGGGCTGTTGATGTTTAGACTGGAGCCTCTGTGTTCGCTTCCAGGAACCAACCCGTGTGCGGACAGGAACGGGGGGTGCAGCCACCTGTGCTTCTTCACACCCCACGCAACCCGGTGTGGCTGCCCCATCGGCCTGGAGCTGCTGAGTGACATGAAGACCTGCATCGTGCCTGAGGCCTTCTTGGTCTTCACCAGCAGAGCCGCCATCCACAGGATCTCCCTCGAGACCAATAACAACGACGTGGCCATCCCGCTCACGGGCGTCAAGGAGGCCTCAGCCCTGGACTTTGATGTGTCCAACAACCACATCTACTGGACAGACGTCAGCCTGAAGGTAGCGTGGGCCAGAACGTGCACACAGGCAGCCTTTATGGGAAAACCTTGCCTCTGTTCCTGCCTCAAAGGCTTCAGACACTTTTCTTAAAGCACTATCGTATTTATTGTAACGCAGTTCAAGCTAATCAAATATGAGCAAGCCTATTTAAAAAAAAAAAGATGATTATAATGAGCAAGTCCGGTAGACACACATAAGGGCTTTTGTGAAATGCTTGTGTGAATGTGAAATATTTGTTGTCCGTTGAGCTTGACTTCAGACACCCCACCCACTCCCTTGTCGGTGCCCGTTTGCTCAGCAGACTCTTTCTTCATTTATAGTGCAAATGTAAACATCCAGGACAAATACAGGAAGACTTTTTTTTTTTTTTTTTGAGACAGAGTCTTACTCTGTTGCCCAGGCTGGAGTACCGTAGCGTGAGCTCAGCTCACTGCAACCTCCGCCTCCCAGGTTCAAGCGATTCTTCTGCCTCAGCCTCCTGAGTAGCTGGGACTACAGACATGCACCACCACACCCAGCTAATTTTTTTTATATTTTTAGTAGAGACAGGGTTTCATCATGTTGGCCAGGCTGGTCTTGAACTCCTGACCTCAGGTGATCTGCCCGCCTCGGCCTCCCAAAGTGCTGAGATAACAGGTGTGAGCCACCGTTCCCGGCCTAGGAAAACTTTTTGCCTTCTAAAGAAGAGTTTAGCAAACTAGTCTGTGGGCTGGCCTTCTGATTCTGTAAAGAAAGTTTGATTGGTGGCTGGGTGCGGTGGCTCACACCTGTAATCCCAGCACTTTGGGAGGCCGAGGTGGGCAGATCACCTGAGGTCGGGAGTTCGAGACCAGCCTCACCCACGTGGAGAAACCCCGTCTCTACTAAAAATACAAAAAAAAAAATTAACCGGGCATGGCGGCGCCTGCCTGTAATCGCAGCTACTCAGGAGGCTGAAGCAGGAGAATTGCTTGAACCTGGGAGGCGGAGGTTGTGGTGAGCTGAGATGGCACCATTGCACTCCAGCCTGGGCAACCAAAGTGAAACTCCGTCTCAGAAAAAAAAAAGTTTGATTGGTGTAACCAAAGCGCATCTGTTTATGGATTGTCTGTGGCAGCTTTTGTTCTGCCGAGATGAGTTGTGACAGATCTGTATGGGCTCTAAAGCCTAAAACATGTGCCATCCGCCCCTTTACAGAAAAAGTGTGCTGACCTCTGTTCTAAAGTATTGGACAACTACAATGTTTGCTCATTTATTATTCTATGATTTGTTTTCTGCTTTTTGTTGTTGTTGTTGTTGTTGAGATAGGGTTTCCCTCTGTCACTCAGGCTGGAGTGCAGTGGTGTAATCTCAGCTCACTGCAGCCTCGACCTCCTGGGCTCTAGTGATCCTCTCATCTCAGCCTCCCTAGTAGCTGGGACTACAGGCACACACCACCACTCCTGGCTGATTTTTTTTTTTTTTTTTTTTTTTTTGGGGAGACAGGGTTTCCGCATGTTGCCCAGGCTGGTTTCAAACTCCTAGGCTCAAACACCCACCTCAGCCTCCCAAAGTGCTGGGATTACAGGCGTGAGCCACCATGCCCAGCCTATTCTACTGTTTGTATTACATAGCTTTAAAAGATTTTTTATGACTTTAAGTCACAAGGGTTCTTTGTAGAAAAAAAAATATATATAGGAAAGTATAAAAAGAAAGTAAAAATTGTCCATAACCTCTCCAGCCAGAGACGACCGTTGCTGACACCTCAGCATATTGCCTTTAAGTCTTTTTTCTCTAAGATAGCATTTCTCTTCATCACAGTCATATGCTACGCAGAATTCTGTATCCTGATTTTTTCACTTGACATTACAACAGGTATTTGATGGCGCTGTGACAAACTCTTTGGCACAATCTTTTAAATGTATGAAATACTCCACTGCACAGATGTTTGCTTTTAGGCTTAACTGTTCTTTTATTTTGCGTGTGCTGGTTACAGCCGGGCACAGTGGCTCATGCCTGTAATCACAACACTTTGAGAGGGTGAGGCAGGAGGATCACTTGAGCCCAGAAGTTTGAGACCGGCCTGGGCAACATAGTGAGACCCCATCTCTACAAAAAACTTTTTTAATAAGTCGGGCGTAGTGGTGCATAGCTGTAGTCCCAGCCACCAAGGAGGCTGAGTTGGGAGGATTGCTTGAGCCCCAGGAGGTTGATGCTGCAGTGACCTGAGATTACTCCACTGTACTCCAACCTGAGCGACAGAGCAAGACTTATCTGGGGAAAAAAAAAAAAAAAAAAAAAAATATATATATATATATATATATACACACACATACACGCACACACACATAATATAAAAATATATATTTATAAATATATAATATATAATATAAAAATATATATTTATAAATAAAATTTATAAATTATATTTATAAGTAAATATATAATATATAATATAAAATATATATTATATAATATATAATAAAATATATAATATAAAAATATATATTTATAAATAATATATAATACATACTTATAAGTATATATTTAAAATATATGTAATGTATATTTTTTAATGTATGATATATAATATACATTTATAAATACACATTTATATTATTTTATATAAAATATATATAAAATCTCCAAGTTGCTTTTTCCAAAAAGGTGTCTTGCTGCATTTCAAACATTCATTTAAAAACTTGAATGCTGGTGATCTGGTCCAGAATGTGTTCAGTAGCTGCTGCCAGTGGCCAAGCATCTCGGGAGATGTCTACAAAACACGCTGGTTCTGGCCTGGCGTGGTGGCTCACGCCTGTAATCTCAGCACTTTGGGAGGCTGAGGCAGGTGGATCAACTGAGGTCTGGATTTCGAGACCAGCCTTGCCAGCTTGGTGAAACCCCATCTCTACTAAGAATACAAAAAAATTAGCCAGGCGTGGTGGCATGTGCCTGTAATCCCCACCTACTTGGGAGGCTAAGGCTGGAGAATCGCTTGAACCCAGGGGGCAGAGGTTGCAGTGAGCCGAGATCGCACCATTGCACTCCAGGCTGGGCAAGAAGAGCGAAACTCCGTCTCAAAAAAAAAAAAAAAGATGCTGGTTCCTAAAATGTGGCCCTTTTCCTCCTCACCTGCTGCCAGACCATCAGCCGCGCCTTCATGAACGGGAGCTCGGTGGAGCACGTGGTGGAGTTTGGCCTTGACTACCCCGAGGGCATGGCCGTTGACTGGATGGGCAAGAACCTCTACTGGGCCGACACTGGGACCAACAGAATCGAAGTGGCGCGGCTGGACGGGCAGTTCCGGCAAGTCCTCGTGTGGAGGGACTTGGACAACCCGAGGTCGCTGGCCCTGGATCCCACCAAGGGGTAAGTGTTTGCCTGTCCCGTGCGTCCTTGTGTTCACCTCGTATGAGACAGTGCGGGGGTGCCAACTGGGCAAGGTGGCAGGCTGTCCGTGTGGCCCTCGGTGATTAGAGCTGTACTGACGTCATTAGCCTTGATGGTGGCCAGGACTGGTAGGGCCCTCAGAGGTCATGGAGTTCCTTCGTGGAGCGGGTGCTGAGGCTGTATCAGGCACAGTGCTGGCTGCTTTCACCTGGGCCGTCTCACCGAAGTGTCCATGGAGCCTGCGTAGGGTGGGTATCTGTGTCGATTTTACAGATGCAGAAACAGGCTCAGAGAAACCGAGTGACTTCCCTAAGGTCACATACCCAGTTAGAGCAGAGCTGGGCCAGGAAGTGCTGTCTCAGGCTCCTGACCAGGTCTCCTTGCTTTGCACTCTTGCCAAAACCATGATCCAGAACTGACTTTGAGGTCCCCGGACCTCAGGCTCCTCCGAAATGGCCTCTTGGAGGCTGCTGAGCCACAGCTTAGGACCCACCTCGAGAGGCAAATGTGCTTTGAGCTGCCAGGCGTCCTGGGGGCCCTGCCTTGGGCACGGGGTTCAGACAGGCCCCAGATGTGTGGGGCGTCTTTCTGGACTTGAGTTTTCTTTTCTGTGTGGTGGACACAGTGCTCACCCCTTAAAGCACCTGTGATGTGTGCAGCAGCCCAATCCCTGCCTGTCGCCTGTTCTGCTAGGGAAGGAAGGAAGACTTCAGGATGGCAGGACAACAGAAAGAGGTCCAGGTTTTAGAGCAAGGGCAGGTCAAACTTAGAAAATTCTGGAATGAGGATGTGCATTTCCTCTTCTGGATCTGCTAAAAGAAGAGGGAAGGAGGGGCTGCTGGGGGAGGAGCCCAGAGCCGAGTTTACATCCGGATCCCGCAAGGCCTCCCCTGCCCTGAGGTCTTGTTTTGTGATGTGCTTGTGTCCATCCTGGTTTCTGCCGTGTCCCCAACATCCGGCCAAGCTTAGGTGGATGTTCCAGCACACACTCACCCTGTCTGTGCATCTGTTTTTGTGTCCGTAAGTGGGTATTTACTCGCCTTACGAGTGAGCCACTGTGGGAATTCAGGGAGGTGGCGCAGTGACCACCCCTGGAGGGATATGTGTGTGGCAGGGGTCGAGGGTCTCGCCCTTCCCTGCTTCCTGCGCGTGGCTTTCTCCAGGACGGGGAGGGCTGAGCTGAAGAGGTGGGGACAGTTGCGTCCCCCCGCCACCCACTGTCCTGCGGTGAGAGCAGACTCACTGAGCCTGCCCTTCTCCCTTGTGCCTTCCAGCTACATCTACTGGACCGAGTGGGGCGGCAAGCCGAGGATCGTGCGGGCCTTCATGGACGGGACCAACTGCATGACGCTGGTGGACAAGGTGGGCCGGGCCAACGACCTCACCATTGACTACGCTGACCAGCGCCTCTACTGGACCGACCTGGACACCAACATGATCGAGTCGTCCAACATGCTGGGTGAGGGCCGGGCTGGGGCCTTCTGGTCATGGAGGGCGGGGCAGCCGGGCGTTGGCCACCTCCCAGCCTCGCCGCACATACCCTGTGGCCTGCAAGTTCCCCAACCTGGCAGGAGCTGTGGCCACACCCACGACTGCCCAGCAGCCTCACCCTCTGCTGTGGGAGTTGTCCCCGTCCACCCCTGGGTGCCTTTGCTGCAGTTATGTCGGGAGAGGCTCTGGTGACAGCTGTTTCCTGTGCACCTGCTGGGCACTAGGTCCCAGCTAATCCCTGTGCCAGGACTCTAATTTCACCCTAACACACATGGTGGTTTTCATTGCTGGGGAAGCTGAGGCCTGAGCACATGACTTGCCTTAGGTCACATAGCTGGTGAGTTCAGGATCCCCCAGAGATACCAGGGCCAGCACTCGATCCCCACCCAGCCCTGAACCCCACCATGTGCTGGGATTGTGCTGGGAGTGTCCACACGCCCGGGACCCCAGGGCTGGTGCTCTCATCTCCTTTTTCCAGATCATGAGAATGAGGCTCAGGGAAGTTTGAAAAAAACCTATCCCAAGTCACACAGCAACAGGAGCAGGATTTGAACCCAGAAAAGGGGACCGCACACTCTGTTCTGCTAGAGTAGTTAGCTGTCCTGGGTGATATGGCAGGTGACAGGGGCAACTGTGCTTAACAAAGGAACCCCCATCCCCCCTGCCAAGTTGGGAGACTAGAAGGTCAGGGGCAGAAGCTCTGAAGGGCCAGGTGCAGTGGCTGACACCTCTAATCCCAGCACTTTGTGAGGCCAAGGCGGGCAGATGATTTGAGCCCAGGAGTTCAAGATCAGCCTGGGTAATGTAGTGAGACGCCATCTCTACAAAAAAATTTTTTAAAAATTAGCTGGGCATGGTGGTTCATGCCTGTAGTCCAAGCTACTTGGGAGGCTCAGGTGGGAGGATTGCTTGAGCCCAGGAGGTTGAGGTTGTGGTGAGCTGTGATCATGCCACTGCACTCCAGCCTGGGCAATAGAGTGAGACCGTCTCCAAAAAAAAAAAAAGAAGAAGAAAAAGAAGCTCTGAGGCTCCAAGTCCCCAGGCACCCCTTGGCTTGAGGGCAGACAAGGGAGGAGAGGGTCACCTGGGCAGCCCTGACTTTTGTCCCCTGGCAAAGGGACCTTCAGTGACCTTGGCCCTAGGAGAGCCTCTGAGCACGTCAGCCATGTCGAACCGCTCAGGAAGGGCAGCAAGAATTTGGCTTCTGACCTCTGCCTCTCCTACTCGCCATCTGCACTGGGTGTGGTTGTGCCCATTTTACAGATGAGGAGGCTGGGGCATCGACCAGCTGAATGCCTTGTCCCAGGTACTGCGTAGGCAGAGCTGGCAGTTGAACCCCGTGTCCTGGTTGTCGCTGGGGGTGGGCTGCACCCTGACTTGTGAGGCCAGTAGCAAGGTTTGCACGTGACTTCGTGACCGTCACCCAGCTCTGCAGCACATCCCGTGACCCAGCTCATCCAGGCCGCATGCAAACCTGTTGCCAGGCGAGAAACCAGTCACCGCACAGCTGTGGTTGCCTGAAATGATTAAGCTCATTAATCACCCCGGAGTGAGGACAGACTCAGATGAAAACCAGCAAAAGCCCTGGAAACTCATGTGACCCTGCCAATGAGGGCGGCCATGTGCATTGCAGCCTGGCCGTCACTCCTCGGTACGTGTTTTGGACTTAAACGCTCCGGATGTTTACTGAGTGCTTGATTAATAACATGGAAGGCCTGGTCTCATTGCTGTGGGAGTGAAGGATGCACAGCCAGGCCTGACATGATGAGAACAAGAACCTGGAGTCTCGCTGCCTGGGTGGTAATCCTGGCCCTGCCACTTAGCAACTGTGTGACTGTAGCCAGGTCACTTAATTTTGCTAGATCCTGCCTGCGCTTCAGTGGATCTTGCTGGTTTTCCAAGGTGGCCAAACACTTTAAGGCATTCATGTGGTCGCTAGGCTGCAGGGTTGAACCCTGGCTCACCCCGCAGGGCGCCGTGTGCTCTGTGGCCTGGCTGTGCCTTTGCTGACACCGTGCCCGTGTGTGTTCATGCAGGTCAGGAGCGGGTCGTGATTGCCGACGATCTCCCGCACCCGTTCGGTCTGACGCAGTACAGCGATTATATCTACTGGACAGACTGGAATCTGCACAGCATTGAGCGGGCCGACAAGACTAGCGGCCGGAACCGCACCCTCATCCAGGGCCACCTGGACTTCGTGATGGACATCCTGGTGTTCCACTCCTCCCGCCAGGATGGCCTCAATGACTGTATGCACAACAACGGGCAGTGTGGGCAGCTGTGCCTTGCCATCCCCGGCGGCCACCGCTGCGGCTGCGCCTCACACTACACCCTGGACCCCAGCAGCCGCAACTGCAGCCGTAAGTGCCTCATGGTCCCCCGCACCTCACTCCCTCGTTAGATCAGGCTGGTTCTGGGAGCTGACGCTGAAAGGAGCTTCTCATCTGGGGTTCCTGGGTGTACATAGATGGTTGGGTAGGTTGTGCACTGCACAAGCTGCATGATGCTACCTGGGGGTCCAGGTCCAGGCTGGATGGACTTGTTGCTTCATCAGGACATAGATAAATGGCCAAAACTCCTCAGCTGGAAGGTCCTGGGCAGGATCTTTGGGTGTGAAAACCAGTCACAGGGGAAGGGTGCTTGCTCATACTGCCAGCACAGTGCTGAGTGCTTTCCATAGCGCTCGTTTACTCCTCAAGCCTGGAGGGTGGGGAGTAGCATGGTCCCATTTCACGTACAAGGAACCCGATGCACAGAGAGGTGTGGCAACCCATCCAAGGCCATACAACTGGGGTGGGTTGAGCCGGGGTTGACTGTGGCAGGCTGGCTCAAGAGTCCCTGCTCCTGAACCCTTGCCAGGCAGCCTGGCATCAGCTCGGGGAATTTTTGCCCTGACCCTTGGAAGCAGGTGGGCCTCTTTGTTCTCATGTCAGTGATGAGAAGAGTGACTTTCCTATGGCCCCTCTGGAGTACAGGTGTTTCCTGTTGGCGGGCTCTTCCCCCATGACATCAGCAGCGAGCTGGTTATGATTCCCTACGCAGAACTTGATAGTTTATAAAGCTCTTTGTCATCCAGGCCCCGTTGGAGTCTCACGCAGACCTGGTCGCAGGCGGGGCTGGTCTTGCCTGTCCCAGCTGCATGGATGGGGAACTTGAGGCTTGCAAAGGTTAAGGGGCTGTTCGAGGCCCAGGCTGGCAGGAGATGGGCCTGGGCCAGAGTCTGGGACTTCCCATGCCTGGGCTGTCTTTGGTCCTGTTGCTCACCATCCCTCCCTGGGGCCATGACCTTAGAGAGCCAAATGGAGGTGCAGGTAACCCACGGCAAGGAGGGGTTGCCATGACTCAGAGTCCCCGTCCTGTGGCCGGCAGTACCTGGTGCAACGACTTGGATTTCAGACCAGCCACTGTAGCCCGCTGACGGTGCGCTCGAAGTGCCACAGCTTCTGAAGCCAGGCAGGACTCAGGCCAGGAGACTCTGTTAGCTGTTGAGAGGGAGAGGCCAACGGATGTTCTGGTTCTGCTAGAGAGCTGGTTCTTCGGATCCTGGTACCAGTGCACTGAGAGGAGGCCCAGCTTGATTCTGGGGCTGCCTTGTGGTGGCATGTGCTGCTCACTGACACCCTCGAGGAGTGTCTTCTCTCGGGCTTGTTGACTGTGCCCGGTTTTCCGCAGTTCACTGGTGCACACATAGGCACATAGCAAACCGCACACACAGTCGTGGGTATGAGTTTCACTACATTCCACCACCAGTGTTCACTACCATTACCTGCCTTCCGTCTTAAGTGTTCATCATTTAAAAATAAATTTATTGGGCTGGACACGGTGGCTCATGACTGTTATCCCAGCACTTTGGGAGGCTGAGGCGGGCAGATCACCTGAGGTCAGGAGTTCAAGACCAGCCTGGCCAATATGGTGAAACTCCATCTCTACTAAAAATACAAAATTAGCCGGGCATGGTGGGGCATGCCTATAATCCCAGCTACTTGGGAGGCTGAGAGAGGAGAATCGCTTGAACTTGGGAGGTGGAAGTTTCAAGTGAGCTCATTTTGTGCCACTGCACTCCAGCCTGGGCAACAAGAGCGAAACTCCATCTCGAATGAATGAATGAATGAATGAATGAATGGCAGGGCGTAGTGGCTCACACCTGTAATCCCAGCACTTTGGGAGGCCAAGGCGGGCGGATGACAAGGTCAGGAGATCGAGACCATCCTGGCTAACACGGTGAAACCCGTCTCTACTAAAAATACAAAAAATGAGCCAGGCGTGGTGACGGGCGCCTGTAGTCCCAGCTACTCAGGAGGCTGAGGCAGGAGAATGGCGTGAACCCGAGAGGCAGAGCTTACAGTGAGCCCAGATAGCACCACTGCAGTCCAGCGTGGGCAACAGTGCGAGACTCCATCTCAAAAAAAAAATAAATAAATAAAAGAAAAATAAATTTATGATCTATTTCAAAAATAACACATGTACTTTGAAACAGCAGAGACACATATGACACGGAGAATGAAATTCCCCATAGCGCACCCCCAAGAGACAGCCCTGGTCCCCCCGTCTTTCCCGTGGACCTCCAGCGGGGCAGATGCTGAGCCGCCTGTTGTCGAGTGGCGTGCTATCCCGTCCTCCAGCTCCTCTGTGGCTTACAGACACCCACCTGCAGCCCTGTCTTTGCCTCCTCTAGCGCCCACCACCTTCTTGCTGTTCAGCCAGAAATCTGCCATCAGTCGGATGATCCCGGACGACCAGCACAGCCCGGATCTCATCCTGCCCCTGCATGGACTGAGGAACGTCAAAGCCATCGACTATGACCCACTGGACAAGTTCATCTACTGGGTGGATGGGCGCCAGAACATCAAGCGAGCCAAGGACGACGGGACCCAGGCAGGTGCCCTGTGGGAAGGGTGCGGGGTGTGCTTCCCAAGGCGCTCCTCTTGCTGGTTTCCAGGCTGCTGCCCCTGTCCTTAGCAGAGGGAGGAAACAGAGGATGGCTCTGGGTGAATGATGACTTGGGCTTCGATTATGTAGTCACAGGGTATGACCCTGAGATGCGTGGAACCCCGAGACTGTGATTATATGTAGAAACTGGGTTTCCCCGTTGTTTAAGTAGTCATGGTGGGGTCAGACCCCACAGGACTTTTGTCTTTTCAAGAAAGAAAATGGTCGTGTGTCATGCAGGGGTAGTTGGTACTGGTTAATCCAGGTTTATCCTTTATTTTGTGGGAACTGTACAGTCATTTCTGCTACAATGCTGTATATGCTCTTCTGAAAGACACCTATGCAAAATCGCACAGTAAAAATGACACAACTCATAGGGAAAGCGGGGCCAGGGCACAGCCCTCAAAATCTCCATCAATGACATGTAAGAAAAGAGAGGAACCTGGGAAATAGCAAAGTGCCTTTTGCACATTAAATGGTTAGCTATATCCCACAATACTGTGCATTCGTAAACGTTAATGCTGCAATAAATACGGCACTTCACCTTGGGAAGATCTGGAGTTGGCTTATGAGTGTGGAAGGGTGTAGCGCATGAGTTTTTGTGAAACACTGGAAGGAGGATTGTGGGAAATCAAATGGAAAGTTCTCACCCCAGGCGTGGAGAAGAGTGGGTCATGGCCCCAGCAGTGAGCCCAGGGAGGTCAGAGACGGAGGTGTGTGTGTGGGTGTGACCCTGCGCAGTTCCCTGCCGGCTGTAGTTTTTTGCATTCACTTAATGTTTCTCGTGGAGGAAATTGTGCATGAGCAAATGTGAAACCGTGCTGTGCTCAAATTGTCCTAATACATCATTGCATTGGAACAGATTGGCTTTTTTTTTTTTTTTTTTTTTTTTTTTTTTGAGATGGAGTCTCACTCTGTCACCAGCCTGGAGTGCAGTGGCATGATCTTGGCTCACTGCAACCTTTGCCTCCTATGTTCAAGTGATTTTCCTGCCTCAGCCTCCTGAGTAACTGGGATTACAGGCATGAGCCACCGCGGCCGGCCAGATTTGCATTTTTGAAACAACTGCTAGGCTGGGCGCGGTGGCTCACACCTGTAATCCCAGCACTGTGGGAGGCCGAGGCAGGTGGATCACCTGAGGTCAGGGGTTCGAGACCAGCCTGGCCAACATGGTGAAACCCCGTCTCTACTGAATATACAAAAATCAGCTGGGTGTGGTGGCGGGTGCCTGTAATCCCAGCTACTCAGGAGGCTGAGGCAGGAGAATTGCTTGAACCCAGGAGGCAGAGGTTGCGGTGAGCCGAGATCACACCATTGCACTCCAGCCTGGGCAACAAGAGCAAAACTCCATCTCAAAAAATAAAAAATAGAAAAACAAGTGCTGTAGCGGAAGTGAGCACTTTGCGGAGTCAGGCTTGTGTGGCCTGTTCCACAAATGATGTGCTCACGGCGGCCTCAGGCCCACCTGGAGTCTGCAGCATGGGGCACAACAGGTTCATTAGTGTAGAATTCCAGGACAGGCCTGGCTCCTAAGCAGCCTTCTTTTACAAAAACTGCAGAGCCCGCTTGTATCCTAGCACTTTGGGAGGCCGAAGTGGGTGGATCACGAGGTCAGGAGTTCAAGACCAGCCTGGCCAACATGGTGAAACCCCATCTCTACTAAATATACGAAAATTAGCTGGGTGTGGTGGCACGCGCCTGTAGTCCCAGCTACTCGGGAGGCTGAGGCAGAATTGCTTGAACCTGGGAGGTGGAGGTTGCAGGGATCTGAGACCATGTCATTGCACTCCAGCCTGGGCAACAGAGCGAGACGCCATCTCAAAAAAAAAAAACCTACAGAGCCACACGGCCTCTTTCTCCACCGAGTGTTGGTGTGGGAGCTTGTGTTATTGTGGTGAAATCTTGGTACTTTCTTGAGGCAGAGAGAGGCTGAGCGCCTGGAGAGACTTTCACATGGGTCGCCATGTCCGCCGTCGGTTTCGCTGTTGTGCTCCCCATCTGAAGGCTGGTGCCGTCCAGACAGGCTGGACGCCCCTTTCCACCAGATCCTTCCTCCCGCAGCAGTTTCTAGTTACGTTGTACTGTGAGGTCTGTGTCCTTGGTTGATGGCAAAAGTCAGCCGAATTGAAATTCAGAGCCATGCCTGGCTCCCTGGAGCTTCTCTCCTGGGCAGCTGTGATCATTGCCTCTGCTGTGGTGTGGGTGGTGGAAATGGATTCCTTTCATCTTGCTTGCTACAGGTGACTGTCACGTGGAGTCCTTTGGAGAGAGGGACGTGTTAATTGATGGATGTGGCTCCCATGCTGAGAAAGCTCCTGGGCGTACATTGCCTTAGAGTTTCACTGGAGCTGCGTTCTTTTATGGTGTCTGCTAGGCAGAAGTGATGAAGACTTGGAAGAAAACCCAGAAGGTTTTCCACTTAATTTGGAAAATGTGCTTTTCCCCTCCTGTGTCTTTTGCTAAGGTCCAGCCTCCTGCAGCCTCCCCGCTCTGTGGACTCTGGCTTTGATTCTTTATTAGGAGTCCCCCTGCTCCCCCAAAAGATGGTGTCTAAATTATCATCCAATTGGCCGAGGTTTTGTTTTCTATTAATTGTTTTTATTTTTTATTGTGGTAAATATATATAACATAAAATTTGCCATTTTAATTGTTTTGTTATTGTTGTTTTTGAGACAGGGTCTCACCCCAGTGCCCAGGCTGGAGTGCAGTGGTGCGATCATGGCTCACTGCAGCCTCAGCCTCCAGGGCTCCAGTGATCCTCTCACCTCAGCCTCTCTAGTAGCCGGGACTACAGGCATACACTACCACATCTGGCTGATTTTTTGTATTTTTTTTTTATTGTAGAGACCCGCTATGTTGCCCAGGCTGGTCTCAACTCCTGGACTCAAGCCATCCTCCCACCTCACCCTCCCAAAGTGCTGGGATTACAGGCATGAGCCACAACACCCAGCCATTTTAATTTTTTTTTTTTTTTTTGAGATGGAGTCTCACTCTATCGCCCAGGCTGGAGTGCAGTGGCGTGGTATCAACTCACTGCAACCTCTGCCTCCCAGGTTCAAGCGACTCTCCTGCCTCAGCCTCCTCCCGAGTAGCTGGGATTACAGGTGCCCATCACTATGCCTGGCTAATTTTTGTATTTTTTAGCAGAGACGGGGTTTCACCATGTTGGCCAGGCTGGTCTTGAACTCCTAACCTGGTGATCCGCCCGCCTCGGCCTCCCAAAATGCTGAGATTACAGGTGTGAGCCACCGTGCCCGGCCTTTTTTTGTTTTTGAGACAGGGTCTTGCCCTGTCACCCAGACTGGAGTGCAATGGTGGGCTCTTGGCTCACTGCAGCCTCCGCCTCCCAGGCTCAAGTTGTGCACCTCCACACCTGGCTAACTGTATTTTATGTAGAGACAGATTTCACCATGTTGCCCAGGCTGGGCTTGAAATGGACTCAAGCAGTCCACCCACCTCAGCCTCCCAAAGTGCTGAGATTACAGGCGCGAGCCACCGCACCCAGCCCATTTTACCTATTCTGCAGTTGACAGTTCAGTGGCATTCAGTCAGTTCACGAGGTAACCATCACTGCCATTCATCTCCAGACTACTTCACCTTCTCGGCAGATGTCCGAAACTGTCCGCATTGAACACACTCCTCATCTCCCTCTGACAGCCACCATTCTACTTTGTATCTCTCTCTGCCTTCTCTAGGTACCTCATGTAAGTGGAATTATACCAATATTTGCCCTTGTGTGACTGGCTTCTTTCATGTGACATGGTGTCCTCAAGGTTCATCTGTGTTATAGCCTGTGTCAGAATTTCCTTCCTTAAAGCCTGAATAATAACCCGTTGTAAAGGCTGGGCGCGGTGGCTCACACCCTCTAATCCCAGCATTTTGGGAGTCCGAGGTGGGCAGATCACTTGAGGTCAGGAGTTTGAGACCAGCCTGGCCAACATAGTGAAACCCTGGCTCTACTAAAAGTACAAAATTAGCTGGGTGTGGTGGCGCGCACCTGTAATCCCAGTTACTCAGGAGGCTGAGGCAGGAGAATCGCTTGTACCCGGGAGGCAGAGGTTGCAGTGAACCAAGATTGTGCCTCTGCAGTCCAGCCTGGGTAACAGAGTGAGACTTCCTGTCTCAAAAAAAAAAAAAATCATCGGATGGATGGACGGACCACTTCTTGTTATTTATCCATCCACGGGTGCTAGGTTTCTTCCACCTTTGGTTGTCGTGAATAAGGCCACTATGAACATTTCCTTCCGTGGTGAAGGTTTTGTACTAGTGAGGAAAAGGCGTGTTTGTGGTGTTGCATAGGATTCTGGTAAGAAAGTTTGCACTAACCATAAGTATTTGTACTACATTAAAATGAAAGCTCAGGGGCCGGGCGCGGTGGCTCACGCCTGTAATCCCAGCACTTTGGGAGGCCAGGGCGGGCGGATCATGAGGTCAGGAGATCAAGACCATCCTGGCCAACATGGTGAAACCCCGTCTCTACTAAAAATACCAAAAAACTAGCCAGGTGTGGTGGCGGGCACCTGTAGTCCCAGCTACTTGGGAGGCTGAGGCAGGAGAATGGCGTGAACCCGGGAGGCGGAGCTTGCGGTGAGCCGAGATCGCTTCACTGCACTCGAGCCTGGGCAACAGAGCAAGACTCCGTCTCACGCAAAACTCTGTCTCACGCAAGACTCCGTCTCAAAAAAAAAAAGAGTTCAGGGTTTATGAAACTGGCCAGCCGCGTAAAGTTTGCTGTGTTGTTTTTGTGCCCGGGAGGAGTGTGGCCAGGGTGTCACGTCACACAGTACACGTTTCTCAGATGGTGGTTCTCCAGACTGCTGTCCCAAAGTCTGTTTTTGCATCTGGTTCCCACAGACCCACCCTCCACGGTGAGCCTGATTTTGGCCAGGGTAGCTGGAATCTTGCTTGTCTTTCAGCCCGGCAGCTGTACCAGTCCAGGGTCCACAGCTAGTGGCTTTTAGGAAGGAATTTGTTCAGTTGGCTTTGACACATGGCCCCCTAGGGTCCACAGCTCTGTAGTGATGTGGATGTTGTTATCTACAAAGACACATGATCCTTCGTGTCCAGATGAAAGTGATGATGTCTTTGCAGCTGCCCAGCAAGGCTGTGTGTGTGTGTGTGTGTGTGTGTGTGTGTGTGTGTGGTGTGTGTGTGGTGTGTGTGTGTGTATGGGGGAGGGAGGCACCCTTTCCATCTGGGGGTGTGTGTGTGTGGGGTGTGTGTGTGTGTGTGCGCGTGTGTGTGGTGTGTGGTGTGTGTGTGTGTATGGGGGAGGCACCCTTTCCATCTGGGTCCAAGAGACTGGGCCTGGGGAAGACGCTTCTTTTTATCTACTTAGAGACTTTGTTTTATTTGTATTTTTTTGAGACAGGGTCTCACTCTGTCACCCAGGCTGGGGTATGGTGATATGAGCATAGCTCACTGCAGCCTCGGCCTCCCAGGCTGAAGCGATCCTCCCACCTCAGCCTTCTGAATAGCTGGGACTGTAGGCGTGCGTCACCATACTGAGCTATTGTTTTTTTTGTTTGGTTGGTTTAATTTTTTTTGATACAGATGGAGTCTTGCTATGTTGCCCAGACTAGTCTCAAACTCCTGAACTCAAGTGATTCTCCCACCTCAGTTTCCCGACATTCTGGGATCACAGGTGTGAGCCACTGCTGTCTCCCTGTTTTATTAACTGCTGAAAGACCTAGATAAAGAAAGTCTGAAAAGACTTACTATCAGAGCACCATCCTAAGATGATTCCCTCTGACTCAATGGAGAGGGAGGGGAGCTTTTCCTTCAGGCCTGGGTGGCAGGAGCCCAGGTGCTCCAGGCCCCATTTGCCCCAGGCCAAATCACTCGGGAACTTGGATGCAGCTGTCTTTCAGGGTAACCCAAAGGAACCAGATCCCCGCAGGCAGTAGGCTTCTGGGCTGTCCTCTCCTCCTACGTCAGCTCAGTAAGAGCCCTTCGAAGGGATGCTGTGTCGGAGGCCCCAAAAGCCCAGGCTCATCCCTGAGATGCACAGGGTGGGCTGGGCTTAGGCAGCGCTCGAGCATCTCCTGGACGGTGACCCCAGAGAGTGTGGAGACGGAGAGTCCTTGAGAGTCACTGAGAGACGTGGCTGCCCTGCCTTCCCAAGAGGGGCTCTGAGTCATTCCCCACACTCACCTGCCCCTACCCACCCTCACCTGGCCCCCAGCCTCACCTACCCCCACATCTGTACCGATCCCTTTACCCGCACCTTCCCTACCCACCCTCACCTCCCCTGTACCTTCACCTCCCCCACTCACCCGCCCCTGCACCCTCACCTGTCCCCCACCTTCACCTAACCCCCACCCTCACCTGCCCTCCCCTCACCTGGCCTCCTTCCGTTGGGGAAGGGGTTGTAAGGGGCGGCCCCCAAACTGTCTGTCCTGGTGCCCTGCAGAGAAAACAGTACGTGAGGGCCGCAGTCCAAAAGCTTGAGTCCTGGAAGGTGGAGGAGACAGGGATGTGTTGGGAAGGGCCCCATGGTCTTGGATCCCTTCTCGACTGTCAATGGGGCCTTCATGGGAGCGCCAGTCTAGTGATGCACAGCTGGGTGCCCGGCGGGTGGCTGAGGAGGCCTAAAGTCCGAGGCGGCAAGAGCTCTTCCAGAGGCTGTTGTCCTAATCGCTCTGGCATACTCAGGCGGGCACGTAGTTAGGAGCTGATTGGAGAGGAGAGACCCCCACACCAATACTGGGATTTGACTTTCAGGCTAAACTTGAGAAGTGTGGCCTCTGCTGTCCTGCCAGAGCTCTCCAGCCAGTGCCCAGGGCTCTCCAGCCAGTGCCCGGGGGTCTCCACCAGTGCCCGGGGGTCTCCGCCAGTGCCAGGGGTCTCCGCCAGTGCCCAGGGGTCTCCGCCAGTGCTCAGGAGTCTTGGTTTCTTTGTCTTACAGCCCTTTGTTTTGACCTCTCTGAGCCAAGGCCAAAACCCAGACAGGCAGCCCCACGACCTCAGCATCGACATCTACAGCCGGACACTGTTCTGGACGTGCGAGGCCACCAATACCATCAACGTCCACAGGCTGAGCGGGGAAGCCATGGGGGTGGTGCTGCGTGGGGACCGCGACAAGCCCAGGGCCATCGTCGTCAACGCGGAGCGAGGGTAGGAGGCCAACGGGTGGGTGGGGGTGCTGCCCGTCCAGGCGTGCCCGCCGTGTCTTCTGCCGAATGCCAGCCTCTCACAGGCTGGGGAGACTTTCCACCCTGGGGATCCAATGGGTGGCTTTCCAGGGTCCCAAAAGCAAACACAGGCTCTTTCACAGCCCCTCCAGGAAAGCAGAAAGCCCCAAGGGCTGGAAGGGAAGGGGGAGCTCTGCTGAGAGGTTACAAGGCAGCGCTGGCCGACGGGAGTTGCAGTTGATAGGTTTTGTATCATCCTTGTTAAACTTGAACCCTGTGCAGAAATCCCTTCCACGGCATGGGGGCTGCCTGTTGACTCGCTCCTGTTCCACCACAGGGAGCTCCTGGGCTTCTTCCTCCCAGAGGCCCCCGACGCTCCCACCTGTTGGTCGTCAGAGCTTCTGGTTGGTGGGAAGGCACCCAGGACCTTGAGGTCTCCAGAGAGAAAAGCCAGGGAAAGAGGGAGACCGAAACCCATGTGACATGAAACTCAGGCTCCAAACTGAGCACGGGAACGTTTGGGGACAGGAGCGCGATGGCCTTCCTCAGATAGCTGGGGGGCTGGCATGAAGACGGGAGCTACAGCCAGCACAGGTCCTGGGCCGGGAGCCCAGAGATTGAGCCCTGACTCTGTCACTTACTGGCCACGTGACCTTGGGCGGGTGGCATAGCCTCTTGGAGACTCAGTTTCCTCATTGGTAGGAGTGACGGCCACAGTGGTGCGGCCTCTGCAGCACACGGGGGGCTCGGTGGGCGGAAGCCCCGGGTCTATAAGGCGGCTGTGCAGGAGCCAGCCGAGCTGGTCTCCCAACAGCCAGGGCTCCGGGGTCCTTAGCAGCTGTGGGGGGCCTGCACCTGTTTCCCATGGCTGCTGTCAGAAATTACCAGAAGCCAGGTGGCTGAGAGTAATGGACACTTGTTCTCTCACAGTTCCTGAGGGCTGAAGCCCGAGATCGAGGTGTGGGCAGGGCCCTGCGCCCTCTGAAGGCTCTGAGGGAACCTTTGGGCTTCTGGTGGCTCCAGGCACCCCTTGACTTGTGGTCCTGTCACTCCAGTCTCTCTGTCTGGCTGCACATGGCGTGGCCTCTTCTGTACCATTGAAGGACACTTCAGTTGGATTTAGGGCCTACCCTCACCCATTGTGGTCGTATCTTGATCCTTCATGACATTTGTAAAGACCCTGCTTCCAAATAAGCTCACATTCTGAGGTTCTGGGGTGAGCGGGAATTTGGAGAGCATTGTTCAACTAGTATAGAATGTGACCTGTCAGCCTCGGGCAGCCCTGAGAGGCAGGGGCTTTCCACAGCCCAGCTGGGTGCCCTGGGCTCCGTGCTGTCCGAGGAGACGCCATCCCCACACCCGTCCTTCACCCGCCACCCTCCCGCAGGTACCTGTACTTCACCAACATGCAGGACCGGGCAGCCAAGATCGAACGCGCAGCCCTGGACGGCACCGAGCGCGAGGTCCTCTTCACCACCGGCCTCATCCGCCCTGTGGCCCTGGTGGTGGACAACACACTGGGCAAGCTGTTCTGGGTGGACGCGGACCTGAAGCGCATTGAGAGCTGTGACCTGTCAGGTACGCGCCCCGGGGCCTGCCCTAACCGCAGACACCCGGCCTTCATTGTCAGTAATGGCAGCAGCTGCCACATTGTCCGAGACCTGCCGTGAGCCCAGTGCCGCGCCAGGGGCTTTGTGTGTAGCGTGTTTTGTCCTCACACTGACAGCTGTAGGCTGGGGTTCTGAGTGAGCCCCACAGGGCAGAGGCAGAAAATGAGTCTCAGAGAGGGTGAGCGAGCTGCTTGGGGCCCCACAGCAGGAGATGGAGCAGGACTGCAGCCTAGCCTCTGCCCCCAGCACCTGCGCAAGAAGCTGCTCTGCTCTGGACTGTGTTAGGCTGCGAGGGCTGGAGAGAAATGAGAGTTGGTGCTTAGAGAGGGGGCGCAGGTCCCCATGGCTTTTCCTCTTATGATGAGGTAGATGGGTGAAGGGAGGGGCCATGCTTGCAGGGGCCAGTGACCGAGGCCCGCCGTTGGAACTGATGGCCTTCATCCCGAGCCCAGCCCAGGTGGGAGCAGGGCTTTCCGAGGGCTTGTCTTGGGTCGGCCTGCTTCCAGGGACTCTGCTGCAGCTCCCACCCCTGTCCAAAGCATGGAATCCCCCAGGCTCCCTGGCAGTCCTGTCAACCTCTGTCCTCCCAAGCTGAGTGTGGGGCAAGTTCTGGAGGTCAGCACTGCTCAGGGGGGCCCACGGGCTGCTTGCAGGGGCCAACCGCCTGACCCTGGAGGACGCCAACATCGTGCAGCCTCTGGGCCTGACCATCCTTGGCAAGCATCTCTACTGGATCGACCGCCAGCAGCAGATGATCGAGCGTGTGGAGAAGACCACCGGGGACAAGCGGACTCGCATCCAGGGCCGTGTCGCCCACCTCACTGGCATCCATGCAGTGGAGGAAGTCAGCCTGGAGGAGTTCTGTACGTGGGGGCTGGCAGTGGGGTGGGCAGGGTGGCCTCTAAACCCGACCCCTGGAGGAGGCTGGAGGCCAGTGCAAGATCCTGTGTGGCCTCAGCCAGGCGGTGGTCTCTGCCAGATGCCAACTGTTGCCCGCTGGGGTTCAGCGACATGTCCGAATGTCCCGAGGCCTCTGAGGTTGTTTTCTTTTGCCGCAGAACAAATCACCACGAACAGCGTTTTAAGACAACACCAACTCTTTTTTTTTTTTTTTTTTTGAGTCAGGATCTTGCTCTGTTGCCCAGGCTGGGGTGCCCTGGTGCAAACACAGTTCACTGCAGCCTCGACCTCTGGGCTTAATTAAGTGAACACCTTGCCTCAGCCTCCCAGGTAGCTGGGACTACAGGTGGGCACCACCACACCTGGCTAATTTTTTTTTGTAGAGACGGGGTTTCCCCATGTTGCCCAGGCTGGTCTGCAACTCCTGGGCACAAGCTATCTGCCTGCTGTGGCCTCCCAAAGTGCTAGGATTATAGGTGTGAGCCACTGGCCTGACAACACCCACGGATTGTCTCTCAGTTCTGTAAGGCAAAGTCCAGGCACAGCGTGGCTCACCTGGGTTCTCTGCTCAGGGTCTCACGGGGCCAGAATCAAGGTGTCAGGAACGCTGGGCCCTCAGCGGAGGCTCTGTGGAGAAATTAGCTTCCTTGCTCACTCAGCAGGTAGCAGTTGTGGGATCGAGGTTCTGTTTTCTCTCTGGTTATTGGTCGGGGACCACTCTCAGCTCCTAGAGGCCACCACAGGTCCTTGCCCCGTGGCCCTCTCTGCCTCAGCAGTGGGGGCTCCCTGCGTCAGTCCCTCCCACACCTTGAGTCTCTCTGATTTGCTTCTAAAGGGCCCTGTGATTCGGCTCAGCCACCTTTAGATTAGGTTAGCCTCCCCTTTGATAGACTCCAAGTCGGCTGATTAATAACCTTAATCACATCTGCAGAATCCCTTCTGCCACATAAGGTCATGACGCCGTGCTGGGGACTGGGGTGGGAAATTACGGGGTCATTTAGGATTCTGCCTGCCACTGCCTTGCTGTGTCCCAGGGCTTGGGGGAGGGGCCTCCACAGCTGGGACCACAGTCCTTCCTCCCCTCCATGGTAACCATCTGAGGATTACTTGAGACCAGCCTGGGCAACATGGTGAGAACCCATCCCTACAAAAAATACAAACAAAAAGGGACCAGGCTGGGCTTGGTGGCTCATGCCTATAATCCCAGCACTTTGGGAGACCAAGGTGGGCTGATCACTTGAGGTTGGGAGTTCGAGACCAGCCTGCCCAACATAGTGAAATCCCGTCTCTACTAAAAATACAAAAATTAGCTGGGTGTGGTGGCAGGCGCCTGTATTCCCAGCTACTGGGGAGGCTGAGGTGGGAGAATTACTTGAACCTGGGAGGCGGAAGTTGCAGTGAGCCAAAATTACGCCACTGCACTCCAGCCTAGGCAATAGAGTGAGACTCCGTCTCAAAAAAAAAAAAGGGCCAGGGGTGGTAGTGACAAAGAGACCCTATCCCAAAAAAACCGAACACTGAATCCTTGAGACTGAGTAAGGACACTGTGAAATTTTTCTGGGTGGGGCAGGGAACAGAGCGTCTTCTGTCATTTCTTCCACCTGGGTGTGGTCAGCTCTCCCTCCAAGCTGCCTCCTCTTCTTCTCATTGTCCGGGTGTTGGACACATTTGGTTAACTGGATAGAATAACGCGAGTTCCCAGGGACTTGGTCCATTTGCTATTTTATTTTATTTTATTTTATTTTATTTTTTTTATTTATTTATTTATTTATTTATTTATTTATTGAGATGGAGTTTCGTTTTTGTCGCCCAGGCTGGAGTGCAGTGGCGCGATCTCGGTTCACTGCAACCTCTGCCTCCCAGGTTCAAGTGATTCTCCTACCTCAGCCTTCCAAGTAACTGGGATTACAGGCACCCACCACCATACCAGGCTAATTTTTTTGTATTTTTAGTAGAGACGGGTTTTCGCCATTTTGCCCAGGCTGGTCTTCAACTCCTAGCCTCAGGTGATCCACGCACCTCGGCCTCCCAAAGTGCTGGGATTACAGGCATGAGCCACCACGCCTGGCACCATTTGCTATTTTAATTCCCATGTGTATTAGTGTCCCACGGCTGCTGTAACAAATGACCACAAACTGGATGGCTTAAAGCAACAGAAATGGATTCCCCCAATGTGCTGGAGACCAGAAGCCTGCGACCAAACTGTTGGGAGGGCTGTGCTTCCTCTGGGGGCTCCAGGGAGGATCTATTTGTTGGCCCTTCCAGTGCTGTGGGTGCCAGCGTTCCACACTTGTGGATGCGCCGCCTCAACCTCTGCCCATCTTCATGTGTCCATCTCCTTTGTGTCTGCGTCTTTACCTCTTCTTCTTGTCTGTGTTGCCTCTTATAAGGACGTTTGTCATTGGGTTTAGGGCCCACCCAAATCATCCGAGATGACCTCGTCTTGAGATCCTTAACCTGCAAAGACCCTTTTTCCAAAAAAAGGTTATGCTCACAGATTCTAGGCCTTAAGACATGGGTGTATCTTTCTGGGGGGCACTATCCAACCCCTTATACAATGAAAGACGGGAAGAGGGCCAGGTGTGGTAGTTCACGCCTGTAATCTCAGCACTTTAGGAAGCTGAAGCGGGAGGATCACTTGAGCCCAGGAGTTTACAAGTAGCTAGGCAACATGATGAGACCCCATTTCTACAAAAAGTGAAAAAAAAAAAAAAAAAAAAAAATTAGCCAGGCACAGTGGCAGGTGCCTATTGTCCCAGCTACTTGGGAGGCTAAGGCAGGAGAATGGCATGAACCCGGGAGGTGGAGTTTGCAGTGAGCCGAGATCATGCCACTGCGCTCCAGCCTGGGCGATAGAGCAAGACTCTGTCTCAAAAAAAAAAGCCAGGCATGGTGGTGCATGCCTGTAGTCCCAGCTACTCAAGAGGCTGAGGCAGGAGGGTTGTTCGACCCACGGAGATCAAGGCTACAGTGAGCCATGATCGCACCACTGCCCTCCAGCCTGGGTGACAGAGTGTGACCCTGTCTCAAAGTAAGTAAATAGGAGGAGAGACAAGTGGGCAGTTCAGACTGATGGTATGGGCACAGTAGAGACTGGTGCAGACAGGCTGGCCTGTGATGTCAAGCAACTTCTGTAATTGTTTCCGGCATCCATTTGTGTGTCAATTTCCGTGTCAGTAGGAAGACTCTGTAGGCTGCCAAGAGGAATAAGTGGGAGGATCCTCCCAGAGAGGCCGGGCCTGCAGGAGGGCCAGTTCTCATGAGTTCTCATTTGGCCCCTACCCTCCAGGCTGTGGTTCTGAGGTGGGAGACAGAGCCTGACCTCTGTTTGTCTTGTTTTGTCTTTGCAGCAGCCCACCCATGTGCCCGTGACAATGGTGGCTGCTCCCACATCTGTATTGCCAAGGGTGATGGGACACCACGGTGCTCATGCCCAGTCCACCTCGTGCTCCTGCAGAACCTGCTGACCTG
Source organism: Homo sapiens (assembly GCF_000001405.40). Taxonomy (NCBI): domain Eukaryota; kingdom Metazoa; phylum Chordata; class Mammalia; order Primates; family Hominidae; genus Homo; species Homo sapiens. Next base: position 68,429,696 of record NC_000011.10, read on the forward strand.
TGGAGGTAGGTGTGACCTAGGTGCTCCTTTGGGGTGATGGACAGGTACCTGATTCTCTGCCTGCTAGGCTGCTGCCTGGCATCCTTTTAAAATCACAGTCCCTGTGGCATCCAGTTTCCAAAGCTGATTGTGTCTTCCTTTGCCCTCCTTTCTTTTCTACTATGTGCATTCGGTGCTATGAATTTTCCTCTAAGTACTGCGTTTCCTGCATCTCACAAATTTTGTTACATTTTCATTTTCAGGTAGTTTGAATATTTTTACACTTCTCCTGAGATGACATCTTTGGCTCATGTGTTATTTAGAAGTGTTGCTTAGTTTCTAAAGAGTTGGGGCTTTTCCAGCTGTCTCTCTGCAACTGATTTCTAATTTAATTCTACTGTAGTCTGAGAGCTTATTTTATATGATTTCTGTTATTTTAAATGTGTTGGGTGTGGTGTTTTTGTTGTTATTGTTTTTGTGTCTTTTTGTTTTGTTTTGCTTCGTTTGTTTTGTTTTTGAGACAGTGTCTTGCTCTGTCACTCAGGCTGGAGTGCAATGGCGCGATCTCAGCTCACCGCAACCTCTGCCTCCCGGGTTCAAGTGATCCTCTTGCCTCAGCCTCCTGAGTAGCTGGGATTACAGGTGCACGCCACCATACCCAGCTAATTTTTGTATTTTTAGTAGAGACGGGGTTTCACCATGTTGGTCAGGCTGGTCTCGAACTCCTGACCTCGTGATCCGCCCACCTCGGCCTCCCAAAGTGCTGGGATTATAGGCGTGAGCCACTGTGCCTGGCCATTAGGTGTGTTTTATCACCCAGCATCATGCAGTTTATCTTGGTGAATGTTCTGTGTACTCTTGAAAAGAATGTGGATTCTGCTGTTGTTGGGTGGAGTGTTCCAGAAACATCAATTAGATCCAGTTGGTTAATAGTGCTCATCAGGTTGTCTCTATCCTTCCTTCCTGACTGCCTGCTTGAGCTGTCAGTTATTGACAGGGGTGTGGAGTCTCCAACTCTAATGGTGGATTTGTTTATTTCTCCTAGTAGTTCTATCTTTTTCTCTCCTTCTACCCTTGATCCTCTTCTCCCCCTAGGGCTTCCTGGTGTTAGTGGTGGGAGAGTGGGGTAGTGAAGAACCTGGACTTTAGGGCCAAAGAGGCCAGGGTTCAAATCCTGGCTCTGTCACTTCCCAGTTGAGTGACCCTGGCTGGTGCCTGAATCTCTGTGAGCCTCCACTTCCTCCTCTGTGAAATTGAGAGCACTTACCTGGCAGGCTGTCATGGGCATCAAGTAACAGGGCACTCCACCTGGACCCTGACACGTGATGCACAGGAATGCCAGCTGCTATGCCATGGGTGTGGCAGTAGTAATAAAGTGACCATCTGTATCCTCACCACAGTGAAGCCTGTCCAGGGCTTTCTCTCCTATGCCCCCATGCCTCCAGGTGGCCTTGGATCCTGTTGGTTCTGTGCTCTGCTCAGCGACCTTTCTCCCGTGGGAGTTCCTGGGGGTTCAGCTTCATCCTACAGACAGCAGCACACACTGGCTGTGCACCCTTTTTTTTTTTTTTTTTTTTTTTTTGAGATGGAGTCTCGCTTTTTTCGCGCAGGCTGAAGTGCAGTGGTGTGATCTTGGCTCACTGCAACCTCTACCTCCTGGGTTCAAGTGATTTTCCTGCCTCACCCTCCCAAGTAGCTGGGATTACAGGCTCCCACCACCACGCCCGGCTAATTTTTGTATTTTCAGTAGAGATGGTGTTTCACCATGTTGGCCAGGATGGTCTTGAACTCCTGACCTCAGGTGATCCGCCCACCTCAGCCTCCCAAAGTGCAGGGATTACAGGCGTGAGCCACCACACCCGGAGTGCCGGTTGTTTTTAGCAGTTTGTCTTGTTCCTGGAGAGACTGGCTCCTGCCCAGGAGCTCGGGGAGTAGGGCCGCGGGGTGCTGCCTCACACCTCGAGTTTGGCCGTAAGCAGAGGGGACATTTTGTGACTGTCCCCCTCCTGAGCTTCCCAGCAGCTTTTCTCCAAGTTACAGCCCAAAAGCTCAGGTGGATTTGCAACCCAACGGTGTCTGTGCACCTCCCACTGATGCCCGAACTGCCCTGGCCAAGAAACGGGGCCGTCAGAACGCTGCACTAACTGCAGCCTTGGGCCTCCATGCCAGAGGCCATGCCCTTCCATCCACCACCCCCTGGCCTGGGCCCTGGCCCTCCTGGCTCGGGAACTCCAGGCCCCTTCCTCACGGCTCGAGAGACGTGTATTTACCGCACAGGTGCTTGTCATTCTCTTGTGGCCTCTTCTCCAGGGAGATCACAGAAGGACAGGGCCTCACTGAGGTCTCGGACATGGACCCTTTGATAGTGGCAGGAGCCAGGCTGGGCAAGAGGCGGCCACAGTCACCTCAGCAGTGCCATCACCACCGCCATTCAGCCCTTCCCTGAGCCGGGCGCGCCCCTGGCTCTGGCCCCAGTGTCCCAGTTACAGCTCACAGGAGCTTGTGGTGCCCAGCGGCTGCTTCTGATTGAGAGTCGAGGTCGGAGGCTTTGGGAGGCTGAGAGGCTGCTCGGTTTCACAACTGCTGAGGGAGACTTGGGCTCCATCTCAGGTCTGCCCCATGTCGCCCTCAACCTCCAGCCACCGGTCCTCCGTGTCCCCCATGGCCAGGCACGGCTTGCAGACATCTGTCGTTGGCTCCTCTCAGCCGTCGTGGGCTGACCCTGGCACGTCCTCCTGTGGCTGAGCCCAGTGGGGACAGCTGCTTCCTTTTATTACCCTAGAACTCTCGTCTTTGATCAGGCCCCCTCCCCTATGCCACACAGTCCCTGTCACTCGGGTGAGCCCAGTAGTCATGGGGAAGGCCTGCGGGTTCCAAACATCCAAAGGCTTGCGTGCAGCATGACAGCTTGAAACCGATGTTTTTTACCTTGATCAGATTTCAGCTTGGCGGGGGCTTTGCTCAGCTTTCAGTGAGGCCTGGGCCGATTTCCCAGCATCCCCTCCTGAGGCCAGCCTCTGTTTCCTGTGATTTTCTGCACAAAGTGGGAGGGAGGAGTCCTAGGAAATGGGGGGCCACCTCGAAGCCTAGGCCTCCTCTGGCTTCTCTGTGCCAGTGCCCCCACGCTTTGTGTCTGTGTCCCCAGCCCATGGGACTCTGCTATTCCCTGAGTGCTGCCGCATGCCCAGCCCGCACTGAGGACGTGGAGCCCCGAGGGGCAGGATGGCCTCCATGGTCACACGTAGGAAGTGGCCTCCACCCTCCGATGATCCTCTCCCTCCTCCCTTTCAGCGCCCTCCCCGGGGGTGTCCTCAGCCCTCCTGCCTGTGCTTTGTCCCGTCTTCTGCAGGCGCCTGGGACGTGCTGACAGGTCCTCTGCCGGCTCCTGCCTTGCTATGCGCACGCTGGTCACCACAGAGGCCTGGCCCTTCTTCTGTAGCAGTCCCACACCCGCAACAGGTGTGGCTGCTGACCACCTGCTTTCTGCCCCTCTGGTCCTGAGGAGGGCGCAGTGGGCACTCAGGCGTGGCTGAGCAGATGTGTGTTGCCGGGAGGAGGAAGGACTGCTCCAGTCAGGGCTGAATTTCCCACCCGGAGCATTTCTGCTGTATTTGGTGTAGCGCCTGCTGCTTAAAGCTCTGATTCCCAGTTGGCACCCTTTCCCTTCTGCATTGAAAAACATACGGATGCATGTCTTCTTGCAGTGAATGTGTATTCTCCCAGCCTCTCTTCTGGGTTGGGGCTGGAGGTGGAGCGGCACACAGGAGCCGCAGCGATGGAGGATGTGCGGGTGCAGCACCCCGTACAGCAGGGATGCCAAACCCGCGCTGAGTCCCTCTCAACTTCTGCTTTGAAGCCCAGTCACGCCATTGCCTGGGTTTTGCTGGGCGGGGCTGCGTGTGATGTTCTCCTCTGTCCCTCCCCCAGAGCCGCCCACCTGCTCCCCGGACCAGTTTGCATGTGCCACAGGGGAGATCGACTGTATCCCCGGGGCCTGGCGCTGTGACGGCTTTCCCGAGTGCGATGACCAGAGCGACGAGGAGGGCTGCCCCGTGTGCTCCGCCGCCCAGTTCCCCTGCGCGCGGGGTCAGTGTGTGGACCTGCGCCTGCGCTGCGACGGCGAGGCAGACTGTCAGGACCGCTCAGACGAGGCGGACTGTGACGGTGAGGCCCTCCCCGTCAAGGCTCTGCCAAGACCCTGGCCCTGCCCTCCGGGATACGAGCTTGGGGCTGCCTCCGGCCTCACAGGAGTAGGGGCTCTGAAAACCTTTGCTTGCAGGGAGATTGCCAAGTCTGTCTTTTAGGCCCAACAAGGAAAACTCTGCAGTTCCACCCATCCTGTCCCACCAGGTAGTGTGGCTTGAAGGCAGACTGTGAGGGTCTATCTCACCTTCCTGCATTAGGTCAGGAGTTTCACAGAAACCTGAGGCACATTCAGGGGTGGGCTGCAGAGGTCCATGGCTCACACCCTGGAAAATCCGCCCCCAAAAGACAGTGCTGTCTCCACTGACCAGTCTGTGGGATAGTGCTTAAGCCTGAGTGGTTTCTATCAACATGTAGAATCAGGAGGTATAAAGAGATTTGCTCAGGCATCCTGGGCCCTCTCTGACCAGCAGGATCTTCCTTTAGATCTTGACAGTGAAACACATCTCTTCTGTGCCCCCTGTGAGTTTTCTTTCATTCATTCATTCATTCATTCATTCATTCATTCATTCATTCATTCGAGACAGAGTCTTGCTCTGTCACCCAGGCTGGAGTGCCCTGGTGTAATCTCGGCTCACTGCAACCTCTGCCTCCAGGGTTCAATCGATTCTCCTGCCTCAGCCTCCCGAGTAGCTGGGATGACAGGTGCGCACCACCATGCCTGGCTAATTTTTGTATTTTTAGTAGAGACAGGGTTTCACCATGTTGGCCAGGCTGGTCTCGAACTCCTGACCTCAGGTGATCCGCCCGCCTCAGCCTCCCAAAGTGCTGGGATTACAGGCATGAGCCACCGCGCCCGGCCTGAGTTTTCCTTTTATGAAGGACCTGCTTGGTTGGTTGCCTGCCACATGTTGTCAGCACCATGGGCCCAGGACTGCTGAGGAGCTGTTGATGCCCTCGCTCTCCCAGAGCCACCGGCTCTGTTAGATAATTCACATGCAGTCTGGCCACTGTCCTACGTCCTCATTCACAAAGAGCAGACATTTCGTAGAAGATGAGGGCCTGGGAGTAACCTCCCTGCATGTTTTTCTATAAAGGCATAGTGGTTAAGTCCTTCCAGCTCATTGACCATTGGAGAATTTTATGGAGGCTGTAGACTAGGGGCTGGTAAACTAAGGGCCCAGGGGCCAAATCCAGCCTGCCACCTACTTTTGTAAATAAAGTTTTCTTGGTGCACAGCCATGCCCATTCATTCATTTGCACAATGTCTGTGGCTGCTTTCATGCCAAAAGCAAGAGAACTGAGTGGTTATGCTGGAGACCTACGGCCTTCAAAGCCCCAGACCTCACGTCTGGCCCTTGACAGACAGAGCTTCCCCAGCCCTGCTGCGCATCCTGGCCCAGCATGTGCTGTGTGTGTGATTTCAGCTTGCAGGAGCCGTGGTTAGGAATTGTCCCTGTGTTGGTCCATTTTGCATTGCTATGAAGGAGCACCTGAGGCCGGGTAGATTATGAAGGAAAGAGGTCTGTCTGGCTCATGGTTCTGTAGGCAGCACCAGTATGGCACCCGCATCTGCTCAGCTTCTAGTGAGGTCTCAGGAAGCTTTGACTCATGGTGAAAGTCGAAGCGGGAGCAGGTGCATCACATGGTGAGAGAGGGAGCAACGGAGAGAGAGAGAGAGCGCCTCTCCCTCTTGCCCTCACCTTGAGAGGAGATGCCAGGCTCCTTTAAGTAACCAGCTCCCATGTGAACTCACAGTGAGAGCCCATTTGCTACTGCGGAGAGGGCACCAGGCATCTGCTCCCATGACCCAAACACTGCCCACCAGGCCCTACCTCCAACCTTGGGGTCATATTTTATTCTGTTCTATGCTATGCTATGCTATGCCATGCCATGCCATGCCATGCTATTCCTATTCTATTATTTGAGACAGAATCTCGCTCTGTTGCCCAGGCTGGAGTGCAGTGGCATGATCTTGGCTCACTGCAACCTCCACCTCCCAGGTTCAAGCGATTCTCCTGTATCAGCCTCCCGAGTAGCTGGGATTACAGGCACACACCACCACACCCGGCTAATTTTTGTATTTTCAATAGAGATGGGGTTTCACCATGTTGGCCAGGCTGGTCTCAAACTCCTGGCCTCAAGTGATCCACCTACCTCGGCCTCCCAAAGTGCCATGATTACAGATGTGAGTCACTGCGCCCAGTGAGGGTCACATTTCCGTTGAGATTTGGAGGGGCAGACGTTGGAGCCATCTGAGCCCCCTCGTCCCGCTCTAGCTTCTCCTCCCGTGTGCCCCGCGGTGCTGGTGGCAGGCCCTTACGCCGGTTCTGGCTGCATGCTCTGTTCCAGAAGCTTTCTTCCCTGCTTGGTTACCAGAAAATCATCCCATCCATTACAAGGACAGGGTCCCCTTATCTCCCATTCCCAGGGCAGGACACCGGGGGCAGGGCAGGTGGGGAACTGAGCAAGTTCTCTGGGGGCAGGCGTGGCTATGGCTCCCTCTGGGTGGGCGTCTGGGGAGGGGTGGAGGCAGCCGTCAGCGCCCTGGCTTGCTCTTCCTCCCTGGCCAGAGACTGTGGCCTTGTGCTGCTCCCGTGTGGGCTGCCTGCACCTCCAGTGGGTTGTGCTCCCTCCCCTCCCCTCCCCTCAAGCTCTGCTGAGCACCACTGCCTTCCACAGCCCCCACTCTCGGGAGGCGAGGCTCCTCGTGGCCATTCCTGTCCTTGGCACCCACCCCCCCACCAACCTGGTAGAGCCTTGGGCGGGGTCTGTTACTCCTTGCATGGCGTAGACCTCCCCACAGTAGGCACCTGACACATACCTCCTGGGGGGCAGGCAGGAGGTGCGTTGAGGTCTCAGCCCTGGCAGTCCCTCCCCTGCGTGGCATAGGCCTCGCCACAGGGTCATCGAGGGTGGGTGGAGACTGTACTAGACCACTCCCCGCTGGTCCTAGAAAGGGTCCCATCTGTCTGCTCTCTGTTTGGAGTCCAGACCTTGGTTGCTGTGCCCTGCATGGTGGGCTGGGGGGCACCCTCCAGCCTCTCTGAGTGCATGGCCTCTCCTTGCAGCCATCTGCCTGCCCAACCAGTTCCGGTGTGCGAGCGGCCAGTGTGTCCTCATCAAACAGCAGTGCGACTCCTTCCCCGACTGTATCGACGGCTCCGACGAGCTCATGTGTGGTGAGCCAGCTTCTGGCACGGGGAAGGGGCGTCCGGGCTGGGTTCCCCCAGGAACGTGGAGTTTAGGGGAGGAGACGTGCCTTTCCAGCGGGGCTGGGGGCTGTGTGGGAGACTCAGGCGGCTGGGAGGCTCCTTGCGGGAGGCAGGGAAGCCTTTCCCAGGGCAGCGGCCAGGAGGACAGACTGTGAGCTGTGGGCTCGGCGGCTACAGAGTCTGCCTCAGTGGGCGGGGCTGATGGTGTCCAGGTGCCTGCAGCACGCACCCACCCACGGGACCTTGCTGAGCAGCGTCTGTCAGGCAGCAAGATTACCCGAGGGCTGCAGTGGTCCTGTTCCCTGGCAGCTTACTGTCTGGCTGAGGAGGAGTGATGTTCACATATGCACACATGTCATGTGCACACACATGTACATGACAACATCCCACATGCTCCTCAAATAGCATGACCTGTACAGTCACGGATATAGGGCCTAGGGGATAGGAGGCCAAGACAGTCAGGGAAGACTTTCCAGAGGCAGTGGCTCCTGAAAGGCTGTCTGATTCAGGCAGGAAGGGAGCTGAGTTCAGATAGGAAGTAGCAATGAGTCATTGTGTCTGGGGACATGGCCACTCCTTCGCTGCAGAGGGACCTGGGCTGAGAGCTCCTCTCTTATGGCTGCAGTCGGGAGAGAAGTCTGTTGGGGGGAGAAGGGGGCTTCCTCAAGGGACTCCCTGTGCCCTTTGGCACCTTCGTGCCAGGTCAGGCTTGAGGCCTGAAGGCAGTGGTGGGGGCCACCAAGGGTCGCCTCCTCTGCTGGGCAAGTTCCCAGTCTGACGGGCCTGTGCCGTGGGCCCCAGCTGTGGGGGCGCTGTTGATGCGCAGCCAGGCCTCGCCGCCAGAGCCCGCACGCTTCCATTCCGCTGACTTCATCGACGCCCTCAGGATCGCTGGGCCGGCCCTGTGGGAGAGTGAATGTGGCTTTTGCCAAAGTTGAGTCTGGAGCCTGGAAACTTCCCTATGGGCAGCCTTGATAGTGGAGTGGCCCAAGGAGCCCACCCAGCCGACCCTGCCCCTCCCGTGGCTGGTGGGCGGCACCAGGGGCTGCCTGGCTTTGCTCGTTCACCAACATCACCTGGGCTGGCCAGGGCGCGCTCACTTCTGCCACCACCGAGGGCCCTGGGCGAAGGAGTGAATACCAGGCTGCCTTGGCAGGGATGTGTTGAGGGCTGTGGGGAGTCGGACAGCGGCGGGGGTCAGAGGAGGAGGAGGGTGCACCGTGCAGGCTGAAGGGCCACGTTACCCTGAGGTTGGCCAGGCTCCCCAGGCCTAGCCTCCCAGCTCCCCCACTTTCTCCCCACCCTCCACCAGTGGCAAAGCCAGCCCCTTCAGGGCGCACGGTGTCTGCCCCCAAGGAGGGCCCATTCCGTTGGGGTTAATGTTGGCCACCTCTTTCTGTTTGTCTCTGGCAGAAATCACCAAGCCGCCCTCAGACGACAGCCCGGCCCACAGCAGTGCCATCGGGCCCGTCATTGGCATCATCCTCTCTCTCTTCGTCATGGGTGGTGTCTATTTTGTGTGCCAGCGCGTGGTGTGCCAGCGCTATGCGGGGGCCAACGGGCCCTTCCCGCACGAGTATGTCAGCGGGACCCCGCACGTGCCCCTCAATTTCATAGCCCCGGGCGGTTCCCAGCATGGCCCCTTCACAGGTAAGGAGCCTGAGATATGGAATGATCTGGAGGAGGCAGGAGAGTAGTCTGGGCAGCTTTGGGGAGTGGAGCAGGGATGTGCTACCCCAGGCCCTCTTGCACATGTGGCAGACATTGCTAATCGATCACAGCATTCAGCCTTTCCCACTGAGCCTGTGCTTGGCATCAGAATCCTTCAACACAGAGGCCTGCATGGCTGTAGCAACCCACCCTTTGGCACTGTAGGTGTGGAGAAAGCTCCTTGGACTTGACCTTCATATTCTAGTAGGACATGTGCTGTGTTGTCCACAAATCCTCATGTACCCTAGAAATGAATGTGGGGGCGGCTGGGCTCTCTCCAGAGCTGAAGGAATCACTCTGTACCATACAGCAGCTTTGTCTTGAGTGCAGCTGGGATTTGTGGCTGAGCAGTTACAATTCCTACGTGGCCCAGGCACCAGGAACGCAGGCTGTGTTTGTAGATGGCTGGGCAGCCGCACCGCAGAGCTGCACCATGCTGGTTTGTATCACATGGGTGACCATGGTATGTCTAAGAAGGTGGAGTCCCTGTGAGGTCTGCAGGTGCCCCCACAGCTCCAGGCCACCTTGAGGATTGCCTCTGCCTGCCCAGCCCTGAGTTCCCTCTCCCCTGTCCTGTCCCACTGTCACCCCAAGCCGGCCTCATTGGGAGCCTGTTGGATGGCAGGGTATAGATGTAACCTGATTCTCTCTGGGGAGCGGGGTTATCTGGCTTCTCAAGAGCTCCTAGGAGCCCACAGTGGTGGCACCATCACAGTCGCAGCAGCCCCCAGAGAACGCGGCCCTGTCTGTTCCTGGCGTGCTCTGTGCTGCCCCGCCTGGGTTCCCTGCCCCAGTCGCAGGCCCCTTGGAGGAGGTACCATGTGTCTCCCGTTTCACAGATGAGCCCCGGGGAGCTCACTCTAGTAGTGGCCAGAGAGGCCTGCGGCTCAGGGAGCGGGGCACATTTCCAACAGGACACACCGCCCTGGTCTGAGTCTCGTGGGTAGTGGGAGCAGAGGAGAGCGCCCTATGTCTGTGGGGCGGCTTGGCTGAGCCTGGAAGCCACCTGACCTCCCCCGTCCCTTCCCTGCCAGGCATCGCATGCGGAAAGTCCATGATGAGCTCCGTGAGCCTGATGGGGGGCCGGGGCGGGGTGCCCCTCTACGACCGGAACCACGTCACAGGGGCCTCGTCCAGCAGCTCGTCCAGCACGAAGGCCACGCTGTACCCGCCGGTGAGGGGCGGGGCCGGGGAGGGGCGGGGCGGGATGGGGCTGTGGGCCCCTCCCACCGTCAGTGCTGGCCACCGGAGGCTTCCCGGGTTCCTGGGGGCTGTGCCACCGCCTCTGAGGCATGCTTGCTTTCTTCCCTTTTCAAACCCTTCTGCTTCCTTCTTTAATGACATTGTTGATTGTGGATAATCTGAAAACTACACAAAAATATAAAGAGCCAAAATCTCACCCAAATCCACCTCCTAGAGTGGCTGTTGGGCTCCGTCAGCATCCAGGCGGCCGTCTGTGTTCCGCACGGCCCAGCCCATCGATAGCCGCCTGCACCAGGCCTGTCTGCCCTCTGTGAGCCTCCCCACAGGGTTCCCTCCACAAACACCCTGTTCTCCCACCCAGGGCTGGCTGCTTCCTGGAAAACAGCTGGATGGTTTTGTGCATGACAGACAAACACAGGGTGATTTTCGTGGCTAAAATACTCCCTGGAGCTTTTGGCAGGGTGAGGGGCTGGCTCCAGCTGAGCCACGCCTTGAGTGAAATGACTGTGAGGAGAATAAACTGCCGCTGCCCTCCAGGATCACTGGGGCTGGCTGGGGAGAACCCCCGTTTCTGGGAGCACAGTCCCAGGATGCCAAGGCGAGCTTGGTGCCGAGATGTGAACTCCTGAGTGTAAACAGCGGGGGCTGACTTGACATGCTTTGTATGCTTTTCATTTGTTCCTGCAGCTGTATGCCCCTAAGGTGAGTCCAGCCCCCTTCTGCTTCCTCTGGGGCCTCGCCAGTGAGCCCCACCTTGCTGGGGCTGGTTCCTCCTGCCCTTCTGGGTATCCCTCACATCTGGGGTCTTGTCTTCTTGTTTTCTTTTTCTTTTTTTTTTGAGACGGAGTTTCACTTTTGTTGCCCAGGCTTCAGTGCAATGGTGTGATCTCTAGGCTCACCGCAACCTCTGCCTCCCAGGTTCAAGCAGTTCCCCTGCCTCAGCCTCCCTAGTAGCTGGGATTACAGGCATGTGCCACCACGCCCAGCTAATTTTGTATTTTTAGTAGAGATGGGGTTTCTCCATGTTGGTCAGGCTGATCTTGAACTCCCTACCTCAGGTGATCCGCCCACCTTGGCCTCCCAAAGTGCTGGGATTACAGGCGTGAGCCACCGCACCTGGCCTTTTTCTTTTCTTTTCTTTTCTTTTTTCTGAGACAGGGTCTCGCTCTGTCACCCAGGCTGGAGTGCAATGGTGTCATCATGGCTAACTGCAGCCTCTACCTTCTAGGCTCAAGCAATCCTCCCATCTCAGCCCCTAAGTAGCTAGGACTGCACGCATGCATCCCCATGCCCAGCTAATATTTACATTTTTTGTAGAGATGAAGTTTCACTATATTGCCCAGGCTGGTCTCCAACTCCTGGACTCGAGCGATCCTCCTGCCTCGGCCTCCCCAGGTGCTGGGATTACAGGCGTGAGCCACCGTGCCTGGCCTGGGGTATTGTCTTCTTATGGCACCTGACTGTGGTGGGCCCTGGGAAGGAAGTAGCAGAAGAGGGTTCTTCTTGGTTTCCTGGACAGTAACTGAGTGTTCTGGAGGCCCCAGGGCCTGGCTTTGTTTAGGGACAAAGGGAACTGGTAACCAGAAGCCGAGAGTTTAAACACCCACTGCCCTTCTTCCCTGCTCCTGCTGCTGCAACCCAGCTTAACCAGCCAGGAGTGCTAGGAACCCAAGCAGGGCCCCCGAGCACACAGCAGGCAGCTCACGAATTCTCTTTTCCTGTTCTCCCTTGGGAGCTGGGAGGATCTTAATCAGGCAATAAGAGATGGCACTGAGCAGCCAGCTAATTTTTTAAATCACTTTATTGTTTAACCATATGACTCACCCACTTAAAAAAGGGTACAGTTCAGTGGGTTTTAGTGTATTCACAGATGTGTGCAACCCTCACCACAGTTAATTTTAGAACATTTTCCTGCCCCTAAAAGAAACTCTGCATGAAGCCAGCTGTTTTTAAATTAGCAAAGTTATTTTGCATCCTTTAAATATATGTTCATGGTACAAAATTCAAAAGATACAGAAGAGTCTGCAGTCCAAAGAGACTCCGCCCCCATGACGCCAAGCAGGACTCCCTGGGAGGCATGGCCTCCTGCAGTGTGTTTCTTCTATGTCCCCCCAGGGGTCATCTGTACATATGCAAGCATACAAGAGCGTGGACTTTGTTTTCCAAGCCAGAAGATAATTGTAGATTTATGTGCAGTTGTGAGAAAGAGCACAGACCCATTTATCCTCTGCCTGGTTTCCCCCAGTGCTGCCTGCCATCTTGCATGACTTCCATTCCTATCATAAGCAAGACACTGATAACGATTCTTTCACCTTATTCAGATTGACATAAGTGTTTTTTGTTTGTTCTTGAGACAAACTTCCTCTGTCACCCAGTGGGAGTGCAGTGGCACAATCACAGCTCACTGCAGCCTCAAACTCCTGGGCTCAAGCGATTCTCCTGCCTCAGTCCCCTCAAGTAGCTCAGATGGCAGGTGTGCACCATCATGCCAGGCTAATTTTTAAATTTTTTGTGGAGGTGAGGCCTCACTAAATTTCCTGGGCTAGTCTTGAACTCCTGAGCTAAAGTGATCCTCCTGCCTCAGCCTCCCAAAGTGGTAGGATTACAGGCATGAGCCACTGCGCCTGGGCTGACATATGTGTTTTCGTAAGCCCGAAAGATAGCATCTGAAGAGTCAACATTGAGCCTTGCCTTTTGCTGCTAACGATGTATAAAAGCTGCTGTTCTGAGCATTTCGGAGGCTCCCAGCTGCCGTGTGCACCCTGCCTAGAGCTCTACCGTAACCCATCTCCGGGAGGAGGTGCTATTGTTTTCCTCATTTTGCAACAAGGAGGCTGAAGAACTGAGCATGAACCACTGGCCTGGGTCGTTCGGTTGGTAGGCAGTGGGGCCAGGCCATCCAACTCACAACCACCTTCTACTCTGCTTCCCCCGCACCCTGAAGTTTGTTCTGTTTTGAGGACACAGCCGTCACATTCTTGGTGGCTGAACAGCACTCCTTGTCAGGCGTGGCTGGGCCCCCACTGGAGGGCATCATGGTCCTCTCTCCTGCTGCGGTTGAACCTTGGCTGTTTCAACCACTCCTGCCAAGTGGCCCTCTGAAAGGGACAGTCCATCTTTTCTCAGCAGAGGGCCACACTGGCAAAACGGTCCCTGGCACCCTTTCTCTCCACCTGTCTAATATAGAGTAAAAATGGTATCATGTTAAGATCTTCATTTATATTTATTTTATCATGAATGATGTAAGCATCATTTTGTGTGTTTAAGAACCTTTGGGCCCAGCGTGATGGCTTGCAGCTGTAATCTCAGCACTTTAGGAGGCTGAGATGAGCGGATCACTTGAGGCCGGGAGTTTGAGACCAGCCTGGCCAACATGGAGAAACCCCGTCTCTAGTAAAAATTTAAAAATTAGCCGGGTATGGTGATCCCAGCTACTTGGGAGTCTGAAGCATGAGAATTGCTTGAACATGGGAGGCGGAGGTTGCAGTGAGCCGAGATCGCGCCATTGCACTCCAGCCTGGGCGACAGAGCGAGACTCTGTCTCAAAAAAAAAAAAAAAAAAGAAAAGAAAAGAAATTATCAATCTCCTCTTTTATGGCATATATATATATATATATATATATATATATATATATATATATTTTTTTTTTTTTTGGTTATGTTCAGAAAGGCCTTCCCTGCTCTGATCATAAAAAACAACTTATTTTCACACTCTCTCTCTTTTTTTTTTGAGACAGAGTTTTGCTCCTGTTGCCCAGGCTGGAGTGCAGTGGCGCAATCTCAGCTCACTGTAACCTCCGCCTCCCGGGTTGGAGTGATTCTCCTGCCTTACCTTCCCGAGTAGCTGGGATTATAGGCATGCACCACCATGCCTGGCTAATTTTGTACTTTTAGTAGAGACGGGGGTTTCTCCATGTTGGTCAGGCTGGTCTCGAACTCGCGACCTCAGGTGATCCACCCACCTCGGCCTCCCAAAGTGCTGGGATTACAGACGTGAGCCACCATGCCCAGCCCACACTCTCTTTCTTAACGTCCTCCTCCTTTCGTTTTACGTTCACATCTTTAATTCTTCTGGGATGTAATTAGATTTGATGAGCAAGGTGGGCATCCAGCTTGTTTCTTGGCTGATGGCTTATGGGTGGCGTGAATTAGTCGGGGTCTATCAGGAGGCAGAAACTCTATGAGAATTTGAACAGAGAAAGTTCCGTCTACAGGCTTATTACCAGGGACTGGAATAGCAGAAATTGAACAGTGAGATGTACAGAGAACTCTAAGAATGCAGGAATAGGCCAGGCATGGTGGCTCACACCTGTCATCCCAGCACTTTGGGAGACCAAGGCGGGTGGATCACCTGAGGTCAGGAGTTCGAGACCAGCCTGGCCAACATAGTGAAACCCCATCTCTACTAAAAATACAAAAAAATTAGCTGGGTGTGGTGGCGCATGCCTGTAATCCCAGCTTCTCGGGAGTCTGAGGCTGGAGAATCACTTGAACCTGGGAGGCAGAGGTTGTAGTGAGCCGAGATCATGCCATTGTACTCCAGCCTGGGCAACAAGAGCGAGACTCAGTCAAAACAACAACAACGCAGGAATAGCAGATGAGCCGAGTGGCCTCCCCAGCCCCCACCCCCCACCCCCCACCCTGGGCCGAGATCCAGTCCTCTTTGAATAGGGCCTGGCCGTGGTTCACGGGACATCTGAGACATTGCCGAGGCGCTGCACTGGTGGATCTTGCCAGAAGTCTGCCCAGTGCAGATTTGGGCAGAATCTCAAACTGCCTTGGGATGTAGGAGAGAAACCAGGCCTGGTCAAGTTCATGGGAAGAGGTGGAAACAGACCCCATAGGCTGGGGCTTGGGCAGCTGTAGGAAGCCCTCTCTGCTGCCTCCCTGCCTGCTCTCTGCTTTGAAGCATCTTCCCCAGTGCCCCCAGTCTCATGCCCTCTCAACGTTGGGGTCAAATCCTGAGGAATACCCAGACTGGCTCTCTGGGCCAAAGAGGACCCTCTCCAGAAAGAGCAGGGCCCAGTGCGGCTTCCTAAAGGGCAGGGGAAGGGCCTGGCCACTCCCCAGAGGCTACTCACCAGCCATCAGGATAGCCCCAGGAAGCAGGCCTTCTCGAGCCCATTTTATTACTTTATTTTATTATTTTATTTAATTTTAAATTTATTTTTTGAGACAGAGTCTCACTCTGTTGCCCAGGCTGGAGTGCAGTGGTGCGATCTCAACCCACTGCAGCCTCTGCCTCCAGGGTTCAAGGGATTCTCCCACCTCAGCCTCCCAAGTAGCTGGGATTACAGGTGCCCGCCACCACACCCGGCTAATTTTCATATTTTTAGTAGAGATGAGGTTTCACCATGTTGGCCAGGCTGGTCTCGAACTCCTGACCTCAAGTGATCCGCCCGCCTCGGCCTCCCAAAGTGCTAGGTCAAGCCCATTTTAAAGTTGAAGAAACTGAGGCTGAGGTAAATTCCCTCCCCAGGGATCCTGCTGCAGCCAGAAGGTGGTAAAACAGGACTTCACCCGGGTCTGTCTGGCGTGAAAGGCAGTGTTCTTGTACCACCCTAGGGGGCCTGAGAGAACTGAGTCCCTCGGGCATAACTGACAGTTCTGTTCCCATTATTCCGCAGGGGCTCGGATCTGGCTGTATGCTTTCCAGGATGGCCTTGGAGACCCACATAAGCCCTACACCCTTTGGGAAGCTGCATGTTGGGTTGGGGTGCCGTCAGTGGCACTTGTGGAAGGTGCAGACCTGTGTGGGTGTGTGGGCCCAGGGCCCCTGGTCCCTTCCTCCCTTTGTAGGGCTGGTTGTGTGCTGCCTGGACCTGGGGGGCACGTTCACGTGGTGAATTTGTCTATTTACTATCCCCGCTTTGGGGCTGGTGCCAGCACAGGCCCTTGTGAAGGGGGTGCCTTTGTCTGGAGTGGGACTGTGGCCCCTCCCTCAGCGTGGTGACTTCTGTGTCAGGGCTTCAGCAGGGACGCAGAGCCCCTGAGTGTTCGGAACAAGGGCGTCATTGCAGGAGTTAGACTGTGTGTGATGGAGGGAGGAGGGGCAGGAGGAAAGGTCAGAAGGAGAGTTCCTGGGAAGGTCCCTGAGGAGCCTGGTGAGGTGCTAACTGGTGTGGAGGACACTCAGGGCCTGTGGGGACATCTCCTACTGCTGGGGGCCAGCCACAAAGGGAACTGGCCGAAGTCCTGTCCCCGCCTTCACAGCCCAGCATCTGGTCACAAGGCAGGTACTTGGAAGGGCGCGGGCACCTGGGCCAAAAGTGCCTGGGTTCCCTTTGCCTTTCACTGAGATGACCTTCGGGGCAGGTGGCTGCTGCCTCCCCTCCTGTCCCCAGGTTTTGCCAACTGGCCAGAGGAAGGGGTCCTGGGAAGCAGGGGGGCCAGAAGCCCTCTCTGCAAGGAAAGCCCGAGGGGTGTGGGAGGAAGGAAGGAATGCCCAGGCTGGCGAGGCTCTAAGTCACCCTGGCTTGGCTCTCCTCAGATCCTGAACCCGCCGCCCTCCCCGGCCACGGACCCCTCCCTGTACAACATGGACATGTTCTACTCTTCAAACATTCCGGCCACTGCGAGACCGTACAGGTAGGACATCCCCTGCAGCCCTCCATGGCCATTGGGTTCCCGCCAGCCCGTGGTGGAGGGGCCTAATCCCCATGCCACTGATGAGGGGAGGTATTCTGGGTGCTAGTGGGCAGGTGCCGGGCCCAGCCCTGCCTCCCTCTGCTCTGCCAACCACACTAGGCTGCCTCCCCAGACAAGCTCAGCGGGCACTGCATGTTGGGTTCAGAAATCAGCAGAACTCCACGTTCTGAGCTGCTCTTCAAGTTGCTCCTATGGGGGTTACTTTTAAGCTGGGAAATGGCTGTGGCGTCGAGGGGCCGGGGGCTTGGGCTCCAGAGTCTGACTGTGTGTTTGAGTCCGGCTGTGGAAACCTAGCCATTGAGATGCCCCCTCTTGGTGGCTCTGTCCTCTTAGGATGGGACAAGTCTGTGAAGGCTGCTGCAGCACCCACCGTAGACCCCTAATCGTGTGACGTCACCAGGATGGTCCGGGCTGCTCACTTGCCACAGTGGCCTGTTTGAGCCCGGGAAGCCAACGGGGCTGCTCAGCTGGACACCAGCCCCCCGAGCTGCCCATGTTGGGGTCACAGGCCCCACCTCCCTGGTTGGGGAGGGGCAACTGAGAGTGTGGAGAGGTGGGACCCAGGTGTGCTGGTCTCCGCAGGGGCTGGATCAGAGCCTGGGATGGGCAGGGTGAGCCTCCTGACCTTTAACCCAGTGGTGTCAGGCAACGTGGCCCACCCGCCAGCCGCACCAGGCCCCACCCCCGCAGGTGAAGGGGTGGGATAGGCTGGGCCTGGGCCAGGACACCTCTGGACCACGCATTCCTCATTGCTTGGGTCCCTGGAGCAGCAGGGCCTCCCGAGTGTGGTGCCGCCTGCCACCTAGTGGCCATTTCCACGAACTCCCAGGCCTGGCTGGGGAGCCGGAACTGCAGCCTCCATTTCCACCCCACTCCGGGTCGGGCCACCTCCCTGATGCCTCAGTATTATATCAAACTGTCACAGTCTGTCCCACAGCCTTACAGACCACTGTCTCCAGAATGGTCACATCCACACTGGGCAGCCCAGTCTCGCTAGTTCCTCGTCCCACCTCCTGCCTTTGCTCATGCCCGTCCTGCTCTGGGCCCACCGCGGACACATCTTCCCCCCGCCCGCCGTCTGACCTCACAGCAGCTGGGCCCCAAGAGGAGTATCCTGTCCTGCTGCACTTTTCTCAACACCCGGTGTTGGCTGCACCTTCCCACCCATTGCAGGCCCCTCTGTGACAGGACGGGGGCTCCTAAACACACCACAGTTCCGAGTCTGAACTCACACAGTGGGATGCGGCGTTTCTGGGCCACAGTTGGGTGCAGGTAGCCTCTGGGAGGATGGGAGGTCAGGAGCCATCTTGCGAGTCAGGTTGCTTGAACTCAGGATGGAAGTGTTCCGGGCCCATTGGTTGCTGTATTAGCCTGTTCTCACGCTGCTAATAAAGACATACCCAAGACTGGGTAATTGTAAAGGAAAGAGGTTTAACGGACTCACAGTTCCACCTGCCTGGGGTGGCCTCACAATCATGGTAGAAGACAAGGAGGAGCAAGTCACATCTTACATGGCTTCAGGGAACAGACAGCATGAGAACCAAGCGAAAGGGGTTTCCCCTTGTAAAACCATCAAGTCTAGTGAGATTTATTCACTACCACGAGAACAGTATGGGGGGAACCACCCCCATGATTCAATCATCTCCCACTGGGTCCCTCCCACAGCACGTGGGAATTATGGGAGTACAATTCAAGATGAGATTTGGGTGGGGACACAGCCAAACCCTATCGGTTGCCAACATTTACAGTAACAGTGTTAGGTGAACAGTTGTCCAGTCTCCTGTTTTGTCGGACACTGTTTCTAGCACCTTCCAGGCAGAATCTCATGTATCCTTCACTTTCGAAATGGGTACTATTTCATCCCCACTTTTATCAATGAGAAACTAAAGCTCGAAGAGGTCAAGTAAGTTCCTGGCCAAGGTCAGCTAGCAGGCTCTAGAGGCCTCGTTCTCCTTAGAGGCAGCCTTGCCAGGGCCCAGGCTTGGCAGGCTGCAGGGCAGGTGCGGGCATGCCCATGGTAGAGGTGGGACCATTGAGGCTCAGAGAGGGTAAGTGATGAGCCCTGGCGACACAGCGGGGTGGGTCCAGAGTCCGGCCTGCATCTTCTGGAGCTGGCCAGTGGACAGGCCTTTCCCGTTCACAGCCCCGGGGCTGCTGTGCCCACCAGGGCGGATGTGCCTACCGAATCCCACTCCTCTGTGTGTGTCCCTTTCAGGCCCTACATCATTCGAGGAATGGCGCCCCCGACGACGCCCTGCAGCACCGACGTGTGTGACAGCGACTACAGCGCCAGCCGCTGGAAGGCCAGCAAGTACTACCTGGATTTGAACTCGGACTCAGACCCCTATCCACCCCCACCCACGCCCCACAGCCAGTACCTGTCGGCGGAGGACAGCTGCCCGCCCTCGCCCGCCACCGAGAGGAGCTACTTCCATCTCTTCCCGCCCCCTCCGTCCCCCTGCACGGACTCATCCTGACCTCGGCCGGGCCACTCTGGCTTCTCTGTGCCCCTGTAAATAGTTTTAAATATGAACAAAGAAAAAAATATATTTTATGATTTAAAAAATAAATATAATTGGGATTTTAAAAACATGAGAAATGTGAACTGTGATGGGGTGGGCAGGGCTGGGAGAACTTTGTACAGTGGAGAAATATTTATAAACTTAATTTTGTAAAACAGAACTGCCATTCTTTCGTGCCCTGTGTGCATTTGAGTTGTGTGTCCCCGTGGAGGGAATGCCGACCCCCGGACCACCATGAGAGTCCTCCTGCACCCGGGCGTCCCTCTGTCCGGCTCCTGCAGGGAAGGGCTGGGGCCTTGGGCAGAGGTGGATATCTCCCCTGGGATGCATCCCTGAGCTGCAGGCCGGGCCGGCTTTATGTGCGTGTGGCCTGTGCCGTCAGAAAGGGCCCTGGGCTTCATCACGCTGTTGCTGTTCGTCTTCCTCAGATTCTTAGTCTTTTTTTTTTTTTTTTTTTTTTTGAGACGGAGTCTTTCTCTGTCATCCAGGCTGGAGTGCAGTGGTACAATCTCAGCTCACTGCAAGCTCCGACTCCCAGGTTCAAGTGAGTCTCCTGCCTCAGCCTCCCGAGTAGCTGGGACTACAGGTGCGCGCCACCACACCCGCCCAGCTAATTTTTGTATTTTTAGTAGAGATGGGGTTTCACCATGTTGGCCAGGATGATCTCGATCTCTTGACCTCGTGATCCGCCCACCTCGGCCTCCCAAAGTGCTGGGATTATAGGCATGAGCCACTGTACCCAGCTGACTCTTAGTCACTTTTAAGAAGGGGACTGTGCCTTCATTTTTCACTGGGCCCTGCAGAATATATGCCTGGGCTCTGGGCTCTTCTGAACCTGTGTTGGCTTCCATCTGACCTCTCTGTGCCAGCCCAAGGCTGCTGCTCTTCCTGAGGGCAAGGAGCCCCATGACTGCGTGTTGACTCGCTGGATGGGGCTGCTGAGCCCACTCTGCCACACCACGTGCCCCTGGCAGGGAGGGAATCCCTGGGTCCTCACAGGAACAGTCAGCAAGCCACACCTGACGCCTGCTGTGGGCCCATCCCTGCGGTGCTGGAGAAGACAGACAAGGCCTGGTCACTGCCTCTGCAGGGTCCCCAGTCCGTGGAAGGAGACAGTAATCTAGGCATTTTCGGTGGGGAAGCTGAGCTGTTCTCGTGTCCTGAAGGCCAGGCGGGAACAGCCGTCTTCAGAGGGAAGGGAGAAAATGCACATCGCATCAGTGGAGAAGGGCCTGACTTCCCTCAGCATGGTGGAGGGAGGTCAGAAAACAGTCAAGCTTGTTGCTGGGTGACAGTGCATTTAATAATCAAAATATAGGCTGGGTACGGTGGCTCATGCCTGTAATCCCAGCACTTTGGGAGGCTGAGGCAGGTGGATCACTTGAGGCCAGGAGTTTGAGACCGGCCTGGCCAACATGGCAAAACCTCAACTACTAAAATACAAAAACTAGCCGGGCGTGGTGGTGCACGCCTGTAATCCCAGCTACTTGGGAGGCTGAGGCAGGAGAATTGCTTGAACCTGGGAGGCGGAGGCTGCAGTGAGCCGAGATTGTGCCACTGCACTCCAGCCTGGGCAACAGAGCAAGACTCTGTCTCAAAAAAAAAAAAAAAAAAAGCAATACAAAATACAAATATCACTTTCACTAAAAGAAGGGATGGAAGACCCAAAACAAACAGAAAACAACAAAATGGCAGGAGTAAGTCCCCACTTATCAATAATAACATTGACTGTAAATAGGCTAAGCTCTGCAATCAAAAGAGTGGGCCAGGAGCGGTGGCTCACGCCTGTAATTCCAACGCTTTGGGAGGCTGAGGCGGATGGATCATTTGATGTCACGAGTTTTAAGACCAGCCTGGCCAACAAGGTGAAACCCCATCTGTACTAAAAATACAAAAATTAGCCAGGCGGTAGTGGCACGCACCTGTAATCCCAGCTACTTGTGAGGCTGAGGCAGGAGAATCACTGGAGGCTGGGAAGCGGAGGTTGCTGTGAGCCAAGATGGAGCCACTGCACTCCCACCTGGGCGACAGAGTGAGATCCTGTCTTAAGAAAAAAAAGAGTGGATGAATGGATCAAAAAACAAGACCCAACCATCTCTTGCATACAAGAAACACACTTTACCTATAAAAACACACTAGGCCAGGTGTGGTGGCTCACACCTGTAATCCCAGCCCTTTGGGAGGCCTGACTGGCAGATCACCTGAGGCCAGGAGTTTCAGACCAGCTTGACCGACATGGCAAAACCCCATCTCTCCTAAAAATACAAAAAAACAAAAAAAAGAAAAAGGCTGGAAGTAGTGATGTGTGCCTGTAGCCCCAGCTACTTGGGAGGCTGAGGCAGGAGAATTGCTTGAATCCGGGAAGTGGAGGTTGCAGTGAGCCAGGATGGTGCCACTGCACTCCAGCCTGGGTGACAGAGCGAGACCCTGTCATAAAAAAAAAAAGAAAAGAAAAGAAAAACGAGAAAAACAAACACAAAATTAGTAGAAGAAAAGAAATAATAAAGATCAGAACAGGCCAGGCTCATGGGCACAGTGGCTCAACTCCTACCTGCTCAGGAGTTTGAGACCAGTCTGGCCAACATGGCAAAACCCCATCTCTCCTAAAAATATGAAAAAAAAAAAATAGGCTGGATGTGGTGATGTGTGTGTGCCTGTAGCCCCAGCTACTTGGGAGGCTGAGGTGGGAGAATCACTTGAGCCCAGGAAGTGGAGGCTGCAGCGAGTCATGAATGCACCCTGCACTCTAGCTGGGTAACTGGAGTGAGATTCTGTCTCAAAAAAGCAAAGACCAGAGCAGAAATAAATGAAATGGAAATGAAGGAAACAATGCAAAATGATACAAAAAGTTTTTTCGAAAAGATAAACAAAATCAACAAACCTTTAGCCAGATTAAGAAAAAAAGAGAGAAGACCCAAATAAATAAAATCCGAGATTAAAAAGGAGACATTACCACTGATACCACAGAAATTCAAAGGATCATTAGAGGCAACTATGTGCAACTATATGCTAATGAACTGGAAAACCTAGAAGAACTGGGTAAATTTCTAGACACATACAACCTATCAAGATTGAACCATGAAGAAATCCAAAACCTGAACAGGCCGGGCACGGTGGCTTACGCCTGTAATCCCAGCACTTTGGAAGGCCTGAGATCAGGAGTTCGAGACCAGCCTGGCCAACATGGTGAAACCCCATCTCTACTGAAAAAATATAAAAATTAGCCGGGCGTGGTGGCGGGTGCCTCTAATGTCAGCCACTCGGGAGGCTGAGGCAGGAAAATCACTTGAACCTGGGAGGCATAGGTTGCAGCGAGCCGAGGTTGCACCACTGCACTCCAGCCTTGGCGACAGAGCCAGACTCCATCTCAAAAAAATTAAAATAACAAAAACCTGAACAGACCAATAACAAGTAATGCGATGAAAACTGTAATAAAATGTTTCCCAACAAAGAAAGCCCAGGAACAAATGGCTTCACTGCTGAATTTTACCAAACATTTTTTTTTTTTTGAGACGGAGTCTCGCTCTGTCGCCCAGGCTGGAGTGCAGTGGCGCAATCTCAGTTCACTGCAAGCTCCTCCTCCCGGGTTCATGTCATTCTCCTGCCTCAGCCTCCTGAGTAGCTGGGACTACAGGTGCCCACCACCACGCCCGGCTAATTTCTTGTATTTTTAGTAGAGACGGGGTTTCACTGTGTTAGCCAGGATGGTCTCGATCTCTTGACCTCATGATCAGTCCACCTCAGCCTCCCAAAGTGCTGGGATTACAGGCATGAGCCACTGCGCCTGACCAAGATCCTGTCATTTATAACAAAGCAACAACGTGGATGGAACTGGAGGTCATTATGTTAAGTGAAACAAGCGAGGCACAGAAAGAGAAACTTCACGTGTTCTCACTTATTTGTGGGAGCTAAACTTTTTTTTTTTCGGGATGGAATCTTACTCTGTCACCCAGACTGGAGTGCAGTGGCGCAATCTTGGCTCACTGCAACCTCTGCCTCCCAGTTTCAAGCGATTCTCCTGCCTCAGCCTCCCAAGTAGCTGGGACTACAAGCGCCCACCACCACGCCCAGCTAATTTTTGTGTTTTTAGTAGAGATGGGGTTCCACCATGTTGGCCAGGCTGGTCTCAAACTCCTGACCTCGTGATCCACCTGCCTCAGCCTCCTGAAGTGCTGGGATTACAGGCGTGAGCCACCATGCCCGGCCGGGGAGCTAAAAATTAATACAATTGAACTCATAGAGATAGAGAGTAGAAGGATGGTTACCAGAGGCTGAGAAGGGTAGTGGGTTTGGGGGGTGAGGTGGAGGAGAGATGGTTAACAGGTACAGAAATACAGTTAGATAGAATGAAGAAGATCCGTATTTGGTAGCACAGCAGGGTGACTGGAGTCAACAATAATTTATTGTACATTTAAGAATAAATAGGCTGGGGGCGGTGGCTCATGCCTGTAATCCCAGCACTTTGGGAGGCCGAGACGGGCGGATTATGAGGTCAGGAGATCGAGACCATCCTGGCTAACACGGTGAAACCCTGTCTCTACCAAAAATACAAAAAAAAAAATTAGCCGGGCACGGTGGCAGGCGCCTGTAGTCCCAGCTACTCGCGAGGCTGAGACAGGAGAATGGCATGAACCCAGGAGGCAGAGCTAGGAGGCAGAGCTTGCAGTGAACTGAGATCATGCCACTGCACTCCAGCCTGGGCGACTGAGGGAGACTCCGTCTCAACAAAAAAAAAAAAAAAGAATAAGTAGGAAAGTATAATTAGATTTTTTTTTGTAACACAAAGGATAAATGCTTGATGTGATGGTTACATCATTTACCCTGATGTGATTATTATACGTTATATGCCTGTATCAAAACATCATGGCTGGGCACGGTGGCTCAGGCCTGTAATCCCAGCACTTTCGGAGGCTGAGGCGGGCGGATCACGAGGTCAGGAGATCGAGACCATCCTGTCCCACATGGTGAAAGCCCGTCTCTACTAAAAATACAAAAATTAGCTGGGTGTGGTGGCGCGTGCCTGCAATCCCAGCTACTCGGGAGGCTGAGGCAGGAGAATCGCTTGAACCGGGAGGCGGAGATTGCAGTACGCCGAGATCACGCCACTGCACTCCAGCCTGAGGACAGAGTGAAACTCTGTCTCAAAAAAAAAAAAAAAAAAGTTTCATGTACCCCTAGGCTGGGCGGGCACGGTGGCTCACGCCTGTAATCCCAGCACTTTGGGAGGCTGAGGCGGGCGGATCGCTTGAGGCCAGGGATTCAAGACCAGCCTGGGCAACGTGGCGAAACCCTGTCTCTACTAAAAAAACAAAATAATTAGCCAGGCATGGTGCGTGCGCCTGTAATCCGGCTACTCAGGAAGACTGAGGCAGGAGAATGGCGTGAACCCGGGAGGCGGAGCTTGCAGTGAGCCGAGATCATGCCACCACCCTCCAGCCTGGGCAACAGAGCGAGACTGCGTCTCAAAATAAATAAATAAATAAATAAATAAATAAATAAATAAATAAATAAAATAAAACAAACAACACACACACACACACACACACACACACACACACCCTAACACAAAGACCTGGAAGAAGTGCCTGGAGAGAGTCTCCTGGCCTCCCAACAGGACCCCAAAAATTGAACCCTTGATCAATGGGGCTGGATGTGCAGAGGTGGTGACAGCCCAGGGAGGCTGGGTCTCCTGAACCCGCCTTTCCCGCCCACGCAGTCAGCTGGGGAGAGTGAGGGGCTCATCCGCCGGCTGCCTACCCTCTGCCAAGTACATCCTTCAGTAAGTGCCTGAAGCGGGCACAGCCCTGCCCTTATGCCACTTATGTGCTGGGAGACCCAGAGATTAGTCAGGTGTGGCTCCTCCCCTGCATTTGCTCCCAATCCAGGAGACAGCGGGGTTCCAAAGCCATAAGGAAGCATTGTTCTAAGATACCCTAGAGCCCAGAGGGCCGTCATATTCACACAGGAAGCCAGAGGGGGCTTCTTGGAGGAGGCAGTGTCTGAGCTGTGTCTTAAAGGAGGAGGTGAAGTTAACCTGGCTTATTTAAACTTCACAACAGTCCAGCCAGGTAGGGGGTGTTCCCAGAATCTACTTGAGGGAACTGAGGTTTGGGTAAAAAGAAGCAAAGCCAACATTTTTTTTTGCATCCGTTTAATCTTTTGTTTATCCAATACACGTTACTAACTGGCTACCAGGTGCTACTCAATGTGGCCAAAAAGGCATGTACCTTCTCTCCAAACCCTCTCACCTCTGCAGTGACAGCCACTACTCCCCAAGTCTCTGTCACCCCTCACTGAGCCCTGAGGGGTCTCTTGTATAATGGGCTCCCTCCCCACCAACCAGAGCAGAGATGGGTCCTTTGCTCAGCTCAGCCTTCCTCCAACCCCTCATTCCAGAATGGGTGTGGGAGCTTCCTGCCTGCCCTGGGGCACTGAGGCAGCATCGCCCGGGCAGTTGAAGAAAGTCCATGTTGCCAGTTTGGCTATTTCCACTGCCGGGGAGGCCACTGTGGGAGGTCTTGTTCCCGAGAAATGTGGGTGGTTAGGACGGTGGCTAGGGCTTGGGTCCCACTCAGCCCCTGTGAGGTTCCCTCTCCTGGGCCACTCGGCTGGCAGCCTCTGGACCTCCTGGTTGGGCCACACCTTCAGATGCCACCGGGGAACCCCCTCACTGGCCTCTTTTCTGTGGTCCTCTCCCAGGGTGCCACAGCTTGATCTCTCTCCTTCCAAATGTCCTCTTCTCTCTTTCCCCATAGGCTTGACGGCAGCCCTAGTTGTTAGTAACTCAGCGGCTACACTTTCTCCCAACACTCAGGCTCCCAACCATCCTTTATAGGAAGGGAAATACCTGCTTCCCAAGCGGTATTGAATCTTAATGCAGTGAAGAAGAAAGAGAAGCAGAAGAGCTCAGTTTCCACGTTGAAATGGGCCGACCCCTCATATCCTACATGAGCCCCTAGCTGGCCTCTCCCGTCCAGCCTCAACACCTCTTGACCTGACCTGGCCTGGGCTCCTGAACACCAGCCAAGCCCTTCCTGGCATGTCCTCTTCTGGGGCAGCCCCTCTCCAGCCCGTGGATCAGCGCCAGCCTGGGATGGACTGTGCCCTGGTGACATAACAAAGGGAAAGACAATACGGCATTTTTCCCTTCAAGTTGAACTTCTTGTTTTTTTTTTTTTTTTCAGACAGAGTTCCGCTCTTCCACCCAGGCTGGAGTACAGTGGCAGAATCTCGGCTCACTGCAACCTCCGCCCCCAGGTTCAAGTGATTGTCCTGCCTCAGCCTCCCGAGTAGCTGGGATTACAGGCGCCCGCCACCACGCCCAGCTAATATTTGTATTTTTAGTAGAGATGGGGTTTCTCCATGTTGGCCTCAAACTCCAGACCTCAGGTGATCCGCCCACCTTGGCCTCCCAAAGTGCAGGAATTACAGGTGTGAGCCACACACCCGGCCTGAACTTCTTCAATTTAAGCTCTTCTTTATTCAGAGCTAGTTTTTCCTGTGTTAGTGTATGTGTGTGTTAGCATGTCCTTTCTTTTATGAAATTATGATAATAGTAAATACTTAAAAAAAATCATTACAGAATTAAAATTGGGGGCCGGGTGTGGTGGCTCATTCCTGTAATCCTAGCACTTTGGGAGGCCAAGGCAAGCGGATCACTGGAGGTCAGGAGTTCAAGACCAGCCTGGCCAACGTGGTGAAACCCTGTCTCTACTTAAAACACAAAATTAGCTGGGCGTGGTGGTGTGTGCCTGTAATCCCAGCTACTCAGAAGGCAGAGGAAGGAGAGTCGCTGGAACCTGGGAGGCAGAGGTTGCAGTGAGCCAAGATTGTGCCAATGCACTCCAGCCTGGGCAACAAAGCAAGACTCCATCTCAAAAAAAAAAAAAAAAAAATTAAAATTTGGCAGCTCTGAGTCTGTTCCCAAAATTTAAGTCATGATAGCCAGGTGATGGGTGCTTGAGCATGCAGCCTGCTCTTCTCTCTGCTTTTGAATATGTTTGAAACTATTCAGTTACATGTGTGTTTTTTTAATAATTTGTTATTAATTTTTGCGGGTACATAGCAGGTACATATATTTATGGGGTTTTTTTTAAAGTCTAGATGGATTGAAAAGTTTAATATTAATATGAAACATTAAACTACAAAAGGATCAGGAGGAAAGACAGAAGGTGGTGATCCCTGAAATCTAGAAGTTTTAGGGTAGAGACGTCAATCTGTGTAGAATGCAAAGCTTCTAAGTCATTCCTCTGCTTAAAGCCTGTCAGTAGCTCCCCATGGCTCTCAGGACCCAGGCTGAGCTCAGATACCTCCTCCTCCAGGAAGTCCTCCCTGACTTCAACCTTCTGGTTAGGTTAGAAGCAAACCATAAGTGGAGACCTTAGGGGCCCACTTACGTTGGGCAAGGTACTATATGATTTCATTATAATGTATATGGCCCTGTGACCCACCTCAGAGTCAGGGATGGAGGAGCCTGGTGCAGATACTGGCAAATCCTTTGATGATGAGTGAGTATAGGGATGCAAGGGTCGGTGGGGGTGTTGGGTCCTCCCTGGGCTCCCCAGCACGGAAGGACGGACGGGAGCCCAGCCCTGGCTGCCCCCTCCTGCCCATGGCCCAGCCTCCCTCTCAGGCACCAGCCAGTCCCAGGACTCTCTGAAACCTTTCCTGGGCTCCTTAGTCCAGCTCCAAGCTGCCCCTCTGGCCCTGTGCTACACCTGGTGCTCCCTGCTCTCGCTTCCAGCCATCTTCTCTAGAGTATGGCCAGCCCTTCTTCTGCCCGGAAGCTTTCCTTGGCTCCCATGGTCTGAGCATAAACCCAGGTTCCTCCGCCTGGCTTCCAAAGCCTCCATGGTCCCTTCTGCACCTGCTTCTCGAGCTGTTGCCCCAGACCTGAGATCAGCCCCACCCTGCCTTCCACGGGGTGTGCTCCTTCCACCTTGCTGCCTCGGCCTCTTTCCCTGGCATGGCCGCTCCCGCCCTGCCCAGGTGATCAGCCTGTGAATCCCCTCCCTAACCCCCACACAGAGCACACCTCCCAGGCTGGCTTCCGGCTTGACTATGTTCCTCCATGCCTCTCTGAGTAGCAGGATCAATGTGAGAAAGGTCTGCCCTGTCTGCAGCCTCCCCAGAAGCACAGTACTTTTCGTGGCGCGTACACGGGCTGGTAGATACAGTTGTCCCTCTGTATCCGTGGGAGATTGCTTCTGGGACCCCCAAGGATTCTCAAGTCCCATATATAAAATGGCTTAGTACAGTTAACAACAGAGACGTGTTCTGAGAAATGCATCGTTAGGCAATTTTGTCCTTTGCAAACATCACAGGTATACTTAGCACAAACCCAGATGGTCTAGCCTACTACACACCTGGGCTATATGGGATAGCCTATCGCTCCTAGACTACACATCCATACAGCATGTTACTGTGCTGAATACTGAAAGCAGCTGTAACACAATGGTAAATATTTGTGTATCTAAACATAGAAAAGATCCAGTACAGCTGGGCGCGGTGGCTTACGCCTGTAATCCCAGCACTTTGGGAGGCTAAGGTGGGTGGATCACCTGAGGTCAGGAGTTCAAGACCAGCCTGGTCAACATGGTGAAACCCCCATCTCTACTAAAAATACAAAAATTAGTGGGACATGGTGGCATGCACCTGTAATTACAGCTACTGGGGAGGCTGAGGCAGGGAGAATTGCTTGAACCCAGGAGGCAGAGGTTGCAGTGAGCTGAGATCGCCCCATTGTACTCCAGCCTGGGCGACAGAGCAAGACTCCATCTCAAAAAAAAAAAAAAAAAAAGTCCAGTACAACTACAATATCATAATCTTATGAGACCAGTCTTTTTTGTTTTTATTTATTTATTTATTTTTTGAGACAGAGTTTCGCTCTGTCGTCGAGTCTAGAGTTCAGTGGTGCAATCTCGGCTCACTGCAAGCTCCGCCTTCCGGGTTCACGCCATTCTCCTGCCTCAGCCTCCTGAGTAGCTGGGACTACAGGCGCCCGCCACTGCGCCCGGCTATTTTTTTTTTCTTTTTGTATTTTTAGTAGAGACGGGGTTTCACCGTGTTAGCCAGGATGGTCTCGATCTCCTGACCTCGTGATCCACCCGCCTCCGCCTCCCAAAGTGCTGGGATTACAGGCGTGACCGCGCCGTGACCTCCTGTGGATTTTCATGGGACTCTGAGAGGCGCCTCAAATCCATTTTGGAATAAGGCAGGTTATTAGCATGGGGTCTAACCGTGGGCTGTCTCGGTGTCCTGGGCTGGCTCTTGGGGCGGGGGTCCTGATGTCCGGGACCTCGGTCCTACCTGGGAGGCACAGATATGGCGGGGAACGGGAAGCCCGGGGGAGCATTTAGAAGCTCGTGTGCACAGGGAAACCCTGTCTCTACAAAAAAATTAAATTAGCGGGGCCCAGTGGTGCGTGCCTATGGTCCCAGCTACTCGGGAGGCTGAGGTGGGGGGACTGCTTGAGCCCAGGAGGTGGAGGCTGCAGTGAGTCATGATCACCCCACTGCACTCCAGCCTGGACAACAGAGCAAGACCTTGTCTCAAAAAAGACCCCAGGCCAGGCGCGGTGGCTCACCCCTATAACCCCTGCACTTTGGGAGGCTGAGGTGGGCGGATCACCTGAGGTCAGGAGTTCGAGACCAGCCTGGCCAACATGGTGAAACACCCGTCTCTTCTAAAAATACAAAAATTAGCCGGGCATGGTGGCGTGCACTTGTAATCCCAGCTACACGGGAGGCTGAGACAGAACTGCTTGAACCTGGGAGGCGGAGGTTGCAATGAGCTGAGGTCGCACCACTGCACTCCAGCCTGGGGGACAACAGGGAAACTCCGTCTCAAACAAAACCAAACCCCAAAAGTTCTCGTCTAAGTCCTTCTCCCAGGACAAGGGCACTTATCTCTTGGCGGTGCGTCACAGGTAGGGATATTCCGCGATCCCTCACCTTGACCCCGCTACGAGGACAGCCACCTCTTTCAGGTAAAGAGATCGCAATGGGAAATCATTCTGATAAAAATTCCCCTGTGGAGAATGCAGGCATCGATCCCGTTACCTCTCACATACTAAACGAACGCTCCTCCACTTAAGCTGATTCCCTAGCCCGGCCTAACCTTTGCAGCCGGCGCATATTGTGGCTCACGTCACCACCGGTGTCCCCCGCCGCCCCCGCCCCGCCCGGCCAGCTCGCCACCCTATTGGATCCCTCACGGCTCCGGCTCCACGGCCATGATGGGCTTGGCTCAATTTAGTTTTAAAAAGCATTGGCCACTCGGATTGGTGGTCCGAAGCGTCCGTCAAGCGGAGGACCTGCTGTTGCTACGGCGTAGGGGGTCCCAGCCAGGTTTCTCCCCGTTTCTGATTTGTTTCTCAGGCTCCGGGGTCCTAGAGGTTCCGGATCCGTCAAGTCCATGGGAAAAGAATGCGCCCCTCGCGCTTGACTGACGAGGCTTGCGGGCCAATCGGAATGTAGTCAAAGGAGCCGCTAGGCGATCCAATAGGTAGTAGGGGGCGGGAGAGAGGGGCCAATGAGCCTGGAGCTGGGGGCGGGGGCAGGGCCGCGATTGGCTGAGAGGCGGCCAGAGGGCGGGCGGGGGGGAACTCAAGGCCTGCTTGATACGTCCGCCATTTTGGGCGCTTCGCTGATGGTGTCGGTGAGCGCGTTTCCCGCCTGAGCGCAACTAGCGGCGGGTCGTGGGCACCTCCAGGTAATGGGGGTAGGGGAGGCGCCGGAGCAGGCCGCGGCGCGGGGTGTGCGAGGCGCGCGGGCAGGCGCGGGGCCCCTCCACCTGGCCTCAGCGGCTCAGGGAGGGAACGTCCCGGCCCCTCTCCCCTCCCCCCCCGGAATTCGTCGCTCCGCGGGCCCGGGAGGCGCGGCGCCGAGTCCTTCCCGGCCGCTCCCCGTCCGCTCCTGTTAGCCGGGGGCCCCGCCAGGACGGGCGCCGGGAGCGGGACGCGGTCGGGGCGGCGACTTTGTGCCTCGTTGACGTTCGCGGCCTGGCGCGGCGGGCGGGCGAGGCGCGCCCCTGACCCGGCTCTGGCTCCAGCCTTCCCGCCCGCCGGCCGCGGCCCGCAGTCTCGCCCCCCGCCCGGCCCGCGCCCGGTCTCCGCTCCCGCTGGGCC
Source organism: Homo sapiens (assembly GCF_000001405.40). Classification (NCBI taxonomy): domain Eukaryota; kingdom Metazoa; phylum Chordata; class Mammalia; order Primates; family Hominidae; genus Homo; species Homo sapiens. The sequence continues at coordinate 68,461,243 of NC_000011.10, forward strand.
TCCCGGGGGCCTCGGGGAGCGCGTCAAGTTGAGGCAGCAACTCGCCGTCAAGAGTCGCGAAGACCATTGTTGGACTCTGCTCTTCGGGAAACAAGTTTTGTGGGTTTCTGTTAATTCGCCGCAGAGTCATCGGGATCCACACCAGCCAGTTCCGAGGCTCCCAGTACCCTTCCCAGTGGCTTTTTAACTCCTGTGAGGTGGCTTGTATGTAAACTGTCTCGAATGCCTCCCTGGTGTATTTGAGCCGGGGGTGGGGGGGGTGGGTGGTCCTTCTTGTGGCTTGAAGTCCCTCCCTCTTAAAGAAGCCCATTCACTGTTTACTTGGAGGTGTTTCCTGTTGAGGTCCTGCTGGCTGTGATCACAATTTAGACTTTTTAATTATAGGTGAACGGGATGGGTCTTTGGATGTACCTCCGTGCCCTGACGTTTCAACCGCGTGACTTAATGTCATTTTCCTGGTACTTCACGTTTTCTCTGTGGGGCTTTGGGTCTGTTTTGCTTTTATGGGAGGGGGTGCTTGACAGGCGTTCCCTTTCATCCTCGCAGCACTTGTTGACGGGGTGGTGTCCTTTATTCGTGGGACGTTTACTTTGATTTTGTCCTCAAGGTCATGTTGCAGATAGGCTTCAAGGGGGACAGGGACTCCAGGTTTCCAACCACCGAACTGTGCCTCAAGTAGCAAGTGTATGAGACCCAGTTATGGTGGTGGTTGGGTTTTCCTCACTGTGGAGTGGAGTCAGTGACCACTTTTTAGCTCTGTGACCTTGGGCAAGTTACCCAGCTTCTCTTTTTTTTTCTCTGTAGTATGGGAATAATAATAAGTGTCCCAGCCATAAGTTTGTCAGGATAATTGCCCTAATACATGTAAAACAGCTAGAGCTGTGCCTGGCACATACAGTCACCTCAGTGGCTGATTAGTGGTTAGGCTAGTTAATGGCTATTATTGTTTAATTTAAATTTGATTTTTAAATGTTTAGGTACTATTGGGAAGTCAGATGAGCATTTGAGTCCCGACTCTTGGTGACTGCCTTTAGAAAGCTCTGTGTAAGACTCAGTTGGGCTGAAAAAGTAAAACTATAAGTTATTTTAATTTTTTCAGGACAGGGTTTTTGACCATTCCTTAAATTAGGAACATTTACCGGAGTAATTAATGAGTAGTAGCGCCTCATAATGTTTAAAGAGATGGTTAAATACAGAAAAGCCCATCACAAGCTTAAGTCGGGCTTTGTTCCTCATGTGCTTTTGGATACTAGTTTCTGGGTGACTGCCACCCGAATCAGTAACTAGGGTTTCTTAGTGTAAGTCCTCCTTGTTACTGAAAACTGTAAGGGTGCCGTGGATTGCAGTATTCTTCAGCAAAGATAGTTTGGGAAATAGCTTTTGTCCTGGAGGGATACTTTGGAAGGTATTCTCCACTTCAGCATGTCTGGTCAGGGAGTCTAGAACATTGAACAAAATGCCTGCACTCAGTCAGAAATAAACTCACAATCCTTTACCGCTTGCCCGATACTCTCCTCCATGGTGCTCGAAACCTTGCGTGCACCTTCCCCTGGTATTGTTGTGTTTACTTGGGACTTGGTTTGCTGTATTGGAGATGTGTGTTTTGATGGACTCAGTCTTAAGTAGAGATGAGTATCTTGCTGGTGGAACTTAAGGACAGGAAGAAGATTGTTTTCGGTTTAGAACTCTAGCCTTTGTGTAAAGTATAGCAAAGCAAAGTCAACAAGCAAAAAGTTGTTAGTTTCAATGAACTAATTGAGAATTTGAGAATCAGACCATAGCTGAGCAGAAAATGAATAGAAGTAACATTGACAGGATGAGGTTGCCTAGCTTTTTAAGATAAAGCTTTGGCCGGGCGCAGTGGCTCACGCCTGTAATCCCAGCACTTTGGGAGGCCGAGGCTGGCGGATCACTTAAGGTCAGGAGTTCGAGACCAGGCCAACATGTGAAACCTTGTCTCTATTAAAAATACAAAAATTAGTCGGTCATGGTGGCGTGTGACTGTAATCCCAGTTATTTGGGAGGCTGAGGCAGGAGAATCGCTTAAACCTGGGAGGCGGAGGTTGCAGTGAGCCAAGTCCAGCCTAGGAGACAGAGCGAGACTCAGTCTCAGAAAAAAAAAAAAAAAAAAAAAAGATAGGGCTTTGCACCTATTTGGTAGATTATGTGCTTGTTACAAATAAACATCTCTTTAAAACAAGTGTCACGATCGGTATTTTATTTCTATGACAACTTCCATTGTCTAGTTCTATATTTTCAGTATTTGAGAGGCAGCCTCTGTGTGTGTTTGTGTGTGTGTGTGTTTTGGTCTAAAATTTTACAGTATTTTACTAAATAAGAGTAAATGATAGTGAAAATAAAGCTCTTCTATCTGCTCAACTAAAACTCAGCATTGACTTGGTCCTTAGAAGTTATGGTCTGCACCCCAGTATTGGCTGCTACTTTTTCTAATGTACTGAAAAAAAGATCTGGCCTCTTGGCTTTAAACAGCTTTCATATTTCTTTCCTTTCTTAACTTCAAATGATTGTCTTTTGATTTACTCTAGTTCAAGAGTTCTCAGTTGGGGGTGGTTCCCCCCTCACCCCCCAGGAAACATTTGGCAGTGTCTGGACATATTTTTGCTTGTTACACCTCTGGGAGTGGGCAGTGTGCTTCTGGAGGGTAGAGGCCAAGGATACTGCTAAACATCCTACAGTGTCCAGCATAGCCTCCTCCCTGCCCGCCAGCAAAAGTATCCAGTCCCAAATAGCAACACTGCTGAGGTTGAGAAATCCTGCACTTAGATAGATGTGAGACTGGCCTACATTAGAATAAGCCTGCATTAGAATAATTAGAAATTTTTTAAGACCATGGATGTTGGACTCCACCTCTGGAAATGGTGGGATTGAGAATCTTATTAATTTTTTTTGAGATGAGTCTAGCTCTGTCGCCCAGGCTGGAGTGTGGTGGTGCCATCTCGGCTCACTGCAACCTCTGCCTCCTGGGTTCAAGCAGTTCTCTGCCTCAGCCTCCCTAGTGGCGGGGATTACAGGCACCCGCCACCATGCCCGGCTGTTTTTTGTATTTTTAGTAGAGATGGAGTTTCACATCTTGGCCAGGGTGGTCTTGAACTCCTGACCTCGTGATCTACCCGCCTCGGCCTCCCAAAGTGCTGGGATTACAGGTGTGAGCTACCATGCCCGGCCACGAGAATCTATTTTTTAGAAGCTTCTCAGACAATACTGAAATGCAGCTGAATTTTGGAACCACTGTTTTACACCACAGGTTTAGGGACTGTTTGTGAGTTAAGGGTTCCTTTCGGTGATCTGTGAACTTGGTCTTTGCAGTACCTAGATCCTGCCTTGGAGATTATTTAGTAGTGGGGATTATTTAGATGGTATACTTAACCATTTTTCAGATGCCTGAAGACTGAACTTTAGAAGCATTTGTTAATTGATTTTATAAAATATCTTAGGACTTTTTTTTCTTAACCTCATGAAAATACATTACCATACTGTGCTGAAACTAAGCAAAATTCTTAGATATTTAGAGTTTGCTTCTGTGCTGAATAATCTTACACTACTGTAATTTTTGAGTTAGTATCTTTTGCCCTCCTTTTGTCAGTCAGTGGTCAGGTCTGGTTTTAGATGCCAGCTTCAACTTTTTTTTTTTTTTTTCGGAGACAGTCTCACTATGTCACCCAGGCTGGAGTGCAGTGGCATGATCTTGGCTCACTGCAACCTCCGCCTCCTGGGTTCAAGTGATTCTCCTGCCTTAGCCTCCTGAGTAGCTAGGATTACAGGTGCGTGCCACCACACCTGGCTCATTTTTGTATTTTTAGTAGAGATGGGGTTTCACCATGTGGGCCAGGCTGGTCCCGATCTCCTGACCTCAAGTGATCCGCCCGCCTCGGCCTCCCAAAGTGCTGGGATTACAGGCGTGAGCCACCATGCCTGTTTTTTGTTTTTGTTTTTGTTTTAATAAAGACCTATTCCCAGAGAATTAGCCCTGGATCAGTTTACCAGTTCTGCCCATTGAGGGCACAGATAGGCATACAGTATGCTCAGCCTTTAACACAGTGATCCTGCCCACTGGTAAGTTGGACTCTTCTGTGCCCTAGACTCTGATCCCAGCAGAGAAGTGTTCTTTTCTCCTGGGGAGATGAGATGCAGTGGTAGAGAGAAGGGTAGATCTTTTTTGCTCATATTAAAATTTAGATTATCTAGTTTATGGAATGGAAGAATATTAGGAAAACTATAAATTTTTAGCAGCTAAATGTTAATATCTGAAGTTACAAAAGGTCATGGAGGCATTTTCTTATTCTTCATCCTGAAATTCGGCCTGTGCCTATGTTGAGAACTACCAGTGACCACCATCTACTTCTAATATCCATTTATTTCATCAGCAAATACATTAATTGAGTCCTTACTCTGCTAGGAACTGTATTAGGGATTCACTGATGAACAGGCCCTTAAGGACCTGCAGTCTAGAGGAAGAGGCAAACAAGAGACGACAAAGCTGTTAAGAATTGTACATGGTGTCAATGGGGCCTGGGAGGAAAGAGCTTCTGTTTGCTGGTCAGTTGGTTGATTTGTTTAAACTTTGGGTGGTTGAGATTGCCAGAAGTTTTGCAAAAGAATAAGATAGTTACACTTTGTTACTCATTTATAAGAAATGATTACTTCGACTTGCCTCCTTAGTTTGAGGAGTCTTAAAAAGCAGTGCCATTCTTCCCATACTGAAGCCGTTTTGTAATGACAGATAGCTGTTTATAGCTCCCTACACAACAGTTATCCTTTGACCAAACCTCAGACACTGACTCTCTGGTTCCAGACCCGTCCGAAGCTTGCTGTAGGTTTTTGCAAAATGTTTCCGGCATTCTTGAAATAGATGCTACTTCAAGTGGGAGGGGGTGTTTCTCCTGCTGCATTATGGATCTAGGTTGACTGGAGATTTTGTTTTGGCCTTTTGACTTTGGCTTAGATTTATTTGTCATGGAAGCCCCCTTTCCTACTTCTCACCCCCTTTAGTTTTATGAGGAGGGAGATAGTTGCTAGTTAGATCAATACTCAGTTTATTTCAGGTATTGAAAGATTACAGACTGACATTTGGATACCAGGTAGGTTGGCTACGTGGTAAAGAAGCAAGTAAAAGGGCATTTGACAGTATGTGGAAAGGTATCTTATCTCTATGCCTAGCTAGGACATTTTCTTTTTTTTTTTTTTTTTTTTGTTGAGACGGAGTCTCGCTCTGTCACCCAGGCTGGAGTGCAGTGGCGTGGTCTCGGCTCACTGCCAGCTCTGCCTCCCGGGTTCACGCCATTCTCCTGCCTCAGCCTCCCCAGTAGCTGGGACTACAGGGGCCGGCCACCATGCCCGGCTAATTTTTTGTATTTATTTATTTATTTTGAGACGGAGTCTCACACTGTCGCCCGGGCTGGAGTGCAGTGGCGCTATCTCGGCTCACTGCAAGCTCCGCCTCCCAGGTTCACACCATTCTCCTGCCTCAGCCTCCCGAGTAGCTGGGACTACAGGTGCCTGCCACCACGCCCGGCTAATTTTTTTTGTATTTTTATAGAGATGGGGTTTCTCCGTGTTAGCCAGGATGGTCTCCATCTCCTGACCTTGTGATCCGCCCGCCTTGGCCTCCCAAAGTGCTGGGATTACAGGCGTGAGCCACCGCGCCTGGCCATTTTTTGTATTTTTAGTAGAGACGGGGTTTCACCGTGTTAGCCAGGATGGTCTCGATCTCTTAGTGAGCCGCCCGCCTTGGCCTCCCAAAGTGCTGGGATTACAGGCGTGAGCCGCTGCACCCGGCCCTAGCTAGGACATTGTCATGTCACAGACTGGGCAAAGAGCTGGCTTTACCCTGAGTAGAGGCTATTTACTAATTGTCACTTACGGCTGGCTAGAGTTGACCTGTTTTAGATGCATTAGTGAAGACTATACAGTTGACTGAACTTATGCAATTAAAGTTCGATAGGTTCTGAACATCTTTTTACAGATATAAGGAGGCTCTGATTTTGTACTTCACAGTAACTCTGGGGAAAACCACGGGATTATTAGTTCCAGAATTTCTTACAGTGGAAATACATAGTGACTTGAAGTGATTTGAATTCCCCAGAGATTGACTACCGTGAAATCTGATGGCCCAAGAAAAGATGAATGAAAGATTGTTTTTAGGAACATTAGAGAGCAGGACTAAAACGGCTGCAGACTGATGTTGAGTCAGACAGACTTGGAGAAAGCTGTGTGGGACTGTTAGTTGGAGCCTTGGGTTTCCTATACCTACATGTAAATCTGAACAAAAATTCTGGTGGCAGAGACACACTTTGAGAAAAAAGAGCTTGCCTGAGAACACATGTCACACTGAGACCCTAATCAGGGCAGTTCACACTGCCTGCTCCATGGTTGGCTGGTCAGATTGGTTGGGCTTTGGTCCTCAGATGGGCGTAGCGGGAGGAACACTGACTAGTCTTGACAATTGACTGAGGCTTCCATTCGTGAGAATCATGGTTTTGGGCTGCAACAACACTTAGACGTCATTTATTTTCTATTTATTTATTTTTTTGAGATGGACTCTCAGTCTGTCGCCCAGGCTGGAGTGTAGTGGCGCGATCTCGGCTCACTGCAACCTCCGCCTTACAGGTTGAAGCGATTCTCCTGCCTCAGCCTCCCGAGTAGCTGGGACTACAGGCGTGTGCCATCACACCCAGCTAATTTTTTATTTTTAGTAGAGATGGAGTTTCACCATGTTGGCCAGGCTGGTCTCAAACTCCTGACCTCTAGTGATCCGCCCGTCTTGGCCTCCCAAAGTGTTGAAATTACAGGCATGAGCCACCACGCCCAGCGCATTTATTCTTACAGAAAAATGGAGGCCATGCAGAAGAATGGAACCAGAAGGAGCAGAGAAATCTCAGCCCCGGTGATTCCATAGGATTGTGATGTTCCAGACCACAGTTTTAAGTGCTATTTGTTTCAAGAGTGACATCACAGCTGGATTTTACTTAGAATTCAGAATAAGTGGTTAACGTCTGGAATTTTATTTTTGGTAGTAGTATGTGTCAGTTTTTTGTCACTGTATAGTAGTTGAGGAGTTCTTTTTTGTTGACATAGAGATACACAGGGTTTGTATTGCCTTTGGACAATGGACAGGTCTCATCTGTCTCTTTTGTCTGCAAGTGAGACCCTGCCCCTTCTGAGTAAACAACACTCTGTGAATGACTGTCCCTTTTCACTGTGGACTTCTTGTTATTACACCCTTAGATGGACTCAGCAGCTATGAGATCCTCCCATCATAGGTATGGTATTTTGTAACAAAAGTACAGAAACACCTCCAAGGTGCAGTGAATGATCTCAAGGAGAGAAATGGAGTATTATAGGATCATAGAGAGGCCTCGAGGTCTAACCAGCTGCTCTGCGGAAGTCAGGGTGATGGTGGTTTCAGTGTTGGGGAGGTTACAGAGTTAGTGTTGATATGCAAATTTTCTTCCTCCAAATTTGGAGTATGTTATATATGTTTTAATGTATATAACTGTGAATATGAATATAACATTAGAACATATATAACATAATTTCTGCTGGTGGAGTAGAGATCATAAATTTGAGGTTTGCAGTTTGCTTTCTAAAACATCTTTTAAGTTTATTCTTTTCTGGCACACAGGACGTTGTAGGGTAACTTTGCTGTGGAGTCTCACATTTTATATAGAATCATTTTTTCAACATAGTGTGGATAATCACATACGCCTTGAAGGATCAATATATGTTAACAGATGATTGGATCTTTTTGATTTTGCACTTAATTTCTTTACAAATTCTGCATTATAACCAGACAGCTCTATTGAGGGTTTGCAGATTTTTTCTGTAAAGGACCAGTTAGTAAATATTTTAGGCATTGGAGGCTAAATGGTCTCTGCAAGGACTCATCTCTGCTTTTGTAGTGTGAAAGCAGCCATAGCCAATCTGTAAACAAATGAAGGTGGCTGTCTTCCAATAGGACTTTACTTATAAAAGCAGACAGAGAGTTGGATTTGGCCTGTGGGTTGTAGTTTGTCAATGCCTGCTCTAATCTGTTTTGTCTTTGTTTATCTTTTTGAGATAGAGTCCCAGGCTAGAGTGCAGTGGTGTAATCTGGAGTGCAGTGGTGTAATCCCAGGCTAGAGTGCAGTGGTTTTTGTTTATTTTTTTGAGATAGAGTCCCAGGCTGGAGTGCAGTATAGCTCACTGCAGCCTTGACTGACCTCCCTGGCTGAAACGATTCTCTCACCTCAGCCTCCCGAGTAGCTGGGACTGTAGGCACATGCTACTACACCCAGGTAATTTTTTTTTTTTTTTTCTTGTAGAGACAAGATCTTCCGATGTTGCCCAGGCTGGTCTTGAACTCCTGGGCTCAAGCAGTCCTCCCACCTTGTTTTCCCAAAGTGCTGAGATAACAGGTGTGAACTACCATGCCTGGCCTCTAATCTGTTTTTTTATTTTAACTTGTAATTGGACTATGAATTCAAAGAGTATATATCAGCATGTGCCCAGATATTAAACATTAGAACTGACACTTGTGTACCCACTAACCAGCTTAGGAAATAGAAGGTTGCCATACCTTTGGCTCCCTGTGTCCTCGTCTCACCACTTCCCTCTTTCTGACCTCCCCAAGGCAAATACCTTGTATGTATCATTTTTCTGCTTTACTTTATGGTGTTGCAAAGTATAAATGTATCCTTATATAATGTGACTTCATTTTTGCATTCCTTTAGACAATGTAAATGGAGTCACTTTGTTCTTTTTTTGCCCCCACTCAACATTGTTTCTGTGATCCTTTTATTCAGATGTTTGAGTACTTACCATGTCTTAAACACTGTTCTACTGCTGGGCATGTTAACAGTAAGCAAAGCAGATGAAAAGTCCTTGTTTTCATGGAGCTTACATTTTGGTAGGGGAAAGACAGTTAACAGATAAATGAAAGATACAGTAGCCATATGGTAATACAAACAGGGAGAAAAGTAAACCAGGAGAGGTGGGGTGTGGGGGAGTGCTTGTCTGCAGATTGAAATACAGCAGTCAACAGAAGGAGTGGAGGGACCCAGCCACAAGGCTGTGGGTGGCAGTGGGGTAGGGGCAGCATTATAGGCGGAGGGTCAGCAGGACAAGGTGCTAAGAAGGAGGCATGTCTGCTGTGTTGGAGGGGCAGCGGAGGCCAGTGTGGCTGGAGTGAGGAGCCTGAGGGAGAGTGGGAGGAGGGTAGGCCAGATGGATGGGGGAGATGGGGGGAGGGCGTAGGTCACACTGGCCATTGTTAAGATTTTGTCTTTTTCTCTGAGTGAGATGGGTAAGTCATTTGGTGTTTTGAGCAGAGGTGTCACATGATGTGGTTTCTAAAGGTCCCACTGTCCTGTGCTGCTGGAGGGAGGTTGGACGCTCTGGCAGTGATCCAGGAGAGCAGTAATGGCAGCTGGGACTGAAGGGGAGCAGGGGTGGGAGTGAGAAGAGGTTGGCTGCTGGATCCTTCTTGAAAAGGAAGAGCAGACAGGATTTGCTGGCAGATTGGAGTGGGTGTGAGAGAGGAGTAAAGGATGATACCAGGGATTTTTGTAGCTGGTGGGCGTTGCCATGTATAAGGAAAGGGAAGACTTGGGAAGAACAGCGTGTGGAAGTAAGATCAGGAGTTGGGTTTTGTGCATGTTCAGTTTCTGAAGCTTTTGGAGAGCAGATTGGAGATATGCTGGATTGGGGTGTTCACTGCTCAAGGGAGAGATCTAGGCTGCAGATAGAAATAGGAGTCTTTGGGCCGGGCGCGGTGGCTCACTCCTGTAATCCCAGCACTTTGGGAGGCTGAGACGGGCGGATCACAAGGTCAGGAGATGAGACCATCCTGGCTAACATGGTGAAACCCCGTCTCTACTAAAAAAAATACAAAAAAATTAGCCGGCTTAGTGGTGGGTGCCTGTAGTTCCAGCTACTCTGGAAGCTGAGGCAGGAGAGTGGCATGAACCCGGGAGGTGGAGTTTGCAGTGAGCTGAGATCGCGCCCTGCACTCCAGCCTGGGTGACAGAGCGAGATTCTGTCTCAAAAAAAAAAAAAAAAAAGAAAAAGAAATAGGAGTCTTCAATATTTAGGTGGCATTTAACAGTCCCGAGGTTGAGTGAGGCACTGAAGGAATGAGGCTCTACGGCAGCCTAGAAGGTGGAAGGAGCAGCTTTGAGGCCTTAGGAAAGTGTTGTCACGGAGGATGGAGCGGGGACCTCTGCCAGTGCTGCTGCCGTGAGGTCACCTGAGATAAGGACCAAGACTCGTCTCATGGCTCTGGCAGCGTGGAATTCATCGACGATCTTGAGAGCTGTTCCCACATGGTGGTGCAGGAAAAGCCTGGAAGGGAGCATTCACAAGGATTGAGAGAAGAGAAAGGCAAGTAGAGCTCCGTCATGGGATTTGCCACAGTGATGAAGGGATATTTGGGATCCTGAGGTGTTGAGGTGGGAGAAACCACACCATTTTTGCAGTGTTGGTGAAGTAATTCTCCAGAGGATGAATGACATGATGAATCAGAAGAGGTGACCCTTGCTGGAGCCACATTCTTGGGAAGGCAGCAGGAAGTGGGTGGGTGCCCATGTGGAGAGTTGGCATCCATGGGCTCCTCCCTGGTAGGAGGAGGGAGAGCAGACTAGGGGAGATGGGATAGTGGGAGCATGTGGACGTTGGCTTTTTTTTTTCTTGGTGAAATGGAAGAGTTCTCAGCAGTCAGTGAGAATGAGGGGGTGTCAGGGCTGGCGGGGTGTGAGGAGAGAGGAGGAAGTATGACATACTCTGTGGGAAAGTAAGAATGTGTGTGAATGGAATGGCCTACCTGAGGGTAGCAGTCCTGAGTTGCAGTGAAGACAGCACGATTTGTTATTTTTCCTGGAAGGAGAGTAGGCATTGCTTCATTTAACTGGGGTTGTGGTTTCCCTAATCAGAAATAGCAAAGCAAGAGAGAGGCCAGGAAGTGATGATGTTGGTGGGACGTGGTGGTAAAGCCGGGAAGGGAAGGCGTGCAGACGGAGAGGTTTGCCCACATTGGTGCGTGTGGTTGTGGTTTATCCTTCTTCACTTCTCTGTTACATTGCAGACTGAATATGTCTCATTTTCTTCTTTGTCCTGCCATTGGAGAATATAAGTGTTTCTAGTAAGAAGGAACGCTGCCTTAAACAAGTGCAGATGCATTTCTCCAGGGTACCACCCATGTAGAGAATTGCAGGGTAGTGCGACATGTACATCTTCAACTTTACTAGATGGTGCAAATTGTTTTCCAAAATGATTGTACCTCTTTACCTCACTACCAGCACCGTCCTACATCCTTGCTAGCCCTTGGTATTGTCAGACTTTAATATTTGCAGGTTTGGTGGATGTAAACTTATATCTCGGGGTTTTTTTTTTTTTAATGACAACATTATTGAGAAGTAATTCACAGACTATTCAATTGATCAATTTAAAGTGTACAACTGATGGATTTTAATATATTCACAGAACTGTGCAGTTATCACCACAATCTAACTTTGTAACATTTTTGTCACCCCCTCAACGACAACAAAACCACCTTGTACCCATTGGACTATTCTGGACATTGCTTATTAATAGAATCATACAATAGGTGGTCTTTTGGGACCAGCTTCTTTCAACTTAGCATGTTTTCAAGTTTCATCCATGTTTTAGCATGTATCAGTATCAGTCCTTCATTCTTTTTAGTTGCTGAATAGTGTTCAATTGTATGGATATACCACATTTTATTTATCCATTCATCAGTTGATGGACATTTGTTTCCTTTGAAATATATAGTTGATTTTCATCCTTGGCATAGTTTCCGGGCATACAGCTCCTAAAATCTTTGGACTTTCCAAAATGATAAGTGTCTTTTTGTATGCGAATGAGTTGACTGATGGCTAGCTGACCTAGGTAGCTTCAGGTTAGGGGCTGGTCACTGGAAAGACCATGATTAGAGGGTTGGGACTTTCAGCTCCACCTCCAGCCTTCAGTGAGAGGAGATTTGCTGAACATTGAATTGATCAACTGCCAATGATATAATCAGTTGTGCCCAAGTAATGTCACTGCCATAAAAATCTGGAAAGACTGGGTTCTAGAAACTTCTAGAACACATGGAGGTTCCTGGAGGGTGGTGTGCCCATAGAGGGCATGGAAGCTCTGAGCCCCTCCCCTCTTACCTTGCCATGCGTATCTCTCCATCTGTATCCTTTGTAATATTGTTTATGATAAACTGGTAAACTTGTTTCCCTAAGTTCTGTAAGCCACTCTAGCAAATTAATCAAACCCAAGAAGTGGGTTATGGGAACCCCAGTTTATAGCTGTTGCGGGGGAAGCACAGGTAAAACAACCTGGAGCTTGTGATTGGCGTCAGAAGTCGAGGGCAGTCTTGTGGGACTGAGTCCTCACCCTGTGGGATCTGACTCTATCTCCAGGTAGATGGTGTTGGAATTGAATTGGAGGACACCCACCTGGTGTCTGCTGCAGAACTGATTGCATGATGTGTGGTCACATAAGTATCCTGTGTTGATTGTTAAGGGAAAGAATAGGAAAAACACTCTGCTTTGTTATTTTTGTCTCTTTATTACTGGATTTCTACTTTTTGGCTGTTGTGAGTAATACTTCTGTGAATATTTGCATACAAGTCTTTGGGTAGACATGGTTTTATTTCTCTTGGTGTATACGTAGGAGTGGAATTGTTGGATAATGTGGTAACTTTAACATTTTGAAGATTTGCCTTTTCCTTATGGCTAATGCTGATGAGTGTCTTTTTACATAGCTTGTTGGCTATTTGCATGTTAAAAAGCAATTACCTTTTTTTTTTTTTTTTTGAGACAAGGTCTTGCTCTGTCACCTAGGTTGAAGTGCACTGTGGCATGATCATAGCTTACTACAGCTTCAAACTCCTGGGCTCAAGGAATCCTCTCGCTTCAGCCTCCCGAGTAGCTGGGACTACAAGCACACACCACCATGCCTGGCTAATTTTTACAATTTTTGTAGAGACAGGGGTCTTGCTTTGTTGCCTAGGCTGGTCTCGAACTTCTGGCTTCAAGCAGTCCACCCACCTTGGCCTCTCAAAGTGTTGGGATTACAGGCATGTGCCACTGCGTCCAGCCTGATTATCTTTTAAATATCATATTGGCTATTTGTATATCTTATTTAGAGGAAAGCTCACTTAAATCTTTTGTCCTTGCTTTTTTTTCAAAAAAGAAATGCTGTATTTTTCCTGTTTTTAACTTACCTAATGCCTTATGATTTATGTGTCCATGTTCATGGTGAGATTGGCCTGTAATTTTCCTTTTTTTATATCAACCTTGATGAGTTTTATTATCAAGATTATTCTAGTCCAATAAAACAAATTGTAGTATTTCCTCATTTGTCTCTTGAGAGTTTATGTAAAAGGGAATTATCTGTTCCTTGAAGGTTTGGTAAGCCTTGCTGGTAAGACCATTGGGGCCTAGTGTTTTCTGTCTCAGATTTTTAAATTACTTATTTGGATGTTTTAATATTTATAGGATTATTAAAATCTTTGTTTTTTCCTGAGTCACATTTGGTAGTTTATGTTAAAAAGTTTGTTTATTCTTGTCTGTATTTTCAAATATATTGGCATAAAATTCTGACTTACTATCTTTTGCATCTCTATCATATTTGTAATCACTAATATTTAACTTCCTTTTTTTTATTTTTTTTATTTTTATTTTTTTCATTGATCATTCTTGGGTGTTTCTCGCAGAGGGGGATTTGGCAGGGTCACAGGACAACAGTGGAGGGAAGGTCAACATACAAACAAGTGAACAAAGGTCTCTGGTTTTCCTAGGCAGAGGACCCTGCGGCCCTCTGCAGTGTTTGTGTCCCTGGGTACTTGAGATTAGGGAGTGGTGATGACTCTTAAGGAGCATGCTGCCTTCAAGTATCTGTTTAACAAAGCACATCTTGCACCGCCCTTAATCCATTTAACCCTGAGTGGACACAGCACATGTTTCAGAGAGCACAGGGTTGGGGGTAAGGTCATAGATCAACAGCATCCCAAGGCAGAAGAATTTTTCTTAGTACAGAACAAAATGAAGTCTCCCATGTCTACTTCTTTCTACACAGAGACAGCAACAATCTGATTTCTCTGTCTTTTCCCCACCTTTCCCCCTTTTCTATTCCACAAAACCGCCATCGTCATCATGGCCCATTCTCAATGAGCTGTTGGGTACACCTCCCAGACGGGGTGGTGGCTGGGCAGAGGGGCTTCTCACTTCCCAGAAGGGGCGGCCGAGCAGAGGTGCCCGCCACCTCCCGGACGGGGCAGCGGCCGGGCGGGGGCTGGCCCCCCACCTCCCTCCCGGACGGGGCGGCTGGCCGGGCGGGGGCTGCCCCCCACCTCCCTCCCGGACGGGGCGGCTGGCCGGGTGGGGGCTGCCCCCCACCTCCCTCCCGGACGGGGCGGCTGGCCGGGCGGGGGCTGCCCCCCACCTCCCTCCCGGACGGGGTGGCTGCCGGGCGGAGACGCTCCTCACTTCTCAGACGGGGCGGCTGCCGGGCGGAGGGGCTCCTCACTTCTCAGACGGGGTGGCTGCCGGGAGGAGGGGCTCCTCACTTCTCAGACGGGGTGGCCGGGCAGAGACGCTCCTCACCTCCCAGATGGGATCGCGGACGGGCAGAGGCGCTCTCCACATCTCAGACGATGGGCGGCCGGGCAGAGACGCTCCTCACTTCCTAGACGGGATGGCGGCCGGGAAGAGGCGCTCCTCACTTCCCAGACTGGGCAGCCGGGCAGAGGGGCTCTTCTCATCCCAGACGATGGGCGGCCAGGCAGAGACGCTCCTCACTTCCCAGACGGGGTGGCGGCCGGGCAGAGGCTGCAATCTCGGCACTTTGGGAGGCCAAGGCAGGCGGCTGGGAGGTGGAGGTTGTAGCTAGCCGAGATCACGCCACTGCACTCCAGCCTGGGCAACATTGAGCACTGAGAGAACGAGATTCCGTCTGCAATTCCGGCACCTCGGGAGGCCGAGGCTGGCGGATCACTCGCGGTTAGGAGCTGGAGACCAGCCCGGCCAACACAGCGAAACCCCGTCTCCACCAAAAAAATACGAAAACCAGTCAGGCGTGGCGGCGCACGCCTGCAATCGCAGGCACTGGGCAGGCTGAGGCAGGAGAATCAGGCAGGGAGGTTGCAGTAAGCCGAGATGGCAGCAGTACAGTCCAGCTTCGGCTGGGCATCAGAGGGAGACCGTGGGGAGAGGGGGGAGGGGGAGGGGGAGGGGGAGGGCTATTTAACTTCTTAAACAGTATGTTTAGGTCATTAATTTTCAACCTTTTTATATACTTATATGTACATACATATCTAAATAAAGTAGTAATTTCCTTTTAAGCACCACTTTAGCTATATGCTATAAGTTTTGCTATGTATAATTTTTATCTTTAATTCTGAATATATTCAGATTTTCATTATGATTTCAAATCTTGGCATATATATCTTTTTAAAATCTTTGTTATTGATGACAAACTTAAATTGTGTTAATAGGGCTGGTGTGATGGCTCACACCTGTATTCCCAGCACTTTGGAAAACCTAGGCAGGAGGATGCTTGAGCCCAGGAGTTTGAGACCAGCCTGGACAACATAGTGAGACCCCAGCTCTACATATATATATTTTTTTATTTAGCTGGGCGTGGTGGTTTGTGCCTGTAGTCACAGCTACTCAGGTGGCTGAGGTGGCAGGATTGCTTGAGCCCAGGAGTTCGAGGCTGCAGTAGTAAGCTATGATTGCACCACTGTACTCCAGCCTAGATGACAGAGTAAGACCCTGTTTCTTTAAAAAAAAAAAAAAGTGTTAATAAAATGTGGTCTAATGCGATTTTGATTCTTTGAAATGTGTTGAGGCTAGTTTTAGTTTGTGCAGATTTTCATCACTATTCTATGTGTGTTTAAAAGAATGTGTATTTCCAGATTATAAGGTGAGGCTTTTCCATCTCTGTTCAAACTAGTATCCTTAATTTTTTTCTGCTTGTTCTGTTAGTTGGTGGGGGATGGGGGTGGGTGTTAGAATACAACACCGGATGTCCCTGACTTGCCATAGTCTGACTTAGGATTTTTCCACTTTATGATAGACTTATTGGGACATAACCCCATTGTAAGTTGAGGAGCATCTGGACTTCATGATGGCTCAATTTATGCTTTTTCAGCTCTGTGATGAGTTTATCAGGGTATTAAATTCATTTTCATCCAGGTGCAGTGACTTATGCCTGTTATCCCGACACTTTGGGAGTCTGAGGTGGGAGGATCAATTGCTTGAGTCTAGGAGTTTGAGACCAGCCTGTGCAACATAGGGAGACCCCATCTCTACACAAAATTTAAAAAATTAGGTTGGTATGGCAGCGTGTGTCTGGAGTCCCAGCTACTCAGGAGACTGAGGTGGGAAGATCTGCTTGAGCCCAAGAGGTCGAGGCTGCAGTAAGCTGTGATTGCGCCACTGCACTCCAGCCTGAGAGACAGAGAGAGACATTGTCTCTTAAAAAAAAAAAAAATATATATATATATATATATATATATATATAATTTCCAACTTACAGTCGATTTTTTGGGACATAACCAACCCCATGGTAAGTTGAGGAGGTTCTGTACCTTCTATGATGGGATTTGTCAGATTCTGTAGCACTCAGTTTTTGCTTTTCATCTGTAAAGTTTAGATTTTTTTGTGTGTGTAGAGACAGGCTCACTGTGTTGCCCAGGCTGGTCTTTTTTTTTTCTTCTTGAGACAGTTTTGCTCTTTTGCCCAGGCTGGAGTGCAGTGGCGTGATCTTGGCTCACTGCAACCTCTGCCTTCCGGTTTCAAGCGATTGTCCTGCCTCAGCCTCCCAAGTAGCTGGGATTACAGGCACCCGCCACCATGCCTGGCTAATTTTTGTACTTTTAGTAGAGATGGGGTTTTACCATGTTGGCCAGGCTGGTCTCGAACTCCTGATCTCGTGATACACCTGCCTCAGCCTTCCAAAGTTCTGGGATTACAGGCGTGAGCTGCCGCGCCCGGCCCAGGCTGGTCTTTTAACTCCTGGGCTCAAGCAATCCTCCCACTTTGGCCTCCCAAAGTGTTGAGATTTAGAGGTGTGAGCCCCGTTGCCCAAGCAAGTTAAGAATTTTAAACCTTCCTGTGACTTGCACAATTTGTCATTCTGTAAATCTTCATTTCTGTGAATATTTTCCCACTAAAGTATATATATAGGCCGAAAACTTAAGTATCTTTTGTCAAGGTGTTATGTAACTATGACAAGTGACTTTTGGTTACTATTTGCCTTATATATCTTTTTCTGCCCTTTTACTTTCAAGCTCTTTTGTGGCCTTAACGTTTTAGGCGTGCCTTTTGAAAGCCACACATAGCTAAATTATAGTTTATAATTTGACTCTCAACTGATGAGTTAGTGCACTTGGTAAGTTTTTTTTTTTTTTTTTTTTTTTTTGAGAAGATGGAGTCTCGCTTTGTCGCCCAGGCTGTAGTGCAGTGGTGTCACCTCAGCTTACTGCAACCTCCGCCTCCCGGGTTCAAGTGATTCTCCTGCCTCAGCCTCCTGAGTAGCTGGGACTACAGGCATGCGCCACCATGCCCAGTTAAGTTTTATGTCTTCAGTAGAGAGGGGGTTTCACCATGTTGGCCAGGATGGTCTCCATCTCCTGACATCGTGATCCACCTGCCTCAGCCTCCCAGAGTGCTGGGATTACAGGCATGAGCCACCATGCCCGGCCAGTCTGAACGTAATTTTATACAATATTTTCATATATGAAAGAAGTGTGTATACATTGAACCATCAGAAAGCAAAGGTGTCACCATCTCAGCCATCCATGTTGACAGTCTGCGGTTGCTAGACATCACTATTGTTCCTGACATGAATTTATAGGCTATCAATAAGCAATCATATTCTTACGATTATTCACATGTAAGTACTTAACAGTAAGGGATATGGCGTACCATTAATACAATTAAAAAATAATGCGTGGAGGGTAACTAAGCAGCATAGTTGTATCACTGGAATACCTGTAACCGCTATTAAACAGCAGCAGATGCAGGGGGCTGGGAGGGTCTTTTTCCCCTTGGAGACGCGGAATAAACTGTGTTGTGTGCCTGCATTTTGACTGTGGTCTGTCACATGAGGTCAAGGTGGAATTTTTTACTTGTGGTATTAAAAATGTTTGGATTTTGGAGCATTTCTGATTTTGGATTGTTTGATGAGGGACGCTCAACCTATACTTTTATATTGTCATTCTTAAAAGGTTGTTTTGCCTAATACCCAGTTCTGGCTCGATGATTGTTTTCCCTTAGCACTTTGACAGCACTTTCATCTTCTTTTTCCATTGCTGGTATTGAGAGTGATAAGAAGTTAGATGTCAGTCGTTTCTCTGCAGGTCATCTCTAGCTTCTAACCTCTTTCTTTCATTTTTTAAAGTCTTTTTTTCTCCTTGTTCTTCAATTTCACTAAGAATTATTTATGTAGAGTTCTTATTTCTTATCCTTTCTCTGCCTGAGGGTTGGTTTCTTTCTTTTTTTTTGAGACAGGTCCTTGCTCTGTCACCCAGGCTGGAGTGCAGTGGTGCTATCCTGGCTCACTGTAGCCTCGGACACCTGGACTCATGTGATCCTCCCACCTCAGCCTCCCGAGTAGCTGGAACTACAGGTGCAAGCCACCACACCTGGCTAATTTTTGTATTTTTTTATGAACAGGGTTTTGCTATGTTGACCAGGCTGTTCTCTTGGGCTCAAGTGATTATCCTGCCTTGCCCTCCCAAAGTGCTGGGATTACAGGTGTGAATTATCGCGCCTGGCCTGGTATATTTCTTCAATTAAAAAAAAAAATTCTCAGCCATTTTTGCTTTGATATTTCTCACCTGCTTTTTCAGTTGTCTCTTTCTAGTACTCTGTTTAGATCTTATATTTAGTATATTTTCTATAATGTGTTGTTTCAGCTATACGGACCATATATTCTGTAGGTAATACCAGTGGTTGCATGCTTTTCTGCTCTGATCTTTTGATGTTTCTTTCTGAAAACTTATTTCCTCTTGTGTTTGCTGTTTTTGATTTTGTGGCAACCAATCTTTGTCTGCCATGCTCTAATTTGATGAGAATGGCCAAATGCCCTCAGTACATTTGTAGTCAATGTTCAGCAAATATTTATTGAGCTCTTCTGTACCAGACACTGTCTGGGCACTTGGTATTTACCAAAGAACAGAATGGATAATATTCTGCACCTTGGCGGAACTTAGCATCCAGTGAAACAAACTTCTAGGGTAGGGATGGAGGTAGCTGTGAGAATTTTCTTGTTTTTATCAGCCTAGCTTTGCATTTAAAGAGGTGCTTTAATATCGTGTCCAGGATTTTTACATATTCTGGGCTTAAAGTGCTCCTCATGTTGGCCAGTCCAGCAAATGTTTGTTTTGTTTTATTTTTAGGTTGCTGGTATTATCTGCTATTTTGGATTATTCTTTTGGTGTCTTGATACGTCCAAATAACCAAGTACCAGATATGTGTTTTGAATAAGCGTCAGCTAGTATTCAAAATATTTTAAAAATTACAATAGGGGAGTTTCATTTTGCTAAGAGTTAGCAAATATATGATTTTTTCCCCCTCCTTCAATATGGAGTGTTCATGTGTCAATTTCAGGAATTTCTTAGAGATTTTCAACTCTTTTACATTAGGTAGCTCATTTTTTATATCCAGAAATGGGAATGATTTCAAGGATAATTACCATTTTGAAATGGGATCATTTGCTTGCTAGAAAATGTTAACATTGACTCCAGCCAAGTACAGAACATTAAAAACAATCTGGAAAAAGGGGTGTGGATCAAAATAGATTATGAGCCAAATCTGTCTCGAGGAAGGAAGAGAGTAGAGTTTAGCATTTATAATACATGGCCTATCCCAAGAGAGGGGAGGGACTATTTTATACATAAAAAAATATTAAAAGCCTTACTTTGACCAATAAATTAAAAAGAGGCCATCAGAAACAAGAGCCGTGGAGGGACATAATGACACATAGGCTGGGGCTAGTACTGGAGTTCATTTTGTGACACTCTGGTGGCAAATCCTGTCAGTTCTGGTCCTGTCTCTGCCTCTGCCATGGCCTTCATTGAGGAGGGTTAGGGGATTTGGTGGCAGCAGGAGCACACTGCTGATCCCAGAAGCATAGGGTTAAGAACTAACTGCCTTGAATACGATCTTAGTGATTTTCAGTGGAGCCAAGGAGTTTGAAATGCATAGGCAATGTAACTTCATCAAACTTCAAAGAGCCAAGCTTGATAATCTTTCAGGGTTGTGAGAAAAGGATGAGAAAGGATTGTAGAGGACATGGGTTAGAGAGAGCGAGCTGGTTTAGCAGAATTGTTGTGAGGATTAAAGATAAATATTGGTGGGCATGTTTGTATCTATCTCTAGAAGAAACTAGAGTCCATTCTCTGTTTACCATATTGTCAGGCCTAACTAACATTTTTCACTTTTTGGTATCAGTTACTAGTAAAGTGCCTCATGGTTAGTGTAAACCTTCAGCAGCCTGCCGTGCTTACTCACCTCCACTTGCAGGAGGCAGGTGTGTCTTTATTTTGCTTGCTGAGTCCCTGCTATTAAATTGTCACTTGCGCTTGGTTCTTTATATGTGTTACTTTTAACTCTTTATTCCTTCTAGATGAGTGTGAGGTAGTCATCTTGAGATGAAGCAGCTGGGAAGCAGGGAGGCAGTCTGGCCATAGCGGTTAGGAAGAGGGTCATTAAGGTGGTCAGAAGTGGGATAGAACCTTGGTTTGACCACTGACTACCTGTCTGACCTTGGGCAAATTATCTCACCTTTCTAAGCTCCAGTTTCTTCACATGTAAAATGAGAATCATACTAAAATTATCCCGGCCGGGTGCAGTGGCTCATGCCTGTAGTCCCAGCATTTATCACTTTGGGAGGCCGAGGCAAGCAGATCACCTGAGGTCAGGAGTTCAAGACCAGCCTTGCCAACATGGTGAAACCCCATCTCTCCAAAAAAAAAAAAAAAAAACCAAAAAAACCTGAAAAACAAAAATTAGCTGAACGTGGTGGCGGGCGCCTGTAATCCCAGCTACTCAGGAGGCTGAGGCAGGAAAACCGCTTGAACCCGGGAGGCAGAGGTTGCAGTGAGCCAAGATCATGCCAGTGCATTCCAGCCTGGGCAACAAAGTGAGACTGCCAAAAAAAAAAAAAAAAAATTTCCTCTCTTTCCCATAGAAAATGACTTTGGGTAATTTGAAATTGTGGAGTGTTTTGTTTTTGCAAGTTTTCTAGTGTAGAAGTCCTAAACTTACACAGAATAAGTGGTTAAATGTTAATGAATAGTAGCCTATTTTATGGACTCTGGCTTGGTTTTGAAGTCTTGACTGTAGAGGTAGGATATTGTAAACTTTTTTATTCAACTGACTTTGTTTTTTTGGTTTGGGATAGAAAGTCTTAGTTTTTTAAAAAAAATTAATATGTGATATTTATTTTGAAAAAAATTATAGAGAAGGCTAAAATCCATTCTGATCACCTTTTCCAAATCCTTTTCCATCTTCTGTTGTTACTGGTTTTGTGTCTCCTTTCTTGATTTTTTTTCTGTATATTTGCATATATATGCTGGGTATGTGTGTTTTATATA
Source organism: Homo sapiens (assembly GCF_000001405.40). Lineage (NCBI taxonomy): Eukaryota > Metazoa > Chordata > Mammalia > Primates > Hominidae > Homo > Homo sapiens. The sequence continues at coordinate 68,482,853 of NC_000011.10, forward strand.
AATATAATAGCACCATACTATTGTGCCGTTCTTTTTTCATTCATCTCTTTTCACTGAGTCCCATGTAGTACTAATAGGTCTACCTCTTTCTTTTTAATAGCTGCATACTAAGGGTATACTTTATAGCCATTTCCCATATCAAGGGTCTTTAGATTTTGTTGTTATTATCACAAACAATTCAGCTGGCTTTTAGTTCAATGTAATAAAGTTCTTTGTTCTTAGAAGCCTTTAGAATTATATTGTTTAGTGCAGAAATAAAACACTACAAGCTGAGTTATTTTGCTTTTTTGTCTTTGCAAGTAAAGTACAAATGTTTAAGCAAAGGGAAGAAAACTTTTCTTAGAAAAGTATTTTGTTTACCTCCTTTCAAAATGAGATACGACATTGCTTTTAAATTCTATAAATGACCAATTATTTAGCAAATCTTTTAAAATTGTGGGAAAATACATAACATAAAGTTTGCATTTTCACCATTTTTAAAAAAGTTCCCAGCAAAATTGAGCAAAAAATATGGAGGAGAGTTCCCATATACTCCTGTCCCCACACTTCTGTGATAACATCCCTCAGGAGAATGGTGCATTTGTTAGAGTTGATGAACCTACACCAACACATTATCATCCAAAGTCCATACTTTAGGGTGTACTCTTGGTGTTACACATTCTATAAGTTTTTTAGACTGGAGTGCAGTGGTGTGATCTCGGCTCATTGTAACCTCCGCCTCTCAGGTTCGAGTTATTCCCCTGCCTCAGCCTCCTGAGTAGCTGGAATTACAGGCATTTGCCACCAGACTGGCTAACTTTTGTGTTTTTAGTAGAGACAGGGTTTCACCATGTTGGCCAGGCTGGTCTCAAACTCCTGACTTCAGGTGATCCGCCTTCTTTGGTCTCCCAAAGTGCTGGGATTACAGGCGTGAGCCACTGTGCCCAGTCATATTCTAAAAGTTTTGAAAAATGTATAAGGACATGTAGCCACCATTGTAGTATCATACAGAATGGTTTCACTGCCCTACAGATCCTCTGTGCCTCATCTATTCATCCTTACCTCCCTGCAACCTCTGGCGACCACTAATCCTTTTACTGTCTGCATAGCTTTGTCTTTTCCAGAATGTCATACATTGTTTATGTAGCCTTTTCATATTGGCTTCTTTCACGTAATAATATGCATTAAGTTTTCTTCATGTCTTTTCATGGCTTGATAGCTCATTCCTTTTTAGTGCTGAATAATATTCCATTGTCTGGATGTGCCCAAATTTATTCATTCACCTACTGAAAGATAGCTTGGTTGCTTCCCAATTTTGGCAATTGTGGATAAAGATGCTGTAAATATCCGTGTGCAGGTTTTTGTGTGGACGTAAGTTTTTTCACTTTACTTCGGCAGATACCAAGGAGTATGATTACTGTATTGTACAGAAAGAGTATGTTTGCTGTTTGGAAGAAACTGCCCACAGTGGCTGTACCATTTTATATTCGCACCAGCAATGAATGAGAGTTCCTCTTGCCCCACATTGTTGACAGTGTTTGGTGATGTGTCTTGAGTTTGGCCATTTTAATAGATGTGTTGTGCTATCTCATTGTTGCTTTAATTTGCAGTTCCCTAATGATGTATGATGTTGAACATGTTTTCAAATGCTTACTTGCTGTCTGTAATGTTTGCTCAGGTCTTTTGTCCATTTTTTAATCAGGTTGTTCATTTTTTTGAGTTTTAAGTGTCTATATATATTTTTATATATATATAATATAAGATACATATTTTGAGACGGAGTTTCGCTCTTGTTGCCCAGGGTGGAGTGTAATGGCACAGTCTTGGCTCACTGCAACCTCTGCCTCCTGAGTTCAAGTGATTTTCCTGCCTCAGCCTCCGGAGTAGCTGAGATTACAGGTGCCCGCCACCACGCCCAGCTAATTTTTGTGTTTTAGTAGAGATGGGGTTTCACCATGTTGGTCAGGCTGGTCCCAAACTCCTGACCTCAGGTGGTCCACCCACCTCGGCCTCCCAATGTGCTGAGATTACAGGCATGAGCCACAGCGCCCAGCCTTCTTTATATATTTTTGGATAATAGTTGATTATCAAATGTGTTGTCAGATTTTGATCAGGATTGCATTGAATCTGTAGATCAAGTTAGGCAGAACTGATATCATGACAATATTGAACCTTCTTATCCATGAACATGGAATATCTCTTCATTTGTTTAGTTCTTCTTTGGGGTCTGTCATCAGAGTTTTATAGTTTTCCTTATATAGATCTTGTACATATTTTGTTTTATACCTAAGTATTTCATTTTTTGGATATGTTAATATAAATAATTTTTTTTTTATTTTCAAATTCCACTTGTTCCTTGCAGGTATATAGGAAAGCAGTTGATGTTTGTATATTAACCTTGTAGCCTGTAACCTTGGTATAATGGCTTATAAGTTCTGGGACTTTTTTTTTTTTTTTTTTTCAATTCCTTCACATTTTCTCCATCATGTTGTCTGTCAACAAAGACAGTTTTATTTTATGCTTTCCAATCTGTATACTTTTTATTTCCTTTTCTTATTGAATTAGCTAGGACTTCCAGTATGATATGATGGAAAAGGATGATGAGAGGGAACATCTTTGCCCGCTTCCTGATCTTAGTGGGAAAGCTTTAATTTCTGACCATCAATTATGATGATAGTTGTAGGTTTTTGATATATGTTGTTTATCAAGTTGAGGAAGCTTCTTACTGTTCCTAGTTTTCTGAGTGTTTTTTGAAATGAACAGGTGTTGGATTTTATTAAATGCCTTTTCTGCATCTGTTGATGTGATCAGGTGAGTCTTCTTGAACCTACTGATGTGATGGGTCATGTTAATTAATTGATTTAAAAAATTATTTATTTTGAGACAAGAGTCTCACTTTGTCACATAGGCTGGAGTGCAGTGGGATGATCTTGGCTCACTGCAGCCTTGGCCTCCTGGGCTTAAGCAATCCTCCTGTCTTAGTCTCCCAAGTAGCAGGGACTACAGGTGTGTGCCATCATGCCCGGCGACAGATTTTTGATTATTAAAGCAGCCTTGGCTGGGCACAGTGGCTCACACCTGTAATCTCAACACTTTGGGAGGCCAAGGCAGACAGATCACTTGAGGCCAGGAGTTTGAGACCAGCCTGAGTGACACAGTGAAACCACTTTCTTAACTAAAAATACAAGAAAAAAAAAAAAGCTACACCTAATTTTTTGAGACTCAAAAAGAGTCTCAAAAAGAAAAAAATTAAAGCAGCCTTAAATACGGGATAAATATTTGGTTGTGGTATATAATTTTTTATATATAATGCTTTTTATGTATAATTATTTTTATGTATTGATTCAGTTTTCCCATATTTTGTTGAGGATTTTTATATCTGTGTTCATGAGAGATACTGATTTGTACTTGCCTTGTAGTGTCCTTGTCTGATTTTGGTATTATGGTTATGCTGACCTCATAGAATGAATTAGAAAGTATTCTGTCTGCGACTGCCGGGTGCAGTGGCTCACACTTGTAATCCCAGCACTTTGGGAGGCCGAGGCGGGTGGATCACAAGTTCAGGAGATCAAGACCATCCTGGCTAACACGGTGAAACCCCATCTCTCTTAAAAATACAAAAAATTAGCTGGGTGTGGTGGCGGGCGCCTGTAGTCCCAGCTACTTGGGAGGCTGAGGCAGGAGAATGGCGTGAACCCGGGAGGCGGAGCTTGCAGTGAGCTGAGATCACGCCCTGCACTCCAGCCTGGGCGACAGAGCAAGACTCTGTCTTAAAAAAAAAAAAAAAAAAAAAAAAATTCCGTCTGCTGCTTTCTATTTTCTGGAAGCAATTTTAGAGAATTGGTATTATTTTTTCCTTAAATATTCAGTAGAATTCACCAGTGAACCCATGTGCGCCTAGTGCTTTCTATTTTAGAAGGTTATTATTCAAATTTTAAATTTATAGGCCCTTAAGATTATCTCTTTTTGTGTACATTTTGGCAGATTGTTTCTTTCAAGGAATTGTTCCATTTCATTTAGGTTATTAACATTTTGAGCATAGAATAGTTGATAATATTTCCTTATTCTTCTAATGCCCATGGTATCTGTAGTAATGTCATTTTTCATTTTTGGTATTGGAAATTTGTGTCTTCTCTCATTTCTCTTTCTCCTCAGCCTGGCTAGAGTTGCGCTGATTTTATTGTTGTTTCCTGAAAACCACCTTTTGTCTTTTTCTCTCTTGATTTCCTGTTTTCAGTTTCATTGATTTCTGCTCTAATTCTTCTTTTCTTATGCTTACTTTGGAATTAATTTGCTCTACTTTTTCTGGTTTCCTAAGATAGAAGATCAGATTATTGGTTTTGGATCTTCTTTTTTAGTGTATTACTCAATGCTATAAATTTCCTTCTAGACACTGTTTTTGCTGTATCCCACAAGTTTTGATAAATTGTATTTTTCAAGGCCAGGTGCAATGGCTCATACCTGTAATCCCAGCACTTTGGGAAGCTGAGGCGGGCGGATCCCTTGAGCCCAGGAGTATGAGGTTGCAGTGAGCTATGATCAGCCTGGCCAACATGGCAAAACTCTATCTCCACTAAAAATACAAAAATTAGCCGGGGCATGGTGGCACATGCCTGTAATCCCAGCTACTCGGGAGGCTGAGGCATGAGAATTGCCTGAACCTGGGAGGCAGAGGTTGCAGTGAATGTAGATTGCACCACTGCACTCCAGCCTGGGCAACACAGCAAGACTGCCTCAAAAAAAAAAAAAATTGTATTTTTTTTTATTTAGTTAAAAATACTTTCAACTTTCTCTTGAGATTTCTTTTTTGACTCCCATGTTATTTAGAAGTATATTATTTAATCTTCTGGTATTTGGGGATTTTTCAGTTATCTTTCTGTTATTGATTTCTAGTTTAATTTCATTGTGGTCTGAGAGTACATTGTATGATTTCTGTTATGTGTTTTAAGGCTCATAGTGTGGGCTCTCTTGGTGAATGTTCTGTATGAACTTGAGAACTGTAATCTGCTGTTGTTGAAATAATGTATAGATGTCAATTATACCCAGTTGATTGATGGTGCTATTGAGTTCCATCATGTCCTTACTGATTTTCTACCTGCTGGATTTCACCATTTCTGATGGAGGGGTGTTGAAGTTTCCAACTATAATAGTAGATTCATCTATTCTCCCTTGCAGTTCTATCAGTTTTTGCCTCATGTATTTTGACACTGTTATTAGGCAAATACACATTAAGGATTGTTATGTCTTCTTGGAATATTTCTTCCTTTATCATTATGTAATACCTCTCTTTAGCCTTGATAACTTTTCTTGTTATGAAGCCTGCTCTATCTGCAATTAATACAGCTACTCTTGTTAACTTTTGATTAGAGTTAACATGATATATCTTTTTCCATCCCTTTCTTTTTTTTTTAAACAGGGACTTGCTCTATAGCCCAGGCTGCAGTGCAGTGGCACAGTCATAGCTCAGTGTAACCTCCAAGTGTGTGCCACCACACCCAGCTAATTAAAAAAAATTTCTTTTTTGTAGAGATGGTGTCTCGCTGTGTTTCCCAGCCTGGTCTTGAGCTCCTGGGCTCAAGCAGTCCTCCTATCTCGGCCTCCCAAAGAGTTGGGATTATAGGTGTGAGCCCAGCCCCCCATTCCTTTACTTTTGATCTACGTGTGTCTTTATATTTAAAGTGGCTTTGTTTTCTTATTTTTGGTTTTTGTATTTTTATTGGGAGCTACAGGGGAACGGCTTCTTCCCTGTCAACGGAGGTGCTCACAATTTTCTCAGCCACTCCAAGCTTGGGCCCTAGAGCACCTGGGGGGTCCTGATGGTGGCTGGACACATCAGGCATGTTCTCATCATGTAGAAGGGGCACTGGGTAGTTGTAGGGTGTGTCCTGATTGATCATGATGGCCTACTTGGTGTAGGGGCTGAGTAGGGGCAGAATCACAGAAGCTGGTGATGGTTAAGGACACATTGGCTCAGGCATTCTTGAGGAATGCAACAAGTCTCGCTGCCATCTTGATCTTGAAGGTGGCAACAGCTAGGTTCCTTGTAGACAACATATAGTTGGGTCTTATTTTTTGATACATTCTGAAAATTGCTCTTTTAATAGGTGTATTTAGACCATTGACCTTTAATGTGATTATTGATATAGTTGTATTAATATCTGTGATATTTATTGCTGTTTTCCAGGTTTTGCCTTTTTTTTTTTTTGAGGCAGAGTCTGCCTCTGTTGCACAGGCTGGAATGCAATGGTGTGATCTCGGCTCACTACAAGCTCTGCCTCCTGGGTTCATGCCATTCTCCTGCCTCAGACTCCAGAGCAGCTGGGACTACAGGTGTCTGCCACCACGCCCGGCTAATTTTTTTGTATTTTTAGTAGAGACGGGGTTTCACCATGTTAGCCAGGATGGTCTCGATCTCCTGACCTCATGATCCGCCCGCCTCGGCCTCCCAAATATTTTTTTGTTTGTGCTTTTGTCACATACACTTTTTCTGCCTTTTTTGGTTTTAATTGATCATTTTATATGATTTCCATTTTTATCTTCTTTCTTAGCATATTTGTTAAACTTTTTTTAGCTTTTAAAGGGTTACACTGGAGTTTGCAACATATATTTGCAGTTAATCCATGTCCACTTTCAAATAACACTACAGAGGTAGTGCACATACAGGTATTATACCTCGTTTTATTGTGGCTCACTTTCTTTCACTTTGCAGATACTGTGTGTTTGTGTGTGTGTGTGTGTGTGTGTGTGTTTTAATGAACAAATTGAAGGTTTATGGCAACCCCGTATTTGCCAGGGTATCAGCGCCATTTTTCCAGTTGCATGTGCTCACTTCATTAGCATTTTTTTATTGGTAAAATACTTATAATTAAAGTCTGTGCTTTTTTTTTTTTAAGACATAATGGTATTGCACACTTAATAGTGTAAAAATAATGTTTGCATATGGGAAACCAATATATTCGTGTGACTTACTTTATTGTGACATTTGCTTTTTTGCGATAGTCTGGAACTGAACCTGTAATATCTCCAAGGTATGCCTTTACCAGTAATAACAAATATTTCTGATTCCGCCTTCCTGTCTCATTGTTGCCATTCATTTTACTTATAAGCACGCATAAATACATAAGGAAGCATACTTAATCGAGTACATTGTTATTGTTATTATTTTGAACAAACTACTTTTAATTAAGAATAAGAAAAATCAATTTTTTTTGAATCTTCACTTAATTCCCTCTCCAGTCCTCTAATCTGTGTTTCCTACCTGGATCATTTTCCTTCTTTCTGAAATAATTTTGGCAACATAGGTTTCCTGGAAACAAATCCCCTCAATTTTGTTTGTCTCTTTCACTTTGAAGGATACTTTTTCAGGGTGCAGAATTCTAGGTTGGTGTTATTTTTCCCCCTCTCAGTGCTATAAATATTTCATTCTACTCTTTCCTGCTTGCATGGTTTCTAAGAAGTTAGATGTAATTCTTGCCTTTGCTACCCTGTAGGTAAGGTTCCCTCCCACCTTGATTTCTTTTAAGATTTTTTTTTGTTTTTGATTTTCTGACATTTGACTATGATATTGCTCAGTGGTGTTTTTTTTTGGTGGGGGGTAAGTGGGGAGGTCATTGCTTGGCTTTTTATTGGCATTGTTTCCTGAACTTTCTGGATCTATGGTTTGGTGCCTGACAACAATTTGGAAAAATCTCCGTCGTTATTACTTCAAATATTGCTTCTTTCCTCTTTTTTCCAGATATTACCATCACATATGTTATACCTTTTGTAGTTGTCCCATAGTTCTTGGATATTTTCTGTTTTTTTTTTCTTTTGTATTTTTTTCTCTTTCCTTTTCAGTTACGGAAGTTTCTATTGTCATATCCTAATGCTCAGATTCTTTCTTCAGCCGTGTTTAGCCTACTGATAGATCCACAGAGGGATTCTTCATTTCTGTTACAGTGTCTTTTTCTCTAGCATTTCTAATTGGTTATTTCTTAGAATTTCCATCTCTCTGCTTATGTTATCTTTCTGTTCTTGCTTGTTGTCTGCCTTTTTCACTAAAGCCTTTAGCATATTAATCGTGTTTTTTACAAAATTGCTAGTGGCCGGGCATGGCCTGTAATCTTAGCACTTTGGGAGGCTGAGGCAGGCAGGTTGCTTGACTCAGGAATTTGAGACCAACCTGGTCAACTTGATGAAACCCCATCTCTACAAAAAGTACAAAAATTAGCTGGGCGTGGTGGCACACACCTGTAGTCCCAGCTACTTTTTGGGGCTGAGGCAGGAGGATCACTTGAGCCTAGGAAGTTGAGGCTGCAGTGAGCCTTGTTTGTGTCACTGCACTCCAGCCTGGGTGACAAAGCGAGATCCTGTCTCCAAAAAAAAAATTGCTGGTTTGGTAATTCTGCCATTGCAGCCATATTTGACTCTGGTTCTGATGCTTGTTCAGTGTCTTTATTAAAAATTTTTTTTTCAGAGTCTCAGTGTTTAAACCAGAAGGTTGTTAAGTGTCTTCAGCTGTGTGTGTGTGTGTGTGTGTGTGTGTGTGTGTGTGTGTGTGTGTGTGTGTTTGAGACAGAGTCTTGCTCTGTTGCCCAGGCTGGAGTGCAGTGGTGCAATCATCTTCTAGGTGCAAGGATCCTCCCACCTCAGCCTCCTGAGTAGCTAGGACTACAGTCAGACACCACTGTGCCCAGCTATTTTTTTAAAAATTTATTTTTTGTAGAGATGGGTGTTGCTGTGTTGCCCAGGCTGGTCCTGAACTTCTGGGCTCAAGCAGTCCTCCTACTTCAGCCTCCTAAAGTGTCGGGATTATAGGTGTGAGCCACCAGTCCCAGCCCATTTTAACTGTTTGGAGTGTACCGTTCAGTGGCATTAAATACATCCACATTGTTGATCAACCATCATCACCACCATCCATCTCCTGAATGGTTTTCATCTTCCCATACTGAAACACAGTAGCCATTAAATCATCTTTTGGCTTCCCTGGGCCACATTGGAAGAAGAGTTGCCTTGGGCCAAACATAAGTTACAGTAACACTAACGATAGCTGATGAGCTTAAAAAAAAAACCACACAAAAAACTCAACGTTTTAATAAAGTTTATGAATTTGTGTTGAGCCTCATTCAGAGCTGTCCTGGGCCACAGGTTGGACCAGCTTGCATTAAACACTAACTCCTGCTCCCGCCCAGACCCTGGCAACTGCCGTTCTACTGTCTCCATGAATTCGACTATTCTAAGTACCTTGTGTAAATTGCATCATACAGTATTTGTCCTTTTATCACTGGCTTCAAGCACAGTGTCTTCAAGGTTTACTCATGTTGTAGGATGTGTCCGAATTTCCTTTCTTTTTTTATTTTTAAATTTTTTAGAGGCAGAGTCTTGCTCTGTTGCTGGACTACAGTGGCATGATCATAGCTCACTGCAACCTCATACTCCTGGGCTCAAGGGATCTTCCCACCTCAACCTCCCTAGTAGTTGGAACCATAGGTGTGCATCACCATGCCTGGCTAAGTTTTATTTTTATTTTTTGAGGTCTTGCTATGTTGCCCAGGCTGGTCTTGCCTGGCTTCAAGTGATCCTCCCACCTTGGCCTCCCAGAATGCTGGGATTTCAGGCGTAAGCCACTGCGCCTGACTAGAATTTCCTTTAAGGCTGAGTTATATTTCATTTTATGTATATACAACATTGGTTATCCATTTATCCATCAATGGACACTACAGTGCCTCTGCCTTTTGGCCATTGAGAGTGATGCTGCCATGAACATGGGTGTATAAATATCTGTTCAAGTCTCTGCTCTCAGGTCTTTAGGGTATATACCAAGAAGTGGAATGGCTAGATCATATGGCAGTTCTCATTCTACTTTTTTGAGGAGCTGCCATACTGTTTTCCATGACTGTACCATTTTACATTTCCCCAGTGGCACATGAGGGTTCCACTTTGCCCACATTAGCTAGCACCTCTTTTTGAGTGTTTATAGACATGAGCTGTACAGTGGTTTTCAAAGCATTGTTGGTTGCTTAAATCTTTCTGGCAGCAAAATCCAGGGAGGTTTTCTTTATAGAATTTACAAGGTCTGTGTTACTATATTTTCCTGGTTTTCTTCCTACCATTCTTGGCCTCTCTTAATTTTCTTCTGGGCCACTTTCACATTTTGTTCTCCAGCCTTTCTTATTTTCCACACTGTTTCTTGGGTGGTCTCCACTTTCATGGCTGAACTTACCAGGTATGTGCTAATGATGCTCATACCTACTTCTAACCCTGATTTTCTGTTGAGTTCCGGTGCTTACTGGGCATTTCCACTTGTGCTCATTCTGCCCTCAAAGCAGTTATGACCCTGGATATGTAGGGTCTAAGTGCTAATGAGCCTGAATCCTGATACTTCCAAAGACTAGTTATTTGCTCTCTGAGCTTCAGTTTCCTCGCTTACATATGGGAAGGATAACAGTTATTTTAAGGATTAAATGATAGTTCATGTAATGTTTATATTACAGTATACATTGGTGGTAGTTAACATGTCTAGCCATTATCACTATTATTCTTTGTATAAATAATTTCTCCCTCTATTTCATAAATTTTTAAAAATTGTCATGAGATTATGTAATCAAAAGGTGCTGCCATTTTTAATTTTTAATTTTTTAGAGACAGAGTCTTGCTTTGTCACCCAGGCTGGTGTGCAATGGTACGATCATAGCTTGTTGCAATTTTCAGCCCTGGGTTCAAAGTGATCCTCCTGCTACAGCCTCCCAGTAGCTAGGACAATAGGTGTGAGCCATCATGCTTGGGGTAAAAAAAAAAAACAAAACCATATATATATATATATATATAAAATATATATACAAAAAAATACACACACACACAGAGACAGAGTAGAGATGCCCAGGGTGGTCTCAAACTCCAGACCTCCCAAAGTACTGGATTACAGGCGTGAGCCACTGCACCTGGCCAAGGTACTGTTATTTTTATTAATCTTGTATGTCATTATAGTACTCTTTTAAAACGCTAGTACCCGGCCAGGCACTGTGGCTCCTGCCTGTAATCTCAGCACTTTGGGAGGCTGAGGCGGGTGGATCACAAGGTAAGGAGATCAAGACCAATTTGGCTAACACGGTATAACCCCCTCTCTACTAAAAATACAAAAAAATTAGCTGGGCGTGGTGGCGGGAGCCTGTAGTCCCAGCTACTCTGGAGGCTGAGGCAGGAGAATGGCGTGAACCCGGGAGGAGGAGCTTGCAGTGGGCCGAGATTGCGCCACTGTACTCCAGCCTGGGCAGCTGAGCGAGACTCCATCTCAAAAAAAAAAAAAAAGAATAAATAAAAAAGATAATTAGATTTTTTTTGTAACACGAAGAAAGGATGAATGCTTGATGTGATGGTTACATCATTTACCCTGATGTGATTATTATACATTACATGCCTGTATCAAAACATCATGGCCGGGCACGGTGGCTCACGCCTGTAATCCCAGCACTTTGGGAGGCCGAGGCGGGCGGATCACGAGGTCAGGAGATCGAGACCATCCTGTCCCACATGGTGAAAGCCCATCTCTACTAAAAATACAAAAATTAGCTAGGTGCGGTGGGACACGCCTGTAATCTCAAAAAAAAAAAAAAAAAAAAAAAAAGCTGGTACCTATACGCAAGTGTATCAGCAATAGATGAGTGGACCTGTTTCCCTATATTCCCCTTCTAGTGTTAGTTTTAATTATTTGTGATTTGTTTGGTGGTTCACTGGATATAAAGGAATACCTTATGGATTTTCATTAAGAAAATTAATGAAAAATTAATAAAAAGCTAAATATTAAATATTGGCTTGCATTTTGGTTTCTTCTTGACTGATTGCTTGATCACTGGGTTTCTATTTCTTTGGTTCCCACTAGGTATTGTATAAGCTTAAAAATTATCCTCTGGTATTTTGAGTTTACTCCCCCTTTTGAAAGGACTTTTTGTTTTAATCTCTGTACTTCATGTCATTGCTCCTCTATTGTCTGGATCTTAACGGCCCCCCAGCCCCATTATTGAGAACTGTATTTACAGCAAGCCCCTTAAAAACAAATTTTATGTTTGTTTTTACAATATACAGTTAATTTCTTAGTGTCATCAGCTATAAATGGAGTTATGAGAAATAAGTGAAAATTGTTCAATAAATATTTCAGTGCCTGTGAAGTGCCAGGCTCAAAAATGTTTAAGAACTGCCTGGCACATATGAGATCCTCTGTAAAAGTAGTAGCCATTGTGATGTACCATAAAGTTTACTTTTCATAATTTGGGAGGCAGTAGCATGATGGAAATAGGGTGGCATTTGTGTGTTCTTCCCTAGCCACTTCCCTACTGTGTTACCTGGATCAGTTACTGTCTCTCCAGCTCAGATTATTTGTAAAAGATGATATAACTTACAATACAAGATTGTGAGGGTCAAATGCAAATGTGTGAATACATTTGGTAAAGCAAAGTACAGATGCTAAAACCCTTAAAAAACAATCTTTTCTTAGCACCTTCCTTTGCAAATATAGATTGCATTATTGTTTTGTAACAGCTTTATTGAGACATAACTCACCCACTTAACGCATACAAGTTAATGTTTTTTAGTATATTCATGGAGTTGTACAACTGTCATCACAATCACTTAGAATATTTTCATTATTCCACAGGAAACCCTATACCTGTTAGTAATCACTTCTCATTTTTCTCTCATCCCGCTAGACCTAGGCAACCACTACTGTACTTTCTGTTCCTATAGATGTGCCTATTCTGGGCATATAAATGGAATCATACAAACGTGGTCCTTTTTTGGGACTAGCTTTTTCCCTCTTAGCCATGTTTTCAAGATTTATCTGTGTAACATGTATGAGTACTTCATTTCTTTCTTTTGTCAAATAATACTCATTATGTGGGGAATATTACCTTTTATTTATTCATTCATCAGTTGATAGATACTTGGATGTTTCTGAGTTTTGGCTTTTATGAATAATGCTGCTGTAGACATTTATGTACAAATTATTCTGTGAAAGTATGTTTCAATTCTCTTGGATACATACCTAGGAGTAGAATTGTTGGGTCATATGGAGCTCTGTGTTTATCCTTTTGAGAAACTGTGAGACTATTCTCCAAAGTGTCTACACCATTTTACATTCCCACCAGCAATGTGTAAGGATTCTGATTTTGTCATATCCATGCCAGCACTTTTGTTTTTTGAGACAGCGTCTCACTCTGTTGCCCAGGCTGGAGTGCAGTGGTGCAGTCACAGCTCACTGCATGATAGCCTTGACCTCCTGGGCTGAAGTGATCCTCCCACCTCCGCCCCCCAAGTTGCTGGGACCACAGGCATATGCCACCATCTCTGGCTAATTTTTTTGTGTTTTTCTTTTCTTTTCTTTTTTTTTTTTTGTTGTTGTTAAGACAAGGTTTCACTACGTTGTCCAGGCTGGTCTTGAACTCCTGGGCTCAAGTGATTCTCTCCTCTCGCCTTGGCTTCCCAAAGTTGTTGGGATTACAGGTGTGAGCCACCATGCCCAGCCTTTCCCATCCCTTCCCATCCCTCCTTCCTTTTTGAGACGGGGTCTCTCTGTATTGTCCAGGCTGGACGGGGACTCATGGATTCAAGCAGTCCTCCTGCCTTAGCCTCTCTAGTGGCTGGGACTGTAGATGTGTGCCACTGCGCTTGCCTCATTTGGTTTTTTTTTGGAGACAGTCTTACTCTGTCACCCAGGCTGGAGTGCAGTAGTGCAATCTCAGCTCGCTGCAACCTCTGCCACCTGGGTTCAAGCAATTCTTGTGCCTCAGCCTCCTGAGTAGCTGGGATTACAGGTGTGTGCCACCGCATCTGGCTAATTTTTGTATTTTTAGTAGAGTCGGGGTTTTGCCATGTTGGCCAGGCTGGTCTCAAACTCGGCCTCAAGCACTTCACACACCTCGGCTTCCTAAAGTACTGGGATTACAATTACAGCAGTCTACTGTGCCTGGCCTCGCTTGCCCATTTTAAAATTGTGTTGTTTGTCTTTATTACTAAGTTGTAGGAGTTTCTTAATTATTCCATATTCTTGTCTTTTTTTTTTTTTTTTTTTTTTTTTTGAGACAGAGTCTTGCTCTGTTGCCCAGGCTGGAGTGCAGTGGTGCAATCTCGGCTCACTGCAAACTCCGCCTCCCAGGTTCACGCCGTTCTCTTGCTTCAACCTCGCGAGTAGCTGGGACTACAGGTGCCCACCTCCACGCCCGGCTAATTTTTTTGTTTGTTTGTTTGTTTTGTTTTGTTTTTTGAGACGGAGTCTCGCTCTTTCACCCAGGCGGGAGTGCAGTGGTGCGATCTCGGCTCACTGCAAGCTCCGCCTCCCGGGTTCACGCCATTCTCCTGCCTCAGCCTCCCGAGTAGCTGGGACTACAGGTGCCCGCCACCACGCCCGGCTAATTTTTTTTTTTTTTGTATTTTTAGTAGAGATGGGGTTTCACCGTGTTAGCCAGGATGGTCTCGATCTCCTGACCTCGTGATCCGCCCATCTCGGCCTCCCAAAGTGCTGGGATTACAGGCATGAGCCACCACGTCCGGCCTCTGTATTCCTGTCTTTTGAGACAGGGTTTCACTCTGTCACCTGGCTGGAGTGCAGTGCTGCGATCACTGCTCACTGCAGCCTCGACTTCGTGGGCTCAGGTGATCTTCCCACCTCAGCCTCCTGAGTAGCTGGGACTACAGACGTATGCTACCACGCCTGACTGATTTTTTTGTATTTTTTGTAGAAACGGGGATTTACCACGTTGCCCATGCTGGTCTCAAACTCCTGGGCTCAAATGGTCTGCCTGCCTCGGCCTCCCAAAATGCTGGGACTACAGGCATGAGCCACTGCGCCCAACCTTGTACATAAATCTTTTATCAGAAATATGATTTGTCAATATTCCATTCTTTGGGTTTTCTTTTCACTTCTTGATGGTGTTATTACTGAAGGATGAAAACTTTTAATTTGAAGTGCAATTTATCTTATTTTTCTTTTATCTCGTGTTTTTGGTGTCATATCTAAGAAAGTTTTGCCTAATCCGTGGCCACAAAGATTAACTCCTGTGTTTTTTTCTGAGTTTTGATTGCCTCATTTTTAATGACTATTTCACTGGATAGATAAAAGAACCTTGGTTCAGATGAGATCATTGTTGTTTATTGTTGGATATTTAGGAACCATGTATTTGTGGATGACCTGGATAGTTTGTTCTGTGGTTTTCCCCACAGTGTCATCTTCCTCTATATTTAGACATTTCTTTTTCTATTATAAGCTCTTTGGACATTATTATATATGACTTTGTGCTCAGTATAAACACCTTAGAATAAAAGAATAATTGGACCAAGGGGTATATAGATTTTAACACCTTTTTGTTATCAGTGGCCAGAAAAATTACCCCAGTTGCTATTTTACCAGCAGTTCCAGTCAGTTTTATGTTAATACATTTTAAAACTTGTTTTATTAGGGGTAAATTTGGACATGCAGAAATTGAACAGTATAATGAAACTATCAGTTACCCAGCTCTAACAACCATACACTCAAGGCCAGTCTTGTCCCACTTAACTTCCCCATTTCCCACTTCTCTTCTATATTATTACTATTTAAAAACTCTATTGAATCACAATAGAAATACGGAAAAGTACATACAATAAGCAGATTTTCATAAGCTGAAATCCACCTGGGCAAGCAGCCATCACATGTCTCCTTGTGTCCACTTCCAGTCACACCCTCTCTAGGGGCAGCCGGTATTCTAACAGCTAACAGCACTGATTAGTTTTGCCCAGTTTTGTTTCTATTAAATAGAGTCTTACAGTAGGTACTCTTGTGTCTTTCTCTTGGCATTGTTTGTAAAATTACTGAAGTCATTGCATACAGTTGATTATTTGTTACTGTTGCTTCACAAAATTTTGTCATATGAAATTGTTCTGTTGTTGATGGACATTGGATAGATGGTAGTTTTGGGCTGTTACAGATATTGCTGCTCTGAACATTCAGTTTGTATCTTTTGGTCAACAACATACGTATGCATTTCTGTTGTTCAGTATACCTAAGGGTGAAATTGCTAGGGCATAGAGGTATATGTATAGTAGTGGCATCTACTAAAGCTATTGTACCAAATTAGGCTTCCATCAGCAGTGTGTGAAAGTTCCACTTACTCTGGATCCTCTCCAGTATTTCATCCTTTTCATTTTAGCCATGCTGGTAGCTGTGTAGAGATGTCTTACTTAGGGCAATTTTAATTTACAGTAGTGAGGTCATACGTTTATTGGTCATTTGGATATCCTTTTTTATGAAACATATGTTTAAGCCTTTTTTTTTCTATTATCTTTTTTCTGTTTTTATTACCTTTCTATTTTTTGCTGCATAATAAATTATCCCCAAACGTAGTGGATTAAAACAGCAATAAACATTATCTTGCAGTTTCTGGGAGTCAGAAACTTGGGAGTGGCATGGTTGTCTGCTTCTGGCTTGGGTGTGATTAGCCCTCTGAAGCCTTCATGGATCCGCTGGAGGATCTGTTCTAAGGTGGCTCATTTACATGCCTGGCAAGTAGGTTCTGGTTCTGGCTGTTGGTGGGAGACCTCAGGTCGTTTTCACATCGGCTTTTGCCAGGGATGTCTGAGTTTCCTGTTCTCAGGACATGGTGATAACTTCCCACTGAGAGAGTGATTCAAGAGAAAGAGCCCCTAAGTGGAAGCTATCATTTTTGTGACCTAGTCTTGGAAGTCACGTAGCATCTAGCTTTGCCATGTTCTGTTTGTTAGAAGAGAGGCACATTGTGGACTTCTAAAAAAGTGACAGGGTCTTATTCTGTCACCCAGGCTGGAGTGCAGTGGTGCGATCATAGCTCACTGCAGCCTTGACCTTCCTGGCTCAAGGGATCCCCCCACTTCAGCCTCCTGAGTAGCTAGCTGGGCCCACAGTTGCGCGCACCACCACACCCGGCTCAGTTTTGTATATTTTGTAGTTGGAGTTTTGCCATGTTTCCCAGGCTGGTCTCAAACTCCTGGGTTTGAGCATTCCTCCCACCTCGGCCCTCCAAAGTGCTAGGGATTATAGGCAAGAGCCACTGTGCCCAGCTGAGATGTATTTTAAAACAACAGTTAGTAGGATTTTTGTATTTTGGACAGGCATCTCTTGTCAGATGTATATATCGTGAATATCTTTACCTATTCTGTGGGTCCTCATTCTGTCTTTTGAGGTGAAGGAGTTCTATTAAATCTTTTTTTCTTTATTGTCAATTTTGTCCATTATATTTTGAAGATATTCAAATAATTATTGCTTCTTCTATAAATATGTTAGTATATGTTCTCAGAGAATAAGGACTCTTAACCGTAACAACCACAAAGCCTCACATCTTAAAAATAAAATGAACACACATTTGCTTGATATTATTCAATACTTAGACTTGAAAGTTCTAGTTTCATGTGATAACTTTTTTGTGTGATTTTCTAATTTTGGCAGTGGCAAATCAGGATCCAAATAAGACCTACCTTTTTTTTTTTGTATATGGGTTCCTCATTTTTTGCTCTTCTCCCACCATGCCTTCCATTTGTGGGAGGACTGGGCTCTTTTGTTTTGTGGTATTCCCCACAGTGTTGTGTAGCCTCTGTTTTATGTGCACTGGTAGTTGGATCTTGAGGAAGTTTCTCTTGGAGAATACACTTTGTTGGACTTTCACTTTAAAACTTTTTTATTTTTTTGAGACGAAGTCTCAGTCTGTTGCCCAAGCCGGAGTGCAGTGGTGTGATCTTAGCTCACTGCAACCTCCACCACCTGGGTTCAAGCAATTCTCCTACCTCACCCTCCCAAGTAGCTGGGACTGCAGGTACGTGCCACCACGCCCGGCTAATTTTTGTATTTTTAGTAGAGACAGGGTTTCACCATCTTGGCCAGGCTGGTCTTGAACTCCTGACCTCGTGATCTGCCTGCCTTGGCCACCCAAAGTGCTGGGATTACAGGCGTGAGCCACTGTGCTCAGCCTAAAACTTTTATCTGAAAATGGTGCTGTTTCTTTGGTTGTGATCTGTCTCTGGAGGTTGAATGTGGAGCTAAACTGAAATTTTTAAGGGCTTCTAACCTAAATCACATTGAAATTCATTTAGACCAGAGCTGTTCAATACTTGAAGGGTGAGGGTTCATTTTGGAAGGCACTTCCGCCGCCTTCCTTTTCTGTGTGTACGGGAGGCCAGTGGCAGTCTGGTCATCTTGAGTGCATCACGCCCTCACTGGCAGTTCAGAATGTTGCAGGGCATCGTTAGCATGGATTTTGCTGTTGTTAGTTTTTTCATGTTTATTGTCTACTTGTTTTCTCCTCGTGCTGTCTGCTGGCTTTCCTTCTCTTGTTGCCAGTTTTGGAGTTGTGATGAACAATATGTTAAGGGTTGATAACTCAAAATTCTTAAGTTCTTTGTGGGTTAACATTGAATTTGTAGTGTTCTCCAGTCTCTTTCTTTTCTAACAGAAACTTTCATGATGAAAAGTTAGAAGAATAAATTACAATGTGATTAACCCTGCACATTGAAGAAGTAGACAAATTATTAGTATTATTTTGAGACAGGGTCTCACTCTGTCATGTAAGCTGGAGGGCAGTGGCGGGATCTCGGCCAGTGCAACCTCTGCTTCCCAGGTTCAAATGATTCTCGTGCCTCAGCCCCCTGAGTAGCTGAGATTACAAGCACGCACCACCACACCTGGCTGATTTTTGTAATTTTAGTAGAGATGGGGTTTCACCATGTTGGCCAGGCTGGTCTTGAACTCCTGGCCTCAAGTGATCTGCCCGCCTTGGCCTCACAAAGTGCTGGGATTACAGGCGTGAGCCACTGTGCCCAGCCTTCAAATTATTTCTTAAAATGCGTGTGTATCCAGAGTTTAAACTGAAAGAGTTGTTTTCTTAATTCCAACTGTATTTTTAAAGTATCATTCAACTTCAAGTAATAATTAAATTTTTCATGTTTTGTTTATAAGTGAATGTATGTAAATGATACCAATTTTTGGCCACTAATTCATTCAGCAGATACCTTGGGTGCCTACCCGGTGCCAGTCCTAGCGCTTCCTGTGCTTTGGTCATACAGTAAGTCCTCACTTAACACCATTAACAGGTTCTTGGAAGCTGCAAACTTAAGCAAAATGACATAGAACTGAACCAGTTTTGTCTGCCTCATCAGTGTTATAATGGAATGGTGTTATTCAAGAACCTGCTGTATGTTGTTTTGCTTAAAGTCGCAGTTTGAAAAAACGTGTTGACACTATTAAGTGAGGATTTACTGTGTACATGGTTAAAGATGATGGACATGGTGCTGGTACCCTCATGAAATGCTCAGGACAGTGTTTCTACGAAAGACAATGCAGGCTATGTATGTAATCTTAAATTTTCTAATAGCCACATGAAGAAAGTAAAAAACGCATAAAATTAATTTTAATATGTTTTATACAACCCATTATGTCCAAAATATTATTTCAACATATAATCAGTAGGAAAATTGAGATGTTTTCACATTTTTATACTAAATCTTTGAAATCCATTGCATATTTTATACTCTTAGTACCTCTTAGATGAAACTAGTCATATTTCAAGTGCTCAAAAGCCGTATGTGGCCACCATAGTACAGAGCATATATCAGAATTATTATCATTATTGTTCATGCTCACATGGGAGTTGCAGGGGGCGCTAACCAAGAACCCAAGTAAACAGTGGGTTGGAGGGGCCAGAGGAGACTGGGAGATGAATTAGGAAGCTGTGTCCAAAGGGTATCTTAAAAGATCTTTATGGATGAATGCACACTCCAGTTTACCTTATTCCAGGTTGTGGCAAAAGATGCAGAGAAGGGAAAGTGTAAGGCGGAACTGACAATGTTTTGGTGAATTGGATTGGAAGGGAAAAGAGGAGCCAGGGCTGTTTTCCAGGCTGCCTTTCACAACTAGGGTGTGCCTTTTACTGAGATGGGGAGGGCATGGTGAAGAGGAGGTTTGGTTGGATGGGCAGCTTGTGATGGAGAGCAAAAGCTCCATTTTGGAGATTAAATACCATGTGCTTGTGAGATAACCAAAGGGAAATGTCTACTAGTCATTGGGTTACCTGTGTTTGAAATGCCATGATGGTTGTTTTGGTTTTATAAATTTGGACCTTAGTTGTGTTTATGGAGAGGAATTTTTGTTTGTTTGTTTTTGAGACGGAGTCTCACTCTGTTGCCCAGGCTGGAGTGCAGTGGTGTGATACTGGCTCACTACAACCTCCGCCTCCCAGGTTGAAGTGATTCTCCTGCCTCAGCCTCCCGAGTACCTGGGACTACAGGCGCACACCACCACGCCTGGCTAATTTTTGTATTTTTTAGTAGAGACAGGTTTCACCATATTGGACAGGCTGGTCTCAAACTCCTGACCTCGTGATCCGCCTGCCTCAGCCTCCCAAAGTGCTGGGATTACAGGCGTGAGCCACCGTGCCCGGCCTGGAGAAGAATATTTTAAAAACCCACGGAAACGGCTTCGTTTATTCAACAGAACTTGTCTTGAATCTCCCAGCGCTTTGTTTTAGTTGCTGGGGAAACAGCACAAATAAAACAAATGTGAATTTACTTCGAGCAAATGTGCTGCACTCAGGGAAGTGTGCTAGGTCCACAGCCTGACCTCTGTGGGAGCCTCTGTGTTATCAGTGGGACAGAAGAAGGAAGGAAGGAAGGAGAGGAGCAGCCCTCCAACTAGGGAGACTGAGAAATGGCCAGTGAGAAAACAACGAGTGTGTGACATCAGAGAAGCCAGGCGAGGAGAATGTTCTAATGAGGAGCGTCTTCTGGGGGACTGCCTTGCATGCTGCTGAGAGTGAGGTGTACGTGAGGACAGAAGAGTTTCATTTGGATTTAGCCTTGTCTGGAGGTTGTCAGTGACCTGAAAGAGCAGTTTGAGCTGAGTGGTAGAGAGATCGCAGATTGGAATGAGGTGAAGAGGGAATGCTATCAGACAAATAACTTTTTCTTTTTTTAAAATAACCCCTACAAATCATTGAGAAGACCAACCCAGTAGAAAAGTAGACAAAGGATATAAACAGACAGTTGGCAGAAAAGTGAAGTATAAATGGTTCTTCAATATATGAACAGTGCCCATCCTCACTGAAGAGAAAAGCAAATGCATTGTTGACCAGGTGTGTGGAAACAGGCTTTCACACATCACTGGGGGAATATGGGTAGGGCTGACCTCCGTGGAGAGCCACTTGGCCATGTACCTCATTGGAGAGCCACTTGGCCACGTGCCTAATTAGAAGCGCACATTCTTTGATCCAGCAGATCCACTTCTGGAAATACTGGCATATTTTGTAATAGCAAAAAGTGAAAACTAAATGGTCATCAGTGGTGGCCTGGTTAAATCAGCAGTAAAACAAAGGAATGTCTATATCAGGTAAAGCATTATATTCTTGAAGAAAGTAGAAATTGTTTTTTTTTTCTTACTATGCTCTAAGTCAGGTTCTTTGAGAGTTACTTTTTTTCATTAAAATTTTTCAAGATTGAGAAATATACAGGTGGGTCTGGTATAGGCCACACAATGTATATAGAAAGGTGCCTTTGAAAAGAGCTGTGTAGAGCTTGTCCTTCTGCCCTGACCCTCTACTTTTTCACGTTTCACTTAAGTCAGTAGGCTATATTCCTTTCTCCAGATACCTGTTAGGATTCTTTCGAGTGGATTCTTTCCTATTTCATATATGTACTGAGTTATACGCCATAGGAAAGGATATCTTACAATATCTTTATGGATGAATGCACACTTCAGTTTACCTTATTGCAGCTAAAAGTAAGTGTACCCCCTGTCAAGAGAGCATCCCGTTTTACTTGGTTTGGCTCATTGACAAAGTAAGCAAGCTCCTGGTACAATTTGAGAGCCCTGAAAGCAGCAATGGGGATTCTACTATAGCTGTCTAGTGTAGGAAGATTTTCTTGGTCAAGTTTTTGTTGGGGGAAAGAACAGTCCAAACCTTTGTGAGCTGTGTGTTCTCATCCCAGCTACACGCACCTGACTGTATAGAACTTTTTGCAGTTTGGCCTTCTTTGGAGATAGCAGTGTGTTTTTACGTGTGGACTAAAGCAAAAATGAAAAACTAGGCACGTGCCAGTAGACCAAATCAGCCTCCTAGCAGAGCACATTGACATTGTACAACTTTACAGCCTCTGTCATTGGGGTCTGGTTTCAATTTACTTCATTTCTTAAGAGTTTAAACTGGTTTTTATAATTTTTCCTTATTTCTTTGAGTATCTTGGTTTCACTTATTTGTTCTTTTCTATGTCTTCTTAGATCTAAAGGAATGAAGAATTTTAGGATTTGAAGTGTCTTAAGTAATCATTTAGTCTAAACCTCTCATTTACAGATAAGAAAACAAGCTCAGAGAGATGTGGTGACTTGCTCAAATAGTGACAGAACTTCCTCGGCCATATGGAGGGGTCATATAATACCCTTGTGTCTTCAGTTTGAGGTACCTCCCATAATTTTAAGGGGTATGTGGCTTTAATTACATTACTACTGTTTGAATGAAGAATATTAATTTATATGCTGCACTAGTTCATTTAGAATCGTGGACACAATCGAGTTGAACTCTTACATTTTTTGGTTGAGAAAGTTAAGACCTAGAAGATGAGAATTTATTCATCTAAGATTACAGGCCATAAACATTTATTCTGTGCCTAGATTTTTAAAAATTGAATTATTGTTTTTTATTTATTTAGAGAGATAGGGTCTTGGTATGTGTGTGCTTAGTTTTAACGTGAGTCAGAGCAGTGCTGTCTAGTAGAACTTTGTATTAGGTTGGTACAAAAGTAATTCCAGTTTTTGCAATAAAAAGTAATGGCAAAAACCTGATTACTTTTCACCAACCTAATATAAGTAGTTAAAATTAATTTAAAATTCAGCTCCCAGGGGAGTGGGGTGGAACAACAACAAAAAACCAGCTCCTTTGCCTTCCTAGCCATGTTTCAGATGCTCAGTAACTGTGTGTGGCTGTGGAACTGGACAGCTCAGCCGTAGAGTGTTTCCCTTTCTTGTTAATCTTTTTTTAGAAATGCTAACGGTGGAGACTAAGGCATACAAGTATGACTAGAATTGCCAGCTACACATTAGAAGGTTTAGGTTCAAAACTGGGAGTAAAGACTTAACTCTTGGAGCTTGGGATAGTGCTACAACTAGTCCTGGCCTGAGCCTTTTCTTCATTCATGTTTTATCCTTTTTTTCTTTATTTTTGGACACTGATAAGAACCTGTATGAGATTGTTTCCTTTTTTCCCCCCGCGTTGTAGGTATCTTGTTTTGCCAGTTTATTAGGTTGGTGCAAAAGTAATTGTGGTTTTTGCCATTACTTTTAATTGCAAAAACCACAATTACTTTTGCACCAACCTAATAAAAATCCCACCCTTAGGCTTGAGTTCTCCTGTGCTCAAGCAATTTTCTTACCTTGGCTTCCTGAATAGCTGGGACTATAGGCATGCACCACCACGCCTGGCTAATTTTTATATTTTTAGTAGAGACGGGGTCTTGCTATTTTGCACAGGCTGATCTCTAAGTCCTGGCCTCAAGTGATCTTCCTGTTTCAGTCCCCAAGGTGTTGGGATTATGGGCATGAACTGCTGCACCCAGCCCTTTATACTCAAAAAAAAAAAAAAAAAAAAAAAAAAAAAAAAAATTCCTAACTGTAAATTGATAAATTATAGCTGTTATTTATAGGGTACAAAGTGATGTTATGATTCATGTATACAATGCAGAATAATTAAATCAAGTTAATTAACATTCATCACCACAAACACTTTTTTGTGGGAAGAAAATTGGAAATTCTCTTTGTGATTTTGAAATGCACAGTGGGATGAGTATTTACTACATTCACCATGCTATGCACTATATCTCAAAGAAAAAAAACCCTTTTTCCTCCTAATTAAGGCTTTGTCTCCCCTGACCATCATCTTCCCCATTCCTCTCACCTTTCAGCAATCTTTGTACACTTATCTCAGATAATAACCATTTGATTGCCAAGATTCCATATAAGAAGTTTTGGTCTTTTTTACCTTTGTACTATGGATTATGGAAGTTTCAGCTTTTACATCAAATTAAGCTTGATTGTATACCTTGGCTGAGCCCACTAAATGTAGCTCGGTGATTGGGATCATGTAGTCATTTGTACCTTTGCTGTGCGTCCCTGCCCACTGTTGTTACAACAGGCAGAGGTAGTTCTTTGGGCCTTATTCTAGATGTTGATGTACTAATTTATGACTTGGCTCTGTTTTAATAGCAGCTTAGATTGTGTTGGCTTCATATATGCCTGCAGTGATTTGAGTGTCCATTAGGGTGCATAGCCAAACAATGATGTAGTCCAATTAGGTGCCAAAGTCTTTACTTCAAGTACTTTACATACATGATTTTGCTTTTAGGAGGTGATAGTATGGATTTACTTTGGGTGTTTTGTACTTTTCACAGTAGTCTTTTTGCATTTTTTTTTTTTTTTTTTTGGTATAGTGATTATTGATTAACGGCTTAGAAGTCTTGGTGTTCCTACCTCGGGCTGTACTAAAATGGTTGGTGTTTCTGAAATTGGCTGATTGAGTTGCCTGTCTATAGTTATTTTTGTTGGAAGATGCCTCTGAAGACATGGGAATTAGGTTATTTATCAACAGTCATGGAAGTTGGTTGTTGCCTGATTATGGGCATTTATGCAGTTATTTTTGATGATTTTTGTATTCAAAATTTTGTGGATGATTTTTAAATTTACGGTGTGCTAGGCATTGAAGGTAAAAATGGTGAACAAGTCCTTGTAGAGATGAATTATCTTCCCATCTCATTACCTTCATCTCTTCAAACTTGGGTGCTTTAGAAAACGTGTGAGGGTACTTGCAGCAATGGGATTTTTGAGATTTGCATTAGGAGGGCATTCTGAGGTGGCCTGTCCTGGGACTTCCTGATGCCAGTTAAAAACTAGTGTTTCTTGCTTTTGTGTATCCAAGCTTTGTGATATACCACCTGTCTGTCTAATGGAGAGTGCATCTTTAGTTGTGTATGATATGTGCTCTCAGGAGAAAATGCTTTCTTGCATGTTATGCAATAGCTATGATTTCCTCTTATGAGTTTACATCAGGAATATCATGGTATTTATATTAGAAATTTATATGAGGCTGGGTGAGGTGGCTAACACCTGTAATCCTAGCACTTTGGGAGGCTGAGGTGGGAGGATTGCTTGAGCCTAAGTGTTTGAGACCAGCCTGGGCAACATAGCAACACCTCATGTGTAAAAAAAAAAAAATTTATATGAGAGGATAGGGAGCAGATTACTACTGCTTTTTTTCCCCGGCCTAAGTGAGTTTTTTGGCCTTTTTTTTTTTTTTTTTTTTTTTTTGAGATGGAGTCTTGATCCATCACCCAGGCTGGAGTGCAGTGGCACAGTCTTGGCTCACTGCAGCCTCTGCCTCCTGTGTTCAAGCAATTCTCCTGCCTCAGTCTCCCGAGTATCTGGGATTACAGGCACCAGCCACCAAGCCCGGCTTATTTTTTTTGTATTTTTAGTAGAGACGGGGTTTCACCACGTTGGCCAGGCTGGTCTGGAACTCCTGACCTCGTGATCCACCCACCTCCACCTCTCACAGTGCTGGGATTACAGGCGTGAGCCACCGTGCCTGGCCGGCTTTTTGTTTTTAAATAAATTTAGTGTCCATATAAGAGTGATTTGGGGTAAATCCTTTATTTTCCTAGACTATAAAACAGGGATGATAATAATAGGATGGAAAAGTACTTGCACAGTGCCAGCGCAAAAGGTTTGTAAGGATAGTTTTCATTCCTGCTGCTCTCAAATTTTGTGATTAAGCAAGTTCACTTAGATGCTGTTTAGTTGAGAATTTGTGGTTTTGGTGTTTTAGTCCAAAGCAGTCCTCATTCTTAAATGTTATTTTTATATTATGTTACACTTGCATTCTCTTTATTGGTGTTATCAGAGTCAGCAGTACTGAAAAGAAGAGAAATCTTTTGACAGGGTTAGGTTGTGTGACAGGGTTAGGTTGTGTGACAGGGTTAGGTTGTGTGACAGGGTTAGGTTGTGTGACAGGGTTAGGTTGTATGACTGTTGAGAAAAATGCAGTGTATTGAAGGAATGATTGGCTGCAAATAAAAGTATACTATTTTCTTTTCCTGTCTTGATTTCTTTTTTGGAGAGAGGGCTTTGGATTCATTTCCTCTAAGAGAATAGTCTAATGCTGTCAACTACTGAACCACATCTGATATTATTGATGATTAAAACCATAGTCTTCCTCGTTAGCTTCCATGATGCTGTGCAGCAGCTCCCAGTGTTTCAGAGTAGTCTTACTCTAACCGTGTCCTTTTCTCACCCTGTCCTTTGATTATGATGTAAATAGAAATTAAATACTTGGAGAATTCCCCCGTTTTCACCTTTAGTGTTCTTTAGGGAGAACCTTTCATCATCCTTATGGATTCCACCCTCATCTGTTTGTGTTTAACTTTCAAAGCATCTCTTTGTGGCTTAGCTTTTTTTAGTGGTGTTGTGCTGTAGTATGTCTGGATACTGTCAGTTAAATTCTTTCCCTGTGAGGATAGGAAACCTTGGATCTTGATTTCTTCAACCGTGCTTGTCTGACTTCTCCTTCACCATCAGTACGTTCTCAGTCCCTCTGGGCTTAAAGCAGATTTTATTTTTTTATTTTACTTCTCTATTTTTTTTTTTTTTTTTTTACCAAGTCCTGCTTAATTTTTTCTGTAGCCACTGGTACCATGTTTAAAGCTTTGATTATTTTTATATTAGATTCATAAATTGTTGAAGCAACAAGAAAATTTAGAGTTAATTTACCCCACCTCTCTTATTTTTATTTTTGAGACAGGGTGTCACTCCTATCACCCAGGTTGGAGTGCTATGGCACAATCTTGGCTCATTGAAACATCCGCCCCTTGAGTAGCTGGGACTAGACATAAGCCACTGCATGTGGCTAATTTTTTTTTTTTTTTTTTTTTTGAGACGGAGCTTCGCTCTCGTTGCCCAGTTTGGAGTGCAATGGCACAATCTCGGCCCACTGCAACCCTTGCCACCTGGGTTCAAGCGATTCTCCTGCCTCTGCCTCCCGAGTAGCTGGGATTACAGGTGCCTGCCACCACACTCGGCAAATTTTTTTTTTTTTTTAAGTAGAGACAGGTTTTCACCTTCTTGGCCAGGCTGGTCTCAAACTATTGACCTGAGGTGATCCACCTGATTTGGCACCTCCCAAAGTGCTGGGATTACAGGTGTGAGCTACTGTGCTCGGCCTTTTTTTTTTTTTTTTTTTTTGATAAGTTTTGTAGAGGTGGGGGTCTCACCATGTTGCTCATGGTGTCCTCTAACTCCTGAGCTCAAGTGATTGGCCCACCTTGGCCTCCCACAGTGCTGGGATTACAGGCATGAGCCCCTACTACACCTGGCCTATTTTATTTTATAGATGAAGAAATCGATACTCAGGTTAAGTGATTTGTCTTAGCTTCTCATTACCTGTGTGACCTGATATTACAGCTCTCTGGTCTCTCAACATTTAATACCTCTTCCCAGTCCAACATTCTTCTTTGTTTTTTTTGAAACAGGGTTTTGTTAGGTAGCCCAGGCTGGAGTGCTGTGGCGCGACACAGTTTACCGTAGCCTCAACCTCCTGGGCAAGTGATCTTCCTGTCTCAGCCTCTCGAGTAGCTGGGACCACAGGCGTGTGCTACCATGCTTGGCTGATTTTTAAAATTTTTGTAGAGAATGGGGTCTTGCCATGTTACCCAGGCTGGTCTCGAACTCCTGGGCTCAGGTGATCCTCCTGCCTTGGTCTCTCAAAATGTTGTGATTATAGGCATGAGCCCCAGCATTTTTTCTTAAAAACTTCTAGGTTTTTCTTTAAACTAAAGCTTTATATGTCCATATTTTGGAGTCAACTATTCTAGATTGGGTAAGACAAACAGGAGTCCTTAAGTATCCCACTCTCTTTTTTTCCCTTTCCTGGAGATAGTGTAATACTTTGGACTGTTTTAACCAGTTAAAAATACTTATTTACCTCCATATGTCTGAAGACTGTATTTGAAGGGTTCATACTTGTGTGTATACTTTCTGATTTTTTTAGTTCTAACCAGTGTCTATTGATTTTCTGACATGGAAGATAAGGATTGGCTCTCTCTTCTCTCCTTTACTGCACCTTCATCCCTGTTTTCTCTCTTCCCTATCCACCCAATAGAGGTTTGTTAACATTTTGGTTAAATCACTATTTAGTTTTTTCATTACAACCACGTATACTACATTACGACCATGCATACTTTTTTTTTTTTTTTGAGGCGGAGTCTCGCTCTGTCGCC
The DNA here is from genome assembly GCF_000001405.40 of Homo sapiens. Lineage (NCBI taxonomy): Eukaryota > Metazoa > Chordata > Mammalia > Primates > Hominidae > Homo > Homo sapiens. Next base: position 68,511,110 of record NC_000011.10, read on the forward strand.
CAGGCTGGAGTGCAATGGTGTGATCTCAGCTCACTGCAACCTCTGCCTCCCGGGTTCAAGCGAATCTCCTGCCTTAGCCTCCTGAGTAGCTGGGATTAAGGCACGCGCCACCACGTCCGGCTAATTTTTGTATTTTTAGTAGAGACGGGGTTTCGCCATGTTGGTAAGGCTGGTCTCAAACTCCTGACCTTGTGATCCGCCCGCCTTGGCCTCCCAAAGTGCTGGGATTACAGGCATGAGCCACCGCGCCCGGCCCATGTATACTATTTATAGCTGTTAAATGGTATAAATTACAAATACTTTCCTTTCCTAAACAACTTTTGGTTTCCTCTGGAAATGTGTTACTGTGTTAGAGTGTGTGTGTGTGTGTGTGTGTGTGTGTGTGTTTTGAGTTGGAGTCTCACCCTGTTGCCCAGGCTGGAGTGCAGTGTCGCGATCTCAGCTCATGGCAACCTCTGCCTCCTGGGTTCAAGTGATTCCCCTGCCTCAGCTTCCTGAGTAGCTGGGATTACAGGTGTGTGCCACCACACCTGGCTAATTTTTGTATTTTTAGCAGAGACGGGGTTTCGCCATGTTTGCCAGGCTGGTCTTAAACTCCTGACTTCAGATGATCCACCCGCCTCGGCCTCCCAAAGTGCTGGGATTACAGGCATGAGCCACTGCGCCCAGCCGTGTGTGTGTGTGTGTGTGTGTGTGTTTTTTAAATGTACTTATCACTAATTTAGCCTCAGACTTTTAGCCAGTTACATATTCAGATCTTCCCTCATCTTTATCCTTTTGAAGGAATCTTTCTAGTTTGGACTGCTGGCTCTCCCATTCTGTGACCTTGGGGGTTCTTTTTACCTCTTTCTCCCCATTGGATCTCCTATTCCTGTGTTCTGTGTTACCTTGTTGCTCTCCTTAGTTTTAGTGGAGCATAGTTGCCAGTAGTTTTCAGTGAGAAAGGTGTATAGGAGCTAGACCTGTTGAGACTGTGTGTCTTTCTGTGTACTCGTGGTTGATAAAGTTTGACTGTGTATATGCTTTTGGATTGGAAATAGTTTTCCTTCTATATTAGTCTGCTCAGGGTTGCCATAACAAAATATCATAGGCTGGGTGGCTTAAACAACAGAAATTTATTTTCTCACATTCTGTAAGCTAGAAGTTCAAGATCAAGCTTCTTGACAATTTGGTTTCTAGAGAGTGGCCTCTTTCTGGTTTAGAGACACCATCTCTTCTCACATGTGGTGCCAATCATCATACCAGATGACACAGTCTGGAGCACCATAATCCCAAATGTTGGAATACCTAAAGATCAGAATCCCTGAAGATCAAAATCCTTAAAGATCATAATCTCTAAAATCCTGAAAATCACAAAAGATTAAAATCCTGAGTGTTGAAGCCCTGAAAGCCAATTACCGGGGAAGGGACAGTATGTTTTTGGTTGTGCGTAGGATAGTTGCATCACGTTAGACGGAACTATTACCTTGTTATTGTCTTTATTCGTAAATTAAGTATGGTTTAAGGAGATGCGTGTGGGTGCCAGGTTGACAATAGGTGGACTTGTGGACTCAGTTTTAGATGACACCTTAACTAAGGAGTACCTAGAAACCTGGTGAAACATTAGGTTTTGGGTGTGTCTGTGAGAGTGTTTTCAGAGGAGATGGAAAAATTCTCAAACAGCATCTAAACGCACTTGCTTAATCACAAAACGTCAGGTATGAATGTCTGCCCTTACAAACCTTTTGTGCTGGCATTGTACAAGTGCTTGTCCATTCCTGTTATTAGTTATTATCCCTATTTTGTAATTGATAATACCTCACTCACTAATGCGTGAGTCTGAGTGGGCTGCGGGGAAGATCTGCCCTCAGTGTTGGCAGGTACCATCCAATCAACCAGGGTCCAGACTCTTCTGCTGCCTTGGATGTGAGAAATCCAGGGTTGCCAGCCTTTGGACTCCACGATATACACCAGCAGCCCCCTTGGGTCCTGAGGCTTTTGTGGACTGAGTTAGAGACCACTGGCGTCCCTGGTTCTCAGGCCCTTTGGACTTGGATTGAACCTCGTTACCGGCATCCCGGGGGTCTTCAGCTTGCCTGTCATGGGACTTCCCAGCACCATAATCGTGTGAGCTCATTCCCCGCATAAATCCCCTCTCATGTATCTGTATACATATCTTACCAGTTCTGTCTTGCTGGAGAAGCTTAATACAAATCTGGTATTGGGGAAGTCAAATATTCCTTCTTACTGTGTTTCTTAAAACACAATGGAACAGATCTGTGAAATTGTTCCCTTGCAAAAAGGCTGTGATAAGTGTATGAGGCTACGTAATGGTGAAAGATAAAAATGTTAAAGTTAATTATTATTGGGGCTATGAAAGCAGAAAATTGCTTAATTGCAACAGCTGGACATAACAGACTTTGAAACAGACAGCATGTACTTAAAGAGTTTGAAGACCACAACCACTCTTCAAATACAAGTGCAACAGGTGTTTCGAAGATCATAGACGTAGTGAAGACAGACAAAAACTACAAGAAATCTCTTCTGCCAAATTATTCAGTCCTATAAGACTTCTGCCCATTCACACATAGCGCCAGTTTGCTATGCTATATATTTAGTCTTCACATCATATTCAATACTGGTGGTATAAGTTGTATATATTGTTTTTGTTTTATGCGTTTTTTGCACATTTGACTCCACAAAAGTACATTTTTAGTGTTGACTTTGTGTGTAAGCGTTGTACATATGTGTAAAACAGTTGAAACTTCCTCAGTAAATGAAGAGATGTCCTTTTTTGTATATCTGCATTTGTGAAAGATAAAATTAAAGATCTTAGCTCTCTGAGCAACTGCATATGTGATGTTGATCCATCGTGGTTTTTGGTAGATCTCATCAAAAGACATAGGTTGTAGATGACTGCAGTTGTAAAGCTGATTGCATACAATTACCACCCGTAGTTATACGCATTTTAATGTATGTACGAATGAATGAATGAAACAAGGTCTTGCTTTGTCACCCAGGCTGGAGTGCAGTGGCGTGATCATATCTCTCTGTAACCTCAAACTCCTGGGCCTTAAGTGACCCTCCTGCCTTAGCCTGTTGAGTAGCTAGGACTGCAGGTGCTTGCTCCAAAGTCCAGCTAATGAAAAAAACTTTTTTTTTTGTAGGGGTGGGATCTCACTGTGTTGCCCAGCTGGTCTTGAACTGGCCTTAAGCATTCCACCCGTCAGAGCCTCCCAAAGCTCTGGGATCTCAAGCCTGAGCCACCATGCTGGCTGTTATATGCATTTATGCATTTTGCTTTTTTTTTTAACCTATTTCTTTATGAATGTAGTTTGTCTGCTCATGACTGTTAGTCTACCCATGTGACTGTCATTATTAGACTTGAATTATACCTTGTATCCTTGCAAAAATATGCATGTGATTATTGCCTATTTTATTGTGTAAAGTGACCTATGACGTATTCTCTCATTTTTTTTATGTTTCTCAAATCCCCCTTTATTTTTTATTTTTTGAGACGGAGTCTTGCTCTGACGCCCAGGCTGGAGTACAGTGGTGTGATCTCGGCTCACTGCAACTTCTGTCTCCCAGGTTCAAGTGATTCTCCTGCCTCAGGCTCCCAAGTAGCTGGGATTACAGGTGTGCACCGCCACGCCCAGCTAATTTTTGTATTTTTAGTAGAGACGGGGTTTCGCCATGTTGGCCAGGCTGGTCTTGAACTCCTGACCTCAGGCGATCCACCTGCCTTGGCCTCCCAAAGTGCTGGGATTACAGGAGTGAGCCACCATGCCTGGCCTGAAATCCCCCTTTGAAAATAGAAATACATGTCTTCTGAAAGTTTTTTTAAATTATTTTTTTCCAGAATTATATTTTTGGGATTTTGATCTTTTGGGATTGTAATTTTCAGGATTTTAGACTTTAGGGCTTTTGATCTTTCAGGCTCAGAAGGAAAGAAAACATCTCCCAGGACCAGATGTGGAGTAGATGGGAGTTGGAGAGAAGCTGAAGCCCAGGCCCAGCAACAGGCTGGGGGCCCAGGTGCTTCGGGGGTCCCAGCCATTAACAGAGCTTCGTGCAGGTGGGCAGCTGGAGCCAGGGGGGCTCACTCTCTTGTGAAACAGGCAGAAAAACAGGCCAAACTCTGCTGGGGGCTGCAGCCTTTAGGGAGCAGCTGGTCTCCTGAGGCAAAAGGACACATACTTTGTTGAGGCCAGGAACTGGACCAGCCTGTCGGGGGCTTGGTAACTCCATCCAGAACATCCTCAGGGTCTCCACAAGGCAGACACAGCACAGTACCACAGGAGATGGCTGGGACAAAGAACCAGGAGCTGGAGGGGTGAGGCGGTAGGGGGGCAGCAATCCTGAAACAATGAGAACATAGAGAAGAGAAAGAAAAGTCATACCAGCTCGGAAGAGCTTGCAAACCGATGTTCCAAAACACGCCCAGAATTCTAATGTTCACAAAGTTATCCAGTCAATAATTAGAATCCACTGCACATGAGCATTCAGCATTCGGGATTGTGGCATTCAGGATTGTGTCTTTCGAGATTATGACCCAGACTTTCTCAACATGGCCTTTCCTTGGGTTCATGTGCACGTGGTGTCTCATAAGGACACTAATCCTGTCAATTCAGGGTCCCACCCTTGTGACTCCATTTAACTGTAATTACTTCCTTTCTCCAAATATAACCATGCTGGGAGTTAGGACTTCAACATATGAGTGGAAGAGAGGGAGGACAGACATTCAGCCAGAACGGATCTCTTCAGAATTCTTTAGACATTGCCCCATTATCATTTTTTTATTGTAATAAAATACATATTAAAAAATTTACCATCTTAGCCTTTTTAAGTGTACAGTTAATAGTATACCTTCATAACATTGTGCAATCAGCACCGTCCTCCATCTCCTGTTCTGCTTTCTGGCTCTGATTTTGACTATTCTGAGTACCTCCAATAAGTTGGAATTACATAGTCTTCTGCCTTTATTCAAAATACATTTTTGTCATTTTTGTGACTGGCTTATTTGACTTGGCACGTCTTTATGGTTCATCTACATTGTAGCGTATATCAGAATTTCCTGTTCAAGACTGAATAATATTCCATTGTATGTATATACAGGTTAAAGCATCCCTAATTGGAAATTTCGAAATGCTTCAAAATCTGAAACTTTTTGAGTGCCAACACGATGCCACAAGTGGAAGTTTCCACACCTGACCTCATACAACACATGTGACCTCATGTGACTGGTTGCAGTCACAATATGGACACACAATACACAGTTAATTTAAAATATTGTGTAAAATTACCTTTAGGATATATGTATAAAGTATACTTTAAACACAACTGAATTATATGTTTAGATTTGGGCCCTATCCCAAGATATCTCATTATGTATATGCAGATATTTAAAAATGCAAAAAAATTGAAATCTGAAATACTTCTGGTCTCAAGCATTTTGGACAGGGGATACTCCGTCTCTACCATACTTCACTTGCCCATTCATCTGTTGATGGACACTTGGGTTGCTTCCATGTTTTAGCTGTTGTGAGTAATGCTGCCATGAACACAGGTACACAAATATCTTTTCAAGACCCTGCCTTCAGTTCTTTTGAGTGTAGAACCATAAGTGGACTTGCTGGGTCATATAGTAATTCTATTTTTAATTTTTTGAGGAATGAATGTTAACGGTTTTTCCACAGCTGCTGTACCATTTTGCATTCCCACCAATAGTGCGCAAGAGTTCCAGTTTCTCCACATCCTTATTGACACTTATTTCCTGTTTTTTTTTCTTCTTTTCCTATAGTAGCCATCCTAATGGATGTGATGTGTTACTTCACTTTTTTGTTTTCTGTTCTTGAGAAATCTGAAACTATTCAGATTTTTGGTTATGGAAGACCTAGGCTCTTCTTTGTGCCAGGGTCATGCCGTTTAACAGTGATGTTCCTTGGTATGGGTCTGTTTTAAGTAACGGTTTTGAGAATTATTTATCTGATTTCCTCTCTTCTGTTTTTTTGTTCTTTCTTTTTTTTTTTTTAGAACCCCTGTTGGTTGGATGTTGGAAAACGTTGCTAAAATGTTCCATTTTAGGCTTTCAATTTTCTTTCCTGTTTTCTGATGGTCTTTTCCTCTAACTTGCATTTTTCTGTTTGTTTTGCTGCTTTTTATGGTAGAGGCTTTCTGGAGGTGTCTGGTAATCCTTGGTTTTCATTCATATTTAAAAGTCAGGGATACACAACAGAGTTGGAGCATATGAAATTGACATTCCTTCCCAGCTTTGTTTGCTATAAAAGGACAGAGGAAGTGACAGCCTCAGTATCTATGAACGTACTTTGCTCTAAGACCTTCATTTTAAATTACATCCCCCACTAAAAGGAACCAAGACTCCTTGGAGAAATGGCAGATTTCAAAGCCGAACAGAGAATGCATAAGACAAATCCAGAACATGTTACATGAGGAAATAAGGAAGTGCTTGAGAACTATGAAAAGCACACAAGAGCATGCAGGAAGGGGCTCCCACTGGCCAAATGTGGGACAATTTGAACATCAGAATGAATAATGATGTTAATTGGCCAGGCACAGTGGCTCACACCTATAATCCCAGAACTTTGGGAGGCCAAGGCGGACGGATCACTTGAGGTCAGGAGTTTGAGACCAGCCTGGCCAACATGGTGAAATCCCGTCTCTACAAAAAATATAAAAATTAAGCAGGCATGTTGGCGGTTGCTTCTAATCCCAGCTACTCAGGAGGCTGAGGCAGGAGGATCACTTGAGCCCAGGAGGTGGAGGTTGCAGTGAGCTGAGATTGCACCACTGCACTCCAGCCTGGGCGAGAGAGCAAGACCCTGTCTTCAAAAAAAAAAAAAAAGTTAATAAAATACGAATCTATGAGTCCATACTGATGACATAAGGAAAGAATAAGTGGGGAGAAGGGAGCATCCCTCACTGAAGTTTGAATGTCAGGAGGAACAGTAGAGCCTCAAAAACCTCATCATTTTCATAACTGAATATCAATTGATTCAGACAAGAATTGCCAGTTGGCACTAAAACTACTGGATGAACGTTGTAAGAACATAGTCTCTTAAGTATTGTTCTACATATTATGAATTAATTACAAAGGAAAATCCTCAGTTTATAGTGAAGAAATCTGGCAAATATAATTTTAACCAAGTGATTGAAATTATCACCAATAATGGGGCAAATTGACATCATCTTGTCTCTTTCTGTGATGCTCCAGGAGAAACAAAGCTTCATTTATGTAGTACTACTGCCAGAAGCACATAACCCATATTCTTCAAAGATGTCAGTGAAATGAATGGAAAAAAACGTTGAACTGTTTCAGATGAGAGGAAATTAAGGAAATAGGACTTTAGATGTGATACATGATCCTAAATTGGAGGGAAGAGGGATTTGCCATACAGGACCTTTCTGTTTTGTCTAAGGACTCCAGCAGCACAGCCACATGGTCTGTTCTCATTTTAAGCAAAAATTTGGATGATTATACTTTTTGCAGTGTATAGTCAAAAACCACCTAACTGGTAAAATATTTTATTTTTAAAATTAAATATACTCGTTTTAATTTGCACCGAGGCCTGTTACTGTTATTTTTGTTGATTGATTTTAACAAATGTTTAACATTATTTATTATCTTACTTGAGGGAAAATGTTGCTATCACAATGTAGTATGAGTTTTATGGGGGAAAGGCATTAGATGAACAGCATTGTTTTGGAAATGCCTTGTAGATTGCATTCTTAGAGGATTTCTTTTTTTTTGGCCCTGTCAGGCTTCACTACTTAGAGGAATTCTAATTAGTTCAATGTCCACAGTTTAAGTCATTTTCCACAGTATTAAGCTATATATGAAGTGCATACCTTGAAAGATAATTTCTATTCTTTTCATGTGCAGTGTTTGGTTAATTGACACTAGAGACTGAATTTGAGTACAGCTAGAACTTCAGTGATCTTAATGTTCTACTCACGCTTCCTGATAAAACGTATTAAGTGGACTGCCAGGGGGCATTTAAAGGAAGGAAATTGTAAAATTTTAGTATTTTTTAGTAAAAGTGTGGTGCCTTTATAGTGGACCCTATGTTGGATAAGAATAGAATTGATGTTTTCAGAAGACAAAGGTAAGAATATGTATTTTTCTTCTTCACTCATTGATAGTGCTATTATGACATCTGTATTTACTTCTGAGATACTGTTTAGGGTAGGATAAAAGCTAAGGTAGAGAGATGACAGTGCTTTTTTTCTTATGTTCATATAGAAAAATTTTAGTGATTAACTAGAACTTTTTAATTCCCTGTGGTATAGTTCTGTGTGGCCCAAGACCCTGACCCAGTATGCTTTAATGGCAGCTATCATCACACCAAAAGAGAACATATGTGATTATCTGCTTTTTTTTTTCTTTTACAGGAGAGCTTGTTTCATATCCATATCCCACTGTATTCCTGCTAATCTGCTAATGCAGTAAATTGGAGGAAAACTGTTACCAGGATAACCTGTAATGGGCAAGGAGCCACAAAGAAGAAAACATTTCTTTTAATTTTTAAACTTGGTTTGAAAGGTAAGACCATTACGATTAGCAGGAGTTTCCTTCCATTAATGACATCAAGGAAAGCTGTGGTTCTATTGTGAGACCCTGGAGTCTTAGCAAACCAGGTGGAGACCAGTCTCTCTGAGCTAGGTACAATATGATTCTGTGGTACTGTGGTATTTTTAGGAAGTTAAATGACAGCCTCTTCAGTCTGCTTTGGTATATCTTAAATCTGCAGAACTCAAGGGATTCTAAGCTTATAGGGGGTTATTGAGAGGGGCGCCAATGACCAGCCAGGCCTAGTAAGCTGAAGTAGTAGCATGCAGAGAAAGACTCGCCGCCCAGGCCACTGCTTCCAGGGCACCGGGACTCTGTCTGTGTGTTTGTTTTTGTTTTATACCAGCGAAAGGACGTTTGACTTCTGGTCAGCCACTTTTGTCTTTCTGAGTCCTAATCTCCATCACTTTAGAAGTTTTTATTAAAGATTAGAGATTGAATTTGCATATTTGACTTTTGGCTCAGTTGGCATTTACTAGGAAGTGGTAGAAGTGGCGCAGTAGGTCCTTTTGGGGGACATGCAAACATAGTTAATCAAATTTCACTTGTCCCCATTGTATCTCTAGAAGGTAGACAAAAATCATTTAATCATCTACCTTCCTGAACTGGTGCTAGCTCTAAGACTTGAAATTTTAGTCACTTTTTACTTGGCTTTCTTTTTATCCTGATGAGCAGTGATTTACCAGGGCCTATTGGTTCTACTGTTGACTCTTGCAACTGTCTTTTTCTTTTTGTTACCACGGCTGCAAAGCTAGGTCAGACTTTGTTGCCTGGAGAGATACTATGGTGGTTTTGCTGTGAGGGGTCTCTGCTTCTAACTGGCAGGTGGATGTTTCCTAGGCATCTGAAATACTACTTTGCATATGATGTCTCCTCAGCCCCAGCTCCTGAAGAACAGTCCTACTCAACCCTTGCAGGTTCCCCTTGAGCTTAAACAGTGATGTCCAATTCTTGCCCCCGATATTCAGATTCTCGTACACGACTTAGGATTTCCTCAGCTTTACCTCAATATTCTTCCGGATGAATCCCATGTGGAGAATTCTCTGCAAGTATTCATTCCCCTTGTGGCCCCTTGTCTCATAGAGTTTTTTTGTTTGTTTGTTTGTTTTCTGAGATAGGGTCTTGCTCTGTTGCCCAGGCCAGAGTGTAGTGGTGCGATCTCGGCTGACTGCAATCTCCACCTCCCGGGTTCAAGCGATTATCCGGTCTTGGCCTCCTGAGTAGCTGGGATTACAGGCGTGCACCACCACGCCCGGCTAATTTTTGTATTTTTTGTAGAGACGGTGTCTCACTATGTCGGCCAGGCTGGTCTTGAACTCCTGGCCTCAAGTGATCCACCTGCCTAGGCCTCCCAAAGTGCTGGTATTACAGGCGTGAGCCACCGCGTCCGGCCTCACAGAGTTTTATTATTGTTCTTTGTATTTGAATTCACGTCTTCTGGGGCTCAGCTTTCTTCCTGCCTTTTTTGTCAAACCACCTTGGATTGTTCCAGTTCCCTTGTGATCACTCCTTTGTGAACTCTCAGAGCATCTCATTAAGTTATTTTAGGATTATTTTTTTCTCTTAACTACATTTTAAGTATTTTGTGAGCAAACAGCTGTAACTTCTTTGTATCTTTAGTACTTTTCACAAAATAAGGTATCATTAATTGTTTGGTGGTAGGAGCTAAAATGTCAGAGGCATTTCTCAGGATAATATTTGAGACTTTCCTTCTCTCTCCTTGTTTATTTTGTTTTTCTTTGCTGATAGAGATTCTTAGCTTTGGCAGCTTGTGGAACAATTTCTTACCTTTAGTTATTCCTCCTCCTCCTCCTTTTACACATCTCTGCTCGTCAGCATGCTGTCCTACACTAGAGTGAACCCTTCAAAGTCTCCAGGAGTCCTAGAATCAATGCCAGGTGGTTAGGAGGGTTCCTGGAGAGGAACAGCACTGTAGGTATAGGGCACTTTAGACCAGGGGCTGGCAAACAAAGCATTTATTGCAAAGGCCAGTTAATAAATATTTTAGGTTTTGCGGGCCAAGAGGCAAAAAAGAGGATTTTATGAAGGTATTTATATACCAAGAGACACAACAATTTTTTACAGGCTTTGTTATTGGTGAGATTCATAATGTAATAATTTAGTTCAATTTTCTGTAATACAGCTCTCTCTTACTAGTGAGAAGACTGGAATTCTTTATTCTAGGGGGATAATATTTCACCTAATTGGTCTTTAAAGTCAGAGTTGCTCCCATCAAAATCTATTGCAAAGGTACATGTAATCTATTAATATTGATCTGCAGCAAGGTTTTACATTTTTCATCTTTGGAAATGTCTTTTTACACAGGTAGGTACTCCCACATTCTCTATCAGTCCCCAAGCATATTACTTCAGTTGAGTATATTCATTATTTGGAAGGCATATGTAGAATTCTCTTGGATTCTTCTCTTGATACTTGCTTTTTAGCATGTCATTACATAGTAAATTAATCATTTCTAATTATAGTTTAGGCGATAGCTCCTTACTTGCACAACTGAATGGATTTTGAAATATGGAGATTGCCTTTGCCTTTGCATCAAGATCTGCAAAATGCTATGTAACTGTAGTTTCAGCTCAGAAAACATGTCCACTGCCAATCTGTATGAGAATGGAGAGCTCATCTCCTACAGGAAGTGTATGAAGCAGCTTGACCTTCCTTATCAACCAGAGAAAGTTGTTTAAATGACATTAATGTAGTAGATGATTCACATGTCAGCCATTGAGACTTCAGCAAAGGCAGATTTCTACAGCTATCCAGTGTTCAGTAATGGTCGTTTACAACTGTTCTTCTTGTTCAGAAAAATTTCGTTCTTTGCCCTGTGCTCAGAAGATCACAATAAAACTTCACCACATCAAGCTGCTGTGGGATAGGGCAAACCGGGATGGTTAAGTCCATGAGTGCATGAAGTTTACTGTTGGTGCTACTGGTTCAGTAACAGGTGATGGATTTCAAAAGTCTCCAGATGCCTGCTGGCGAATAATCAAAGAATAACTGTAAGCTTTAAACACCTTACATTTTTATAGGTTTTCTAAGTTTGTTGAACTAAGCCCTTTTCTGTTCTATACACCACCGGAATCAGTTGTAGCATATCCTATCAGATTCTACTGTAGGTTGTCTTTTCTCAACTTCTTTGAAAATATTCTGCCTGTAGTTCTTTCATGAAGACTGTTCATGGAGGCTAAAAAGTCAGAGGTATATCACAAGGTTTATAGCAAAAAATAACAATTGTTCCATCTTTCTTATCTCTGAATTACTCACTTGGGACTGCTACCTTCATCACATAGCTGTTTTCCCTTATTTCCACATTTCTAAATAATTTGCCTATATGTAGCTGTTTGTAATCTACTTGGCTTCTAATTATGAAGAGGAGGTTTTAGTTCTTACATGGATAGCTCCTTCCCTCCTTCACCTTTTGGATAAAGTCAGTATTAAAGGTATGTATATTTTGGTTAATTATTCCCGGAATCCCTAACAAAATTTGCAAAATTCTCTTCAGTGTGGTCAGATACATCTGGCAGTCAGCTGTGTCTCTTTCTTGGACTCACTTTTTCCAAACCCTCTGCCTCATGCCTTCCTCTGTACTGGTTGCACTTGACCTTCTCCGTAACTGCTGGTGTTTCTCCTCACCTTTCTTCTGGGAGTCGTCTATCTCTTGATGTCTCGTATTTCTGGTTTTATGTATTGTCATGTTTTGGTGAAGAACATTCTGCAGTAGCTGCCTGAAAATGTGTGAATAGATCCGTCAGACCTTCCATGTCTGAAAACGTTGGTTTCAAGAATTGATCCTAAGTTATGGTCCTTTTTTTGTGTTGTTTTTGTGAGTCCCCCTCCTCCCCACCCACCACTAGAAGGTTTAGATACTTCATCTCTGCTACCATGGAACTACACTCAGTACCTTGGGGGGATCTGTCGCACCACTCATTGTGATGGCCTGTGCAGGCCCTAAGGAGAGCCACATTTGTTAAGCTCTGGGAGAATTGCTTTCTTCTATTTCCTACCCATGCCCCCCTGCCCCCCCCCCCCCCTTTTTTTTTTCTCTTGGCCAAGAGGTGGGTGATAGATTATAATATGTTATTCTAAAACTTCTTTTATTTGAATATTGGACTTCCTAAATCGTTTAAGTTTTTTGTCTTTTCATGAATTGTTGGCGTTCTTGGCTGTAGTTTCCTTTTTTCTCCTTTGTCCTTTATTTTGTTGTGTTACTAGAGTTTCCAGAGCAGTGGAGAATGCGTGGGGTTCAACCCACTAAGCATCTGGAAGGTTACATAATCTTTTCTATTTTCTTACTGGAGCTCCATGTCAGCCCAAATGTAGCCATGTATTGTACCTTTTATATCCAATGGATTTTGAGATTTATAAAACAGCATGTTAATCATTTAGTACAACCTTCCTGTCCAGAACAGGAACTCCTTCTGTTCCTATAGAAAATCATTCAGGCTTTGCCAGGGCGCCTCCAATTGAGGGGCCTCTCATGAAGCCACAGACCTCATCTTTAGCAAGTTTTGCTTCTATTGCTTGTAGATAATTTGCACTTTTTACTTACTGGTTCTTATTTCATCCTTGGGTACAGTACAAGACAGGTCTTCTCTTCTAAGCTTTTAAATATATTCAAAGGTAGTTACTTTATCCCTCCAGGTAGTGAGCCTTTCTGCTGTCCTGGCCATCTCTTTGGATGCCATGTGGTTGCCAGACTCTTTGTTTTCCTTCAGAACAGGATATGCTATTTCCTGGTGTGACGTGATGTGCTCAGGGCAGTCCACAGTGGGATTAATTTCTCCTCTGGTCCTAGACATTATTTATCTGTTACTATATTCTGGGATTTCTTTGCTTATTAGTTACATCGTAATATTAGAACTTTCTATTGGACTTATAATGAACTGAAATCTTTGGACTTTTTTGTTTCTTTTCTTCACTTCAGCAGTTTTCTTCTCCCTGGCATTCTTCCTATCTTGTTTTTCAGTTTTTGTCTGAAAAGGACTTTATATTCATTCATGTTAAATAAATTTTTCTTGTTTCGTTGTGTCAAACAGTGTGACTGCTGACTTACCCATTATTAGCTCTTCCTCTTAGCTTTGTGTTTTCTGTGCATTTTGACAAGCCTGTGGCATCCTGTGAATCCATGCCATCAGAGCCCCTGGCCACAAGAGCTGAGCTTGTCCAGAGCTCTTCAGGCTGAATGCCCAGTTGTCTTGTCTGGGAAGTGATTCTCCACCCTGTGCACAGAGGCACATGGTTCCTCTTCCTGAACTTGTCCTGAGAGCCATTGGATTGCAAGGCTGACCTGCCGTTGCTGCCTTCTACAAGCTGAGGCCACACACAGCTGGCTGGGCTGGGGTCATGCTCTTGATGACTGCTTCTTTGACTAGGAAAAGTGCACACTTTGGAGCTAGTCAGACCTGGGTTTGTGTCCCATTTCTGCTAGCATGTTTACTAGCTCTGGTCTTCAGTAGTAAGTCATTTGAACTCTCAGAATTTTAGTTTTTTTCCATCTGCAAAATGAGAACAAAACCTTGAAGGTATGAAGTATCTTGTATCTAAAAGCATGAAGCCCAGAGTCTGGCAGTATGGTAGGCACCTAATAATTGGTAGCTGCTGTTAAAAATTATGTTTCCACCTTTATATAAAGTTGCAGTGTCCAGACAGTTAATGTGATTGTGGAATAGCTAGGAGAGATTGAAGATTGTTTTTCATAAGGAGCTATAAAGACCATTCTCTGTTGAGCTTTTATTCCTGAGCAGTCTCAGTAGTCTATGAATCTACTTTAATTTTTCTTGCACGTTAGGTTGCATACTGTAAAACATTTACAAAAGAAAGAACTTCCTGAAGGTTAACAGTTTATTGCTGCTAGCCTGAAGCTGTTGAGATAGCCCTGAATACTTCAGGGTTATATACAGTCTGATCAAAGTTTGCTAGGGAAGGAAGATTGACGATAATAGCTAAAACTTTAAAAAAACGGGCTTTTGAAAGATTTTTTTGTGACTAAGTTGCCAATCTGTCTTTCATTATAGAATTTGATAGCTCTTAATCTGAAGACTGCTTCTTTTTGACCATTTGCCAAAAGCATCTCAGTGTGCTCCTGAATTTCTACTTGATTAGGAAAGGCCATTTTCTTTGGGTACCTTGTCTGTAAGATATTTGAATAATAAATGACCATTGTCACTTACCTCAAGTTGGGTGAGTTATAAATGGCACATAACTGGGTTTCACTTAATACAAACCACACTGACTTGGATTTTCCAAGCTTTGCCTTCACCACGTTAGTATAGAATTCCCTTTCTAGCCAAGCAGTTTCACCATTTTTCATTTGCTGAGGACCACCTCGTATCTCTTCAGTTTTGGAGACTTAGAAACTTTTTGTGTTGTTGCAAATAGCCATGCCAGTCATAACCATGTTTCCTACTCTCCTCCAGTTACCTGTTGCTTCCTTTCTGATGTTTGACTCATTTGTTCGCTCTTGGAATCCTGCCCAGTTTCAGAAATTCCAAGAATCTTGGATGCTTCAGATGGGAAACCTTTCTAGGGCCTATGAGAATTTACTGATTTTACTTTGACTTACATTTTTTTTTTTTTAAATTTTGAGACAGGGTCTTACTCTGTCAGCCAGGCTGGAGTGCAGTGGCGTGATCTCTGCTTCCCAGGCTCAAGTGATCCTCCCACCTCAGCCTCCTGAGTAGCTA
Source organism: Homo sapiens (assembly GCF_000001405.40). Classification (NCBI taxonomy): domain Eukaryota; kingdom Metazoa; phylum Chordata; class Mammalia; order Primates; family Hominidae; genus Homo; species Homo sapiens. The sequence goes on from NC_000011.10 coordinate 68,526,374, forward strand.
GGACTACAGGTGTGCACCACCATGCCCGACTGATTTTTTGTACTTTCTGTGGTGGAGACAAGATCTCCCTTTGTTGCCTAGGCTGATCTTGAACTCCTGGACTAAAGTGATCCACCTACCACTGTCCCCTCCAAAGTGCTGAGATTACAGATGTGAGCCACTGGGCCTGGCTAACGTTGGCTTTTATCATACCATCTTACCTCTATTCACACACCCTCACCTCCAGCATGCACACGTGCATCTGGAACCAGCTGGGTGTTCCTTGCCTCTCCTCGGTTTCCTTCATCTCTTAAGAAGACAACTGGCAAAAACTCGACTACCATTGTGCCATCCTTATTACTTGCCTTTCCCCACACAACCCCTCAGTCTCACTTCAATGAAACTTGTTCGTAGTAGAAATAACCCATGCTTTGCATATACTTGGACTGAAGTTTTTGAAATTGTGGAAAATAGGCACAGAAATTCCTGTACATTCAAGGTTTCATAATGAGAATTTGTAGAGGAACACGTTACTGTAGTTGCTTTAATTTGAACTAGTTGACAAAAGTAAGGCTGGATTTTTTGGTTGGTGGTTGACTTTAAAAAAGTGAAGTGAATGATAAGGTTGTACATCTTGTCTTGCTGTTAGCATCTTAGCAGTGTATTTGGAGTTAGTACAGGGTGTATATATAGACATTTGCCTTCTGAGGGTTGTGTATTTCCCAGACAGCTTAGAATTCTAAAGGCAAGTATAAATTTGTATCATTTGACACCAAAGTACAGCTCCAGAATGAAGAAAAAGTGGAAATTAGACTTGGAGGAGGCAGAATGCTGGTGACATTGGAGAAGTAATGGTCATTTAGTGTGAAATCTTGTAGCGGATACCTTGGCTTTGAACGTAGAGGCCATTGCAAGGCATCATTTTCTGCTCCGGTGGGCCCCTCTTCATTAGGCTCACCCCTCTCCAATCTGTCTTTCACATTGTTGACAGTTAACGCATTCACACTCCAGATCTGCTCTTGCAGACTCCAGTGTCTGTCTTAGCACCGTGACCAGTCTCTACAGTGCCCCACCTCAGGCGTCTTACCTTCATCCCCTTCTTTCCTGTCCCATATTTAAGTCATATTCACACCTGGCCAGACCCAAAAGAGGTTTGTCCTCTTCCCTCTGTCCTTCACCTTTGTAGGAAATACGAACTCTGTTGAGAGTGTACTAACCACAGCATCAGTGTCATCTCCACGTCACTTCCAATGTCTGCTTTTGTTCAGAATTGTTCTATGTTATTAAAATACTTTGTTGAATCTCTGCTGTAGATATTTTAATGCATACTTTCCTCAGTTAAAACTCACTGGATCTGTCTGCTTCTGCAGCAAGCCTGCACAGTGCCGTGCATTCACACACAGCCCTTTGTGGTCTGGCCTTGTGTTGCCAACCTAATCCTACCACCTACCCAAAGGCTCCTCCTTCCTGTTGTCCTCAGGGCCTTCTCACTGCTGTGACTCCTGAAGCTACTGGGTCTTCCTGTCCACTGCTTTCAGGGAGGCGTCGCCTGGCCTGGAATATGTTATGCAGCTCCATTCATCACCTCCTAAATGCTCCCTGTATTTTGAGGCTCAACTTAGGCTTGATATATAATGAGGCATTTTTGGCCAGGTTGTCCTCCCTTGAGCTACCTTTCTGTGGAACAAGGTTGAAATGTATGCCTGCCTGTCTCTGTTTTCTCTGTTCTCAATTTTATTGTATTTTTCAAGGCTTTAGGGACCATCTGTCATATTACTCCTGTATTCCTTAGCATAATTCATATTAATACTTTAATACCTGTTGATTAATATAGCATATTAAATGGATTTGATTCCTTTATTCTCAAAGAAATGCTTGAAATATCAAAGCAGTTTCAAGTTGAAACTGGAAAAGATTCTGGAATACCTGGGTGGTAGAAAGCTGATTGCTTTTGACACCTTCTTTGGAAGAAGCAGTTGCAGAGATACGATAAAACTGGGTTTGAGTTTGTATTACCCTCTTCTCTAAAGAAATATATTGACTCTAGTAGGCACCTGATATTTGATTTAATTTGTGTGTGTGGGGGGGGGGGCTGCACCTTTATGAAATTGACACTTCACTAAGAATGGAGAAACAGCTACTGCGTGAACTTTCTGTGTTTTGTGGTCTTTTTCCTTAGAAGTTATTGAGAGCTGCTTTTAAAGACCAGCTGCTTTTACTCCTTTGTGTTCCATGTTTCTGCCCCTTCTTGTGAAAATTTCCCTGGGCATTGAGCTTTGCTGTCAGGGGGAAGAGTTTCTCATTAACTTACAACACTAAGAGATAACTTCCGTGGGAGTGACTCTGCTTTTTCCTGTTAATAGACACTTTCCTCCCTGGCCCCTTCTTAGTGGCATGCAGCTTTCAGCATGCCTGGAAGCAGTCACCAGACCCTCCTGGAGCCCATAGTTTCACATTTGGGTCTTGTCAGGCACTGTTCAACTAAGCTTCCTGCATGGGTGAATCCAAGCCTAGAAGGAAGTCCTCAGCCTCCAGGTGTCTGGACACTGCATCAGTAGATGAGCCAGTATGAACAGCCTTGCCTCAGCTTGGTGGTTGAGTACATCCTGTTCCCCAGCCTGCTTATAAACTCGGCCAGAGGTTCGGTGTAAACACGTCTGCCGCTTATGGAATAATCAAGGGATGCTGTGAGGTCTGTTTTCTAGAGGTTGAGTGAGAATTCTAGTTTTTTGTCCACATTAATCAAGTATCTTTGTTTCCCAACATTTTCGAGTGGCCTAGGCATTGTTCCTTCTTCTGAAAATATATTTTGAATTAGCTTATAAAATGAAATCAATTCTCAGAGATATGTACCTGTTTTTGGGTGTGTGTGTGTGTGTTTTTCCAGATGGAGTCTCACTCTGTCTCCCAGGCTGGAGTGCAGTGGCACAATCTCGGCTCACTGCAACCTCTGCCAACCGGGTTCAAGTGATTCTCCTGCCTCAACCTCCCAAGTAGCTGGGATTACAGGCGACTGCCATTGTGCCCGGCTAATTTTTGTATTTTTAGTAGAGATGGAGTTTCACCATCTTGGCCAGGCTGGTCTTGAACTCCTGACCTCATGATCCACCCACCTCAGCTGCCCAAAGTGCTGGGATTACAGGTGTGAGCCACCGCGCCCAGCCGGCATGCATCTGTTTTTAAATTTGGCTCCTTAAGTCTAAACCAGTGATGACCCACCTGTGCCTCTTGATGCAAGATCTAGCTCTTTGCATTATTTCAAGATGAAGGATTTGAAAACTTTCTTGTTATTGCTATAAATGTTTCTAGGTATTAGAGGCTACAAAACAGTTCTCGTTTTCTTGTGATCTACTTTTTTGAGTTGAAGAATATCTGCCCAAGTTGTTACATTTCAAGAATATACATGATATCTCCTGTATATTTCTATTTTAAAAAAGAGGAAAAACATGGCCTATAACCTCTTCTTACCTACCCCACATTGGCCCTTGTGTGGAAAACATCGTTAGTGATTGTAGCTGTGGAAGGAGATGGGGGCCATTTCAGTGCGGAGAGAGACTGAATCATAATGTCATTAGAGTGGGGCTGTCTAGTACAGCAACCACTGGCCATGTGTAACTCTTGAACATCTGAAATGTAGCTGGTTGAAATTGAGAGGTACTGTGAGCATAAAATACACATCAGATTTGGAAGACTTAGTACCAAAAGAAATAATATAGCCCTGTTGGATATATTCTGTTAGATACTTTTAAATTTAATGTCATTAGTTGTTTTTTACTTTTTTGATGTGGCTACTAGAACATTTAATGTGTGGCTCAAAAGTTTATTTCTTATTTCTGTTAGACGGGTCTGACTTGGATGACAGATAGAGCTTGTGTAGTTCTAGTAGTTTTAATAGTGGTGAGAGAAGGGAGTGCTGAAGGGAGACTTGGGGTGTATAGGAATTAGAACTTGGGCAGCGTGTGCTTGCATGTCTTTGTATAAGATTGTGTGAAATTTGTGTGTCAAATATTTTCTTTGTAGTGTTCTGTTAAATATATAGTATTAAAAGTCAATAACACATTTTGTTGTCTTAAGTCTTTCTTGTGTGTTTTCTTGGGTGGAAGCAGCTGCTTCTCCTATTTTGTTCTGTTTGTGCTCCGTATGTTTAGGTAGCGGCAACTTCTACTAGAAATATCTTATGTGTGTTTATTGCCAGTCTGGCATATGATATCAGATATTCACTTCGGTGTTGCTATCTTGAGGATTCCAATGGGGCCAGTTATTAAAAGGTATAGACAGAGCTGGTTTGATGGGTGTGTGACCTGTGCAGTCTCGCATGCTCAGAAACACTTGGATTAATGCTCTCCTGTTTGGGTTCTGTCTTGAAAGCCATCATAATCTTTGAATCTTCTTTGAAATCTCTGAACATTTTGCTCTGGGCCCAGCTAGTCCTGGGTACAGTTATTTCGCAGTTGATAGTATACAGTTTATTGTACTTAGATATAAAGTTGCCAAATTTAAGCATAGTGAGTTCATATGAATAGGAGATTTTGAATTTGAAATTCATTGACGATCTTGTCATCCCCACAGTTGACTGCTTGTTTGTGGGTAGGATCACCAGTAGTTTCTTTCTTCAGGGTTCTAATAGTTTATCTTTTGTCATGTTTATGGTATGGTATGTTCTGCCTCTGTCTTGTTGAATGAAAACCCACTGATATCAACTTTTTCAGAGGTAGTTTCTGAAATAACACAGTACTGTTTGCACTAGTATGCTTTTCCTATGTTTTTCATGGCTGTATAGTTATTTTGAATATATGTATTTAAATTTGTGAAGATGTAGATTAAAATGATCCTCCATTTATGAATTACAAGCTGTCAGCAGTGGTTTAAAATCAGGCATCAGCAGCATCTGGGAACTAGAGATGCAGAATCTCAGGCCTGAGCCCTGTTTATTGAGTCAGAATCTGAGACTGTGTTTTATTTATTTATTTATTTATTTATTTATTTATTTATTTATTTAAATTTTAGGACAGGGTCTCACTCTTGTTCAGGCCGGTTTGCAGTGGTATGATCATAGCTCACTACAGCCTCAACCTCCCAGGCTCAGGTGATTCTCCCACCTCAGCCTCCCGAGTAGCTGGGACTACAGGTGTGTGCCACCTGTTGCCCAGGCTGGTCTCAAACTCCTGGGCTCAAGCGATCTGCCCATTTTGGCCTTCCAAAATGCTGGGATTACAGACGTGAGCCACCATGCCCAGCCAAGACTGCATTTTGACAAGGCCCTAGACTATTCATTCCTGTGCCTTTGAAAGTTTGGGAAGCTTTAAAGCTCACTGATTTCATTGTTGGATATATTCATTGCCTTAGCAGCTTCTGTTTGCCTGAGTGTGTGTATGTTGGTGCCTGTATGTTCTAGCTGCTATTGCGGATCTTTCTTATTGACTCTCTACAACCTGTTTTGCTAAGGATCCTGAGGCTTAGAGATGAAGTAGCTTTCCTGAGGCCTCAGGGCTAGCCAATAGTGGAGCTGGTGTTAGAATCCAGGTCTGTAAGATTCTTAGTAGTCCTAGAAGAGGTTGAGAGGATTTGTATATTTGATGAAAACAAAGGGTTGTAGGTGGTTCACATAAATTATAGTTGGACCCCTATTGAATATGCTAGCATTCGACTAGCAGTGCCTTGGCAAATTTTACAGATAGACTGATGTTCTTGTTCTACCTCTTATAAATAATTTAGCCACTTTACCAGTTCCTAGTTCCTGTGTCAGAGACAGGGTGGCACCTTTTTCCAGAGAGTGTCACTGCTTGAATGCCTTGAATTCAAGGTACTTGGCCTCAGATTTTGAAAGGCTTTGATATCATGAAGGTTTTAAAATAATTTTAGAGGGTCATTAAGTAAAGCAGTTGATCTTCGATGAATAGATTTACTCAACAAATGGATCCTTTGATCCTATTTTGTGTATATAAGATGGCAGTTTTCACTTGTCTTACGTTACAGGAAGGTGGGGAACAGCAGACATTGTCATCTGTGACATCAAGTAACAAATGACTCCCCAGTGACCTGCTTTCTTAATCTTAGCCCTTTTGGAGGAAACTCCATTTTCAAACTACTTAATCCAACTTACAAAAAACTCTAGGATTTTGAAGAAAGATTAGAGGGTAGTTTGGCTTTACTAAACCCTTTGCTCCACTGACTGGTTTGTTGGAAGAAATTATCCCTAATTTTAAGAACAGTCATATGCTGCATATATTACAGTGCTCCCATAAGATTATAATGGGGCTGAAAAATTCCCGTCACCTAATGACTGATACGAATGAAAATTCCTGTTACCTAATGACTGATATGAATGATTAGTTTGGGGGGATTCTTTAAGGTGATTTTGCTACTTCAGCTAAACAACATCTTAACATGGTAGTGTCTGTTCAGATACACAAGTACTTAGCATTGTCACTACTGCGTCTGTATTTCAGTACACAGTAACATGCTGTGCAGGTTTGTAGCCTAGCAGCAATAGGCTATACCAGATAGCCTAGGTGTGTAGTAGGCTAGACTGTATAGGTTTGTGTAAGTCACTCTATGATGTTTGCACAACGACGAAGTCACCTGACGAAGGATTTCTCAGTCTGTATCCCTGTCATTATTTGTTGTGTGACTGTGTAGTCTGGGTTGTGAATTTTAAAGGATAGTTATGTTTACTAAAAACAAGTTGTTGAAGTTCTGACTTTTTGGTTTTTCTGTGTAGTTTAGAGTAGTTATATTTTTTAAAGGACTCCATTTTACCTCAGGGCTCTGGCCAGTTGAACTTTGTAACTGTTATTTCATACCTGGTTTCTTTCTACTTGAAAGAGTACACATAGAAGCGAAGGCCCAGCAGGGGTGACTAATTTACCAGTGCCATTTGTTTCCAGTCAGCTTGCTGTTTGGCTAAAAGGTAAAATACATAATTTTTGTGTAAGGAATTAGCTGTGGATATATTTTGGTTTTGAGTTTGTAGTATGTCCAATACAAAGAAAACTCACCATTAAAATGTATTTCAAGGTGTTCTTATTTGAAAAATGCTATTCTAACTCCGAATAGTGGGGAGCAAAAGGAATTAGCTGGCTGAGTGTGGTGGCTCAAACCTGTAATCCCAGCACTTTGAGAGGCAGAGGTGGTCGATTGCTTGAGTTTGAGACCATCCTGAGCAACATAGTGAGAACCTGTCTCTACAGAAGTACAAAAAAATTAGCCAGGTGTGGTGGCACGGGTCTGTAGTCTCAGCTACTCTGGAGGCTGAGGTGGGAGGATCACCTGAGTCCTGGAGGCAGAGGTTGTAGTGAGCCAGGGTCATGCCACTGCACACCAGCCTGGGTGACAGAGCAAGACCTTGTCTCAAAAAAAAAAAAAAAAAAAAAAAAAGGAATTAATCACTTTACAACAGATAATTGCTAAAGAATTCCTTTTCTTGTGTTTAAATCTCAAGTTTAAAATCAGCGTAGTAAACCCACAAAGTGATGGCTGGGGAATTGGAGGACCTCATTCATCAGTTAGGCCACGCTGCTGGAGCACACGGGCTCTGCTACAGGAATGTTGCTTCTGGCTCACTGGAACAGCATGGGCAGGAACTTACAGCAGTAGGTGGCTTTCTTCCATATAGTGATTTGGGGACCACGGCACGTTCCATGTTTTGGTTCTGCCATCCCTCAGGTTCTTTTGGTCCTCAGCATTTAGCTAGATACAGGTGAAGGACCATGGGAGGTTTGATGGTTCCTGGCACAATGGAGGAAACTCTGTCATGTGGCCACACCTACACGGTGAGTGCCCCAGGAAGGGGAGAGTAGAGACGGGTGACTGTCAGCACCTCACTGGGCAGGGCGCAAGGGCTGTGGGGTAGACGTTGGGTGGATTCAGGAGACTGCAGAAAGCAAAGTGGGTGTTAATGGGACTTTTATTTCCTGTGGAACAAAGGACACTACACTTTTCTGCAAAAGACCAAGTAGTAAATATTTTAGGCTTTGTGGGCCGCAGATGGCCTCTGTCATATATTCCTTTTTTTTCTTAAAACAACCCTTAAAAAATGTCAAAATCATTCATAACTGGCAGGCTGTGAGCTGGATTTGGTTTGCCAACACCTTCTTATTTCATCACAACTAATTACCACTCTTCTTTAGAAATCCAGTGTTTAATGAGTTTCCTTTATAATAAGGTTGAGATTTGGGAAGTCAGTTTTTACTTGAGGCAAAAAAGTTGTATCTTGATTCATAATTCAGAAGTGTCATTTTATCTAGGTTTTAGGCATAGCTTCTCACCTGATTGGTGAACGTATACCCTGTTTATTATTAGCTAAAAATAAGTGCTTGATGCCAGATTCACTTTTTTTCTGATTTATTTCTTAGTATTTTTCATACTTTGCCTTTAATACTAAGTGTGGGGAAGAGTAGTAAAAATATATTTTAAAAAAAGGTTTTGTGATTTTTAAGAACGTAGAGGTGCATGAGCTGTATTATTCCACCAGAAGCATGGTGGGTGGCACTGGCATTGTTATTCTGTGCCCTCAGACAGCGAACCACTTCTCTTCCTCTGGGGAATGAATGGAAACCCAACTTTTTCCCTCTTCCATTGAAGTTATCTTTTGGTATACTTTTGTCTTTTTTTCTACTTGTTAGTTGTATTAGTATCAAATGGCATAATAAAGTTACTTTGTTTGCCATTTCCCACTCATCTGAAAATCACAAAAAGCATTTATTTCTAAGATTTATATCCACTGACCTTTTCCCCAAAGTTATTTTCCTGTTACTTGTATTTCATCTTTGCCCTTATTTCTTTAATATTTGTATTAGAATTAGCTTGCTCTTGTTTCCTTCACGGCAAATGTGTTACATTGCCCACTGGGTGGCTTCTGCGGATGCCCCTACCCACCCCTCGTCTGGAGCAGAGAAGTCCTGTTAGCCTAGCAGCATAGTGGCTGCTGTCAGTGCGAGGAGTTGTGCTTCTCTAGCATGGTCTGTGATGTCATCTGGACATAATTATTAGACTAATCGAATAGAGGAACAAGACAGCCCTGCCTGCGACTGTGGGCCCCCGCTTTGTGTCATCCCACAGAGCTTTGTGCTGAACATCAGTCCTCCACATCGACTCCTCTTGTAAGATGTTGTGTCCAGGTGGATCATCACAGTGGCTGCCATCCTTAAATATGTCTTGGTCCTGTTGCTGCTAATTGATGTGAGCTTGTCGCCATGTGTCCTTTAAAGCATTTAAAGTTTTTTTTAGAAACAAGGAAGACTTTTATAACACCCTTCACATTTTATAATATTCCTATTTAAAACTTGCTCCTTAAGGAGCTTTTGGAAGCTTCTTTAAAACTCTGCTTGGCCGGGCACGGTAACTCATGCCTGTAATGCCAGCACTTGGGGAGGCTGAGGCAGGTGGATCACTTGAGGTTAGGAGTTTAGACCAGCTTGGCCAACATTGTGAAACCCCGTCTCTACTAAAAAAAAAAAAAAAAAAAAAAATCAGCCGGGTGTGATGGCATGGTGTAATCCTAGCTACTTGGGAGGCTGAGGTAGGGATTACTTGAACCTGGGAGGCAGAGGTTGCAGTGAGCTGAGATCATGCCACTGCACTCCAGCCTGGGTGACAGAGCAAGACTCTGTCTCGCAAAAAACAAACAAAAAACTCTGCCTATATTTTAAATTATATGCTCATATAAAATGTTCAGTGATCTCATTGCCTATCCTGTGAAGTGGATCTACTTTTTACAGAGCCTTGAGTAACCATGGTACAGAGTTTGTTTTCCTTCTGTTATTCCTGGATTGATCAGTGTTTATACTAGCAGTGTAAATGATTTTGCTCTCTATGATCTCTATTTAAAAAACATTTTTTTTTTGAGGCAGATGTTCATAAAAGCATAAAATCAGGATGTATTCCTGTCTGATCTCCTAAAGTGGGTGGGTTTTTTTTGTTTTGTTTTTTTCTTTGTTTTTTGTTTTTTTGTGGAAACAGGGTCCTCACCCTGTTGCCCTGCTGGAGTGTAGGAGAACAATCATGGCTTACAACAGCCTCAGCCTCCTTAGTAGCTGGTACTACAGGAGTGTGCCACAATGCCTGGCTAATTTTTTGAATTTTTTTTTGTCTTATAGAGATGAGGTCTCACTATGTTGTGTAGGCCGTTCTTGAACTCCTGACCTCAAGTGATGCTCCCGCCTTGTGCCTGCCAAAGTGCCAGGATTACAGGTGTGAGCCACTGTGTGCCCGGCCCAAATACATACTTCTAAAAATGTGTGCTATACATGGATTACCATCCTTTGCAGCCTCCTTCCTTTTACCTAGGCTCTTTTAAATAGCATGTGGATATTCATGCTTTTTTGGAGATAATGATAATGGTACACCTCACTAAGTGGGTAGTGAAGCTCCAGCTTATATGTAGGTTTTCGTTTGGGGGTTACAGAGAGTCAGTATGTATTAACAAACTCTGGTTTAGGAATTCTGCAGTGAGCATTTAGACAGATAGGAAAGGTCTTTGAATGGTCTCTACTGAGGTCTTTTCCTGTGATGCTATCATCCTGTCATGTGTCTCAAAAGTGGCATTTGAGATCATCCCATCATGAATGGCAGCCTGTAGATCATGTAGTGAACCCTCTGTTTTATATTTCCATTTGTAACAAATAAGTACTTTTTTTAGCTCTATAATTTGAAGTAACAAACTCTGTTTTCCTTGTTGAGGAAGGATGGGCATGAAGCTGAGGAATGAATATGTATGTGGCGTAGTGATTAGGTTTCATTGTCATGTTTTCCTAGTAAACAGAGGAGAATCAGTTTCTCTAACTCCTCAAGAATTAGTTTTCAGTTTTTAGTAGTATATTAAGAATGGCACAGATTTTACCAGTTTATTGCTTCAGGCTTTTGACTATGAAAGTACTGGTTTGCAGTGATCATTTAGTTCTTTAGTCTTCTGAAGCCTTCTAGATATTTAGGCCTCACTGCTTATCACTTGTTGCTGAAGATATTCTGTTTTTCACCCTTAAGAAAAGGGTGACTTTTCTCCTTTCCCAGCATCACTTCTTAATAGTATGGATGAATTACTTTTGCAGGTTAAAATCATCCCAAGTTTTAGCTTTGAGCATTTTCAAGTCAAAATTTTTTATCTATTAAAATATTTTCTTTTCTGAGAAGGAAAAAATCCTGCCAGTAACGCATTAAAAAGTATTTTATAGGTTCAGTGTGAAGCTTATTTAACTTATGTGAGCCAAGTTGGCATTTTAGATTGTAAAACTGAACTGAAATATGAATTATGGAAAATTAATTTGTAAAGTTGAAATTTTATGAAATACTTTCTGCATTTTGTTTAGACCAGCATGTTTTGGAAATTTGATCTTCACTCATCATCCCACATAGACACACTTCTAGAAAGAGAAGATGTAACACTGAAGGAGTTAATGGATGAGGAAGATGTTTTACAGGAATGTAAAGCTCAGAACCGCAAACTTATAGAGTTTCTGTTAAAAGCAGAATGTCTCGAAGATTTAGTCTCATTCATTATAGAAGAACCACCTCAAGACATGGATGAAAAGATCAGATACAAGTAAGACAATTCAATCTTCTCTGTAGAGTGGGACTAAAGTGAAGTGGGGGTAGAATATACAGCTCTTGTTCAAGGATTCTCCAGTGTGACTGTTGCCATTTACAGAAGGGTAAGATAGTCAAGAATGACAGGCTCGGTGGAGCGCAAAATCCATTCTAGCAGTAAGTCCAGGGAATCACAAGAGTTTAAAAATGAGCGTTCTGAATTTCATTCAAAGGTTTTCTGGAAAGGCAGCGTGCTTTGTAAACAATGATGATAAATATCTCAAAATAGTAAGATGATTAAAATATTTACTTTGCAAATAGGAAGATGGACATGATGTGACTATGCAGAATCGCACAGCAGATCTAAGTCAGAGCTTGGGGTTGTGAAGAGCATTGCTTATACAATACATTCTGACCTTTCATTCACTGAAAGTAAAGGAATGGGTACCATGGGTAACTACAGTGGATTTTGTCTGCTAGTTTAATCTGCTTACAAAGAGAACGACAGTACAGTAAGAATCCTTTATTACCATCACTGTAACACTTTTTCTACAAACCCCTGGAAACTCTCCATAGGTATGTAAAGTATTGGGGTTTCAGTTAATTATTTCTCCATATCCAACTCTATTGAAATATTTGGCTCTTTTCCCCCCAGAAAATAGAGCAACTTCAGAAACAAAAATTGATGCATTACATAAACTTAATGGAACAGGAAGAATTAGGCTTTTAGTAGTGTCTCTCTTGCCATTTGTCCCTCAGTTTACCTTTCTTTTCAGACATCTTTTCCTTTCGTCTTGGGGAGAAATGTGCTGTTAGGGAAATAATACTTGTTAATGCTTTCAAGTTGCTAGTGGCTTAGGTCTTCAGAGATGTCATGTTCTCTGCCAACCATTAACATTGACACTTTGCATTTAGTGAAAGCCTTCACTCAGAGATTAGTGTCTTAATAAAAGAGGAGGAAAGGCTGGGCGCGGTGGCTCATGCCTGTAATCCCAGCACTGTGGGAAGCTGAGGCAGGTGGATCACCTGAGGTCAGTAGTTCGAGACCAACCTGGCCAACATGGTGAAACCCCGAGTCTACTAAAAATACAAAAATTAGCTGTGCCTGGTGGCAGGCACCTGTAATCCCAGCTACTCGGGAGGCTGAGGCAGGAGAATCACTTGAGCCCGGGAGGCCGTGACAGACCTACTAGTGTGCTGTCATCCCCCAAATGATAGACACTTTGCTACTTGGAATTCCCTTCACAGTGAACTAGCATGTGGGTGGTGCTACTTGAATTGGGGCTTATCCCTGATGGAGGAGTGTGGTATGCATCAGAGAGCACAGATTTTGGATCAGCCTCCTCAGAAGAGTATGACCCTCTTCTCTTCCAATCTCTGAGAGCTTGGGCAGGGAGCTTACCCTTCTTGGGTCTGTTTCCTCATATGCTGAATGAGGCTAGTAATGTTTTAATCATTGAAGAGTAGGCATGCCTTCTATGAAGGGCTTACTTTCCACAAAAGTACTGCGCACCCCCCGCCGTTATAACAGTGTGGCACTTGTATTATATTGCTTCGTCAGTGTTTTTGCCTTTGAGGTTGCAAGAGCAAATGCACCTCCTCTGGACACAGCCTTCTGCATGGTACCATTTTGAAGGAGCACCACTTGAGTTGGATAGGGCAGTACTCTGCCATGCTTCTGCCCTGAGCAGAGTCACCACCTGTGTGTAACATATCTTGGATGATGCCACAGCTAGATTAGCATAGAGGGGTTTTTCAGCTGGGATCTGAAAGTGCTTTAGGGTTATGGTTGACTACAGTCATTTAAGGAAGTTTAGACTGGGATTGTGTAGTTTTGGGATGATGGAGTAATTGCTGTATTGGGGTAAACCAGACTAAAAAGTCCCCCAATAATTTTTCAGATAAGACCTCTGGAGAAAAATGAAGCATGACGAGACAGGGACTGCTGAAGGTGGTGGGGTGGGCAGAGGAGCTCAGGAAAGGCCTAATTAAGATGGTGCCATCTGGTCAGAGCCATGCAGGAATTAAGGGGGTTGCCAGGTGGGCACTTACAACCAGGAACATCCAGGCAGGGGGAACAGCAAGTGTGGAAGCACTAATGTGCTCATGTGCTTGGTGTGCCCCAAGAACATCTGGGCAGCCAGAGAAGGGGCAGCATTGTGAATGAGGGAAAATGGAAGGAGGGAGGGTTGGAGTGAAGGTGGAGCACCTCTGGAGACAGGCCATGCAAGGCCTGGTAGGCTCAGCCAGGATGCTTGCTATACTTGGGATGAGATGGGAAGCCACCAGAGGGTTTTGAGCAAATGTGTGCATGTTGGGGAATCTGCCCCGATATTCACATAGGTTCTTTTCTGTTTTCCCTAAGCGTCAGTCGGCTTGAGAAATAAAGGGACAGAGTTCAGAAGAGAGATTTTAAAAGCTGGGCGTCCGGGGGAGACATCACATGTCAGTAGGTTCCGTGATGCCCCACAAGCCACAAAAACCAGCAAGTTTTTATTAGAAGTTTTCAAAAGGGGAGGGAGTGTGCAAATAGGTGTGGGTGACAGACATCAAGTACTTAACAGGGTAATAGAATATCACAAGGCAAGTGGAGGCAGGGCGAGATCACAGGACCGGGGCAAAATTAAAATTGCTAATGAAGTTTTGGGCACCATTGTCATTGATAACATCTTATCAGGAGACAGGGTTTTGAGATCAACCCGTCTGACCAAAATTTGTTAGGCGGGAAGTTCCTCTTCCTAATAAGCCTGGGAGCATTATGGGAGACTGGAGTCTGTCTCACCTCTGCACTGACCATAAGAGATGACCACACCCAGGGGGGCCAGTTTAGAGACCTACCCCCAGGTGCGCATTCTCTTTCTCAGGGATGTTCCATGCTGAGAAAAAGAATTGAGCGATATTTCTCCCATTTGCTTTTGAAAGAAGAGAAATATGGCTCTGTTCCGCCTGGCTCACCTGCGGTCAGAGTTTAAGGTTATCTGTCTTGTTCCCTGAACATCGCTGCTATCCTGTTCTTTTTTTAAGATGCTCAGATTTCATATTGCTCAAACACACATGCTGTACAATTTGTGCAGTTAAGGCAATTATCACATGGTCCTGAAGTGACATACATCCTCCTCAACTGACAGGATTAAGAGATTAAAGTAAAGACAGGCATAGGAAAGCACAAGGGTATTGATTTGGGGAGGTGATAAGTGTCCATGAAATCTTTACAATTTATATTTAGAGATTGCAGTAAAGACAGACATAAGAAATCACAAAAGTATTAATTTGGGGAACTAATAAATGTCTATGAAATCTTCACAATCTACGTTCTTCTGCCATGGCTTCAGCTGGTCCCTCTGTTTGGGGTCCCTGACTTCCTGCAACCTGTGCCATAGTCTGACTTTGTTCCTTAGGAGTGCTCTGCCTGCTCTGTGGTTAGGGACTGTAGGAGGACAGAAGTGGAAGTACAGTTGGCTGCAGTGATCAGCAGAGAAAAACAAGATCTTAGTGGACCTGATTGTTGAGAAGCGGTCAGATTTCCAGAGGCACTAGATGAAGTTAGAACTGAAGGGGTTTCCTCTAGGTATGGAATGGGAGATAAAGTGTCAAGAGTGACTATGAGGATTTTGGCCTGGGCAGTTAAGAGGATGGAGTGGCTTTATGGCAGTGAAATAAGATTGCAGAGGGAAAGGGCAGGAGTTTGGGTCTGGCCCTGTCACATTTGAAATGCCTGTTAGACATGAGGTGGAGATGAGGCCTAGTGGTAGGTGGACAGAGGACATGTAAAGCCACAAGGCTGAATGAGATCGCCTGCAGAGCTGATGGAGCTAGAAGAAAGCTTCTGAAACTGGAGATGGGTAGTGTGGGCTGGCCTGGGTTCCACTGAGGGATGGAGGAGTGATTGGATGCAAGAGGAGAACCTGGGGGCTGCTACCCTGGAAACCAAGGGAAGTCTGGCTTCAGGAAGGAGGGGGGACAGTGGGTTAGCGGTACTGCTCATAAGAAACCACTCAGTTTGTAACATGGAGATCATGGGCCCCATCAGTACAGGTTCTTTGGAGGGGCCCAGGTGAAAGCCTGGAGGCAAGCAGAGACAACTCTTTGAAGTGATTTCTTGTAACAGGAGCAGAGAGGAAGTGGTAGGTCGAGGCAGATTTGGAGTCAGGGGTGGTGTGGGGTTTTGTTTTTTCCTAAATGGAAGTGATGACCTGTGAGAACGTTGCAGCACAGAGGAAACACAGCCAGTGTGAGGGAGCAGGCCGCCGAGTGATGCATTGTGCTGGAGTGGGCGGGGGTGGGGGCATGTGGTCCAGAGCATACATGCAGGAGATGACCTCAGGAGCAAGGGCCACTCCCCTGGAGCGAGGAGGAAGTGCCCAGCTGTAGGTGGGGATGTGATAGGGCTGGGTTCCCTTCTGATTGCCTTCTCTGTGTTCTCAGGCAAAGGAAGCGAGGTCAGAGCCTATGGAGGAGGAGGGGTCTTGCCGAGGGTGGAGTGGAGGCATCTTTGGGTGCTTGAGAAGCTGCTGTTTTTTTTTTTTTTTTTTTTTTAAGACAGAGTCTTGCTCTGTCATCCAGGCTGGAGTGCAGTGGCGCAGTCACAGCTGGCTGCAACCTCTGCCTCCCAGGTTCAAGTGATTCCTGTGCCTCAGCCTCCTGAATAGCTGAGACTACAGGTGTGTGCCACCACACCTGGCTAATTTTTGTGTTTTTAGTAGAGATGGGGTTTTGCCACATTGGCCAGGCTGGTCATGAACTCCTGACCTCTGGTGATCCATCCATCTTGGCCTCCCAAAGTGCTGGGACTATTGGTGTGCGCCACCGCGCTCGGCCTTGAGAAGCTTCTTGAATGTTAAGGAGGGAGGGAAGGAGAGTAGCCCCAGCCTGTCTGGAACCAGAACTCTGAGCTTTTTGTGTAATGGCTAACATTATGCATGCTTCTTGAGTTAGGTCATACCACCCAGTCACCTAGAAAAAGTGAACAAATTTTAAAGTTGCTCATCTGGACTTTCTCTGTCAGAGTTTGGAGAAAACACTCATGCATTTGATTCACAGCCAGGAGTCCGCTTGCCTTTTACTGATCTTCTGTTTGTCAGCAGTTTCCACATTAAGACAGTTGAGTGAGTGCATCTCCCCAACCCACTCTAGCAGCATTCTGCCATTTTATAGTGAAAATAAAGAGGAATGAAAACAGCTGTCATTTATTAAACACTTATTTACTTTATGCCAGGCCCTCTTCCCAGCCTTTTTTACTCCCCTCCTCCATAAGATAAGGACTATTGTCTTAATCTTACTAACTTGGAAACTGAGGCCCAGAGAGGTTAAGTAACTTGTCCAAGGTTATACAGCATGTAAGTGGTAGAGGCCGGTTTTGAACTTAGCTAGTGTGACTCTAGTAGCTGCACCTGTAACCGCTGCATCAGCCCACTCCTGGGATAATGGGTACTTTACAGGGGTTTATATTCTGGCATCTTGAAGCCCATGCTACGTAAATTGAGGGAGGAGACTTTACTTCCCAAAGACCCATACATCTGCCAGGTCTGTTTTTTTTTTTTTCCTTTTCTGTTTTCTTTATACAAAGACTCATTTTGGGACCTTCTCATACTCTTCTGTCTTTAGGCCTCACACCAGAGCCTGTCAAGTGCCGTGGCTTTCTGGTTCGTCACCAGTGGTCTTTTTGTGCCAGGGTCTTGCTGCAGGCAGCACTTGCTTGCCTTGGATGCCCCAGGTGTGTCGTATACGTGTCCCTCCTGCCCCAGTCTTCCCTGGTTTCTTTTGTCATGCAGCCACGTTTGGCTATTTTGCCATCTCTCTGTCTTGCTCAGCTTTTGAGCTTGCCACTCCTGATGACTTGTTGGGGCGCTGGGTCCTGGCTGTCCAGCAGGGAGGAGTGTAAGAGCAGAGTAATTCTGGGTCAGCTAGAGTATCGTCTGGATAGGCTCAACGTCTCTGTTGTTGCTAGTGAAAACAGACACGAGATTGTCATAGTAGGAGTAAGTGGAGGAAATGGACCTGCTGCCTGTTTGCAGAGGGTCAGTGGTCTGGTTGTCAGAGGCAAGCATTTCTAAAGCCATGGGGTCTGTAGAAGAGCCTGTGTGGGTCCATATAGAGCAGGTGTCATGTTCTTAGCCGTGGGCCTTCTACAGGAGAGACAGCATGGTGAAGACTCATGGTGGGCTGACTTTGTGTCTGTGCTGATATCCAGATACTGGAAGGCTGATGTGGAGAGCACTAGTTTTGTTTTGTTTTGGTTTTGACACAAGGTCTCACTCTTGCCCAGGCTGGAGTGCAACAGTCATAGCTCTTTGTAGCCTCAAACTTGTGGGCTCAAGTGATCCTCTAATCTCAGCCTCCTAAATAGCTAGGACAACATTTTTTTTGTATACTGCTTCCTGCCTTGGTAGCCCAGGCTGATGTCCTGTTCCCCCCTTCATTATAGTAGGATGCTTACTCTCTTAAGATGTAATATAGACTTAGTACCATTTACAACCCATCTAAAGATAAAGGCTGGTCCAGGTCCCTACAGAGTGCCTTAAGTCATTACAAGGTGCTGCATGCAGTGCAGTTTCCTGGAAACCAGTGTCCTCCACAGTTGTCCGCAAGCTTTGCTGCTTCCCATGCCAGAGGAGGCTGTAGCCTGATGGCTCGTACGTCCAGCCGCTTTCCTCGCTGATCGTGGAGAAGGCCCGGGCCCTGCAGCATGACCTCTCTGGGCTTCTGAGTACTAGGTGCGCTCTAGTTTCTTCAGGGAAAATGTATTCTTGTTAAAGCTTGGTTTAAAAACAATTTTTTAGATAGTAGAAAATTTATTTTAGTCTGGAGGTAGGTTGAACAGAATGGATTGAAATGATTTCCTGATTTCCAGTAAACGATTTTATTTTTTTCACAAAATCTTGGGAAGCCTTTCTGATTTGTGTTTATCTTTATGTAATTAAACTGTTAATAAAGATGATGATGTAAATATCCTGTTCTTCTAGGTATCCAAATATATCTTGTGAGTTGCTCACTTCTGATGTCTCCCAGATGAATGATAGACTGGGAGAAGATGAATCCTTGCTAATGAAATTATATAGCTTCCTCCTAAACGATTCCCCTTTGAATCCACTACTTGCCAGTTTCTTCAGCAAGGTGCTAAGTATTCTTATCAGCAGAAAACCAGAACAGGTAAATATGATTTTCCAAAAGGTAAGTATTAGGGCTGATCATCCCCTTGAGGTGATCCCCCAGTACTTGTTGCTTTAAGAGTTCTAACTTTGCCTTAAGTTCAGGTTGTATAAGAGAATGTATTTTAAACCTTAAACATTCTAAGCACTCACATACTATTTGTATGTTAATGAATATTTCTAATATGGCATAATCTCAAATTTCACTTAATTTGTTAGCATACTTTAGTTTCCTCTTTTGAGAAGTGGGTAGAAGATGAGAATATTGGGTACCCATTTGTGAAGACAGGGCTTAACTAAGATGGCAAGTATAATAACTAAGCAGTTGAATATGTCACCAAACAATTGCTTTGTTTTGTTTTTCCCCCATTGATGATCAGAGATGAAGCTTAAACCAAAAACCTTTCCCACAAATGTAATTGGTGATTGGTTTGTACTAATGGTGATTCTGTTTTGATTCTACTCAAAACTTCTCCAGTGTCAGGCTTGAGACATCTGAGTGTATAGACTGCTGTGTACATTTGCAGCTGTGCTGTTCCTATCCAGTGTGGTTTGACAGAAACTTCACTTGGTTCTCTAAGTGTGGTCCCTGAACCAGCAGCCCCTCAGTATTACCTGAGAATTTGTTAGAAATGTAAGTTCTTGAGTCCTATTCCAGACCTGCTGAATCAGAAACTCTGAGAGATGGGCCCAGCAGTCTGGGTTTTAGCAAGCCTTCCAGCTAACTCTGATGCATGCTAACATTTGAGAACCACCGCTTTAGTGGATATTGTTGTGAAAAAGGATCTGCTTATCTGGAGATTTTAGTCATTTTATGGAAATAGGCACTCAGGGAACAACTAGAGCCTCAGATATTCAAGTATAAACTATAGCAGATTTGCCAGAATTGCAAGTATAGGTGTGATGATACGGGGCAAAAGTGGTCAAACCAGTTGGTCCTGCCATCCTTCATGATAGAAAATGGCTCTGGGTGACCCATTGTTGCTATCAGCACTTGTGGAAGGACTGGAGCTATTTTGGGCCCAGTGTGTCCTGTCCTATGCCAAGGCAAAGTGGATACATGCTTTATTTTAGAAAGAGATATTTCTTTCTTTCACTTAATGGAGTAGGATAAGCTTTCTAAGTTGATTGGAAATGAGATTCTTTTCACTTTGGTAATAATCCCCAAATCATGATTAATGTAGATTGTCTCTTTTTTTCTGCCTTCTAGTTAGAAATACAAGAACTGCTGGCTGTTTTAGGAGAGTGGAAGCCATCCTATCACCCTGATATTACCAGGCAGTTCTCAGGGATGGTTGTTGTAGCCATTATCCAGACATTATGCTTCATTGTGCTTTTTCTCCTCACTTCTGTGCTGTTGGAATCCAAGTTGGCGAGCCCCGATTTTCAGTGTACACATAAAGAGAGAGAATACACTTAAAACCTTGCCAGTTATGTTCTGAGACAAGAGCCCTTCGGCCTTTTGCTTGTTACACTTCCCTGTCAGGACTGTATGAATGATAGCAAGAGGATTCAGTGGCTGTGAGTTAAGATCAAACTTGGCATTTCTTTATCCTTTGCCAATTAGGAGTGTAAATAAAGGTTTTCTGTTATGTGATAGTATTAGTAGGGGTGTATGCAACTGTAAGGACAAAAATTGAGACTCAACTGGCTTAACCAATAAAGGCATTTGTTAGCTCATGGAACAGGAAGTCGGATGGTGGGGCATCTTCAGTGCTGCATGAGTCAGCACCCCAGCGGGGTCATCTGTGCCACAGGTCCCTGTTGACAGTGCTGTACTGTCCACCACACTAGCTGGGATTTATTCCTTTGGGCTCCAGGTTTGGTGTTTCTGGCACTGAATTACGGAATACTTGGGACACATGTGACTTTTTTCGTCCTTTCTCCTCTACTGTCCTTTTAAAAACTTGTGGGATCCAATTGTGAGTGAATTATTTATGTGTCATATCATTTCTTGAAGTTTTATATCATAATGCTTGACCTCATTGTCTAGAGAAGCAATGTGTGTTGGTTAATCCTGTATTTATACCTAATTGTATGAAGCAGTTTTAGTTGTCATTTCTGGCTATTAGACTTCATGTGGCATAATGGAAAGATTGTGGCTTTTGTGGCATACATATCCAATTTTAAATCCCAGGCAGCCACCTTTTAGCTCTGGAAGATAGTTTCTGAGCCTTGGTTTCCTCATCTCTAATGGGGTGTGGCGGTGGGGGTGAGTTATCCAACCCCCCACGCCCCAGAGCTTTTGAGAAATTTCAGTGAGATCCTGTTATATAGCAGCTGCGACACTCCCCCTGGGACTCGCAGAGGGTTTGGGAATAGATGACACGTGCGCATGGACAGAGGCAGAGGCAACAAGGCTGTATGGGACACAGGGATGCATGGGACAGAGTCATCTCCCTGGTCTCCCAGAGCAGAAGAGACCAGCAGCAGGGGCCTGATTTCCGTGGCCATTCTCACGTTCCTTCAGGGTAGCTCTCTGCCTCTCCACCAGCTGCCCTTCTTGTGCTAAGCTATTGGAGTAAATTGGTGAAGTCAAAATCAAAGGCGATGTTTGTGTAGCCAGGTGAGTTAGTTATTTTGACTAGAGTAGAAATCTTTGTTTTGAAATTTTTTTCTCATGCTTGTTAGAGTCCAGTTAGGATTTTGAATATTACTTATTTTAGTGCAAAATCTAACAGACATGCTTTATGTTCATAAACTGTAAAATGGTATATTCTCTTGCTCTTTATAGGCATATTAAATTTTTGATCACCATTCTTTGAGAATGAATAATGAAAGTGAATAGAAATAAAAGATTCTGTTAAGTTGTATTTGTATTAATGGACGTGCTAATTTAGGGGATTTTTTTCCAAGGGGTATTTTGAGTATTGTAACTATTAGCCAGGCTTTCCAATTTGATACCTTGTTGCTAATTCAGCATTTGCCATTTCTCAACCTAAAGTAGTGGTAGAATTTGGAGGAGTCGGGGTTGGGACTTAAAAGGTAAAGTTTATAGTTTCCAAGTTACATGTCTTTCAGTTTCTGATCTGTTCTTCTCTAGATTGTGGATTTCTTAAAGAAGAAGCATGATTTTGTAGACCTTATTATAAAGCACATAGGAACTTCTGCTATCATGGATTTGTTGCTCAGGCTCCTGACGTGTATCGAACCTCCACAGCCCAGGCAAGATGTGCTGAATGTGAGTAGAATTCTGACCTGCTGTTGACTGGGGTTAGGGTGCTGGCATGTGAGCCCACCAGGCTGCTGTGTGCTGGGAAGGAATGCATGGGATTAGGGTTGGTAGCAGAGGGTTGTCTGGGGAGCCGGTAACAGGGTGGGGAAGAAAGGTTGTTCCAAGATAGGAAGAGATCCAGATTTTGCAGAACTAGAATTTCAGATGGGCACATCCCTAGGTATGTAGGATGTTTTGTTGTGAGTATTTTTTCCTTTTGCTGGTTTGCTTTTTATGGGGGTGGTGAGACTTTATGGGTTGAGCATTTGTCTTGAAGCTGGTTCTGATGGTAAAAGCAGAAATGAGAGGGTTGGGAGCTCTAAGTCCCATTTGAGTATGTTATGAGGCCACGCTCTTCAGGGCCACCTCTGAAGGTCAAAACGGAGAGGTGTTGATGTATCCAGGGATTCAGGCTTCAGAAGTAATTCTCTTCTCATGGGTACAGAGGAGCAAAGGATAAGGAGAACAGAGTTTACTTTGAGAAGGACATATTTTAAAATGTAGACAGATGGTGATTTTTAGGATGTGTGCCTCTTGAATAGATGTCTCAGGTAGAATTTGGGTGGGAAGAGGGGAGGGTGTGAGTAACTTGAAAATAAGGTTTCTCCCAGGCTCCCATCTCTGCCTTCTCTTCTTGTCTTTTGTGTCTTTCCCTCTTCCTTTCTTTTTTGAGTTGGGAGTCTCACTCTGTCGCCCAGGCTGGAGTGCAGTGGCGTGATCTCGGCTCACTGCAACCTCTGCCTCCCAGGTTCAAGCAACTCTCTTGTCTCAGTCTCCTGAGTAGCTGGGATTATAGGTGTCCGCCACCACACCTGGCTAATTTTTGTGTTTTTAGTAGAGACAGGGTTTCACCATGTTGGCCAGGCTGGTCTCGAACTCCTGACCTCAGGTGATCCGCCCGCCTGGGCCTCCCAAAGTGCTGGGATTACAGGCGTGAGCCACTGCTCCCGGTCCCCCTCCCTTTCTTCCCTTTCTCAGAAGCTTTGCAGAACCATGCTTCAGTCTATCCGTCTTTAATACTAACCTGCAACCTTAGAACTTACTCATTTCTTTGGAAATGAGTTTTGTTGAGAATGCTAATTGTTATTTAAGACCTCAAGGACTAGGAGGGCCTATGAGGAGGAAGGTCTTTCAGGTGGTGCCCAGGGCAGGGCATGTTCCAGTGAGGTAGGGAGGTGTGCCAGGTGTGCATTTATGTGATGGTGTCAGGGCTGGATTTGTTGGTGACCCAGGCACTGTGATCACTGTGAGTAAACAGCTGGGTGTATCTAGTGGGTGTCCTGGGACTTGTCTGTTGGCAGGGACCTTAAATTGGGACACCTGTTTCCTTTTGGGTGTGTCTTTGTAGATGTATCTTTTCCCAAAAGAGGTTGAGGATTCTGGGGAAGACTGAGGACAGGGAGGGGGTTATCACCTTTATATTGGAATTATCATAGGGAGAGATTTATTCAGGATGGTTTACTGGAACCAGTTTATTCCTTTGGTTGCTTCTGGGTTCAAGTTTAGGACCTGTCTGGTTTCCAAAGGAATCAGTGTGTTTCTGGAGAGAGAGAGCGATAGGAGGTTGATAAAGGTGTAGGTTGGGGAAAGGTTAGTTAGAAACCCCTAAATGTCTTTTGATTTTGTGGATCCACAGTCGGAGATGACTACAGAAGTGGGCTTGGAATGTAGGTGCCTGTGAATAGCTGTGGAGACAGCAGGAGTCTGGGATTGATTAGTTCGCCGCCTGGAAAGTTTCCTGGTTTCTCCTGTAGTGGTCAGGAATGCCCCGCCCCTCACATAGATGTTTACTCTCCTCTGTTTCGGGACATTATTACTCAAAGAATGGTCCTAGACATCACTTGTGAGCTTGTTAGAGATCTGTAATCTCAGGTCTCTTCCTTGGCCTACTGAATCAGAATATACATTTGAACAAGATTCTCGGAGAATTTGTGTGCACATTTTAAAACAGATATTAAAATATGAAGTTGGGCCTCTACCTCTGTGGTGCCTACCTAATAGCTTCACATTTTCCTTTGTTTGGTGTTTTCGTTGAGCAGCCAGAGAGTGTCAGGGTTTCTTCTCTGTTCCTTAAGCAAATTGTGTTTGATTTCTGCCCCCGCTGCCCGCCCTAGTCTCCTTTAGCTTTCCGGGCTTTTTATGAGCAGAGGAGGGGTGGTGTCCTTTCTAGGTAGTGAGCTGCCTTGTTGATGATGGTGTTTTGGGCTTCTTATGGCATTAATGTTAAGCCAGATGATTTTTCCTTTATTTTTTCTGAATTCGGATTCCTTTTATGTTTTCATTCACTGTAGCATTTCATACATGGATTAAAAGGAGATGGCCATAGCTCTTTGCCAGCACATGACAGGGCGGAAAAACTCTGCCTCTGTGCTTCCTCCAGCCCCCACGTTTCCTGCAGTGGGTTTGGTTTTGTAATCTAAAAGTCCCATTTGTTCATCCTGTGTTTTTCTTAACCCAGAGACTTGGTGCTAAATATTGCTCTTCTCAATCTTTCTGAAGCTTGGAATGAACGTGCTCTTACAGAAAATGTATAAATTCCATCCTTCTTAATCTCCCAGCCCTCTCTTCTTAAGAACTAACCTACAAACCCTTTTAGTCCTAAATGTCTGGAGGTGACCTCATGGCTAAGAAGCTGATATATAGAATTTTAGTGTGTGGGTATTGTAATTTGGGGAGTTGTTGGTACTGTTGGCCATTGTTAAAACAATATATTCACTGGCATTTTCCTTGGGGGACTTTTAATTTTCTGTAGTGTTCAAAGTCCAGAGAAACCTGTAACATTCTACTTAAAATGTGATGGATATTTCCAAGTATGTTAATCTACATTGGGGCTTGAACAAGAGCCACTCATTGCTATGATTACTTCTACAATGTGTTTTACAGTGGTTAAATGAGGAGAAAATTATCCAGAGGCTTGTGGAAATAGTTCATCCATCGCAAGAAGAAGATGTAAGTTCACTTGTGTGACTGTAAACTTGATTAGAAAAAAAAAACAAAAAACTGTTTATTGGGCACAGAGCATACTTATATTAAATGTGAACATGATCAGAGCATACAGGGAGAATAGCAGCGATCTAGTGTTCTTAAAGTTGATACTTTTCTAAACAATATTACATTTTGCCAATACTCAGAAAATTTCCAGAAGTGTACAACAGCAGGCCCTTGTTATAGCACCATCTCCTTTCTAGAGCCGGTATTTCATGCTGAACCAGCTGGTTTTTGTACAAACCTCCTTTGTTTATGCTCCTTTTTACTTTTTTTTTCCCCTTTGAGACGGAGTCTCCCTCTGTCGCCTAGGCTGGAATGCAGTGGCGCGATCTTAGCTCACTGCAACCTCCACCTCCCAGGTTCAAGCAGTTCTCTGCCTCAGCTTCCCGAGTAGCTGGGATTACAGGTGCCCGCCACCACCCTGGCTAATTTTTGTATTGTTAGTAGAGACCGGGGTTTCACCATCTTGGACAGGCTGGTCTTGAACTCCTGACCTTGTGATCCACCAGCCTCGGCCTCCCAAAGTGCTGGGATTACAGCCGTGAGCCACTGTGCCCGGCCTCCTTTTTATTTTTATACCCATCTGTAGCAGTTGATGTGGCCACATTTGCATTTGTTTTATCCAGTCTGTTTACAGCTTTGCAGGCAGTGAAGTGGGATGTTGGTCACCATTGAGCCCCTACAGTAACTTTGTTATACTTCCTAGCCGTGGCTGTTAAGCTCTGACAGGTTTGGCCTTAGTCCTAGGTGCTAAAGGTTGACTTGGTTACAGGATTGAAGCTAGATTTGGAGTTTGCAGATTGAACTCTGTGCTGAGGGAATGCCTGTTGGGACCAGTGGGTGTGTGTGTCTCTAGAAGAGATCTATAAGGTTACCACCTTAAGTATCTTGGCCAAGCCGTATAAAATTGGCAGTAGTCATCCATTTTTACCTACAGACATGATAGTTCTCTATGGTTCAGCCTAATATCTACAAAGGAGTTGGTTTAAGGGCAATTCAAAGTTTGTCCTGAAGCTGGGAGAATCTCCTTGTGTGTCTCTAGGTTGCAGGTTAGATGGGAGAGCGAGCACAGCAGAGGAGCTGTGCAGGAAGAGACATGCAATGGAGGCTCCTCTCTCTCACAGAAATACATTTTCTGTGATAGTAGAGCGAAACCCTTTCACTCTGATCCATTCAGAAACTTTTCATACCTGGACTTTATTAAAGGGACTGTCACTTCCCCATTATCCCTCTTTGGGAGAATGCAAGGTATGCTCCTTTGCAGTAGTTGTTACTGTTAGCAGAGTTGACATTGTGGACACATCCAGTGCAGACATGGATTGGGAATGTGGGAGCCCCTGCTTAGAAGGTGCTCTCAACCTAGCTGGGGTGATAAGCCCTCCTCCTGTGGGCAGGGGAGTGTGGTTCTAGGAGCAGGTTTCCCTGTGATGACAGTGTGGCCTGTGCAGGCCGTGGAGAGCCATGACAGGAGTGTGGCCTGCCCCGTTGACAGGGAGGAGTTTCCATGAATGAGGCTTACTCCTTGCTAGGTTCATGTTCTTGAGCAGAGGAACTTGATTGCTCAATGGGCTAGGAAGAGGATTGCTCAGTAGGGGCTGTCTGAAGGGCCCAGGAGAAATTGATAATGGAGAAGTCCAATTCTGCAACAAGTTTTTTGAGAAGGACACTGCATTGTGGACATGAGTACCTTCTCTGCATGACTTAGAAGAAAGTTAATTTTGGTTTTTGGACAGTCCTGTTGACACTTCTGTTTTGTATTAAGTGATGAATTCCATGTTAAAATTATACTGGCCAGTTGATAGTTACCAAGGAAATGCTAGGCTCCTGATTCCAGTCAGTGGGTTTGGATATCCTAATCTGTGCTCTCCTCTCTTCTAGAATATGAGTGTTCTGCCTGTATTGGGAGCACATTGCTCAGTCTTTGAGTTATGCTCAGTTTCTTAATCCAGAGAATAAAATGTGTTTGGGTGCTGAGATTTTAGAGCTTTTCTGTAAGGTCAATACACTGAGAGAAGGCTTAATATTTCTTATCCATTGGCATTTTCCAGAAAACTGTATTTGCTTTTACTTTTTTTTTTTTTTTTTGAGACGGAGTTTCGCTTTTGTTGCCCAGGCTGGAGTGCAATGGTGCCATCTCGGCTCACCGCCACCTCTGCCTCCCAGGTTCAAGCGATTCTCCTGCCTCAGCCTCCCGAGTAGCTGGGATTACAGGCATGCGCCACCACGCCTGGCTAATTTTGTGTTTTTAGTAGAGATGGGGTTTCTCCATGTTGGTCACACTGGGCTCGAACTCCTGACCTCAGGTGATCTGCCTGCCTCAGTCTCCCAAAGTGCTGGGATTACAGGTGTGAGCCACTGCACCCAGCTGTACTTTCACTTTTTTTTAATTCAAAAAAAGTATGTGCATCCTTCTATGCTGATAAGAGTGTATTTTGGGGATACACGTTGAGTATCCCTTATCTGAAATGCTTGGAACCAGAGGTATTTTGGATTTCAGTTTTTTTCAGATTTTGGAATACCTGTATTTGCATTATACTGGTTGGGCATCCTGGACCTAGAAATCTGAAATGTTCCAGTGAGTATTTCCTTTGAGTGTCATGTTTTAAATTTTGGAGCATTTTCGATTTGGGATGCTCAATCTGTATTTTTTCCCAACTATTTTAGAAATTTTTCCTCATCAGAACCTTGACGACATCTCCCTGCACATAGCAGTAATGTACTGTGCACTATTATAAAGCTCATTCACCTGACAAAATACAATACTTGTGATGTGATCTCTCTTGGCCTTGACCTTTTGCGCACTGAAGCTTATGGCCAGTGTTAATTTGTTATTTCTTAAATAACTTTCCCTTTCATTTTTAAATTATAAATTTAACTTCTAACATGTTTTATGGTTAAAATTGTACTTTTTTCCTTTAGCGACATTCAAATGCATCACAATCACTTTGTGAAATTGTTCGCCTGAGCAGAGACCAGATGTTACAAATTCAGAACAGTACAGAGCCCGACCCCCTGCTTGCCACTCTAGAAAAGTATGTGTAAAACTCTGTTCTTGTTCTTCTTTCATATTGATGCTGTTCCATGTGTTACCATTGTGAGTGATTGGTAAGTGTTCCTTATGTGGGAATCATGTGCCTTGAAAATAACCTTGGGTGGGTGAGAAGGTAGGGAAACCTGCTTCTTTTATCTCAGTAGAAGTTTGGCAGGGTAAGAAGATAAATGACATTTATATCTAGACTTTGAGTTTTCCAATTATTTGTAAAATGGAATTCTGTAGAGCCATCCTAAGATGTGGTAGTCATTTAGAAATAACTGTAGTCACAGCTTCCAAGGGTCTTTTGATGAAGAATAGTCTTGTGTAAGTACGAATGTTGTGCATTTTATTCAGCAGCTTTTGTCAGATGATGTTTAAGGATTCATTGTATCTTTGCAGCCGATTAGGGACAGTTATCTCATGTTTAGGTTGAAGACAGCTTGGGGATGGGGTGCTGTTTTTTCTAGATTCACATGTTTTTAAAAAGAATGTTTACTGTCAACATGGGCATGTATATTTGACCTGCATTCAAACAGCTGAACGTTATTTTAATAGAGAATAATCAGGCCACTCCTCACTATGGGAGAATAATTGGGAAGTATGCATACAGCTAGCATTGTTAAGTACTAATGGCAATCTTGCTTCGGTTTACTTCTATTGTTGTTTTTAATGCTTTTGTCAATCCTTTTTATTCCTGCTGTATATTGAGGCTGTTTTGCATCTTTGGCTTAACTACCTATAATGCCGTTTTATTAAAATAAAATGTATTATTTCCTGGACATATGTAAGACAGGCAGGGAATACATTACAGACAAGTTAATGTGTCTTCAACCCTGTCTTTGCGAAGTGGAATTGTGTTTTCCTAGCATGTAGAATACGAAGGGGTTGAGTTCTCTGAAGTAGCAAAACTACAAAAGATTGCCGGCTTCTGAGTAAAATGGCATCTTACCTGTCCCATTTTAGTAATTCTTGCACTATGGCATATATAGTCCTTTAAAACATATAAGACACCCCACATTCAAATACTAATTGTGATATTAATTAGGTTGAACCTTGTAAAATTGCCATTTCAGTAGGTTAGAAATGTTGAATATCAGCAGTTTCATATGGCTCACTACAGTGCTGCCCAGTGGAAATAGAATCAAAGCCACATGTAATTTAAAATGTTTTTGCCCAAAGTCTTGGAAATCCAATGTGTATTTTACACTTAGAACATGCCGGTCAGACGAGTTAAATTTTGGGTGCTTGATAGCCACATGTAGTGAATGGCTCCCATAGTAGACAGTGCAGGTTCTGCCTGAATATCAGACTGCTTAGTAGTCATTGCTAAGTTCTTCGTGCCACTCCAAGCCTTCCGTCCACACAGCTTTATTTGGACCCAATGTGTAACCTAGCCACCAGAGCCCATGTGCGCACTAGCTTTTATATTTCAAGCTGTGTTTTAGTCCTAGATCAGGTAGCTAATTTCTGGATGAAGATAGGTAAATGCCTAGAATTTACATCATTAAATTAGTTGGAGTAAATGTGTTCAAATACATGGACCTGATGAATCAATGGCCCTGTTGCCAAGTAAAACCTCCATTGCATTTAACAGTGGAAAGAAAATCTGTCATAGTGCTTCCCACAGTCTGTTTGAGAATAAGAACCAACCACTTCTAATATTTGACACACTGCACATCTTTTTAGTGTCTGTTGATTCAGACAATACACAGTGAGAAAAGACTTCCATTTTAGTAAACTTATTAATCATAATAGCATCTGTATATATTTGATATATTATGTGATAATATGTAATATCTATTTGATAAATCATAGTTATTTAATAATGATGATATTACATATTAAATCACTGTACTGGCAATACATAATGTACACATAGCTTGCCGAGCTCTATATTATGATGCCAGGTAACCCACAGTGTGGACTCCACTGTATATATGAACATCACATGCATAAATGTTAAGCACAGATAGCACATATGGAAAAATTTGAAATGAGCTAAGGTTAAAGAAGATGCTAAAGAGCAGGTACCAAGAAATCTCAGAAAGCGGACTGAAGTGTTAAATAAAGAATGTTTGGCTTGGGAAGCAATCTGGGCTTAAATTGAATGCATTTTATTTAGTGACTGGAAATTTTTGAAGTTCAAAAATTTTTTAAAAACAGTTATGTTAGAATAGACTCTGTATCTGAATTCTTGATACTAATGACCTTATAACAAGTTGGGTTTGATCCCATTCACTTGAGCCAGTTGGTTTTTTGTAAGTGAATTTCTCATTAAAAAAAAAAAAAACGAAAAAAAAAAACAATGAGCCATTGTCCCAAAGGCAGGGATAAAGAACCTGGATGGCTTCATGCAGGAAACAGCTCATATCATGAGTTTTAGTGATGTCTATCCAGAAACTGCTATTTTTTAAAATGTGAAAATGAATATATTTTCTCGCATGTAATTAAATATCTTTTTATTGAAAGAATGTGAAGGCATTCCTTTTATTTTGTTTGATAAGCTTCAGTCCTTTGGTTTATTATTTCTTCTGGGTTTGGTGATACTTGCGTGTTTAGGTAAAACTCAGAAGATGGCGTAGCTATTGTGGTATTGTATTTTGACTGTCAAGTTTTCGCTGGTTATTATGTTTTTCTTGTCCATTAGTAGAATTCTTTCATGGATACAGTAGACTTCCAATTTGACACAGCGGTGAAATGGCTAGGGCCTCTGTTAGCCATCTTCAGGCATCTGTATTGACGAAAGTGACAGTGCCCTCTGATGAGTAAGAGCGCTATGGTTGAATGAAGAGAGTGTGGACCTCCACAGTCACATGCTGTCAGTACCCCTCCACCTGGGGTGAGGCTGCTGTTGAAAGAAAAACATATTTATTTTAAAAGATAGTTTGTTTTCCAGAGCTTGGTTCCAGACCTAATAGTTAGTGTATAGACTGCTGTGTGTTAAGTGACTTTTATAGTACTCTTTTGGTGAGAGATCTCACAAGCAATTATTGCTGGTCTGAGAGTACTTGAAAAACCTCTTCTTGCAAGGGGACCTTCTCAAGTTAGGTTAGATACTAGTTTTGTTTCCCCAAAATAGAAAGAGATTCTCTCCTATTTCCTGCCCTACGTTGGCAAGAGGTGATCAAGGAACTGGTGTACAGTACACTGAACACAGCTATACCTTGGGATGAGGTGTCAGGTGAGCAACCAAGGACAACCCAGCTGCATGTCACACTGTAAGGGAGATTCCATTTCTTTTTCTTTTCTTTTTCTTTTTTTTCTTTTTTCTTTTTTTGAGGTGGAGTCTCGTTCTGTCACCCAGGCTGGAGTGCAGTGGCGCGATCTCAGCTTACCGCAACCTCTGCCTGCTGGGTTCAAGCGATTCTCCTGCCTCAGCCTTCTGATTAGCTGGGATGACAGGCGTGCACCACGAGGCCCGGCTAATTTTTGTGTTTTTTAGTAGAAATGGGGTTTCACCATGTTGGTCAGGCTGGTCTCGAACTCCTGACCTTGTGATCCGCCTGCCTCGGCCTCCCAAAGTGTGGGGATTACAGGCGTGAGCCACTGCACCTGGCGTCCATTTCTTAATTCACATGGATTTCGAAAATTACTGAGAGGCTAAGAAACTAAAGTTTTCCTTGAGAATGTTCATATAAATTCAATGAACTGGTTTATGTTAATTGTTATCTTACTATGTATGAGAGAAGTGTAATGGAAAGAGCCTGCAGATAATGCTTTTTGGACATTTAATTTAGTCACATTTATTTCATTGCTGCCATTTTATTTTGCTTTTTCAAATTTTATTTGTAGAGTAAAATGCAACAACTGATGTTTTCTTTTTTCTGTTTTAGATCTTTGCTAATTACACATTTATGCTTTTGTAGGAAAACATTCATGGGTTCTAATTAGCCTTTCTGAACGTTTTCCCTTCTTTAGTGAGGGTGAAAGGTTCTATGTCTTCTTGCCACCCCCAGCCCCAGTCATCATCATCATCAGAGTCTTGGTTTGAGTAGGAGGTGACTTGGTCTTGAGATTCTGTTGGCTCTCGACAAAATTGGCAAAGACAAGCATGGCCCAGGTTATTTTGCTGAGGGAAAGAGATAGAAGGGTGAGTGAGTGAGTGTGTTTGTGTGCGGGTGCATGTGTGTAATTTATAAATAGGATCAATTGCCTACTTTAATAAGTATATAGAAATAAAATAGTAAAACAAATATGCCCAAGTATGAACTCTTCAGTGATGCTTGTCTTGTACCGTCGTCTTTTTTTCTGAGGTTGTTGGTGATAAGTGATACTGCAGTTAGTGATTATTGATTTGTTTCCCTAGGCAAGAAATTATAGAGCAGCTTCTATCAAATATTTTCCACAAGGAGAAAAATGAGTCAGCCATAGTCAGTGCAATCCAGATATTGCTGACTTTACTTGAGACACGACGACCAACGTAAGCTTTTCTTATATCTTACAAAATGAACCATGTTGTTTTGCTTTCAGATTTAAGAGTTAAATTCTTAGTGGATAAGCTGTAATAGCGTACCTTTGAATTGCAGTTGCTGATTCTTCTTCTGCTATATAAACCATAGCCTAATTTTATATGAATACCACATATTGGGATGCAGTTGAAAATTATGTTTTGGTGACACTATTTATTGGCAGTATTTAGACTCTAGTCATATATTTTTTTGGTAGTGGTAGTTAGGAAAATGCTTACTATAATAAATGCTATAATCAAAAACATGTATAATGGCTGAAAAACAGAGAAGCTTATTTCTTGCTCATGATAATTAAAAATAGGTGTTCCTGGTCAGTGGGTAGCTCTCCTGGCCATTCAGAACGTCTCTCTGTCTTGTGATTCCTTTCATTCCTTTCTGCAGATACTTAGGCCTTCAGGTGGTGTTTTCCTGGGTTTCACATTTGAGGGCACTTGAGCAGAGGCTGTCTTAAAATGCATGGGCAGGTGGCTTGAGCTTTGAGGACAAATTTCTTCTACATGTTTTATAATCAAAAATAAAGTCTTGCTTTTCACATGTGTGGCCTTCGCCCCTGGACCAGCCATTTCATGTGTGTCATGTTATTCTTTATAATTTATGTCCAGTGCAGATTTACTCATTATCAGAGTTTTCTAACTGCTCTTAGAGCATGAGAATCTGAAGAGGTATGTATAAGTTTTCCGGGATTGTGTGATGTAGAGGTTGGAATTTTGTATTTTTTACCCCAAAATTCATTCATTAAGCAAGGGATAGAGTGCATCCTTAGCATATGAAACTTCAGCCATTCAGGGTTTCTGGATTTACTTTTAGCGGTGTAATTTTGGTTTCTAGCAAAATAGTGAAGATAACCTTACCAACCAACCCCTGCTTCCCCAATTCCTGATCTCTGTTGCTGCTTTGCCTAATCTTTGGTCAATACTAATGGAAGGGCAGTGTGATGGCACTGCTTCAAGTATGTTGTAGTTTGGGGGTTGTTTGCCTACCTGTCTCTTTCTAGGAAAATCAGTACCATCTTCCTACCCCAGGGATACAGTGCCCTCTTCCCACCCCAGGGGTACAGTACCCTCTTCCCACCCCAGCGGTACAGTACCCTCTTCCCACCCCAGCGGTACGGTGCCCTCTTCCCACCCCAGCGGTACGGTGCCCTCTTCCCACCCCAGCGGTACGGTGCCCTCTTCCCACCCCAGCGGTACGGTGCCCTCTTCTCACCCCAGCGGTACGGTGCCCTCTTCCCACCCCAGCGGTACGGTGCCCTCTTCCCACCCCAGCAGTACAGTACCCTCTTGCTACTCATGCTACAAGGCCATCATTGCATTATGGAATGCTGTTAAAGCAGTAGAAGGAAATTTATAACATTAAGTGGTTATATTAGAAAAGAAGAAAGAATGTGTGTCAATGATTTAAGCTCCTACCTTACAAATTAAAGGTAAAGGCAGGACAAATTAAACCCAAGGCAAACAGAAGGAAAGAAATAATAAAATTCAGAGCAGAAGTCAGTGGACTTGAGATGAGAAAAATAATACAGAATATCAGTGAAGCCAAAAGCTCGTTCTTTGAAAAAATCAATAAAATTGATAAACTTCCATCCCAATTAGGAAAAAAGTAGAAAAGAGACAAATTACAAATAATAGGAATGACTGTGTGCTATGGACTTTAACACTGTTTCCTGTGGAGTTCAGATGAATAATAAGAGACTACTACAAACAATGCATTAAACAGATTCAGCAGTTTATATGTGATGGACAACTTCCTTAGAGGAAATAATTGCCAAAGATCACTCAAGAAGAAATAGGTAGCATGAGCAGCCCCATATCAGTTGAAGAAATTGAACTTATATTGAAAACCTTTAACAAAGAAAACTCCTGGCCTAGATAGGCTCAATTGGTGAAGTCTACCAAAGATGGAAGAACTCTGTCAGAATACAGTAGAGGGAACTCTTTCCAACTCATTTTATGTAGCCAGCATCACTTTGAAACTATAGTGAACTACACAAAATCATGGGAACAAAAGCTATATTTGTTCCTCTGTATCTGCTGAGGATTGGTTCTAGGACTCCCATGCATACCAAAATCTGCGGTTGCTCAAGTCTCGTATAAATGGCATAGTATTTGCATGTAACCTACACATATCCTCCTGTGTACTTTAAATCATCTCTGGTTTCCTTATACCTTTTTTTTTTTTTTTTTTTTAAGACAGAGTCTCGTTCTGTCACCCAGGCTGGAGTGCAGTGGTGCGATCTCGGCTCACTGCAAGCTCCGCCTCCTGGGTTCACACCATTCTCCTGCCTCAGTCTCCCGAGTAGCTGGGACTACAGGCGCCCGCCACTACGCCCAGCTAACTTTTTTTGTATTTTTTAGTAGAGACGGGGTTTCACCGTGGTCTCGATCTCCTGACCTTGTGATCCACCCCCCTCGGCCTCCCAAAGTGCTGGGATTACAGGCGTGAGCCACCACGCCCGGCCACTTATACCTTATACAATGTAAATGATATATGTTAAGCTGTTTCATTATTTTAAATAGTATTATTTTTTGTTTGGCATTTTTTTCCACCTTTTTTTAGAGATGCAGTCTCACTATGTTGCCCAGGCTGGCCTTGAACACCTGGGCTCTAATGATCCTTCCGCCTCAGCCTCTTAAGTCATTGGGACTAGGTGAACCACCTCGCCCAGCTTTCTCTGAATATTTTTGATTTCCAGTTAATTGAGTCAGTGGACATAGAACCTGTGGATACAGAGGGCCGACTGCAAGTAACAAAATGCCACAAGAGCTGAAATGTAAAATTCCTCAAGAAAATATGAGTGAATCAAGTCTAACAGTATATTGTAAGGATAATATATATCATAACAAAGTATGGTTTGTCTTGGGAATGCAAGGCTCATTCATCCTTCAAAATCTTCACATCAACAGACAGCAGATCTGATCACATCAGATCAATGAAGAAAAAACATATCATCATTTTGTTAAATTCCTTTATGATAAAACATCTCAGCAGATTAGTATTAGAAGGGAACTTGGATGAAAACTGATAAAGCCCTCTTTCATTTTATTTATATTTTTTGAGATAAGGCCTGCCATTCAGACTGGAGTGCAGTGGCACAATCATAGCTTACTATTGACTTGATCTCCTGGGCCTAAGTGATCTTCCCACTTTAGCCTCCTGAAGTAGCTAGGACTACAGGCACAAGCCATCATGTCCAGCCAAATTTTTTTTATGTTTTGTAGCGATGGAGTCTGTGTTGCTACATTCAGAGGGGAGGGGGCGATGTGAGACTGCATCTGTTTACAGATGACAGGATTGTCTTTGTAGAATATCCTAAAGAACATTAAAGAAAAAAAAAAACGCATACTCCTAGAACTAACAAATACATTTAGCAAGATTGCAAGTATGAAGTCAGCACTCAAAAGTTAATTGCATTTCTATGTACTAGGAATGAGCAATTGGAATTTGAAATTTTTTCGAAGTATTATTTTTTATAGCATAGAGAAAAGAAAATACTAAGATACAAACCTAACAAAATGTGTGCAAGGCTTAATGCCCCAAAACTATAGAATATTGATGAAATCAAAGATGACCTACATAAATGGAGAGAAATACTCTGTTCATGGATTAGAAGACTCAGTATTGTTAAGATGTCACTTCTCCCCAAATGGACCTGCAGATTCAATGCAATTCCGAACAAAATCTAAGCAGGATTTTTTAGAAATCAAGTGAATTCTAAAACTTGCACAAGAATCAAAGTACAGTAGCCAAAACAATTTTGCAAGAGAAAAGGACTCACACTCTGATTTTGAGACTTAATACAAAGCGACAGCAATCAGGACAGTGTGGTGAAAGAATAGACATACAGATCACTGGGACAGAGCAGAGTCCAGAAGTAGACCCATCCCCATGATCAGGCGGTTTTTAACAGAGGCATGGGGGCAGTTCAGCGGAGAAAGGACAGCGTTTTCAGTAAATCGTCCTGAATGGTTAGGTATTCTATGCAGAACGTTGGACTTTGATATATATTTTGCAGATTATGCAAAAATTAACTCAAAATGGATGATAGAACTAGACATAAAACTAGTAGTTCTAGAAGCAAACAGGAGAAAATCTTTGTCTCAGAGTCATGTACAGATTGTTTAGATACATTGCCAAAACCCAATTCATAAAACAGAAGTTGATAACTCAGACTACACTAAAATTTTAAAATTCTGCTCCGAGACTCTGTTAAGAAAATTAAAAGATAGGTCACAGACTGCCAGAAAATATTGATAACGTGTGAGAAAAGACTTACATCCAGGTATATGAAGAATACCTAGGCTGGATATGGTGGCTCATGCCTAGCACTTTGGGAGGCTGAGGGGGGAGGATCACTTGAGAAGGCCCCATCTCTACCGAAAAAAAAAAAAAAAGCCAGGCATGGTGACATGTGCCTGTAGTCCCAGCTACATAGGACGCTGAGGGAGGAGGATCACTTGAGCCCAGGAAACAACAAAAACAAAGCAGTAATTTATCCTCTCACAGTTCTGAGTCCTAGAAGTCTAAGATCAAGGTGTTGGTGGTGCTAGATTCCTTTCAGAGATACTAAGGCATTCCTCTTCCAGCTTCTAGTAGTTCTTGGCATTCCTTGGCTTGTGACCCCTCTGCATCCTCTTTACATTGCCTTCCCCTCTGTGTGTCTGTCTTGCCTCTTCTCTCTTCGAAGCATAGTTATGATGGCATTTAAGGCCCCCCTGGGTAATCTAGGATAATCTTTCATCTCAAGATCTTTAATTAATTTCATCTTCAGAGATCTTTTTTCCAAAGAAGGTGACATTTGCAGGCCCTACGTATTAGAATGTGGACGTATGTTTTGGGTAGGAGAGCATCATTCAGCCCACTACTTAGCTAAACCAGACAGACAGAATAGACAGTACTCAGTGCAGTATGCAGGGCAACTGGAAGTCACACACATTACTGTTGGGAATGGAAAGTGATACAGCCACTTCATAGAAATGTTTGTCAGTTCTTAGAAAGTTAAACATTCATAATGTCACCCAGAATTCTTATCCTTGAGTATTTACCCAGTTCTCATTCTACCTGTAATTGTTTTCCTGCAAGAAGTAGGTTATAATGAGTATAGATTGAACTTTATGTAGAATAATTTTAAACCTTTTAAATAGGAAATAATGTTGATTATCTAAGAAAAACTGTATGGAACAAGTATAGGCCTGTTCATTAATAACACCCCAAACTGGCAGGCAATTTGGGGTGCCCTATAATCCAGAGGTTGGATCCCTTTCGCTTTCCAAATTTCCTGGTCACTTAGAGACTTGTTACTGTATAATAGTTATGAAGACTTAGAAGGTTTAGAATGGGAAGAAATCACATGTAATTTCTTACCTGATACTGTAGCTGTTTGGGTTGCAGGTTATAGAGTCTGAGCCTCATGGAGGTTTCATTAACCCTCTTCTGCCTCATTATGCTTTTTTCCTAGCCTTTTTTCCCGCAGCCAGAAAAGTTGATATAATCATTAAGTAAAGACATACATGGTCGATAACCTTGAATGATTTGTTCTGAAATTATAATAACTAAAATTCCTTGCTTTGTTTCAAGATTTGAAGGCCATATAGAGATCTGCCCACCAGGCATGAGCCATTCAGCTTGTTCAGTAAACAAGAGTGTT
Organism: Homo sapiens; assembly: GCF_000001405.40. NCBI lineage: Eukaryota > Metazoa > Chordata > Mammalia > Primates > Hominidae > Homo > Homo sapiens. The sequence goes on from NC_000011.10 coordinate 68,564,373, forward strand.
CTAGAAGCCATCAGAGGAAGACTTGGATCTTTTCATGAACTCCTGCTGGAGCCACCCAAGGTAGGGGAGCTATGTTAAGCATGGCTGCCCAGCGAGTAATTTGGTTGAAACAGTCATTCGAATGTGTACGGGCCTTAGGAGTGGCAGAACTGGCTGTGGTCTGCATGTACAAAATGAGTGAAAAGATAACACTGCCAGTGATTTTTACTGCTTTTGAGTGGAGAATGGAGAATTAAACAAAATATTCATCAGTTTAGGAAGTTTACCTTTTCATTCTTCTGTAAATTCTTGGGTACTTACATGCCAGTAAAGAAAAAAGAATTTTCTTCTTGTAGCATATTATTTTTGAATGTTTCAGGAAAAGCTAATCTTTCAGAAACGGATCTTTGAAATTATGTTTTCTTACTCAGAGTTGGAGCAGTGTATGTCTGATGTATAGTCGACCTTATTTAAGAAAGAGTAGGTTGAAGTTAGTATACAATTTGGAGAGAATATGATTTGGGGGTTTTTCAGTACAGAGCCTCCCATGTGCTAATTTTAAATGACTGTTTCCTCAGTGAAGACCCACAAGAGTTTTGTCAGCAGTCTATAAATGGTGTTCTTTCGCCCCTTGGATTGATACAGATTTAGATTAGGGTGATAATCACTTGCTTTTGGAGTCTAGGGTGGAAGATTCAGTTCCATGTGAGTTCTGTTCCCAGCAACAGTTCTTAAGTTTCCTTTTTTTTCCTGCCCTATATCATTGAATCTGGTGTATCTCGGTGGTTATCTACTGTGCGAGTTATTGGGAATTTAGAATACTAGTTTCTCACTTGTAAATTAGATGTTTTCTGTTTATTTAACTATTTGGAGTTGGGGGAGCACAGGATAACTTATATAACCAAGGGAGTCTAGTTCAGCTCCAGATCATCTTTTCAGATACCTGATGCCATTGGTGAGCAGGTCGTGGTTCCATCACTGTGCTCACAGTTTGCGTTACTCTGCTGGTTCCATTCCAGCCACATCTTATCTGCATTCAGCCTGTGTTGGATGTGGACCATAGTGTTGGTGCTTGCCCTTAGGGAAAGTGCCTCTGTTGGTGTTTGACAATGATGGTCAGTGGCATCCTTCATGCCAGTCCTGGGAAGAAAAACAGAGTAAGGAAAGAAAAAGAAAAGATTTAGAAGAGGAGAGAACATCACAAGTGGAAGACGGAGGTGGGAGAAGGATCTGACAGGGAAGAAGGTGTGTGAGGAAGGGCCTGACCTGTGTCTTAGGTGGCCCACCCATCTTCTTTCTGGGTGGACAAACAGGTGGCATCTGGTTCTGGGCCCCGATTCAAAAGTAAGGCAGTGTCTTGTTTGGACTTCTCTGTTACTCCGAGAACTGAGTGAGTTCCGTTTGCACCTGGTTTTACTGTATGATATGTCTGTCTCGGAGTACCGTTTGCACCTGGTTTTACTGTATGATGTGTCTGTAAGTAGATCCATGAAGTTTTTTACAAAGCCTGCCAATTAGAGCTGTTTTCCATAGAGAGCAGAACTGTGGGCCTTACAGCTCTGTGAGTCCTCGGGAGGATGGGAGCCAGAGGGAGTGAGGCTACTGATGTGGATGGGGAGGGGCAGAAAGGGCAGCCTGCCCTAGGCTGTTACGTGCCACCCTTGCCTCTCAGACTTCTAAAGTTAGGAAATGTTCTGCTTCTACTTTTGTGATTTCAGGCTATAGAAACTCCTGTTGATGGACAAGAACAGGTTTAGATTGATCACATTTCAGGTTTGTGATCCAGAGGCAACGTCTGAATTTGCATTTTTATCACAGATTTGGCTCAGACTGAGGATTGTATTCCAAAACCACTTGTAGCAACTACTACCACCACCACCACCACGGCTGCTGCTGCTGCTGCTGCTGCTGTTGCTACTACTACCACTTCTTCTTCTTCTTTATTCTTCCTTCCTCCTCCTCCTTCCTCCTTCTCTTTCCTCCTCCTCCTCCTCCTTTTTTCTTCCTTCTTCCTTTTTTTGTTTTTTTGAGACAGTGTCTCACTCTTGCTCAGGCTGGAGTACAATGGCACAATCACAGCTCACTGCAGCCTCAACTTCCGCAGGCCCAGGTGATTCTCCCACCTCATCTTCCTGAGTAACTGGTACTACAGGTGTGCATCACCATGCCTGGCTAATTTTTGTATTTTTTGTAGAGACAGGGTCTCACCATATTGCCCAGGCTGGTCTCAAACTCCTGGGTTCAAGCGATCCACCCACCTCGGCCTCTCAAAGTGCTGGGATTATAGGCATGAGCTACTGTGCCCGGCCATAACTTCTTTTAGTTTAGATTTCTGGTCAGATTTTGAAATATTGTACTTTTTCCTAGGATATTCTGTAGCCTTCTGCTTTCTTCTCATAACAGCTTGGAATGTTGAGGCAGGGAGACACTTGATTTCTTATAAAATTTATGATCCAGGGAAATTCCTTGCTTTTTTTTCCTTTTTCCTGCTTGGTTATTTCATTGTATCTTAAAGATATCAAGAGCAGCTTTAGATGTTGTTTCAGGTGTAAAATTCAGGCCATGTTGTTTGCAGGGTTTAAACTAGTGTCATGTCTTAGCAAATACACCATTTGCTTTGTTCATTTAACTGAATTTAATTGGAAAGCTTTTTCTTCTTCAGAAAAGTGTGATGAAGACCACATGGGGTGTGCTGGATCCTCCTGTGGGGAATACCCGGTTGAATGTCATTAGGTTGATATCCAGCCTGCTTCAAACCAATACCAGCAGTATAAATGGGGACCTTATGGAGCTGAATAGCATTGGAGTCATATTGGTGAGATTTTCCCTGCTCACAGACATTTTAATTTGCCATTGATATTTCATGGATATTTAACCAAGTTACAACCTTACAAATTTACATTATGTCAGTGACTTTTCTTGGTCTGAGCATAAATGGTGTTTTATGTAGTTTTTGCCTTGAGTTTATTATAAATTTCGAATGCTTATAATTGTTCACTAGGCATCTACTGTTGCTTTATATAAAGAATTGTAACATAGGATTTTGAAGATGATTAAGAGACATCGGCTTTTCCCTCGTGCTCCGTCTCGTGGACAATGACTGCTGGGTGCAGCATTGTTTTCTGTTCATATTTAGTGAGGGGACAAACCTTTATCTTCTTGCCACTGGGAGGTATCTGTATAACGTACCTGACGCCATATGGTCTTAATTGATTTGAGTCTGGATTGACTCTTCCTTGAGACACAGTTATTAGCCTGCTTACTGATGGAAGGAGAAGGAAAAGCCCAGGGATGATTTAGGTCTCCCTGACCCCTGAATTCCCCAGTTTCAGAGTCTGTGCTTAGAATCCATAGGCCCAGCTCTGGAGCCCATGCTTCTTCTCTGTGTGCTGCCACCCACAGCACAGAAAGCGCGAGGGTTAACACTTTAGCAGGTTTCACAAGACATCTGGTCACATCATATATTTGGGGGAGATGTGGGGGTGTTTCAAAGGAGGTGTTTGTTCACTGTATGACAGGCATTGTAATGTTCATCTTATGTACACTATTCATGTGATCCTGGGTGATCTCCAGGACCCTCGGGTGAACATTACAGTGAGAGAGAGGATGTGTTTTTCAGATCATGCCCAGAGAGAGGATACATTCCATGGCTAGTGAGCGGTGAAGCCAAGATTTGAATTCACCCAATTTCAAACCCATACGTGCTTTATCAACCACATCATTGTGCTTCCTAGCGTCACCGAGATATTTTTGTTAGGTTTCAGCTTTGGGTTAAATCAGTATAGAGCACAGAAAACAGGAGCAATTTGGAAAAAGAGATGAAGATTTAAAGAATTACAGTTTCTTTGATAGCTAGCATGGTCATTGCCTTCTGGGGACGTAGTTTTTGTCCTACCTTCTAGTGTATAAAACTCCGGGAATATAACGTTCCTAAGTCATTGATCACTGGTCTTTAATTTTACTAATAACAATATACAGTTATTGTTAATTTATTCTGTTAATCTTTAGGACTACTTCTGATGAGACTAAATTTGATGAGACTACTGGAGGAGTTACTCATTACTTCTTCATTTTGAGATTAGATAACCAGACCCAACCATTTCCTAAATATGACATACTAAATTGACTTCCAAAATATGGCATTTTGTACTTTTAGAAATTCTTTCCCTTTTGTAATGCTATTACCTTTTCAAGTAATTTGAAAACCCTTGTACTTCCAGGAGATTCACGTTACTGCCTCTCGTATCCTCATTTGTTTTTGCTGATAGCTCTAGTTTTTGTATGCTGGAGTTGAGTCATGAGCACCTCAAGACTGTGGACCGTATTTTTGTGTATCTCTGTCTGCCATGTTGCATCTCATACAATACCCTGCACAAAAACCATCAGTAAATATTTGTTGCATCAAAATGAAATTCTTACAATTTTTTTTTTTTTTTGAGATGGAGTCTGGCTCAGTCGCCCAGGCTGGAGTGCAGTGATCTTGGCTCACTGCAAGCTCCGCCTCCTGGGTTCACGCCATTCTCCTGCCTCAGCCTCCTGAGTAGCTGGGGCCACAGGCGCCCGCCACCACACCCAGCGATTTTTTTGTATTTTTAGTAGAGACGGGGTTTCACCGTGTTAGGATGGTCTTGATCTCCTGACCTCGTGATCCGCCCGCCTCGGCCTCCCAGAGTGCAGAGATTACAGGCATGAGCCACCACGCCTGGCCTCTTATAAATTTTTTTGAAAATTATAGAAAATTTACCACGCTAACTATTTGTGTTAGTTGCTTTGAAGAGAAAAAAGATACTCCCTTTCTCTTGGAGAAACGTACTCTTGTCTTTGTATGTTTGTTGTTGGTTTTTTACTAGATTCCATACCAGTTCTGGCATGTCAGATAAGCAGATAGCACGCCATTTAGGCTCTAAAGCAATACTTCACATCCCCATTTAGTCCTCGTTATTTATGAGGGATACCTTCCAAGACTCCTTTGGATGCCTGAAACCACAGCTATCGAACCCTATATATACTATGTGTTTTTCCTATACATACCTGTGACAAAGTTTAATTTATAAATTAAGCACAGGAAGAGATTAATAATAACTAATAATAAAGTAGAACAATTATAAATCTATACTGTAATGAATGTTATGTGAATGTCATCTCTTGGATTAGCATGTCTTACTGTATTATACTCACCTATTTTCAGATCATGGTTGACTGTGGGTAACTGAAACCACAGAAAATGAAACTGTGGTTATGCAAGTACTAATGTGAACTCAGGTTCCTTTTAATTGGTCCTTTTGGACTGAGAGCACATCATTTTTACTTTATTAAATCACTGTTCTGTAAATGTATTTAAGTATTGGCTTAAACATTGAGGTAACCGAATAAAACATGGTTTTTCTTTTTTGTAGAACATGTTCTTCAAGTATACATGGAATAACTTTTTGCATACACAAGTGGAAATTTGTATTGCACTGATTCTTGCAAGTCCTTTTGAAAACACAGAAAATGCCACAATTACCGATCAAGACTCCACTGGTGATAATTTGTTATTAAAACATGTAAGCTTATTTGGTCTCGTTTTTCTCCCACTCTCTCCTGGTTATAGCAGTTTTCCACTTGACTGTGATGTGAATTGAGGTTTAAAGGGCTTGAGGTTAGATTTCAGAGTCTAAATATTTGACAATCATGTGTTCGTTTCACTTTTAACATATAAATCATTATATAAATCAAGTACTGGACAAATAACTATTAAATGAACAGTCTTGTAAGAAAAAAGCTAAGTGGCCTCCTTATTTGGTAAAATTAATAGGTTTGAAGATATATAAATTCTTTGATGATTTGAAGAATCATAGAAATTTAAATACTATGGAAAACATTTGCACTATTATTTGGCTGACCAGAGTGTAGTTTCTTTGCTGAATACGTGACTGAAAGTCAGGAGAACTGAGTTCTTTGTGATGTTGAGAGTCTTCCTGGGGTCTCTTTTTCTCTTCTGTCAAATATGAGATAATTTTACTAAGTCAGTCTTCAGATTTTTTCTTGCTTGGTAGTTCTATGGTACTTTTAAAATTTCTAGCCCACACTTGGTTTACTCGCAAACCTAAAATGTAGAAAAGGCTAGCTTGGAACAGCCAAGTTGATGGGAAAGACAAATGACACCTGAGAAGAACTAGCCCTGCACATTCCAGTATTGCAGCCTACAGCAGTTGTCACTGACTTGCAGACTTTGGGCAAAACCCACCTGTTTTTAATATTAATGCAGTAATGTTAGTTCATCTGGAAGTAAGACGTGCTCACATTTTAAAAGTACAAGCATTACTTTGGATTCTAAGTTAAATTTTTGCCAAGGCATAGTTTTCTTTATTCCATTTTAATTTAGCTCAGGTTTTATATTTCTGTTCTGAATTTTCACAGCTAATAAAACCTGGCTTTCCTTTATAGTTAACTATAGGTAGTTAACTGCACTACCTATAATACTGAGTTTCCTGTAGATGTTCTGTGGAGGGTGTGGATCCTGATTTGAATCTCTGTAGTGTTGTGGGTGTCTGCAGTAGATTGATGATCACATTGCATTTGGCTTAGTAACATTTAGCTTGCTAGATTATGCATACTACTATTCTCTTTAACCTAGAGTTCTGTTTCACTTTAAAGTTTTGATGCTTTGAAGTATTAACTGGAATATTCTTTTTTTTTTTTTCAGCTTTTCCAAAAATGTCAATTAATAGAACGAATACTTGAAGCCTGGGAAATGAATGAGAAGAAACAGTAAGTAAATTGTTTTTTTGAAAGGAATTCAGTTTGGTTGGTAATATGAGGAAAATAATACCTCCTTGCCCTAGTCAGAAAAAAATGGAAATAATTACATGATACTGGCCATTTTACAATTTAAACTTTTCCCCAGATTATTTCATTGTAACAGTTGTTTTTATAATACTAATAATTTCTTGTTAGGTCCTCTTGTTTTTGGGGCAAAACAAGTGAGTTCGGAGTGTTCCCCACCTCTGTGCTGCCTTTGAAACTTCCTGGTCCTTTTTGAATGGCTACTGTTCTAAGAGTTATAAGGTTAAAGTTAAGTCCTTGATGATGTGACTTAGTGTATTTGTCCTGGTCACCTTATGCTCAGAACAGAAGGTATCACGTACATATTTTCATTGTAGAGAAGAGTTGCTTTGTACAGGGACCTAGAGGAAAAAAATTGCTCAGTGTTTTCTTTTTAGAAAATGTTTGTTAGCTGATTGGCAAGGTTATGTGAAGTATTAGTTGATACATGTAAGTAGCTTTGTTACACAAAACGTTTTCTTACAGGTGTTGTCTGTAACAGCATTCCTCTCTAGTGCCCTGGAAGCCTTTATGTCACCCCGTAGATTCTGAAGCATGGTGGCATAAGGGCGTGTTTGGGAAACACTCTGAAGGCATGCTTCTGTGTTTGTTTTTAAGACAGGTTTATTGAGATATAATTCTCATATGGTAAAGCTCATTTTAGGTGTACATTCCTAGGAATTCTGACTGATGCCTGAAGTCACCATCACCACAATCAAGACATTTCTGTCACCCCCAAAATTTCTCTCATGGTCCTTTGTAGTTGATCATTTCCCAGCATTCTTGTTATGTGTCTCTGTGTCTCCAGGAAAGCTAGATGACTCTTGGGAGTCAGCCTTACTTTGTGAGGTTTGATTTTTTTTTTTTAAATCGTTTAATAAGCACTGCTACTAGGGTTTTGATTTGGCTTCATGTGGGAAATTGGCATTTTGTTTGTTTGTTTGTGGCAAGGGGCTAGTATTGGTAGACCTCAGATACATTCTTCCAAATGGAGCTCTTTGGAGATGCTGTTTGTGGCCCAGTTGACATCTCTGGTTATATGTCTGACTCCGTCTTGGCTTCTCTGTGTCCTTCCCAACCTCCAGTCTTCTTGCTGCCTCCTCATCTGGCCAGGGCTCAGATATCCTTTGTGCCCTGCTCTCCTGGTGAGTCCCGTTTTCTGGAGGCCTGGTGAATACCATTCCCTCTGTCTAGGGGGATCCCGAAAGAACTTTCCTTGTTTCCTTGCACAACAGCCTGAAGCAGTTTGAAGCTGTGGGTCACCTTAGAGATGGGCCTTTGTTTTCTTTCACTTGTGTACTTGAGGGTGTGCAGAAGAGTGACTCAGTTGCCTGTAGGTAACACCTGGCTCTCTGGATCTTACTGAAGAACTAAAAGAGACTCTGAGCAACTCAGTGAAGATTGACTCTGGCCAGGCACGGTGGGAGATGCCTGTAATCCCACTGCTTTGGGAGGCTGAGATGGGAGGATTGGTTGAGGCCAGGGGTTCGAGACCAGTCTGGACAACATAGGGAGATCCTGGCTCTACAAAAAATTAGCCGGATGTGGTGGTACTTGCCTATAGTCCCAGCTACTCAAGAGGCCGAAGTGAGAGAATTGCCTGAGCCCAGGAGTTTGAAGCTGCAATGAGCTGTGATTGCACCACTGCACTCCAGCCTGGATGACAAGCAAGACCTTGTCTCTACCTAAATAATCAACCCTGTACTTCTTACCCTTAGGCACCCCCAAGCCCTCTAAGATTCTCTAGCAGATACTTTATTTTCCAAGCAAGCCTTCAAGCATAGGATGTTTTTTTTTTCTTATTGCTCCTGAAAGGCTTTTCTCTCTCTAAGCAAAAATCTCTGCAGTGTTTGTTCCCTGCTATCTGCAGTCAAAAATCTTTCGTTTGATAGAGCTTAAAATCTTGGCACTTTGTAAATAGGTAGAGAAATCAGATTAATATGAGTTTACTTATTTTATATATATATATATATATATATATATATATATATATATAATTTTTTTTTTTTTGAGACGGAGTCTTATTTTGTCACCCAGGTTGGAGTGCAGTAGCACAATCCTGGCTCACTGCAGTCTCTGCCTACCGGGTTCAAGAAATTTTCCTGCCTCAGCCTCCTGAGTAGCTAGGATTTCAAGTGTGCACCACCACGCCTGGCTAATTTTTGTATTTTTAGTAGAGATGGGGTTTTGCCATGTTGCCCAGGATGGTCTCAAACTCCTGACCTCAAGTGATCCACCTGTGTTGGCCTCCCAAAGTGTTGGGATTACAGGCGTGAGCCACTGTGCCTGGCCTGATACGAATTAAGTGTAAAGATTGATCATGGTTGGGAAGATGAGACCTTAAATGGGAAAAGGACAAAGACTGTTTGTTTGCATGTGTTCAGAATGGTGTATGGTCAAGTACTAGTTGACTGTCTCCTATCTTGGCCAAGTCTCACATCAGCTAATATCTTAACTTGAGACATGTCATTGGTAGATAATTATTTCTATTCATTGATATAATAAAAATTTGCTATCTTTTAAGAAAATGAACCAGCAGAATTCTTACCTCAGTTCCTTATAATCTGATTAAGGTTTGAAAAAGTTTCATTAAAAAGATGTAAAATAAAATCACAATAACATTAGGCATCAGAGAAGGTTTATTTGATCTTTTAAAAAATAATGTGTTATTGACAGTGAGTGATGATTTTTGAGATTCGAATAAACTGTGGCCTGTTGACTGAGGCTGCCATATAATCTTTTACAATTTCACACCCCTCCCTGACCATGCTGCATGGTCATATTCTGGCACCTTCCATTCCTTTGTTTTTCTTTTCTTTTCTGTCCATCGTCATTTTCTTCAGTGCCTTCAGGGTTTAAAATGATTGTTTAAAAGTCCGCAGTATTTACCGAGTGTTTCATCACTTCATCCTATCAGGAATCTGAGTATTTGTCCTTTACCTCTTGTCAGGGCTGAGGGAGGAAGACGGCATGGTTACATGGGACACCTAACGAGGATAGCTAACTGTATCGTGCACAGCACTGACAAGGGCCCCAACAGTGCATTAGTGCAGCAGCTTATCAAAGGTAAGTTATTTGTGAAATTTGAATTACATTTTTGTTGGGTTGCAGGAAGGATTTAAGGGTCAAGTAGAAATGCATGTAGCATTTTTAATAGTGATTTGTGGGACTTCTTTATATTTGGCAAATTATGTATTTGAATGAGGTTCTTGAGAATGTGTTTGAACAGTGTTGTTTTTTGGTTGTATTTATGTTCATGTAGTTACAGACCATTCCATAAGCATTGGCAGGCTTGGCTGGATTCAGCATATAAGAGTCACCTATTGTCATTCTTAAAGAGCATTGCTTGGTGAATCATGCTTTTGAGTATTGTGAGTGTGAAGTACTCATATGCTAGCAGTTGAGCCACTTCAGCTATAATTTTGCCTTTTATTTTCTGAAGGCCTCTATATAGCCTCTGAATTAAGTTTCTTTAACTGGAATATTAGGGCATTTATCAGCATTTCTTTGATGTCGCTGTCACTAAAATGAGGGGTATTGGCTTCTAAAGGACTCTTTCTGTATAGCATTTCAGTTTAATCAGCCCAAGCTTATTTGGAAGAAACTATATGGATGCTTTTTTACACTGGCCCCAAGCCATGAGCCTTCTTCTAAAATGAGAGAACTGTGTACTCTGGGTTTTTGTACCAACAGGATTACCAATCCTGAGACCTATTCTGAATGTGAACAGTCTTTAACATCCATGGTACAGAATTTGTTCAGTTAAAATCATTTCCCAGTGGGTCTTCCATTTTTTCTTAAGAATGTTTGTTTGTTCAAGAGGCTATTCCCTGTTGAATGTGCACTAAAACCACAGTTGTCACCAGGGATGGAAAAAGTGGTGTGTGCCCACTTCTAATTTTGCTTCTTGAGAGAGGCATAAGAGGTATAAGCCTCTTCCTTGGGCCATTTCACCACACAGTTTATCTTTATGTCCTAACTAAGAAGAAATGGCCATGTGATATGACTGAGTTTTTAGATCAGACTTTCCTTTATGGAAGCTGCTTGCCAGGTGGTACATGTGTACACTTCTGTGAGTGTGCACACATGCATGGCTGTTTTAAACCAGAATTATCAGATGACTAGTTAGGCCTCTAAAATTACGTCATGGTTTGATTTTCTCAGAAAAGCAGTTGTTTATCCTTTTCTTTAACATTTCTCTAGAAGGTAGAATTTCACTATTACCTGTGTATCCACGTTGGCCCATGACACAAATATTTAGGAAACATGATCTTAGAGCAATTTGAAAAGCCATACTAGGTTCTGTGGAACATTCATTGGCCAGCTGCCAATGAGAGCATTTCAAGAAAGTGTGCAGGAGCTGTCATTTGCAGCATTTTCTAGACTTAACTTGACCATGGAAAAAGATCCCCCTACCCCCGACACGTTAAACACCTACCACCTTTCTCAGAAAAGCTTGTTGGAAACACACTTTCCAGGTTAAGCTTCTACCAGAGCATTTTCAGAAACTTGTTAAGTTCACAAGCTACCTTAGGGCTCTTGGCCTCATCAAGCCTATACCATTGGGTAGGGGGATTCTGGTTCCTGAAAGTCCATGGGATTTGGGCCTATGGAAGGTTTAATAATTCCATTTCTCTAAGAGCACTGGGCTGGCTGTCACCCAGTTTCTCAGCTGATAGGGCCTGCTCACCATTGATGAACCAGGTGAGTAGGCCCACTTTTATATTACCTGCTTACTTTATTTGTCTCCGTGGAGGTCATTGTGGTGATAATGCTTTTTTGCTTTTCTCACTCTGAAGATCTTCCCGACGAAGTCAGGGAACGATGGGAGACGTTCTGCACAAGCTCCTTAGGAGAAACTAACAAGAGGAACACGGTAGATCTAGTAGGTTTTACAAGGTTACATTTTTATTCTTTCAGTGCTCTTAGCCTTTGCCCATTTATTCAGAAAGATGTAAAAGATCTTCCATTTACCTCAGTAACTGTGAGCCAAAGATAAATTCTTATCTCTTTACCAGGGAGAGAGGTCAGTATTCACAATATTCTTGCCCATTTGTCTAGTCCACTCCTAATTACCTGCCTGGGATGACAGAAGGATATTGAGAAGTCACTGATTTCTGCTCCACATCCTACTTAGTGTCCATTTCCCTCCATGCCCTGCTGCCGAGCACCTCAACAGCCTCTTGCCTTCCTTTCATTCTGCTGGGTTTGTGGCCACATGCCACTGATAACCCTGGGTGCTTAGGAAAGCGAAAGATTCAGTTGGATATTTTTCTGATATTATTGAGTTGAGTATACCCTCGTTTTACATCATTCCCAATGGGGGAATATTTTGTAGATGACTTTGAAACCCCAGCTTTAAAATTTTTTTACCAGAATTGGGACTTTGAGCCAGGGAATAATGGCATTGATAATTTTTTTAAAAATTATATTGGACTTTGGAATGTATTTTTTGGTTTTTAAACACATTTAAGTTTTAAGGTAAGTATTGCTTTTTTCTGCTTTTAAAGATGGGGAAAGCATTTCCTTTTACAAGTACATGCCAGCTGATAGTCGAGGGGTGGCCTTTGCTTAGACAGAAGCAGCACGTGACTCGACATTGAAGTGTTTATGTTTGGCGTTTAATTCTATATTTCAAATTTGGCAGTGGCAGTCTTGAATTTCTAATATGCAGTAACACCTTGACTGTTAGGAATTCAATGATCTGGCAGCCTGAAGCAACAGGGAAGCAGGCTCTGAAAGCCAGAGAGCAGCCACTTGGTCCTCCTGTGTCACTCCCTGGAGGGCTGTGCCCCCTACTTTGTAGATTGCCTAAAAATATGGTCATCTTTTTCCAGACTCCTGACAGAGTCACACTTTTTAAGCGGGGAATAATGATAGAATTAGGAAGTATTAAGAGTTGGAAGAATTATGAAGTTGAGGTAACTATTAAAAGGAAGCTATGTGGGGCCATTTAATTAAAATAGACCTAAGGCCTAATAGCCCGAGTGTCTCTGTGTACCACAGCCCAGCAGAGAAAATGACATTAGTATTGACAGCCCTGGGTCATCAAGGAAGGGTTAAGTCATTTTTAATGAATATTTTACCCATTGTAGATAGATACTCGGACTATCGTTTAACTTGAGTGTTCTGGATAATCAGGGTTTTTTTTGTAGAATGGAATTGTCCTCTCCCATACTGTTAAATCATACTGCTTAATTTTGGAGGTTCCCACGTTGATTCCTTTGCAGGCAATATAGTCTCTTTTAAGGGGACTATTGTCTTGTCTTATAAAGGAATATTTAGTAATCTGATTTTGTTTGGGAAACTTCTTTTAAAATTATCCTTTGATTGGCTTAAAAGTTAGAAGTCAAAAATGTCCAATTAAGCTTGTTACCAGACTTTTAAACAATTGTTTTTATCTTAGGTAACTCAAGCATATTTCTTTTGTGAGCAGTTCTGTAATAAAGAAGGACTTCATTACAATTCAGATAATGCTCACTTACTGTATAGTATGCTGTCAGCAGATCTGCTCTGGGATTGTGTGTAAATGTTACTACATATATCCCCATAGAAGGGTGTGGTCATCCCGCAAAAATAAAACGTTCAGCCCCTGGTAGACTGTGTTAGAAAAAAATTATTTTGGGCTCCATCTGTCACTCAGATTGCGTCTCGGTTCTTCTTTGCTTGCTCTGCTTTTCTGCCATCATACTCGGACTGCATAATCTAAAGTCAAACAAAATCATAAGTTGGCTTATAAAGCAAAAGTGGTTAGATTGATAGGGCCCTTTAACATTACCTATATCCCCTGTTGAGTTAGCCCCACTCCAGAATTTTGCTGTCTGTTGAGACTTTCAGGTGGATCTAAATACTTCTTCAATTCTTTATTCCCGAGCCCTTTCTTAAATACCACTTCCGTTTAGTCTTAAGTCCTTCTGATAGGGAGTTTTGCTTTGTAGTATTGTGAGGGCTACAGCTATTCCAAGTGTTTAATATGCTTATATAGTAGGTCTAGGCACCAAGGAGATTTTAATCGTATCCTCCAGGCCATTCATTTTCCTGTCCAGAATGTGTTCAAGCTGTATCTCAGTGGGGTTGGGTACCATGTTTCAGGAAAATACGCAATTGTAAATATTATTATAAACACAACTTGGTAAATGCAGTGGGCCTTACCCTTGCAAAAGTGACATAGAAAAAGAGTGCCCATGTTTGAAATGTGGTAGTTACACTTGCCTTCTTAACATGCTTGTCACTGGAATTGGTAGTTAAATAATAGCTTGCTTATGCCCTGTTCCCTTTCCCAAATAGATAAGATTAGATACACTGCCTTGACTTCCTTGATTTTAGAATAGCTTGGCTACCTCTCTGGAAGTCATTTCAGGTATATTCATAGAAGTGGAGTCAGCCCAGTTCAGCACCACGTGCTTAAGTTAGTGCATTGTTAACCTGACATGTTATTTTTCTGTTTACAGCAAGGATACATTCATTTATACACTGAACACTTTCCTGTCCTATTGGCTGTGTACCTGAGGACTTGCTCACTTCTTTTGGATAAGCTGTGCCCAGCCCCAGGCTCCTATCACTTCTGTAACATTTTAGTTAAATTCTCTCTGAGATACTCGAAGTGCTTTAATCTTTTGGCTCCATCATACCCAAATACGTGCACAGCAGATTCATATACTCCCTGTGTTTTTATGTTTGGAGTTTATGATGAACAAAAGTTGGTGTTTTAATTATATCCAAAGACCTCTGTGTTTTGACCAAGTCCCCAAACTAAAAATTGGCAAGGATTTAGGTAGAGTGAATTTAGAGAACATAGGACATGTTTTTGTACTGACTTTGAAAAATTTGAGTTTGTTTCATTTTTTGCCCTCTTCCCCAAGGGGGAAAATGTATTTAAAATTGTTGATGCTTCTTTCCCATCATTGACAAGACAGTGTGTAGAAGAAGAGATGTAGAATGATCTGAATGTGTGCCTGTATTAATCACCAGGAGTTTCCGCAGGTTGGGGTGAAACCTGAAAGTGGGTGTTTCTAACTAATCCTAGGTTATGTTGATGCTGGGGGTCCTCAGTGGGACCATACTTTGAGGATCAAGGAATAAGTCTCTAGCTTTCACTTGTCACTAATACGGGCCTCAGAGTTTAACAGTCATTTCACACTTCTGATTTCCCTTGGGAACCTAATCATCCAAAGTAAACACCAATTTGCTTTTTCCTGTAACAACAGTTAACAAAACGAAAATTTTATTTCGAAAGAAGATAATATCTCCGAAACTGTGTGCACTACAACAAGAGTGCACTTTACTTACGGTATATCTAGCTTGGCAAGAGTGTTATATACTTGTTGCTTTTTGCTGTATTTGTTTATATTCAGTGATTATTAGTATTCATTAATTCAGTAAATATTTGAGTGCCTACAATGTGCCAGACACTGAAGATACAGTACTAGACAAGATTGGCAAAAATTTCTGCTTCAGTGGAGATGGATAAACAAATGAGTAAGAGACACGTGTGCACACACAATATGTGTAATATACAGTCATGCACTGCATAATGTTTCGGTCAGCAATAGACCGCATATATGACAGTAGTCCCATAAGATTAGAATACTCGATTTTACTGCACGTTTTTTATTTGTAGATACACAAATACTTATCACCATGCTCCAGTTGCCTCAGTATTCAGTGCAGTACTGTGCTGTGCAGGTGTGTAGCCTAGGAGCAATTGGTTGTAGCAGATAGCCCAGGTCTGCAGTAGGCTCTACCATGTGAACTCTATGATGTTCGCATGATGACAGAATTGCCTTTGTCACAATGTATCCTTGTCATGAAACAATGCATGACTGCGCGTGTTTCAGATGGTAAGTGCTAAGGAGCCAACGCATGGGAGGGAGTTAGGGAGTCTTTGGGGCAGGTGTACAGTTTAAAATCTGGTGTCAAGGAAAATCTCACTGGGAAGGTGCATTTGTGGAGTGGAGAGGGAAGAGCAAAATGCAGAGGACTCGAATTTGGGTTGTTCCTAGTGTGTGCAGGGACTTGCATGTTGTCCCGTGTGGATGTAACAGTAAGCAAAGGAGAGAACAGAAGGACTTGAGGCCAGAAAGGCGCCAAACAGCCAGATTTTCTACAGCTTTTTAGTCTATGGTAATTTTGATCTAATGAGAATTTGTTAGGTTTTGAACTAAAAAGTGCCATACCTTGATGTATATTTTTAAAAGATGGCTGTGGCTATTGGGTTGAGAACAGACTGCTAGGTGGGGCAAGAGCTAGGAGGAGGGAGACTGGGGAACTGCCAGCTGTGACATTAGTCCAGGTGAGGGGAGTGCTGGCTTGCACTGGGGAGCTGATAACAGACTTGGTGAAGGGCGATGGGTCTGGAGAGGGATTTTGGCTCCATTTTGAAGGTAGAGTGGACATGGTGGGTGGGCTGGAGGAAACAAGATGACCGAGGTTTCTAGTTGAAGAAGAGTGAAGGTGGCAGTGACTGAGCTGAAGATGCCTCAAAAGGAGTGTGTTTGGAAGTGTAGATCAGGAATTCAGTTTTGTATACATCTGAATAATGAACCAATGGGATTCTGATTAGCAAGTTTCCCCCATGGGTAAATAATCTTTTTTTTTTTTTTTTTTTTTTTTTTTTTTTTTTTTTTTTTTTGAGACAGAGTCTTGCTCTGTCACCCAGGCTGGAGTGCAGTGGCACGATCTCGGCTCACTGCAAGCTCCGCCTCCTGGGTTCACACCATTCTCCTGCCTCAGCCTCCTGAGTAGCTGGGACTACAGGCACCCGCCACCGTGCCCGGCTAATTTTTTGTATTTTTAGTAGAGACGGGGTTTCACCATGTTAGCCAGGATGGTCTCGATCTCCTGACCTCGTGATCCGCCCGCCTCGGCCTCCCAAAGTGCTGGGATTGCAGGCGTGAGCCACTGCGCCCAGCCTAGGTAGATCATCTTTTTAGCTCATTTTGTTAATGATTTCAGACTCAGATGGTGTAGGTAGAATCAGACTCACATCTTCCATTAATGTAATTATGAAGATGTGTGTGCATTGTGTTACTAATAAGTTGCTAAAACTAGTTTCATTTTGGAGAAAGCTTTTTTAAATATCTTCTAGTATTGCTTTGAGGATCCAGTTTAAGTAGAACATGCGAAGGGGAGGTCACAATGTCTGGCACATAGTAGTTCAATAAAAGTTAGTTTCTTTCTCATCTTTAATTAAAGAGTGTTAAAATCTTATTTTGTAGGAAAAAGCGAAAGTGTGAATGAGGATACATCGAATCCTATTTTAACTTAGACAGCAAGACTTGGCTAAGAGTCGCCAACTCTGTTTTGTCCTATTTTGCTCAGTTCTTTGCATGGCCTTCTATTTCTGTGCCCCACCATGGGGTTACACCCCTAAAACACACTGGCCCAGCATGATATGTGTGCTGGCTTGCCAGCCAAGTGGCCCGAAGCTCCTCTTGAGTGCACTGCAGTACAACCACTTGACTTGCTCTTTAACATAGTCCTGTGAGATGCCAGCTGCCATGACCAAGCAGTATTCCCACTCCTCCTCTACACTCTGGCAAGGCTTTCCTGGAACATCCCCATGCCCACATCTTTACCCAGTAACTCACTAAAGCCACTCTTGACTCAAGCAGGTGCCGTTCCTTGATCACGGAATCTACCTTTGATTTCATCAGGCCAGATTCACAAACAGAATGGGAGTGCTTTATCTATACCTTTGAGAGGATGGAGAGTGAAATAACTGGAAACACTGGGTTATCACAGCTTAATTTCATCCAGGCTTGGTGTCTTTACCAAAGATGGTTGGGGAAAGGAAGGGAGATTCATCTTGTTCAGGCAGTGATTTGCTCAGAATTTTACAAGACATACCCTATACAGACCTATTTGAATTCTACTGTGGGTTTATTGAACCAGTGTTGGAACAACTTCGCAAAACAGACCAGGCCAGTTAGGTACAGCCTCATGAGTTGGCAGGTAGCAGCAGCCCGTGTCTTCCCTAAGATGACATTCCCTGCCCAAAACACTTCTGTGAAAAGTACAGAATAAACAGCTCAGAGAATACAGTGTAAGTTACCCGCAGAAATATAGTACTTCTTTCTAGAAGTTTACAAACTGTCCATGTTTATCCCTTGCCATATAGCAATCACTACTATTAGTGCTGTACTTAATTATTTGTTTATCTGATTTCTAATTGTTAATGCTTCCCCCAAATATTGTGTGACATTTGTAATTAATAAAAATCACTTAACGATGAATTGGTGAGCAGTTCATGTTTGTGTTTTTGCTTAATTACTGAAAGTTGGTTGTAAGTTCTGGGGGCAGGGTGCACATTTTCAAGGGTAGATGATTTGGGGTCTTTTGTGAGTGGGAAGCTGTCGACTCAAGTCACATTTAGTACTACTAGACAGTGGTTTTCTTAGTGTGGGCAGGAAGTCCAAGAATTTGAAATGGTTATATTTAAACCTGACCTTTTGAGTGGCGCACTGGCGCACTGGTAATCCCTGGGGATTGCAGTTGGACCCTGCAGGCCCCGTACATAGAAAGGGTTTCTGTGTTTCATCTGTGCCATTACCTCTGTCTTTCTTTTTGTAAACATTTAATTGGAGGTGATTATCAAAATCACTTAAATGGAGTAACTCACCTTTCTTCTTGTCTGTTTTCTGGCGATGTCAGTAGTGAGGAGTGGAATAACTAGAAGGGAGTGGCAGGGCAGCAGCCTGGCCCGAGGGAAGGAAGGGTGCCCTTGACACATTGGGCGGGTTTGGCAGCTTAACTGTGACTGACTTTCATTTTTTTCTGTTACACGTTGAGAAAAAAACTAAATGTGATTTTTCCATAAAAATGCTGATACAAATGTCCAAAACTTTTCTATGTTAAATAGTCTTTTACATTTTTATGCATATAGGTTACAACCTGCCATATTCATTCATCCAGTGATGATGAAATTGACTTTAAAGAAACGGGTTTCTCACAGGATTCTTCTTTGCAGCAAGTGAGTCACGCCTAAAGCTTTGCTTTTTGTTTTTATTTTAAATGCTTAGTTTAGTTGCCTTTTATGAATCAGCTTCAGAGTCAGATTATGTATTAGAATGTGATTTGGGGTTACTTATTAGTTAGACCAAAGCATTTAAAATAGGAAGTGCTGGGTAAATGAAAGATAGATTTGTATTGGTTATGTTTCAAGGGATTGTTCCATCCCTGATAACAGTGATGAGTCAAGTACATTTTCAGAAGATTTGAATGAACTGAATAGTTAAGAAGGCATCTCACACATGCTTGTTACACAGACCTTTACAATAGTTGAGTTGTTGCTTAAAGATTTGTGTAGTAGAGATCTGCTGGTAAAAATAATAGAAATAAGACGTTTAAAATGTAAGTAAAAGTAAACTCTCACGAATACCCCTGATGTAAGTTCTATTATAGTTACATCTAAAGTAAATTTTTAGTTGAAGTAATTCATTGCAACCCCTCTCTGCCTGCCCCTGAATTTATCATCTCCCTTTACCACCTGCTTATAATCTTTGTGGGGGAAAGCCTCGATATGAATAATAAATGTACTGATTTATCATCCATTGTTAGTTCTTGGAGAAGTGACAAATGATTTCACTTCTCTACTAGGTATGGGAGTGAAAAACAGAAGCCCTTTTGCAGGCTATCAGCTTTTCATATGGAGAAGTTGTCCTTAGCCAGGACCAGAATGCCTTGGCTTACATGTTGCTTTGGTGCAGCAATAGAATTAACGGGGACACCTTCCCACCCAGCACAGAATGTTGTTGCTTGGCTTCTTTTTTTTAGTCTCTAAGCTTCGTCTTAGATGAAGCTTCACATGCTTATGCTGGCCCTGTCTTTTGGCTTGTAAGTCTTACACCTGTCATATTCCAGTATTGGTTGAGCTAAGCAATTGTTTGATTTTAATACTCAGACAGTTTAGAGTTTACCTTTCCCAAATAGGTCTGAAGTAGCATTTCAGCATTTGGCTGACTTCTCTGTTGATTCTTGACACTTCTGCCTTTGACAGCAGATTTCCGGAGGTTAGGGTCAGGAAGTAGCCAGTCCCTAGGGGGCACTGTTGAGCAGCTCTCACAGCTTCCTGCCTTGGCTTGCTATTAGGCTGCACGGGCCGTGGCGGTGGCCCACCATGGCTCATTGTGAGCCCTCGTGCCTGCAAGCAGCCCTTTTCCCAGAGCGCTCTGGTATTGTCCCAGGAAGCACCTGGACAATGGGCTCTCCCTCCACTGAGGCACCTGTAGAGTACTGAAATAGTCCACCCAGTTGGCCATGAACCTGAGTGCTGTACATTGGTCCACCCCTAGAATGAAGCTTGATGATATCAAATGTAAATTATCAAGGTAATTTTGTACCTGTTGAAATACAGCTTTAAGAAAAAGAACACCTTACTAGTAATAATGATAAACTTGGAACTTCGGCTGTCAATTTAGTCTAGATTTGGTTAAATTTAGGCATTTGGAAAGTGGATTCCTTTATTTCTCATGATATCTGGTTCCAGGGTCATACCTGTTCTGGGGAGAGTTTTCTTACATTATTTTGTTTGTTTGACCGACAGCTCACGTGCGTACGAAGCCATTTCATTCACAAAACTAACTTACAACAGCCCTTGCCAAGCTCTTAGCTTGCAGAATTTACCCACTTCATATGAACTTTTCAAAGTGGAAGAATAATTACTCTTTTCTGATTGACAAGCTTCCAGTACATTTTTCTTTGCATGTTTAAACCAATCATGGATCATTTTGAAAATAAATACACTCCAAAGCACTTCTTAAAATTTTGAGAATGCAAAAAAGGTCTTGGTTAATTTATTAGAGTTTCATCATAGCCTCCATTAAGATCAGAATATTAGTTTGTAGACTTGAACTTCAAGTTCTCATTCACGTTTGAGGTTGGGCATCATGTTGATAAAGTCCCCGAATGTAGAGAGCTCAGGGCAGATAATTTAACCAGGTAACCCAGCCACGTCACCAGTGGGGAGTGCCTCCAGGCGTTTGTGCCCTGCCCATTTGCTTCTCCCTTTAGCCTTGTCTGGTCTCCTAAAGTCTGGTGTTTGACTCCCCACCTCCCTGATTCTGCCTTATAGAGTTTGGAGGGTGAGGCCCCCATGGAGGTCTGGAGAATTCAGACTGACTGCCGCATATGGGCTCTGAAACACTGACTCATCATTTCCCACTACCTCACATCACATACGGGCTTGCTGGTAGGCAATTAGGCCACATTTAGTTGACCAGTAGTTTCTGTTGCCTGGGTGGCATTACTGTTAAGAGATTTGCTTAAAGTGGTTGGCTCACTTCTCAGTGACTTGAACAGTTTCTGACTTTGGCCAGGATGACAGTACTAGGAAAGTGTGCTTTTTAAAAATAATTATACAGCTATATTGTGCTTTCCAGATATAGGTTTCTCAGAGTTCAAAGCACTTTTTATATACCTTTAAATAGGATACAATAACAGTCTTCACTTACATATATTTGTAAGTTTTGGTAGCTTTATTAGTAAAAATGAGATTTGAAATGTGAAGTTCTTTGCTAGAAGCTGTAATTGACTTAGAACTAATGAGGATTACATCTGATCATTTTCCTTTTTTCTGTGCATTATTGCATGGAAGTTACTAGTGTCTGTGTCAGTTGCTATGTATCTCTCCAGATGGATGAATAGATAAATATATATCTGTATATGTATTCTGTATGTACATGTATGTATGTATACATTCATATTTAGTATTTGCATTCTATTTTTGAAGCATTTAAAATATAACAACATTTTGGGGAATATTTCTTCCCCTTTACACCCAGGAGAATCACATTAGGATCACTAGAGGTATAACAGTTTTGAGAGAGCTGGCTGCGATGGCATGCACCTGTAGTCTGGCTGCTCTGGAGGCTGAGGTAGGAGGATTACTAGGAGGTAGGAGTCTAGGAGTTTGAGTCTAGCCTGGACAACATGGCAAGACCCTGTCTCTTAAAAAAAATTTTTTTTTGGAGGGGAAAAATAAAACAATTGGGAGGGAACTTTTCCCTCACGTGACCACATTTCTGATCTGTAGATAAACTCAGAGCGTGGTTCATGCTGCTTACTCAACAGAATCACTTCATGGTTCTTTACCAGATCTTTGAGGTACTGAGCATCTGTTTTGCCTCATAAAAGATAAAGCTGCAGTTCAGAAGAACTGATTTCTTTTTGATGTAATTAATATTAATGCTGGCTGTCATTGTCCATTCATAGGTCCAGAACTCAGCTCAGCAGCCCAGGACTTGTCCCTACCCTTCTGCTTTCAGCCAGACCCCCGTGCTCAGCCTTGGTTTACACTCCATGCCTTACCAAGTGGCCATTCCACAGCCAGTCGCTTGCTGCCCCCTGCTCCCTGCCCCCATGTGCTCATCTAATATCACCTCTGGGGGCAAGAAAGGGGGCAGCACAAAAGTGGGAGTGAGCAGAGGGGCAGTGGGTGTGCTGTTGTCTTGCATGAGCGACAAGGGAGGTTTTGGGTTCTCTCTGTCTAGTCAAACTAGACATATAGAGCTTTTCTTCAGACCTAAGCAGTATAGATACCTTCCAAAGCCTAATATAAGGTTTATTTTTAAATTATCTGCAATAATTATCCATGCCATAATTCCCTGCCACCAGAATGAGTAATCAGGAATTAATGGTAGAGGCATTTCTGCAGTGTACATCTGCAAGGTGGAATCTGGAGGCTCTGCCCATATGTGGAACCAAGGAGAAGGTGGTTTAATACAGTTACAGCTGCCTCCTTCCCAGCAAATGCCAGTGGGAGTGATGCCTTCAGTTGAGCCAACAGCCGCCTCCCTGCCCCTCATGGGCTCACCCACAGAAAACGGCAGTCTCATCTGTATGCAGCTCTGGTCACTGTATTTATTGTTTGGGTTAGAATGAGGAGGTGGCACTAGTTTGTCTTCATATGTTCTTTACTCCTGATTAATACGTAAGAACATACTTGCTGATTTCACTTGCTTCTTTGGGCCTGCTTGTTTTAAATTAGAATATCAACATTTTCCTGGGGTCCATTATAACACCCCCCCCCCCCACATTTTCAACTAAAAACCCGAACAAGTCTGGTACTCTCTAGATTTGGTGTTAAGGAAACAGAACTGGCTCCTCTGTGGGTCTTCTAGTGTTAGAGACTTTTCAGAGTGATTTTGGATAAATAGTCAAACGTTTACTCTCTTCATAAGGTAGGTAGGGTAGAAATTATTTTCGTTTTATATTCTTCCCAGCCTCTAAGACTTAATTTTTTTAAAAAAAGAAATGAAATGTCCCTGAACATTTTGTTTCTAGGATTATGCTTGTGTTCATCAGTCGGTTTTCCTCTGGTGTGATTTTGCTGTAGTAGATTGGGGGTGGAGGAGGTGGCAAGGAGGGAGGGGGTGGTCACCACTTGTTGGATCTTAGGATAAAGTTGGTTGTGTCCAGAGGTGACTGATACACCTTATAATTTCAGACTGTTCCATGTCATGTGATCACTTTAAACTAGGCTTAATCCAAACCTCTCTCTAAAGATAATTCACAATAGAGGACAGAGTGGTCACATAGTGTTTCTTACAGTGACATGTGCATTAGAATGATTTGTAGACCAAATTTCAAACGTTTCCTTTTTTGGCAAATTGTGTCTGAAATTATTTGATTTTTCTTTTAGAAAAACACACCAACTTTTATAGCCCTATGGCTATGTAAATAAGATGATTTCTGGAACACAAATGGGCAAATAGTATGTAGAATATCATTAGAATCATTATATCACTGTCACTGGTCCTGGGGTTGCCAGGCCTTTTCTGATTATCAGATGCAACAAATGACGTCCAATTTTATTGACCAGTTTGGCTTCAACGATGAGAAGTTTGCAGATCAAGATGACATTGGCAAGTGAGTATGTTTTTCTGTTTCCGCTGTTGCTCTTGCACACCCTTGCTCTTGGTAGATGTATGTGTGATTCTGCGGGATTCTTAGTCTTGAGCATTCGTGAGTGGGAGGAACCTGCTCTTTCCACGGTGTTCCTCTAGTTCCAGCAGATTGGCCCTGGGACTGGATAATTAGGACTTAAAATAACACTGCAGTGGCCGGGTGCGGTGGCTCATGCCTGTAATCCCAGCACTTTGGGGGGCTGAGGCAGGCGGATCACTTGAGGTCAGGAGTTCGAGACCAGCCTGGCCAACATGGTGAAACCCCGTCTCTACCAAAAATATAAAAAATTAGCCAGTTGTGGTGGCAGGCACCTGTAATCCCAGCTACTCAGGAGGCGGAGGTTGTAGTGAGCTGAGATGTGCTATTGTACTCCTGCCTCAGTGACAGAGCATGACGTGGTCCCTTTTTTTTGGAGACAGAGTCTCATTCTGTTGCCCCGGCTGGAGTGCAGTGGCGCTATCTTGGCTCACTGCAAGCTCCACCTCCTGGGTTCACGCCATTCTCCTGCCTCAGCCTCCTTAGTAGCTGGGACTACAGGTACCCGCCACCGCACCTGGCTAATTTGTTGTATTTTTAGTAGAGACGGGATTTCACCATGGTCTCAATCTCCTGACCTCGTGATCCGCCTGCCTCGGCTTCCCATAGTGCTGGGATTACAGGCGTGAGTCACTGCGCCTGGCCAAGACTCGGTCTTTAAAAAAAAAAAAAAAATCACTGCAAGGAAAGAAGCATTCACCTATAGGGTTTGACCTCTTTCACAGAAGCCTATTGTTATTAGATTACACTTTTAGGAATTCAAGTCACTGTTCTTAATTCTAGCTCTTAACGTTAAATAGTATTATCTATAAAGTCCTTAATCCTGGCCTGGCATAGTGGCTCACACCTATAATCCCAGCACTTTGGGAGGCCGAGCCGGGCGGATCACTTGAGGTTAGGGGTTCGAGACCAGCCCGGCCAACGTGGCAAAACCCTGTCTCTACTAAAAATACAAAAACAATAGCCAGGCTGGGTGGTGTGTGCCTGTAGTCCGAACTTCTGAGGAGGCTGAGGTGGGAGAATCACTTGAACTTGGGAGGCAGAGGTTGCAGTGAGCCAGGATTGCACCACTGCACTCCACCCTGGGCAACACAGGGAGACCCTGTCTCAATAATAACAATAACAATAATAATAATAATAAAATTATTAATCCCTGTGTTGTTGACTGGGGCATCACGTTCCAGCAGATGACCAGGTTGGCAGGAAAAGCTCTGCCCTACATGTATTCTCATCTCTAGGTGACTCATCAGAAGGTAGATTTGGGTTTTTTGCAAGAGCCAGACACACTAACCACTCATTTTGCAGTCAGGGTAAGAAGCAGAGAAATGAGAATTATTGATACTGTACAGAATTAACGAGTAGAAAATGTGTAGGTAGTTAATAGAAATGAAAACAGGTGGTCTAGCATCTGACATTGGGATAGAAGAGATTTATAAACAAAATATTTTGAGGTAGATATTATAGCTCATTGACACAGAGTTTAAGAAAAAAAATGAAGGCAGCTGGTATTTGAATATTGGATGATGATTCTCACAGGAGACACGGTTATGCCACAGACACCCAGTATCTGCTGTGGTCTTTGGAAGCAGTAAATTCTCAATAATTTGTTGAACCACAGCCAGTGGAGCCTGTTGTTTGTCACAGGTTGCAGTTTGCAGTATGTGAGAAGCTAAAATATTTTTACAGCACGCTCTTAATTGTGCTATAAACATGCCGTATGGGCACAGTGGAATGGAGGTGCCGCTGTAAACAGCAAGAGTTGAAGGCTGTTACGTGCCTTGAGAATTGGCTCATTTTAACTCAAAAAGAGCAAGAACACAAGATATTCTGTCCATACCCCAGGAGCATTCTACTCAGGCTAGGATCCACCACCTCACACCAGACCCTGCAGGTCCCTGTTTGGTGTCTCGACATTCACGTGCCTGGACTCTTGCTTCATCTTCCTAGTTAGGATCTGTAATCTCTTTACAGTCTGTATTGCATGCTTGGACTAGTGATTGAGTGGAACAAATATTTTAAGAATCATAAGATAGCCCCTCCTCTTCAAACTTATGTTTAATAAGCAATGAATTCTTTTACTCCCTCCTTGCTTTTCTAGATGATATCTTGTTAACAGCATAAGATTTCATGGGTGTCTATGTATTTTGTGTATGAGTTTGACTATCCCTGGAGAAAACTCAAGTGTCTGACAGCTTTTGTATACTTCATGTTTTGACTTGGTTCTTTGCAAATAACCTTTTTCTTGGTTATATTAGTATGGCCCATGGAACTATGGTTGTTACCATAGATGTTAAAAATCTTTTATAGGAAGGATTCAAGGGTGTCCCAAAGGCTTTATGTCTCAGAAGGCTTCTATTGCAGCCCTCCTATCCTACATAAATTCATTAATACCAAGGGAGCTGGCATCATTTAATATAAGAAGGTTGTTTCTGTTTGTTTTTTATTTATAGAGATTTTGATGATAGTGTAAATATCTTAAATTTGGAAACTTTCATAAATACGGTTTCTGTGAGCTGATAGTAATTAATGCTTCCTACACTTTTATTTTGTTTTTTTACAGTGTTTCTTTTGATCGAGTATCAGACATCAACTTTACTCTCAATACAAATGAAAGTGTAAGTATAAACTCTGTTGTGAGCAGTGTGGCACATGAGAGGTTAAAAATTGGGTGAGTCCCTGTGTGGATGCCACATGCTGGGACCCCTGTGCTCTAGAGCCCTAATCCTAAATTGGTGTTACATACTTCACTCTGTCCCACGGCCTACCTGGCACCCGTGGGCATGTGATTTTTGCAGCCCTGGTTTATGACTTGGTGGAGCTAATAAGACCAGGGTCACTTGTGATTGCAGCGTAGACACTTGACTTCAAAGAGAAGGCTGCAGTTTGACACCAACCCACTGCCTTTGACTCCTTTGTATTGCCAGGAGAGAAATGTGGACTGGGTCAGGGCAAGCCCCTCGTTACTAGGCATTTCTGTGGAAACACCGAGACAGTCGTGTCACCTGAATGGAGACAGTTTATTGATTTTATGTTGACTAGCATGAGAGACCACTGGCTTATTTGCTGATGGAGTAAGGTAGGAACTGCTGATTTGAGCCATTGAAGGTTATCACTGCTCAGCTGGACTAGTAAAAGCAAATAAGTACGGTTGCTTTTCCTTGCTAGGACAGACCTGGGACCGCATCTCCAGGACAGGGGAGGCTCCTGGGATTACAATGATGCTTTGATGAGATGAAAGAGGATATGGTCTATGCTTCTTTTTGCTAGTCTTTTTAGGGAAACCCAGTCTTTTTTTAGGGGAATTCTTGTTACGGACACAGAAACTAATGTTAGGTGTTTATATTTTATTTTGGTGTATGTGATAGGCACCATATTGTAAAGCAGTGAAAAAATGCAATTTACATTGGTAATGCTTAAGAGAAGATAACTTGACTTTAAATTTATTTTGTTGTTTTTTTCCTCTCATTTTTATTTAGGGAAATATTGCCTTGTTTGAAGCATGTTGTAAGGAAAGAATACAACAGTTTGATGATGGTGGCTCTGATGAGGAAGATATATGGGAGGAAAAGCACATCGCATTCACACCAGAATCCCAAAGACGATCCAGGTGAAAGATAGTTGGTTATAGTTGTAATTATAGCCAACCTGTAAAGAAAATGATTATCATGAGACATACATTGTGTCATCACCAAACATACATGTTAACCCAGAAACCAGTGTTTTTTTTTGTCATGGCCAGAAATGCCCTTGTTGGCGGGAGTTGGTGCTTCCAGTGTGACAGTGATCTGCTGGGAAATGCTGCAGGTGTTTAGACACAGTTCGTGAGGTGTTGGGGCCCAGCGTCTTCCAAAGGGGAAATGTTGCAGACAAGCGTAGTCACATAGTGCCTTTTACTAAATAAATGTTCCGTCATCAGTAATTACAACAGCAGTTATGTGTTGTTTCTTGTAAAAGATGGAAAACTTCCCAAAGGAAGGGGAAATTGTATTTAAAAGTTAATCTATTTGGGGAAGATAGGGCCATGTCAATTAATATATCTGGGTCAATCCAGTCCTTTTTTTTTTTAAATCATCCGTATCACAGGAACCTAAATAAATGATGCTTCTGTACACAGACAAATCTTGTTATATGAGCATTCATTGTCAGAATCTTCATATTTAAGAGAGAGGAATATTTGATCAGCAGCTTAAGAGAGGAATATTTGAACAACAGCTGAACTTTCATTTTTATTTCATTTATTGTTACTCATTTTATTCATTTACTTATAATAAGTAATGTTTTCACGTGGCCTAGAATTCAAAGGGAATCAAAGAGTATGCAATGAAAAGTAAAACTGTCTCATCCCTTCTTCCAGCCGTCCAGTCCTCTTGCCGGGGAGTCCCTCAGCATCACCTCTCGCTGCCAGTTATGTTGCCTCTTGTGGGAATGCTTGTTGCCACAGGTTATAGCAGACTCAGCGGTGGCTTGAGCAAGTAAAGCTGTGTTTGTCTCTACAGTCCAGAGTTGATAAGGGAGTTGAATAAGGCTGTTAGACCGGGCATCTTTTATTTATTCCTGCTCTCGTCTTCTGCATGTTGAGTTATCTCCTATGATCACAAGATAGCTGCTATAGCTCCAGAGCCAGACAGCAAAAGAAAAATACCTTCATGGCATTTTTGTTTGTTTGTTTGGATAAAGTCACACTCAGACTTGTTTGCCATCATTTACTGAGATTTTGTTTCTTATGTTGAATGGATTCACTAAATGATGCTTGCCCACAGCATGACTAATATGTATGAGGACAGTAATACAGTATATCTTCACAGAGCACCACGTGTGGAAGGCACAGAGAATTTAGTGTGTCAGGGAAGACTGTGTCCTGGGGGAGATGGCACCTGATACCCAGAGGGAACACTGATGACAGAAGGCAGCTTTTATTATTTAACAACTCTATTGAGGCATACTTGACGTAAACTGCATTTATTTCAGTTGTACAGTGTGGAAATTTCAACATGTATATACATCCGTGAAACCATTATCCCAATCAACATCATGAATTTAACCATCACCCCAAAAAGTCTTCTCATGATCTTTTGTAATACCTTCCTCTTTCCTGTCCCGTCCCCCACAACCGTCTGTTTTTTTGTTCTATTAGTTTGCATTTTCTAGAGTTTTATATAAATGAAATCAATACATTATACTTTTTTTGTCTAGCTTCTTTCACTCAGCATAATTAATGTGAGAGCTGTCCATGTTGTCTAATGTATTAGTAGTCCATTTCTATTTTTGTGGGGTTGGGCAGGGGCTGGGTAGTATTCCATTAAGAGGATACACTACAGTTTGTTTATTCATTTTCCTATTCATGGATGTTTTGGTTGTTTCTGGTTTGAGGCCTATAATGTCACTTGAAGATAGATTGTGATGTTAAAGGTGCATACTGTAAACCCTAAAATAGTCACTAAAATAACAAAACGAAAAGTTATTGTTAATAAGCCAACAAAGGAAATAAAATCAAATCATAAAATACAAAAGAAAGCAGAAAAAGAACAAAGGGCAGCCTGGACAAACAAAACTACTGAGCAGCAGAATGATAGAGTTAGTCCTAAATAACCATGTGAAACAAACGATGCAGACACCCTCATTTAAAAGACAGAGATTGGCTGGGCACAGTGGTTCACACCTAGAATCCCAGCACTTTGGTTGGCCAAGGCAGATGGGTTGCTTGAGCCCAGGAGTTTGAGACCAGCCTAGGCAACATGGCAAAACCCTGTCTCTACAAAAAATACAAAAATTAGCTGGGCATGGTGGCGTGTGCCTGCTGTGAGGCGAAGCAGGAGGATTGCTGGGAAGTCGAGGCTACAGGGAGCCAAGATAAAAAAACAAAAAACAAAGATGGTCAGTTTGGATAAAAAATGAGGCCTAATTAATGCTGCCTATGGGAAATGATTTAAATACAAAGAAACAAGTATATATGAAAACACAAAAAAGAACAAGATATGTTAACACTAAGAAAAAGCCAGAAGGTCTGTATTAATCTCAAAAGATTTCAAAGGAAAGGGATAAAGAAAGTGATATAATGATAAAGGGGTCAATTCATTAAGAGGACATAGCAACTTTAAATGTTTACACAACCTAATAACTGCATTCTAGCCTAAGCGATATAGACCCCCGTCTCTTAAAAAAGGGGGAGAGAGAGAGAGAGAGAGAGAGAGAGGAGAGAGGAGAGAGAGAGAGAGAGAGAAAAAGAGAGAGAGAGTGAGAGAGAGAGTGAGAGAGAGAGAGAGTGAGTTAAATATGACTGGGCATGGTGGCTCATGCCTACAATCCCAGCACTTTGGGAGGCCAAGGCAGGAGGCTCTCTTGAGCCCAGGAGTTCGAGACCAGCTCGAGGAACATAGGGAGACCCCATCTCTATTTTTTTAAAAAAAGAAAAAATTTAAATATGTAGGGACAAATCTCACAAAACATGTCCAAGACCTGTATGCTGAAAAGCCTAAAGCATAGCTGAGATAAAGACAACTTGGTAAATGTTTATAAGTAGGAAGACTCAGTATTATAATACTAAGCTGCCAGCTCTCCTCCCCAGGTTGAATCTATAGATTCAACACAAACAAAATCCTTCCAGCCTTTTTTGTAGCTATTAACAAGCTGCTTCTTAAATTCATATGGAAATGAAAAGGATCTAGAATAGCCAAAGCAACTCTTATAGAGAACAACAAAATTGGAGGACAAACACTACCTTATTTTAAAATTCAATAGTTAAAACAGTATGATATGGGCAAGAAGGTAGGGCATAGATCAGTGGAACAGAATAGAGAGCCCATAAATACAGGCCTACGCATATATGGACAACTGACTTTTGATAGAGGCGAAAGGCAATTCAGTGAAGAAAGGATAGTCTTTTCAACAAATGGTGCTGGAACCATCAGGCATCCATATTCAAAAAAGTGAACTGATTCGTACCTCTTACTATATAATACATTAACTCAAAATGGATCTTAGACCCAAATGTGAAACATTAAACTATAAAACTTCTACAAGAAAACTTAGAAAATCATTGTGACCTTGAGTTAGACAAAGATTTCTTAGATGTATCACCAAAAACACAATACATAAAAATAATTTTTTTTTTTTTTTTTTTTTTTTTTTTTTTGGAGACGGAGTTTTGTTCTTCTTGTCCAGGCTGGAGTGCAGTGGCGTGATCTCAGCTCACTGCAGCCTCTGCCTCCCAGGTTCAGGTGATTCTCCTGCCTCAGCCTCTGGAGTAGCTGGAATTACAGGTGCCCGCCACCACACCCAGCTAATTTTTGTATTTTTAGTAGAGATGGGGTTTTGCCATGTTGGCCAGGCTGGTCTCAAACTCCTGACCTCAGGTGGTCTGCCCGCCTCAGCCTCCCAAAGTGCTGGGATTACAGGCGTGAGCCACCATGCCCATCCATAAAAGAATGATTTTAGTAAGCCGAACATCATCAAAATTTAAAATTTTCACTCTTCAAATGACACTTTTAATAGAATGAAACGACAAACCATGCACTGGGAGAAAACATTTGCAAATGACACATTAGATAAAAGACTTGTGTATAGAGTTAAGAAATCTCTTTACTCAAGAAAAAGACAATTCAGTTTTTAAAAAGCACAAAAGTGTGAAAAGACAGTTAAGATATAAGATGGCAAATAAGCATTTAAAAAGATGCTCAACCTCCTTGGTCATTAGGAAAGTACAAATGAACACCACAGTGAAATGAACACCTCCACCCCTTCGAGAAGGTGGTTCTTAGATTGTGGCCTCCACTTTAAGCAGAGCCCATGTGTTCCTGTGGTGGAGGCTTAGTGTGAGGTTGGGCAGCACGCACGCAAAGCTGAGTCTTCCCGGGCATCCTGACCACGTGGTGCTCAGACAGATGTGATCCTGCTGAAGCACCACAGGACCTTTTGTTGCTGGATGACTGTTAGAATTTTCTGGATTTAGCTGGTGGCTGATAAGCAGTGTTAAATACTTGGGTCTTGTTTTTCCTTAGCTCGGGGAGTACAGACAGTGAGGAAAGTACAGACTCTGAAGAAGAAGATGGAGCAAAGCAAGACTTGTTTGAACCCAGCAGTGCCAACACGGAGGATAAAATGGAGGTGGACCTGAGTGAACGTAAGTGGATTCATTCTTCAGATCAGCTGCCCTGTGTTGGAATTAGGTATTGTGAACAATTGGCAAAGGAGCAGTTCACAGCATCTGAGATGATATCTGAAGGAAAGGTTGGGTTGAAGCGTGTTGTCAAGTGAATTCCTCTTGGAGGTTTAAGTTTCAGAGACAGCTTCAGGGAAGGAGCACAGAATGCATTTGTGGATAAGGTACCTCCCCTTCCTGGTAGGAAATGAACGTCAGCTGTGTGGGTCTGGCTGGAGGACAGAGCCCACTGCTAGGTCAGTCTTCTGGCTGTGTACCCTGTGTGCTCTTGCAGAAGGAAAAGGCCCTGTGTTGGTGGGAAGAGGAGGACATGGTTGTGTTGTGTGGCTTCGTGAGTGGAATCAGCCAGGGGACGCAGCCTTAGCTTAACAAGCATTTCAGTGCGTTCTTCGTAGTTGATTTCAGAAGCTCACAGCCTTGAAACTTGTCCAGCTGAGTGCTTGCTTGTGCCCTGCTCCTTGCTAGGAAGACTTGAGTTAGCTGGCCTTTTAAAAATACTTCAAAAACTTCTAAAGGTTTGGGAAACAAACGTTCATGTGAAGGAGCCATATGGGCTGATAGCGAGGCTTGCCCCAAGCCTGGCCAGTCTCTGATTGCCCTGCAAGGCCTTTTTTATGTTCATCCCAGAGGCTGAAGCCCAGCTAGGGTGGACCTTGTGGTGACTTCAGAGCTAGATGGGACCAGATCAGTCATCCAGCAAACTGCCACATGTTGCAGATAAGGAAACGGGATGGGAGAAGAAGAGAGATCTTCTTTCTGCTGCCTGTTTTCCAGCCCACCCTCAGGAGGAGGAAGTGGACTTTTCTGTCCGTAATTCAGTTTCAGTCAACATGCCTTTGTCAAGTTCCTACTGTATGCCAGGTGTTAGGCCTGTAACTGTGAACGGGCCACAGACTCTGCCTCCAGGGGCTTGGGGTCGGCTGGGGAAGCAGATGGGCAGTGCAGGGGAATGGGTACAGGGTGCTAGAAGAGGGGAGCCTTCCATTAGGCCTCTTTGTAGAGGCAGGTGGGTATGAGGCTGAAGGACCCGTAGGGATTTGCCCGTGCGAGAGAGAAAACAGCTAATCCAAATGCCCAGAACGTGCTGTTTTGCATGGCTCGGGGATGAGGTGGCGGGAGCGAAGGCCAGAGGCCAGATCAGGAGTTGTATTCTGAAGGTTGTAGGGAGCCCTTGAGGATTTGACTAAGAAGATCATTATTGGTTCTGTTTCAAGACATTCATGGCAACAGTGAAAAATGGACGAGAAAACGCATGGTAGAGACAGGAGAACCATGAAGACATTGAACTGTTACACATGAGAAATAATGAGAACTGCAAGATGGGCTCCAGGCAGCAGGGAGGTGTGAGGAGGAGACAGGGCAGATGCCCTGATCTGTTGGCTCTGGAATCTGTAGGGTTTGTTGTTGTTGTTGTTGGTTTTTTTAATGTACAGTTCAAGGTTGGGTGCAGTGGCTCAGGCCTGTAATCCCAGCACTTTCTGGAGGCCGAGTCAGGCGGATCACTTGAGGCCAGGAGTTCGAGACCACCCTGGCCAACAGGGTGAAACCCTGTCTCTACTGAAAAAAAAAAAAAAAAGCTGGGCATGGTGGCATACACCCATAGTCCCAGCTACTCGGGAGGCTGAAGCAGGAGAATCGCTTGAACCTGGGAGATGGAGCTTACAGTGAGCCAAGATCATGCTGTGCACTCCAGCCTGGGCGACAGAGTGAGACTCCATCTGGGGAAAAAAAAAAAGTACAGTTCAGTAGTATATTCACACTGTTGTGTAACAGGTCTTTAAAACTTTTTCATCCTAAACTAAAACTCTGTACCCATTAAACAATTCCTCATTTCTACTTCCCCAGTCCCTAGCAGCCTCCATTCTACTCTCTGTTTCTCTGGGGTTGACTAGTCTAGGGATCTCATATAAATGGAATCATACAGTATTTATCTTTGTGACTGGCTTGTTTCCCTTAGCATAATGTCTTCAGAGTTCATCCCTGCTGTGGTGTATACAGGATTTCCTTTTGTTCGAAGGCCGAATGACATTCTGGAATCTTTGGTTCTTTTAGCAGGCTGGGTATGGTTAAGTGACAGGGAGGGAAACACACTTGGCTGGACTGCGTGCCGCTGCTGCTGTGACTGTGGGCCTGGGTGTAGGGATAAGCAGCGAGGAGGCGAGCACCCTGGATGAGGTTCGCGTTTACCTACCTCCCGGGGTTAAGTGTGGCAGGGAACCAGGCCTCCTGCTTCTCTGTTCCTTGGGAAAGACAGCTTTTGCATCTTCAGATCTCTGGAGACACAAGTGGGTAGGGTTGGGGAAGATTCTCTCTCAGGGCTTCAGGGCTACAGGGTTGCCCCAGAGAGCCTCTGCCATTCCACCAGTCTCTGTGGCTTCTGTTGGAGGTTTTGTGGACATTCAGAATCATTTAAAATGTTACACGGACTCTGAGGAGCTCATCTGGGAAAGACTATCTCAAAGAGATAACAGAAAAGTCATTTGTGTGTAATATAATTTAGTTGTAGAGTAGAACTCAGATAGAATGATTCCAGAGCTTTGCATAGAGTGGGCAGGCAAAAATAACTGTCAAGTTGACTTTTTGGAGGTTTCAGGTGAGATTTTCAAACATTCAAGCATTTATTCCTTCTTGGTGTCAGTGGAGCCCTGTGACACTCACACAGGTAGGTGGGCAAGAAGCATGGAGCGCACCCTAATTAAATGCCTACTCTGTGCAGGCCCTCCTGTGATCTTTGCTAAGTGAATAGTCATTATGAAATCAAACAGATGAAGTCAGATATCTTGGGGAAAGTCACAGTCAAGTCTGTCTTTAAACTCAGAACATTTCTATTCTACACGGGTACTTCTTAATCTTAGTCACTTGTGTCTGGGTTAAGCCCTTAAATAACTTATACCAGTTTCCCTAGCATTCCTTCCTGCAACCTAGAGATTCCTAATTATGATAATATCCCTGATGGAATGCAGTGGTTCCCACATCTGGCTTGTCCCCAGCAAAGAATTGAGGATTCAGCACTCTGTGAAGGAAAAGCATGGTGTGCAGTTAGAGCAGATCCACAGTGACCTGACTTCATCAGAAGGGACACATGTCTGAGGAGGTGACATTTAAGGAGAGACCTGCAGATTAGACCCAAACTTGGCCAGCAGGCAGCATAGTAAGAAGAGCCCCACAGACCGTAAGTGTGCTCAAGCAAGTCCTGCCGCTTCAGCCTCTGAGGCCAGACCTGGTTCTGCAGGACTTAGGAAGCCTAACTGCAGTGCACTGCAGGGAGCCCGCAGAATGGGCGAAGTGCAGTCAGACCCGGACTGGGAAGCATTAAGGTTATTTCTAGTTTATTGGAGTTGAATAATCAACATGTTCTTTTTTTAGAAAAATAACCTTTTTACTTTTGAATAATTTAGATTTATAGAAACATTGCCAAGATAGTAAGTCTCCATATATCCTTCACTTAGCTTCCCCAAGTATGAATACAGCCATGGTACATTTGTCAAAACTAAGAAATTAACATTAATCCCTCTTTGTGCATGTAGCTTTGAATCTCTGTGTAGTATTTCTTTTGGAACAGTTGTTAGAAATGGGAGGTTTGAGGCCAGGCGCGGTGGCTCACGCCTGTAATCCCAGCACTTTGGGAGGCCAAGGCGGGCGGTTCACGAGGTCGGGATATTGAGACCATCCTGGCTAACACAGTGAAACCTGTCTCTACTAAAAATACAAAAAATTAGCCAGGCGTGATGGCGGGTGCCAGTAATCCCAGCTACTCAGGAGGCTGAGGCAGGAGAATGGCGTGAACCCGGGAGGCGGAGCTTGCAGTGAGCGGAGATCGTGCCACTGCACTCCAGCCTGGGCGACAGAGCGAGACTCCATCTCAAAAAAATAATAATAAAAAGAAATGGGAGGTTTGAGAATGTGGGATCATTGTTAGAGTGCCCTCCAGGTGGCTGTGCCCTGTCCGCTCCTGCCCTCATTGGTGAGAGTGTCTTTCTCCCACAGCTCCAGTCTCTTTTGCTAATGTGTTTTTGATAAATACCTTGTGGTACATGAAACGACTGAAGTGTTTTCCAAATAGAATTTCTCCCCTCTTTTTAGCACCCAACTGGTCAGCTAACTTTGATGTCCCAATGGAAACAACCCACGGTGCTCCATTGGATTCTGTGGGATCTGATGTCTGGAGCACAGAGGAGCCGATGCCAACTAAAGAGACGGGCTGGGCTTCTTTTTCAGAGTTCACGTCTTCCCTGAGGTGAGCGAACATGTGCTGTCTCTACACCCTTCCACGGGGGACCTGGGAATGGTCAGGTGTTTGCTGTTAACGTGTGTTCTTCACCTTGACTGACTTCCAAGTTGAATATACTGCCCTGAAAAAGATTAAACATCAGCATACTAACACAGCTCTGTGTTGTAAGAAGAACAATCACCATCTTCCTTTCCTTTCCTCCTGGATTAATTGGAAATGGGAGTAGTTCTTGAACAAAGTAGCTTGTGAGGATGCGGTCCCAGGGAGTTAGCAGGACGCAGCAGAAGATGCATCTCCGTGAGCTTTTCTGGCTTCATAGAGCTGTCAGGACAGAATTGAGGAGAAGAGGAATGAGGTGAAGCCAAGAAATCCTGACAGGCACAGCACCTCTGTGTGGGGTGTGGCAGGCAAACAAAATGGATCTTGAATTCAGTAGATAATATGAACTTACAGTTCACTTGCAGCTAGTCCAGTGCTGTCAATTAAGGGCTCCCAATCATTGGTAACTCGGAAGATAGGAAGACAAGCTGTTTTGGGCTGACAGTTAGTGTCTTAGACAAACCAAAGAATAGGCTGAAACCCATGTTGCTTTGTAGTAACCATAGTAATAGCATTAAGTTACTACTCAGAGGTACAAGTGAGATTTGTGAAAAATGTCTCCAAAATAATGAGTTATTTCGTCTACCCCGCTTTTCAGTACAGGACATACATTTCCGCCTACTCCTTTTTTTGGTCTGTTTATAACCCGAGGATAAGAGCCTTTGGTTACTTGAGGGTGTGATTGAAGCAGCTTGCTTCTCTTTACCCTCTGTGTGCACGTCTCTGAGTTTGTGGGAATGAGGGATAAAAGAGGAAGTGTAATGATCTCCCTCACCCCTACCCCTTACTGCTCAGGCATTTGGTGTTTTTTTACTATGTTTCCACAGTTCCAACAACAAATATCATTAAGAGGGCCAGTCTCTCCCAGGCAGTGTGGCTGAAAATAAGTAAAGGTTTTTGTAAAACCAGTCAACCTGATAAATACCGTTGCCATTGCACAATGTACGTCTTTGCTGTTCAAGCTCTGGGAGCCTCCTAGTGACTATGGTGGGATGAGAAGTTGGGACATGATGAGCCTGTCTAGAATGCTTTACAAAGTCCCTGTCTTACTGCCTTGCTGGCTTAACAGAACATTTGCCTGCCCGCACTCATGTCCTTCTTCAAACAGCTACTGGCACTTAGATCCATGTGTCACTGGAGTTTGTAACCCAGTGACTCTTACACAGATGCTAATGTCTCCTAACAAAAACTTACTTGTAAAGGCTTATTGTGAATCTTGGGGTAACTGAGGACCATTCCCTGCTGCTAATATCTGAATTTTCTCTTTTTTGAAAGCACAAAAGATTCTTTAAGGAGTAATTCTCCAGTGGAAATGGAAACCAGCACTGAACCCATGGACCCTCTGACTCCCAGTGCGGCTGCCCTGGCAGTGCAGCCAGAAGGTGCGTGCAGAGAGGCCTGGGTACACGCCAGGGTCACGTGGCTGCTTTGTCAAACCAGACCTGATTCTCAGGCTCAGGGGCTAGTGGAGCCCGGGAGTGAGATGGTGGGTCTGATGTCCACAGGGCAGCTGATGAAAGAAATTGTGCCTGTCCTTCTAGAACCACAGCATGCTGACTCTGGAAAGAGTAAGGGCTCTAAGTTACCAGGCATGCAGTGTGCAGATTAGGAAACTGAGGTCTAGAGGGAAGAAGGCCTAAGCCCATAGTACCCAGGGTGAATAAAACTGGAATTAGACGTGTGCAGCCAAGCCTGTGTGTAGTTGTCCCTTGGAGTTTGCTTTGCTCAAGCATGTAGGTGTATCTGGGTTTGTTTAGAGCTATGGGGCTGGTTATTTTCACTTCGCCATTGTAAGCAGATTGAATAGTCCTGGGAATCTCTAAAGTTCCAGTGGGTTTTCCTATTACTCTACCTAGTCAAATGTGTTCCTTGCACGGCCCTGAACTGTTTTCACCTTGATGGACGGGGCTTTGGGAGGAGGGGGATGCTAGCAAAGGGAGTGTGATGGGAACCAAAAGGATGTGGAGGGCACGAATCATGAGGTGGGCTTAAGGAGTGAGTTCTTAGAAAATGAAATGAGGTTTTGGTAGAGGGTGTGAGAACCCTCCTTCCCAGGGGCAAGGGAAAGGAATAAAACCAATAACTAATGCTGGTTTCATCATCCTCCTGAACATTTGATACAGATTCCCGCATTTGACTCCTCAGTGGTTCTGTAAGTGGGTGCACTGATCCCCTTTCCTGGATGAGGAAACTCAGGTTATAGATGAGGTTCCTTGTCCAAGTAGTCTACAGCTAGGAAGTGGTGATGTCGATGTTTGAATCCAGGAAGCCTCACCTCAGCCAGGCTCATCACCTATGTTGGCTTCCCATTAGAGAACAAAGAAACGATCCACCAGCAACACCACAAGAAAGTAATTTTTAAAACAAAGCAAAGCAAATAGAGC
Source organism: Homo sapiens (assembly GCF_000001405.40). NCBI lineage: Eukaryota > Metazoa > Chordata > Mammalia > Primates > Hominidae > Homo > Homo sapiens. The sequence goes on from NC_000011.10 coordinate 68,602,972, forward strand.
CCAACTGAGGAAAACAAGTGAGTAGAGGGTAGAGTGTGTAACTGCCTGCTCTGCCCCACACTGGAACAGTTAGGAGCACAAGTGTCTGCTGGGAGAAGCTGGGTATGGAGGTGGACGCTGAGCTGGGAGGGATGTAGGCGACTTGCTAGTCTCTAGTAAAGAAAACCCATGAAACCCCTCTTTAGTGGGCATCTTTAAGAAGTCTCTCCCCATCAAGAATGTGGCCCAGACAACAGCAGGCAGAAGCCATCTCACTCTTTTTTTTCTTCAAGCAGTAGATGTCACGTTGGGTAGATGGGTTTGTACAGTGGTGGGGTGCCAGTTCCTTTTCGGGCTTGCTGTGTGTGACCATCAGCTGTGTTCTTTTCAGCGGCAGGCAGTGTGGCCATGGAAGCCAGCTCTGACGGAGAGGAGGATGCAGAAAGTACAGACAAGGTAACTGAGACAGTGATGAATGGCGGCATGAAGGAAACGCTCAGCCTCACTGTAGATGCCAAGACAGAGACTGCGGTCTTCAAAAGGTAACCAGGGGTGAGATCCTGCTGGTAGCTTCAGGTTATTGGGAGGATGGTGGGGCAGAAACCTCAAACATTAAAATTTTTAATTTGATTCAAATGAATGTTCAGATACTAGCTTGATGTCTTTCTGTTGTCTCCATTAAACACAATAAATCTTAATGAAGAGATGGAGAGTTTAGGCCCCTAAGTGCCTTTTCCCCCATAAATGTGTTCAGAAGACTGTATTTTACATCTAGCAGTTTGATAGAACTATGAGAATTGATAAATCTTTAATCACAATAGAAATTGGCTTGTGTAACAGGCTACAGAGCATGGCCCATGAAAACCGGTTTCAGGTCGACTGGTTTTACAAAAACCTTTACTTATTTTCAGTAACATACAGATGATTATCTCAGGACATAATGCAGTCATGAAAATTCAGTAGCAAAATGATAGCTTTAAAAGAACGTGACCCTTAGAAATTCACTTCTAAACTCAAAAAAGGAATTGTAATGGATATTAAAAACCTAAAACTGAGAGAATAATGGGAAAAATGTCTGTCAAAACTTAAGGACTGAAGCTAAGCCTGTGCTTAGAGCTTTAGTCTTAGAGACCATTCCAGCCATTACAAGAAGGAATGCCTCCCTGCTTATTGCGAGGTCACTACAAAACAAGGAGTGAAAGAAGAAAACTGACTGTAGACTGATTTCATACATGAGCAATTATTCTCAAAACTTAAGTTAAAAGCTAGCAAACCAAATGTAGCAATGTATTTTAAAGTCATGACCAAGGATATGTGCTCCAGTGACACAATGTAAACACCAGTGTGTACATGGTAAAAATTATTCAGAGTAATTCCCAGACAAAAGGAGAAAAGCATTTGATTACAAATTAAAGCTGTTCATGATTTTCTTTGCAGCCTAGGAATAGAAAGTAAATAGGTGAAACTGGTAAGTATCTCTAGAAAATCTAGAGTAGACTTGATTCTTCAGTGAGGCATTAGAAGTATTCCCTTTAAAGACAAGAACCAGAAAGTGGGACCTACAGTTGCTATTTGTCTTCAGCACTGTGCTGGTGGCCTTAGCAAATGCAGCATTCCAAATAAATAAATAGTCGCTGTTGATAGGCTATGATTTATACATAAAAATTCCAATGGAATCTGTAGATAAGGATTAATAGAAAAGTTTAGCAGGTTTACTGGAGACATACAAAATCACTTGCATCCTATAAATCAATATAAGATATTCCAAATGTGCCTGTTTTTAATAAAAATGTAAAACCTTATCTATAACTAGGAATATGACCTTTATGGGAAAACAGTTTAAAATCTCATGGAATATATTGAAGACCTGAATATAAATACCAAGATTTGCCATGTTTATCAATGTGAAGATATTTTTAGCATTTCTGAACAAGTTAGTCTATGAAATTAATGAAATTTCCATCAAAATCCCAATAGAGATTTTCATGGAAATTGAGAAACTGATTGTAATAGTCATAAGACCAAAGAGAGCCAGGAATAGCCAAAAACATTTTAAAGAAAAAAGTGAGGGGCTTCACCATATTAGATATCAAGACTTAGTAAAGCTGGCCGAGTGTGGTGGCTTGCACCTGTAATCCCAGCACTTTGGGAGGATTAGGCAGACAGATTGCTTGAGCCCAGGAGTTTGAGACCAGCCTAGGCAACGTGGCAAAATCCTGTCTCTGCAAAAAATACAAAAATTAGCTGAGTGTGGTGGTGTGTGCCTGTGGTCCCAGCTACTTGGGGGTGCTGAAGTCGAGGCTGCAGTGAGCTGTGTCCCCCACTGCACTCCAGCCTGGGGGACAAAATGAGACCCTGTCTCAAACAAAAGCGAAAACAAAACTTAGTAAAGCTACTGAGATGGTGTGGCTTTGGCAAAGAATTATACAAAGAGACCCCCTCCACTACATGAACTTGTTACATGTTAGAATGCCATTATAATTCAATGAGGAAAGAGTGGACTAGTAAATAGTGATTATCCACATAGTAGAAAAATAAAATTAGATATTTTGTCTCAACATAAATATGAAAAGCATGAACTGTACAGCTTTTAGAAGACAACAAAAGAGAGTATCTTTACAGTTTGGGTGTAAGGCATTTTTTTAACCATAAAAAGCCAAACCATAAAGGAAAATCTTGGTAAGTTTGACTTTAATTTCTAATATCCCAGAAGACATAAAATGAAAAGACAAGCCACAACCAGTAAAGAACCAGTAGCCAGGATATTAGAAATAACCTTATATCAATGAGAGATAGTCTAATTTTTTTAAATGGACAAAGGATGCAAACAAGCAACTGTCTGTGGAGGAAAACAAGGAGCAAACCAAATCCAGAGTAAATGGGACCTGTCAGTTACAGTAGTAAGTAAATGCTATTTCGTGCTCACCAGTCTACTAATTCCTATCTTAAGTTGTTAGAGAAGATAGAAAAAGTACAAAACCTGCCCAGCTCTTTTTATGAGGGCAGTGAAATTTGAATTCCAAAACCAGATAAAGATAATTACAGAAAATGATCAGTTCATGCCACTTACAGGCTACTGAATGCAAAAATCCTGTGTAAGGTATTTGCTGACTGGATCCAACAGTGTATTAAAAATAATTTATAATGATTAGTTAGGGTTTATCCTGGAAGGCAAGGATGGCTCAAAGTCAGAGAAATCTGTCAGTTTAATCTCCATATATGGTGTTAGACAGAAAGTCAGTCATTTGATTTTTTTTATAAGGTTCCATAGCTATATATGATTAAAACTCTGAGAAAACCAGTAACAGAAGTGAATTTATTTTTCTTCTTTCCTCCTCTTCCTCCTCCCTCCTTCCTCCTTCTTTCTTCTTCTTTCTTCTTTCTTCTTCAAGATGAGTGCAGTGATGTGGATCTCGGCTCACTGCAATCTCTGTCTCCTGGGCTTAAGCCATCCTCCCACCTCAACCTCCCAAGTAACTGGGACTAGGACTACAGGCACACGCCACCATGCTCAGCAAATTTATGTAGTTTTTTTTTTTTTTTTTTGTAGTGATGGGGTTTCACCATGTTGCCCAGGCTGGTCTCAAACTCCTGAGCTCAAGCAATCCACCTGCCTCCACCTCCCAAAGTGCTGGGATTACAGATGTGAGCCACCGCGCCTGGCAATGAATTTCATTAACTTGGTATAAGTTAAATACCAATACCAAAATGCTACAGCAAAACTAACACCTAATGAGGAAAGTTTAGATGCATTCACTTTAAGATGAAGCCTTAAAGGATGTCCATTTTCATTGCCAGTGTTAGGCAGTCCTGGAAGGAAAAGGAAATAGAGTTATAGGTAAAGATCAGGAGGAAGTGATAAAACTGTTGTTCTTTGCAGGTGGTAATGATTACCTACAACCAAGTCAGTAGCAAACTTGTAACTAATAAGAATTCAGTAAAGCTATTGAGTAAGAAATCAGTTTAAAAAATCAGTAGTCTTTTTCTTCATCAGTAGTAAGCAACCAGAACATAAAAAGCAAGGTATTATTCCAAAATACATCAAAATATAAATTATTCAGGAATGATCTTAACCCAAGTCTCTATAGAGAAATCTGGACAAGTGGAGACCATGGCATAGCTTAGTGCTGCAGAGACATCTGCCATCCTGAAGTTAGTGTTTAACGCAGTCTCAATCCAAATTTCAGTTGGATTTTTAGAAGTAACTTAATACTCTAAAATTTATATGGAAAAATGAAGGTTCCCAAATTGCTTAGAGGTAACCAAAAGGGAAGATTGAAAAAGGGACTTGCCCTGCCAGATAGTCACGCTGCAAAGTCACAGTGATTGGAACAGTTTTGATATTAGTGTCCAAACAGGTACAGGTGTCAGTGTGATGAAATAGAGGGATTAATAATGGGGAAGGGAGAGGAAGGGCTGGTTCACCAAAAGGAAAAGTCAGGCAAGATCCTCCCTAATCTACATTCTAAAACAACTCCAGCTGGATTAAAAGACAATAAGAAAAACATGTGCAGTGCTTTCTGTGGACCAGGCCCTGCTCTCTACACTCTCCATGTGTGGTAGCTCATGGATTATTCTTAGGAACCCTATAAGATAGGTACTGGGATTATTATCCCTGCTTTTCAGGTGAGGAAACTGAGGCACTAGAGTTAAGTGATGAGGCCGGAGGCCAGAGTCTCATGATGGTTAATAAAAGAAATACAGAATGTCTTTTTAACCTGTGTGCAGAAAGGGACTTCTGTATCTATCTCATCTGTCTGTCATCTATCTATCTATCTGTCTGTCTGCCTATCTAATCTATCATCTGTCAGTCTATATCTAATCTAGATTTTTTTTTTTTTAACACGAGGTCTCGCTCTGTTGCCCAGGCTGGAATGCAGTGGCACAATCATAGCTCACTGTAACTTCCAACTCCTGAGCTCCAGCAGTCCTCCCACCTCAGTATCCCAAGTAGCTGGAACTACAGTTGTGTGCCACCACTCCTGGCTTAATTTTTTTGTTTGTTTACTTTTTTATTTTTGTGGCCCAGGCTGATCTCAAACTCCTGGCTTCAAGTGAGCCTCCTTCCTCGGCAGGACTTCTTTAAAAAAAAAAAAAAAAGCCTTCAAAAACAGAAACTATAATGCAAAGAGTTGAGTTAGATTATATTAAAGTTAAGAATTTCTGGTTGATAAAATGCTGCAGACAAAATTAAGAGGCTGATGGCAAACTGAAAAAAACATCTGTAGTAGCTAAATCAACAAGAGACTGACATTATATATTCAAGGACTTCCTATAAACTAGTAAGAAGAAGAAAACCCAAATTAGAAAATTGGCAAAAGATAAGTTTATAGACAAGCCTTAAAAGCTAAAACAAACAAACAAACAAAAATGCTCAAAACTCATCAGAGAATTATAAACGATAACAATATAGGACTTGATACTCTTCTTACACGAGCAGCAGTTAAAGGTGGATGATGTTGAGTGGCGGTGGGCTGCAGCCTGCGGGGCCCTGGTGGCCTGCTGGTGAGGAATACAGACCAGGGCAGTCATTCTGGGTAGTAGCGTGGGCTTCTTTGTAGGTAGAAAAATGGCCTACAACTCTTCACTCCTGGGTGTCAAGTACTGAGAAACGCCCAGACAGGTCTGCCAGGGGCCGTGGACAGTGATGGTCGTCACAGCACCCTGCATGGAAGTGTGAGGTGGAGGGCAGCTTTGGTTGGGAGAAGCCATGTAGAGTGGTAGGTGCACGCCACGGGTGCTGTGCCACAGTCAGTGGGGACAGTGGGTCTCCCCGACTTGCTGAGTTAAGAGGTAAATACAATGAGATGTAGAGTTGAATCCATCCCAGTTAGCGACTCAGAATACACATTGTGTTATGACTATTTTTTAAAGAATTAGAATTAGAAACACATTAGTTGCTTTGAAGGGAAAGGAGTGGAGAATGGGGATGAAGAAGAGTAACTTTACAAAGAAGGAACCAGGTAATTCAGATGATCACTAAATCATATGATTTTAACTCATTTTCCTACTTATAAATTGCTTGGAACTATCTGGAAACGACCCAAGAATGCATCCTAATATGAGATTTTTCATAAGCAAAATCCAGGACAGAATCAGCTCTGAGTGATGGACCTTTCACTCTTATTAGTGCCATTGTGATTATGTAAAAAGGGGAATCCCAGACTGAATAGGCAGAGTCTAAATTTCTAGCCCACAGAGCTGAGGAGAGTGTCTCTTGTGTCTTTCTCCACCAAGAACCATCTAAGGGGGAAAAACAGTCCTTCTGGGTCTCATTTTACCCAAATCCTCTGTGTCCTTAGGATCAGCTCTTGGCCCCCTCTTCTCCCTCTGGCGTTTGTGCTTCTCACACATTGTTCGAGGGCAACTCGAGGAGCCGTGAAATCCGATGCAGTCAACACGGTGACCTCATGTGACTGAGGCTTCCAGCCAGCAAGCTGATGGGGTCTGTCTTGCTGCTTTAATGGTGGGCTTGGCCCCAAAAGCAAAGTGCTTTAACTAAAGACTCATTCCTTCAAACAGGTTCTTTGACACCTTCACCGAGTCTGCAGTTTTGCTTACGTGCAGTCGTGGACATATTATTCCCCCAAATTCCTCATTTCTAGGAGTATTCTGAAACTCTTGTACATTTCTTTTTCTGTTTTGCACACTGGGCTTCAGAGTGTTGAAATCCTATCGGTATGTACAGTGTTATGGGACCGTTCTTTATCAGACGCCAGCCACATTACATTGTCCCTGTTTTGGTTCCCACCTGTGTGCGACCCTTTCCTTTTGTGATTCCCCAGTCACTGTCTGTGGTTGTGTGATCGTGCACCCTGCGCATGCTCAGTCCCAGGATGCTTTGCCTCCGCGGCAGTCATGACTCCAGAGCCATCTGCATGTGACCTCATCCTCTGGTGCCTAGGTGCTGGTCCCTAGGGTGTTTGATGTGCCTGTCATCCTCTTTACTGCAGTGAGGAAGGGAAACTGTCTACCTCTCAAGATGCTGCTTGTAAAGACGCAGAGGAGTGTCCCGAGACTGCAGAGGCGAAGTGCGCGGCGCCCAGGCCTCCCAGCAGCAGTCCCGAGCAGAGGTAACCACCCGCCTCCTCAAACCCACCCAGGCCCTGCCCTGACCTTGCCTGTTGCTTCCTGGGAGTTGGGAGGGGACTATAGGGATCGTTTACAGCTGTGCTCAAGTCTTAGGCCGCTGACCTGGCAGGACAGGGTTTTCTCAGTCCTTAATGAGCTGAGTCCGACTGAGCTGAGAACTTAGAAACAGCAGTTCCTCTCCTTAGCGCAGAAACTGAAAACCAGTTTTTAGAGACTCTTTAACATCACTCGCTCTTTTAGAAGTGGCTCCGAACAGAGGGGTCTCCTCACCCTTGTTGTTGAGGTACTGAGCTGAGGGTGGCATTGAGCCCCTCCAGGACTTGAGTTCTCATTGGCCCCACTAAAGTCATCCAGCCGCCAGGCACGAGCAGATCGTGGTGCCTATTTGCCCACATTCCTGCCCTGTGTGACACAAGGAGAACTTGCTGGAGCCCTTTCATACATGTAGCTAAATAATTCTTAGTGCTTAAGTGACTCCCTGTAATCTTAAGTATGAAATGCCCACTCCCAGAGCTGTGTGACTTAGAATGTGATGTTTTGTTTCTAGTCACTTTTTGCTTAGCCTGAGCCAGTGGTCTGAAGGGATGGGCCAGTCTAAGTCTCAGCCACCCGGAGCCCATGCCAGGCCCTTAGCAAGACTGAGCATGGCCCAAAGATGAGGCTGCACCCCTGGGCCACAGGAAGCTTTGTTCAGCACTTCCCACAATCAACTTCTGTGAACAAATGTAGCTAAGATTGTATATTCCTTCCATAAGGAATAAAATGACCTTTAAAGCTATTTCAGAGAAGTTTTAACCCCCCACCCCCACCCCATCCTCCCCCAAATCTTGCCAGCATTGTATGAGAGCATAACCAGTGGGAACCAGCAGGGAGCACTCTTTGTTGGTCCAAAATCCTGTATTCACAGTGTAGCAAGCTGTTTGTGTTCCTCCTGTGGAAATTGTAGCCAAAATAAAGCCTTTGTTTTTGTGATTAGAAATATTTTTTTTGCATATAAAACAAACAAATTAAGAACTATTTGAGCATGTTGGCTCTAGTGAAGGCTTTTGGGGGAAGAGGCAGGGTGGCCCTCTAGCACTGGGAAGCTGCCTCAACTCTGCTTCTACGGATTGGGCAAGTCACTCTCTTTCTTGGGGTTTCAATGTATTTTTTAATGGTCCTTTATAGGTCTCATTCCCAATCAATTATTTCAGCTCTCTGATTTCTACCTATAAATTTCCTTTATATTGAGGGCTGCCTAGGCAGGATCGTCCAGGTCTATCCCAGTTTGGGGCAGTTGCTTCAGGGGAATATTCTTGGTTTCTCTGTCATAAGGATGCACAAGGCTCTGGAGTCATTTCCTTGGCTTTCTGAGCACAGAAGAATTGTTTGCATAAGGGGAAGCCACTTGCTCTCCTCTGTGGCTGGGAATGCCTGCTCTGAAGAGCCCTGCCCTAACCTGCCGGGCCAAGGGATGGAGGAAAAGATGGGGTCAGCCAGTGGAAGAAGAGGGGCATCACTTGGGTCCATGCCTTTATCCATCTGTCCTTCTTTCCTCTGACACACGTTTGTGTGTGGTGGCCACTGGTCTAGGCCGGGTCATAAAGCTGCAGCACACGGACACCCAGTGGTCTCGGGGCATACTAGAGGCACATTCATCAAGAAGCCACGAAGAAGGGACAGGGGTCCATGTGAGCTGGGGTGCGGGGGAGAGGATCTCTGAGGTGACGTTGGAGTGGGCATTAGGGCAGACCTAGAGTGCGTCCTAGATTGCACGTGTTCTAAAGTGACGTATGACAGCATGGGATATTGAAGCTCACCCGTCTTTCCTGTGTGGTTCCCGTCCCAGCCAGATACCACAGTTCCTTGGATTGGCAGGCGCGCTGTTTCCTGTCACACTTAAAGATCTGCATTGCCACATGATCTCACTTTTCACAGCTGTTTTATCAAGCATGTCCTTTGTGCTTCTGATGTGCTGAGCATGCTGCACACATTATGTACTTATTTCATATGTATACTAGTGAAGCCCTGTGGGGCGTGGGGAGGGTTCTTTTCCCATTTTACAGAGGAGAAAACAGAACTGAGAGGGGCTAAGAAATCTACTTATAAGATCACTCAGCTTGTTTAAGTGAAGGCAAGTTAGTTATATACCAGTTATGTCTAGTTCCAGAAGTCTCGATTCCTATGTCTCTCATACACGGAGCCACCATCAGATGTAAGTAAGTGAGCAGAGTGGATTGTGTGTGCAGAGCTGACTTTTTGGCTCACTGTATAACCAGCAGGTATAAGGCATGAGTAGCATTCTAGCTGTAAATTGTGAATGCTAGTGGAAAAGTGCTTGTGGGCATCCCAGTTACGGCCCTAAGCACCCTTTCCCAAGTCTGCTTGATACAATTTTGGTCAAGCCTTCCCGAATAGGTTATATATTCAGGTTGTAATTTTGGCAGGAAGGCAAAACCTGGACACTTTGTTATATACTGTCCCACCTGTTATTCCCTCCCAGTTTTGAGCCTAACATTTGCTTTGTGGGACATGTTCTTCAAGTGGACACCTTTTTTTTTTTTTCCAGTAGTTTATTTGCAAACCTCCTTTCCTTTCCTTTTTTCCCCCCTTTCCTAGTAGCAGAATCCTGTTTCCAAGTGAAATAGTATGTGGATTCCAATCTGTGGGTCACATAAAAGCTTTCTTGAAGGAGCGGTGAACACATAGCTCCTGAAGGCTCTGGAAGCCACAGTTTATACCCCACTGACCTAGTCACTCCCTGTGCTTCTTGGAGGCCGCGGTGGGGCGGTTCTCCCAGAGCATTTGCTCTGCTGCTGCCCTTGCTGAATGCCTGCTCACCCGGTGATGAAGCTTAGATGCACTCACTCAGATTTTTCTAGAGCTTTTGCTCCATTCATTTACATATCATTTTATTAAAAACTTACTAAGTTCAAAACAATGTTAAAATAAGTTGTCCCTGCCCTTGGGGAGCTCAGCTAAGTAGGTTTTGTTTTTCATATTTCTGCTGCAAGTGCCTCCGATGCCTGTCTGTTGCTCCTTAGGACTGGCCAACCAAGCGCACCAGGTGACACTTCAGTGAATGGCCCTGTATGACGGGTGACGTCTGCTGCTGCTGACTGAGGACTGCAGACCGCCACCACTCAGGGGCTCTGGAGGGGTCAGCTGGAGCCCACCAAGCTGTCACTGCTGCACTCACTCTGCAAGGGATCAGGACCAGCAACCTTTATATTCTAGATTCTAAGACATTGTACAGAGAAATTCAGAAGTGTAAAAATATTGCACATTGACAAATACCAAGAATTTTTGCGTATGTTTATATTGTATTGTTCTAAATAATGGGTAGCCTGTGAAATAAGATCTTGCCACCCATGTAATAATAGTAGTAATACTATAGTTAAAATGGCTGTAAGAATAGTTTTATAAAAGTGAATACACAGATCTATTGTATTTGAAACATAACTTTGACAATTATTAGTGTGACCAAAGTATTAGGCGGTTTTCATACATTTTTCACCTTGTACAAAATTATGAATTCATTTTTCCTCCAGGCCGACAAGGAGTTGTAGAATGAAAATGCCCTCTAAGTGTTATTTTGGTTGTTCTAACTTACAAAAGTGATTTTGAATAAGAAATATTTGGTGTTCTTTTTATAACCAGTTTTTGATTGGTAATTGTTTTCTGTATTGTTTAAAACGGATCAAAAATGTAAGTCTATTGGTAGAGATTAAGTAAAGTATTTATTGCTACATCATAGTTGATAAATTGATGTTATCGTAAAGCCATATGTTCTGTTCAAGTCTTGTTTGCTTGAAATGATTATTCCTACAAGTGAAACACTAGACTATTTGGAGTGTATATGGCTTGTGTTTTGGGATTTTTTTTTTTTTTTTTTGGCTTTTGTTTTTGTTTGTTTTTTTGTTTCATTTGGTAGTTCATCTGCCTTTTAACCCATTCACCAAAATTTACCTTGTTAACAAGCATCACCAATGAACATTTCAGAGCAATCTGCATATTTAACAGACCTAAAATAAATCCTATTAGGCAAGTCAGTTGAAAATGCTCGTGCTGCTAATGGAATTAGAGTGCGTTCATTTTACAGGCTAGTATTTTAAAAGTAGAAATCAAAATCTGGCACCGAAGCATGCTAATTGTTTACTGTACCTTGTGAGGTTTTCACTCATAAATTTAAACCAGTGTATTTTTTTAGAACTGGTTTGTGTATATATATAGTGATTATGGATACTAATTCAATGTAATTTATAATTTTCTATGTCAATACAAAAATACATCACAGCCTTCTCAAACAGCTCAAGCAATATATTGTATATTGCCATATCGTCTGGTGAAAGGGTTAAATTACTTCACCTCTTGCACTTTTAGATGCAAATCAGTTTTTCATTTCTGTAATAGAAAATTATTCACGTATTTTTACATCATTTGTTTTTCCTGACCAGTATTTAAAACCAAAAGGATATTCTGAAAAATGGCCAACAATTTTTTTAGAAGTAGCATCCCAAGCAGCGTGCCTAAACATTACATTGCATATGGAAATAAAAGAATCAAACGTCTAATGCCTTATTATTTCTGATTTCCTTTTTCATTTTAAGTGGTGTGGAGATTCCAGCACTCCCAGGACAGTGGAGTCAGCAGTAAGCCCTGGGACAGGTGGCAAGGGTGGGTCCCTTGACCTTTGCACGCCTCCTCAGGAACCCCCTTTCCCGGGTGAGCCCCTCTCTGAAGAGACTGTCCTTGGGCCTCCTCTGGAAGCAGCACCCCCAGAGGACAGGGCTCCTCCTGCTTGCCTCAGGGCTGCCTGACTTGAATGGCGTTGGACCTCGGGGATTACTGGTAGATAATATGCTCTGGTCTCGCCTGGTGGTGAGTTTTGCCAGCCATGGCCAGGGTTTGGCTCCACTGGTGGCACACGTGGCCTCCGTGGTATGGACCTGGTGGCTTCTCCATCCCACTGTGGCCTCTGTGGTATGGACCTGGTGGCTTCTCCATCCTACCCAAGGTAACAGTGTCTTGCTTCATCCCACTGACTGCTGGGAGAGAGCCTCTGGGACTTTTCTTTGGGGCATCATTTTGTTTTGTCTTTCGTAGCAGGGAAAGGATATGACAATGGGGAGGACAGTTCTTTTGGAGGTTGGAGGGGCCAAGCCAAGGACAGGAGCAAGTGTGCCCTCATTTTGTTTCTACTTTTAATTTCTGTGTGTTGGCCATACTGAATTATGAGACTAACAGATGTCTACAATACAATACCTGTATTCAAAATAACAAAAATAAAGCCTGATTCTTTGTTTCTAGAAATCTCTTGTACCTTGCTTGGATTTTTAATGGGTTGATGTGTCCTGCCATTAGGTCCCGTGTTACACTAGGTCCTGTGTGAGAAAGACTGCACTGCACTGTGTGAGAGAGTGGCCTCTGGGATCAGGGGCTCATCCTCCCCACTGCCATAGCCCAGGTGCCCAGAAGAGGTGGTGCCTGACACCGGCTCTCAGTCTTGGGACGGCTCCAAGGGTTCCTCTGGACCTCCAGCTTGTTACTTTTATGTGCAGCGTGTCCCACCTATGTTGTTTGGCTCCCAGCCCAACAAGTCACAGTTAGGTGCTCCATAATGATTCTTAAGATGTGATGCTTATGTAGCTCCTTATTTTGCATTTTCCCTTCACCTGTTTGCTTAAAAACATGTTCTCTAGTCATTACCTCCTAGCAGGTCCTCTGCACAGCCTTTTGCTTTCTGGGCACGCATGCATCCCTCCGTGCCTGGGCCCACAGGCATCTCACACAGCACTGAGTACACACCTCTGCATGCTGGGCCCGCAGGCAGCTCACTCTGAGCTGTCTGGGTACCCACCTCTACATGCGAGTCCATAGGCATCTCACTGGCAATCGTGTAACCAGGGCACAAGCTCTCCAGCCGGGTGGCTCATCACAGCCCAACTCAGCCACTCATGATGGTGTGACCTTAGGCAGGTCTTGGTGTCAGCTTTTTCTGTTGGGTGGGGAAACAATAGGAACAAGTTCAAAGACTTGAATAGCTTTTTACTTACGGTAAATGTTTAACAAACATTAGCTAACTTTTACTCACTTAACCCCATAATGTCACCTGCTAGCCTTTCTAAATTTCCACTTCAATCCCACCTATTATTTAAAACCTTTACCTTCAGAAAAGTTGAGCATCTTAATCAGATGGGTTTCACTGCCCTTCAGCTTCCAGGGTCAGCTGCATCCGTGTGCCAGGTCTGGCCACCACCTGTGTCTGTGAATAAAACTGGCTATCCGTATGGAAAGACATGAGCCTTTATTCCTACTGCACGTCATACACAAGAATTCATCCAAAATAGATTGCAGATCCAAACATGAGCGCTTAAACAGTGAAGTTTTTAGAAGAAAAAATTATCTAAAATGTGGGATGGGCGAAGGCTGCTTTGGATGCAGAGCACATACCGTAGAAGAAAGACATCGGGCTTCCATCAACGTGAAAATGTTCTGCTCTTGAAAATGGACAAGCAAGGAACGGAATGCCAGGCAAGAAATCACACTGTGTGTCCTGACAAAGGACTCAGACCTCGGATATAGGGGAGAAAACTGCAAACCAAAATTAAGATGAAAAGCCCAATTTAACAAATGAGCAAGAGACTTGAACACAGATATTCACGAAGAAGGGACAGATGTTCCCTGACTTAACGATCCATGCCGGCCACTTCCCCTCGCGATGGCACAGCTGGCTGGGACTGCTGCTCCCTGCCACCGCTCAGTACTGCAGGAGGGCACTGTGCTGCGCATCCATCACCAGCCCAGGAAAAGATCGGAATTCAGAGTGTGGCTTCTGCTGAGAGCTTAATGCTTCCGAAACGCCATCGTAAAGTCCAAAAACCTGAAATTGAACCGTCTTAAGTCAGGGACCTGTGTATACATGAGTGGCCAATAAGAACATGAAAAGTTGTTTAACATCATCACTTCCTGGGGAGGGCAAGTTAGAATCACAAAAAGGTCCCATTTTCCATCTATTAGTGTTCAAATGAAAAAGACATCACCAGATAGGAGAATGTGCAGCTGCTAGAACTCACCTATTACTGTCTAAAATAATACTTCCAGTTTAGGAAACTAGTGGGCAAATTCTTTTTTTGGTTTGGAGGTTTTAAAAAATTAGACATACTCCTGCAGACTCTCCTAGATACTCAGTGCAAATACATGTCCACAGGTGATTTGTACAAGGATATTTATTGTCACTTTATTCGTAATATGTCTAACAACAGGAGGGTGGATAAGCAGATTCTGGTGTAGTCATACGATGGACTTCTACTTAGTAACCAACGGGGGTGAACCGTGATGAATGCAGCCATGTGTATACGTCTCAAAAACGTTGAAGGCTGGACACAGTGGCTCACGCCTGTAATCCCAGCACTTTGGGAAGTCAAGGCAGGCAGATCACCTGAGGCCAGGAGTTGAAGACTAGCCTGGTCAACATGGCGAAAACCCGTCCCTACTAAAATTTTAACAAAAATTAGCCCAGAGTGGCGGTGCACACCTGTAATCCTAGCTACTCAGGAGGATGAGGCACGAGAATCACTTGAATCCGGGAGGTGGAGGTTGCCGTGAGCTGAGATCGTGCCACTGCACTCCAGCCTGGGTGACAAGAGTGAGAACCTGTCTCATAAATAAATAAATGCGTTAAGCAAAAGAAGTAAGATATGTAAGCATCTATACGAAGCTCTAAAACCGACCAAACGAATTGATGGGAGAAATTCGAATAGTGTTTTCTCCTGGCAGGGAAGAGAGAAGGATTGGCTGAAAAGAGCACAGGGACACCTTCTGGGGTGAGGGAAGTCTTCCGCAGCTTGTTGGTGATGGTGGTTATGTGAACGTATACATGTGTCCAAACTCATCAAAACCTACACTTAAGACCTATGCATTTGATTGTATGTGATTTGCACCTTAATCTTTTAGAACTAAGGAAAAGGAGAAGTTAAAAGTGCAGCATAGAAAGCATTGTGAGGGAGAACACCCCCCATGGCATGCACCGTGGCCCCGGGACTGCCTTTCCTACCCCGCCAAGGAGGAGAGACCGAGGAGCAGGGCATGCTCTGGGCTCCAGCCTGGATTTGCCCGCCCATGGAGAGGACACGTTCCGGATCGTCCTCTTCCACACAGTAGACTCTGTCCTGCCGAAGGGAGAAGTCTGCATCCCTGGGTTAGACACGTCTCATGGAGTCCTCTGCCCGTGACCAGGGGGGGACATTTGTCTAATCCAGGGATGAAGTCAGAGAACTCATCCAAACCATGCCCCTCAAGCAAGGTTTAGTTTTAAAAAGAAAAGGATGTTGAATCCATTTGTCCGTCGTGCCTTATTTCCCAGAGGGCACTTCAGGAGGGCTGAAGGGGGCATGACCACCTCGCCAGGCATTGTCACAGGAGGCGGTGGGAAGCAGTGGTTTGTATGGAGGGAGTGATGTGAAGATGGGAGAACAGGCCGTGCCGGCTGCTGCTTCCCTTCTCGGGGACAGCCACGCTCTGACCGCGGCTCCAGGGCTGCATCTAATGGTTCAAAGGCCCAGTCACGGGGTCCTGTTGGGAGGAGGTGCCCATGCCCTGGCCTCATGTTTCTCTGTGGGATCTTGGCACTAGGTGAGTGCCCTTGGCCTCTCCACACTCCACTCTAATGGGAGCTTAGTGACTTCACTGAGAGATTTTGGTGAGGATTTGCATTTTTGGTTCAGTCAAAAATGCTTTCTAGGCTGGGCAGGGTGGCTCACGCCTGTAATCCCAGTGCTTTGGGAGGCCAAGACGGGAGGATTGCTTGAGCCCAGGAGTTTGAGACCAGCCGGGGCAACACAGTGAGACCTCATCTCTGAAAAAGTAATAAAAATTCAAAAGACAAACTAAGAAGTTCCCCCCGCCCATTTGTCTTTCAAGTCCTAATTCTCACTTGTTTCTGAACCTTGGTGTCCTTTCCTAAACAAACCAAGAAATACATTGTTACACTAAATCTGTTTTTTCTCTTTAGAAGACAGGTGGTCAGATTGGGGTTGAAACTAGAACCCAGGAATATGCTGTTGATGTAATAATCATAAAAGTGACAGGCTGAAAATAAGTGGATAGAAAAATAGGGTACAAGCAGAAAATAAGAGTATTCATATCAGGCACAGCAGAGTTTAAAAGCACTGTGCAGGGGTAAGATGCTCTTCATCAAACTATAAATACCGCAGTGGAACAAAACAATTAGAAATGCAAGGAAAGGGTCTTGTTTCTAGCTGTAAGAGTAATTTTATCAGAACGCACATCCTGCCAATGATGAAAGTTGGGCTTTTTAAAAACCAGCTTTAAACTTTTTACAACTAGATTACTTGAGCCCAGGAGTCCAAGACCAGCCTGGGGAATGTGGCAAGACCCTGTCTCTGCCAAAACAATTTTTTTTTAATTAGCCAGGCGTGGTTGTGCGTACCTGTGGTCCCACCTACTCGGGAGGCTGAGGTGGGAGGATTGCTTGAGCCAGGGAGGTCAAGGCAGCAGTGAGCTGTGATCATGCCACTGCACTCCAGCCTGCGTGACAGAGCAAGACCCTGTCAAAAAAAAAAAAAAAAACACACACACAAACGAACTAGGAACAGAAGGAAACTACGTCAACGTAAAAGCCATACGTAAAAACCCACAGCAAACATTTTACTCATTAGTGAAAGACAAAGATTATCCTCTAAGAGCAAGAACAGGGCAGGGATGCCCTCTTTCGCCACTTCTATTCAGAGCACTAAAAGTTCTAGCCAGAGAAATTAAGAAGAAAAAGAAATACAGGGCATTCAATTTGGAAATGAAGAAGTAAAATTATCTCTGTTTGCAGATAATATGATTTGAAAATGTAGAAAGCCCTAAAGTGTCCACACACACACACACACACACACACACACACACACACAAACTATTAGAACTAATAAATGAATTCAGCAAAGTAGCAGGATACAAAGTCAACACACACAAATCAGCTGAGTGCGGTGGCTCACACCTCTAATCCCAGCACTTTGGGAAGCTGAGGAAGGAGGGTCACTTGAGCCTGGGAGGTTGAGGCTGCAGTCAGCTATGATCACATCCTGCACTCCAGCCTGGGCAATATTGTGAGACCCTGCTCAGAACACACATGCACACACATCAGTGGTGTTTCTATATGATACCAATGAAGAATCTAAAAAAGGAAATTATAAAAATAATCCGTTTTACAATAGCATAAAAAGAATAAAATACTTAGGAATTAACCAAAGAAGTGAAAGGTGTGTACAATAGAAACTACGAGACACGGCTGAAAGAAATTAAAGAAAACATTAAGATATGGAAACACATTCCCTGTATATGAATTGGAAGACATAACATTGCTAAAATGTTAATACTACACAAAGCATCTACAGATTCAATGTAATCCCTATCCAAATCCCAATGATATGTTCTTGCAGAAATAGAAAAATCTATTCTAAAATTAATAGAGAACCTCAAGGGACCGTAAATAGACAAACAATCTTGAAAAAGAACAAAGCTAGAGAACGCATACTTCCTTATTTCAAAATTTACTACAAAGCTACAGTAGTCAAAACATTATGGTACTGGCATAAAGAGAGACATATAAACCAGTGGAATAGAATAGAAGCCCAGGAATAAACCCTGGCATTTATGGTCAAATGATTTTTTTTTGAGACATATCCCTCTGTTGCCCAGGCTGGAGTGCAGTGCAGCTCACCGCAACCTCCACTCCCTGGGTTCAAGCGATTCTCCTGCCTCAGCCTTCTGAGTAGCTGGGATTACAGGTGTGCACCAGAACACCTGGCTAATTCTTTTTGTATTTTTAGTAGAGATGGGGTTTTGCCATGTTGGCCAGGCTGGTCTCGAACTCCTGACCTCAAGTGGCCACTTGCCTTGGCCTCCCAAAGTACTGGGATTACAGGCGTGAACCACCATGCCTGGCCTATGGTCAAATGATTTTTGACAAGGGTGCCAAGACCGTTCAGTGGGGAAAGGACAGTGTTTTCAACAAATGGTGCTGGGAAAACTGGATATCCACATGCAAAAGAACAGAATTTGACCCTTACGTAACACTATATACAAAAATCAAACTGGATCTAAGACCTAAAACAAATTCCTAGAAGAAAACATAGGGCAAGAGCTTCACAGCACTGGATGTGGCAGTGATTACTTGGATATGACACCAAAGGCACAGGCAACAAAGGAAAAAAATAGACAAATTGGACTTCATGAAAAATTTGAAATGTGGTTCATCAAAAGATACTGTCAATAAGCCAGGTGCAGTGGCCCATGCCTGTAATCCCAGCACTTGGGGAGGCCAAAGTGGGAAGATCCCTTGAGTCCAGGAAATGGAGACAAGCCTAGGCAACATAGGGAGACCCCATCTCTACAAATAATAATTAAAAAAAAATACTGTCAACAGAGTAAGAAGGCAATTCACAGAACAGAAAATATTTACAAATCACGTCTGATAAGTGATTAATATCCAGAATATTTAGAACTCCTAAAACTCAAGAACAAAGAAACAACGTGATTCAAAAATGGGCAAAGGACGTGAATAGACATTTCTCTGAAGAAGATATACAAAGGACAAACACATGTAAAGGTGCTCATCACTAATCATTAGAGAAATGCAAATCCAAACTACCACCTCACATCCGTTAGGATGGCTACTGTAACACATGCACACTCACACAAATAAATGTTGGCAAGGATGTGGAGAAATCAGAACCCTTGTGTGCTTTGGGAATGTAGAACGGTATAGTTGCTGTGGAAAACAGTATGGAGGTTCTTCAAAAAGTTAAAAATAGAATTTCCATATAATGCAACAATTTCACTTCTGGGTATATATATGAAATAATTAAAAGCGGGGTCTTGAAGAGATATTTGGACACTCACGTTCATGCCAGCATTATCCTCAATACCTGCAAAGTGGAGACAACTCAAGTATCCACTGACAGATGAATGACTAAGCAAAATGCTGTGTATACAAAAAGTGGAATATTATTCAGCCTTAAAAAAGAAGGAAATGGTACAACATGCTACAACATGGATGAAACTTGAGGACATTAGGCTCAGTGAAATAAGCCAGTGACAGAAAGGCAAATACCACAGAATTCCATTTATTTGAGGTGCCTAGAGTTGTCAAATCTATAGAGACAGACAATAGAGGGGTGGGTGCCAGGGGATGAGGAGTTAGTGTTTAATGCTTAATGGATATAGAGATGAAGTTTTACGGGTGAAAAGAGTGCTGGAGACGGATGATTGTTGTGGTTATACAACATCATTAGGGGAATTTAATACCATTAAACTGTAACTTTTTTTTTTTTTTTGAGATGGAGTTTTGCTCTTTTCACCCAGGCTGGAGTGCAGTGGTGCAATCTCGGCTCACTGCAACTTCTGCCTCCCAGTTTCAAGCAATTCTCTTGCCTCAGCCTCCCGAGTAGCTGGAATTACAGGCACAAGCCACCACGCTCAGCTAATTTTTGTATTTTTAGTAGAAACGGGTTTCACCATGTTGGCCAGGCTGGTCTCGCACTCTTGACCTCAGGTGATCTGCCTGCCTTGGCCTCCCAAAGTATTGGGATTACAGGTGTGAGCCACGGCACCCAGGTGAACTGTAACTTTAAAAAATGGTTAAGATGGTATATTTTATGTTATGTATATTTTACTGTCAGGCCTCTGAGACCAAGCCAAGCCATCACATCCCCTGTGACTTGCACATATACACCCAGATGGCCTGAAGTAACTGAAGAATCACAAAAGAAGTGATTATGCCCTGCCCCACCTTAACTGATGACACTCCACCACAAAAGAAATGAAAATGGCTGGTCCTTGCTTTAACTGATGACATTCCACCACAAAAGAAGTGTAAATGGCCAGTCCTTGCCTTAAGTGATGACGTTACCTTGTGAAAGTCCTTTTCCTGGCTCATCCTGGCTCAAAAGCCTCCCCCACTGAGCACCTTGAGACCCCCACTCCTGCTCGCCAGAGAACAAACCCCCTTTGTAATTTTCCTTTACCTACACAAATCTTATAAAATGGCCCCACCCCATCTCCCTTTGCTGACTCTTTTTGGACTCAGCCCGCCTGCACCCAGGTGAAATAAACAGCTTTATTGCTCACACAAAGCCTGTTTAGTAGTCTCTTCACATGGACGCGCATGCAATTTGGTGCCGTGACTCGGATCGGGGGACCTCCCTTGGGAGATCAATCCCCTGTCCTCCTGTTCTTTGCTCCGTGAGAAAGATCCACCTATGACCTCAGGTCCTCAGACCAACCAGCCCAAGAAACATCTCACCAATTTCAAATCTGGTAAGCGGCCTCTTTTTACTCTCTTCTCCAACCTCCCTCACTATCCCTCAACCTCTTTCTCCTTTCAATCTTGGTGCCACACTTCAATCTCTCCCTTCTCTTAATTTCAATTCCTTTCATTTTCTAGTAGAGACAAAGGAGACATGTTTTACCCATGGACCCAAAACTCCAGCGCTGGTCATGGACTAGGAAGGCAGCTTTCCCTTGGTGTTTAATCATTGCAGGGACGCCTCTCTGATTATTCACCCACGTTTCAGAGGTGTCAGACCACGCGGGGATGCCTGCCTTAGTCCTTCACCCTTAGCGGCAAGTCCCACTTTTCTGGGGGAGGGGCAAGTATCCCAACCCTTTCTGTGTCTCTACCCCTTCTCTGCTTTTTTGGGGGGCAAGAATCCCCCGATCCCTTATTTCCACGCCCTGACCTCTTATCTCTGTGCCCCAATCCTTTATTTCCGTGCCCTGACCTCTTATTTCTGTGCCCTGATCCCTTACTTCCATGCCCCGACCTCTTATCTCTGCACCCTGATCCCTTATTTCCATGCCCCGACCTCTTATCTCTGCACCCTGATCCCTTATTTCCATGCCCCGACCTCTTATCTCTGCACCCCAACCCCTTATTTCTGCGCCCTGACCTCTTATCTCTGTGCCCCAACCCCTTATTTCCATGCCCTGACCCCTTTCCTGCTTTTCTGGAAGGTAAGAACCCCCGAACCCCTTCCCTCCGTGTCTCTACTCTCCCTTTTCTTTAAACTTGCCTCCTTCACTATAGGCAAACTTCCACCCTCCATTCCTCCTTCTTCTCCCTTAGCCTGTGTTCTTAAAAACCTAAAACCTCTTCAACTCACACCTGACCTAAAACCTAAATGCCTTATCTTCTTCTGCAACACCGCTTGGCCCCAATACAAACTTGACAATGGCTCTAAATGGCCAGAAAACGGCACTTTCGATTTCTCCATCCTACAAGACCTAAATAATTTTTGTCGAAAAATAGGCAAATGGTCTGAGGTGCCTTACGTCCAGGCATTTTTCACGCTTCGTTCCCTCCCTAGTCTCTGTTCCCAATGCGATTCCTCCCAAATCCTCCTTCTTTCCCTCCCGCCTGTCCCCTTAGTCCCAACCCCAAGCGTTGCTGAGTCTTTCCAGTCTTCCTTTTCTACAGACCCATCTGACTTTTCCCCTCCTCCCCAGGCTGCTCGTTGCCAAGACAAGTCCCAATTCCTCCTCAGCCTCCTCTCCTCCACCCTGTAATCCTTCTACCACCTCCCCTCCTCACACCCTGTCCGGCTTACAGTTTAGTTCTGTGACTAGTTCTTCCCCACCTGCCCAACAATTTCCTCTTAGAGAGGTGGCTGGAGCTGAAGGCATAGTCAAAGTACATTTACCTTTTTCTCTATCAGACCTCTCTCAGATCAGTCAGCGTTTAGGCTCTTTCTCATCAGACCCCACTAAATATATACAGGAATTCCAATATTTAACTCTGTCCTACAATTTAACCTAAAGTGACTAAAATGTCACCCTGACTTCTACCCTCTCCCCAGATGAACGGGAAAGAGATTTTCTCAAGTCCAATCTCACGCTGATAACCGCTGGCTTCACGAGCCAGGCCTCCAGGAAGGCATTAGAGCAGTTTCCTGAGAGGATCCCCAATGGAACTACCAGGCAAATTCCCCAGGTATAGCTAGGCGAGATTACGTGATTTCCTGCCTAGTTGAAGGGCTTAAAAAGGCAGCTTACAAAGCTGTTAATTATGACAAGCTTAAAGAAATTACCCAAAGTAAGTGGGCAAAGGATATGAACAGACACTTCTCAAAAGACGACATTTATGCAGCCAAAAAACCCATGAAAAAATGCTCATCATCACTGGCCATCAGAGAAATGCAAATCAAAACAACAATGAGATTGCATCTCACACCAGTTAGAATGGCGATCATTAGAAAGTCAGGAAACAACAGGTGCTGGAGAGGATGTGGAGAAATAGGAACACTTTTACACTGTTGGTGGGACTGTAAACTAGTTCAACCATTGTGGAAGACAGTGTGGCGATTCCTCAGGGATGTAGAACTAGCAATACCATTTGACCCCGCCATCCCATTACTGGGTATATACCCAAAGTATTATAAATCATGCTGCTATAAAGACACATGCACACGTATGTTTATTGCGGCACTATTCACAACAGCAAAGACTTGGAACCAACCTGAATGTCCAACAACCATAGACTGGATTAAGAAAATGTGGCACATACACACCATGGAATACTATGCAGCCATAAAAAATGATGAGTTCACGTCCTTTGTAGGGACATGGATGAAACTGGAAACCATCATTCTCAGCAAACTATCACAAGGACAAAAAACCAAACACCGCGTGTTCTCACTTATAGGCGGGAATTGAACAATGAGAACACATGGACACAGGAAGGGGAACATCACACACCGGGGACTGTTGTGGGGTGAGGGGAGGGGGGAGGGATAGCATTGGGAGATATACCTAATGCTAAATGACGAGTTAATGGGTGCAGCACACCAGCATGGCACATGTATACATATGTAACAAACCTGCACGTTGTGCACAGGTACCCTAAAACTTAAAGTATAATAATCATAATGAAAAATAAATAAATAAAGTATATTCCTCA
Organism: Homo sapiens; assembly: GCF_000001405.40. NCBI lineage: Eukaryota > Metazoa > Chordata > Mammalia > Primates > Hominidae > Homo > Homo sapiens. The sequence continues at coordinate 68,625,986 of NC_000011.10, forward strand.
AAAAAAAAAAAAAAAAGAAAGAAACTACCCAAAGTAAAGACGGAAACCCAGCCCCGTTCATGGCCCACTTAGCAGCCAACCCTTAGACGCTAAACCGCCCTAGACCCAGGAAGGCCAGAAGGCCGCCTTATTCTTAATATGCATCTTATCACCCAATCCACTCCTGACATTAGGAAAAAACTTCAAAAATTAGAATCTGGCCCTCAAACCCCACAACAGGAATTAATCGACCTCGCCTTCAAGGTGTATAATAATAGAGAGGAAGCAGCCAGACGGCAACACATTTCTAAGTTACAATTACTTGCCTCTGCTGTGAGAAAAAAACCAGCCACACCTCCAGCATTCAAGAACTTCAGAATGCCTAAGCCGCACACACCTAAGCTCAGCAGTCAAGCATTCCTACAAGACTTCCTCCATCACGATCTTGCTTCAAGTGCCAGAAATCTGGCCACTGGGCCAAGGAATGCCCGCAGCCCAGGATTCCTTCCAAGCCATGTCCTATCTGTGCAGGGACCCACTGGAAGGCAGACTGCCCAGCTCACCCGGCAGCCACTCCTAGAGCCCCTAAAGCTCTAGCCCAAGGCTCTCTGACTGACTCCTTCCCAGATCTGCTCGGCTTAGTGACTGAAGATTGACACTGCCTGATCGCCTCAGAAGCCCCCTGGACCATCACGGATGCCAAGCTTCAGGTAACTCTCACAGTGGAGGGTACGTCCATCCCGTTTAATCGATACGGGGGCTACCCACTCCACATTACCTTCTTTCCAAGGGCCTGTTTCCTTTGCCCCCATAACTGTTGTAAGTATTGACGGCCAAGCTTCAAAACCCCTGAAAACTCCCCTACTCTGGTGCCAACTTAGACAACACTCTTTTATGCACTCTTTTTTAGTTATCCCCACCTGCCCAGTTCCCTTATTAGGCTGAGATATTTTAACCAAATTATCTGCTTCCCTGACTATTCCTGGACTACAGCCGCATCTCATTGCCGCCCTTCTAACCCAAACCCTCCTTCGCGTCTTCCTCTCGTATCCCCCCACCTTAACCCACAAGTATGGGACATCTCTACTCCTTCCCTGGCAACCGATCACATGCCCATTACCATCCCATTAAAACCTAACCACCCTTACCCCGCTCAACGCCAATATCCCATCCCATAGCACGCTTTAAAAGGATTAAAGCCTGTTATCACTCGCCTGGTACAGCATGGGCTTCTAAAACCTATAAACTCTCCTTACAATTCCCCCATTTTACCTGTCCAAAAACCAGACAAGTCTTACAGATTAGTTCAGGATCTGTGCCTTATCAACCAAATTGTTTTGCCTATCCACCCTGTGCTGCCCAACCCGTACACTCTTTTGTCCTCAATACCTTCCTCCACAACTCACTCTTCCATTCTTGATCTTAAAGATGCCCTTTTCACTATTCCCCTGCACCCCTCGTCCCAGCCTCTCTTTGCTTTCACCTGGACTGACCCTGACACCCATCAGTCCCAGCGGCTTACCTGGGCTGTGCTGCCACAAGGTTTCAAGGACAGCCCTCATTACTTCAGCCAAGCTCTTTCTCATGATTTACTTTCTTTCCACACCTCCGCTTCTCACCTTATTCAATATATTGATGATCTTCTTCTTTGTAGCCCCTCCTTTGAATCTTCTCAACAAGACACACTTCTGCTTCTTCAGCATTTATTCTCCAAAAGATATCAGGTATCCCCCTTCAAAGTTCAAATTTCTTCCCCACCTGTTACCTACCTCGGCATAATTCTTCATAAAAACACATGTGCTCTCCCTGCTGATCGTGTCCGACTGATCTCTCAAACCCCAACCCCTTCTACAAAACAACAACTCCTTTCCTTCCTGGGCATGGTTGGATACTTTCGCCTTCAGATACCTAGTTTTGCCATCCTAACAAAACCATTATATAAACTCACAAAAAAAACCCTAGTTGACCCCATAGATCCTAAATCCTTTCCCCACTCCTCTTTCTGTTCCTTGAAGACAGCTTTAGAGACTGCCCCCACCCAGGCTCTCCCTGACTCATCCCCACTCTTTTCATTACACACAGCCGCAGTGCAGCGCTGTGCAGTCAGAATTCTTACACAAGGACCAGGATCGCATCCTGTAGCCTTTTTGTCCAAACAACTTGACCTCACTGTTTTAGGCTGGCCATCATGTCTCTGTGCAGCGGCTGCTGCAGCCCTAATACTTTTAGAGGCCCTCAAAATCACAAACTATGCTCAACTCACTCTCTACAGCTCTCATGATTTCCAAAATCTATTTTCTTCCTCACACCTGACACATATACTTTCTGCTCCCTGGCTCCTTCAGCTGTACTCACTCTTTGTTAAGTCCCACAATTACCATTGTTCCTGGCCCAGACTTCAATCCAGCCTCCCACATTATTCCAGATACCACACCTGACCCTCATGACTGCATCTCTCTGATCCACCTGACGTTCACCCCATTTCCCCACATTGCCTTCTTCCCTATTTCTCACCCTGATCACACTTAGTTTACTGATGGCAGTTCCACCAGGCCTAATCACCACTCACCAGCAAAGGCAGGCTATGCTATACTATCTTCCACATCTATCATTAAGGCTACCGCTCTGCACGCCTCCACTACCTCTCAGCAAGCCGAACTAGTTGCCTTAACTGAAGCCCTCACTCTTGCAAAAAGACTACACGTCAATATCTATACTGATTCTAAATATGCCTTTCATATTCTGCACCACCATGCGGTCATATGGGCTGAAAGAGGTTTCCTCACTACACAAGGGTCCTCCATCATTAATGCCTCTTTAATAAAAACTCTACTCAAGGCCGCTTTACTTCCAAAGGAAGCTGGAGTCATTCACTGCAAGAGGCATCAAAAGGCGTCAGATCCCATTGCTCTAAGCAACACTTATGCTGATAAAGTAGCTAGACAAGCAGCTAGCTTTCCAAATTCTGTCTCTCACAGCAACACTTATGCTGATAAAGTAGCTAGACAAGCAGCTAGCTCTGCAACTTCTGTCCCTCACGGCCAGTTTTTCTCCTTCACATCAGTCACTCCCACCTACTCCCCCGCTGAAACTTCCACCTGTCAATCTCTTCCCACACAAGGCAAATAGTTCTTAGACCAAGGAAAATATCTCCTTCCAGCCTCACAAGCCCATTCTATTCTGTCGTCATTTCATAACCTCTTCCATGTAAGTTACAAGCCACTAGCCCGTCTCTTAGAACCTCTCATTTCCTTTCCATCATAGAAATCTATCCTCAAGGAGATCACTTCTCAGTGTTCCATCTGCTATTCTACTACCCCTCAAGGATTGTTCAGACCCCTCCCTTCCCTACACATCAAGCTCAAAGATTTGCCCCCGCCCAGGACTGGCAAATTGACTTTACTCACATGCCTCAAGTCAGAAAACTAAAATATCTTAGTCTAGGTAGACACTTTCACTAGATAAGTAGAGGCCTTCCCCACAGGGTCTGAGAAGGCCACCGCAGTCATTTCTTCCCTTCTGTCAGACATAATTCCTCAGTTTGGCCTTCCCACCTCTATACAGTCTGATAGCAGACCAGCCTTTACTAGTCAAATCACCCAAGCAGTTTCTCAGGCTCTTGGTATTCAGTAGAACCTTCATATCCCTTACAGTCCTCAATCTTCAGGAAAAGTAGAAAGGACTAATAGTCTTTTAAAGACACACCTCACCAAGCTCAGCCACCAACTTCAAAAAGATTAGTTAGTACTTTTACCTCTTGCCCTTCTCAGAATTAGAGCCTGTCCTCAAGATGCTACAAGGTACAGTCCATTTGAACTTTTATATAGACGCACTTTCTTGCTTAGCCCCAACCTCATCCCAGACACCAGCCCTCTAGGCGACTATCTTCCAGTCCTCCAGCAGGCTAGACAGGAAATTCACCAAGCTGTAATCCTCTCTTGCCTACTCCAGATCCCCAGCCATAAGAAGACACCCTAGCTAAACGATCAGTTCTTGTTAAAAATCTGACCCCTCAAACTCTACAACCTCGATGGACCGGACCCTACTTAGTCATCTATAGTACCCTGACTGCCGTCCGCCTGCAGGATCCTCCCCACTAGGTTCACCATTCCAGAATAAAGCTGTGTCCATCGGACAGCCAGCCTAATCCCTCCTCTTCCTCCTGGAAGTTGCAAGTACTCTCCCCTACTTCCCTTAAACTCACTCCTATTTCTGAAGAACAGTAATAACCCTTATGAGCCTAATACATCCCTTCATTCTATTAGGTCTGTTCGTCCTTACCCTACTTTTTGCAACAAAGAAGTTACCCCCACCACTTAGGCCGAGCCCCAAAAAACTTGTCATCCATACTATTTTCTGTCTAGTCATACTCCTATTCTCCGTTTTCAACTACTTATAAATGCCCTACTCTTGTTTACACTGCCAGTTTACACTGTTTCTTCAAGCCATCACAGCTGATATCCCTTGGTGCTATCCCCAAACTGCCACTCTTAATTCCCTCTTAAAGTAAGTAGATGATCTTTGCTGGCAGGGCACCCTCCAATACTTCCACCCTGATGAAGTTCTATTCTTTACTTTTATACTCACTCTTATTCTCATTCTCATTCTTATGCCACCCTTTACCTCTCCCCAGCTATCTCCACCACACTATCAACCTTACCCATTCCCTCCTAGCCACCTCTAATCCCTCCTTAGTGAACAACTGCTGGCTTTGCATTTCCCTTTCTTCCAGTGCCTACACAGCTGTCCCCACCTTACAGACAGACTAGGCAACATCTCCTGTCTCCTTACACCTCCAAACTTCCTTTAACAGCCCTCACCTTTACCCTCCTGAAGAACTCATTTACTTTCTAGACAAGTCCAGCAAAACTTCCCCAGACATTTCACATCAGCAAGATGCCGCCCTCCTCCGCACTTATTTAAAAAACATTTCTCCTTATATTAACTCTACTCCCCTCATATTTGGACCTCTTACAACACAAACTACTATTCCTGTGGCCGCTCCTTTATGTATCTCTTGGCAAAGACCTACCGGAATTCCCCTAGGTAATCTTTCACCTTCTCGATGTTCCTTTACTCTTCATCTCCGAAGCCCAACTACACACATCACTGAAACAATTAAAGCCTTCCAGCTCTGTATTACAGACAAGCCCTCTATCAATACTGACAAACTTAAAAACGTTAGCAGTAATTATTGCTTAGGAAGACACTTACCCTGTATTTCACTCCATCCTTGGCTACCTTCCCCTTGCTCATCAGACTCTCCTCCCAGGCCCTCTTCTTGTTTACTTATACTCAGCCCCAAAAATAACAGTGAAAGGTTTCTCGTAGATACTCAACGTTTTCTCATACAACATGAAAATTGAACCTCCTCCTCTACGCAGTTACCCCATCAGTCCCCATTACAACCTCTGACAGCTGCCGCCCCAGCTGGATCCCTAGGAGTCTAAGTACAACACACCCCTCTCAGCACTCCTTCTCACCTTTTTACATCTCCAGTTTTGCCTCGCACAAGGTCTCTTCTTCCTCTGTAGATCCTCTACCTACATGTGTCTACCTGCTAATTAGACAGGCACATGCACACTAGTTTTCCTTACTCCCAAAATTCAATTTGTAAATAGCACCAAAAAGCTCCCTGTTCCCCTCATGACACCGACATGACAAAAAAAAAGACTTTCTGCCTTCACTATTGCTCTCAGTATTAGAATAGCAGGCATTTCAACCTCTGTCATGACCTTCCGTAGCCTGTCTAATGACTTCTCTGCTAGCATCAGACATATCACAAACTTTATCAGTCCTCCAGGCCCAAGATGACTCTTTAGCTGCAGTTGTCCTCCAAAACCACCGAGGCCTTGACTTACTCACTGCTGGAAAAGGAAGACTCTGTATATTCTTAAATGAAAAGTGTTGTTTTTACCTAAATCAATCTAGCCTAGTGTATGACAACATAAAAAAACTCAAGGATCGAGCCCAAAAACTTGCCAACCAAGCAAGTAATTACGCTGAACCCCCTTGGGCACTCTCTAATTAGATGTCCTAAGTCCTCCCAATTCTTAGTCCTTTAATACCCATTTTTCTCCTTCTTTTATTCGGACCTTGTATCTTCCGTTTAGTTTCTCAATTCATCCAAAACCGTATCCAGGCCATCACCAATCATTCTATGCGACAAATGTTTCTTCTAACAACCCCACAATATCACCCCTTACCATGAGATCTCCCTTCAGCTTAATCTCTCCCACTCTAAGTTCCCACGCCGCCCCTAATCCTGCTTGAAGCAGCCCTGAGAAACATCGCCCGTTCTCTCTCTCCATTCCACCCCCCAAAAATTTTTGCCGCCCCAACACTATTTTGTTTTATTTTTCTTGTTAATATAAGAAGGCAGGAATGTCAGGCCTCTGAGCCCAAGCCAAGCCATCGCATCCCCTGTGACTTGCACGTATACGCCCAGGTGGCCTGAAGTAACTGAAGAATCACAAAAGAAGTGAATATGCCCTGCCCCGCCTTAACTGATGACATTCCACCAAAAAGAAGTGAAAATGGCTGGTCCTTGCCTTAAGTGATGACATTACCTTGTGAAAGTCCTTTTCCTGGCTCATCCTGACTCAAAATCTCCCCCACTGAGCGCCTTGAGATCCCCACTCCTGCCTGCCAGAGAACAAACCCCCTTTGACTGTAATTTTCCTTTACCTACCCAAATCCTATAAAACAGCCCCACCCCTATCTCCCTTCGCTGACTCTCTTTTCAGACGCAGCCCGCCTGCACCCAGGTGATTAAAAGCTTTACTGCTCACACAAAGCCTGTTTAGTAGTCTCTTCACACGGATGCACGTGAAATTTACCACATTTGAAAAACATATTGCATTACAGAGGAGTGAGTGGGTGGCAGAAAGGAGGGCAGAAATAATGGCCACACTTAAAGATCTAAAGGATGGGTGGTTCCTATCACGTCTCCATTTAATTCTCCGGTCTGGCCTGCAGAAGCCAGATGACACTGAATTTAACTAGAGTTTAGAGCCGACTTAACTAGCTCATAGCCCTGGTGGCGCTGTTGCACCAGACGTGGTATCTTTGCTAGAGCAGGTAAATATGGCCTCAAACACACAGAATGTAATCCTTTGATGAGGCTAAGGTCTCCTCTAGCCCAAATCTTAATGTAATCATGGGCATGATATCTCATCACATTTGCTGTATTCTACTAGTTAGAAGCAATTACGATATCTTGTCTATTCAGGCTGCTAACAAAATACCTTAGCCTGAGTACTTTATAAACAATAGAAATTTATTTCTCGCAGTTCTTGGGCTGTGAGGTCCAAGATCAAGGTGCCAGCAGATCTGGTGTCTGGTGAGGGCTGGCCCTCTGCTTCCACGATGGAGCCTCGTTCCTGTGTGTTCACGGGGCAGAAGGGGCAGGGGTGCCTTTTGACCTCTTTTATAAGGGCACCAATTCCATTTGTGAGGGTGGAGTCCTCATGACCTAAACACCTTCCAAATCCCCACCTCTTCATGCTATTGTATCGGGCTGCAACCTTCAACATTTGAATTTTGGGGGATACCAATATTTAGACTGTAGCACACAAATCCCACCCACAATCAACAGGGGAGATTATACAAGGACATGAATACCTGGAAGCAGGGATCATGGGGTTCCCTTAACGTCTGTCTACTACACCTTCTAAAATAAAAGACAGGCTGAGCACCGGGGCTCACGCCTGTAATCCCAACACTTTCAGAGGCCGAGGCAGGAGGACTGCTTGAGCCCAGGAATTCGAGACCCCATGTCTACAAAAAATTTAAAAAATTAGCCAGGTGTGGTTGTCAGGCCTCTGAGCCCAAGCCAAGCCATCGCATCCCCTGTGACTTGCACGCATATGCCCAGATGGCCTGAAGTAACTGAAGAATCACAAAAGAAGTGAAAATGGCCTGTTCCTGCCTTAACTGATGACATTATCTTGTGAAATTCCTTCTCCTGGCTCATCCTGGCTCAAAACCTCCCCCACTGAGTACCTTGTGACCCCCACTCTGCCTGCCAGAGAACCCCCCTTTGACTGTAATTTTCCTTTACCTACCCAAATCCTATAAAACGGCCCCACCCCATCTCCCTTTGCTGACTCTCTTTTTGGACTCAGCCCGCCTGCACCCAGGTGATTAAAAGCTTTATTGCTCACACAAAGCCTGTTTGGTGGTCTCTTCACATGGACGCCTATGAAATTTGGGGCCGTGACTCAGATCGGGGGACCTCCCTTGGGAGATCAATCCCCTGTCCTCCTGTTCTTTGCTCCATGAGAAAGATCCACCTACGACCTCAGGTCCTCAGACCAACCAGCCCAAGGAACATCTCACCAATTTTAAATCGGGTAAGTGGCCTCTTCTTACTCTCTTCTCCAACCTCTCTCACTGTCCCTCAACCACTTTCTCCTTTCCACTCTTCAATCTCTCCCTTCTCTTAATTTCAATTCCTTTCATTTTCTGGTAGAGAGAAAGGAGACACGTTTTATCCATGGACTCAAAACTCCAGCGCCGGTCACGGACTAGGGAAGGCAGCCTTCCCTTGGTGTTTAATCATTGCAGGGGTGCCTCTTTGATTATTCACCCAGGTTTCAGAGGTGTCAGACCATGCAGGGACGCCTGCCTTGGTCCTTCGCCCTTAGTGGCAAGTACCCCAACCCCTTCTCTCCGTGTCTCTACCCATTCTCCACCTTTCTGCGGGGCAAGAAACCCCAACCCCTTCTCCTTCACCCTGAGTGGCAAGTCCCGCTTTTCTAGAGGAGGGGCAAGTACCCCAACCTCGTATCTCTGCACCCCAATCCCTTATTTCCATGCCCTGACCTCTTATCTCTGCACCACATGCCTTATTTCCACACCCCGACCTCTTATCTCTGCACCCCAACCCCTTATTTCCACGCCCCAACCCCTTTCCTGCTTTTCTGGAAGGTAAGAACTCCCGAACCCCTTCCCTCCATGTCTCTACTCTCTTTTCTCTGGGCTTGCTTCCTTCACTATGGGCAACTTTACACCCTCCATTCCTCCTTCTTCTCCCTTAGCCTGTGTCCTCAAAAACTGAAAACCTCTTCAGCTCTCACCTGACCTAAAATCTAAGCATCTTATTTTCTTCTGCAATGCCACTTGACCCCAATACAAACTTGACAGTAGTTCCAAATAGCTGGAAAATGACACTTTCAATTTTTTCATCCTACAAGATCTAAATAATTCTTATCGTAAAATGGGCAAATGGTCTGAGGTTCCTGATGTCCAGGCATTCTTTCACACATCGGTCCCTCTCTAGTCTCTGTTCCCAGTGCAACTCATCCCAAATCTTCCTCCTTTCCCTCCCACCTGTCCCCTCAGTCCCAATCCCAAGTGTCGCTGAGCCTTTCTAATCTTCCTTTTCTACAGACCCATCTGACCTCTCCCCTCCTCCCCAGGCTGCTCCCTCGCCAGGCCGAGCTAGGTCCCAATTCTTCCTCAGCCTCCGCTCCTCCACCCTATAATCCTTTTATCACCTCCCCTCCTCACACCTGGTCCAGCTTACAGTTTCATTCCGTGACTAGCCCTCCCCCACCTGCCCAGCAATTTACTCTTAAAAAGGTGGCTGGAGCTAAAGGCATAGTCAAGGTTAATGCTCCTTTTTCTTTATCCCAAATCAGATAGCGTTTAGCCTCTTTTTCATCAAATATAAAAATCCAGCCCAGTTCATGGCTCCTTTGGCAGCAATCCTGAGACGCTTTACAGCCCTAGACCCTAAAAGGTCAAAAGGCTGTCTTATTCTCAAAATATATTTTATTACCCAATCTGCTCCCAACATTAAATAAAACTCCAAAAATTAAATTCCGGCCCTCAAACCCCACAACAGGATTTAATTAACCTTGCCTTCAAGGTGTACAATAATAGAAAAAGGTTGCAATTCCTTGCCTCCACTGTGAGACAAACCCCAGCCACATCTCCAGCACACAAGAACTTCCGAACGCCTAAACCGCAGTGGCCAGGCGTTCCTCCAGAACCTCCTCCCCCAGGAGCTTGCTACAAGTGCCAGAAATCTGGCCACCAGGCCAAGGAATGCCTACAGCCCAGAATTCCTCCTAAGCTGCATCCCATCTGTGCGGGACCCCACTGGAAATCGGACTGTTCAACTCACCTGGCAGCCACTCCCAGAGCTCCTGGAAGTCTGGCCCAAGGCTGACTGCTTCCCAGATCTTCTTGGCTTAGCGGCTGAAGACTGACGCTGCCCGATTGCCTCAGAAGCCCCCTAGACCATCAGGGACGCCAAGCTTCCCATAACTCTCACAGTGGAAAGTAAGTCCATCCCCTTCTTAATCAATACGGAGGCTATCCACTCCACATCACCTTCTTTTCAAGGGCTTGTTTCCCTTGCCTCCATAACTGTTGTGGGTATTCACGGCCAGGCTTCTAAACCTCTTAAAACTCCCCAACTCTGGTGCCAAATTAGACAGTACTCTTTTAAGCACTCCTTTTACTTATCCCCACCTGCCCAGTTCCCTTATTAGGCTGAGACACTTTAACTAAATTATCTGCTTCCCTGACTATTCCTGGGCTACAGCCACACCTCATTGCCACCCTTCTTCCCAATCCAAAGCCTCCTTTGCGTCCTCCTCTTGTATCCCCCCACCTTAACCCACAAGTGTAAGATACCTCTACTCCCTCCTTGGAGACCGATCATGCACCGCTTACCATCTCATTAAAACCTAATCACCCTTACCCGGCTCAACGCCAATATCCCATCCCACAGCACGCTTTGAAAGGATTAAAGCCTGTTATCACTCGCCTGCTACGGTATGGCCTTTTAAAGCTATAAACTCTCCTTATAATTCCCCTGTTTTACCTGTCCTAAAACCAGACAAGCCTTACAAGTTAGTTCAGGATCTATGCCTTATCAACCAAATTGTTTTGCCTATCCACCCCGTGGTGCCAAACTCATATACTCTCCTATCCTCAATTCCTCCCTCCACAATCCATTATTTTGTTCTGGATCTCAAACATGCTTTCTTTACTATTCCTTTGCACCCATCATCCCAGCCTCTCTTCGCTTTCACTTAGACTGACCCTGACACCCATCAGGCTCAGCAAATTACCTGGGCTGTACTGCCACAAGGCTTCACAGACAGCCCCCATTACTTCAGTCAAGCCCAAATTTCTTTCTCATCTGTTACCTATCTCAGCATAATTCTCATAAAAACACACGTGCTCTCCCTGCTGATCATGTCCGATTAATCTCCCAAACCTCAATCCCTTACAAAACAACTCCTTTCCTTCCTAGGCATGGTTAGTGTGGTCAGAATTCTTACACAAGAGCCAGGACCGCACCCTGTAGCCTTTCTGTCCAAACAACTTGACCTTATTGTTTTAGCCAAGACATCATATCTCCGTGCAGCGGCTGCTGATGCCCTAATACTTTTAGAGGCCCTCAAAATCACAAACTATGCTCAACTTACTCTCTACATTTCTCATAACTTCCAAAATCTATTTTCTTCCTCATACCTGACGCATATACTTTCTGCTCCCCGGCTCCTTCAGCTGTACTCACTCTTTGTTAAGTCCCACAATTACCACTGTTGCTGGCCCAGACTTCAATCTGGCCTCCCACATTATTCCTGATACCGCACCTGACCCCCATGACTGTATCTCTCTGATCCACCTGACATTCACCCCATTTCCCCATATGTCCTTCTTTCCTGTTCCTCACCCCGATCACACTTGATTTATTGATGGCAGTTCCATCAGGCCTAATCGCCACACACCAGCAAAGGCAGGCTATGCTATAGTACAAGCCACTAGCCCGCCTCTTATAACCTCTCATTTTCTTTCCATCATGGAAATCTATCCTCAAGGAAATAACTTCTCAGTGTTCCATCTGCTATTCTACTACTCCTCAGGGATTATTCAGGCCCTTCCCTACACATCAAATTCGAGGATTTGCCCCCACCCAGGACTGGCAAATTAGCTTTACTCAACATGCCCCGAGTCAGATAACTAAAATACCTCTTGGTCTAGGTAGACACTTTCACTGGATAGGTACAGGCCTTTCCTACAGGGTCTGAGAAGGCCACCGCAGTCATTTCTTCCCTTCTGTCAGACATAATTCCTCAGTTTAGCCTTCCCACCTCTATACAGTCTGATAACAGACCAGCCTTTATTAGTCAAATCAGCCAAGCAGTTTTTCAGGCTCTTAGTATTCAGTGAAACCTTTATATCCCTTACGGTCCTCCGTCTTCAGGAAAAGTAGAACAGACTGAAGGTCTTTTAAAAACACAACTCACCAAGCTCAGCCACCAACTTAAAAAGGACTGGACAATACTTTTACCACTTTCCCTTCTCAGAAGTCAGACCTGTCCTCAGAATGCTACAAGGTACAGCCCATTTGAGCTCCTGTATAGACGCTCCTTTTTATTAGGCCCCAGTCTCATTCCAGACACCAGACCAACTTAGACTGTGCCCCCAAAAAACTTGTCATCCCTACTATCTTCTGTCTAGTCATACTCCTATTCACCGTTCTCAACTATTCATACATGCCCTGCTCTTGTTTACACTGCTGGTTTACACTGTTTCTCCAAGCCATCACAGCTGATATCTCCTGGTGCTATCCCCAAACTGCCACTCTTAACTCTGGAAGTAAATAAATAATCTTTGCTGACAGGACTATGCTGAATCTCCTTAGGCACTCTAATCAGATGTCCTAGGTCCTCCCAATTCTTAGACCTTTAATACCTGTTTTTCTCCTTCTCTTATTCCATTTAGTTTCTCAATTCATACAAAACTGTATCCAGGCCATCACCAATAATTCTAAATGACAAATGTTCCTTCTAACAACCCCACAATATCACCCCTTACCACAAAATCTTCCTTCAGCTTCATCTCTCCCACTCTAGGTTCCCACACGGCCCCTAATCCCGCTCAAAGCAGCCCTGAGAAACATCGCCCATTCTCTCTCTCCATTCCACCCCCCAAAAATTTTTGCTGCCCCAACACTTCAACACTATTTTGTTTTATTTTTCTTATTAATATAAGAAGGCAGGAATGTCAGGCCTCTGAGCCCAAGCCAAGCCATGGCATCCCCTGTGACTTGCACGCATACGCTCAGGTGGCCTGAAGTAACTGAAGAATCACAAAAGAAGTGAATATGCCCTGCCCCGCCTTAACTGATGACATTCCACCACAAAAGAAGTGAAAATGGCCTGTTCCTGCCTTAACTGATGACATTATCTTGTGAAATTCCTTCTCCTGGCTCATCCTGGCTGAAAACCTCCCCCACTGAGTACCTTGTGACCCCCACTCCTGCCCGCCAGAGAACAACCCCCCTTTGACTGTAATTTTCCTTTACCTACCCAAATCCTATAAAACGGCCCCACCCCATCTCCCTTCACTGACTCTTTTTGGACTCAGCCCGCCTGCACCCAGGTGATTAAAAGCTTTATTGCTCACACAAAGCCTGTTTGGTGGTCTCTTCACATGGACGCACATGAAAGTGGTGATGCACACCTGTCATCCCAGCTACTCCCGGGGCTGAAGCTGGATCACTTGAGCCCTGGGGTTCCAGGCTGCACTGAGCTGTGATCACACAACTGCACTCCAGCCTGGGCAACAGAGCAAGACCCTGTCTCTAACAAATAGAATAAAAAGGCAATTGCTAGGCCAGGCATGGTGGCTCATGCCTATAATCCCACCACTTTGGGAGGCCAAGGTGGATGGATCACCTGAGGCCAGGAGTTCAAGACCAGCCTGGCCAACATGGAAAAAACCCATCTCTACTAAAAATACAAAAAAAAAAAAAAAAAAAAAAAAAGCTGGGCATGGTGGTGTGTGCCTGTAATCCCAGATTCTCAGGAGGCTGAGGCGGGAAAATCGCTTGAACCTGGGAGATGGAGGTTGCAGTGAGCCGACATTTCACTCCAGCCTGGGTGACAGAGCAAGACTCCGTCTCAATTGCTGCATCTTGAGTCTCCTATTGTTGCTGTTGTGAGACCTTGGTTCTCATCTTCTTAGTTTAAAATAATTTAAACAAGAGACACACAGCAGAGGAGAGGTAACAGAGTAATTTATTGCAAAAGAAAAAGAATATTCTGAAAGTTAGATGCCGAATAGACAGTACACCCTGAGAGAGAGAATTCGGGGTGGGCTGCTTGTGAGGATGAGACAGCAAAGACTGGGACTAGGTGTGAGAAACAAACTCGCCTGTCCAAACCCAAAGGATGGACTCAAGAGACCCGGAGAACAGCGGAAGTGGGACTCTTAATGATGGTCTTGTAAGCTCGGGTGTCTGATGAGTAGGCACACCCAGCACGGTTTCAACAAGCAATTTATCCCCTAGTGCACAGGTCTCTCCCCCGTTTCCTCATAGGCTGAGTACTACGGGTCACAGTCTTCCCAGACATCGCCTATCAGTTGTTGGGTTGGGGCTGTAGGTGTTTTATTTTGGGGGGTTGTCCTGCTGCATTTTGTTGCAGCCCAAGCATCTTCCATGGAAGAGGCACTGAACCACCAGGCAGACAAGATCACTCAACCCACTGATGGGAGCCAGCCTTAGTGGCTACACCAACCCAACAAAGACAGGCACATGGACGGAGCGGCCACAGCTGAGACAGAGGGCAGGCATGAGGCCAACAGTGTGGACTGCAACCTCCCAAAACCATCTGGCTCCTTCTCTTATCTGAATGTCCAACCTGCCAGCAACAGGAGACCAGCATCCCACTGCCAGTGTGGCCCAGGTTCACAGGAGACCAACCAGCCACTTGACAGCAAGTGGACCCACTGGGCCTCTTTCATTCTGGAAAGGCCAGTGGTTTGCACAAAAATAGACATCTCTTCTAGGTAGGAGTTTGTCTTTCCTGGCTCCAGGGCCTCAGTTGGCATCACTGTCCAAGCGCTTAAGGAATGTCCTGTTCATCGGCGTAGAAGGGCTCACAACATCACTTCTGATCAGGGAAGCCACTTTGCAGTGAAGGAGATGTGGGAAAGGGTCTGTGTCCCTAGGATCTACTCATTGCGTCTCATTGTTCGGAAGCTGCTGGACTGGCTGGGTGTTGGAGTGGCCTCCCACACGGAGAGCTGAAGCAATGCCCTGTAACTACAGGCCCCGTCATCCCGGATGGCATGGGGACATTGAGTCAGAGGCCTTCATATGGCACTGTGTTCTCAGCAGAAAGCACACATAGGTCTGGGAGCTGAGGGGTGGGAGCAGGGCGGCCCACTCAGCATCACTCCTGGTCACCCCTGTTTGTGTTTTCCATCTCCCCAGTCTTGGCTCTGCAAGGTTAGCGGTTCTGGTTCCAAAGGAGGTGTTTGCTTGCCAGAGGACAGAACTACAAGCTGTAGCTTCCACCAGGGTACTGCAGGCTCCTTTTGGCCCAGCCAGCAAGCCGTAAGAGGAGCCACCCTCTTAGTGGGGGTGGCTGGCCCTGAGCAGCAGGGGGACATGGGGGCTGCTGTCACCTGAGAGCAGGCGGCAGAGAGGAATACATGTGGGACTCAGACACCCGACGTGGGCAGGTGCTTCTTGGCACCCCCTCTTCCGATTATGACCGGAAATGGATCTGAATAGCAACTCTGACCCCAAAAGGGCATGGTTAGCAGGGACTCACAGGGGCTCACAGTCTTCAGGAACATAGGGCTTGGGTCCAGCCACCAGATGCACCTGATGCCAACAGGAGACAGCTGAGCGCCAGGGCAATTTAGAACAGAAAGTAGAGGCGGGGACAAGAGGGACCACTGTGTTCCCAGATGAACGCAGTTGGCTATGGGGCTGTCATTTTTTCCATTAATTTCCCTCTTCTAAATACACAGAGAGAGGGGCCCTGGAAGGGTGGTTTCCCACATGTGTGGAAAAGGGGATCCGGCCAGTGCAAGGGCGGATAATGGCAGACACAGGGTAGAATCAGACCTCCTTAGACAGAGGATGCTCTGCCCAGCAGCTGCGAGGCATGTGGTCAGGGGCAGCCCCCAGCTGCCAGCTCCCCCAGGGTTTGCCTTCCCAGCTCAGCACAGCCAGGGACTGAGCAAGGCAGCAGGACCAAGGTCACTCTCTTATGGGGCGCTCCCCCCAAGTGCTAAGCCCAGCCATCTCAGGCCAGCACGGGGCTGTTCTGCTGGCCAGCCTTCACCCTGCACTCCTGGCTGGGCGGGGAGCCTTTCTCGGATCTGAGTTGTGGATTGCAGCATCCCTGCCCGACCCTTCTCCCCAACGAAGCTTCGCACTGCCAACGCCGTCCGCGAATTTCCACGGCACATCAAAGAGGGCAAAAAATGAGGGGAAGGAGGGCAAAGAACACAGAGACAGTGGGCGGCGGGTCCAGACCCACATCTGTGTAACTGAATTCACTTCATTAGATATAAATGGAGGCCGGGCATGGTGGCTCACACCTGTCATCCCAGCATTTTGGGAGGCTGAGGCGGGCAGATCACCTGAGGTCAGGAGTTCAAGACCAGCCTGGCCAACATGGCAAAACCCCGTCTCTACTAAAAATACAAAATTAGCCAGGCGTGGTGGCAGGGGCACCTGTAATCCCAGATACTCAGGAGGCTAAGACAGGAGAATTGCTTGAACCCAGGAGGCAGAGGTTGCAGTGAGCCCATATTGCACCACTGCACTCCAGCCTGGGTGAGAGTGAGACTCCATCTCAAAATATATATATATAGACAAAATGCTCCAATTAAAAACAAATATTGTAACATTGAGTAAAATATTATATTCGATCGTATGCTACTTATAAGAGACACGCACATAGAAAGTCACAGAAGGGCTGAAGGGGACTGAAATCATACGCCACGAAGATGCTAAATGAGCAGAGCTGATGTGGCACTATTAACTACTGACACCAAAGGAGGCTGCGAGGGAAGAAGAGTTACCAGAGTAAAATACAGACATTTCATCAGCATTAAGAGGGCCAGTCCACCTGGACCATGTAACAGTTCTAAATGTGTGTACACCTAATAAACCTGGTCTTAGAACACAAAGCAAAATCTTACAGATGTAAAAGGAGTGGGAAATTAGGATGTAGACATCTGGGTGAGGGCCATTATCCTGCCTACAACCTATGGGTTAGTTTTCTCAGATGTAAATCATACCACAGCCAGGCATGGTGGCTCATGCCTGTAGTCCCAGCTACTTGGGAGGCTGAGGTGGGAGGATTGCTTGTGCCCAGGAGTCGGAGGCTGCAGTGAGTCGTGATCATGCCACTGCACTCCAGCCTGGGCAACAGAGCGAGACCCTGACCCTAAAAATAAGTAAATGATAAATAAATAAAATCATACCACAGTAAAATTGATCTTCTCTTTTTCAAAGTGACCGAAATCCTCTTGGAAATGTAGAAACACTCCTTGATAATCTTTGCCATGAAATGAAAGCTACCAACTCTCTCGGAAGCATTAAGAAGAAGCACACTTCTTCACAAAGTAGACAGCACACGGCAGAGTGGGGGCCAGAAGACGTGGCTCACCTCAATGCCTGCCTTGTTCTAGAATTTTTTTTTTTTTTTGAGTAACAGCTCTTCATTTTAAGAAACTGGAAAAAGAACAACAAAATATACCAAAAGAAACTCAGAAAAAAGATAAGATACAAAGATAAAAAGCTGCAAATGTGGAAAGAATAAAGTGAGACATTATAGAACAGCTTTGAAAGCTGCATACAGGTATTTAAGGCTGTATGCACCCTGATGCACAGCAGCGTTATTCATCGGGCAAAAAAAACCCATCAAACCATGAAACAAAAACACCCACCGCCTGGGGAGCACTGGATGCCGCGGAGTTTTATGCAGCTTTTAAAAAGAATGATTTGAACGTCTGGTTAAGGTGGCGCTGTGCATTCACACTTCGGCCCTTCGTCTCCACAGACAAGATAAACACAGCACATTCGACATGGCCCGGAGGAATGATCCATGGCCTCGACAAAGAGAAAACTAAGAAGACATTGCTGGGCTCAGAAGGAAAGTAAACATCTCCCAGGACCAGATGTGGAGTAGATGGGAGTTGGAGAGAAGCTGAAGCCCAGGCCCAGCACCAGGCTGGGGGCCCAGGTGCTACGGAGGTCCCAGCCATTAACAGAGCTTCGTGCAGGTGGGCAGCTGGAGCCAGGGGGGCTCACTCTCTTGTGAAACAGGCAGAAAAACAGGCCAAACTCTGCTGGGGGCTGCAGCCTTTAGGGAGCAGCTGGTCTCCCGAGGCAAAAGGACACACACGTTGTGGAGGCCAGGAACTGGACCAGCCTGTCGGGGGCTTGGTAACTCCATCCAGAACATCCTCAGGGTCTCCACAAGGCAGACACAGCACAGTACCACAGGAGATGGCTGGGACAAAGAACCAGGAGCTGGAGGGGTGAGGCGGTAGGGGGGCAGCAATCCTGAAACAATGAGAACAGGGAAGAGAAAGAAAAGTCATACCAGCTCGGAAGAGCTTGCAAACCGATGTTCCAAAACACGCCCAGAATTCTAATGTTCACAAAGTTATCCAGTCAATAATTAGAATCCACTGCAGATGAAATTAATTTTGTAGAATAGTCTGATAAAGACTAAAATAAATGTGCTTGGAAGGCTCAAGGAGAGAAATGAAGAAACCTAGAACTGAAGATACGGTTCCCCAAACAGGAAGGAAGGAAAGAAGGAAGGAAGGAAGGAAAGAAGGAAGGAAGGAAAGAAGGAAGGAAAGAAGGAAGGAAGGAAAGAAGGAAGGAAGGAAAGAAGGAAGGAAGGAAGGAAAGAAGGAAGGAAGGAAGGAAAGAAGGAAGGAAGGAAAGAAGGAAGGAAGTAAGGAAAGAAGGAAGGAAAGAAAGGAAGGAAAGGAAGGAAGGAAGGAAAGAAGGAAGGAAGGAAAGAAGGAAGGAAAGAAGGAAGGAAGGAAAGAAGGAAGGAAAGAAGGAAGGAAAACAAAAAGCTTAAAAAGAACCAATTAGAAATCTTGAAAATAAAAAATGGTCACTGAAATAAAAAACGCGCCTCAATAGACAGGCTAAACTCTAGACTAGACATAGGTGGAGAGCTGATGAATTGGAAGCCAGTGCTGAGAAATTCAGCCAGAACCCTGCATAAAGAGAAAAAAGTTCTGAGAGGAGGGAAGGGCTGCTACGCAGTCTGAGGAGAGATCCAGAAGACCATGGAGAAGCAGTATTTGAAAAAATATTAGCCCTGAATTTTGCAGAATTAGGGAAAGGCATGACTCCTCAGCTTGAAGCTGGGGTTTGAATACAAAGTAGGATAAAGGATAGTCTCAACCCTTGCCCAGTTGTCACTGGATATCAGAGACAAAATGCCATTTTCCAGAAAGTGTGTAAAACGTGGTCTCATTAAAGAAAGAACAAGTGAGCACAGGGCACATCCTCCGGAAGATTCTATGATGGTGTGAGCCTGGGGTGAGCACAGAACACACGGCAGGTGGTTCGTCTGGGTTCCTAGGGGAGGACGGCAGGGCTGGAGGGGACCCAAAACAAAGCCCAGAAGCCGCCCAACCATGTGAAATCATGAAATGTGGTAACTACTTAAAAATGTGGGCCAGGCGCAGTGGCTCACACCTGTAATCCCAGCACTTTGGAAGGCCAGGGTGGGCAGATCATGAGGTTAGGAGTTCGAGACCAACCTGGCCAATATGGTGAAACACCATCTCTACTAAAAATACAAAAATTAGCCAGGTGTAGTGGCAGGTGCCTGTAATCCCAGCTACTCGGGGAGGCTGAGGCAGCAGAATTGCTTGAACCTGGGAGGCAGAGGTTGCAGTGAGCTGAGATTGCGCCATTGCACCCCAGCCTGGGTGACAGAGCGAGATTCTGTCTCAAAAAAAAAAAAAAAAAAGTGTAGTTACAGCTGGGCATGGTGGCTCATGCCTGTAATCTCAGCACTTTGTGAAGCTGAGGCGGGTGGATCACTTGAGGTCAGGAGTTCAAGACCAGCCTGGCCAACATGGCAAAACTCCATCGCTACTAAAAATACAAGCATTAGCCAGGTGGGGTGGTATTAGCCTGTAGTCCCAGCTACTCATGAGGCTGAAGCAGGAGAATCGCTTGAACCCAGGAGGTGAAGGTTGCAGTGAGCCAAGATTAGACCGCTGCACTTCAGCCTGGGCCACAGAGCAAGACTCTGTCTCAAAACAAACAAACAAAAAAACAAAGTGTAGTTACTGAAACATCAAGTATCGGCATACTTTCTTTAGCATCTCTTGCAGTGAAAATCAGCTGGAAAAGAATTCTCCCAGCTTTTGTTTACCTGAAAAGGTCTTTCTTTGGCTTTCATTTTTGTAGAACAGTTTCACTGGAAATAATCATGATGACAGCTTTCATTTTCTTCCGGCACTTTGCATATGTTGTTTCATTTTCCTCCAGGCACATATTGTTGTTCCCCTGTATATAATGTATTGTTTTTATTCTCTTGCAGTTTTCAAGCTTCTCTGTTTGTCGTTGGGTTTTAGTAGCTTGTCTACGATGTGTCGAGGTTTTTGTCTGTTTGCTTTATCTGACTTGAGGTTCACTGAGCTTCCCGAATCTTCAAGTTAATGTTTTTAATCAAATCTGGGAAATTTTAAGCCATTATTTCATCAAATATATGTATTTTTCCTTTCTTTTCTTCTCTCCTCTCCTTCTGGGATTCCAATTACATGCATGTTGGACTGCTTGATACAGTCTTGTGGGTCTCTCAGGATATATTTCTTTTTCTTGGTAAAAAATGAAGTCTTTTTTCTCTATGTTCTTTGCATTAAATACATTTTATTGACCTATCTTCAAGGTCATGGATTTTTTCTCCTACTGTCTCCAATAAGCTATTGAGCCTATCCAGTGAAATTTTTATTTCTGTTGTTTTAATTTTCAGCTTGAAGAATTTCCATTTGATTCTTTTTTGTAGCTTCCATTTCTTTGTTGAGGTTCCCCTCTGTTTATTCATTAAGACTATATTTTACTTTAATTATCTGATCATATTTAAAATAGCAGCTTTGAAGTCTTTGTCTATGAAATCTAACCTTTGGGTCCATTCAGAATCCACTTCTATTCACTGTCTTTTTCCTAAATATGGATCATACATTCTTGTTTCTTTGTATGTCTAGTTATTTTTTGTTGGTAACTGGACATTGTAGGTAGTATTTTGTAGCAACTTTGGATTCTGTTATGTTCTTCTGAAGATTGTTGGGTTTTGTTCCAGTAGGCAGTTAACTTGCTTGATCTGAAACTGTAGAGTCTGCCTCCTCCACAGTGTGTAGTGGCTGATGTCTCTGCTCAGCTTTTCAACTTCCAGCTGTAGTCTTTGTAGCCAACCCTTTGCACCCGTATGCTCAATATTTAGCCAAGGATTTGAGCAGAGTTTATGTTCAGATTTGGCAGCTCACCCTCTCTGTAGTTCCCTTGCTTTGGGGGTTCACCCTTAATTTTCCAGCTGCTCAGCCAGCCCTACACTTTGTCTTCTGACACCTCAAACCAATAAGGATTCAACTTTCTGCCATGCATGCTGTGCATGATTTGGGGAATACATGCACTCAAAGGAGCAGAAAACTCACGAATATCACCTAGTCCTCTTATATCTTTCAGGGTAGACTCCTCTCTCATATCTCCCTCATTTTTCACCAAGCTTCCTCAAGTCTCTGATACGTGTTTGTAGTTTGATGGCCATCCAAGGATTGGGGCAGAGTTTAGACTCAGATTTGGGTCTCACCCCTTCTACAGCTCTCTTGTTTCAGGATTTCTTCCCTACATTTCCAGCTCCTCTGCCAGCCTTGTCCTCTGTATTCTCCCACCTTGAGCTTGGAAGACTGTGGCGCCATGGCCATGACTGTGGGGTTAGGAGCGTGCTGAGGCAAAGGGCTGGCCTTTAATTGCCTGCATCAGGTCATCATTGGCTGTGATTTCCGTCAGCTGAGGGCACTTCTGTATTGAGGGGAAAGCAGTGAGAGGTTAACAGCCAATGTTCACAGCAGCTGGGGGCTAGGGTGTACTAGGCTGGTCTAGGAGATTTGGGCAGGTACCAGTGGTAGTGAGAAAGAGTCCGTTCCAACTCTGCTTTGGAGATAAGTTGGGGCCAATTGCCCTGAAATTAGATTCCTCCAAAGAATCTCTGCTATGTGCCCCACTCGTGACCCTCCTTTCTGCTTGCCTCCTGACATATTCTTTGTTTTTTTTTTTCTGGAGACAAAGTCTTGCTTTGTCACCTAGGTTGGAGTGCCGTGGCCCCATCTTGGCTCACTTCAGCCCCTGCCTCCTGAATTCAAGCAATTCTCATGCCTCAGCCTTCCAAGTAGCTGGGATTACAGGCACACACCACCATGCCCGGCTAATTTTTGTATTTTTAGTAGAGATGGGGTTTCACCATGTTGGCCAGGCTGGTCCCTAACTCCTGACCTCAAGTGATCCATGCACCTTGGCCTCCCAAATTGCTGAGATTATAGGTATGAGCCAACACGCCCGGCCCTCCTGACATGTTCTTTTTAAACCAAGAGGGAAACTGAAGTTTTCTCTCTGAGAACCCACACCTCTGCTTCTGGGTCCCTGGGGCTGAGGGATCACTATGAAAAGCTTTATTTCAGGGGATCTGACTTCTCAGCCCCATCAGTCCCATGAACTTTTGCCAACGTCCTTTCTCAGGAATGAAATTAAGCACCCAGGTTTTGTTTCACATAATTCAGCCAGACCCTGCCCCTGCCCCCAAGGGCTTCCTCTGCTCCTGGATGGAGAGAAGATACACAGAGAAAGCACCCAGATGAGTGGCTTCCTTGATGGGGATTTAAAATATTTTATTTTCATAGAATTTCTAGTGCCATAAAAAGGTATATATTTGATTGTTTTGCTTTAATTAATTTATTTATTTATTTTTGAGACAGTCTCACACTGTCGCCCAGGCTGGAGTACAGTGGTGCGATCTCGGCTCACTACAACCTCTGCCTCCCAGGTTCAAGTGATTCTCCTGCCTCAGCCTCCTGAGTAGCTGGGTTACAGGTGCACACCACCACGCCTGGCTAATTTTGTGTTTTCAGTAGAGATGGGGTTTCACCGTGTTGGCCCGGCTGGTCTTGAACTCCTGACCTCAAGTGATCCACCCCCCTCGGCCTCCCAAAGTGCTGGGATTACAGGTGTGACCCACCGTGCTCAGCTTTTGCTTCCTTTTAAAAAGCATTTTGGATTTTAGGGTCTTTCTTTTTCTATCGTGGTATTTCTCCAGTGGAGCCCCCCCTCTGAGTTCTGACCCCAGTTCTTCCATGACATCAGCATTTATCCCTGTTGATAAGCTGCCACATCCTTTAAAAATCAGCCCACCTAAAATGTTCTACCCCAGCAACTCTGTTCTCACCTTTGAAAAGAGCACCCGACTACTGAATGCCAGGAAAAAGCGCATCCTTTTGAGAGAAATGCATATAGCCAAGGATGGAAATCCTGAAAGCAGATGTAAAATCCCCTCCACGTAGAAAATCATAGGCACCAGCGATGCTATTAGATATGTATGACTAATTGCGGTTAATACTCGCTGCTGTCAATTAGCCTCATTAGCACAAGCAATTTGAGCACACGACATTACTTTAATTACCACAAGCAGTTTGTTCATTTGTGGAGAATGTGCATTTCCAAAAAGGTTGCGCTATTTGGAAATTAATCCTAATCTCTTGCATTGTTAAAAATTCAGGCAGATAGGGGAGAAAAAAACTGTAAGCAAAAAAAACTGTAAGCATCCTTGCATTTACAGATACAAAAATAAAAGTGACGAACGTTACACAGTCATTTTTACTATTATTTTTCTACTATTTTATTTTCTCTGCTAAAGCGGACTAGGGTCATTGTAAGCTTTCTTTTCTGAAATCTATGCGTGGGAGGTAAAATGACTGGCATTAGAGCTCAGCCGAGACATTAAGCCCATTAAGGGAGGCAATGCAGAAAAGCCTTCAAATCTGAGCTTTTATTCAACTCACCCCGGGGCCGGGAAAGGGCCGGCGAGGACAGCCCCACCCCACCATACCTTCAACCTTCTTGCTGTGTCCCAGCGAGGACAGTTTCACTCCCACCGGACCCTCCAAGCCTCTTGCCCACGGCTGTGTCCTGGCCGCTGCTTCCTGCCTGGGCCCTGGAGTGCTCCGAGGACCCCTCCCCAAATCCCAGCCACCGCCGCCCTGTTTGGCGTCTCTGATGGAGAGCTGAGCTTCCTGTGTCCTCGGAGCCTGCAGGGATCAGCACCCGCCACGGTAGCTCCCCTTTCCCGCCTGCTCTGCTGGATGCTGGGTTTCAGTCCAGGTCCTTCGGGCGCCCTGGAACCCTCTTCCGCTCCCCGACCTGGGCCTGTCATGGGCCACTTTAGGGCCCTGGATGGCGGCCCTGCTCCCTGGCGCCGCATCAGCCATCCGTGGCAGACTCCCGCCATCCGGATTCTCCCTTTCCTGCCGGCACCTCTCTTCTTGCGAGTGGCCCAGAAGCAGGGGTGGTCGTTCCGCTGGCTCCTGCTGCACACCAGGCCCTGGGGACATCGTGGCCCTGGGGACATCATGGTCCCTGCCTCCATGGAGCTGACGCTCTAGAGGAGCCGGACACAAAAGGCAAAATGAAAGCACGCGAGCTTCATCATCAGCCAGACTACAGGCTTAAAAGAGCGTTGGCGCCACAACTAAAATTCAACTGGCGGTGGGCGCGGTGGCTCACACCTGTAATCCCAGCACTTTGGGAGGCCGAGGCAGCTGGATCACCTGAGGTCAGGAGTTCGAGACCAGCCTGACCAACATGATGAAACATCTCTACTAAAAATACAAAAAAAATTAGTTGTGTGTGGTGGCCGGTGCCTGTAATCCCAGCTACTTGGGAGACTGAGGCAGGGAGAATTGCTTGAACCCAGGAGGTGAAGGTTGCAGTGAGCCGAGATTGCACCACTGCACTCCAGCCTGGGCGACAGAGCAAGACTCCGTCTAAAAAAACAAACAAACAAAAAAATAAATGGAGCTGTAGTTCATAGGGACCCACTCGATGAATTTCTTGGCATGTGTGCCCCTGCAGAGCGGCTCCCAGAACATCAAGCGTCCCGAAGTCCCCACCCTGCTCCTTCCCTGTCCCCCTCCCGAAGGCAGCCCGGCCGAGGGCAAGGCTTGGTGGCTCCCGGGCTCCCGTGCTCTGAGCCTGTGCAATCCTCGTGGGGTGGTGGGTGGCAGGTGGCCGGAGCGCTGCTGTCTTCGTTGCTCTGCAGTGTTCCATCCACCAAGTGAGCACAGTGTATTTTTCCATTCTGGTGGGAATGGTGACCTGAGTTACAGAAACAAAAAATGTTCATCTAAACAGTACTTTTAGGTGGCCACTAGGCTCTCCGGACCCAGGTCACAGCCAGCGCCCATCCTCACCCAGTGCAGTCTTGGGCCGGCTCCCTCCCGTCTTGCCCCCTGGCCTGTTCCAGGGCCCCTGAGAGCAGCTCCTGGCCATGCCATCTCCCATGGTGTCCCCAGGCCGGCACTGGCCCCCTGGCCCGTCCGCTGTGGGCTGGTTGCTAAGCCCCTCCCCAGGGATTCTGATGGCAGTGGCTTCTGGCTCCCAGCAGCAGCTGGGGCTGGCCAGCGGGGGAAGTAGAGGTAGGAGCTGCCTCTCCATGAGAAGGGCCTCTGAGAGGTAAATTCCCTACCCACAAAAGGGGCCCCTGGCTTCTTGAAGGACCTGCCTGTCCTGGTGGGGCCCCAGTTGAACGGCCACCTCTCCTGGACCAGGGCTCCCACTGGGCCAGCCAAGCCCTGGCCTGATGCTGTGAGGCAAAATGACTCACATTAGAGTTTAGCCAGACAGGAAGCCGGGAGGACATGAAGCCCCCAGCGTCCCCAGTTTAGCAGGCAGGGACCGCAGAGGGAGGGAGGGAGGGAGGGAGGAGAGAGGGCCCATCTCCGCTGCCGTGAGTGCCTTCTGTGGGCAGACGAACTCCTCCCTCGCGTTTGTCCTGCAAGGTGACATTTTAAGGCCCAGACACAATTCAGTTTTTATCGAGCAAGTGTCAACATGCTAGACAGGAATTTTGTAGTCTCCTGCCACTGTTCCTACCCGGGGACACAGAGTCCCAGAACAACGTGCTGTGTTCTCGCCGCATCCTTGCACCAGGAAGCAACCTGTGGGGGAGTTGGCTCTGAAAACGAGGGCAACACGGTGTGCCCAAGGGTGGGATTCTGGTGGCAGTCGAGTGTTTCTTCAGGTGGGCACCCTGCTGCCTAGGGGGCTGTGCCAGGGCCGGGAGGACCCTCACATCAGACAGGAGCTCCGTGGACAGTGCCCCACCAGCCGGGCTCCTTAGGAGAGTGTTCCAGGAAACGGCAGGAGCCCAGGTCAGCAGGGGCGTCTGTCCTGACCTGGCTGTGCCCTCTGACCTGACCTAAGTTGTCTCCCACAATGTGGGGGCAGTTTGAGCCCCTCCAGGGAGATGGTCCCCAGGCCCCCTTCATCTCCCCAGAGGAGGTGGGAGGTGGCTCAAGGCTTGTCCGTCACTGGGAGGGTATGGGAGTCGGGCCCCACCAGGAAGGGGGTAGGAAGGGGCCGCAGACGTCCTGCTCACCAGTGCCCCCTGGGACACCCTGGCCTTGGCGGCTAAGGGACCATGAAGGCTTGCTCTTAGATCCGTGTCACTTGTCCCCAGCCTCCTGAAAGACAGCCCTCATGACAGTCCAGCTCAGTATTCTGCCCCAGGGCACGTGCAATTTTAGGAGATGTTTTTGGTTGCCACACAGTGGGGAATGGGGAGGCTGTTGCTGACATCAGTGAGTGGAAGCTGGGGGGCCGTTCATGTCCTCCCAGGCATGGGACAGCCCCTCACAGCAGAGAACCATGTGGCCCCCAGTGTCAGTGGTGTGGAAGCAGAGGCACCTTGGCCTAATGGATCTACATCTGGGGCTACAGGTGGAGAGAAAGAAAAAGGAAATGAAAGCAGAGGCGCAGAAAGCAGCCCAGCCTCTGCCGTGCTGGGCCTCCTGGAAAGGAGAAGAGGGCGGGCTGGCCCCAGAGGCTCCGCTGGGCAGAGCTACCCTCCCTCAGCCCTGGGCCCCGCAGCTGGGTCTTTTGGGCCCCATTAAAGCTGGCCTTGGGTGTCCTTGGGCCTTGGCAGGACCTGCAGCCACCACACGGGGTGGAGGCCTGCCAGGGTCCTTGGGTGGTGGCTCACGGTTTGGAGCAGGCCACCTGAGCATCCCGTGTCCAGGGGCAGCACCCTGTGCATCAAACTCCTCACACAGGGAAGGGTTTCCGAGGCCCTCCCTATACCTCGGCCTCGCTAAATGCCTGGGCGGGCTGAGCCCACTGAGCCCTAACCCCATCAAAACACTTGTCACCTTGTCACTTGGCTGTGAGTACTCAGTCCCTCTGCTCCCCACTAGCCTGTGAGCCCCTTTACCAAAGACTCCTCTCCTCCATCCCCACAGCCCAGCGTGGACATCATTCATCCTCCCTGAGCACAAAGCTCGTTCTAATGCCCCAGCCTAGAGTCTCAGAGGCATCCCTGTGGACCAGTCCCGATGCTTTGCTGCAGGTGATAAAGGCAGATGTGACTCGCTCTGCTTCCCAGGGGGGCAGGCAGGGGCCAGGGTCCTCAGTGCTGGGGAGCCGTCATCTTCAGAACATTGCCTCTCATCCTCGTGTGTGTGACCGCATGGTCTTAAGATGGCTGCACAGCTAAAGGCATCACACCAGTGTCCCAAACAGGGAAGAGAGCTTCTCCCTACCCAGCTCTGCAGGCCAGGATGGGATCACCTGGGAACTCCGTCATCAGGTGCTTGGCTCAGGCCTATCCCCAAGGGCACAACCAATGAAAGTTTGTGGGGTAAAGGAGGAGTGAGTGTAGCAAAGCAAAGCCCTTCGACGTTCTCACGTTTGTGGGGCCACATGTGGAGCGATGACTTCGGGCGCACCTCTGTGCTGCCTCCCACTGGCTTCCCAAACCTCAGGGTGCAGCCTGCCTCTGGAGGCAGGAGCAGGGCCCTGGGCGGCTGGGAGTGGCTGGAACTGGGGACATCACCCACGCAGGTGGCCTGGGACACACTGGATGCGTGAGCCTGGAAAGGGGCCAGGAGGAGGGGTCTCCGCCCTTCTGGGGCAGCCTGAAACTGGCAGATGTGGCAATGCTAGTTCTGTTCCAGACCCCCTCTGTGAAGTGCCGTTTCCATGCTGCCCTCACTGGACCAAGGGCACAGCTGTGGAGGAGTGTGAGCGAGGGATCCCCACAAGGACAAAAGCAGAGACCATCCACTGAAGATGCACCTCCAATCCCTCCTGGTCACGCCCAGCCCCGCGCCCAGGGGCCATCTCAGGAGATGCCCTGGCCAGGCCTCTAACCATATCCGGCTCTTGCAGCCACTGAGTCCAAAGCCACCTGGCTCAGGTCCTGGAATGGCACTGCAGGCTTCTGTGGGTGCCAGTGATGGCAGAGAAGAGGGTCCCCCAATGGCACCTGGACAGCCTGGGCAGATGCTGCCGCCCAGCCTCATGGTCTCTGGTGGGGTGGCCGAGGATGGGTGGTGGGGTGCGCCTCTCTACGCATCAGCCCTAAAAGCCTAAGACGTGGGTCCTAGAAGTCACGCCTCTCCCCAGAAACCCTTCATGGCTCCCTAGTACCACAGGCGCATTCAGCCTCCTCACACGCTGGCCCCAGCCCCCACAGCCCCTCAACTTCCCTCCCCACTTCCCACTACACCCTCTGTGAAAGCCCAGCTCATCTTTCAGGCAGGCCAAACCCAGGTTTGCCGGGTCTGAGCTTATATAATCTGGGGGGCCTCTTTAAGAATAAGAATATAGGCTGCGCACAGTGGCTTATGCCTGTAATGCCAGCACTTTCGGAGGCCCAGGCGGGCAGATCACTTGAGGTCAGGGGTTCAAGGCCAGCCTGACCAACATGGTAAAACCCCCACCTCTACTAAAAATACAAAAATTAGCCGGGCGTGGTGGTGCACTCTTATAATCCCAGTTACTTGGGAGGTCGAGGCAGGAGAATTGTTTGAACCTGGGAGGCGGAGGTTGCAGTGAGCCGAGATCACACCGCTGCACTCCAGCCTGGGCTATGGAGCAAGACTCTGTCAAAAACAAAAAAGAAAAAAGACAAAGAATATAAAATAACTAAGACAAACACAGGCATAGAAGTGAGTATCGCTTAGACTGAGAAATGAAGTCACAGAAAACTACAGATTTTAAAAAGCTGATTAGTGTCATCAACATTACAAAATGTGGAAAAATCACAGTTCTTCTTAGTCACCTGACTCGCTCTACAATACCTGTGCCCCGGTATTTTCGAATGTGTGTACTCATTGTTCATCTCTCATAGGACAAGGACTTTGTTTTATGATTTTCTGCAGAGAGAACAGAAAGATGATATGGCCTCTCCTCCTCCACGATGGATACGAATTTACTTTTCATTATTGATGGTGTAGAGAAAGTTCCTGAAGCTTCACAACCCAATGCTGGTGACGTTGTGTACATTCTTAGGATTGGTATCATTCGGGAAAGCCTCTCCTGAGTTTCTTTTGTGTGTCAGTGTCCACAGATGGGCTCGTTTGTAGTGGGAGCTGCAGTTCCTTGTTCTGCAAACAGGAATTGTGACGAGTTTTGCTTTATTCAGTTCCCATCACAAAAGGAAAGAATGTGCAAAAGTGGGTTTGTGGCCATGATCTGCGTGAGCGAGCGTATTCCTGGCAGGAAAGTGCTTTTGTCTGACTGGGCTGCAGCAGGGGCGGCCCCTCTGCTGACCATCCACATGTCTGCTGATTAGAGGGCGTTCCCATGGGCCAGCTTCAGTTCCATCCATCACCCAGGTTCCTGGGCACCCCTACCTCCATAGCTGGATGCTGTGGGATGGGTCATATACCACATCAGGCCTCACCTTTCTGCATCAAGCCAGCAAATTTGCACCTTGTCCCTAGACAGAGACATTCCCATGTGGGGAGGACCAGTGGCAAACTAACTGCACCAGAAGAGACCTTGAACCACATAGATATACCCCACTGTGGTGAGTTGAATTATATGCTCTAAGAGGACAAGTTCAAGCCCTGCAACTCTATGGAACTGAACTCAGCCAATGACCTGAATCAACTTGGAAGCAGATTCACCAACTGGGCCTCCAGGAAGGAACGCAGCCCGGCCCGTCCCCGGGTTTCAGACACGTGAGACACAAGCTGAGGGCTGATGAGCCCTGCTGCACCCAGACTTCTGACTTGCAGCAGTGACGAGATCATAAATGGGCATTGTTTTACGGCGGGAAAAAACTCTCAAAGCCTAACCCCAGTGCCTGGGAATGTGACCTTCTTTGGAATGGGGTCTTTGCAGAAGTCATCAAGCTAAGATGAGGTTAGATTGGGTGGTGGTGGTAGGTGGGGGGGTCCTAAATCCATGACTTGTGTCCTTCTAAGAGGGAAATGTGGATTTAGGACACAGAGACACAGATACACAGACACGCAGAGGGGAGAAGACCAGGGGGACAGGTGGAGGCTGGAGTGAGGCACCACCGCCATGGAGTGCCAGGCACTGCCACCAGCAGAAGATGGAAAAGGCAGGACACACCCTCACCCCTGGCCCCCTGGTTGTGAACTTCTGGCCTCCAGACTGTGGGAAAATAAATGTCTGTTGTTTTAAGCCACCCAATTTGCGGTCATTTGTTACAATAGCCACAAAAAAATCTCACCCACCCACCCAATCCACACTAAAGGTGTCCCCAGCTCAACCTCCCCTCAGCCAGATCCCACAAATGTTTACAGCCCCTAGTACCACTGCAGCAGAGGGGACCTGAACTCCAGAGCGCAGCCAGCCTACAGTCCTCACCGACTGAACAAAGCGTCTGACTTCTGCAATTTTTGTTTTTTGAGATGGAGTCTCGCTCTGTTGCCAGGCTGGAGTGCAGTGGCACGATCTCTGCTCACTGCAACCTCTGCCTCCCGGGTTAAAGTGATTCTTCTGCCTCAGCCTCCTGAATAGCTGGGACTACAGGTGCACGCCACCACGCCCAGCTAATTTTTGTATTTTTGATAGAGATGGGGTTTCACCATGTTGGCCAGGATAGTCTCAATCTCCTGACCTCATGTTCTGCCTGCCTTGGCCTCCCAAAGTGCTGGGATTACAGGTGTGAGCCACCATGCCCGGCCAACTTCCGCAAATTTTAAATGACTGTGTGGATGCTGCTGGGACCCTCCCAGAAGGGGTGTGTGCAAGAGAGGGGCTCTAAAAATTGAGGTCTCTCAGCCTCCAGGGAAATTGCCAGCCTTTAGAGCTCTGCTTAGTTCACCCAGCCTTCCCCAGGGGGCCTCCGTTCTGGCCCTCTGGGTCCGTCTCTTAGCACTGTGACCTGCGCTGGCTGTAGGACCCTTTCCCTTCCTCCAGGACCCCTGGAACAGGGCTTCCCTGGCAGAGCTCATCATGAGAATCTCCTGGGAGGACCTCAAGGGGCCAGGCCCCATCCTGCTAAGTCAGGGGCAGGGAATGTGGCTCTGAAACCCCCCAGTGGGAGGCTGGGGGCAGCTGTCAGGGGCCCTGCTCACGGCTGGTTGTCAGAGAGGGGACCCTCTCCATGTGGTCTGCCTGCTGGAGGATGGGCCAGAGGCTGGAGGTGCCCAGGATTATGTGCCACTGGGACCCTCCCTAGGATGGGCCCCAGAGACCCTCCCTCCACACAGTTGGACCTCAGGACAAGGGCACAAGCACCTCCTCTCCCAGAGCCGGCAGTGGGGTGAACAAGCCCCGAGCTGCAGCGGCCACCTCATGGTGAGATGTGGGTTGCAGAGTCCAGGCACATCCCTGACGCGCAGTGGGTTCAGCCAGGCAGGCTGAGCCACACCTCTGAGACCATCAGTAGCTCCCACTGGCCAGCAGGTCAGCCAGTAAAGGCCGACACCACAGTTCTTCCTACTCCAGCCCTGACCGAGTGTCTGGGTTCACCTCCACTCGGCAGGAAGCACCCAGATATGTGCCAGGATCAAGCCAGGAGAGAAGGATCAGGTAGTTTTCAGGTTGTTCTCATGTAAAATCCTGTAAACATGGCCAGAAACACGTGACTCTGATAGCTACAGATACACCTTTGATTCTGTAACTGGAGAGAGACAGGCTGGAAGAGGAAACCTCAGGAGGTGATAGGTCCAGACATGCG
Organism: Homo sapiens; assembly: GCF_000001405.40. NCBI lineage: Eukaryota > Metazoa > Chordata > Mammalia > Primates > Hominidae > Homo > Homo sapiens. The sequence continues at coordinate 68,657,989 of NC_000011.10, forward strand.
GCAGGGGAAAGGCAGGAGCGGGAGGAAGAGACGGGAGAGAAAGAGGCATGGTGGGAGGGAAGGCAGCCGACTTGCCGGGAAAGTGGCATAAGTAACAACTGAGGCAGAACTGGAGGAAGACAGAGAAGAGAGGCCCAGAGGAGCAGACAGGGATGCAGGACAGAGGGGAAGAACCCTTCACAGCCACGCATGGATCCAGAGTAGAGCTCAGAAAGCTACGGCCTGTGGGCTGAACTGGCCCGCTGCTTGTTTTCATAAATAAAGTTTTATTGGCACAGGGCCACACTTGTTCATTTCTGTGTTGTCTGTGGCTACTTTCATGTAGAGTTGAGTAGTTTTGACAGAGGCTCTGTGGCCAGCTCAGCCTAAAATATTCACTGTCAGCCGGGCACGGTGGCTCACGTCTGATAATCCTAGCACTTTGGGAGGCCGAGGCGGGTGGATCACCTGAGGTCAGGAGTTTGAAACCAGCCTGACCAACATGGTGAAACCCTGTCTCCACTAAAAATACAAAAATTAGCCGGGAGTGGTGGTGCTTGACTGTAGTCCCAGCTACTCAGGAGGCTGAGGCAAGAGAACCCAGGAGGCAGAAGTTGCAGTGAGCTGAGATCATGCCAGTGTACTCCAGCCTGGGTGACAGAGTGAGACTCCGCAAAAAAAAAAAAAAAAAAAGAAAAAAAGAAAAAAAATTCACTGCCTGGCCCTTTCTGGAAAACATTTGCTGACCTTTGGTTTACACTCATGTGGTCTTTGCTTCCAGGACTGTCCACTCTTCAGAGCTCATTGGGGAATCGAAGACTTTCCCCTTAGCTAGATCCAGGCCTGGGATGGGGAGGCGGCTGCCTGACGATCACACGTCTGCTGGCCCTAGGCAGCCCCGAGACCTCTCGGCACCCAGTCCCTTCTGTGTATGAATAACATCACACATCCGAGGCGAGCTCTTGCGCAGTCTCCTGTGAGCTGGCCTCCACACAGAAGGGTCATTCGCTAGAATGTTCTCCGCTCACGTTCTGAATTCTGACAAATATTCTCCAAATGTGATTTTCATCGCTTCAAGTGAGACCCAAATCTTGTTAGGTGACGCCAAGGCGAATTCAAATATAAAACTCTATTTGCCTTTAACATTTTCAAATATTAAAGCTATCAACAGAAAGGCAAGTAAAGAAATAAAAGTGCAAATGCTATGGGGAGAGAATGGCCCGCAGGCAGTGGGCGGCGAGGCCCCTCCTCAGCATCATCTGTATCTTGCCCTGCGCTGGAACTTGGCCCACAGGACATCACGTTTGCCGGCACTGCCTGGGAGGTTCCGGACACAATGCAAGAGTCTGGGCTCATAGCCAAAGGCAGGGGCTCATGGCTCAGCTACACACACATCAAATAACAACAACAAGATCTAACCGCAGAAACCCTGCTCCCTGGGGTTCATCTTTACCCTGTGTTCAGGGAAAACAGTCATCAGCCCTTGAGTTTCAAATGGCCCAAATTACCGATAATTTCAGCCTAAATTAGGCCATTATGTGCTCGCTGCCAGGGTTCCTTCTCTGATGAAAAGCAAGTACTGAGCGGTATCGTCCTCTCCGGGCAGATGGACGGGGCTGGGGGAGGGGTCCCTGGGCCGAGCCCCCTCACCTCTCTTTTTGGAGGGTAGGGGCTGGTGCTTGGCCCACTGTGACTTGGGCAGGGACGGCAAGCTCTGACCTGCGTCGGCCCTCAGGCCCCAGGTGGTGGCTCCAGGAGGACTTCAGAGGACCAGGGCTCAGTGGGAGAGAGGCTCTGAGTGCCCTGACAGGTGGGCACTGCCCTTTTTGAGTTCCCTGGGGTGGGATTACCGACACACAGTGCCAGGCATCTGTGTGCCCAGGAGGGGCCTTGGAGGTGGAGGCAGAAGCACAGGGGCCGGGGAAGCTCGTAGTCGGTGTTACAGACTGAATGTGTGTCCTCCAACTTCTTTTTTTTCTTTTTTTGAGACAGGGTCTTGCTCTGTTGCCCAGGTTGGAGTGCAGTGGTGTAATCACAGCTCACTGCAGCCGTGACCTCCCAGGCTCAAGTGATCCTCCCACGTCAGCCTCCCGAGTGGCTGGGACCACAGGTGCACCACCATGCCCGGCTAATTTATCTTTATTTTTAGTAGAGATGAGGTCTTGCCATGTCGCCTAGACTGATCTTGAACTCCTAGACTCAAACAATACACACCCACCTTGGCCTCCCAAAGTGCTGCGATGACAGGTGTGAGCCACCACGCCTGCTTGCCAAAACTCACGTCACAGCCCCGACCTCCAGTGTGATGAGAGATGGGGCCTTCTGGGAGGTGATCAGGAGGGTTAGATGGGTCAGGAGGGCAGGGCCTGGTCTAATGGGACTCATGTCCTTATGAGGAGAGACTCCAGAGAGTGGTCTCTCCCTCTCTCTGCGACCCCTTGAGCTTGCCCAGAGGTCATGTGAGCACACAGCCAGATGGCGGCACCCACAAGCCAAGAGAAGAGGCCTCAGAATGAGCCTCACCCGGCCCGCTCCCCGATTCTGACTTCCAGCCTCCAGAGGTGTGAGAAATAGACATCTGTGGTTTAAATCCCCCCAGCTGAGGGAGTTTGGGATAGCAGCCGCCCGCTGGGGAAATGGAGGCCCTGGGACCTCCAGGCCAAAGGCCAGCACCTGGAAGGGCATCGCAGAGAGGGAACGGCATAAGCAAAACTGCAGGGTGAGCAGAGGAAGGCAGGGCCAGAGAGAGCACCCCGTGGGATTTGGGGAGACCGTGAAGGCCAAGATAAAGGCTCTGACTTTATTTTGTTCTTTGGGCAGTAGGAAGCCACGGAAAGTCATTTTTTAGAGAGAAAGTGCAGAGGTGGACGGTGCTTTAAGGAATGGATTCCGGTGCAGTGTGGTTTGTTCTGTCACCTGCCTCTCCCGGCGCCGTTTCCCCATCTACTAGTCAGGGTCCCGCACACACCGTAGGACTCACAGCAGTTTCCCAACTGCAGCACCATTGACATTTAGGGCTGATTTTTGGCTGGAGGGGCTGCCCTGTGTAGTGTAGGACGTTCAGCAGCCTCCCTGGTCTCCACCCACTCGATGCAGGTAGCACCTGCCCCAGGTGTGACAACCAGCGATGTCTCCAGACATGGCCACGTGCCCCAGGGACAGAACCCCCCGACTGAGAATCCCTGTGTTACAGGATGAGAGCCAGGCCAGTGGACGTGCTTTCAAAGTCACAGTGTCCCAGCCTAAAGGGGTGCACAGACTCGGATGGGGGCCCTGACCTTGCCAGGGCGGTGCTGGGATGCCCGTCCTTGAAGCTTCTTCTCTCTGGGTCAAACACCTCCGGCCACGCTCTCGCTCCAGATTTGCTCCAGGCAGGCGGGGGTTTGGTGGGGAGCGGAATCACTTTAGCTGAGTGTGACCAGCTGTATTGCTGAGACTGGGGCCGGGGTCATGGCTATGCCTTGGACTGTCCCAGATGGGGACAAGGTGCCAAGGGAGCATGAAATGAAGAGGGCTGTGGCAGAGACTGGTGTCCATGGAGCACCCTTCATGTCCCTGACTGTTCAGAGCTGGACACAAATCAGCCCGAATTCTCCTTCCACCCTGGGGCTGGGGATGCTGTGGGTCCCTGTTTGACAAGAGTGGTGGCTGCAGCTTTTGCTGGGTGGATGGGTGAGAGGGCTCTGTGGCCATTGCAGAGCCTATGGCACATGAAGCATGTGAGTGACTGGGGCCACTGTCATCCGAGGGACACCCTGCGGCCCCAGTTGGGTTATCTGTGACCCCGGGTGGCACAGTGGCAGCCCCGTTCCAGCTGTGGAGACCAATCACAAGCCCTGGGGAGGGGGGGCAACAAGGTGACTGCCTTCTGGTCCTGATTCCAATATTTACACCCACCCCACCACGGACCCACCTGGGAAAATCTGGGGTTCGTGTGCGAGCGGCCCCCTTGTGTCTGTTGGCTGGGAGGGGAGCTGGGAGTCTGGGCTGCTAGGGGAGGTTTCCACCAGCCCAGTGCCCCAGCTTGCACAAGGACCAAGAGATGCTCAGCGTTGAGCTGGGGCCATGGGGGCTCTTCTGGCTCCCGGAAGTCTCAGCTCTTCCCACACCTCATGTCCTGGGCCGGAGCGTTCAGGGTTTGCTCTCTGTAAGTCACCCAAGTCTGTAACAAGAGAAGCAGTCCCGTGGTCCACTGGGCTTTGCTTCTGATGTGTGGGAGGTGATTTTCTCTGTAAAGGAAATAACTGATCCGTAAGAAACAGAAGGTGGAGGGAAGTCTCTCCTCACTTCATCATCTTTTCTGGGGATTGACTTTTTGGTTTTGTTTTATGAAAAGTTCATTTGTGATCTATTATTCAATTAGGAAATGCGCCAGGCATGGTGATGCTTTTTTAAAAGGGCAGAGATAACCTAATAAGTCAAATTCAATTTGGGAAACTGGAGTCTGTACGCTTTCCAGAGTAATTGACCTGCCCATGGGCTGAGATCCAGAGGGAAGTGGGGATGGAGGGAGATGTGAGTCGTGATCCAGGCCCAGGGAGGTGGGGAGGCTGTGGGGGAGCAGGACACCCAGCAGGTGCCCCCAAGCCAATGCAGGAATGGGAGAGACAGTGTCCCTGACAGTGTCACCGCCCAGTGGATTTATCTTTTCTTGCCCACTACCCAGATGAAGCTGATTGATCGAGATGGGGGAATTGCAGTGGAGAAAGTGTTTAATACATGTAGAGCTGGCTAAATGAGAGACCGAGGTTTTAGTATTCTTCAAATCAACCTCCTTGAAAATTCAAAGGATAGGTTTTTTTCAAGGATAGTTTGGCAAGCAGGGGGCTAGGGAGTGGGTGCCACTGATTGGTTGGGGCTGCAATCCCAGGAGTCTGGACAACAGTTCTCATGTGCTGAGCCTGCTTCTTGGTGGGGGCCACAGGACTGTTTGCGTCAGGAGTCTCTGGTCCAATGAAGTCATCTTGTCGTCAGAAATGTAAGCCTCAAAAGACATCTCAGAACGCCAGTCTTAGATTCTAAAATGGTGATGTTATTTACAGGCATAACTGGGGAAGTTGCAATCGTGTAACCTCCTGAACAATGGCTGAGAATCCTGTAACTCTGCCTACATCTTAGCAGAACTCAGGCCCCTCTCATAATCCTAACCTTGTGGACTTTTATTAATTGTATAAAGATGGTTTAATTTGGGGGAAGGGCTGTTATCATTTAAACCATAAACTCAATTTCTCCCAGAATTAGCTTTGAATGACCAAGGGCAGTTTGGAGGTTAAAGGCAAGATGGGCTTGGTTATGTCAGATCTCTTTCACTGTCATCATTTTCTCACTTTATAATTTTTGCAAATGCAGTTTAAATGGGCAGCAGGGCCACCACCTGGGGAGAAGAAAAGAGTTGCCCCCACTCCAGGTCCCTGCACAGGTTGCCCTCTGACCTGCACCCCCTAGAGTCGACCCCTCCTCAGGGCCTCAGCCCTGATTTCCTTGACATGAGGCCAGCAGGGCCAAAGATAGGAAGGTTGTTGGCACCAGCCAGAAGCAGAGGGAATTTGGTGACCCAAGGGTCAGGTCACACCCGGAGCTACCCAGGCAGACGCACATGCACACACACTACGAAAGCACTGCAGCACACACCCTGTGTACACGTGTGACACCACGTTCTGCACTCCCACGCTCATGCACACTCAGACACCTGCATGAATTATGTCTGTGCACACTCACACCATCAGACACGCTACACTCATGCTCACACACACCCACACACACTTACTCGTGCACGTACACCTCCGTGTTCTTGCACGTGCATTCCCACAGGACCACGGCAGGGGGCACGACGTGTGGGAGCACCTGGGGTGCCGTGAGCAGCTGGGACCCTGGGCCGGTCCAGGGAAGGGTCTGGGAAGGACTTGGGTGGATGATGAGGGAAGGGCAGCCCCTCATCTCCACCGTACCCCTCATCTCCTGGTGGCTCACTACTGTAATCCCAGTATTTTGGGAGGCTGAGGTGGGCAGATCACGTGAGCTCAGGAGTTCAAGACCAGCCTGGCCAACATGGTGAAACCCCGTCTCTACTAAAAATACAAAAATTAGCTGGGCGTGGTGGTGTGTGCCTGTAATCCCAGCTACTCGGGAAGCTGAGGCAGGAGACTCGCTTGAACCTCGGAGGGTGGAGGTTGCAGTAAGCCAAGATTGTGCTACTGCACGCCAGCCTGGGCTGCAGATTGAGACTCCATCTCAAAAAGAAAAAAATTGACTTGCAATAATGAGTTGAAAAGGAGGACTTCTCCCAGGTGCATTTCTGGAACCTCAAGGGACAGGAAGGCAGCCAGGCCTCAGGAGCCCTGGAACCCGGGACGGAAGCGTGCCTGCACCTGCTCAGTCCCGGGCTCTACTTTCTGCCCTGTGGCTGTATTTCCTCTCTCTCCGCCCAGCCACCTCGAGGGTGGAAAGTGACATCCGGCAGGAGGCTTCCCTTCTTCAGACTGGGCTCCCCCAAGAGAACTCTTTCTTAGTCCCAGTCCCAAATTCTGAAGGGAGAGTTCTTGACTGACCCTAGTTGGAGTCAGGTGCCCGGCCTGGTCACTCCTATGATGGTGGGTTGGGTTGGGGATGGGGGACATCATGGTCCAGAAAGGCTGCCAGGCACTGGCCCGTGCAGGTGAGGAGAGGTGGTTATGGGAGTGACTGTGAGCTCACGGATGGTGCACACAGCTGATTCGAGTGAGGACTGGAGCCCAGGTCTTTTGAACTCCTGCCCTGGGTTGGGTTCCCTTCAGTGGCATCTTGGACATGGGCTTTGGTATAAGTGGTTTATGAGGGTGCCCGCTAGGAGAGCCCTGGAGTGGAGGGAGCTGGCAGGACAGAAGCAGCCAGGCCAGCCCCAGTCTGCTCCCCTGTGAAGCTCTGGTGTATGAGTGGCCCCTTGGGGTCGTCCCATCTTGAGGAAGGAAGTTGAGCTTTTCATCCAGCCATTGATCAGGGGCTCCACAGACAGGAGCTCCAGGCCTCACTGAGCCAGGCAGCTCCCATGGGCTGAGGGCAGTTCTGCAGAAAGGGTGCTGCAGTGAGTTGTGGGCACCAGACACAGCTGGGGACTGGGTGCACAGAGCCATAAAGCGGACCCCGGCACAGTGCGTGGGCATCCACAGAAATCCTGGGTGCTGCAGACCAGCTAACGGGTGGGTGATGGACAAGGGTCCAGGTGCTGGTCAGTGACGTGGGCTGGCAACGTGCATGGGGCAGCCCCCAACCACAAAGCGGGAGGAGATGAGGGAAGAGGGGTCCTGGGCTTGGCTTGGGTTTGGGGAGCACTCCCTCCTCTGTGGATGTCTGCCTGTGTCCCCCCAACTCAACACAGTCCCCCCACAGAGGGACCCTTGGGGGGAAACACTGTCTAACTACCCCAAGAAAATAAAGAGGCAGACACCATGCTGGGTATTTGCCAAGAACAATTCCATATTCAGATCCACTATTAACATGAAGCTAAATGCGAGAAGTGTTGGCTGGGATTTTCAAATCTGAACGATAATACTCACTTATGAACCTTTCCATCACAATGACCCAGAAATAAGACGTGAAGAAGTTGGGATAATGCCATCAAAAGGGTCACGGCGCCCTCATGATTCTCTTGACAGGCATGAATTTATATAATAATCAAAAAGCATTTTCACCATTAAGCAGCCCCACAGCCTGCCAAGGCCATCGTGGATGACGGTCGCATTACTCACGCGCGTTGCCACCCAACCGGCTGGGGCATCGCCGCACTTCCCATTCTGCTGGGAACACGTAGAATTAAGATGCTAGGTTTCAAAATTATAAAAACATTTTTCCGTATTACTTTTTGGGGGGAATTTGCTAAGAATCACATGACTTCAAGGATAATTATTCCCTCCAGTCATTTTATTCACTTGATAAAAAAGTGGGAAAACATAGATAATAGAATATTTACTGTTTTATACATTTCTCTTTTTTTTGGCAGAGTCTCACACTGTTGCCCAGGCTGGAGTGCAGTGGTGCCATCTCGGCTCACTGCAACCTCTGCCTCCCGAGTTCAAGCGATCCTCCCGCCTCAGCCTCCCAAGTAGCTGGGATTACAGGTGCCCTCCACCACGCCTGGCTAATTTTTTTTTTTTTTTTGTATTTTTAGTAGAGGCGGGGTTTCACTGTGTTGGCCAGGCTGGTCTTGAACTCCTGACCTCAAGTGATCTGCCTGCCCCTGCCTCCCAAAGTGCTGGGATTACAGGCGTGAGCCACCGCACCCGGCCCAGATCTGCCCTTTCGTGTCTGGCTTATTTCAGCGAGCCTAATGAGCATTCTCACGTTTACTCCACGTTGTAGCATGCGTCAGAATCTCTTTTCGCTTTTAAGGCTGAGCACTCCTCCACTGTGTGCATAGACCACCGTTTGCTTACACTTCAATTCCGGACGTGTGAGTGCTTCTACCTTCTGGGTCCTGTGAACAATGCTGCTATGAACACGGGGTGCATCGTGCCTCCAGACTGAGAAGTTAGGGGTTCCCTGCCATCCTCCAAGGCTGGATTCCTTACAAAGGGTGGGGGTGGCACTGAGGCTCATTTCCGGCCTGGGGAGAGCTCCAGCTAACAGGAGGAGGCAGGAGAACCGATGGAGTTGGGAAGTTCCCCACTAATTTCAAGAGTCCTCAAAATGTTCATACTCTTTGATGAATAATTCCAACATCAGGCATTATACAGAGGGAATCAGAGATGTGGCTCAGGGCACTTGTCACAAATGTGGGTGATGCTGGGAACATTAGTTAATGGGCAAAATAAAGAAAAAACACTTTCTCTGCACAACCAAGTTGGGGTATGAGTCCAATGTGCTCCCCAGGACACCTGTAAGCACACATGTATATGCGCATCAGAACAGACACGGGTATGCTGGAGATCCCCCCTGTAAACTGCCTAAAAGGCATTAGCTCCAAATGACCATCACAGAGGAGAGGAATCATCAGAGGAGACGAGGGGTGTGGAGGAGATGAGGAGCATGGGGGAGACCAGGAGGGCAGGGAAGACAAGGAGTGCGGGGGAGACGAGGGGTGCGGGGGAGACGAGGGTGAGGGGGAGACGAGGGTGAAGGGGAGACGAGGGTGCGGGGGAGATGAGGGGTGCGGGGGAGACGAGGGTGCGGGGGAGATGAGGGGTGCGGGGGAGATGAGGGTGAGGGGGAGACGAGGGTGAGGGAGAGATGAGTGGTACAGTGGAGATGAGGGGTACAGCAGAGATGAGGGGCGCTGGGGAGATGAAAGGTACAGTGGAGATGAGGGGTACAGTGGAGATGAGGGGCGCTGGGGAGATGAGAGGTGCAGTGGAGATGAGGGGTACAGTGGAGATGAGGGGTGCAGGAGAGATGAGGGGTACAGCAGAGATGAGGGGCGCTGGGGAGATGAAAGGTACAGTGGAGATGAGGGGTACAGTGGAGATGAGGGGCGCTGGGGAGATGAGAGGTGCAGTGGAGATGAGGGGTGCAGGAGAGGTGAGGGGTACAGTGGAGGTGGAGGGTACAGTGGAGGTGAGGGGTACAGTGGAAATGAGGGGTACAGTGGAGATGAGGAATGTGGGGGAGATGAGGGATCCCCACCCTCAGTGCTGGCCTGTCTTCGCCTGTATTCGTGCTCCTCCATCTGCCCACCCCAGGGTCCACCCACAGCTGGGGTCACAGCTCAGCCACCTGGGCTGAACTTTCCACATCAGGCTCCACGAGGCTCCACTCCCTCCAGCACCCCACTGGCCACCCAGAGCCCCAAGGCCAGAGCTGTCTTGGATCCAGCCCCCCACCTGCCCTCACCCCCAAAGTCACCTACAATTCACCATGGGGGCTGGGTGAGACCAGAGGCCCTGCCCCTGCCCTCTCCACTTGGACCCACTTTGTCAACTGAAAAGTTTCTCCGAAAAAAACTGCACACTGGCAATATGTTTTGCTATGGGCCAAAAGATTTCCCACATCTGGAGTCTGAATCAACACACATACGTCCTCTGAGACTGGGAAAGCAGTCCCCATCCCCGTGCAAGTCCCCCCGCCAGCATGATCCCCAAACTACCTCGCCGGCGCAACACGTGCCTGGGCATCACGCTGAACGGCACGACCTGCTACCCTCCTTCCCCGCCCTGCACCCCCCACCCCCCAGCCGTGCCATCAAGGCCTCTGGGCCACCGAGGACTTGGATTCAGAAAGAAAACAGCAGATGAAAGTCCTGTAATGGACCCCATTGTGCCCCATGGTGAGGCGCAGAAAGAAAAATCAAACCCAAAAGCGACCAAAGGAGTCAAATGATTGTATTTCAGACACACTGTAAAGAAGCCGGCCTTAATGCCACTCCAGGCAAACCATGCAAACCGGCAAAGTGGGTCAGCCCTTTGGACTTCTGAGAACTGAAAAGCTTTCATCTGTCTCAGAGCTCAACTGTTTGTGCCTGGAATTGCTGGGGTGGGGTGGGAATGAAGGGGTGCAGTTTCCCTCCCAGCCCCTCCTTTCCTACCCAGGTCCTTCTTGGAGGTGACTAAGTCTCATGGTGTGCCCACTGTCACTCATTCTGTTTTTAAGAACTTGTCTTTCTGGACATGTTATTCTTGGTGAATATATGTCTTTATTACTATATACTGCTTCTTGGGAACAGGAACATTTTAAGATAACTTTGAAATCTCTTCTTGGTAATGCAAACAGTCATTTTCACAGCAGAACTATTTTCTTTTTTTTCTTTCTTTTTTCTTTTTTTGAGACGTAGTCTTGTTCTGTCACCCAGGCTGCAGTGCAATGGCGTGATCTTGGCTCACTGCAACCTCCGTCTCCTGGGTTCAAGTGATTCTCCTTCCTCAGCCTCCCAGGTAGCTGGGGTTACAGGCGTGTGGCACCACGTCCAGCTAATTTTTGTATTTTGGGTAGAGATGGGGTTTCATCATGTTGGCCAGGCTGGTCTTGAGCTCCTGACCTCACGTGATCCACCCACCTCAGCCTCCCAAAGTGTTGGGATTACAGGCGTGAGCCACCGCGGCCGGCAGTAGAACTATTTTCAAAAGGAGAAAGAGAATACTATATTCTTTTCTCCCTTGTCACAGTTATGAGACTAAATTCTCTGGGGGTTACCTGTGATTGTCTTAGTAATAAAAACTGTGTTCTTAGGCAAAGATGTCCTTTCATTGATCAAAACTGAAATAGCAAAATAAGCATAAATATCGCAAATTACACGTATCTCACCCCGACTGGACGATCGTAAGCCAAGACAAAAGAGACCACTCTTCCTGCAACCATGGAGGGGACCACAGATCAGAGTGGGTTGGGGCCAGCTTTGCGGGCCAACTTCCGGGTCCTTCCTCGAGAGCCACTGTTGCTGGTGGCCCGGGCAAGACTGCCGGCACCCTCCCCTGAGGCTGGCGTGACATCACACACTCTTCTGGAACAGAGAGGGGAATGTCTCCCTGCAGGACAGTGGCCGTTCTGCTTGTGCTGAGGACTTCTACCCCCAGTGCGCTCCCACACGGAGGGCAGTGGGTGAACGTGGGGAGCGTCACGGGTCCTTGGAAGCCACCTGGAACACTCCCAGCTGCCCGGCGGCCTGCTGGTAGTGTCCTCCGGGGCCTGCTCCACACCCACCAGGGTCAGCTGACCCAGAGTTCTTTCCCTGGCTTGGGACTCAGACCCCTCCAGCTGTGAAGACAGCCCTCGGCTCTCACCCCTTCCCGTTGGAAGCTTACTTCGGAGCCCTTGACTTACCTTGGACCCGCCTGGGGCTGAGGCTGGGCTGGGCTGGGGAGCGGCCAGGAGCCGGGGCTTTCTCTGGGTCTTCCCCTCCCCTCTTCCTACAGTGGACAGCTTCCTGCTCCCCAGATCCCACCCTGACCCCTTTTCCCCAGCAGGGCCAAGCCCAGCCTTACCCAGCGTTGTGTCCTCAGGAAGGCGGTCCCCAAGCTGGGTTTCAGTTTCTACATCTGAAACCAGGGTGGGGAGGGAGGCTGACTTCCATGACGCGTTCTAGAACAAGGTTCGAACTCTGTTCCTGCAGGTGGCCTGACCGCCCCCAAAAGGCCTTCCCACCTGGGGGCTGTGGACAGTGGAAGGCGAGCGTCCTCCTGGAAGGTTTTCAGGCACAAGGGGGACCAAATTGTGGACACGCGTGAACAGGTCCTGGGAGTGAGCAAGAACCCCTGAGGCCCCTCCCAGGAAGAGGTTCAGCAGGGGACAGCATAGCCAGACCGTCCACAGTCTCGGCGGACCAAGGCCACGCCACAGACGCTCCACCCCAGGTGGAGAAGAGGCGGCTGGCAGGAGTCCTTTCTCCGGGGGCCCCCCCGGGCACTTCACAGCTCCCCCGCACGCTAGAGCTGCACGTTAGAGCTGGGCCACCGGCCTCGAGTTTCCTTTCATCCCCACAGAACCAGCTCTCGAGGGGCCCTGGGCGTGGGGACCACCCCGCCCTGCCTCTTGCTGGGCAGGCCCCGGGAGATCGGCCTTTGAGCCTGCGGCCTCTGAGCCAGGCAGGGCGTCCGGCACCCGCATCACTGCAGGAGCTGGCGTTGCCACGGTGGCCCTTGAGGCAAGAGTCAGACCCCACTCCGAGGGCCACGGGAGACGCGGCCTCTGGGAACTTGTTTAGAACCTGCATCCTGTGAAACTGCAGAGCCTCCTCAAGTCCCTTCCCCAGTACTGCTTTTGGGGATGGACGGGCGGAGGGGAGGACAGCAGGCAACTGGGTGCCGCTATGGGAGGCTCTGCAGTCCCCTTGGCCTCTCTGCAGAGCTCCACTTCCCTTCACGATCACCTTCAGGCTGCAGTGATCACCTGGAGCCCCTCCCAGGGGACGTCTGGTATTTCTGCACCGTCTTCTAGAAAGAGCATCCTCTTGTGGCTGGGTTAGGATTGGCCCCGCCCCCTGCCCCTCAGAACCAGGTACCCGCAACTGACCCAGCCCAGGTTTGTCAAAGATCAGATGATTGCAGACGTGTGGTGTTATTTCTGAGGCCTCTGTTCTGTTCCATTAGTCTATATATCTGTTTTGGTATCAGTACCATGCTATTTTGGTTACTGTAGCCTTGTAGTATAGTTTGAAGTCAGGTAGCGTGATGCCTCCAGCTTTGTTCTTCTTGCTTAGGGTTGTCTTGGCTATATGGACTCTTTTTTGGTTCCACATGAAATTTAAAGTAGTTTTTTCTAACACTGCGAATAAAGTAAATGGTAGCTTGATGTGAATAGCATTGAATCTATAAATTACTTTGGGCAGTATGGCCATTTTCACGATATTGATTCTTCCTATCCATGAGCATGGAATGTTTTTCCATTTGTTTGTGTCCTCTCTTATTTCCTTGAGCAGTGGTTTGTAGTTCTCCTTAAAGAGGTCCTTCACATCCCTTGTAAGTTGTATTCCTATTTTATTCTGTTTGTAGCAATTGTGAATGGGATTTCACTCATGATTTGGCTCTCTGTTTGTCTATTATTGGTGTATAGAAATGCTTGTGATTTTTGCACATTGATTTTGTATCCTGAGACTTCGGTGAAGTTGCTTATCAGCTTAAGGAGTTTTTGGGCTGAGACAATGAGGAATGCTTCCAGCTTTTGCCCATTCAGTATGATATTAGCTGTGGGTTTGTCATAAATGGCTCTTATTATTTTGAGATATGTTCCATCAATACCTAGTTTATTGAGTGTTTTTAGCATGAAGGGGTGTTGAATTTTATTGAAGGCCTTTTCTGCATCTATTGAGATAATTATGTGGTTTTTGTCTTTGGTTCTGTTTATGTGATGGATTACGTTTATTAATTTGCATATGTTGAACCAGGCTTGTATCCCAGGGATGAAGCCAACTTGATCGTGGTGGATAAGCTTTTTGACGTAGTGCTGGATTTGGTTTGCCAGTATTTTATTGAGGATTTTCGCATCGCTGTTCATCAGGGATATTGGCCTGAAATTTTCTTTTTTTGTTGTGCCTCTGCCAGGTTTTGGTATCAGGATGATGTTGTCAGGAGTCTTTCTTTTTCTATTGTTTGGAATAGTTTCAGAAGGAATGGTACCAGCTCCTCTTTGTACCTCTGGTAGAATTCAGCTGTGAATCCGTCTGGTCCTGGGCTTTTTTAATTGGTAGGCTATTGATTACTACCTCAATTTCAGAACTTGCTATTGGTCTATTCGGGGATTCGACTTCTTCCTAGTTTAGTCTTGGGAGGGTGTATGTGTCCAGGAAGTTATCCATTTCTTCTAGATTTTCTAGTTTATTTGTGCAGAGGTGTTTATAGTATTCTTTGATGGTGGTTTGTATTTATGTGGGATCAGTGGCGATATTCCCTTTATCATTTTTTATTGTGTCTATTTGATGGGTTTTTTAATTAAAAATAAGAGATATTTGACCCATTTATACCTGAAAATGTCCTATTCTGTTTCTGTTTTCATTATTGAGAAACAAATGATAAAAAAACCCTAGAGGGGAAAAAAGTGCTTTGAACCCCAAAATATAATTTTGTTTTCTAAGTGTACATAGAATAATAAAATGTGGCTGAGGTTGGGTGTGGTTTTTTTTTGTTTTTTTTTTTTTTTGAGACGGAGTCTCACTCTTGTCCAGGCTGGAGTGTGGTGGCACCATCTCGGCTCATTGCAACCTCTGCCTCCTGGGTTCAAGCGATTCTTCTGCCTCAGCCTCCTGAGTAGCTGGGACTACAGGCACCCGCTACCACGCCTGGTTAATGTTTTGTCTTTTTAGTAGAGACGGGGTTTCACCGTGTTAGCCAGGATGGTCTCGATCTCCTGATCATCTCGTGATCCCCCTGCCTCGGCCTCCCAAAGTGCAGAGATCATAGGCGTGAGCCACTGCACCCAGCCGGGAGTGTGATTTTTAATTGTCCTGAAAGCTTCAAGTTCTTCTGACCCAATGTCACTGTCCGTGAGCTCAGGCCGGCAGGGAAGCATGCTGCGTGTATAGCATGTGTCCAGAACAAGGAAGTGCGTCCCTGGGAACAGTCTGGCCCAGGTGTGTGGATCAAGTGTTTGGAGTGGAGAAGCTGGGCAGCTGGAGGGATGCAAAGACAGGCAAGGGTCAGGCATTGGAGGGCCTCGAGTGCCACGATAAAACATTTGAGCTTGATCCTTAGAGAATAATGAAGCCACCAAGGTCTCCTAGCAAGAGGGAGTTATGGTGAGGGCTGCATTTTGCAAAGTTGGAGCTGGCTGCTACAGAGTAGGGACTGGACAAGGAAGGGCAGGCAGCACTGGATGGAGTGTACAGCAGAGAGCCAAAATTCTTTGAGATTTTGCCCCCTGAGGGGTGGGGTCTGTTTCTCTACCCGCTTGCATCTGGGCTGAGCTTGTGTATTCGTCCATTTTCCCGCTGCTCATAAAGACATAACTGATACTGGACAATTTACGAAAGAAAGAGGTTTAATGGACTCACAGTTCCATGTGGCTGGGGAGGCCTCACATCACGGTGGGAGGTGAAAGGCATGTCTCACACAGTGGCAGACAAAAGAGCACTTGCGCAGGGAAATTCCCCTTTATTAAACCATCTGATCTCATAAGACATACTCACTATCATGAGAATAGCACGGGAAAGACCCGCCCCCATGATTCAATTACCTCCCACTGGGTCCCCCACAACATGTGGGAATTGTGGAAGCTACAATTCAAGAGGAGATTTGGGTGGGTACACAGTCAAACCATGTCAGCCTGTGACTGCTTTGACCTACAGAACATGACAGAAGTCATGTGCCAGTTCCAGGCTTAGCCTTTAAGAGGCTGCCCTTTGCTTCCTCCTGCTTGGAACACAGCCACCATACTGGGAGGAAGTCCAAGCAGCTACATGGAGGAGAATGAAGGCCCTGGCCACTGTCTCCAGCTGAGGCCTGAGCCTCCAAGCAGCACTCATTCACCAGCCATGAGTCTGCTTCCTTGAAAGTGGATCTGCCATGCCTGGAGGGGCCACCCCAAGTGATGCTGCATGGAGCAGAAATGAGCTATCCCCACCCATACCGCAAAATCATATTGTTTTACGCCACTAAGTTTTGGGGCAATTTCTTATGTGGCAATAAATACCCGAAACATTGCTCGTGGGAGGCTGGGAGGGAGAACTTTGCCAGGCTCTGTGGACCCTGAGCTGGGGCCTGGGCAGTGGCTGGGTGAAGCCTAGTGCAGGTTTGACAGCTGTTCCCGTGTTTTGTTTCCTGCGAAAATCACAGCAACCTCCTTCCCACCCTCGCCCCCACTGCAAACAGTGTTCAGTCTCCCTGGTGATGCAGCCCCACTCGGTGGCCAGCTGCTGGGCACGGGGCTGCCGTTCGGACAGCTTGCAAGACAGCTGTGCTCCCGGAAATGGAGGGCCCTGGCGATGGTAATTGGCAATGTCCTTCCTTTGGGAAGTCAGCCTGATTCTTCAAATACAATAACAGGGTTTGAGAATTTAATCTTCCCCCCAGGGATACTATTTATTCTGTTATTCATGCATCACGGAGAAGAAAGCTCTTACCACTAAGGATCTGTCAACTTGATTTTCTCTTAATCAGCGCTTATGTCCATCTTTCTGCCAGATCTATGTCTTCTTTGACAAAAACATGGAGCATAGCAGTTCTTTTCCTCAGAGCAGCGCTAGACCCCAAATACTTTTCGGTGGAAACGAGACAGCCCCATGGCCTGCGCTGCTGTAAGATATCTCATCCCTGCACCTCAGTGTCTCAGTCCTGGAGGATACGGGCTCCCCACCTTCCACGGACCCCGGCACTGCGGGTTGCACAAGAACCCAGGGCGTCGGATACATTTGGCATTTCAGACAAAACAAAGAATGTCTTAGTAGGATACATCCCAAATGTCGCACGGGACGTACTTACACTCAAAAATCAGTCACTGTCCGTCTGGTATTCACATTTAACTGCGTGTTCTGTGTTTTTATTTACCTAATTGCGCCTGAGTTACCTAGGGGGACATTTGGAATAAAGAAGGAGCCAACGACAAAAGCAGGAAGGGCTCAGGGAAAGCTGGGGTTCGGGTGGGCAGGAAGGGCCCAGGGGAGTACGACAGAAGGTCAAGGAGGACCCTGCAGGGAGGAGGGATTGGGCAGAGCCTGGGCAGCTCCACTAGATTTTCTTTTCTGTTTTTCTTTTTTTTTTTTTTGAGATGGAGTCTTGCTCTGTCGCCCAGGCTGGAGTGCAGTTGTGCGATCTCGGCTCACTTGCAAACTCCACCTCCCGGATTCAAGCAATTCTCCTGCCCCAGCCTCCCAAGTAGCTGGTACTACAGGCGCGTGCCACCATGCCTGGCTGATTTTTATATATTTTTTTAGTAGAGACCAGGTTTCGCCATGTTGGCCAGGCTGGTCTTGAACTCCTGACCTCAAGTGATCCGCCCACTTTGGCCTCCCAAAGTGCTGGGATTACAGGCGTGAGCCACCATGCCCCCCCACCAGACTCTCTTTTCTTTCCTTTTTTTTTTTTTTTTTTTCTGAGTCTTGCTCTGTTGCCCAGGCTGGAGTGCAATGGTAGGATCTCGGCTCACTGCAACCTCCACCTCCCAGGTTCAAGCAATTCTCCTGCCTTAGCTTCCCGAGTAGATGCGACTACAGGTGCCTGCCACCATGCCTGGCTAATTCTTTGTGTGTGTTTTGGTAGAGACGGGGTTTTGCCATGTTGGTCAGGCTGACCTCGAACTCCTGACCTCAGGTGATCTGCCTGCCTCGGCCTCCCAAAGTGCTGAGATTACAGGCATGAGCCACCGTGCCTGGCCACTAGATTTTCAAAGAAGGTGAGGGAGCAGCCAATAGATTTGAAGGGAATTAGTGACCCACTGTCCCGGTTTGCCTGGGGCTTTTTGGTTTTCACCTGGAAAATTCTGTGTCCCAGGAAACTTCTCAGGGATTTCCAGCCTAGGGAACTGGGATGGCTGATCACCCTAAATAGGAAGGATGTTCTAGATAGAGGAATGTTCTAGACAGAGGAAACAAAGTGCAGAATCACCCAGGTGTCTTTGCCTCCTAGAAACAGCTTGACTCTGTCCTCTCTTCCCTTGCAGAGGGGCATTGGGGAGTTGGGTTGGGTTGGGTGAGTGAGGCACTTGCCTTGGGTACAAAACGTGCAGGGTGCCAAAAAAACTCAGTGATCAGGATAAATAATATTTCAGTGCAATATTTGTAAGTCCAAATTAATGTGAAATATCCATAATGAACAAATTATCAAACATTTAAATAATGTTCCTTAAACATAGAACTACTGTATCACCCAGCAACTGACTTCCCAGGTATAGGAATTGAGAACAGATGTCCAAACAGATCCTTGAACACAAATGTTCATAGCAGCAGTCTTCATAAATGCCAAAGGGGGAAGCAACTCAAGTGTTGATGAGCTGATGCATAGATAAAAAGTGGTCGATCCAGCCAGGCGTGGTGGCTCCCAGCATTTTGGGAGGCTGAGGTGGGCAGATCACCAGAGGTCGGGAGTTCTAGACCAGCCTGACCAACATGGAGAAACCCCCACCTCTACTAAAAATACAAAATTAGCCTGGTGTAGTGGTGCATGCCTGTAATCCCAGCTACTCGGGAGGCTGAGGCAGAAGAATTGCTTGAACCTGGGAAGTGGAGGTTGCAGTGAGCCAGGATTGTGCCATTGCACTCCAGCCTGGGCAAGAAGAGTGAAACTTCGTCTCAAAAAAAAACACAAAAAACAAAAAACAAAAAGCAAAGTAGTCTATCCATATAACAGAATATAACTCAGCCATGAAAAGGAATGAAATATTCATGCTACAGTATGGGTGAACCTCAAAACATGCTGAGTGAAAGAAGCCAGACCCAAAAGGCCATAGATTTTATGATTGCATTTATACGAAATGTCCAGAACAGGCAAATAGAACAGATTTCCCCTGACAGCCCTCAGAAGCAAACCACTCTGCCGACACCTTGATCTTGGACTTCCAGCCTCCAGAACTGTGAGATGATGCATTTCTGTTGGTCAAGCTGCCTGGTGTGTGGTACTCTGCTATGGCAGCCCAAGCCGATGACAACAGTCTCGCTCGTCAGACTGGTGAAAATGTTAAACGTTTGCTAGCATCCAGCTGGGGATTTGGGGAAAGAGGCACTTAGATTCTAAGAGGCTGTAAACGGGTGCAGTATTTCCAGAAGGTAAATACTCATCACTTTTTAGTCCTCTAAAGTATTTTGGGGCCAGACGCAGTGGCTTATGCCTATAATCCCAGCACTTTGGGAGGCTGAGGTGGGTGGATCACCTGAGGTCAGGAGTTCAAGACCTGTCTCTACTAAAAACGCAAAAATTAGCTGGGTGTGGTGGCGGGTGCCTGTAATCCCAGTGACTCCGGAGGCTGAGGCAGGAGAATTGCTTGAGCCTGGGAGGCGGAGGTTGCAGTGAGTCGAGGTTGTGCCACTGCACTCCAGCCTGGGCAACAGAGCAAGACTCTGTCTCAAAAAAAAAAAAAAAAAAAAAAATATGTTGGGTCCCTGAGAAGCAGGTCAGAGCTTTTCCTGCACAGCTCAGGCCTCCAGGTGGAAGCACCCCTCTCTCTTCCCACTGCCCCTCCTTGTGGCCCCCCAGCTGCCTGTCCTCCTCCTGCACACCCACATCCTGGTAGCCAGACGGGTTCCCATATGGCCCTGGGTGCTGCTGATGGGCCTGACTCAGGGCCAGGAAACAGGGGCAGCTGTCCAGGGCCTGTCGCTGAGTCACCTACTTCCCGCCCCCACCCCTCCCAACTGCAGGCGTCAGCCTCTGGCAAGGCCATTAGCAGCCCCTCTTCCTCCAGGCTGAGCTACCCAGAAAACCCCCAGCTGGATGAGTCACCCAGGGCACAGGTGGATTCACGGACTCCCGGCTGTGACCCTGCCTCTGACCAGCAAGGAGGTCCCTGAGGAAGCTCATCTCCCATGGGATGAGTTCACCAAGGAGCAGGAGGGGAGGCTACATGGTGGGGGGCGGGGCTGGGGGCTGGGAAGGAGAGGCTTCCCTGGCACAGAGCCCAGGGCAGTGAAGGAGCGGGCCGGGGGTGGTCTGTTGGAGAAAGAAGATGCAGGTGGTGGGTTTAGGGAGGAGAGAGTGCCACACTGCAGACAAGGATGGCTCCAGCTAAAGAGCCCAGGACTTGTGAGCTGAGCAAAGCAAGACATCAAAAGCGACATCCCCCCTCCACTCACCCTGGAATTGGAGGGGAGAGTTGAGCTTGCGTGGAACTGCGTCTGGGGTGGGAGGTTGCAGGGGCTTCCTGAGAAGCCACCGTGGCTCCCAAGACGCTGGTAGAATGTGTCCACTAATAAAAAGCTGACTAAACACTTTTCAAAGATGCAGCTCTCCAAATTATCCTAGTGACCCCAGGCTTGTCTCAAGCCCATCTCCCTGGGAGACGACAGCTTTCCACGAGGGCTGTGCCACCAACGCTGCAGCATGCGTGCCAGCCACACAGCTCGTGTTCCAGTGCTAGGGGAGCGGGTGCTTGGGCAGCGGGGCACTCCTAGAACTATTCCCACAGCAGACGGCGAGCGGCAACTCAGCCATCCTATGCAAGTGAGATCAATACATCCTATATATATATAGGTGGCTATAAATACACCCACCATGATCCAGAACTAAATGCATCCCCAATCTAACTTCCCCTTAAAGAGCCTAGAAGTGCCTGTGGCCTTTCCAGCACCACATTGTCTGAGGGGAAACTGAGGAAGTGATGTGTCGAGAGACAGGTCTTAACTGGCTGTGATTATGGCTTGCTTTCACATTTCACAAAAAATTTACAACTACGAAAACACATGGACTTAGGGCCCTGCCTGTGGCAGAGCCTGTACTGGCCCACACCAACATTCCATGTCCCCCTCCTCCTTCAGCTCCAGAACTCAAGTGAGCTCAACATCATCCATAATAAAAGACCCTGTTTCCAACCTGTTTCCAAGCCTCTGTTGTGGCCGGGCATGACTCTGGCCAGCAAGATGCATGCAGAAAGAATCTTCCAGAAGGCTGCTTTAAAGATGGCATTCTGTTACCCAATGTCCTCAAACCTCCAAAACTTGCTCTTCCTCCTCTTCTCCCTTCTCAGCTTGCACTCGAAACTCCAATTTCTACTACCTTAACCCCTTAGTAAAAGCACCCAATTGTTTCTGTGAATGAAACAACCCTGTATAATGAACCCATTTAACAAGGTTCTGTCGAATAATCGAATACATATATTAAAAACTCATTCATAGAATGGTATAATTCTATCCATTGATACAACTTTCACCTTAGCCAGATCCTTTGCCAGCTACTCATTTTTTTAGGGGAGCGACTCTAGGGTCTTTTTTCATGACTGCTGTGTTACTGGAGTGGGGCTGGGTGGCGTGGAAATCAGGGAATGGGGGAATCAAGGACACAGACATTTGCAGGGTCAAAGAAATGCCAATTTTAGGTCATCGAGCCATTTCCTCATTTCTTGAGTAGTAACGAGATGGTCGTGGGACTGATAGGTGGTATCGTTCGTCACGTTATCGTCCAAACCTCTCCCTCTGATGAGCCCGTCTTGCAGACATGAGCTTCTCAGCAGCGGTGGAGGTGGTGTACCCTCTCACGTGTTTTTAT
This sequence comes from Homo sapiens, assembly GCF_000001405.40. NCBI lineage: Eukaryota > Metazoa > Chordata > Mammalia > Primates > Hominidae > Homo > Homo sapiens. The sequence goes on from NC_000011.10 coordinate 68,679,489, forward strand.
TCATTCATTCATTCATTCATCAAACATTTGTTGACCACTGTGAAACTGATTGGAACAATTCCTACCGCACGTGATGGAAAACCTCTATGGGCCATTGGCTTAAATAAGAGAGATGCTTCTTCTCCTCTGTTGTGAAACAAGCCTGGAAGTGTGCAGCCCAGGGACCAGGCTCAGGGTCACTGGGACCCAGGCTCCCTCGGCCTTGATGTGTCACCTGAAGCCATCACCTCATGGTCCAAATTCGTTGCCCACCTCCAGCCTTCACGTCCACACTCCAGGCAGCAGGAAGAAGGAATGGAAAAGGACCAAAAAGGGGGCGTACCCATGTAACCCCCTCCACCTGGAGTGTGCTGGACCTCATTCTGTACCCAGTCAGTCCTGCTCACCTGTCAGGTTCAGCTCCCCTAATCCATGCATCTCCTTCCCACGACAATGGGGTGGTTATTTGTACAATAACCATTTGTTGCATACAGTTGGCCCTCCATGTCCACAGTGGGTTGGTTCCAGGAAACCCCTGGCCACGCAAATACCGAAATCCGTGGATGCTCAAGTCCCTTATATAAAATGGCATAGTATTTGCATATAACCTACGCACATCTTCCCATATGCTTTATTTTTAATTTAACTTTTTTATTTTTGAGATGAAGTCTCACTCTGTCACCCAGATGCTGGAGTGCAGTGGCGCCGTTTCGGCTCACTGCAACCTCTGCCTCCCGGGTTCAGTTGTACAAGTGATTCTCCTGCCTCAGCGTCCCGAGTAGCTGGGATTACAGATGTCCGCCACCACATCTGGCTGAGTTTTTGTATATGTAGTAGAGAGAGGGTTTTGGCATGTTGGCCAGGCTGGTCTCGAACTCCTGACCTCAAGTGATCTGCCCGCCTCGGCCTCCCAAAGTGTTGTGATTACAGGCATAAGCCACCGCGATGGCCCTCCCACATGCTTTAAATCATCTCTAGATTACTTATAATACTGAGTATAATGTAAATGCTACATGAATAGTTGTTATACCGTATTGTTTAGGAAATAATGACAAGGAAAAAAGTCTGTACGTATTCGTACAGAGAAACCCATCCTAGGCCTACCTACAAGGACCCAGTCCATAGTGGGTTGAACCCACAGCCAGGGAACTCACAGATACAGAGGGGCCAACTGTAATGGGTCTCCGTGAGGGTCTAACTCCGCAAGGGCAGGGACCCTGCTGCTGATTTCACCACTGCAGCTCCACTGCCAGGCAATGGACGGTTGAGCTCCCGTGCAGTGGGCATGGCCCAGGTGACCCTTGACCCTTGCTTGAGTTCTCAGCTTCAGGGTGGTTTTTCCTGGTGGTGGACAGCGCTTCTAAGGAAGATGGGCTGGCTCGAAGGCAGCGGGGGACATCAGGCTTTCTGCTTGATTTCGATTACTCTAATGGTGACCCACTTTGTCTGCTGCACACTGGGCTGTCTTCAAGATGACAGGTTGACAATGACTGCCATTGGGTCATTACTGAGCAAAGAGCCATTAGCACACTGGCTGTGGTTCCAGCACAGTCTGTGCCGGGAGGCAGGTGTCTGTCATCCCAGGTGTGCTGGCCTCATTTGTCTGAAGGAATCTGCCGACCTCAGGAAACCCCAGCACGCCTTCAGGCCACTGCCTTGCTTGTCTGTAGCCTTCCCATGGTCACCGCACTTCCGGGCCAGGGTCCCAGCCAGGGTTTATACCGAGACCCACTCACCCAGACTAAGCGGGAAGCAAGACGGTGGGTGTCATCCCACGTGGAAAAAGAACTTAGGGACCTGGAGGAATCAGGCATGGGCATGTTTATTTTGAATACATGTGTCTAATTATTCAATGGAGCTTTCTTAAATGAATTCAAAATACATGTGAAGATTTGTTTCCAGTTGCTTAATGTCTTTTTAATAAGGAGGCTCTGACCAGATAACCTACCCTGAAATTTCTTTTTCGTTTGTTTTTTGTTTTTTGTTTTTCGAGACGGAGTCTCGCTCTGTCACCCAGGCTGGAGTGCAGTGGCACGATCTAGGCTCACTGCAAGCTCCGCCTCCTGGGTTCACGCCATTCTCCTGCCTCAGCCTCCCAAATAGCTGGGACCACAGGCGCCTGCCACCACTCCCGGCTAATTTTTTGTATTTTTGGTAGAGACGGGGTTTCACCATGTTAGCCAGGATGGTCTCGATCTCCTGACCTTGTGATCCACCCGCCTTGGCCTCCCAAAGTGCTGGGATTACAGGCATGAGCCACCGCACCCGGCCTGAAATTTATTTTTCTTTTTTTCCTTTCTCTTTCCTCACTTTCCTTCCTTCTCTTTTCTTCTTCTCCTTCTCCTCCTCGTCCTCCTCCTTCTTCTTCTTCTTTCTTCTTCTTCCCTTCTCTCTCTCTCTCTCTCTCTCTCCCTCCCTCCCTCCTTCTTTCTTTCTTGACAGAGACTTGCTCTGTTGCCTATGCTGGAGTGCAGGCTTGATCGTGGCTCACTGTAGCCTCAACCTCCTGGGCTCAGGTGATCCTCCCACCTCAGCCTCCTGAGCTGAGTAGCTGGGACTACAGGCACGTGCCATCATGCTTGGCTGATTTTTAAAAAATATTTATTTATTTATTTTTAGTAGAGATGAGGCCTTGCTATGTTGCCCCAGCTGGTCTTGGACTCCAGGGCTCAAGTGATCTATCTACTCACCTCAGCCTCCCAAAATGCTGGGATTACAAGCGTGAGCCACTGCGCCCAGTCTGAAGTTTCTTTGAAAGCAAAAAAGGAAACAAAAAGAGTACATAGGCCCAAATGAAGACAGCTGAAAGTTTAATGTACCTCAAATTCCAGCCCATGACTAAGGGATGGACTTTGAGTCTCTTTTCGAATCCATCTCAAGGATTTAGGTTTAGAGTTTGTGCTCCTTTAAACAGACTAAGAGCCTCTGTGACAAAGTAAATAGAGAAAATAAGTGTAGTCAAGCTCTGGCAGGATTTGGAAGGGGGCCTAACGTGGAAGAAAGGAGAAGGCTGGAATTGACTAAGATGTGCTATGCACTGGGCTGGATTTGTTCTCAGCAGAAAGCAAGAAAGAGCTCTGGGATGGTAGCAGGGCTCCCACTACCACCGGGGGCCAAAGGTTGCAGTATTTCTCAGGTAGCCAAGAGGCACCCATGAGCCCAGCCCCTGCCCACTCCCTGATGTCATCTAGACACAAGGACATGGGGCATGAGAGGACATCATTGTCACTTCTCTGCAGAGTCACAGGAACGTGCCCTCTGCTCCTCCGCCTCTCGGCTGTCCTTCTGCCCACGGCTGGCCCAGACTCTCATGGCGACTCACTGTCTCCCACGCCCCCACTCCCGGCAGGAAACCACTTCAGGGTTTACTGTGGGCTCCGAAATCAGCCTGTGAGTCCTAGTTAGGGTCCCCTGTGCCTGACTCTCCTCTCCCCAGGCTGCAAGAAATAGGGATGACCAGAAGTCAAACTGTGCCCTTGGGAACACCCCACCCCTCACCACTGTCGTGCCAGGAGTCTGTTCCTAAGACCCCTCCCCAAGTCCTGTCTCCTCCTCTTCCTCCCATAAACCACAGCAGACACTCAGCCACCAGGCTGCAGCCCTGCACCTTCTCCAGCAGCCGCTGGCCTTCGCCAGAGTTCTTGAAAGCCCAGTTGTCCTTCCCCAGCCACGTGGAGGCAGACGGATCTCTCCTGGGGGCAGCCTGTAGCTGTCTGTGCAAAGGTTCCCAAGACTAAAGTGTAGAGGACAGGTAAGATGACACTGTCATGATCATCATTCGTCCTGTGCCCTGTGGACATCAACCCACAGATGTGACATCAACCCATCTGATATTGAGCCCAGTGGGTGGGGAGATCCTAACCCAGCTGCTGCTGTTGAGGACTTGGGTGGTGTCTGGCCAGTGGGAGGGGAGGTCAGGCGAGTTTTCAGCAGATGACCCCGTGCTCTTCGGAAGCCCGGAGGTGCCACACTGTACAAGTGTGATGCCTGGGATCCTGTGCTCCCCTGATGCCTGGGAATGGGGTGAAGGAACAGCCTAGGCTTGGGTTCTCTCCTGGGTTGTTTCGGGACTTGGCCCCAGCTCAGGAAGGGTTTGTGGAGGAGCCAAGGAGGGCCTTGTTCCTGTGGGATGTCTTTGCCTTGGGCACAAGGACAGCCTCTTGCTGCTGCTCTGCCCACCGCCCACCCCTTGGCGGCCTCTGGGAGTCTGGGCTGCTCTCCCTCTGGACCTAACCAGTTGCCCAATGGCTGGACCTGCTTAAAGCTCCCTCTTACAACTGGACCAGGCAGCCAGGGGAGGCACTGAGAGGCCGAGCTTCTGAGCTGGTGCCTGTGGATGCTCGACGGTCCCGCAGCTCCCACAATGGGATGGCCAAGCAGACCCTGAGATCCACAGCCCCCCTTTAGTGAAACAGGAGGGAGGTCGCTGGGCACAGGGAGCCGGGAACGCCTGCCCTCCCCGCCATCGACGGCTCCCGAGGCCTGAACCTTCGCTCCAGCCCCAGCACAAGCCGGCCAGGGCGCAGGGCCAAGTGTTGCCCGCCATTCCCCGGGTACCCCATGACCTCCCAGCTGGGGCTGGCTCGGACTGAGGAGTCGTCCCTGCCCGTCACCCTCTGGGGTCTCCAGTGCTGCGGAGCTCAGCTGGCTTTTGCAGCGGTAGGGGCTGGGAGGAGAAGCTGCAGGGAGACCGCAGGCGTGGGACGTTGTGGGGGGTCAGGCTTGCTCTGGGGCTGGGACCCCGGGGGGAGCAGTGGGGTTGACGCCACAGCGATGACTTGGGCCACGGGTCTGGGGGCTCTCCCGCGGGGCGATTGGGCTCTGTCTTTCGGGATTAGGGTCTCTCCCACAGGGTTTGGGGTTCTCTCTGCAGATTTGGGGGAGTCTCTCCCGCGGGATGAGGGGGGGCTCTCCGCCGCACCCGCCTATGATGGCCCAGAGGACCCGAGCTCGGGTCACTCCCGTCGCCCTCGGGGCTCGGCGAGGGTGCAGGAGGCGGGCGCTGAGCCGGTGACGCGACTCCGGGCGGCTCCCGGGTGCGCCGCATATATAGCAGCGGCGGCGGTGGCGGCGGCCACACCGGGCGGCGGACACGTGGAGGGACCCGGCCCGCGCCTTCTGCCCCTGCTGCCGGCCGCGCCATGCGGTGAGCGCCCCAGGCCGCCAGAGCCCACCCGACCCGGCCCGACGCCCGGACCTGCCGCCCAGACCCGCCACCGCACCCGGACCCCGACGCTCCGAACCCGGGCGCAGCCGCAGCTCAAGGTACTACTGGCGCCGGGCCGACCCTGCGCCCCCGGGAGGCCTCCCCTTCGGCTTTCCTCTGCCCAGGGACGGTTCTGCCAGGGCCCTGGCCCGGCCGCCGCCTCTGCTCCTCCCCGCAGCCCCGGCACTCCTTGCCTCGGGGCGCAGCCCACTCCGGGTTCCGACCCGCCCGCCCTGTCCTTCCCTTCCAGATGGCCCGAGGCAGCGCCCTCCTGCTCGCCTCCCTCCTCCTCGCCGCGGCCCTTTCTGCCTCTGCGGGGCTCTGGTCGCCGGTAAGTGCGGGGCGCGTCTCCTCCGAGCGAAGGGGACATCAGAGCCGGCCGGGCGTGGAGGGCTTCCTGGAGGAGGCAGCCTCCGCCCTGCCCGCGGGGATGGGGGTGGAAAGTGGAAAGGCGGGCGCTGTCCTGGCTGCGGGCGTCGCGGGAAGGGTCCGGGGCTCCCTGGGATTCCCCCCGCGCGCTTCTCCGAGTGTATCAACAGCCCCGGGCTATAACCAGGCCGCCGGGAGAGCTCTGCGCTTCGGGTCAGCGCCTCGGGAAAGCGAGAAGCTCGCCCGTTCCGCAGGGCTTAGTTAGAATGGAGGGCTAGGAGCCACTGGCGTGGCCTCAGCGTCACTAAAGCAGGTGCAGTGCGCTGAGAGTGCGCGGGCTCAGGCCCTCAAGTGAAGTATTTCGTAAATAAAGTGGTTCCATTTTCATGTCAAATATAGCCGACTTAGGGGTAAACCTGGAATTTCGCGAGCTATCCAAAAGCACATGCATTGTTCTAAGTCCTCTGCCATGCCGGGAAAGCCTGGGTGCACCCATTCAGCATAGGCTCCAGGCACAGCCCTGGCATCTGATCCCCTTTTCTCCCTTCAAGGCCAAGGAAAAACGAGGCTGGACCCTGAACAGCGCGGGCTACCTGCTGGGCCCACGTAAGTGACTGACAGCATGGCCTCCCCACTCCTGACCCCACCTGCCCCTCGCTTTGAACCCTGGCTCCTGCCCCTCCGCCTGCGGCTGGGCAGACCCTCTGGCCTCCCTCTTGACCTCATTGCCCGTCTCCATTGCTCTGCACACTTGATCTGTGTACGGTTCTTTCCAGAAGCTTCTCCTGCCCCGGCTCTGCCGCCCTGTCCCGGGGTGAGATTCCCACCCTGGGCTTTGCTCAAGTTCTCCTGGGCTTTCCCGCCTTGCAGTCCTTACAGGCCCTGTTCTGGGCCTCTCCCCAGGCCCCCGGGTCTCCCAAAACACTCAACTCCTCGGCTTGCAGAGCACCCTAGGTCAGCGGACCCCAAATCCTGCCTCCCTCTTCCCTTTCTCCAAGCTCCACACGGGAATTGCCAGATCGCCTGAAGGCAGCCCAGACAGGCTCCCCTCAAAACAAGGTTCAGGTGACCCTGCCTGCCCAAGCCTGTGTCCCCTCCCTCTCCCTGTCCTGTTGTTGTCACCTGTGTCAGCGGTGTCCCCTGCTGCCTGAGGTGAGCCCTAGCCCTAGATGGGACACTGCAGGCTGACACCTCCCCGTGTCCGCCCCCGCCCCTGTCCCAGGCCTCTACTTTCTCCACATCCTTGGTCTGTGCAGCAATGCCTTCTGACTTTCCTCCAAAGGAGGGGACAAGAGGAGGCCTTGGTTCCCTCCTGTAACTCACCTTCCCCTCCACACCTCACCATCCACCTTAAAAGCCTCCCTGTACTGCCTTCTGCCAGAGGAAGGATGTGAACAGCACGCAGGGCCTATCTGAGCCCCGCGGAGCAGCAAATGGGGAGAATGGTGCTCTTCTCCCCATGCCAAGGAAAGCTGACTTAGTTCTCAGTCCCAGAGTCGAATACAGCTTCCTCCTCCTGCAGACGCTTGTTTATCGGGGTCACTCAGAGGACCCCCAGAGTCAGGCTTTAAGAAACAGACACGGGGATGACAGAGCCGCCTGAGGCCGCGTGCGGATCGGTCCAGGCTGTTCACCACAGAGCCTGCTGGTCTCTGTGCGGCCCTCTCATCCTCTCCCTGCCCATGGAGTGGCCTGACCTGCCTGAGGGTCGGCTGATTTCCTCAACCCTTTGCAACCCTGAGCTCTGCCACTCAGAGGGCACCTCATCTTTGTGTGCTACGGGCCCAAAACAAAGGCAGAACTGGTCAATGAGAACATTTATCTGTGTTGCTTTGGAATATTGAAAATCTATTTGTCAAGAAGAGTTTGACCCCTAATTAGAAAACAAACTCATTTTCGCCATCAATTTTACGGCCCTGTTCAGCTGTAGCTAGACGAGTTGTTTGTCAAAATACTTAAAAATGTGCCTTTGATTTCTAGGATCTGCTAGAAATGCAGCAAAAGCAATGTTTTTGCACCAGCTGCTGCTGAACGCAGTGTGGCCGTGGCTGAGGGTGCATCAGTGACATGAGGCGACCTATGATTCCTCTATAAATTTAGCACCAAGAACGGCATCTCTGGAAATACGCGTTAATTCTCCTTTGTCTGGCCTTGTAGATGGCACAGTCCACCCAGGCCAACCAGCTGGAAACACAGAGGCGTCCTCACCCTCGTCCCCATCTCTCATTTCCATTTCCTTTCCTGCACAGCCCCAAATCCAGCCCTCCTCTTCACCCCACGCCTCTTGGTTTACAGCCTTCATCGTTTCTTCCCTGGAATTCTGGGATCTCTGTGCTTGCAATCACAGTTCCTCCATTTTCGCACCACGAAACACACCCACACACACACGGGAACGCACACACGCTCCTGCACCCCCCACCCCCATCCTGTCTCCCTCTGTGACCCTCTCGCTCCCTCTGTCTCTCTCCTTCTCTCTCTCTGGCTCCAGTCCATCTTGCACACAGCTGCCAGAGTGAAAATAAAAATCAGATTCAGTCACAACTTAAACTCTTCAGCGTCCCCCATGCTTTCAGGGACATGAGGACCCAGCTCCTGTTGTCTGCCAGGGAGTCACCCAGTTTGATGCCAGCTCAGTGCCAGCTCAGATGCCAGCTCCTCTGGACCCAGGCGCAACCCCTGCAACAGGGCAGGTTCTGGGCCTCTCCCCCACTTCAGGAGCCACACCTCCCTTTCTCCCACCCACCCTGTGCAAACCCTCACATTCCCTTTGACCCTGGTGTGAGCGGCCAAGCTCTTACCTCAGCTGGGTGGAGAATCGCTCCCTCTGCTCTGGTGTCTGTCCCTGGGCTCTATTTCACAGTCGAGTTGCGTGTGTGTGTTGGCTACAGGCAGCCCTGTGTCCTTCTTTGGGTGTGGGGAGGGCGTGCATGACAGTCACACCCAGAGGCTTTCCTCTCTGATCTGCAAACAGATGCCGTTGGCAACCACAGGTCATTCAGCGACAAGAATGGCCTCACCAGCAAGCGGGAGCTGCGGCCCGAAGATGACATGAAACCAGGTGAGAGGACTCCTATCCCGGGCCCCGGGGCACCTCACTTCCACCAGCTCCCAGGTGCATGCAGGGGACAGCTGTGGGTGTCGGGGCTGTCCACAGCTGCAGCCCAAGCCTGGCCATGACTTGACTAAGACGATGTGGCCTCGCCACACCTGTCAGCAGCTGCAAACAGAACGTGCAAACCCGAGACAGCAAGGGGTCCTTCTAGGCTGGGAGGCTGCCCAGGCACCAGGGCCTCCAGAAGAGCGGGACTGGGCACGATGGCTCCTGCCTGTAATCCCAGCACTCTGGGAGGCTGATGCGGGTGGATCACCTGAGGTCTGGAGTTCAAGACCAGCCTGGCCAACATGGCAAAACCCTGTCTCTACCAAAAATATAAAAATTAGCCAGGCGTGGTGGTGGGTGCCTGTCATCCCAGCTACTTGGGAGGCAGAGGCTCGAGAATCACTTGAACCTGGGAGGCGGAGGTTGCAGTGAGCCAAGATCATGACACTGCATTCCAGCCTAGGCAACAGAGTGAGACTCCATCTCAATTAAAAAGAAGAAGAAGAAGAAAAGCGAGGCCTCGAACTGGATATCTCCCCAACTCCCTCACATTGAACAAGGGCCTTGGAAAGCACAGCAGGGCCTCAGGCTGCTGGGATCAGATCATTGACCTTGCAGCGCCCAGCTCCTCTGTAGGGAGGGGGATGACCTGAGACACTGAAGCACCCTCTGCACAAGTCGTGAATGTTGATCTTTTCTCTTCTAGGAAGCTTTGACAGGTCCATACCTGAAAACAATATCATGCGCACAATCATTGAGTTTCTGTCTTTCTTGCATCTCAAAGGTATGTGAAATATCATCAACTTAACATTCATCTCTTAGTACACTGGAAACGTAAAAGGCCCATCGAGAAGAGAACCCATAGAATCCCCCTGGGAAGTAGCCGATTACTTATCTACGTACAAAGTCCTGTTTGGCTGTGTGTCGGGATAACAGAGAATGTAACACTAGAGCTAGCTCCAGAGGGCTGGGATTGCGGCAGGGGCATTCTACCGTCGTGGAGGGCCATCGGGCCAGCGCTGGTCCCAGGAAGAGAGTGGGCCTCAGGGTGCAGCTCATTCTACTGGAACCATATCTATTCACACGGTGACAACTGCTGTACCTTTTAGGGCAGAGGTATACTACAGGCCAAGTTCTTTGTGAACCGTCCTAAACCTTTTCTCTTTTCTTTTTTCTCTGTCTTTTCTTTCTCTTCTCTCTTTTCTTTCTTTCTTCTTTCTCTTCCTTCCTTCCTTTTTCTTCCTCCCTCTTTCTCTCTCTCTTTCTTCCTTCCTTCCTTCATCTCACTCTGTCGCCCAGGCTCGAATGTAGTGGTGCAATCTCAGCTCACTGCAGCCTCTGCCTCCTGGGCTCAAGTGATTCTCGTGCCTCTTCTTCCCAGGTAGCTGGGAAAACAGGTGCGCACAATTATGCCTGGCTAATTTTTGTATTTTTAGTAGAGGCTGGGGTTCATCATGTTGGCCAGGCTCATCTTGAACTCCTGGCCTCAAGTGACCTGTCTGCCTCAGTCTCCCAAAGTGCTGGGATTACAGGCGTGAGCCACTGTGCCTGGCCCTAAACCATATTTTCTAAGCATGGGAAATTAATAGAAGCCCATATCTTAGACTGCAGTGTTTCTCTATGCAGCCTTCCTGCCAGGCAGGCTGCCTTGAAATCTAACTGGAAAGGCTCTGATCCTGGCTTCCAGTGTCTTCTGCAAACACTGGGGATGAGGAGACCTCCGCACACTACGCTTGGCATTCATTCTACGATGGGCATCTGGCCTTGATCAGATAACCACACAGGTCCTACTGCAGCAGTGGAGGGAGCCGGAAAGCGGCCCCGGTGCTCTGAGGGTTAACAGGGAGGTGGTGGTGGGGAGGAGGGATGGACCGCTTTGCCTCTCCAGCAGAGAAGACCTTCACCTGGTGCTCTGAGAGTTAAGGGGGAGGCAGTGGTGGGGAGGAGGGATAGACCGCTTTGCCTCTCCAGCAGAGAAGACCTTCACCTGGTGCTCTGAGAGTTAAGGGGGAGGTGGTGGAGGGGAGGAGGGATGGACCACTTAGCCTCTCCAGTGGAGAAGACCTTCACCTGCTGCTCTGAGAGTTAACAGGGAGCTGGTGGTGGGGAGGAGGGATGGACCGTTAGCCTCTCCAGTGGAGACCTTCAGTTGCACATCACAGTTTTGTCCAGTTTTGAAAAATCAAGGCTAATCCTTGGGTTCATTTTGGATCAGGATGTTTTTCATTTGCAGTGTTATCGGGCTGCACTTTAGGTGGCGATGGGGAGAGGGAAGAGGAGTGAGGGGAGGGGAGCGGGGGAAGGAGACTGCCAGAGAAGGTCTTGGAAAAGGCGGTGTTCATTAGAAATCTCAAAACCGAGTCACCAAGTTCCCTCTGTTGGAGCCCAGTGGAGCCTCTGGGAGAAAAGCTGGGGTGACTTTTCCTACAAGGGGCAGAGGGACTCTGCTAGATTTTTGTTTTTCATTTGTTTTTAATTTTGTAACATGGAAACTCTTTCCTTAGGATATACCAGCTCTCATTACTCAGCTAGGAATTATACCTCTTTAAAGCCTGAATTTAAAAGTCTGACAGTTTTAAATGCTTACTAACTGTGGGAGTTAAATCATTACGAAGTGAGGAATACAGAGTGTTGTCCCTGATTCTGGGTTTAATCTGGTAAGAATCTTTACAGAGGACGACCACACGCCGCTTCCTGTAGCATGTGTCGTGGTTGTAATTCTCTCATGTGCATATTAAGAAGTTGCTGCTCAGATGTGGCTCTTCCCTTTGCAGAGGCCGGTGCCCTCGACCGCCTCCTGGATCTCCCCGCCGCAGCCTCCTCAGAAGACATCGAGCGGTCCTGAGAGCCTCCTGGGCATGTTTGTCTGTGTGCTGTAACCTGAAGTCAAACCTTAAGATAATGGATAATCTTCGGCCAATTTATGCAGAGTCAGCCATTCCTGTTCTCTTTGCCTTGATGTTGTGTTGTTATCATTTAAGATTTTTTTTTTTTGGTAATTATTTTGAGTGGCAAAATAAAGAATAGCAATTACTTGCAATTGTCTTTTTCTTCCACACCTCTGTCTCATCACCAGCGCCACCCATGGGTTTTAAAAGATAAAGCTTGATCATAATCGTGGATTAGACATGAATTTTAAACCCAAATTCTACCGTCAAGAGCATCTGAGACACCACCTGTTATTGCATGTCCAGGGGACATAAATTTATCTCCATATTAAGCTGAGTCAAATGTAATTATGAAGGTAAGTCTGTTACTGAGATGAACAAAAACACAAAACAGACAAAACCCCTGCCCTCGTGGAGCTGATATTTTAGGGAGATGGGAATGAAAAAGACTACAACAACCTTAAACAGATGGGTGAGTTGCGTGGTACTCATGGAGGTGGTCAGTGCTGAGAACAGACGTGTTGGCCAGGTGGGAGGGCCAGGAGCAAGGCAGGAGAGGAGAGATGGGCGGGCAGGTAGAAAGGCAAGGGCAGGAGGTGTGTGCAGGGATGGTGCTGTGTGAAGGAAGGCCTGTGGGAATATCTCTTAACGTGACAGAGACTGAGTCTTTTGAGCAGAGATAAAAAGATCATCCCAGAAGTTTCGAAAAGAAGGCAGGCGACCTGTCGCGGTGGCTCATGCCTGTAATCCCAGCACTTTGGGAGGCCGAGGTGGGCGGATCACTTGAGGTCAGGAGTTTGTGACCAGCTTGGCTAACATAGTGAAACCCCATCTCTACTAAAAATACAAAAATCAGCCGGGCATGGTGGTGCACGCTTGTAATCCAAGCTACTTGGGAGGCTGAGGTTGGAGAATCATTTGCTCCTGGGAGATGGAGATTGCGGTGAGCCAAGATCACACTCTAGCCTTGGCGACAGAGCGAGACTCCGTCTCAAAAAAAAAAAAAAAAAAAAAAAAAAGAAGGTAGGCGAGGGGGAAAAGCCGGACATTTCTGTCAACGTGGGAGGTGGTACACAGGCCTTTTTGGTTTCACCAGAGCTGGCTGTGCGGTGGGAGTGGGAGGTGGTTTCCCAGTTTCCCCCCATTGGCAGTTTGCTGCCTAAGACCTGTTTCAAGGGGCACAGAGCCCTGGCATCCCTCTCCCTGCTCGGTGACCCCCCCCTCCACCACCAGTCAGCTGTGCCCCAGCTCCACCCTGGCTGCCTCCCTCTCCTGCAGGCTCCACGCTCACGCTTGGTGGCCTTGGGTCGCCGGCGCTTCAGACCACTCCCAGCCCGGAGGTAGTGACGTCATCCACCTGGTGGGCTAAACACCTGGGCCCACCTTCTCACTTCCTGTTCACCATCCGCATTTATCCTTTTCCACTTTTTGTTTTGTTTTGTTTTGAGATGGAGTCTCACTTTGTTGCCCAGGCTGGAGTGCAGTGGTGCGATCTCGGCTCACTGCAACCTCCACCTCCTGGGTTCACGCCATTCTCCTGCCTCAGCCTCCCGAGTAGCTGGGACTACAGGCGCCTGCCACCATGCCCGGCTAATTTTCTTTTGTATTTTTAGTAAAGACAGGGTTTCACCACGTTAACCAGGATGGTCTCGATCTCCTGATCTCATGATCAGCCCGCCTCGGCCTCCCAAAGTGCTGGGATTACACTCTTCCATGTTTTTTAAAATCTCTAGTTCTCCAACTTGGGCAGGCACCAGAACTCCCCGAGGCCTTGTCAGGAGGCAGTGGCTAGGCCCCTCCCCAGGGTGTTGGAGCCAAGAGGGCTGGGTGGGCTGGAGCTGGTGGAGCTGGGCCCCCAGCAAGCTTTCCTGCCGCTGCTGCTGCTCACTGGAGGCCTGTGCACATGTCCCTCCCAAGGCCTAGGGAGCTCCTGGCATGGAGGAGGCAGATGAGTGGGTGTGTCTGGGGACCACACCTCGGCCACTGGGCTCCAGCCCCACGGTGTGCAGCCTGTCCTGTCTGGTCTTCCTGTAGCCTTTGCCCCCAGATCCAGTGGCCATGGACACCACCTCTGCCTCAGCCCGCCCCCCAGCCTCCTGCACTCAGTCCTGCAGACCCCACAACTGCGGCCCTGCCTCGCTGACCTAAGGCCTTTGCATGTGTCCCTCCCAAGGCCTGGGGAACTCCTAAGCAGCCCACAGGATTCCGCTCCAGGGTCACCTTATCCAGAGTGCCCTTCCCGTTCCTCCGCCCCAGCATGTGCGGTGCCACCCTAATCAGCATGCCTGTCACTCTGATTGTTTGCAGATGTGTCTCTCCTCACTACACCATGAGAAAGAAGTACCTGAAGGACCCGAGATTAATGACGCTGTGCTGAGTGCTGGGCTCTCCGCACTGCACATGGCTCGCACGAGCCTCCTGAGCAGTGTTCAAAAAGGGCCAAGGAGCCCAGCCTCCATGCAGGTGTGCGGCCTCTGTGCAGGGGTGCGGCCTCCATGCAGGTGTGCAGCCTCCGTGCAGGTGTGGGACTTCTGTGCAGGGGTGCGGGCCCCAGGGTCAGCAGCACAAAGGTGTCGGACTCTCCCCCTGTGGCATCATCTACCTCCTTGTCTAAACCTTGCCTTCCTTTTAGGTATAAACGGAGTGTGGCAGGTGGCAGCCAGAAGGTGAGGGAAAGGAAGTGAGGGGCCAGGAGCGGCTGTGGTGCCATTTGCTGTGATGGACAAGGCTACAGAGGTGATGTCTTTACTTCCCAGAGAGAACGTGGTTGGAGCTGGCCGCAGCCATCCTGGATCAATCTGTTGCTAACAACAGCAGTCTTTTCAAGGGAAGGTGTTCTCCAGCCACCTCGGGAAGCGAAGAATTTACGGACAGGCCTGAGAAACACCAAGATGCCTAATGGAGAGGTGGAGAGTGTTGAGGTTGTGCACCTTGGAGGAGGTGGCTGTCTCCATCATAAAAGCTGATCAGCATGAAAGCCCGTCCACCTCCTACTTGCTCTATCTAACCAGGAGCAGAGCAGACGCCAGGGTGATGCTGCCTGAGGGCGCCTGGCATGGTGGAGGTGGGTGAGCAGTGGGCCAGTCTGAGGAAGAGGCCTGGGCTCAGGAGGTCCCTGGAGGAAGGAGGAAAAGTGCTTTGTTTAAGAGGAAGAAAGAGACGCGGGGTGTGGTGTCTCATGCCTGTAATCCCAGCACTTTGGGAGACCAGCCTGGGCAACATGGTGAGACCCTGTCCGTATAAAAAGAAGTAATTAAAATTTTTTTTTAATTAAAAAAGAAAACAGGAGGGAAGAGAGAGTCTTACAGGGATAAGGAAACCCTAACGCCAAAGATGTAAAGAATTTACAGCTGATCATTTTCTAACATAGGGCCCAGGAAACTTTTATTTCAATGCAAAAAAAAAGGGGATTCTTGTACATTTTGGAGTCAGGATTGTAAGCCTCCAATAAAATTCTAAGCCGCCTAACCAACTGAATGGATCCCTCTCTTGGCCAAGGAGACCCCAAAGAAGCCTCAAAAATTAGGTCATGACGGGAAGGGAGGGGCCAGACATGCTCATTATGCCTCTTCCCCATGGAGTTTAGACACAGCTGACCAGGGACCAGCATTCACATTACAACAGAGATCTTGAGACTGACAAATCAGCCTCTTTTTAGCAATAAGATACCAAATTCCAGCCTGACTCTGGTATAGCATCACATGACAAATAACAAGCCCTGAAGGAAATGAAAGTATTTTAGCCCCACATATATTTCTTTGACATATTCTGAAATGGCCCTGCAAAGCTGACTCTTGTGGGGGAAATTTGCGTTCTATAGAGAATCTCCTTCCTAGTCTGACACCTTTCTAAGGTCTGGTAAGAGACATTCACCTGAATGTCTATTCTCTCTGGAGCCTGCTACCTGGAGGCTTCATCTACATAACAAGAACCTTGCCTTCCACAACCACCCCCTCCCACCTCCATCTACCTTCCCTTAATTCAAGTTAACTTCAACTCTTCAGAAGGGCTTAACTCTTTCAACCAATTGCCAATCAGGAAACCTTTGAATCCACCTATAACCTACAAGCACCCACCCTACCCCACTCATTGAGATGTTCCACCTTTCTGGGCCAAACCAATGTATACCTTACATGTATTGATTTATGTCTTTGCCTGTAACTTCTGTCTCCATAGAACGTATAAAACCAAGCTGTAACTCAACCACCTTGGGTATATATTCTTAGGACCTCCTGAGGCTGTGTCACGAGCCATGGTCCTTAACTTGGCAAAATAAACCTCTACCTTGATTGAGATCTGTCTTGATACTTTTTGGTTTACAAGATTTTATCCTGTGTTATCATGATAAAAACTAAGAAGGCTCTAGAAACCAGAAAGCTTGACAGTCTCTGATATAACTTTAAAAAAAAAAAGATCCAGTGATTTCTGCTTCCAGGAGATGGAGTAGAGGTAGAATTTTCCTTTGTCCTTTTGCTAAGTACAATTAAAAATCCTGAACATCATATATAAAGCAAACATAAGAAGACTCTGAAAGCCCAAGCAATAGGCAGACCAGCTAGGAACTTCAGCCCGTGGTGAGTTCCCTGGGTTTTCTTTTTGCCTCACATATCTTAGACTTGGGCTGAAGGAGCCAGCATCCTAGAAATGCCAACAGGCACAGACCACGAAGGCCCCAACAAAAGCTGCCCTCTCTAGATAAAGGACCAGGAAAGGGAAGCCTGGTAAGACAGAGAATTGTAGATAATGACCACTCTACTCCAGACAAACACCCCAGCAAACACTGTGGCTTCACCAGGCCAGCCAAGGCTAGGTGGGGAGCCTAGACTTACTCATAAGGCTGTGACAAGGTGGCCCAAACCCCAACCAGGGGAAAGTTGTAGGGTGCCAAGTAAAGAACCAGGACTTCATCCCCCACAACCACCCCATCCCTGGCAGTAACAAGACCCCCTATACAGTGTCAGCAGAGACCACCTGGGAGCCTGGATTCTGTGTCCCTCCTCCCACACAGTAATAGGCATACTTCTCTCCATGCATTGGGGTGGTGTCAGAGGAAGGTTAGTGGAGAATCAGCACTTTTACCGCCTCCCAGTGTGACAAGGCCACCCCCTTCTCCTGTGGTGTTAGCAGAGACCATGCAGAGGGGTGCAGTAAGAAAGCGCTCCTACCCCTCCCAGCAAGGGAGGTATTAGTGGGGAGCTGGAACTCCCACTCCTGCCCAGCCATAATGAGGAGCAGCCCACCCATGCCCAGGTGTCAGTGGAGACTGAGTGGGAAGCCTGGACTTCTGTCCCCACCTGGCAGTAATGAGGTGGCACCCCCAGCCTTTCCCCTCCAGGGCAATATCAGAACAAGCCAGCTAAAAGAGAAGGTTCAAATAAAATCCAGAGTTTCATACCATAGCACCCTAAGAGTCCAGGTTTCAAAGATCACTTATCATACCAAGAATCCAGAAGATCTCAAACTGATAAAAGACCATCAATAGATGTCAACACTGACATAGTGAGTATTAGAGTTATCTGACAAAGATTTTAAAGCAGACATCATAAAAAAGAAATGCTTCAACAAACTATTTCAAACATACTTTAAACAGTAAAAATACAAAGTTTCAGCAAAGAAACAGAAATTGGAAAGAAGAACCAAATGGAACTTTTAGAACTAAAAAATACAATAATTGAAATAGAAATTCCAGTGGATGGACTAAATAGCAGAATGTAGAGGGCAGAGGAAAGAACCTGTGAACTTGGTTTTGTTTGTTTGTGTGTTTTTTGTTTTGAGACAGAGTCTTGCTCTGCTGCCCAGGCTGGAGTGCACTGGTGTGATCTTGGCTTCCTGCAACCTCCACCACTGAGGTTCAAGTAACTCTCCTGACTCAGCCTAATGGGTAGCTGGGATTACAGATCTCACCATTGTACTCCAGCCTGGGCAACAGAGCAACACTATCTCAAAAAAAAAAAAAAAAAGTATGTGTAAATATGTAAATATAATAAAACATGTTATCATTATATACTAAAAACTATACAACACTGATGAAAGAAACCAAAGGAGTTTTAAATAAATGTAGAGACATACCATGTTCATGTTCATGTTCATGGATTGAAAGACTCAACACAGTAAATATGTCAGTTTTCTCCAAGTTCATATACAAGTTTAACACAATTCCTATCAAATCCCAGCAAGATTTTTTGAAGAAATAGATAAGCTTATTCTAAAATTTTTTTTTTTTTTGAGACAGAGTCTCGCTCTGTCTCCCAGGCTGGAGTGCAGTGGTGCAATCTCGGCTCACTGCAAGCTCGGCCTCCTGGGTTCATGCCATTCTCCTGCCTCAGCCTCCTGAGCAGCTGGGACCACAGGCGCCCACCACCACGCCTGGCTAATTTTTTGTGGTTTTAGTAGAGACAGGGTTTCACCGTGTTAACCAGGATGGTCTTGATCTCCTGACCTCATGATCTGCCCGACTTGGCCTCCCAAAGTGCTGCATTACAGGCATGAGTCACCGCACCTGGCCAGCTTATTCTAAAATTTATATGGAGAGGCAAAGAAAGTAGAACAGCTAAAGCAACGTTTTGCAAAAGAAAAATAATGAAGAGTCTACCTGAGTTAAAAGCTACAGTAATCAAGACTGTGTGTATAGATACATAGATCAACAGAACAGAGAATCCAGAAATAAACCCACCCAAATACATCCATCGGTTTTTGACAATGGCGTGAAAGAAATCAATGAAGAAAGGATAGCCTTTTCAACAAATGGTGCTGAAGCAATTGAGTATCTATAGGCAAAAAATAAAATCAAAGTTGAAGAAGAATTGTGACCTAAACCTCATACATTGTTTTTTTAATTTTAGAGATGGGATCTCACTATGTTGCCCAGGCTGGACTCAAACCCCAGGCTGGACTCAAACCCCTAGGCTCAAGGAATCCTTCTGCCTCAGCCTCCTGAGTAGCTGGAACTATAGCCATGCAACACTGCACCTGGCTTCACACCTTATTCTTAAAATTAACTCAAAATGGATGATAGATTTAAATGCAAAATGTAAAACTATAAACTTTTAGAAAATCCTTAGGATCTATGGCAAATAAAGAGTTCTCAGACTTGACACCAAAAGCATGATCCATGAAAGTTATATATAAAGATATATTAGACTTCTCCAATAAAAATACAAAAATTAGCCAGGTGTGGTCGTGGGCACCTGTAATGCCAGCTGCTCCGGAGGCTGAGGCAGGACAATTGCTTGAACCCAGGAGGTGGAGGTTGCAGTGAGTCGAGATCGCATCACTACACTCCAGTCTGGGCAACAGAGCAAGACTCTGTCTCAAAAAAAACAAACAAACAAAACAAAACAAAAAAACAACTCTGAAAATTCAACCGTAAAGAGAAAAAAAAAAAGAAAAATAAGTCAAATTAAAAATGGGCAAATGCATAAACAGATATTTCACCAAAGAGGAGATATACATGGAAAATAAGCACATGAAATCATGTTAACATCATTGGTCATTAGGGAAATGCACATTAAATCCACAATGAGGTGTTGCTAACCACCTATCGGAATGACTAAAAGAAAAAACAGTGACAGCATTAAATGCTGGCAAAAATGCAGAGAAAATGTGTTGCTCACGTACCGCTTGTGGAAATGCAAAATGGTACAGTGCGTTTGGAAAACATTTTGGCAGTTTCTTTAAAAACTAAATATACAACTTGGTTAATGGGTACCAAAAATAGAAAGAATGAATAAGACCTACTATTTGATAGCACAGTAAGGTGACTATAGATGATAATAACCTAATTGTACATTTAAAAATGAGTTAACAAGTGTAACTGGATTTTTTGTAACTCAAAGAATGTTTGCAGGATGGATACCCCATAACCCAGGACGTGCTGATTTCACACTGCATGCCTGTATCCAAACATCTCAAGGACCCCGTAAATATATATACCCACTATGCACCCACACAAATTTCAAAACAATTAAATTTTAAAAATAAAAATAAATATGCAACTACCACACAACCCACCAATTGCACTCCTGGGTATTTATTACAAAGAATGAAGACTTAGCTTTACACGTAAGCCTGTACACAAATGTTCATAGTAACTTTATTCATCATAGCCCCAAACTAGAAACCACCCATATGTCCTTCAATGGGTAAATGGTTAAACTGTGGTACATCTACGCCATGGACTACTACTCAGCAATAAAAAAGAATAAATTGTGTGGTTTTTTGTTTATTTATTTTATTTTTATTTTTTATTTTTTTAGAGAAAAGGTCTTACTCAGTTGCCCAGGCTCCTGACTTGGCCCCTTGAAGCCATGGGATTACAGGTGTGAGCTGCCACACCCAGCCAGAAATGAGTTGTTGAAACACATAGCAACTTGGATGAGTCTCCAGAGAATTATGCTGAATGGAAAAAAGGGAAAAAACAAAAAACAGGCTGAGAGTGGTGGTTCATGCCTGTAATCTCAGCACTTTGAGAAGCTGAGGTGGGAGGATTTCTTGAGGCCAGGAGTTCAAGACCAGCCCGGACAATGTAGCAAGACCTTGTCTCTACAAAAAATAAAACATAAAAATAATTAGCCAAGCATGGTGGTGCAGTGCCTGTAGTCTTAGCTACTTGGGAGGCTAAGGCAGAGGAGGATCTCTTCAGCCCTGGAGTTCAAGGTTACAGTGAGCTATGATCACACAACTGTACTTCAGCCTGGGCGAGACAGCAAGACTCTGTCTTTAAAAAAAAAGTTCCCAAAAGTTACATACTATATAATTCCATGTATCCAACATTCTTGAGATGACAATATTACAGAAATGGAGAAGAGATTAGTGGTTACCAGGGGCTAGGGAGGTGATGGGGATGGTAGGAAAACGTGTGCGGGCAACTTGAACTTGAGAGACCTTTGAGGTGACAGAAATGTTCTGTCTCTTGACAGTATCAATGTCGCTATCCTGGTTGTGATATTGTCCTATAGATTTGTAAGATGTTATTATCATTAGGAAAACTGGATAAAGGGTACATTGCATTTCTCTGTATCATTTCTTCTTTCTTTCTTCCTTCCTTCCTTCTTTCCTTCCTTCCTTCCTTCTTTCTTTCTTCTTCTTCTTTTTTTTTTGAGATGGAGTCTCACTCTGACGCCGAGGCTGGAGTGCAGTGGTACGATCTCAGCTCACTGCAAGCTCTGCCTCCCGGGTTCACACCATTCTCCTGCCTCAGCCTCCCCAGTAGCTGGGACTACAGGCACCCGCCACCACGCCCGGCTAATTTTGTTTTTGTATTTTCAGTAGAGACAGAGTTTCACCGTGTTAGCCAGAATGGTCTCGATCTGATCTCGTGATCCACCAGCCTCGGCCTCCCAAAGTGTTGGGATTACAGGCGTGAGCCACTGTTCCCGGTCTCTCTCTATTATTTCTTAAAACTGCATGTGGGCTGGGTGCGGTGTCTCACACCTGTAATCCCAGCACTTTGGGAGGCTGAGGCAGGCGGATCACGAGGTTGGGAGATGGAGACCATCCTGGCTAACACAGTGAAACCCCGTCTCTACTAAAAATATAAAAATTTAGCCGGGTTTGGTGGCGGGCGCCTGTAGTCCCAGCTACTCTGGAGGCTGAGGCAGGAGAAAGGTGTGAACCCGGGAGGCGGAGCTTGCAGTGAGCCGAGATAGTGCCACTGCACTCCAGCCTGGGTGAAAGAGTGAGACTCAGTCACAAAAACAAACAAACAAACAAACAAACAAACAAACAAACAAAAACTGCATGTGAATCTATAGTTATCGCAAAAGGAAAACTTTAATTTTTAAAGAAACAAGTTAAAATATTTTTGGAAGCCCTGATGTGTTCATTGTTGAATTCTAGCAAACATTTAGGAAATAAATTGTTTTAAATTCTCTATAATCTCTTCCAGAAGATAGAACTGAAGGGAATATTTCCTGACTCATTCTATGAGGCCAGCATAACTCTAATACCCAAACCAGACAAAGACATTAAAAGAAAACTATAGACCAATATCTCTCATGAACATACAAGCAAAAATCCTCAACAAAATACTAGCAAGTTAAATCCAACAATGTGTAAAGAAAATTATATGCCATGAGTAAGTGGAATTTATCACAGGTATGCAAAGCTGGTTTAACATTCAAAAATCAATTGATGTAATTAATCAAATCAACAAGCTAAAGAAGAAAGATCCATTAATTATATCAATGCACACAGAAATAGCATTTTACAAAGTCTAACACCCATTCCTAATAAGAACTAGAAATAGAGGCGAATTTTGTCAACATGGTAAAGAACACCTACTGAAAACCTACAGCTAATATCATAATTAATAGTGAGAAAAGAAGCCAAAGATGTCCCCTCTCATCACTCTTTTAAACATTGTACTGGAATGCCTAGTTAATGCAATAAGATAAGAAAAGGATATACGAAGTTTACAGATTGGGAAGGAATAAATAAAGCTTTGTTTGCAGACGTCATGATCATCTATGTAGAACTCTAAAAGTATCATCAACAACAACAACAAATGTCCTGGAATTAATAAGCAATTATAGCAAAGTTGCAGGATACAAGGTTAATAAACAAAAGTCAATAGCTTTCCTATATACCAGCAATGAACAAGTAAAATTTGAAATTAAAAATGCAATACCACTTACGTTAGCACCTCCCAAAAATGTAATACTTAGGCATGCATTTACCAAAACCTATATGAGGAAAACTATATAACTCTGATGAAAGAAATAAATACAGAGCTAAATAAATGGAGAAATATTCCATGCTTGTGGATAGGAAGACTCAATATTGTCAAATATTAGTTCTTCCAAATCTGATGTATAAATTCAACACAATTCCAATAACAATTCTGGCAAGTTATTTTGTGGATAGCAAAAAACTGATTCCTGGGCCAGGCATGGTGGCTCATGCCTATAATCCCAGCACTCTGTGAGGCCAAGGCAGGAGGATCGCTTGAGCCCAGGAGTTTGAGACCACCCTGGGCAACATAGTGAGACCTTGTCTCTATAAATAATAAAAAAAATTAGCCAGGCATGGTGATGTACACCTGTGGTCCCAGCTGCTCAGGAGGCTGAGGCAGGAGGATCAGTTGAGTCTGGGAGGTCAATGCTGCAATGAGCTATGATCACATGCCACTGCACTCCAACTTGGACAACATAGTGAGATCTTGTCTCAAAAACAACAAACAAACAAACAAACAAACAAAAAACCTGATTCTAAAGTTTATGTGGAGAGCCTAAAGACCCAGAATAGCCAAAAAAAAAAAAATGGAAAGAAAAGAACAAAGTTGGAAGGCTACTATAAAGCTACAGTAATCAAGATGGTGTGGTGTTAGTAAAAGAATAGAAAAATAGATCAATGGAACAGAATAGAGGGCCCAGACTCATACAAATAGAGCCAACTGATATCTGACAAAGGAACAAAAGCAATACCATGGAGAAAAGACAGCCTTTCTGACAGAAGGTGCCAAAACAACTGAACATTCATATGCAAAAAAAGACTAGATAAAGCCTCTTATCCCTCTCACAAAAATTCATTCAAAATAGATCATAGACCTAAATGTAAGTTGTAAACTATAAAATTCCTAGAAGATTGGCCAGGTGCAGTGACTCACACGTGTAATCCTAGCACTTTGGGAGGCCAAGGTGGGAGGATTGCTTGAGGTCAGGAGTTCGAGACCAGCCTGGCCAACATGGTGAAACCCCGTCTCTACTAAAAATACAAAACTTAGCCAGGTGTGGTAGCAGGCGCCTGTAATCCCAGCTACTCAGGAGGCTGAGGCAGGAGGGTCGCCTCACTTGAACTCAGGAGGCGGAGGTTGCAGTGAGCTGAGATTGCCCCACTGCACTCCATCCTGGGGGACAGAGAGAGACTCCATCTCAAAAATAAAATAAAATAAAATAAAATCCCTAGAAGATAACACAGGAGAAAGTATGGATGGTCTGGATATGGCAATGATTTTTTAGACACTATGCCAAAGGCATGATCCACGAAAAAAAAAATTGATGAGCTGGACTTTATTAAAAACTTCCGTTCTGCAAAATACACTGTCAGGAGAGTGAGGAGACAAGCCACAGACTGGGAGAAAATATTTGCAAAGGACGTATCTAATAAAGGACTGTTATCCAAAATATACAAAGAATTCTTAAAACCCAACAATAAGAAAAGAAACAACCCAATTAAACAATGAGCAAAAGACCTCAACTGACATCTCACCAAAGAAGATATGCAGTTGGCAAGTATGCATATGGACATATGCTCAACATCATATGTCACTGGGGAACTGCAAATTAAAATGGCAATGAGATACCAGTACACACCTATTAGAACCGGCAAAATCCCAAACACTGACAACGCTATGTGTTGGTGAGGAGGCGGAGCCACAGAAACTCTCATTCACTGCTGGTGGGAATACTCAATGAAACAGCTTCTTTGGAAGAAGATAGTGGTTTCATGCAAAACTAAATATATTCTTATTACATGATCCAGAATCATTGGGTAAATCCATTGATGTTTACCCAAAGGCATTAAAAACTTGCATCCACACAGAAACCTACATACAGATATTTACAGCAGCTTTATTCCGAGTTGCCCAAACTTGGAAGCAACTCAGATGTTCTTCAGGAGGGGAAGGGATGAACAGTGGTATATCCAGACAATGGAATATTATTCAGTGCTAAAAGGAGATGAGCTATCAAGCCATGAAAAGATATGAAGGACATAAATGCATATTACTAAGTGAAAGAAGCTAGTCTGAAGAGGCGACCTACTGTATGATCCCACTTAAGTGACATTCTGGGAAAGGTAAAACTGTGGAGAGAGTGAAAATATCAGTGATTGCCAGGAGTTGTGGGGAGGGAAGGATGAACAGGCAGAGCACAGGGGTGGTTTAGGGCAGTGAGACTGTTCTGTGTGCTGTAACCCTGGATATGTGCCATTGTACATTTGTCAAAACCCATAGCATGTGGAATAACGAGAGGGAATCCTAACGTCAGCATGGGCTTTGGGTTTGTGGTGTATCACTTTGGATGATGGTGTATCACTGTAGGTTCATCAGTTGTAACAAAAGGACGGCTCTGGTGAGGAATGTTGGTAGTGGGGAGGCTGCGGTGTTGGGGGGCATGGATTATATGGGAAATCTCTGCACTTTCTGCTCAGTTTTGCTGTGAACCTAAAACTACCCTAAAAAATACTCTAGTAAAAAAAATAAATAAATAGAGACCCAGCATGGTGGCTCACACCTGTAATCTCAGTGCTTCAGGAGGTCAAGGAGGGAAGATCATTTGAGGCTAGGAGTTTGAGGCCTGGGCAATATAGCAAGACCCTGTCTCTACAAAAAATAAAAATACAGAAACTTAGCTGAGTATGATGGTGTGAGCCTGTAGTTCTAGCTACCTGGGAGCATTGCTTGAAGCCAGGAGTTTGAGGCTGCAGTGAGCTATGATCGCACCACAGCACTACAGCATAGGCAACAGAGTGAGACTCTGCCTCTATTAAAATATATATATTTCTAGGGAATCATCATTAAAAAGGTTGTCACTGCAGACTCTGTCTTCATAATTCGGTAATAATGTTTCTATAGTCCATCTATTTCCAACAAACATATGAAATGGTTTACAGTAAAAGATGTATGTAATAGTACAAATAAAAAGCATGTTTAAAAAAGTAAAGCTTTATGGAAAAAAGAGAGGGACAGTTAATCCTAAACCTGGGCTAATGTGATTTCTGGTATTGAATAGATTTACTTTTGAATTTCCTGAAAGTCAAGGCAAAATTTAAAATATCAAACATTAAAGTTTTTATTAAAGTTTGTTGTTGAAAAACAAACCAGCTACCATTTTTAGGAGGCTCAAACTTTTTCCTGATAGTCATTTTTAAATATATGAAGAGAACATCCATGCAATGACAGTCTTCAATTCCAGTTTTATCGGTGGCTGGGGCCGGGCAGTGCTCCCTGTGGCTCTCCAGTCTCTGCCGGGGGCCGGGGGTTGGGAGCAGGATGGAGGCAGGGCTGG
The DNA here is from genome assembly GCF_000001405.40 of Homo sapiens. Taxonomy (NCBI): domain Eukaryota; kingdom Metazoa; phylum Chordata; class Mammalia; order Primates; family Hominidae; genus Homo; species Homo sapiens. The sequence continues at coordinate 68,705,037 of NC_000011.10, forward strand.
GGGAAGATGCCTCACGGTGATCCCTCCTGTCGTGCTTCCTCCCTCCTCTGAGGCTAAGGACTCCTGGGGAGAGAGTGCAGCACGGAGACCGCACAGCCGGCCCCATGCACAAAGCTGTGCCCGGTGCCTTCCTAAAGAGCGCGCCGCCTGCAGAACGGGAGGCCTCCTCCCTGCTTCGTCTTCTGCGCCCCCTCCTGCTCTCTGGATCCTCTGGCTGCTCTGATCATTTTATCTTGGATGAGGGTTCAACCTTTGAATTCCCTAAGACAGTATTTTAACTGACTCCTTACGATAACTTGTTTATTATGGTTTGAAACCGCGCCCACACTGAAAGGGGACCAGTGCTGGCAGAACTTCAGGTACTGGTGAGAGGTTTGTAAAGGGATAGGAGCATCCAAGCCGAGATGAAAAATACACCAAGCCTTCTGCTGACCTTCCGCCGCCAACAGCACCTTCTCTCCTAAGGATGCTCCCTGGCCGCCAGACTTTCTGTGCAGTGCGCAGCCTGTGTTCACTGACAGGAAAGAGCGATTTCAGCGCGTGTCATTCTAAACAATGATTTCTTCTCCGTGTCTATGAAAAAACAAGGTTTTTTTTTCTTTCGGATAAACAAAACAAAAACCCAAAACCAACAGATAATCTAACCTTAATCACAAAGGTGGTCCGAGTTATTTAGTAGGTACAGAGTAGAAAGATATGGTTAAGGCTGGGCGCGGTGGCTCACGCCTGTAATCCCAGCTCTTTGGGAGGCCCAGGGGGGCGGATCACCTGAGATCAGGAGTTCAAGACCAGCCTGGCCAACATGGTGAAACCCCACCTCTACTAAAAATACAAAAATTAGCCGGGCGTGGTGGTGCGCGCCTGTAATCTCAGCTACTCAGGAGGCTGAGGCAGGAGAATCACTTGAACCCAGAAGGCGGAGGTTGCAGTGAGCCGAGATCGCGCCATTGCACTTCAGCCTGGGCAACAGAGTGAGACTCCGTCTCAAAAAAAAAAAAAAAAAAAAAAAGATATGGTTAAATTTGCACAGCTACACTCTCAAATAAGAACATGATATGTTAATTTGTATATCGTTTTAAAATAGCACTGGCTCTCCGCCAAACACATAAGAGATGGGATTTTCTAGCTTTGTAGTCATCTTCTGTACTGTCTCTGGTCAGCATAGTGGCTTTATGCACGTCTGTATCTCGGCTTTCACTTCTCAGACGGGATTCCCTGCAAGTGGCACCTACTCAGTGAATTCTTCTCTGCCGGAAGACCCTGCAGGGCTCGTGCCTGCCCAGGTTGGCTCTTCCCTCACCTCCAGGCGTTAGCTCAGTACACCTGGCCACAGTCAGAGCATCCTTGGCCAGCGCAGGCTCCTGTGCAAAGTGGGGGGCCTGTATCCCCAGCCCCACACTGAGTTCCCTGCTCACACTTCCTCTGGGCTCCGCGGGTGGGCCACACCTGGTTCAGGATCTCCCTAGGCAGCCGTTGCCTCAGGAGAATGCTGGAGGACATTGTTCCCTTTTCCTCCCTCCACTCGGTGCCCCAGGGCTGTGCTGAGGCGCCCGAACCCTTAAGGTGTGGCTGGTGCCAACTGAGACCTGCTGTGAGTACAAGACACCCTGCATTTCAAATATTGGGTACACATAAAGGAATGTGAAATCTCAATCATTTTCATTCTGATTACACATTGAAACGATAGTATTTTGGATACATTGGGATAAATAAAAGATTATTAAAACTAATTTTACCTGCTCCTTTTCAAAGTTTTACATGTAGCTACTAGAAACTTTAACAGTACTCATGTGGCTGGCAGATCTTGCTGTTGGCAGTGTTGCCGAGAGGGACAGCAGGATGGAGGCAGCCCCCCCAGAGGCAGCTCCCAAAGTCCCCATTTCCAGGTCACCTTCCAGCTCCCAAGGGTGAAGGAGGCCAGGTGGCTCCCCCAGCAGTGCGCCTCCCTGTTCGCCGCGATGCTGACAGGACTGAAAGCACACACAGCAAGTGGGGTGTACGGCTGGCTGAGGGTTCCACGTCTCACAATGCATGTCTTTACCTCTGGTTTTCTGCCACAGACTCTGGATCCCAGGGGTCCAAAGGGAATTGCAAAGGGGAAGAATTCAGTCTTCCTTTTCTCCTCTGTGGCTTCCTGTGGCTGTGTTTGCAACTAGACTGTTCCAGACAGCTCCACAAAAGACAGCTTCCTCCCTGGTTGCTTGCTCACTTATGTGCCCAGTGCCTGGGCCCGGCAGCCACACTTCTGTCTCTGCTGCATTTGTACTTGAGTTTCCTGAACACCCTCTAAGTGGCCAACACTAGTAATGAATGCAGAAACATGAAAGAATATTCTCTCAATACATTTCAGGGTGGGTACTCATCAGATGAACACATTTTCAGTTACTAAGTTAATGACAACAATTGAAGACATTGGAAATTTTTATTCATCTTTGCTTTACAACAGAACCAAAAGCGTCAACTTAAGAATTCATTTTACCTGCTGGTTTCCACAAGCTAGTTATGTGAACCATGTTTTACAAACAATAATAATATTACAACAATAATTATGGAGAAGTTAATTGGATAATAGAGCTTTTCCACAATTCAAGTAGAAACACAGAAGAAACTGGATAATTTTAAGTCCTCTAACTCAAGACATGCTGGTGCAAGCCTGGCCTGCGAGGCCCCATTGCCTGCGTCTCCCGGGGGCCTTAGGAAAGACTGACAGTTCGCGTGCCTCTGGGGAAATATCTACGCTACAGAAAATCTTTAGGTGTTCAGTAGTTCTCTAGAGATTTTAAGTGGTATCACAACAGCCCATCCGGAGAACTTATTTCTAAATAATTTGAAAAACAAACAAGAAACCATTAGGGTTTTCATGCAGAGCAGCCTCCAGAGCAACATTCTCTGAGAGGAAGAGTCGACCAGAGTGAGCTCTCCGCAGGGCCTGCTCTGCCCTCCCCTGCCCCGCTCTGCCCTTCGCAGGGCCTGCTGTGCCCTCCCCTGCCCTGCTCTGCCCTCCGCCGCCCTGCAGACACTCTCCCAGGACTATGGGAACCCAAGCTCTCTCCTCTGGGCCAGACAAACAATGCTCAGGCCATGCACCTCCTCAGAAAAGGGGGCATGGGTTGCCACATCTTCAGAGAGCTCTGAGTAAACTCCCTGGGCCCAGGGATGCAGGGGAGCCTGGTTGTTGCTGCAGAGCCAGCCTCATGTTCCCCTAAACATCCTTTCTAAACTAGAGATTTCTAGACTAAGACAAAATCAACATGCATTCACACTTTATACTCTACTCCATTTTCAATCCCTTAGATTTAAACTCAGTGTGGAGAATCTGTGATAAGCACCTTCCAAATTCCTCCAGGATCATCTGCTCTGCCAGGCACTTGGAGCAGTGTTCTTTCTCGGCCTCTTCTCCCTGAGCAAGCAGGCAGGCGCATGTGGCCTCCACCACCTCCCAGGAGATGCATGAGGAAGGCCGCCTGTCAGAAACAGAGCAGTTAAAGGCCGCTCAACAGTGCACCATTTCTACCTACAGTACTATTTATATTCAACAGAACATTGCTTGTCCATGCTATTTTAAAGAACATCATCCACTAAAATCTAACGTTGTCTTCCTCATACTGGAAACTATTAGGCTGGGCACAGTGGTCTGTAATCCCAGCACCTTGGGAGGCCAAGGCAGGAGGATGGTCTGAAGCCAGGAGTTTGAGACCAGCCTGGGCAACAAAGTGAGACCCTTTTTTTTTTTTTGATACTGAGTCCTGCTCTGTTGCCAGGCTGGAGTGCAATGGCACGATCTCGGCTCACTGCAACCTCCAACTCCCTGGTTCAAGTGATTCTCCTGCCTCAGCCTCCTGAGTAGCTGGGATCACAGGCATGCACCACCACACCTGGCTAATTTTTGTATTTTTAGTAGAGACAGGGTTTTGCCATGTTGGCCAGGATGGTCTCGATCTCCTGACCTCATGATCTGCCCTCCTCGGCCTCTCAAAGTGTTAGGATTACAGGCGTGAGCCACCACACCCGGCGGAGACCCTGTCTTAAAAAAAAAAAAAAAGAAAGAAAAGAAAAGAAAGAAAGGATTAACTGGTTTTAGAAGAATAACACAGAGGACAAGTAAATCTGTCCGTTTTTGACATGCCTCTCATGGCGGGTTTGAAATTTCCTCAAAATTAGATTCACTGACGAACCCAGAGGATCCCGGGCTACAGTGTCAAGCACGTGGGCCAGGCAGGAAATTGCAGAAGCAGGACTCTTGGCTGAGGCAGGGCACGGGGACAAGCCGAGCAGCTTTGCTCTGAGTCCTGTCCACGCTGGGTGTCTGCCTGTCCTCCCCGCAGGCCCACGTGCAGCCAGAGAAGGCCAAGGTTCTGAGGACTCGCCTGTCAAACCTTGGGGTCCTGCTGTCAGGACAGCCTTCCCCATCAATGCCGCTTGGAGCTGTGAAAGAGGTTCTGGAAGACAAGTTGAACCGCATCACATAGCGCCAGCTATTCTCCCCACTGAGCTCAGGGGGCAACTGTGGCTTAGCTAGATAGCAACCCAGGTGGCGCTAAGTCGAAAAATTTTCAGGAAAGCTTTATAAAACATTAAAAAGTGTTGGATTATAAAAATAAAGCAAAATGTTGGATTAAAGTCTCTCTATAAAGACAATACACGATGACTTTGGTTGAAGAAGAAAAGATAGGGCTGCCCTTGGGAAAAGAAGGGCTGCTAACACTGCAAGACGAGGCTCCAATGTACAGGCCCCCACCGGACTCCACAGAACACACATCCTGCTGCAGGCGATGACATTTTCACACATCACTTCACAGACAATGCAGCCAGGTTTTGGTAAATTTTTACTGATAAAGACCTCTGTGGGTCAGCTGGGTGCGGTGGCTTACGCCTGTAATCTCAGCAGTTTGGGACTCAGAGGTGGATGAATCACAGTTCAGGAGTTCGAGACCAATATGGCGAGACCCCATCTCTACAAAAAGTAGAAAAATCAGCCGGATGTGGTGGTGCGTGCCTGTAGTCCCAGCTACTCAGGAGGCTGAGGTGGGAGGATCACCTGAACCTGGGGAGGTTGAGGCTGCGTGAGCTGTGATCGCACCACTGCACTCCAGCCTGAGCAACTGAGTGAAAGCCCTGGTCTCAAAAAAAAGACCCCTGTAGGTCACAATCATGAGTATTTCTGATATCTCTCTAACCAAATAAGCATGAATTTGGCTTTGCAAAATATTAATTAATGACATCTGGTAGTTTATCATGATATGACCATTACATTGAACTCGAAGTTTTTTTTAAACAAATGAATGGAATCTAATAGATAGTAAAACTATGACTCAACTTTGAGAACTACTAGGATTACAATGTGGCTTCAAAACTGATAAATGCAAAATTATCCAACTAATCCGGATCCACAACTGCTTAGTAAGGAAAACAATCTGGACCAAGTACAGCTCTTTGCTGCCACTTCCCACGATAAAGGATAGGGAGGTACGCACTGTCTTTGCTGCGCTGGGTCGTTGTGGCTCTATATTAACGCAAAGGCAGTGTCAGAACTCTGCTAGCCCTGCTGGTGATCCTGGCAGCAGGGCTCTTTTGTCTGGTACAAAACGGGAGTAACTCAGACAGTGAGGATGAGAAGACAAAGAGGACAAAACAGGTTTCTGCAGCGGGGCCTCTAAGGAAACACAGTGGCCACCCAGGATTAGCCCATGGAGGGAGGAACGACTTCCCTCTGCCCCCAAACACACGCCCGCCCCTGCAGGCTCACACATTCTTTCCAGTGTATAAATTGTCGTTAATTCTCCTCTCAAATTAACCTCTGTTCCCTCTATTAGCAGAGGTTAGTTCAAAGTACCTACCTATCGTGACTGAATCTTGGAAGTCCTGAAAATTTCGTTGGTGGCAGGTAATGGCTGCCTTCCAAACCTCCAGTCTGCATGTAGTTTGGCATGCTCATTAGTGTCTTTCGTTCTGGGCTTTCTTCATAATTTTTGCAACCAATGCATTTGCAAATAGAAGAACACATAATTTGGGCCTGGTAATATAAAATGCTTCAATAAAATTAGGTTGTCTCACAAGTCATCAAAAACTGACAAATTCTATTTGGACCTTAAATAATTCTTCGCGTATATTTGCCCATGACAGAGAGTGTGTGTGTGTCTGTGTGTGTTGAGTGTGAATGTGTGGGTGAGAGCGTGTGTTGAACGTGAGTGTGTGTATGAGTGTGTGTGGGGTGTGTGTGTGTTGAGTGTGAATGTGTAAGAGTGTGTGTGTGTTGAGCGTGTATATGAGTGTGTGTGGGGTGTGTGTGTGTCGAGTGTGCGTGTGTGTGCATGAGTGTATGTGGGGTTTGGGTATGTGTGTGTATATGTGTGAGTGAATGTGAATGTGTGTGTGACTGTGTGTGTTTGAATGTGTGCGTTTGAGAGTGTGTGTGTGTGTGTGACCTGCAGTTTTCATCAAGTGCTGCTGTTGTGGAGATGCCATAGTCCTGCTGCTGACAGAGTGGAGGCCGAGTGTATGGGTGTGAGTCCCAAGCAGAGAGAGGGTGTTGCTCTCCCTTCTCTACCCGGGAGCCAGCAGGCTGCTTCTTTGACTTGTTTTGAAGAAAGCCTGCCTTAGCTGATTATAAAACTCTAGCTTATGGTTCTCTTTCAGCATGTGAGGCTATTATGCTGGTTCTATGGGTGCAGAGAATGTACAAGAGAGTAGAATTCGAAATCTGCCTGAGAGCAGGCCTGTGGCTGGGAGCTGTCAGGGGAGACCTCTCCTGCTGCCTTGTGGGTGGATTTTGTTTCAAGCTTTTCCTGGCAATGTGATGCTGAGGGGGCCGGCATGTCCCATCTGTACCCAGCAAGCCCCCTCTTGCCCCCTCATGCCAAATTCTTGCTCATGTGGGCCCCAGGGGCTGACCAAGAGCTGGCACTGCCAATCACTATGGTTTTTGGCTTTCTCTTTCCTTCAGCCCCCCGGGGATTTCCCTCTGTTCTTTCCAGCTGAGAGATGCATCTTCAGGGGGATGCGTTCTGTTTCATCTGCACCTCTGGGTGTTTTGAAGCAGGAGGCTTTATAGAGTTTCTAGTCTACACGAATGCCAGAGACTAAAGGGCAGTGCTATCCCTTTCCTCTGAGCCTGCACATTCTGTGGGCTGTGCCCAGCATAGGCTCTGCCTTGGGGAAGTGGGCTGAGCCACAGTTCCATGGCAGCCAGTGAAGGTGTTTTGCAGGACAGAGGAGCTGCTGTGGGTGCGATTGGAAGTGGTTCCTCGGGGGTGATGTCAGTCCCATTTCAACTGTGCATCTCTGTCGTGTTTTGACTGTGTTTTCCACATCCGAGCTGGGGAGTGTGGGGTCCACCTTCCCAGGTCTTTCAGTGCATGTCTCCAGAATCAGGTGGACTGTTCTCAAGCCCAACCCTCTGTGACAGACAGCCTTTGAAAAGTATAATTCACAGGAACCCCCAAAAGACCTCAAGCAAACCAAAACAGAGGTTTGTAAGGAAGGTTTGCTCGGCTGTTCCCCTGATAGGGCCTAAGGGTTCCCTCACTTTCTCTTTCCTCCTTTCCCTCAACACAAAGGAAAAGAGAAATAGCAAAGAGAGGTGAAACTGCGACAGCACTGAAGGGGAAAGTGGGTCCTCATTAATCTTTGGGAAAAGAAAAAGCTTTTGTCCAGGCCGTGATCTGCAGCTTGCTTTGTTAGCCTCTCTCCATTGGCTTAGGCTGGCTGTCCATTCTGGTCTCTGATGGGGCTGTGAGCCAGGGAGGAGCTACCCTTGGTCAAAGCACCAGGTGAATGGATGTCTGGGGACAAGCGCCACAGGGACTTGGAACTGACTGAGACTTTGAGGCCAAACTGTCCCCCACGGCCCCACCTAGAGCACCTGGGCTTTGCTCAGGGAGGAAGAGGCGCGGCTGCCCTCCGGGAGCTTCCACCCTGTTGGAGGACCAGCGTGGATCAGTGGCCACAGAGGGACAAAGCCACGCAGAGGGCACCCTCACTGGGTACTCAGGGCTGGGCTCAGGGGAAGCAACATGCTCCAAAAGGAGCCCTCAGCAAATTGACCCGGTTCACAAAGCTCAGCTGTATTTGGGAAATTAATTCAGATTGATGTAAGTGTCCTTCTAGAAACTCTGGAAGAAAAAAATAATTATATTTATCTTTTTAAATTACAGCAAAGTTTTTTTAACCACAAAAGTTACTCAACATATTTACCTGTGTTTTTTGTTAGTGAGTTAGGGAGCTGGGCACTAACCTCATAGCACTCGCAGTAATTCTTCAGGCAGCCTGACCTCCTGCAGTTGCACCCTTTGTTGTGCTGGGGCTTGACATTGCCCAATTGGCCCTTCCCAATTTTTGGCTGGAAAGCTTCTGGATTTCTACCAAGACATGCCTAGGGTAGAATGGGAAGCTCCATCAGGATGGATTTTATCATTTAAAACTCAGCTCAATGAAGGGCATCTCATTTGAATCTGATTGTTGTAAAAGATGCCACAATAAACAGAGTCTCTTGACATGGTTCAGAAGGTGCAGCCCCTTCTTGTTTGATTTCCATTTGTTTCCATACACAAAAAGATATATTGTAGCTAAGGTTTCTTCATGTTTTGTTTTCTGAGTTTCCAAGTCTTACATATTTACTGTAAAAAAATAATAGATGGTAAAGATGCAAAGAAAATCATTATTTCCGTGTGGACACATTTCCATCCAGCATTTCTGGGGCCCTCTTTCCTAAGATGGTTGAGACCGTGGACCATACTAGCAGCTCACACTGCCTGATCACAACTCAACACACCATGTGCCAGGCTTCTTTCCATGGGATTTATATATACATGCCCTCTCATTTAATCCTCAGCAACTAACGTATGATTGTTTTATACCCGGAGAAACCCAGGCACCGAGAGGTTAAATAACTGCTGGTAAGTGGCGAGATCCTGATTCAAAGTCCCTGTGCTGACTTCAAAGCAGGTCTCAACCGCTGGGCCATGCCTTTCCCAAGCAATACACACGATATGTTATCCAGGTCTATTTGTTGTCCCTTTTTAATCTATCTATACACACAAATACATACATATCTTTACATACAAAACAATTCAACGCTCTTTGTAAAAATTCAAATACAGAGGTCACAGTGGAAGTCTGTGGCCTCCGTTCCGCTTCCTGGGGTTGACATTTGGAATCGGTGCTGTCCAGCAGCACGGCCCCTAGCACAGGGCCATCGCTACAGAATGTGCTGCTGGACAGCCCCAGCCTGCGGTGCGCGGCTTTAGGCATTTTCACGGATCACTGAAGTGTGACAGGCAGTGGAGGCACACATCTGCAGCTGTGGCATGATGATCTTGTGCATGTGTGCACACCTGTGTACCTGTGCACACCTGTGTACCTGCTACCAAGGTCAAGTTAGAGGACAGGCGGCCCCACAGGTTGCCTTGTGACTCCTCCTCAGCGGTGCACCCCCGCGGGGAATGCTCTTCAGACATAGAGGGCTTTAGGTTTGCCTATGCTGGTGCCTCAGGTAAGTGGAATCCCACAGCTTGTACTCCCGTGTCGGCTGCCTCCCTCAGATAACAACTAGGAGGTCCGTCCGCACTGCTGCGCTTAGCTGTAGCTCCTGCTTTTCATCAATGCATCAATTCATCCATTCTACCACGGATGGACATTTGGGCTGTTTCCAGTGCCTGGCTACTCTGAATGAAGCTGCTGTGAACATTCCCGTACAAATCTCCCAGTGGACATTGGCGCTTGCTTCTATTGGCTATATTTGTAGGAAGGAAATGGCTGGATCATAGCATACACAAAGGTTTAGTTTTGGTAGCTATTGTCAAACAGTTTCCCGAAGTGGTTGTGCCCCTTTATATGCCTATCAGCAATGTATGAAAATTCCAACCCTTTTTGTTTTTACAGTTTTAACTGTAGATAGTATTCTTTATCCCTAAATAAAATGTACTAAAGTTTACATGCGTGACAATTTTCTTCTGTCCTATGGCTCTGGCTATATCAAAATTGGTTAGATATTTCAAGTCATTTATCCATAATTCAAGAGGAGAATTAAATTATTTTAGAAAACAATGCAGAGAGCAGCCACACCCTTATAATTGTGTTCTATTTGCACAGGACATTCTCAGGTCTACAGTCAATGGCTCTCAATTTCCCTTCGTGAATGAGTGGGCACCGGAAGTGTCTCCCTGGAGTAGGTTGACAGCCTTGAGCCTAACTGTCCCTCCTTTATCCCTGATTATCTTTTGTGCCTAAAGAAAGGGATAAAAGCTGCAAGCTCCTGTGTTTAGCCTTCAGCAGAGTGGCCATCGGGGGCATCAAAGTAACCTTTTGCGTCTCTGGGAAAACCTAGATTCTTCTCTTTTTCTGGAAGCTGAGGGGTGAAATTTAAATTGTTAAATTTTACAATTGAAAATGTAGGCTGCCTGATCACTTTCCCCTAGCCTTCTCACGCAGTGGACTGTCTACACCTTTGCGGCTACACTGCTCCAGCTCATGCTTATCTGCTATGTAAGATGACCCCAAATGTCTAAACTCCAAGATAAAGTGGACATTCGCATGTTCTTGAATCAGAACCTTCCTAGACTGCTGCATCTCTGAAGCCTTCCCACATAATAAAAGGGAAAAGGCCTTTCTCTGCCTACCACTTTTACAACAGCCGCTTGTCGTGGTTCAATACCCCCACCGGCAGGAATCAAGTTGTATTCAATGTAAATTCTTCAAAACTGTGGGTTTTTTCCAATGAGGAATCTCTGAAGGTGATTTTATGAACATCTCAAACAGTTTGAAATGCTTTTAAAATGCATACATTTAATGGACATTTATTACCTTAATGGCTTTAAACCGTTCAATATCATGATGCAAGTTGTTGCAACAATTATTACAATTGCAGTTGTTGCAAAAGTCCCCACTGGCAAAGCAGTCACAGTACCTGTGAAGGAAAGGACAGAGTGAGTGGCAGGCACAGACGGCACAGTGAGTAGTGAAAAGAAGAGCACACACGTGTAAGGAAAGAGCGGGCAGTGTGCTGCAGTCAGAACACTGAACACTTTCATAGACGGCTCAGACTCCTTTTATATGAGAACTAGATCAACTAGGATAATGCTCACCAGTGACTAACACAGAAGGGAGTAAAACTAGTTAAAACCATTTGTTTCATAATATAGGATTTTGCAAAGCAAAACAATTTCCTGTCAAATCCATTGCATCAATCAATCCTCCCTGGCCCCTAATTGCCCTCCGCCATTTTCCCAGGAGCGCAATAAGTTTGGTGGGCAGAAACATCAAGTAATGAAGAGCTGTCCCCATCAACTTCCCCAGTCCATCCAACATGACTGAAGGTGTGTTCACTTCTTCACCAGACCTTGACTTTGAGTGAAAACTAATGGGACCCAGAGGTGGAACCTGGCCTAGGCCTTAACTCGCTTTCATTCTGTGAGGGGGAAGTGAATGGCAGAGGAAAGGAATGGATGAGGCGGCTGCAGTCACACCTCTTGGTTGTAATGCGAGGGTTGTTCGAGAATCCTGAGTCTAGTGAGGCCCTTGGAGTGGACACCACCATGCCCTGTGACTCCTGGGGCCACACAGGTGGGTGGCAGTGCTGTGGATTGGCTCTGAGGGCTTCCTGGGAGAGCCGCCAGTGCTGGCAGCCAGTCTCCCTCCCAAGGTCTTGTAAGACGCCTGCTCCTGCATTGTAAGGCAGAGAGGTGTTTACAGGCACGCGCTTTACCCTTACTGGGATGGGCAAGGGCGACGCTCTCCTTAACTCATGTGAAAATGTAGCATCAAGGCAAGGACTCCTACTGTGCCACCTATGACCCGCGCCCCAGAGAGCCACCCCATGGCTTCCACCTGTGACCAGAGAAGACCCCTGTCACTGTCTTCTGTGAGCATGGTTCATCGAAAAGAGCTTCCAACTCGTTTTCCACATCGGCTCTGCCGCCTTCTCCCCATGTGCCAGTCAGCTTTGCAAGCTGTAGAGTGGGAATCGTGGTGCTCAGCCTCCCAGTCCCAAAGCGCTGCTGAGGGAAACCCTGGGCGTGTGAAGCTTCCCATAGTGCTGCAGGAACACGGCGAGGGCCGTGCAGGAGACCAGAGGTCTGCAGAAACCTCTCTGGGGCAGAATTCCCAAACACAATTCTTTTCATAATTATTATTTTCATATTTTAAAATAATATTTTAATGTCAAGTCAACAGGAAAGTAAAGAGGATCATTAGAGGCCAAAAAGACAAGAAATTGTGAACCCAGAGAGGCGAGTTCTGCAGCAGCTAAGTGCTGCCCTGGGGCATCTGCCAGTCCCTAGGGACCCGGAGCTTGGGTTCCAATGTGCAGCAGACAGGAGACAAAGTCTGGGCATCAGACCAGAGACCCCTCATAAAGTGTGGATCCCTGAAAGGCGAGCTCCCCAAGGAGTGAATTATTAGAGACAACTCCACTCCACAACAGGGGAGAGGAGAGACACATCCCCTGCAGGGAGAAAGGGGAACTATAGAGGTCTCTCCTGAACCTGCAAGCCACGCAGATGGAAAGAAGGGAAAGGGGACAGTGACAGAAGATTTGGACACCAGATAGCAGAGGGGCGAGAGAACTGGCGTGGCAGACTCAAGAATGCTGAACCTGAAGTCAGCAGGAAAGAGCTGGGAAGGAGCTTCGGAAGGCTCTGGAATGGGCAGCACCAGGTTCCTCCAAGGGAGAGCAAAGCCAGGTGAGATAAGAAGAGAACCAGGGGGATTCTCTGCAGGAAGGCATGAGTCCCCAGATGACTCCTCCTTCCTAAGCAGCTGGGACCCCCCTGCCACCGTGGCAGAGACTAAAAGTGACTCTCTTGGAGCAAAACCATTGGGCGTGGGATATGATAATGAACAAATCCAAGAAAAGTGATTGTTGAGACCCCTAGGTTTCTTCTACTCAGCTTCTAGCATTCTAGCAGGAGACTAGAAAAGCCTCCTCTGAGGACTCTGACCAGCCCAGGAGAAAATATCTAGAATTTGACATTGAGCTTTCCCAATAAAATAGCTAAGTGACCACCCTGTGGTGAAGCTACAGTGACCAAGCCCTCAGCAGTGCACCTGCAGGCCCAGTCAGCCCACACCTCAGCTACAGCCCCCAGACAGCCCACTCCTCAGCTACAGCCCCCCGGTCAGCCCACCCCTCACCTGCAGCCCCCAGTCAGCCCACACCTCATTCTTAAGTATGAGCAGAGTGACGCCCAGGGATCCACAGACATGTTAGGAAATCTTCCAGAGTATGAAAGACAGGGGCCCAGAGAAACGGACCATGCATGGAAAAGAAAACTAGGAGGAAAGTGGTATCAACAGCCTTAGAGAGACTAAGAAAAGTTATTGATCGATGAAACAGGAAAATAATTCTTATTAAAAATCTCAGGATATGAAAAAAGATATTTTAGGAAGCAAAAAAGTAATCACAGTGATGAAAGACCTAGAAGGTATGAAAACTAGAACTAATCAGAGGAGAAAGCAACAGTGGGCCAGACTAGAAAATCCAACATTTATATAGTAAGAATTTCAGAAATACTGAATATTAAGAATGAAGGGGATACAATAATTCCAGAACATTTCCCAGAACTAAAGGCCATGAGTTTCTGAAGGGAAAGGACCTGCCTTGGGCTCTGCACAGTAGCTAGGAAAGAGACTGGAACCAAGACAGCATGAGCACATTCTGCAGCACTGGGAATAAGAGATGATCCTCTATGGTTCTAGAAAGTATAAAACAGTTTTCATACAGAGGATCAAGAAAAACAATGATGTTAAAATTCCACTAGCAACATTGGAAGCTAGAAGAAATGCAGTAAGGCCTTCAAAAGTCCAAAGAAAAACCATTTCCAACCTGAAGTTATACTCCCAATCTAAATTATCATCTAAGCATGAGGATAGACTAAGACATTTTTAGACACGTAAGGTCTGAAGAAATTACATCCCATGTACTCTTCCTCATGGAAGCTACTGGAGAAGGCACTGCACCAAAATGAGGCTGTGAATCCCACAAGGAAGATGCGGGCTCCAGGAGTCAGGAGCCCAAACATGACAAAGAAGCTGGTGAACCCCTTAGCATGATAGTAGAGGGGGGTCCAAGACGAGAGCTGCACACAGGCCTGGAAACCAGCCCCTCCATGGCAGGCCAGGCCAGGCAGCTCAGGAAAAGCCTTCACGACAGGACTGACAGTGCCCCCACTTCTGGGCATGTTGAGAAGACCGTTACACAACCAGAGGAGAGGTTAGTGTTATGTTAGTGTTGTGTGCATAGAAGACTAAGTACTGGGTATGAACAGAAAGGGAAAGGTAAAGAAGTTCAGGAAAGGATAATTCATGAAGGCTCAGCAGGGACCAGAGTTTTCATCGTCATAAAAATGTAAAGACTCAATGCTAATCTAACCAAGTCTATCTCATGTCTGGGTGTGGGAAATGTGTGTGTTGGTAGGGGTTGGTGTGTGAGTGGGAGAGGAAATAAAGCTAAATCCACATTTCCCACAGTACAAAAACAATAGATCACACCAAACTGAAAAGCCGAGGAGTAATTCAGACCTGTTATTTAGACTTATGGAAGCAAATATTAGAAGATTCAGTTAAAAGAGTTGAAAGTTCCTGGGGGTCAGAAAATAAGGAACAATTGTCAGGGTACTACTATGTTTTGTCATGAGCCTGGTACAATTATGTGGCTCTCTAAATTATATGTGTATGTGATTTGGATAAAAATAATAAACTGAGAGTAAGACAGAATAAAAGATAAAGAAATTAGTCTAGATGCAGCACAGAAGACAGATTGCAAATATACAAGAGAGGTTAAGAGAAACAGTCAAGAGTTAGAGAGGCTAACGTGTCTGTCTGGTGAGCATTACGGAAGGAGAGAGGAGAGAAAATGGGGGAGAGGCATCTTTGGAGTGAGGATATCTGTGAGTTTTCCGGAACTGATGATAACTGTGGATGCTCAGATTTAGGAAACCTAATGAACTCTAAGAAAGACAAACAAAAAGAAAAACCAAAGACAAAAAGAAAATCTCAAATGCACTAGAGTAGAAAGATACATTACCTAGACTTGCATCTGACTGCTTGTTAGAAATAATGGGAAACAGCAGACTGTTTTCAAAGCATTGGCAGAAAAAACCTGACAACCTAGAATTGCATACCCAGTAAAAGTATGTTTACTCACCGAGGTCCAGGCTAGGCACACTTCTTTTTTTCACCGTACACTCTTTTGCTGACTGATTTTATTAACTCTTGCCCTTTTAATCTTTTGAAGATTTTAAAATCTGTTTTCACCAAACCTGCTCTCTCTCCCACACTCCAGACCCTAAAATCCTTATTGTTTTATTTCCCAAACATAATGAAAGGGTGGGCTGTCCACATGTGCTCTTATCATTCCTCATCTCCCATTCATTCTTTAACCTTTGCGTTCAGATTTCCTCCTCCTGCCCACAGACTCTCAAAGGCAATCAACCAGCTCCTGGAAAACCCAGGGCTCTCTTCACTGTTCTTGAGAGCTTTAGACCCTACTGTGTTCCAGAACCACATCCCAGCTTCCAGTCAGAAATCTCTATCTTCAATTCAGCGTGTCCACCCCTTCACCCACGGTCTTCATCTGCACCCCTCGTGCTGCTCCAGCCACTCTCTCCTCCTGTGCTTGCTCTCCATCCATGGTGTTACCATCTGCCCAGTAACACAGCCCCTGTGTTGGTTCTGACAATTACCTTGCTCTGTTTCCCCACATCCAAGGGTTGCCAAATCTACTGATTCTGGCTCAGAAATGTCTTTTATTAATTTTATTTTTGATAAATGTAAATCATATTTATTGTGGAATTTTTAAAAATACAAATAAGTAAAAAGAAACAAATTACATCCAATCTGAATCTCATTCCCTAGAGATGATCATTTGATGAATATATTTCAGACTTTTTCTGTAAAACTATACATACTGAAATAAGTATATGTTGTTTGGTTACAGATTATATGTAAACAAAAATAAGATCATATTCTACAAACTGCTTCAGTGTGCTTTTATTACTTATCAATAGAAGTAATAAAGATAACATCTTTCTTTTATTACTCATCAGTATGTTATGAATGTTTCCCATGTAAATAGATTTACATACCATTTTAATTGCTGTACATACCCCATACTATAGCAGCACCTTGATTTATTTAATAATTCACTTTATACTGAGCATGTAGATGTTTTATATATCTTGGAAATATAAACAATACTATAGTAGTGGTGTTGGTCTTCTTTCTGTTCCTAGAACCATCCACCCTCCCTCTCTTGCCACAGGGCCTTTGCACCTGCTGTTTCCTCTGCCTACAACACTCTTAGCATCCACCTTCAATCTACTTCCACCCAATGAACTCCCCCTAATCCAAACACACCTCCTCAGGGAAGCCTTCCCCGACTGCCATGCTTGCTCAACACGTCCCACCCCCTCAGCCCATTACTGCTCCTTTGCCACATTTTCCATGGTTCCACTCCGACCTTTAATTACATGATGATTCATATGGGAATAGTCACTTTAGACTGTGAGTGCTGGGAGGGCAGGGACCGTAACTCTCTTGCTCACTCTGTCTTCCCTGTTCCTGAGATCATGGGCATTCAAAAATATTTATGGAATGAATGAATAAATGAGTGAAAAAATGATACAATGCATATGTTGGAAAAGTCTCTGGAATCTGTGTTTTTTCCTTCATTGTCACCACCCCTGCCCGGGTTCAGGTCTGTGCTGCTGCAGTGGCCTCCTAATTAACCTCGCTTTCAACTTCCTCCACTTTGCCATTAGCACTAATTTTCCAAAACATAAATCAGGCAAAAATAAGCAAGCGAAAAAGCAGTAATCAGAAAATGCAAAATAAGATGGTATTGTATATTCCTAGTGGGGGTATAAAATGGTATGGCCACTATGGAAAGATACGGCAGTTCCTCAGAAAGTTACTATATGATCCAGCAATTCCACTTCTGGGTATGTACGCAAAAGGAGTGAAAGCAGGGACTCAACCAGATACCTGCTACATCAGTGTCCATTGCAGCATCAGGGTAAACAAAACGTGATTCATCCATACAATGGAATATTATGCAGTCATAAGAAGAGAGGACATTCTGACACATGCTACAACATGGATGGCACTTTAGAAACACTATGCTAAGTGAACTAAGCCAGATACAAAGGGACAGATATTGTATGAGTCCATTTATGTGAAGGACTTAGAATAGTCAAAAGAAAGAAAGTAAAATAGGGGTTACCAGAGATTGGGGAAAGGGGATGATGGAGAGTTTGATGGGTATAGAATTTCTGTTTGGGATGATGAAAAAGTTCTGGAAAAATTCAGTGATGGTGGTTGCGCAACACTGTGAATATATTTCATGCCACTGAATTGTATATTTTAAAAGTTTAAAACAGTAAATTTTATGTTATGCATATTTTGCCACTATCTTAAAAGACAAGGCACAGAGCAGAATGTATGGAATGCTGCCATCTGAATGGGAAAAAGGAACCTAAATAAAACTTAAAACTTCAAAAAAAAAAAGTTGTTACAAATAAGTCCCTATGTGTCAATAATCAGACAAAGAATGCAAATAGATTAAAGAAAGCTATTGAACATGGGTTATTAGATTTGCTTTTTTGAAAAATTCAGCTATATTTAACCTACAGAAGACACACCTAAAACAAAACTGCCACACAGAAAGTGCAAAACTAAAGGAATGTTATAAAGCATAACTCACTAATACTGCACTAGAGAAAGAAAACATGGTGCAGCAACATTACCGTCGGACAGAAAAACAACTGAAGGCAAAATGCGCCAAGATACAGAGGCATAGTCATTAACAACTGATGGAATAATTCACCAAAAAGATGTAGCAATCATGAATTTGTATGACCTTCATGCTATAGATCTGAAATATATAAAGCAAAATAGAATTATAAGGAAAAAGGAGACGAATTCATAATCTTAAGTGAGGGATCTCAACACATTTTTAGCAAAAACATAAAAATCACACAAAATTGAATAAGCAATTAGCAGATTTAAACAACAAAATAAGCCAGTGAATGGATAGATAACTGCCCCTAACAAATAGAGAATATACATGTTTTTCAAATTAATATAGAATATTTTCAAAATTGATTGTATTAAGTCTTCATTAAAGGAAGTCTTCATTAATTTCAAAGAATTGACGTACAGACTACATTATCTAACTACAGAGTAATTAAATGAAAAGAATTAACTAAAATATCATTTAAAAATATATACATATACATACACATATATGTATATATAATACAAATGTGGACACTATGAAATGTACATCTAAATAACTCATGAGGTAAAGAGAACATTACAATAAAAACGACAAGCTATTTCAAGCGGATGATAGTGAAAGTACTGCATATCAACTCTTGTAGGATGCAGTAAAGTAGTCCATAGGGGTAATTTACAGCTTTAAGTGCATTTCCTAAAAAAAAAAAAAAAAAAAATTTAAAGACTGAAAATAATAAGGTAAGCAGTTAACACAAAAAGCTAGCAAAACAAGAGAAGGAAATAATAAAGACAGCAGTAAAAAGCAGAAATTAATGTACTTCATGAACCACAACCAAGAAAATCAATAAAACCAAAAGCTGGTGCTCTGAGAAGGCTGACAAAATAGACAACCTCTCCTAGAACTGATCGAGAAAGTCTAGAAAAGGTCAAAGGCCATAATTATAGATACAGAGGTCATCTTTAAATATAGAATATATGAATACGAATATATGAATAAATTTGAAAGTTTTGAGGATTCAATACTTTTTAAGAAAAATATAAAATATCAAAATTGACTCAAGAAAAAACATAAAAAAGAAAACAAACTACAAAAGAAAGTGAATGAGTAACCTATCACCTTCACCACTCCAACTCCAATAGACATCAGACCCAGACAGTTTTTCAGACAAGTTTTTTCAAACGTTCAATGAACAAATAAATCCTACCTTACCCAAACTTTTTTAGAGGCTAGAGAAAAAGAAGCCAGTGGGGTGGGGATGGGGAAGCCTAACTAACGCATTTTATTAGGCAATACAATATTGATACCAAAATGAAAGAATATATGAGAAAGAAAAATTACAGGTCTATCTCACTTGTGAACAAAGATTCAAAAATCCTAAAGAGCGAAATCTTACAGTACATAATAATCAAATTGGGCTTAATCCCTGGAATGCAAAGGCAGATTAACATTGGAAAGTTTGTTGTCATAGATATATTATGAGATTAAAAGAGGAAAACAATCTGATCATTTCAACAAATACATAAAAAGGCACTCAATAAAATTCACCAGTCCTTTATTATAATTCCGATAATTATAATAATAGCAAATCCCTTAGGAAACTAGGAATAGAAGGAAGCATCCTTAACCTGAGAAGGGCACGTAGCAGAGAAGCCAGTCAGTCCTGCAACAGCCACTTCCCCTTATCCTACAGTGGCAGCAATTGTAGTGGAGCATATGGTTGGCTCACCTCAAGAGTGCATTTCCCAGCTTCCTATTTAGTTGGCCCGACCACATGACTAGGCTGTGGCCAAAGGGCTATCAGTGGAAGTGATTATGACAATGCCGGTCTTGCCATGAAAGGTTAAGGAGTGTGCACTTGCCCTCCTGTTTTCTCTTCCCCAGTGTCTGGAAGATGAACATAAGGGTAGGGGCTGGTGCAGCCTTCTTAGACCACAAAATGCAAGCCCTCCATTGAAGATGTCAGGGCAACTAAGACAGAAATCTGAGACAATAACATTGATTAGCCACCATATTAGTCCTGAAATGGTTGTAGTTTTGAGTCTTTGTTATAGCATCTGAGTATGTATTCTACCTAATAAGGGCATCTCTCAAAAACCTACAGCAACTATCTTATTTAGGGCAAGGCAAGGGAATTTTAGAAATATTTAGAATTTAGGAGGAATTCAACAGTGCCCCAGACCAGAACTTCCATTCATCACTATGAGGTTCTAGCCAGTATAATAAGGCAAGGAAAAGGGAAAAGAGTACAAAGATGGGGAAGGTATCACGGTCCAATATCTGTGATAAGATCATTGTTTAAATAGAAAGTTGAAGGAAATCCACAGACAAATCATTACAAATAAGAAGCAGAATTCATGTCTGGAGCGGGATTGAGAACCCCAAATCAGACCCATGTGTAATCAAACCCTGAGAGCTGACGGGGCTGCACTGCAGATATCGTGGACTATATCTGTGTTTTGCCATACATGGTGCTAGACAATTAATTGTCCGTATGGAAAAAAATAAAATTGAATCCCTACCTAATGCCAATCACGAAAATCAATTCCAGGTGATTTAAAGCTCAATGACAAAAGCAGAAATGTAAAACTTTTAGTAGAAATTCTAACATCACATTTATCCCACCTTGATCTAGGTTGCAGTGAGCATCATTCCATTAAAGACGCTGTCCTGGAGGTGCAGACTGCCTCAATGCTGGCACACTGGCAACACTGCAACACTTTTTGGGTCATCCTGCCCTGTGGCTTGCTGAGAGGGTGATGATACTGTTCAAGGAAATACTCATGATACCCTCTGTCAGATTCACTTCCCACAGGCATATTGAATCATGAAATTTTAGTCTTGGTGGTTGAAAAGACCTAAAATGACAGTTTTTTGTTGTTGTTGTTGTTGGAAACGGGTTCTCACTATGTTGTCCAGGCTGGTCTCGAACTCCTCGGTTCAAACAATCCTCCTGCTTCAGCCTCCCAAAGTGCTGGGACTACAGGTGTGAGCTACCATGCCCAGCTCAATGACATATATTCTAAACTCATTCTTAATTCATTGGCCATCCTGACATATTGCTTGCTATAAAACACTTAATAACATTGAATTAAATATTTAAAACCTTTTAGATGGCTACTTGAGCTGGTAAAAAATTAAGGAAACCCAACAGAGGGCAAAATTCAGAGGGCCAAGCTAAAACTGAAGCCTGAAGTGACCTCTGAAGCATCTGCTGATCCCAGCAACCAAAGGCGCTGGTTTTAACTGCTGCGTGGAGGAGAAAGGGGGAACTATGGCAACCCTAACTGTGGCAAACACTTACAAGGACATGTGTGATCTGCTGGGCTGTGCTCTAGGTGCTTTACGTATATTAACCCCAGTCGAAGGCACACTCAGGGTAGAAGGTCTGCTGCAGGATCCACACATGGACCAGAACTGCGGAGGGCTCTATCTACTCTGGGAACAAATGCCCTGAAAACAAATGGCAAGGAAATGTGTGTGTGATCCTGGCTGGTGGGAGGGGAGGAGGCTCACTTCAGGTTGAAATCTGAATTCATACTGTGCAGCCTAATAAAAAAAAAATTAGCCAAAAATTGTTAGTCATCCAAGTTGGAAGTGCCACCAAGCTCCAAGTGGAAGCAAACAAACCTTCTCTGAAGAGCACATTCTCAAAACAAGCCTCAAAGAACTCCCACAGGGAAAGCCCCAGTGATTATAATTCGCAGTTTAAAAAAATCACAAAATATGTGAGGTTCCAAGCCATAAGGAGAAAAATTCAAGAGATGAAACAAACACAGAATGAGACAGAGACTTTACTATAGTTATGAGCTACAGAGAAGATAATTATTTCATATTTTTAAATTTAAAATAAGAAATCAAAAGTGTGAGTAAGCAACAAGAGACTACCAAAAAAAATGACCATCCAGATTTCACCTTCTACTCCACAGAATTCTGGTGGCAATAATTAATCTAGTTAATTAGAGACAAAAGGCCACGTGAAGAAACAATATCACAGACTGTACAATCTATGCCTGAAATTTTAGGGTTTGGGCTGGGTGCAGTGGCTTACACCTGTAATCCCAGCACTTTGGGATGCTGAGGTGGGAGGATTCCTTGAGCTCAGGAGTTTGAGACCAGCCTGGGCAACATAATGAGACCCTATTTCTAAAAAAAATAAAAATAAAAAAGCTGGCTTGTGATAGCAGGAGGTTGAGGCAGGAGGATTGCTGGACCCCAGGAGGTCAAGGCTGCATTGAGCTATGATCATACCACCTTTGCATATCAATTCATCCAGCCTGGGTGACAGAGTGAGATCCTGTCTCAAAAAAAAAAAAAATAATGAAATGAAACTGAGTCTGGATTTTCTTAAAGTCAATCAATATATGAAAGGGCTAATTAAAACTGTCCTAAAAGGCTGAGTGCAGTGGCTCATGTCTGTAATCCCAGCACTTTGGGAGGCCAAGGTGGGCGGATCTCTTGAGGCCAGGAGTTCAAGACCAGCCTTGCCAACATGGCGAAAACCCATCCTACTAAAAATACAAAAATTAGCTGGGCATGGTGATGCATGCCTGTAATCCCAGCTACTCAGGGGGCTGAGGCACGAGAATTGCTTGAACCTGGGAGGTGAAGGCTGCAGTGAGCCAAGATCACACCACTGTACTCCAGCCTGGGCAACAGAGCCAGACTTTGTGTCAAAAACAAAAACAAAACAAAAAAACAAAAAAACTGTCCTAAAAAATATCTACACTCATGGTATAAAACCAATTCCTGCTTTTCTGAGAGGAAGAGACCTCTCTCCATCCTAGTGGACAGTGCTCCTTCTCACTCTATGAAATAATTGTCCAAAAATGTATAATTTAACACTTATAGGCAAACCTCATTTTATTGCACTTTGTTCTATTGGGCTTCACAGGTAATGCTTTTTTAATAAAACAAATTGAAGGTTTGTGTCAACTCTGCATCAAGCAAGTCTACGGCTCCATTTTTCCAACAGTATGTGCTCACTTCATGTCTCTTTATCATATTCCTGTAATTCTTGTAATGTTTCAAACCTTTTCATTACTGTTATGTCTGTTATAGTGATCTGCAATCCTCGTTCTTTGATGTCACTAAGTGTAATTGTTTTGGAGTACCACAAGCCACATCCATATAAGAGCACGAACTTAAGTGCAATTGTTTTGGAGTACCACGAGCCATGTCCATGTAAGAACATGAACTTAACTGATGAATGCTGAGTGTGTTCTGACTTCTCCACCAACTGGCGGTTCCCTGTCTCTCTCCCTGTCCTCAGGCCTCCATATTCCCTGAGACACAACAATATTGAAATTAGGCCAGTTAACAACTCTACAATGGCCTCTAAGTGTTCAAGAGAAAAGAAGAGTCCCACGTCTCTCACTTTAAATCAAAAGATTAAGCTTAGTGAGGAAGGCATGTCGAAAGCCAAGATAGGCTGTGAATCAAAGGAAAAGCTTTCGGAGGAAATTAAAAGTGTTACTCCAGTGAACACACAAATTATAAGAAAGCAAAACACTGCTGACATGAAGCAAGCCTGAGAGGTCTGGAGAGAAGATGAAACCGGACAAAGCCTAATCCAGAGCAAGGCCCTAATGCTTGTCAATTCCGTTAAGGCTGAGAGAGGTGAGGAAGCTGTACATCAAAAATTGGAAGCTAGCAGAGGCTGGTTCATGAGGTTGAAGGAAAGAAGCCATCTCCATAACGGAAAAGTACAAGGTGAAGCAGCAAGTTCTGATGGAGAAGCTGCAGCAAGTTCTCCAGAAGATCTAGCTGAGATCACTGATAAAGGTGGCTACACTGAACAACAGGTTTTCAGTGTAGATGAAGCAGCCTTCTACTAGAAGAAGATGCCACCTAGAACTTTTGCAGCTAGAGAAGAGAAGTCAATGCCTGGCTTCAACGCCTCAAAGGACAGGCTGGCTCTCTTATTGGGATATGGTGCAGTTGGTGACCTTAAGTTGAAGCTAATGCTCATTTCCCATTCTGCAAATCCTAGACCCTTTAAGAATGTTGCTAAAACTACTCTGCCTTGTGCTTTACAAATGGAACAACAAAGCCTGAATGACAGCACATCTGTTTACAGCATGATTTACTGAATATTTTAAGTCCACCGTGAAGACCTACTACTCAGAAAAAGATTCCTTTCAAAATATTACTGCTCATTGACCAGGTACCTGGCCCCCCAAGAGCTCTGATGGAGCTGTGCAAGGAGATTAATATTGTTCTCATGCCTGCAAACACAATATCCATCCTGTAGCCCATGGATCAAGGTGTCATTTTGACTTTCAAGTCTCATTATTTAAGAAATACATTTCATAAATCTATAGCTGCTATTGATAGTGATTCTTCTGATGGATCTGGGCAAAGTCAATTGAAAACCTTCTGGAAATTATTCCATTCTGTGTGCCATTAAGAATATTCATGATTCATGGGAGGAAGTAAAAATATCAACATTGAAAGGAGGTTAGAAGTTGATTCTAACCAGCTGGGCGTGGTGGCTCACGCCTGTAATCCCAGTACTTTGGGAGGCTGAGGCAGGCGGATCATGAGGTCAGGAGATTGAGACCATCCTGGCCAACATGGTGAAACCCTGTCTCTACTAAAAATACAAAAAATTAGCTGGGCGTGGTGGTGGGCGCCTGTAATCCCAGCTACTTGGGAGGCTGAGCCAGGAGAATGGCTTGAACCTGGGAGGTGGAGGTTACAGTGAGCCAAGATCATGCCACTGCACTCTAGCCTGGTGACAGAGGAAGACTCTGTCTCAAAAAAAAAAAAAAAAGTTGATTTCAACCCTCATGGATGGCTTTGTGGGGTTCAAGACTTCAGTGGAGGAAGTCACTGCAGATGTAGAAATAGCAAGAGAATTAGAATTAGAAATGGAACCTGAAGATGTGACTGAATTGTTTCATTACCATGATAAAACTGTAATGAATGAGGAATTGCCTCTTACAGATGAGCAGAGAAAGCAGTTTCTTGAGATGGAATCTGCTCCTGGTGAAGATGCTTTGAACACTGCTGAAATGACAATACAGGATCTAGAATATTCCATAAACTGAGTGGATAAAGCAGTGCAGGGCTTGAGAGGATTAACTCCAATTTTGAAAGTTCTACTGTGGGTGAAATGCTATCAAACAGCATCACATACTATAGAGAAATCTTTCCTGAAAGGAAGAGTCAGTTGATGTGCCAAACTGCATTGTTGTCTTATTTTCAGAAACTGCCACCGCAACCCCAGCCTTCAGTCCTCCACCACCCTCAACAGTCAATAGCCACGACATTAAGGCAAGACCCTCCCTCCACCAGCTAGAAGATGACAACTCGCTGAAGGCTCAGATGATTGTTAGCATTTCCTAGAAACAGTGTTTTTAAATTAAGGTATGTACTTTTTAGATAGAATGCTATTGCACACTGATTGTACTACAGCATGTTTATAGTTATATAAACATAACTTCTACATGCATTAGGAAACCAAAAACCTTGTGTGACTTGCTTTATTGTGATTTGCTCTGTTGTGGCTGTGGAGCTGAAGCTGCAGTACCTCCAACGCAAGCCTGTATGTTGTTGCCTATACCAAAATAGGCCTGTTATAAACGTTTTTATATTTTATATTTTACGTTAAATTTTTAAGTTGTATATTTTACAGTTGCTTTAAAAAATGATGTAGCAAATCAATGTTTAACATATACAAAAATGATTAAGAAAGACATTTGTAACAGTGCTGGAAAGGTAGATGTTAATTACTTTAAAAATCTGGCTGGGCGCAGTGACTCATGCCTGTAATCCCAGCACTTTGGGATGCCATGGCGGGCAGATCACCTGAGGTCAGGAGTTTGAGACCAGCCTGGCCAACATGGTGAAACCTCGTCTCTATTAAAAATGCAAAAATTAGCTGGGCATGGTGGCGGGCACCTATAATCTCAGCTACTCAGGAGGCTGAAGCAGTAGAACTGCTGGAACCTGGGAGGTGGAGGTTGCAGTGAGCCGAGATCACACCATTGCACTCCAGCCTGGGCCGACAACAGCCAGACTTTGTCTCAAAAAAAAAAAAAAAAAATTTAAAATCCATCAGTAAGTTTCCAATAAAATAGAAAGCATTTAACTACCTCTTCAGTTTACATCAACACCATTTTAATCATCCAGATTAATTTATCAGTTAAAAATAATTCCCAACTTTTTATGGCTACTGAAACAATAGCAACAAAAGGTTGGGGTACATTGTTTCAAGTTTCAGGGGTAAGGAACTAAGAGAGGAACTAAAAAGGGTAGTTCCAGCTCTATGTGGAGGAGGAAGATGAACGAGTAAAACGCTTGTCTACCACAGGAAGAGGGCAGGAGACAATCTTTACAGGTGTGGAGGTTCCCCCAGGAAACCTGAAAGCAGAAGTTGCTAAGAGTGGAAGCTTCTTGGAGGGAGACAGACTATGGGAGAAGTGGAGCAGGGTACTATCACTTTCCATGGAGCCTTGACTGTGGTAATCGATTTTTACCCATGCCATCGCTAAAAACAAATACAAAAAATTAGCTGGGCATGAGGGCGCATGCCTGTAATTCCAGCTACTTTGGAGGCTGAGCTGGGAGGATCACCTGAGCCCAGGGGGTCAAGGCTGCAGTAAGCTACGATTGAGCCACTGCACACCAGCCTGGGTGACACAGTGAGACCCTGTCTGAAAAAAGAGTTATAAAATAAAAAAAAAAATACTGTCATGTGTTTTTATCTCTATTGATGGCAATTATAATAATAATCCCTCATAGCCTGTATACAGCAGAGACTCCCATGAGAGTAGGACTAACTCACGCTAAGAAAATTACATTCCATTGCCTTGCGCTCATGACTTAGTTGCGGGGAATAAAAAGGTAAAAGAAATGGAAAGCTATTGATGGCGATGATGCCACAAGTGTGAGTGAAGCAAGCAACGGAGGATCCCCAGCTTATGTTCCTTCACCTGAACCAAGTGTCTCCACATGAGGACAGGTGGCATGTATGGAGAGACACCAGCACGAGGTCAGGGGTCTGCCACCAACAGACCTCACTGCTTGGGTGAATTTACCTATTCCTTAGCTTTTCCAAAAACAGAACACAAACTTTATTAGTATTTCCAGAGATAACTGGTTTCTCAGTGATGGATTGATTCCAGCCAAATCACAATGCATGATCAGAATGCCATGCGTCAATTCATGATGGAAATAACATCCTTTTCCAGTGCCCAAAATGTTCACGTTGTCTCTCCAAGGCCTCTCATTTCTCAGTATGGAGCTACTAGGAAGCTAAGTCAATGGCCAGACAGTTGCATGTTGAGCACAGAATTCGAGGTGTGTAGACATCGAGTAGATTGGGAGGGCTCTAAGTCTCTTGCCCACTGCACACAGCACTTCGTGGAGAAGGCATCTCCGTGCCCTTACAGACAGTGCTCTGTCGCCTGCCAGCACTGGACACACTCTGGGCCTCCTTTCCTCTGTTCCAATGCTGACCGAGTGCCCTCGTGATGGTACATTCTTTCTTACATGTGTCGGTCACCAATTAAGCTAGGAAGCTGCTTCTAGACAAGAAGCTGTTTCTTTGGCCTTCCATTCTGACGTAATTCAAGTTAAGCCTTTCTTAGAGTCATCTCGTTTCCAAGTCCTTAGGAGTTACCTCATTTTGTCCCCAGTTACAGTCTACACCCTGCTTTAGGCTTCATGGTCATTTGACCTGCCTGGTCCCCACACCCAGCCAGCAGCTGAGCAGCTCCCATCCCCAGGAGCCCACCACCCTGCACAGCTCTGTCCTCTGGATGCCACCACCTGGTCCTCCTCCACATCTGACATCTCCATCTGGGAAGGCCTGCTCTGGCTTGACAGCGTCACAGGGTCCAGGCTTTCTCCCACTGTCCTTCCTCCTCCTTACCCAGAGCTGCGTCTTTAGCTTCCCCATCAGTCATGTCATGGCGTTTCCAATGTTCAGAGAAGTATATGGCCTCGTAGACTAAACCAATGAGAGCTCAAACATTTTCAGACAGTCAACCCTAGACTGTCTGCAATTACTTTTTAAAAATCAATTTGTTTTTCCACTTTGGTTGTGTGAACTAAGTTTCACGGACTTCTGGATTTCTACCCACTGGTGCACCCCCACATCACTGTCCCATCACTGGGGCTCTCAGTGACTTCAGCAGGAGCTCTGTAATGGAAAAATCACGTGAAGACTGTGGTTAGGGTCGTTAGACATTGGGACTAGGACATGTTCTCCCTTTTCAACGTGTAACTTAAGGCTAGGCAGACATAAGAGCAGAAAGTGAGCAGCCCACAGCAAGAGCTGAGGGAGGACAGACAGCACAGACACCAGATGCCAGCTTTGGCAGGGTGGCCGAGGAAACTGATGCCCCTAGTGCTGTCAAGCATGGCAATGAGGTCTGCCTCCTACTTCAGCCACATCGTCTACTTCCAGCCCCCGACTCCACGTGACAATTGGCCCTACCATCCCTTGACCACACCTCCTGGCTGGGGGAGAACTTTCTGAGAAAATTTCAATGTAGAATAAACCAATTCATAAAACTTTTTAAAAATGGGATGTGGAAATATTACAGTTAACGCTCAACAATGACATCGTTAGCACTTGTCTGAGGGGCTAGAGGATGCAAACCAAAACCCAAGAAAAATTACGCCCCTTGAAGTGTGAGCCACCAGTATCTTGACTAAATTAGTTGGCCAAGATAATACCAAAAATTCGTACCAGCTTCATGCAAAAGTGGCTGCTTCTCGCTGTTTTGGTTGACAACGAGCATTAGGACAAGGTTGCTGAGAAGTAACTGTAACACGTGCAGTGCTAGCCGTTCCGGTTTCTCTAGACTATGCTCCACTTACTGACTTCTAAGTAACCTTATTTCATATTTAATAATGAAGGATTTGTGATTACTTACAATTTCAGACACTGGGATTTGGTACAGTTACATGGCTTTTTAGACTTTGTGTCCCATGAACTAAGAGTTACTCTATAAAGATTAAAAAAGAAAATGTATTCAGCTGGTTACTCCTTATATAGAGAATTAGCTAAGCATCTGGTGTTTTTCAACACATTGTGAGAATCTCAACACCAGATCGTTATAGGTATTATTGACAGATGCCTAATCATGAAGTGGGAGTTTCCAATGTGATGGAACTAGCACCACCAAACACAGCCACACATGCCCAGGGAGCCAGTGTGCATGCGGAGCAGGGTCCTAAGGCTCTTCACCCTTCCCAAGATGTCTTCCTGGAGTTCTTCTCCCCCTGACCTATTTAAATCTCTATTTTTTGTGCTCCTCTCCCCACTGAACAGCTCTTTCCCCGCCAAAATCTGAATGCTAATGGGAAGTACAAATTAAAGAACAATAGATGAAGCGTCGTTCATCTTCAGATATACCAGTGCTAAAGCAGTCCACGCTGTAATATTACTAACAATATCAAAGCATGTTAGTAATCACTTAAGTGTGCCATGTGATCATTGGGGACTTTCCTCATTTTAGGAAGGGATTATTACAACTCCCTCCTAACTGCATTTGGCGATTAGCTCAGAAGTCATCTTCAGGGGCATTAGAGAAGAAACAAACTCTTCCTCTAACGTGTCTCTGGGTGTTGCTAAATGTGAGGGCAGCTGCACATTAAACCATCGGGAGAAGTTCCCAAGCATTGCTCAGAAGAGACACTCACCAAGGAGCTCAGAACATTTGCAATGGAAGTGGTTCAATAGGCTGTGATGACAAGGAGGGGCACGTGTACAAAACACCATGTGACAAAAACCAAACTAGATGAATTCTAAACGAATATAGCATTTAATTTAGAATTCTGTGACAGGGCTGTCCCTGTGCCCAGTGGGGGCATGCATCTCTGTCAGTGTGCTCTTTGAGGTCATGTACACAGGCCTCATCTCTGCAACGCACTGGCCACTTCTGAGCAAGGCTGCATCTTAGTCTTGGGTTTTCCCCCAGAGCTAGAACAGCACCTGGCACACAGTCCGTGCTTGCTGTCAGCCTCGCGCCATCTCATGGAACATAGGGGTTGGTAACTAATACAAACGCCCTAAAGAGAGGCAAAGTCTTCGCCCTGTCCTCTGTGCTCCGAGCGCCCGCACGCTCAGCAGTCTTGGCTGGCTGTCGGGGCTGAGGTCAGTTCCAAATCCTCCCCCACTTGGCCTGCCCTCACCTCACTGCTCTGGTCTTCCGCCCCTGCTCTCACCACCTGTGCATCTGTTTAGTGACCCATCCCACTCCCCATGGGAAACAGCTCATGGCACCTGACATGGGGGCAAGCTGCTAACTTTGACTGCTTCTGGAGAGAGCTCCCATTTTAGAGGTAAAGACAATGTTGCTGAATGCTGTATTAATTGAGAATTCATCTAGTTTTGTTTTTCCTTTAGAGACAGAACAGTTACAGCTTTTTGCCCTCATGGGTGCCTAGAGGTGGCAGGTCTAGCTATCCTGCCACCTGGCCTGTCCACCTGTGGGTCAGACCTGGGCCTGTTCAGAGGGGGGGCTCTGACAGCTACTTCACTGCTCTTGCCCTCGGCCCTCTCAGACCTGCCCTGAGCTGGGGCACAGGGTGGCCCGGCACTTCCTGTCCAGAGGAACGAAAACTGTTCTGTTGAGGAAGTGGTGTGGGGGCTTGCGGAGGCAGTCCAGTGGGGACCCACTGTAACTGTGGAGGGAGGGTGACAGGCCCACGAGTATCTACAGAGTCAGGAGGAGGCCGGCAGGCATTTACTATAAATCACTGTGTGGCCAGGACTGTGGTCAGTGCTTCAGGGGACACCAAGGATAACTATCTGTTTAATATACAGTGCCTGTCCTGGAGGAGTCCACCAAGTCAGCAGGGACATGAGACATAGGCAATGGAAACATTAGAGCACAGAAGAGAATAATCAACCAGCACACTGTCCTATACGGACTGTGCACATGGTGCCATATTGACTGTAAATGCCACAGGAACTCAGAATAATCAACCAGCACACTGTGCTACACCGACTGTAAACACTGCAGGAACTCAGAGGCAGCATAGTTCGGCACAGATGGAAGAAGTGAAAACCAAATGCTTTTGAAGGAGGTGGAACTTGACATCAACTTTTAAGGCGGCAAGGTTTCTTCACTATTACTCAACAGGATGACCCAGTTGAAATAACAGCGCCAGTAAAGACACCCATCAGGAATGAGCACGGAGTGCAGGGGCAGTGAGGGCCTCTGACTGCAGTGGACACTAAGTGGAAACTCACTTCCATGGCTCCAGATGGACTGCTCTCTCAGTGCCCATCTAAAAATTAAAGAGTTAGAAGAGATGTGGACAACTCTGCCTCAGAAAAGCATTCTAAACAAACTACACCACAACAAGATAACCTCATCTTTAGGAAAAAAATTTCCAGAGAAGCGGACTCTTGAATATTCTTTATTATGATGTTCATTATGTTACTAAAACCAGTAGCATCAACAATGTGTCAGAATTCACATTTATTACCAGATTGGTAATAGGATTATTAAAGCTACAGAGTGTCAGGACAAGGATTTGTATTAAAGAGTTTTTATTAATATGATAAGCTAGTTAATAAGTTAGCCAGTTCACCCCCCAACCCTAACAAATGACCATCGGGTCAGCTCGCACACTCAGCCTGCTGGCCTCCAGCCTAAGCTGAACTGCTTCTATGGCCTCTATAGGTTAGATATGGCTGAACCACACTGGGCTGACAGTCTTGGTTGGGAACTCACACGGAATGAAATAACCAGCAAAACGTTCTCTGACTGCTTTCTTACCACCAAAAATAAATTGGTAGAGATTCCAGTATATCATCAGTATTGCAGATGTCGAGATAAAAATCATCAGGCCCAATTAAGTGGAGAGGCATTGGATTAAGTAATTATGTGCATAAAAAATACAAATACACATCTCATGTTTTTCCTGGCACACCGTTTACAATAGAGAAATATTTTGTAACATTCAAAATAAAGAAAAACATGTGACTGATTGAAAATAATCTAGTATAGACACAGAAGGAGGAAAAGGAGAGAGGAAGAAGAGCAGGGGGAGGAGAACAAAGAGGAGGAGGAGGGGACGAGAAGAGGAAGGAGGAGGAGGAGAATGGGAAGCCGGGGGAGAGGAAAAGGGGGAAAAGGAGAAATAGCTGCCCTGAAAACGCTGTCATGACTGCTGCTCTGTGCAAATGCCCATCGGCTGCAACACATAGAAGCCTCAGAGGGTGCTGCAACTGGGAGAGCACGCAATTAAAGTATGAGAAGTATCAAATGTCCTTGAATGTTCTAGACACAATACAGCACAGAGGCAATACTATTGACCAGATGCCCCCAGATTACAAGAAAGATGAGTATCTTCAGAACTGTAGCCTTTTAGATCATCCTGTGTAATGTATCAGCAGAATCTGGAAGTAGCTGAAGTCATTTTTGTTTGGTCCAGAAATGTTAACAGCCATGATGAGATGACCAATTACAATCATAGCAACTGCACCCTCACCGATCCATCACACCCAGAGAGTGAAGCAAGCAGCATGGCCCACAGTCTTATTCTGTCCAACTCAGCAAAAGTTGTCAACAGCCTAGGCACAGAATTACAACAGCTGAAAGAGCCACTGCAGAAACTGAAGCAGCGGTGCCCAGGAGCAACCAACGCCCTTCAGCGACCATGAGGGCTGATAGCGTTGATCGGTTCCAGTGTGTTTCCAGATTCACGGCCTTTCATTCCAGCCCCAAACCACTCTCCTCACACTTACCAAGGCCATCACGAAGCCATGCCCGATGGCAGAACTCTGCAGGAGCCTGGAAAGCACTGGAGGCTGCGGGCTGTATCCTGTAAGGTGTTTGACTGCTGTCTCTCAGGCCCAGGGTATGTGTTTGCCTTAGACTGTGGGCCCAAAGAACTCCTGCAGGCAGGCCGGGCACGCCTGTAATCCCAGCACTTTGGGAGGCTGAGATGGGCGGATCATCTGAGGTCAGTATTTCAAGACCAGCCTGGCCAACATGGTAAAACCCAGTCTCTACTAAAAAATACAAAAATTAGCCTGGTATAGTGGTATGCGCCTGTGGTCCCAGCTACTCGGGAGGCTGAGGAAGGAGAATTGCTTGAACCCAGGAGGCGGAGGTTGCAGTGAGCAGAGATCATGCCATTGTATTCCAGCCTGGGTGACAGAGCAAGAGTCCGTCTCAAAAAAACAAAACAAACAAACAAACAAAAAACAAGAAAAAACAAACAAACAAACAAACACCTCTTGGAGGCAGGAATATGCTGATCTCCATAATCAACTACAGGGCTCAACGAATGGAGAGGGTTGCCCAAACCACTGTTAATACATAAATGTTAACCTGATAATTTCAACCAGCTGATTAGTTTAATTAGCAACAATTATAAACACAAGACAGGCAAGAAATAGCAAGATTATAAACACAAGACAGGCAAGAAATAGCAAGATGAGGTCCCAGATAAGTGCAGCCTATGTCCACCTGGAGATGTGAAGACAGATCATGCATTAGCACCTGCCATAGAGCTCGAGCCAACTCAGCATGGAAGGCAGCGGGCGGAGGCAGCTGGAGGGCACTCTGCAGCCCCCCGTTCATGCTGCATGGCTGCCACACCATTATTTCCACGGACGACAGCAAAAAAGAGAGGCCAGTACAGTTTGAATCAACATGGAATGAAGACAAAGAGCTATAAATGGCAACAAGCCTCAGAAACACCAACATAGGACAGCGGACAGGAGGACAGGGACAGATGCAGGTTATGGGCCAGACTTTCCAGCAGCCTTTGCAGCCCCAGTGAAACCAGACACAGACAGCAACACCGTTAGTGGCATTGCTGATGGTAAAAACATTTCTCAGAAGTCATGAAGGTGTGCAGTGAAGCTCATTTTATAGTATAGAAGAAAATCGTGAACGTATCCAAGAGTCTCTTAAATTATTACATTAGAGTGACAATGTATTGCTTCTAATCCTTACCCAGCCAAAGTTATTTTTGGTGGTCCTGGAAGAGTTGATCCCGAGGGGAAAGCAGACCCGTTGACTACCGATGGTAAGGCTCCCTCAAGCTGTTCAAAGTCAAAGGCAAGGATATTTTGAATTAGCAAGGATTTTTAAAGTTCCAGTCAGCCAGCCCCCTAGATAAAAATGATTCTTTTTTTCCCTAAAGGTTTACATCACCATCCCTTTATAACCATGTCTGGCCTTATTACCACAAGGAATCCACTGACATTCGGAAGGTCTAGTGCTGAGGTGTGTCACAGCCTGTCTGGAAGTGTGCAAAGATGTCTGGAAGTGTGCAAAGATGCAGGGCTGGCCTCCACGGGCTGGAGGCCGTCCATAGCTGTCACTCAGCTGGCCAGGGGTATTGTCATGGAACTCCTTTTCATTTTTATAGACTATCAATTATGAAATAAATTTAATGACAAATTTCCATAAACTAGAAATGTTCTTATACAGATCTTGACATTTGAAGTCTTGTTGGCAACCATGATTTTTCATGTATTCAAAAAAATATTTTGTAACCAGTTTTAACAAATTCAAAAGCAATGTCATCATCTCTGCATTGTCCATGTTCTTTGCTTTCCCAGGTCTCATCTTTCTTTATGTTACTCATTAGCATGGCCTGTGGAGGCTGTTCACAGGGAAAGGAACAGGCAGCAAAGCCATCACTGGCCTACTTCTCTTCTACTCAGTAGCTTGAAGAAATTAACAGTACTAAATACAATTAGGTTTTCAGATTATTTGCATATATCACAATTAAACCTCATATCCTTGTCCCTTCCTCTGTCCAAAAATGGAAATGTATCTTTAAATAAATTTATTTTTAAAGCTTTAAGAAGTATAGTCTTAGAAAAAAAATGCGTCTTGTATTCATCCTCTGCACTTCCTCCATTCTGTGCCCAGTTTAAACTGTGTGTCATCACCATCCATTACGGCTGGAAGACACTGAGAAAGCCTCCTGGGTCCCACTGCCTCATTTACAATCAGTCTTAAGTCCCCAGGCTTCTTCCCGGGAAACCCCTTCCTGCTCTCCTCTTGCTCGTGCACAGAAGGGAGTGCTCACAAGGCCCTGAGACAGGTGTCCCTTTTGCCCTCACCTGGACACCTAATTGTTAGGCCCCTGTCTTCAAATGTCAGTCTGAAGAGTTTTGCATTCTTTTGGAGAAAGGATGTCATAGTTCTCAGGATTGAGGCAATTATTCGCATAAACCAGGTAAAATTACTTTTTTTCCCCCTTTGCTTATTTAGCCCCAAAGTAAAGCAGAGACATCTCTTATGTACTCCATAGGTTGTAAATCCAGGGCAACTTTATGCTGGAATCCACGAGTTTCTTCAGCAATGTTTGGTCCTCTTGGAGTGAAGGAAGTCAACTCGGAGGCAGGGCTTCTCAGACTCTGCTGTGTGCACAAGTCACCTGGGGCCTTTATGAAAATGCAAATCTGATTCAGGGGGTCTGAATCCCAGGTTTGGGGTGGAACCTGAGGTTCTGCACTTCTTAACAAGCTCCCAGGTGATCCCAACAGTTCTGGTCCATGGACCACACTTTGGGTGGTAACACTCCAAAGAATATACAGAACTGGGGTCTGGCAAGGAAGCAAACGATTCTCGAGAAGCAGCAAATGCATTGCTAAAAGAATTGTCCTTGAGGTCCATGCTGGATAAGGGGCCAAAATGGGGACGATAATAAACAGTCAAGGAAAGGTGGGGGAAGGTGGGGAGACAGCAAGTTGTGGCCAAATGGGTGTTTCTCATGGAAGATCTTAGAGGTGAAAGAGCAAGTACAATGTGTGCCTTCTGGACTGGTGGCTGAAACAGCAGAGAAAGGAAGGCCAGCAGCGTGGAGGGGGCCAGACGGTAGGAGGATTCTATGAGGTTCCAACACAGACTGCATCTGCGTGCTCGCCAGATCCCGACTTACACTCACCTCCTGCACTGATAACACTCTCTTTTATCTTGGCCAATGTATCACTTGAGAAGTATTTACTCACTCATTCAACAAATATCTAATTCAATTTACACTCACTTCCTTTGAGATCTCATCTATTCATATGGCTTTCAACGCCATCTATACACTAGGACTCCCAATCTCATCCCTCCTGCCCAGCCCTTCCTCACTCTAAACTCCTACGCAACATCTTCTGAGGCATCCCAAATTTAATATATCCAAACGGAACTCCTGGACGCCTTTGAAAAACTTGTACCATCTCATCTTTGTTGATGGAAACTCCATCTCTCCAATCATCCAGGCTGAAAACCTTGGGCGCATCCTTGACTCCTCTCTTTCTCTCACATCCCACATCCAATCCATCAGCAAATCCTGTTGACTCAACCTTCAAAGTATCCCTAGAAGCTATTTCTTGCCACCTCCACTGCCACCACCTGATCTGAGCGATCATCTCTCCCCGAGATTATTGCCATAACAGGCTCACCGTTCTCCTTGACCCCTCCTCCCCACCAGCCCCTCTTTAGAGTGGAAGCCATAATCCTCCCAGTGCCTTGACTTCCTCCCTGCCCTGCTCCCCTAGCTCACACTATCCCAGGCCCAGTGGCCTCCTCGCTGCCACCACAGCAGGCATGACCCTATCCAAGGCCCGCCTGGGATGTTCCACAGCTTGCTTCACAGAGCTCATTCCCTCATCTCTTTAAAGGCTTTGCTCAAATGTCACCTTCACAACGGAGCCATGATCACCTTTTTTAAACCTGCAACTAGGCTTTTTCCCCATCAAATCCCCATCCCCCCAATCCGCTTCCTCTGCTCTCCTAACAGATGATGTAATTGGCTTCCTATTAGATTTGCTAATTGTCTATCTCCTGCAGTAAAATGTAAGCTGCAGGAGGGCGGAGTTGTGTGTTTTGTTTTCTGAGGTTCACTTACCTCACAGATCAGTGCCTGCCCTTATTGAAGGGTGAGTGGGTGCCCTACATGGGCCAGGCTTTGTGCTGATTCTCATTTTACAGAGATGAACGAGACACATATGGCCTCTGCCCCTATGGAGCCTGCATTCTTGTGGGTGGATGCAGACAAACCAACCAACCACAAAACGCAAGCCAGTGAGAGTGCCATGCAGAGCAGGAGACAGCACTGTGACTGTGGCTGGACGTCTACGCTGGGGAGTTAGGGAAGGCTCTTCCGGGGAGGTGACACTTCATACCAAAACTCGGGAAAAAGAGCGTATTTGTCCTCTACTTTTATGTAATATACACATATCATGGTGTAATCATAAAAGCAAACTTTAAAAAAGTATTTCCATAACACTGAGGAGGGTGAGGAGCGTTCTGGACCGAGGAGGTGGAATATGCTGTTGGTGGGGTCACAGAGGACAAGTTAGCAAGCGTGGCAGAATGCCGGTCTGGAGGCTGCAGGAAAGGGCAAAAGGGCTTCATCAAGTTGGTGAAGAATAACTGTGTCCGAGACTGACTCCAGCCCACAGTGTCTGACACAGTGGGGCAGGGACTGAACACTTGGTAAGTATTTCACTTTGACTTTTAAATGGAAAATAAATTATATTTCCTGAGTAATTCCAACCATAACAATCAAAATTTTAAGAGACAATAATGCAAAATTGTATTTTTTAAATTAAAACAATGACTCACTTGTTGTGTAATGAGATTTAATTTTGTTGATGCTGGCAAAAATCTCCCTACTAAAGCAGTCATTGGTTTAGGGACATCTGTAAGGAAGATAATTAAAAATTAATTGTAGCATCTATCGTTCCTCTTCCACTTACACGTGGATGAAAGTACAAAAGTCTGTTATGGACATGTCCTGTGCAAAGTTATTTCAACTTATCTTGATGCTAGTTACGCATTTTATTCTCTAAAACCTTTCAAGTCAGTATTTTACTTAATATACTCATTTTTCTTTTCTTTTTTGGGGAGATGGTCATAAAGCTACTTGATCTGAGCTTCCAGGGTTGCTCTACTAGGCTAAAACAATGTTGTTAGTGCTCTGGTTCCCAAATTGTGTGCCAAGGT
Source organism: Homo sapiens (assembly GCF_000001405.40). NCBI lineage: Eukaryota > Metazoa > Chordata > Mammalia > Primates > Hominidae > Homo > Homo sapiens. The sequence goes on from NC_000011.10 coordinate 68,742,699, forward strand.
GCCCTGCATAGCCACAGCAAACTCACTAGGAAAAAAAATGTTTGAGATAGGGTCTCGCTATGTTGCGAGGCTGGCTTCAAACTCCCGGGCTCAAGCAATCCTCCTGCCTCAGCCTCCTAAGTAGCTGAGCCTATAGGCATACCCAGCTTCGCTGGATATTTTATGTTTTCTTTTTTTTTTTTCTTTTTGCTTTTTTGAGATAGGATCTTGCTCTGTTGCCCAGGCTGGAGTGCAGTGGCACTACCACGGTTCACTGCAGCCTTGACCCCCCTAGGCTCAAGTGATCCTCCTGCCTCACCCTCCCACGTAGCTGAGACTACAGGCCTGTGCCACCATGCCTGGCTAATGTTTTCATTTTTTGTAGAGACAGGATCTTGCCACATTGACCAGACTGGTCTTCAACTACTGGGCTCGAGCAATCCTCCGGCCTGGCCTCACAAAGTGCTGAGATTACAGGCGTGAGCCAGCACTCCAGGCTGGTATTTTATGATTTTAAAGAAAGCCCAGGGACATCTATTGGATACCACAGGAACTACTTTTTTTTTTTTTTTTTTTTTTGAGACAGGGTCTCACTTTGTCACCCAGGCTAGAGTGCAGTAGTGCGATGTTGGCTCACTGCAGCCTCAGCCTCAACCTTCTGGCCTCAAGCAATTCTCTCACCTCAGCCCCCCAGTCAACTGGGACAACAGGTGCACACCACCAAGCCCAGCTCATTTTTTTTTGTATTTCTTGTAGAGACAGGGTTTCGCCATGGTACCCAGGCTGGTCTTGAACTCCTGAGCTCAAGTGATTCACCTGCCTCAGCCTCCCAAAGTGCTAGGATTATAGGCGTGAGCCACGGCAGCCAGCACTACTTTCGATTTATGTGTATTTTTTTTTCAAGTGGTTACTAAGTTGTTTGGATATAAATACTTACTAAGCTATTTAGACTAAACTACTTAGTACTGGAACTGATAGGTACTTATTTGGTCTACAAGTGCCATGAAAAACATTCTTGAGACACTAAGGGTGTGTAAGCCTCTGTGCTCATGAGTTCAAGTAGAAGCACCTGAACACTTTTTCTCCTCCAGGCCTAGGCATCCTTTGAGTGAGGAATCTCAGACGCAGGCAGCAGGATGCACGTACTTTATTGTGATGTTTAATATGTGCACAGTGTAACAAAGGAGATGCAGGTGGGGGGAGTATGATTATATGATAAGGAACTTGAACTGGAAAACACTATATAAACTCTCTCCTCCTGCAGACCTTAAGGCACTAGGATTTTGTCATGTGCCAGGAGGAAGGGGAGCAGGAAAGACCTTCTCCCTGCCTGTAGAGATCAGAGATGCAGCATGAACCTATAGGAGATGAGGCCAAAGCTCCAACCTCAGCTTCTTCACTGTGAAAAGAGTCAATGTCTTGAGGATATTTATTCTGTCCCTGGACAGGGAGACAATCAGGATGCAATGGGGAGACAGGGAGTCACGCTTTGTCTTTTTGCCCTGGACTTCAAAGGCCAGTGAAACTACATCTGGATTTGCTATTAGTTTCAAGTTATAGGCAAGGTCAGTGAATCACCTGACAGTGAATATTCTCTCGTTAACTCAAGATCTAGGGTAATGTGATTACGTGCAGTCCCCATAGAGAGGCCTAATTTTCAAGAATTAGCATCTCACTTTTGTTAAACACAATCCTAAAATACGTCATTTACTCTTTCTCTAATCATGCATAAGGAATTTCAGAACAATCAAGTACTTACAGGTCATTTCTTATTATTGTGCCAGGTTAAAAAAGTTTCTTAGTCAGGTAAGAATGAATTTCTTAGAATGAATGTCAGACAAATCCTTTGTTATTTCAGAACTCATGGTGATTAAAGCAGAATGATAGTTCTCATTGATTACACTGAAATGTTTACATTAAAATGTAGGTGTTTACACCACACCTGAAGTCAACCCATCAGGTCAGTCTGGGAAAGGCTGATATTTCAATCTAGGCACATCGAGGCACCTATTTGTGGAATTCCTACCAATGCAGTGTCGGTCTGAGTCATCACCTGTTAGGATCACAAAGCTCTCAGCAGCTAGGTGACATGAGGGACAGCTATCCAAGAATTTGAGACAGTCAGTACAGGGTACAAAAATTAGTCTATAGATATACATTTTTATATTCTTAGCTTACTAATATGGACTACGAGGTTTGCCAAATTTCCTATTTAATATCCTGGTTGCCATTTCACTTTATATACAAAGCCAAACATATTCATTTACCAACTTACATATATGACATAGTTTTTTTTATTAATTAACTTTGTACCTGACTGTAGATAATTATTTTGATCTTGATACTGAGGAACCAAATGGAGTGCTTTTAGTTCTCTTGTTCTAGAATTGTCTATACATAGCATTTGTGTGCCCCCTTTCAATTGGCATATCACCTAAAATGAAAAAGAACAATCAGGTTTCATTTTTGAAACATAATTCCAGTAATAATGAACCTAAATAAACTTAAATCTGAGAAAATAGCTTTAATCCAGAAGTTACATTTTAATGGAAGATAGAAAACTATAGATCTGTTTTCGATTTCTTACTCTACACTAACATGCTCTTTGGAGACACCAAAGGGCAAAAAAAAAAAAAAAAAAAAGAAAAACCCAGAAATGTTTCCTGAGATGCGTCCAGTGTGTGAACAGAAAAAAGTTCCTGTGCCTGGCTTTCTCCACAGGTGTCTGATTTAGTTGGGGATCAGGTAGCCATGCCCCAGAGCTTCCTTTGTCCTGTCCTCACTCCACCATTGACATGAGCAGAAGAGGGTGCTGCTCCGCTAAGCCCCAGCCCATTCAGCCCCAGTGGGCACTGAGGCCCTGGCGGCATGTCCCTGAGTCCCTGGGCACGCACTTAAAATCCTCTCTAATTTTACTCCAACTGTCCTTTCCTGCCACACACATGTCATTATTTAACACATGGGGTTTTAAAAACACATCTATTTTATTTCCTACAAGTACAGCTTAGAAAGGTTAGTCCAAGAACTATAAAGTTCTAAGAAGCCACACTGATCTGCTTGGGCCTGAGCAGCACTGTCAGACCCCCCTTGGATACTGACCATAAATAAATGGTCGCAAGCCGGGTGGGTCTGCCAGTCCATCCCATCAGTCAAGCAAAAGCACTGAGGGAACTGTGTGCCCAGCCCTGCTTCAGGCTGTGGCATGTGGGGATAGAAAGGCGAGAGATGCTGTGGCTTCTGCCTGGACACAGCTTCCAATTCTGCTGGCAGAACCACAACTACACAGAGCAGCTGTGCTTTATACACTTAAGTTGCTTATAATCTAGATAAGAGAACCCAAAGAACCATAAAGGACCAATGTTATCAAAGTAATACACATTGGACCTACTATGGTCATTGGATCAATATTCCACATCATCCTGACATCTGATGAGAGGCCAGCATTCATGTTCAATTGGAGTTGTATTTGTATTTGGAGGATAAAGTTATAGCTACACACACACACACACACACACACAGGAAAGGCTCAGAGTGAACTCTGCAGACCTGCCTCTACTGCACACTCCTGGGCCCTATCCACATGGGAGCCTTGGCTCTGCCCTCTGGGGAAATGTGCTAACATCACTCTGCAGTCTTGGGGAGTCGGAGAGTTCTCATCCTGCTGACCTGCTTTTAGGGTCCTAGAAAAACTGCTATCAGAACCCACAGCCCCAAATAGAACCACCGATGGAGAGGCTAATGTTAGTGTACACCACAGCTAAACCAAACTCATGACAGGCTCATTTTCAAGTATTTGCTTGTTAACGTCTATGCCTTACAGCAAGGGCCTCATTTCTAGGAATAAAGAATTGCTGGGGGAAAGGCAATGATCGGTTCTTGGACTCTGGGTGCTTTGCTAAGGGAATGCTGTGGGCGACACTCTCCCCATTCCTAGTCCTTGCCACGTGAGATCTGGAGTCCCAGATGCACCACTTAATTATGAAGACCAATGTAGATGATGTAACATCTCTGTTTCTTACCCATAAAGTGGGGATAAAAAGAATGCCTATCCTACAGAGTTGTTAGGAGGATTAAATAAAGGTGCAAAAATATGACATAAACCACAGCTGTGACTGATTACGTACCCTATACAAGCGTTACCTGTTATCATGAGAGATTGGGACACGAAGGAAGCAGGCTCTGCCCTGAAGCCACAGGACCGTGCCCCACACCAATATGCCAAACCATGAGGCTCAGCTGCAGTCCCTGACCCCAGCACTGCACTAACTGATGTGATTTGTGCTTGCTCTCCTTAATGAATACAGCAATGTCCTCATCTTTGTTCAATTTGCTAAGATGGAGTAGAAATGAGAATCTTAGAGGTGAGATGTGAAAGGCTCATGTCCCTGTTTTGCTAATGAGACAACCAAAAATCCTGATACAATACATACGTGAAATGAAAAACGAGTGAAATGATCAGTCGACTTAGTAATGATGGGGTCCAGCATTTAGTATAATGTTAGTCCTACACATCTTCTTTAGCATAATTACCATTGGGTTGGAATCTTTCTTAAGAGAACAGCAGGAGGCATCCTCTAGTTCCTGGGACGATGGGAACTTGCAACAGGATTCCTGAGCAAGAAGATTCTGCAAAGTTGCTTCTTCCGGATTATTACTTGTAGTAGTACCACCTGCTTCCTTGATTTCAACCTAGAAAAAAGCAATAATTATTTTAGAGAACACATGGTGGACACTGGCTCTTGCAGTTGCATAATTTAGAAAATTGAAATCTCAGTGATAAGTAGAAGTTATGGTGAAACCCTGTCTCTACTAGGCATGGTGGCACACTCCCAGCTACCGGAGAGGTTGAGGCAGGAGAACTGCTTGAACCTGGGAGGCGGAGGTTGCTGTGAGCTGAGACAGTGCCATTGCATTCCAGCCCAGCCCCATCACACATTCTTCCAGCATGCTCAGTAGTTTGAATTAGATGTTCTAGTCAATTGTTTTTTCCTCAAAAAGCCCCAAATCCTTGGTAACGTTTTAATATTATTTATGATGTGTTTATAGGAAGATTTGTAATTAGGTAGTAGCCCTTTCCTGCCTTAATAGTAGGACAACAAACATGAAATGGTGGAGAGTAGGGAGTGGCTGCCAGCTTTGTGTTCAAGCTGTCTTCTGTAACAACTGTCAACCCGATGACAAAATTACCAAAGATATGGAGAAATACAGGGATAATACTGAAAATCAATAGAATTTTTAAAAGTAAGAATCCTCGTGGTTAAAAAAAAATTACAATCAGGATTGTTTCAACATTGGGATGCTGCTTTTTACAATCTGTAGGAATGTGAGGAGGACTGGGAAACCCACGCTTTGCATCCTCCCCTCCCCTCCTCCTCCACCTACACTTGCCCGAGCTGCCTGGACCAGAGGACAGTGGGGCTCCCCAAAGGCCAGGAGGCAGGCCACAGAGCCCTTCCAAAAAGATGGTGGCTCTAAGGTAACATACTGAAGACCTCAAATAAAAATCACAGAGCAGGTATCTTTCAAAATGCAGATAGTGACTCAAATTGGAGCTTGTCCAGCCCAATAAAATCAGAGGCCCAAACAAATCATATTTCCCATGTATGGGCAAATCACTCAGCACAGCAGACTAGCATCTAGGTATAAATCTTAAAAGAGATAAAGTTTAGCTATATTTTAAGTAGCTTTATTTAGAAATTTTAAATTTCATATAAATACACATAAAATTTTCTTCTACTTGCTGCTTTGGGGGATGTGCTATGCACGTCATCCCAGTTTAGATTTAACTTATCTCCCTGTAATCAACAAATACTACTATAATAAATATATCATTTCCTCAGACCTATGCAACTAATATCTGAACTACTTATACTAAAATTCCATTTCTGACCTTTCAAAACAAAGGTCAACATGTGGGAATGAATTTCTAGAAGAAGGAAATTAGCAACTGATCCTGAATATTTACTGAAAATAATTCCATTCTGTTTAAACGATAAACATGTCTGTGCTGTATCTGGTCCATTTTATTAATGAATCAGAAAGCAGTCAATAAAAATTTAAAAAGCAAAGTCTCTCCTTTAGTTTGTCAGACCAGCAATCTCTTAAAATTGGATTAAAGAGAATTTTACTATCTTTAACATCAGAGAATTCTCTTGTGTGTGTTTTGTTTGTTTTTTAAGACAGGGTCTCACTCTGTCGCTCAGGCTGGAGTGCAGTGGTGCAATCTCGGCTCACTGCAGCCTTCGCCTCCCAGGTTCAAGCAATTCTCCTGCCTCAGCCTCCCGAGTAGCTGGGATTACAGGTGTGCGCCACCACACCCGGTTAATTTTTGTATTATCTTCCCTGTTCTGATTAATGCTTTCTGACTCCACTCTGTGAGGAAATGAGCCGAGCTAGGACCTACGGGCAGGAGGCGCTGGACACCAATCCGGCTGGGCAGCAAAATGCAGTTCTTAACATTTCAAGCCCTCTGAGAAAGGCTGTGAGAAAGACCTCTGTCCTGGGAAACGGCTGGGGGAACTGGTGAGCTCTATGGCTCCTCTGAGGACAAACAGAGGTCAGTGGAGGCCCCAGCCTCTGCCCATCCTTTTCCTGTACACTAAGGACTGGCAATTACCATAACAGAAAACCGGAAGAGCAGAAATCCAAGCTCCTGCTGCTCTGGCTTATGATACAGGGTCAGGCTCCAGCCATCTCAATACTGACTCAAGCATTGTGTCCCACAAACGCTTCATCTACAACTTACTAAAATGACCTCATGGATGAGTGGTCTCGTTTTCTGAGCTGGGTCCTTTTTGAGGGGTCGAGAACACATTTTCCTGGGACCCTTTGTTTCCTTTGAAAACTCATTAGTTTTGGCAAGAACAAAGCGGAAAATTATCAGCGGTCATCTACAGCTAGAGAGGGCAGTCGGCTGAGAGCTGGCAAGCATTTCTTTAGGCTCTGATTTACATTGCATATGCTTGAAGAGCTATTACTCATTAGCAAAGGGAAGATCTCACATCTTGACTTCAAGGCCCGGAAAATCCAAGTATTAACTCTGAGTCCTTGCTGTGGATTCCAAGCCTGGTAAAGTTAAAGGAAAAAAAAAATGCAAGATGCAAACACGCCAACCCTCCACCACATTGCGTTTGTTTTCACAGACAATAGTTACCAGCAGACAGCGGGCCTCTCTCCTTAAGCCAAGGATAGCAACAGGGCCCAAGGGAACCTACGTCCTAGCTTTCCCCCTTTTTTTGTTGTCCGCCGTCTGCATGGTTAGGTCAGCTTTGGACGACTGGTGCAGGGCAGAATTCCCTCCAGGGGAAAGGGCTTGGCTGGGCCGATGCATGTTGGATTAGGAAGACGACAAAGAGTATACGCTCTACCGAGAATCAGTGACTCCGGTGGGCTGTGTGTGGTGTCACCAGGGAAAATGCTTGTAGAGGGAAATCCTGGGGTACACTAGCAGCCTCAGATGGGTTGGGGAAGGGATGGAGGGGGAGCTGTGCCCATTCCCCAGGCGGTTCTTACTGGGATCATGCGGACGCCCGGGTGGGAGGCTCCTTCCAGGACCCAGGCGCCCAGGGGCAACACCGCCGGGCTGCGGTGCGCGGGTAGCAGCGAGGACAGGAAGTGCACGTTGCAGGCGGGCGGCTGCGGGGCCTGCAGGAGCGCGACGTCCTCCAGCGCGCTGAGCTCTGGGATCCCGGGGTACTCCCCGAGGAGCTCCCCGCCGTCGCTGTCGCCCCCCGCGAGCTTCGCCTTGACCTGGCCCTTGCAGTCGGCGCCCAGCGCGGGGTTGAACGCGTGCAGGACGGGTTCCTTGGGGTCCGCCGGGCCCAGGTACGCTTCTTTGAAGACGTGGAACTCGTCCTCCTCGTACTTCACGGGGGCCTTCAGGCCGATGTTCTCCGAAGCGAACGGACCCTCGGGGCTTAAGAGCTCCGTCACCATCGCATCCTCGGGGCTGGGCAGCCCGCCCGGCAGAGGGCCCTCCTCCATGGCGCAGGGCGGCGGGGCGGGATGGCGGGGGCCGCGCACCTGCAACACGCGGCCAGGTGAGAGGCAGCCAGAGGAGAGGACGAGGGGAGGGGCGGCCAGGAAAGGGGACAGCCAAGGGAGGGGCAGCCAAGGGAGGGGCGGCCAGGGGAGGGGACCAGGTGAGGGGCGGCTAGGGGAGGGGGCGGCCTGGTGAGGGAGGGCCAGGTGAGGGGCCCGGGGAAGGGCGACCAGGTGAGGGGGTCAGGGGAGGGGCGACCAGATGAGGGGCGATTAGGTGAGGGGCGGCCAGGTGAGGGGCGGCCAGGTGAGGAGCGACCAGGGGAGGCGGTCAGGTGAGCGGCGACCAGGGGAGGGGCGGCCGGGGAGGGGGTCACGGGAGGGGCGACCAGGGGAGGGGCGGCCAGGGGAGGGGGCCAGGTGAGGGGCGGCCAGGTGAGGAGCGACCAGGGGAGGGAGTCAGGGGAGGGGCGACCAGGTAAGGGGCGGCCAGGAGAGGGGCCGGCCGGGGTGGGGGTCAGGTGAGGGGCGCCCAGGGGAGGGGGCCAGGTGAGGGGCGGCCGAGGAGGGGGTCAGGTGAGGAGCAGCCAGGGGAGGGGGGGCCAGGTGAGGTGCGACCAGGTGAGGGGCGGCCTCGCCCACGGCCCGCCGCCCTCCGCCCACCCGCAGGGGCCCGACCCGGCCCGGCAGCCCCCATCCCCGCCTGCAGAGCCGAGGCCCAGCCCGGGGACCGCCCCGTCATTCCTCCTCGGAGGGACGCACCTGGGGCCGCCGGGGCTGCCGCAGCGTGGAGCGAGCGGGATGGGGCGTGGGCCGGGCCTCAGGCGCAGGCGGCCGTTGGCGGTTGGAGAAGGGGGAAGGGTGAGGGACAGGAACCTGGGGGGAGGGGAAGAGGCGCCCGGGCAGTGGGCGGGGCCTGGGCGTGGGGCGGAGTCGAGGTCGGGGCGGGGAGGTAAAGGCGGGGCCAGGGAGGTGTGGTGGGCGTGGTCTGGGGCGGGAGGAGACAGAGTCGCGAGGGGCGGGGCCTGGACTGCCGCTGTTGCCAGAGCGGGTCAGGGGAGGCACTCCCAGGTTCAGCCGATCCAGGCTCAGGTGGGGAAACTGAGGTCCCCATCAACTCGGGCAGCGCTAAGTGGGACTGCCTAGCTTGGCTTCTGACCTTGGGCTTCAGTTATATTTTTCTGGCCAGGCGTGGTTGCTCACGCCTGTAGTCCCAGCACTTTGGGAGGCCGAGGCAGGCGGATTACTTGAGGTCAGGAGTTCAAAACCAGCCTGGGCAACATGGTGAAACCCCGTCTCTACTAAAAATACAAAAATTAGCTGGCCGTGGTGGCACGCGCCTGTAATCCCAGCTACTTGGAAGGCTGAGGCAGGAGAATCGCTTGAGCCCGGGAGGTGGAGGTTGCAGTGAGCCGAGATCCCGCCACTGCACTCCAGCCTGTGCCACAGAGCTAGACTCCGTCTCAAAAAAATAAATAAAATAAAATAAAACATTTTTCTACACTCGAGCTCTCAAGACAGATCCCGGCCTGGGACGCTGCGGGTGGACAGAGGGCAGGGGCTTGCACCGCACGTTCCCAGCCTTGCACCCACTCCCGGTCCTTGGTGACGCAGCTTACAGGTGCAACTGATGGAGTTGGTCCCGAAATAGAAGTAACAAATACGGCTGGGCGTGGTGGCTCACGTCTGTAATCCCAGCACTTTGGGAGGCCGAGGCGGGTGGATCACCTGAGGTCAGGAGTTCGAGACCAGCCTGGCCAACATATAGTGAAACTCCGTCTCTACTAAAAAATACAAAAACTAGCTGGGCGTAGTGGCGCACGCCTGTAGTCCCAGCTACATAGAAGGCTGAGGCTTGAACCTGGGAGATGGGGGTTGCAGTGAGCTGAGATTGTGTCACTGTACTCCAGCCTGACCAACAGAGAAAGGCTCCCTCTCAGAAAAAAAAAAAAAAACTCACAAATACAATGAAAGTCTCAAATTTTGGGTGGGGAATGAGCTATTTCATCTTTAAGGAGTCAATAGATATCACTGTTTAATCAAGAGGAGGTGAAAGTTTAATTCAAGTGATGGCGAAAACTGCAAAGGGTGTAGAGGGACTGGTGGGAGTGGGTGCTGGGGAGACAGCCTCAGGTACTGTCTACTCAGGTACTGTTTTGGTAAAAATAAAGAATGTAAAACATCAGCTTTCTAATCTCACTTTTAAAAATTAAATACTTTTCTAAATTTTTAAAGGGTAGTACCCAAGGCACAGCAACACCGTGTACTATTTAGTTGTACATTTAACATTCAAAAATCAAGAAAATTTTGCCTGGGGCTGGGCGTGGTGGCTCATGCCTGTAATCCCAGCACTCTGGGAGGCCAAGGTGGTCAGATCACTTAAAGTCAGGAGTTCAAGACCAGCCTGACTAACATGGTGAAACCCTGTCTCTACTAAAAATACAAAATTAGCTAGGCATGGTGGTGCACACCTGCAATCCCAGCTATTTGTGAGGCTGAGGCAGGAGAATTGCTTGAACCTGGGAGGCGGAGGTTGCAGTGAGCTGAGATTGCACCATTGTACTTTAGCCTGGGCAAAAAGATTGAAACTCCATCTCAAAAATCAAACAAACAAAAACAACAACAACAAAAAACACTCACAGAAGCAGAAAAAATAATAAAAATAATAAATCGAAGAGCCCAAGAATTATGCATAGCTTGAGTGGCCCAAGCGAGAGAGTAACCCACAAGGTTGCACCGTTCATTCGTTTACTAATCAGAATCAGACGTCTACTGAGTAGCATCATGCCAGGCATACACAGCCACCTGTGGGGGTCACCCACGGGTTGCAATCAAGCCTGGAGGCTCTGCACCTGCTGCTCCTAGATGCTTGCTGCCCTGCTGCACTGGCCGGGCTGGCTCCGTCGAGTCTCTCAGGTCTCAGCTCAACCCACTCTAAGTGGGTCAACCTCCCTGCCAGCTACCACCCCCTCCCAATGATCCTCTTAGTTGCCTCAGAACACTTAAAATCCTTCAACTGGTTGGCTTGTTCTCTTTTTCCTCTGTGATATGGTTTGGCTCTGTGTCCCCACCCAAATCTCATCTTGAATTGTAATCCCTCTGTGTCAAGGGAGGGGCCTGGTGGGAGGTGATTGGATCAAGGAGGCGGTTCCCCTACGCTGTTCTTGCAATAAGAAGTGAGTTCTCACAAGATCTGATGGCTTAAAAGTGTTCGGCAATTCCCCCTCACTCTCTCTCCTCTGCTGCCATGTAACAGGTTTCTTGCTTCCCCTTCACCTTCTGCCATGATTATAAGTTTCCTGAGGCCTCCCCAGCCATGCTGAACTGTGAGTCAATTGACTGTCTTTCCTTTATACTTACCCAGTCTCAAGAAGTTCTTTACAGCAATGTAAAAATGGACTAATGAGACAGCCAGAACCTGGTGGGGTCACTGCTGTCTCCCCAGTGCCTAGAACAGGCGCTGATATGGTTTGGATGTGTGTCCCCACCCAAATCTCAGGTTCAGTGGTAATCCCTAATGTTGGAGGTGGGGCCTGATGGGAAGTGACTGGATCATGGGCGTGCATTTCTCATGAACAGCACCATCCCTCTTGCTACTGTCCTCACCATAGAGTGCGTGAGTTCCTGTGAGATCTGGTTGTTCGCAAGTGTGTAAGAGAGCACCTCCTCTCTCTCTCTCAGATCTGGTTGTTTGCAAATGTGTAAGAGAGCACCTCCTCTCTTTCTCTCTCTGTCTCCTTTCACCATGTAGAATGCCTGCTCCCCCTTTGCCTTCCACCATGAGTAAAAAGCTGTTTGAGGCCTCCCCAGAAGCAGATGCCTCCATGCTTCCTGTATAGCCTGCAGAACTGAGAGCCAATTAAACCTCTTATAAATTACCCAGTCTCAGCTATTTCTTTACAGCAATGTGAGAATGGCCTAATACAGGTGCTCAAGAAAAACAGAAAAATGGAATTCATGCATTACTTTTAACATATTTATTGAGCATCTTTTATGTGTCAGGCACTGTTCTCAGCATTGAGGCAATGGAATGGATGAATAAATGCACAGCAAGTGAAAATCAACAGGCTTTTCTTTCCAGCCCAGCACATGAACTTGGTGATGTCCATGGTCTCCTCCAAGGCCTTGTTTCCATATGCTGAGACTTTCCACTTTGTCTCAAGTATCTGAACTTGGTCCTTGACTTATAATCCCCTTAATATAACAAAAGAGACAGAAACAAATCTTGTAGTAGACTGGGGTTAATGTTTTATTAATGATAACCTACATTCACACTGCATTTCTAAGATTTACATCCAAAGAGCATACTGTATTTACATGCACCGGTCAGCCCAAGATAACAAATTCAAACCATGGCTGCGTTAAGACAATGGTTTGTTCCAATTAAATTAAACAGATAATACTCTTATCACCCCCCTTGGACATGTACAATAAGACCCCTCTTTCTCCCCTCAAGGAATATAAAATTGCATTGATAACTGCACTGATGAGCAACAATTACATTTGAAACATTTAAAACCTGAGAGAGAAACCCAAATATGTTTAAGCACTCACGTCTACACTCAAAATGCCCTGTGAACTCTAGTGTAACACAGATTGCTCAGTGGTCAACAGTGCATGATCTAGCTGGCTCTGATAGGGACTGACGCCGGCTGCTGGCTTTTAACGGGAAGTGCTATTCTTGCCCAGGGCAGAGAGAGCTACATCCCCGCTGCCTGCTTGACGGACAGTCAGGGGCTTTTGTTGTTGGTTTGTTTTTGCTTTTTTTTTTAGACGGAGTCTCGCTCTGTCGCCCAGGCTGGAGTGCAGTGGAGCGATCTCGGCTCACTGCAAGCTCCGCCTCCCGGGTTCACGCCATTCTCCTGCCTCAGCCTCCTGAGTAGCTGGGACTACAGGCGCCCGCCACCACGCCCGGCTCATTTTTTGAATTTTTAGTAGAGACGGGGTTTCACCGTGTTAGCCAGGATGGTCTCCATCTCCTGACCTCGTGATCCGCCCGCCTTGGCCTCCCAAAGTGCTGGGATTACACGCATGAGCCACCGCGCCTGGACGCTTTTTTTTTTTTTTTTGTCTTTTGTTTTCATTTTTTCTTGCTTTCAGGAGAAAAAAAATCTTTGGCCCATAAAGGTGGGATTTTTACATCATGAAGTATACATACATAAAACATGCATGTGGGCCGCGCATGGTGGCTCATGCCTGTAATCCCAGCACTTTGGGAGGCTGAGGCAGGTGGATCACCTGAGGTCAGGAGTTCGAGACCAGCCTGACCAATATGATGAAACCCCGTCTCTACTAAAAATACAAAAATTAGCAGGGCATGGTGTTGGGCGTGTAATCCCAGCTACTTGGGAGGCTGAGACAGGAGAATCGCTTGAACCTGCAAGGCAGATGCTGCAGTGAGCCGAGATTGCACCACTGCACTCCAGCCTGGGCAACAAGAGTGAAACTCCATCTCAAAAAAAAAAAAAAAAAAAAAGGCACGTGTTCTCCGGCAAGCACCTTCCATCGACTCCAACAGTTCAGCCATCGCTGTTGTACTATCGGGGTGCAGCACTCTGAAGGAGTCAGGCCCAACTAGAACCAAGTGGTCAAAAAAATAAATACACAATTTAAAACAATGGACAGCTAAGCTTGTCATGACAGACAGTGGGAATTTCATTCCATGATGCTTCATTTTTGCATTAAATACTGAAGATGACTCAGTGCATAATTGCTTTGTGGTCCATGAGACGCTTTCGTGAAGGCACTCCTATCTGAAGGACAGGCTGGGTGAACACCTAGCACTGTCACTTGAGACATCTTGGCTGGTCACCAAGGTGAGCCGGCATACTGTCTCCATCACCCTCTGGTGAGTCTTTCCCCTCACCGGGTGGGAGGAGAAGGCCATCCCTTGGGGTCGTGGAGCCACTCTCTCCTCACCACGGTGGGCTGCCCTCCCCTTCCTCACTTGCTAGTCCCCGCTTGGTGGCCGATGCCCTGCCCTCCTTGCTGTCACTTTGGGAAAGAGATCCTCCTGAGGCACGTGTCATGTTTTATTCTTGAGTGAATTATCTGACCATCACGGCCCTTGCTCCCCTTTTATGACATGTGCCTGTTATTTCTTTTGTTGCTTATGATGACAAGAAGGCAGTCCCGGGAGGGGAGTCTGGCACAGCTGCCCTTGGGAAGGAACTGGTGTTTCTGAGGGGGAGGGGGCTGGTGGGGTGTAGCAAATGCTTATGTACGGTTATCCATACTCAGTCAATTGTGAAGGGAACAGTATACCCACAATTCCACCCAAAGACTCTACAAAATAAATCTTTCTCTCCATCTCCCTTACATTTAGGGCCTTTCATTTTTAAGGCACTGGGTTGTGAAGACTTGAAGACATACAAGGTCAGTAAAACTGAAGACCTTGCATCCTGCTTGCTTCAAATGTGGAGAGGCAAACACAGGCTACTGGACCAGACGGGAACGGTTACCCACGGTGACAAAAGCAGGTCTCCAAAGCACAGCATTTTGGTTAGTGCATTCCAGATGTGTTAGCTACAACTGGGGACACCAACTTGAATAACACATTTTTCTTTTAACAAAACAAAAGTTTACCCTGCTTGGATGATGCTAAATGCCCTTAAGCACTAGGCCTTCGGTTGCCACTGAGAAAGCACACCATTTCCATTCCACTGTGTGTGAAGCCACAACCCTACTAATTCCTTCATTAACTCAACAAGATTTGCATCCCTTAATAAATCCAAGCCGATGCGGAGACATCAGGGGAGACTTTATCAGATGTCCCCCAAGGGAGGGCAAGTCTGGAAGTAGTGGGGTTATGCTTCACAGGGGAGAGATACTGTTCTAGGAAAAAAAAACACCCACATTTTCTGGAAGGAAAACTGAGTTTTTTTAAGAGCAGTGTTTCATCCCGAGCTAAGGTCAGGATTAATGCCTATTTTTCATTTGGTTTGCATCAGAAGAGCTCGTTTTCCTTCCCAGCAGCTCCAGTGGAATTACTTTTTGGAATTAGAACTGAGACCAAACAAAGTGATGATGTCAGTCATTGCTTCTTTCAGGTGCCTTCCAAAGCGATGAGAATCCTTTCATGTAAAAACAAAAACCAAAAACCTATTAAAACGTGGCCATCCCCACATTTCAAGCTTTTTCATTTGCAATCTGACCCAATGTTTCATTGAAATTCCTTTCTGCCAGTTCTCTAAGATCTGACCAACGTCTTAAAGCTTAACTTAGACATTCCAGAGAAATGCTGAGGGTAAAGAGATGACAGCTGATGTGTTTGTGCGGGTGTGTTGTCGATCTAAGCCTTCCCCTAATGCCAATGCGTTTATCCCACGGAAAACACAATGACCATCCTGAGCATGGTGGCTCATGCCTGTAATCCCAGCACTTTGGAATCGCTTGAGCCCAGGAGTTCAAGACCAGCCTGGGAAACATGGTGAAACCACATTTCTACAAAAAATACAAAAATCAGCCAGGTGTGGTGGCACTCCCCTATAGTCCCAGCTACTCAGGAGGCTGAAGTAGGAGGATCCCCTGAGCCCAGGAGGCTGAAGCTGCAGTGAGCCGAGATCACACCACTGCACTCTAGCCTGGGTGGCAGAGTGAGACCCTGTCTAAAACAAACAAACAAACAAACAACAAAAGAAAACCGCAGTGAACAAATAAACCCCAACTTCCTCTGTTAACAGCGACAGTGGCATGGGTTGCCAGGCTATGTACGACAAGGAAAGCAGAATATAAATAAGGGCAATGTGCCATGCTAGGGAGGAGGTCCCTTGTTCCATCCACAGAGGAAGCCGGGGGTCCCCTGCTCTGTATGCAGATTTCTTAGTGTGTACCCATTATTTTTAGTTCATCTTCCAAGTGCTAAAGAGTCTGAAAGTTACAGCAGCACTCCAACGTTAAGCTTCAAAACCATTGCTGCCAACAGAGGTAAACATGTTAAACCAAATTAGATACATTTCCTTTTTTTTTTTTTTTTTTCTGAGACGGAGTCTCACTCCATCACCCAGGCTGGAGTGCAGTGGCATGATCCTGGCTCACTACAACCTCCACCTCCCGGGTTCAAGCGATTCTCCTACCTCAGCCTCCTGAGTAGCTGGGATTACAGGCGTGTGCCACCACACCAGCTAAGTTTTGTATTTTTAGTAGAGGCGGGGTTTCACCATGTTGGCCAGGATGGTTTCAAACTCCTCACCTCAAGTGATTGGCCAGCCTCAGCCTCCCAAAGTGCTGAGATTATAGGTGTGAGCCACCGTGCCTGGCTGAGATACATTTGTTTAAAACTAGGTAAAGAGAATTTTGAAATTCACTTATGGCTGGGCACAGTGGCTGAAGCCTGTAATCCCAACACTGGGAGGCTGAGGTAAGAGGATCGCGTGAGCCCAGGAGTTCAAGACTTGCCTGGGAAATGTGGGGAGACCCTGTCTGTACAAACAATTTTTTAATTAAAAAAATTTAGGCCAGGCGCGGTGGCTCATGCCTGTAATCTCAGCACTTTGGGAGGTCGAGGCAGGTGGATCATCTGAGGTCAGGAGTTTGAGACCAGCCTGCCCAACATGGTGAAACCCTGTCTCTACTAAAAATACAAAAAAATTAGCCGGGGTAGTGGCGGGTGCCTGTAGTCCCAGCTACTTGGGAGGCTGAGGCAGGAGAATCACTTGAGCCCGGGAGGCAGAGGTTACAGTGAGCCAAGATCTCGCCCCTGCACTCCAGCCTGGGCGACAGAGTGAGACTGTGTCTCCAAAAAAAAAAAAATTTTTTTTTAAAAGCAGTCCATTTATGTGAAAATTCCCGAAATCAAGTAAAAGCAGGCAGTTGAATTGACTTTTTCTGTCAAATTAAAGATGTGTTTCCTTAAAAAGAATAAAGCAAAAATACCCCATCTTCAGAAAAAGGAACTTCTTTTCATACATACCGTCTCAGGGCAAGAGAACTTGGAAGAAATGTGGAAATTGATGAGGTTCTCTCCCACAAGGATGTACGACACACCATAGCCGTCATCAGCAACCTGGAGGACAAGGGAATTTGAATTTGTTGCTGGGAAATGAGACAACGTGAAAAAGGGACTTTCTAATGTTCTAAATGCAACACTGGCGGGGCTCGGTGGCTTCTCCTTGTAATCCCAGCATTTTGGGAGGCTGAGGCAGGCGGGTCACTTGAGCCCAGGGGTTCGAGACCAGCCCGGACAACATGGTGAAACCCTGTCTCTACAAAAAAATACACACACACACACAAATTAGCTGGGCATGGTGGCATGCATCTGTAGTCCCAGCTACTCAGGAGGTGGAGGTGGGAGGATCACCTGAGATGGGGGAGATTCAGGCTGCCATGAGCCATGATCATGCTTACTGCACTCCAGCCTGGGTGACAGAGCGAGACCTTGTCTCAAAAAAATAAAAAATAAGTGCAAGACTGCCAAGGACATCCATAGCAATGATCAGCAGTAATTCCTTTACGGCGGTAGAACCGCAAGGTAACGGGGGCACCCAGCACGGAGATGGGCCCATCACACCCCATTACCCATCCCATCACCACGCCCCACTGCGCCTCGCCCAGCCCCGCCGCACTCACCGGTCCAAAGCCCCCTCCGCTGGACACGTACTCTGGGTTATTCTCCAAGTCAAACAGCTCCACTTGCTGCTGAGGGGTCTGGCTTGTTGATAATCTCCAAGGCTCAGATAAAACCTATTGAGTGAAACAGGGAAATGTTTCCTAATCCCCTCCTCTACCGTCCCTCAGGAGTCGCTTTGGGAAGACGAGAAAAGCCTGGCTTGGTCTTTTGATTGTTCCACACACCACAAGTCTATGTCTCCAAAGGCCTCACTGGCTTGGGCAGCGTATCTGCAGAGAGCATGCGGGGTGGGTGGGGCCCCCAGACTGGGGCAGGGAGTGCAGGGTGGGGGTGGGGGCATACCAGCAAATAGCATCTCAGACAGTGAAGGTAACAGATATATGGAGTAAGATTCGGAACGGGGACAGAGGTGTCAGACTTGTACCAACTCCCACGAGCCAGCTGCCATATTTTCAGAGAATTTTCAAGCTGGCTATTAAATACAGCCACTATTAAAAATTAAATTTGCCAGGCGCAATGGTTCATGTCTGTAATCTCAGCACTTTGGGAACCCGACGCGGGTGGATTGCCTGAGCTCAGGAGTTCGAGACCAGCCTGGGCAACACGGTGAAACCCCGTCTCTACTAAAATACAACAACAAAAAAAATTAGCCAGGCATGGCAGCGTGTGCCTGTAATCCCAGCTACTTGGGAGGCTGAGGCAGGAGAATAGCTTGAACCCGGGAGGCGGAGGTTTCAGTGAGCCAAGATGGCGCCACTGCACTCCAGCCTGGGTGACAGAGCGAGACTCCATCTCCAAAAAATAAAAAATAAATAAATAAATAAATAAAACTTAAATTAAATTTGAGCTGGGCACAGTGGTGCACATCAGCTACTCAGCAGGCTAAGGACGAAGAATTGCTTGTGTCTAGGAGTTTGAGCCCAGCCTGGGCAACACTGTAAGACCCTGTCTCAAAAAACAATAATAATATATTTCATAAACTTACAATAAAATAAAGGATTTTTAAAACAAAGGTGGTACGCGCTCACAGCTCATCACTCCCTAGTTACTTCCGTGCGTCTTACTGTGACGTAAGCTCTCGAGGTCTTCGGGTCTATTAAGTCAGGGGCTACATGTGACAGCGAAGTTTTTGAAGAAATGCAGTACTAAACGCGCTGCTCACATTTTCCATTTTATGACAGCTACACCCACAGACCCGTTTTTTTCAAATGCCCATTCTGACATTAAAATATGTTCATGCAAGGCTGTAGTAATTTACTAAGTTTTGGTCTAGCCAATACAACTGACGGAAGAAGTGGAAGAGACTTACTTCCTTAAGGAAAGGGGACTCCACAGCGAGATATTTAGACACCACGTAAAGGCAGAAGAGGTGACGATCGATCCCAGAGCCGGTCATGGCGAGGCGATACATATGCTGATGCTTCTCAGACGCCAACTTGAACAACTTCAGCCTCTGTTCCACCTGAGTGACAAAAGGTGGGAAGGACATATGTTGCATGTCTCAAGTTGAGCAGTTACGGATCTAAGTTAGCCACCGCACCCGGCTAATATTTTTTGTTATTTTTAGTAGAGACGGGGTTTCAACATGTTGCCCAGGGTGGTTTCGAACTCCTGAGCTCAGGCAATCCGCCCACCTCATCCTCCCAAAGTACTGGGATTACAGGCGTGAGTCACCGCGCCCGGTCTGACAGCCTTTCCAGAATGAAGTTTGTCTCGGAAAAAAGAGCCCTGGCCAGTGTCTCCTCTGGGGATCAGCGGAAAGCACCTGCACGCTCTGGGGATCAGCAGAAAGCACCTGCACGCTGGAGTCAGGCGGACCCAGTGGCCTGGGTCTGACCTCGGCCATTAGTGAGCAGAATGGCCCAGCAGCTGCTGAATTCATCTAGGCCTCTGTTTCTTTATCTATGGAAATGAACTGATGACACTTCTCAGGACCACTGCTAAGAAAATTTAAAGGACAATGTACAGAAAACCCCCAGGCCCCAGCCTGGCACTTGGGGCCCAGCGTGGCAATGGCTCTAATAACCAATGGAAGGTCCCGTGCGACAGTCACAGCTCACCTACCCTGACACCAACCACCTGTTCAGTTCCAAAGCAGCCACCTGCTATGCCTTTCCTCATTGTGTGTCCTGGCCTAATTTAAAGACTCTCAGGAAGTAGAATATGATTTGGAGAAGTATCATTTGTAACATGCGTCTCTGTCCTTGTCCCTACCTTTACCTTTTAATATTTTAATACCTTCTGTACCCTTGAAAGGGGCAGAGGAAAGAAGCTGAATTGAGCACCCCTAAAGAAGAAGGTACAGGAATGATGAGATCAGAGAAGCTGGAGTGATGGCCTCCAGAAGCCTTTTAGGGAAGTGTGACAAGCACGTTGTGTCCTCAGCCTGATGGCACATTACCGTCTGGGCCGGGTCCACCATGGCCCGCACGAAGTCGCATGACTCAGTGGTGCAGGAGCGCACGGTCTCCGTCCTCCCCTCTCGGAAGAGCCGGGTCATGGAGGCCTCGTATGTGAGGCAAAACTTGCCCATGTCCTGGGGAAAGAGAAGTACTTCAGTGCACGGCAGGGCATGCTGATATGTCTAAAACGTAAGGAAGGATTGGGTAAGATTGGCAAGGAGACGTGGACTTCATTGTCAACATTTTTTTGAGACGGGGTCTTGCTGTTGCCCAGGCTGGCATGCAGTAGCATGATCACAGCTCACTGCAGCTTCAACCTCCCCCTGCTCCGGTGATCCCCCCACCTCAGCCTCCTGAGTAGCTGGGACTACAGGTGCATGCTAATTTTTTTAAAATTTTTTTTGTAGAGACAGGGTTTCACCACATTGCCCAGGCTGGTCTTAAACTCCTGGCTCAAGCGATCCACCCGCCTTGGCTTCCCAAAGTGCTGGGATTACAGGTGTGAGCCACTGTGCCCAGCCTATTGTCGAATCATATTTTCAGTCTCTGGCCGCTTTTACATGTGGGTAGTGACGTGGCAGCAGACAGGTGTCACTGGCTTCAGGAAGGGCCTGGTGGAGGTGGGTCAGTTTCTAGGTTAACCAGGTTTCTGTTTCAAGATGCAACTGATACTATGACACCCCCCCCACCCCCGAGTCCAACACACCTCTGCTGCATTCCCTTCAGGCTAAGGTGCAGCCTGCAGCAGTGTACAGAAGGAATGCCGTGCACAGCAGGGGATCTGTGTTTGAAATGATTTAAAGACACAACGTATTGCCTGGAGCAATTCCACTGCGTCTGGAAGATGGTGAGAATGATCTGGGAGAGACTGTGCTGGGGTGCAGGAAGAATGTCTAGCAGGAGGGCGGGAAGTGGGTGGGGCCGGAGCCTGAAGCACAGCCACTGCCCCATTAGACAGGAAGCCTCGGGTGGGCTGGCAGATGCACAGGGAAGGTCTCTTCCAAAAGCTCCTGTTTTCTGGGTGAAGCAGAAGAAAGCGGGCCTGCTGAGGGCCAGGCTGGAGAGGAGGTGCTGGCAGCGGGAGAGGGGTGTGATGTGGCATTCAGGGGCATGGAAACATGGTGCCTGGCCCACTGCGGTCAGCGCTCACTCGTGGGGAGGGGAGACGAGCCAGCTGTTGAATGCTTTTTTTCCAGCTAGGCTGGTGCCTTGGGAACAGAATCACAGCAGCTGGAGAGCTGGGCTGAACCCGGGAGCCTCTGCAGGCTCCCCAGGTAAGTTCAGGGGGACCAGGGAGTCAAGGTAAGGGATGATCCCAAAGAACCATGGAACCCACACCCAGAGAATAGAAAAGGGAGGGCAGGGAGGGACAAGGGGATGGGGTCAAGGAACGTGGGCATCTGGGCCTAGAGAGGACAGCACGGCAGGAGGGGCTGATGCCCCTGAGGCTGAGCCTTGGTGGAGATGACGGGATAGTGCAGCAAGGGCCCCTGCTGGGAATAGCAGATGGTGGATAAGGACAGAGACTGAGTCCAAGGCAGCACGCGGCTGTGGGAGGAACAGCATCTGCGTGCTGCCCCAAGAAGGGGCCCGGGGCCACCAGGCCAGCTCAAAGAGGACCAGGTTCCAAGTGGGGACGAGAAGGTGATAAGCAGCAGTTTATGGACCCAAATGATTCCTGACCAGACACATCCCTGCACATTAGTGTGCACCCTGGCACAGGCCCTGGTGGCCCCAGGGTGGCAGACCCACCCATCTGCAAAGGACACCATGTGGCAGGCTGATACTGTCAAATGAACCCAGAAGAGGGTGCCAGAGGCAAGGCTGGGCTGAGCACAGGGCCTGCTCAGCCTGGGGAAGGGGAAGCCGGACAGAGCACAGGACCCACTCAGCTGGGGAACGGGGAGCCGGACAGAGCACAGGACCCACTCAGCTGGGGAACGGAGAGTCAGACAGAGCACAGGACCCGCTCAGCCGGGGAAGGCCTGGCACCTGCACACAGGCCCAGCTGAAGTCAGGCTCCTCACAGTGCAGCCAAGATCTCTGGAGGAGAGGAGGCCCCTGAAAGGCAGAAGGTAGCGTCCAGGACCAGGGCCCCTGAAAGGCAGAAGGAAGCGTCCAGAACCAGTGAAATGAGAGTGCATCAGCCAGCAGAAAAAGGAAACTGAAGGCGTCGACAAGAGCAGCGGCTTTGCAGAGGGAAGCGTCTAGAGACCGTGGGAGCACGCTGGACACCAGCGCTAAGCAGCACTTGCAGTGAGGACCTGGCTGAGCCCCCAGGATCCCCCCAACGTAGCTGGCCGCCTTGGGGAGCTCTCTTCCCCAACCCACAGATGCCACCAACCCTGGTGGCATGACACGACACTCAAGATTCCCTTGGGAGCGGGGGTCACAGGCCTGGGGCCTGCCATGAGGCCACGGGGCCTCCTGCTTCCCATGCTGATAGCAAACGCGCCTTTCAGAGCCCTTCCCGCATCTCCTCACTACAGAGCACTTCATAGGCGCTCACAATGAAGAAGTGGGGAGAGGGAGAGAAGCAGATAAAAGGGAAAGCGGAAATGTGGCATTTTAGTTATTTAATAAAGGTAAACTTGAACTATATGATGCAATGATTCATTTGAAATCAATGTTCCAATATCAAACTTTAATTGTGTAAGTTATGAGAACAGTCATGCCTTGTGCCCACAGTTTAAAAGACAGCCATCTAAAAAACTTCTTGGCAAATGCATTGAATATTAGTGTGCAAGCCCCACTGGAGCTCAGACGCCATCAAAGAGCCAAACCAGGTTACAACTGCAGCACCCTTGACCCACTGTGACCAGCCGCCATCAGGAGGATGGCCCTTCGCTGCCACCAAAACATCTCCAGTTTCTAAGAAGCAGGATTCAAAGACAGTCTATAGATATACTGACATATATGGCATCACACACTAGCACTGTTACTATGGGGCTAATGATTCAGGTTGGTAGGGCTTCCAAAGCAGGAGGCAAATAACTGCTGCAGACTAGAATTAATACCACTGTCTAGTGTCAGCATTCAATCCATATTCAATATTCAATACTGATTTACTGATGCTCCCGGCACAGGCAATACTGTTGTAAGACAGATCATGCCTTTGCCCTCAATGAGCAAACATTCTAGCAGGAGACAGGGATGAACAAAAAAATTCTATCACATCAAGTCAGGCCACTGAATAGAAATAACACAGGAACAGGGAACTAGGGAACAGAACAATGCGGGAGGGGCTACCTTTTTTTTTTTTTGGAGACAGTCTCACTCTGTCGCCCAGGCTGGAGTGCAGTGGTGTGATCTTGGCTTACTGCAACCTCTGCCTACCGGGTTCAAGCAATTCTCATGCCTCAGCCTCCTGAGTAGCTGGGATTAGAGATGCGTGCTGCCATACCTGGATAATTTTTGTATTTTTAGTAGAGACGCGTTTCCCCATGTTGGCCAGGCTGGTCACAAACTCCTGACCTCAAGTGATCCACCTGTCTCAGCCTCCCAAAGTGCTGGGGTTATGCTTTATAAAATGAAATACACAAGGTTATTGTGCATAACCTTGAAGGACCCCTTCAAGGGGTCAATATAACACAAGGTTATATTGTGTATAACCTTGAAGGACCCCTGAGAAGGGGTCCCCAGGCTCTCCTAGGCTGCCCAAGGGGTCCAGGGCAGAAAAAAGGTTCAGAAGCTTAGAAGAGACCCACAGGGCCACAGCAAGGTTCTGGATTTATGTAAAACCACAGGGAGGCTCTGCAGCTCCCAGCTGGGTTGAGATCGGTCTGAATGTTAATTTTTGAATGAATAAATCTGATGTATACTTTTAATAGATCACTTTAATGGATCTGTCATTTTTATTTTATTTTTTATTTTTTTGAGACAGAGTCTCACTCTATCGCCCATGCCGGAGTGCAGTGGTGCGATCTCAGCTCACTATAACCTCCGCCTCCCAGGTTCAAGGGATTCTCCTGCCTCAGCCTCCCAAGCAGCTGGGATTACAGGTACCTGCCACCACGCCCAGCTAATTTTTTGCATTTTTTGGTAGAGGCAGGGTTTCACCATGATGGCCAGGCTGGTTTCGAACTTCTGACCTCAGGTGATCCATCCGCCTCGGCCTCCCAAACTGCTGGGATTACAGGCGTCAACTACCACGCCCGGCACTCCAGCCTGGGTGACAGAGTGACACTCTATCAAGGAGGAAAAAAAAAAAAAAAGAAAAGAAAAAGGAAACTTCACAACATCACCTGCTAATATTTTGCATTTATCCTTTCTAGACTTTGCATGTAACAAAGCAAGAGTTGGGAAACTTCTGTAAAATGCAGAACAGGCTGTGCGGGCCAGGTGCTCTCTGTGGCGACTACTCCGCTCTCCCACTGGAGTGAGAACAGCACAGACAACATGTGAAAGCCGGGCATGGCCGTGCCCAGAACGCTTCACTGATGAACACTGAGACTTCACGTAATTTTCACATGTCACAAAGTATTGGTCGCCTGTTGACTGCTTTTCAACTACTAAATATGTGAAGCCATTCTTAGCTTTCTAAGCCATGAAAACAAAAATGAAAACAAAAACATTGAAGGGCCAGGTTTGGCCTATGAGCCACAGTCTGCAGATCATTGTAAGAAACACCTGACTTTCACAAACTGTTTTATGACTAAATATTTTTCCGTATAATATGCCATAGATGGCTGGGCGTGGTGGCTCACACCTGTAATCCCAGCACTTTGGGAGGCCAAGGATTGCTTGAGCCTAGGAGTTTGAGACCAGCCTGGGAAACAAGGTGAAACCCCATCTCTACAAAAAACATAAAAATTAGACGGGCCTGGTGGTAAATGCCTATAGTCCCAGCTACCTGGGAGACTGAGGTGGGAGGATCGCCAGCACCCAGGGAGGTCGAGGATGCAGTAAGCCGTGATTGTGCTACTGCATTCCAGCCTGGGCAAGAGTAAGACCCTGTCTCAAAAATATATATACACATATATATGCCTTAGACATCACTTAATAGCTATATAATATTCCGCTGTGTGAAAATACCCTATTTTAATTTAGTATCATGAAAGGAAGATTCACTCTGCCGAAAGGAAAGGATTACACTGAAAGCTTCGTGCAAGAAGCTGCCTTTTTCTTTTGTTCCCAAGCACAGAGTGACGGATAAAAGGCGAAATGTCTCCACTCTGGGTTCACCGGGTTTTGTGTAACAAATATGTAACTGACGATTCCCCTACCGCCCCTTTTCTCTTGCATCATGGGAATTCCGTAACGTGGCCACGCCCTCCCTTCCTTCCCCTCCTGCCTGCTTTTCCTTTTAAATACTGAAGCCCTCAAAACCACCTTTGGAGGAAGGCACAGGCCTGTCTCCCAGGCACGCATCTTTAACCTTGGCAAAATCAACTTCTAAATAAATTGAGACCTGTCTCAGACACTTTCTAGTTTCCAGTCTTTTTTTTTTTTTTTTTTTTTTTTTTTGAGAGGGAGTCTCGCACTGTCACCCAGGCTGGAGTGCAGTGGTGCGATCTCGGCTCACTGGAAGCTCCGCCTCCCGGGTTCACGCCATTCTCCTGCCTCAGCCTCCCGAGTAGCTGGGAGTACAGGCGCCCGCCACCGCGCCCGGCTAATTTTTTGTATTTTTAGTAGAGACGGGGTTTCATCGTGTTAGCCAGGATGGTCTCGATCTTCTGACCTCATGATCCGCCCACCTCAGCCTCCCAAAGTGCTGGGATTACAGGCATGACCCACTGTGCCCGGCCTGCCAGCATTAACTTTTAAGATTTCTTCTTCTTCTTTTTTTATTTTTTGAGACGGAGTTTTGTTCTTATTGCTCAGGTTGGAGTGCAGTGGCGTGGTCTTGGCGGCTCACTGCAACCTCCACCTCCCACGTTCAAGTGATTCTCCCGCCTCAGCCTCTCAAGTAGCTGGGATTACAGGTGTGCACCACCACCCAGCTAATCTTGTATTTTTAGCAGAGATGGGGTTTTACCATGTTGTCCAGGCTGGTCTCGAACTCCTGACCTCAAGTGATCCACCTGCCTAGGCCTCCCAAAGTGCTGGGTTTACAGGCACGAGCCACTGCGCCTGGCCAGATTTCCTCACATTTTTACAGTAAGCTTGCTCACACGTGTTTTTTGTGTACCTACCCTTTTTCATGGATCATGTGCAGGGTCAAAGTTATTCTTCCCCGATGCATGTTTCCAACTGTGTGGTCTGTGCTGCTCCCAGTCCTGCCATGGGGCCCCTAAATTTATTAAAACTATTCCCAGCTGCTCTATGAACATCCCTGCCTCAGTCCACCCTCACCAACATGAAAAAAAGCCTTTACCAACCCCGTAGGCAAAAATCTAGTCTTGTTTAAGTTGTACTTGTTAGATTCTTGGTAAGATTAAGCTTATTACCTACACTCATTGACCGTATTTTTCCTCTCTTGTGAACCACAGTTTCTGGTCTGACTCCTTATTTCTCTTGGATTATTTTTTTCCAAAGGCAACCACTTAGCCAGATTTCCCAGCTCCATTTACTCACCAGCTCCCCGTCCCCTACTGATGTCAAATGCTCCCTCCATTACACGTTATTTCCCAGGCCTGCTTTTGTACGAGGACTGCAGCATTTTATTTTTATTAAAAACAATTTTTTTAAAGATAGGGTCTCACTGTCATCCAGGCTGTAGTGCAGTGGCACGATCACGGCTCACTGCAGCCTCCACCTCCGGGGCTCAAGTGATCCTCCCACCTTAGCCTCCGGAGTACCTTGGACTACAGGCATGCGCCACCATGCTGGGCTAATTTTTTTTTTTTTTTTTTTGTATTTTTTGTACAGATAGAGTCTCCCCATATTGCCCAGTCTGGTCTCAAACTCCTGGACTCAAGTGATCCACCTGCCTCAGCCACCCAAAGTGCTAGGATTATAGGACTGAGACCACTTTAATCACAACAGTCTTCTAACTCCTACACTTTAAGTTTTAGGATTTGAAAAAGTACATGTCCACCTCCCCGTGTCCTGCCTCCGCCTGATTGCTTTTCTTTTCAAAAATGTTACAGGTGACTCTCAAATGTTAGCCTTTTCAAGCCTCAAGATCAACTGGGCAAGCTCCTCTCCTGAAGCCCCTGCCTGACCTCTCACTGTGTTCATATTAAATGTGTGAACTAAGCCAGGCATGGTGGCTCAGGCTTGTAATCCCAGCACTTTGGGAGGCTGAGGCAGGCGGATCACTTGAGGTCAGGAGCTCGAGACCAGCCTGGCCAACGTGGTGAAACTCCGTCTCTACTAAAGATACAAAAATTAGCCAGGTGTGGTGGCAGGCACCTGTAGTTTCAGCTACTCGAGGGGCTGAGGCAGGAGAATCACTTGAACCTGGGAGCCGAGTGAGCAGCCGAGGCTGCAGTGAGCCGAGATCGTGCCACTGCACTCCAGCCTGGGCAACAGAGTAAGGCTCCGTCTCAAAAAAAAAAAAACAGTGTGAACTGGGAACATCCCTTCCTCTATGGTTCTGAAGTTTTTTTTCATCCAAAATCATGGCTTTTTCTCCCTCTCCCTGGGGAGGAGTTGGGGGGCGAGTGCTCCTCGGCCTTCTTCCCAGAGTCCAGTCTGCTTTATACACGTATGCCTGGAAGGTGGGGCCCCAGATTCTCGTTTCTATTACATTCTCTTATTATATTTCCCACTTGGCCATCATCCTTGTGCAAGAAAGCTGGTGGTCTTTGTGCAACTCTGCGCTGGGCCGGCTCACTGGGTGTGCCTCTTAATCGTCAAAGCCTTTCTGCTGTTCCATCTCCTGAACAGACATAAATGTTCTTCCTGCCCAATTACCCTGTCATCTGCTAGAGGCATCCTCATCTTTCTTGTTTTAAGGGGACTGCCTCCCACACTTTTACTTTGAAGCAGTAGCTAGCTATTAATACACGATGCCACTTATCCTGTTAAGGAAAGAGCCCTATTACTAAGCCCCTTGACCAAGAGCTCTTATCAGGAATGGATGTTAAACGTGAAACGTCTTCTTAGGATCTGTGAAACTCACTATCTAGGCTCTTCTCTGACCCAACAGTATGGTTTAGTGTATGACTGGATTTACTGACACAAAACCAGCCTCTCACCGCTGGTGTACGCCACTGTGGGTGACTATTCTTTTCCTACAGTGCTGGATTCTAGTTGCTAAGATTTTATGGAGGGTCTCTGCACTTCCATTCATGCGGGAAGCTGGTCTGTGCTTCCTTTTTCTGCGTTTAGCTGCAGCACAGTGATGAGAGCCACAGGTTCTCGAACAAGCCTGCCTGCTTCCGATCTCAGTCCTGCTGCGTACGAGCTGGAGCCCTCAGGCAAGATGCTTCACCTCCGAGTGTGGAGGGCAGAGATGAAGAGATGCCTTCCTCGGGGCCGTCCTGAAGTTTCGCTCGCTCCTGCCAAGTACATGGCACAGTGGCTGGTGCCCCTTGCAGCTCATTCCCACACCTGGGCCACGTGGGTTCTGGGGAGCAGATGGGGTGGCTTCCTTTGTGGAGTCTCTGAGCTGCAAGCTCTTTGGAGTCACAAGGGTGGCTCCCTGACAACCTCTCACTTTGGTCCCTGGACCAGAGGCCTTTTCAGGTTTTCTACCTTGAGTCAACGTCACCAATTTGTACTGCTTGCAGAATAGTCATTTCAGCATGTTTCAAAATGTACTAAACTGGAGCGTGGCATTTCCTTACTAAACTCCTAAGTCCTGCGCTTACTTGCAGGGAATTCTTTTAAAAAAGAAAAAAATTTAAAAAGATAAAATAACATCCTTTCTGTAGGTAAGGTATCAACTGCTTGCATGCCCTCATACTGCACGTTTACGGGCAAAATCTGCTCATCAATTCTCAAAATCCAGCTCACTGATTCTGAGATGCGATGCCTCTATTCCATGTCACCTTTTAATCACATGATCTTTAGTCAATGATCTGTCACAGACAGGAGCTTGTCACTGTGCTCCTGGTACTCTGCCCAGCTGCTTCTGGTTTACGCATAGTGAGCATGTTACTTGGGAAAGCAAGGCTTCATAACTGTGACAGTCTTTACAGACTGTATTAGCATGCATTTTAAATACGATTTTGGCCCATTCATTCCAGTTCATCTGATATTAACACTGCCTCTTACTTCTCTGTAACTGTTTTCTTAACTTTAGGTGGAGAGAGCATAGACTCTGGAGCCGCTGGCCCGCTTTATCCCTGCCTAGTGCCACCCTGGCAAGCACCTGGCCTCTCTGCACCTGTTTCCTCACCTGTAAAATGGGAAAACAAGATTTTCTGAGGCATAATGGGGACTTGTAAATTTTTAAAAATGGGATAACAAGAGTGCCTCCCAGGTGCAGAGACAGTGAAGCATGAGGTACATGATGCACCAAGCAAAATTCAACAATGGCACAATCGTTACCAAGGTTGGGGGGGCAGTGCCACACGCTGCATATGTGTACAGCACTCAAGTTTTAATACAAGGCTGGGCACGGTGGCTCACGCCTATAATCCCAGCACTTTGGGAGGCCAAGGCGGGTGGATCACCTGAAGCCAGGAGCTCGAGACCAGCCTGCTCAACATGGTGAAACCCCATCTCTACTAAAAATACAAAAAATTAGCTGGGCATGGGGGCGCACACCTGTAATCCCAGCTACTCGGGAGGCTGAGGCAGGAGAACTGCTTGAACCCGGGAGGTGGAGGTTGCAGTGAGCCGAGATCATGCCATTACACTCCAGCCTGGGTAACAAGAGTGAGATTCTGTCTCAAAAAAAAAGTTGGGAATATCTCAAGCCAATGCCACGATGACTTGTGCTGCCCCCAGAAACCAAGGGCCCCCTGTCTGGGATGGAATGCTCCCTCCAATGGACAAGAAGACCCATTTATGTCCCTGCTAGGGGTGCAGGCTGCTCCTCCAACAGGGGTTGCCAGGTGCAAGCCAAAATATGGCCAGTGCTCAGAAAAGGGAGATGGAAATGCCATGTGTATACAGGGGATCCAGCCCATGGCACCTCCAAGTGGCTGGAGTTTCTCCTTTTATGGAAGGAGATGTCAAAGGCCAGAGACGTTAAGTAATTTGCCCAAAGACATCACTTAATAGCTATATAATATTCCACTGTATGAAAATACCAAAATTTAATTTAGTATGGTGAAAGGAAGATTTACTCTGCCAAAAGGAAAGGATTAAGCTGAAAGCTAAGTCATGCAAGAAGCTTTTTATTTTGTTCCCAAGCAGAGAGCGACAGATGAAACGTGGACCATGTTCACCTGACCTGTGTGAAGTGCAGATTTACCGAGCGCCAGACGAATACGTAACTGACTATTCCCCTACCTGCCCACACTATTTCCACTTTAGCAAATGCTAGGATTCGGGGCTTATTATGGGGCTTAACTCTCCCTCTGTAGAGTGATGAGATCTCACTTTGTCCTCATCCCCCAGACTCTCCCTCTCCCGTGTCAGCTGGGAATCTACGCCTGCTGGAGGGGGATTTGCGAACTTTGCCCGCGTGCGTGGTGAAACACCCAACGCCACCCGGCCCCCGGAGACCGGGGTCGGGGGGAGCTGTGCTTCTCCTATGCCGGGTTTCGGGCCTTCCCTCCCCACTGGGTGAACAGTCTTGGGCAGGTGTAGGAACCCCCAAAGTGCTCACGACAAAACCCTAGGCGGTCAGTTCTTACCTTGTAGTGCGCCAGCTGGAGGGCCAGCTGCACAAAGGCGTCTGGGCTCGTGCGACATTTCTTGATGATTCCTTTACCAAAGGCTACGAATGGGAAGGAATGGAAATCCACGTCGTTTGCCAGAAGATTTGCGGTGTTCAGGGAGGTCTCTATAACCTCTTGACACTTGAGAGAAAGAAGAAAAAGGTTTTACGGAACGAGGGGAGAAAAGTACTGACGCACACCCAGAAGGAAATTGGAGGCTGGTTTTTAGTGCAGCTATAAACTCGGTACTGGGAAGTACACAAACGTTTTCCTGACCCAGAAGCCCTAGTAAGTTAGGGGCATGGCTCCCTGACCCCGGAGGAGCAGCTGCAATGTTATAGCAGGTAGCGGGTCTGACATGAGCAGGCCAGGAGAGGGCTTCCTCCGACACACACTGGGAATATCACGCGACCATCAGTGATGGTCAGGTGGTTGTGAACTGTCTCTCTAAAATAATAATAGGTCACAGCCGGTGCCAGGGAAAGGCAGTCTCTCAGTAGATAGAAATGGAGCTGGTGACCAGCAGCTTCCCGATAAGATCTCAAGCGTTGGGCGAGTGGGCTGAAGCATGCGCACTGAGAGGCAAAATGGCGGCGTCTAACTGGACTATGAGCTTCCTCCAGCAGTGCTAGACAGGCAAGGGCAGAACACCTCAAGTGAGCATGCGCACAACTCCAGTAAACATACTGCGCATGCTCCCTTCCCAAGCGCTGGAGCCACTGTGCATGCGGACAGCCCACAACAAGGGAGGAATTGGGAGAAGTAACACAAGACCCTGGACGCATGCCAATGTATAAAACCTCAAGTCAAGAGGTCAAACCTCGCACTTAATCTCCCAAGTTGGCCGCTTGGCCCTCTTCCAAATGTACTTTCCTTCCTTTCGTTCCTAAAGTTTTTAAAATAAACTTTCCCGCTTTTAAACTTGGTCTCTCCTGCCTTCTGCCCCACAGTCAAATTCGTTCTGAGAAGGCAAGAATTGAGGTTGCTGCAGACCCGTACAGATATGTTCTGACGCTAACAGGAACATGGGTAGGGGACGGGGGCACCCTGGCTTCCAGTGAGACCCCAAAGGGTGTTTCAAATAGTCACACGTCATCTTATGATGACGTCATCACACAGTGGCAATCAAGAAACACATTTTTTTACTTTTTATTATTAATTTTTATTTATTTGAGATAGGGTGTCCCTCTGTTGCCCAGGCTGGAGTGCAGTGGCACCATCGCTGCTCACTGCACCTTCTGCCTCCCTGGTTCAAGCCATTCTCCTGCCTCAGCCTCCGGAGTAGCTGGGACTACAGGCACTTACCACTATGCCCGGCTAATTTTTGTATTTTTAGTAGAGACGGGGTTTCACCATGGTGGCAGGCACCTGTAATCCTAGCTACTTGGGAGGCTGAAGCAGGAGAATCGTTTGAACCTGGGAGGCAGAGGTTGCAGTGAGCTGAGATCGCGCCATTGCACTCCAGCCTGGGTGACAGTGCGAGACTACATCTCAAAAAAAAAAAAAAAAAAGAAAAAGAAAATGGTATCTTGGACTCCAGGGAATTTCTCCTTGGATTAAGTGAACTAGGATTTGGTATTTGCAACCCTAAAATTCCTTCCCAAAAGGGCTCCTGTGAATGGGCTGCCTCTGAGCATGTTTAAGAGGTGCCAAAATGAATTAAACTTTGAGAAGTATAAATGAGCAATTTAGAGGCTTTCAGCTCTAACCTATGTGATTTTGGCTTTTAGTTTTTGATTATGAGCATTCTGTAGATGTCTAGTTAAGTTTAAGCTGGAAATAGCGCTGACAGTCTTAGCCAGGAGCTTCAAACAGAAGAAGAAATATTTACCGAGGCTTCCGAGGCAACAGGAGCTGTGACAGCCCCGCAGACCCACGGAACTCCCTGAGCAAACAACTTTCAGCCTCAGTGGTCTTCAACTGAGCTCATGATAGGGCAGGAACTACGGTTGGAAAATTCATCTGTAAGACTTCAAATGTGTTTCCCATCCCAGGTAAGTAACAATGGTTGGATAATCCGGACTTACTTCCCCCGGGATGTCCCACTGCAGCCTGGTGGGGTACGGAATGTTCGGATTGATGTCGCCTTTGCAGTGCCCATCCTCCGCATAGCCCAGCTGGAGGCTGTCAATGGACATGACGTACTGTCAAAAATAGAACAAAATTATTAAAACTAACAGTGGTACATAAAACACATTAACCTCCAACATGAAGAGAGGGTTGTTCTTTGCAGAGATGTTACAAAGTTTGAATCACAGCTGTTAAGGCTTCCAGTATGCTCAGCACCTAATGAGGTGGATCTGATCTCCATGTCAGATGTGACAGAGAGAGGACAGACGAGGGCTAAGGGCTTGCTCAAGTTTGTGACGCTCTCCTTTCACTGGCAAGTAAACCTAAGCCAATTTATTCAACGGTGTTTATTGGGCACCTACTATGGGTTGGAACCACTGTAGCATCAGCGGCATCCAAGCCCTGGTGACAGCGCAGACAAGAACTGTGTTTTGTGAACAAAACAGACAAGAATTCTTGCCCTTCCTTAAAAAGTGAAATATACCTGTATGACCCAGCAGTTCCACTCCTAGGTACATACTCACTGAAATGAAATGAATAGATGCTCACACAAAAACTTGTACAGAATGTTCAGAGCAGCATTATTCATAATAGCCAAAGAGTGGAAACAACACAAATGCCCATCAACTGATGAAGAGATAAACAAAGTGTGGTCAATCCATACAATGAGATATTATCCAGCCCTAGAAAGGAATGAATTCCAGGTATGTGTTACAACGTACTGAACCTTGAAAACATTATGCTGAGTGAAAAGAAGCAGGCAGGCGCGGTGCCTCACTTCAGTAATCCCAGCACTTTGGGAGGCCAAGGTGGGAGGATTGCTGGAGGCCAGGAGTTCCAAACCAGCTGGGCAACATAGTGAGATCTTATCTCTACAAGAAATTTTAAAAATTAGCCAGGTGTGGTGGCACATGGCTGTAGTCCCAGTTACTGAGGAGGCTGAGGTGGGAAGATCACCTGAGCCCAGGAGGTCATGGTTTCAATGAGTCATGACTGTGCCACTGCACTCCAGCCTGAGCGACAGAGCAAGACCCTGTCTCTAGAAAAGAAAGAAAAGAAAGCGAAAGAAAAGAAAAAAGAAGCCAGACATAGAAGACCACATATTGTATGATTCTATCTATATAAGATGTCCAAAATAGGCACATACATACACACAGAAAGATTAGTGGTCATCAGGAACCTGGGGGAGAAAGGAATGAGGGATTTCTTTTGGAGGTGATAAAAATAGTACAGAATTAGGCTGGGCTCTGTGACTCACGACTGTAATCCTAGCACTTTGGGAGGCCAAGGCGGGTAGATCACTTTAGGTCAGGAGTTCGAGACCAAGCTGGCCAACAAGGGGAAACCCCGCCTCTACCAAAAATACAAAAATTAGGTGGGTGTGGCGATGCACGCCTGTAATCCCAGCTACTCGGGAGGCTAAGCAGTGACTGTTGCACAAGCACCTCGTGAATATACTAAAAACCACTGAATTGTACACTTTTAAAGGGTGGATTTTAAGGTATGTGACTTATATCTCAACTAAAAAAATTAAGTTTTTTTAAAAGAGGAATCCCTGTGCTCAGGAAGCTTACATTCTAGTGAGGGAGGTAAAAACAACAACACAAGGTCGGGGTGACTGTCGGCTGGCGAGGCGGCGGGGCGGGTGGAAGGTGCCGCTAATACGTGGGGGTCACAATCCAGGCTGACCTGAGCCAGCGAACGAACAGACTTGATCAGGTTCCACCTGCTCTGGGTCAGAGCTCCAGAAGAGCCTGACACAGAAACATCAGAAATAAATCAAGAGCAAGACCGGGTGTGGTGGCTCATGTTAGTAATCCCAGCATGTTGGGAGGCTGAGGCAGGCAGATTGTTTGAAGCCAGGAGTTCGAGACCAGCCTGGGCAATGTGGCAAAACCCCGTCTCTACAAAAAATACAAAAATCAGCTGGGCGTGGTGGCGCACACCTGTGGTCCCAGCTACTCGGGAGGCTGAGGTGGGAAAATTACTTGAACCCAGGAGTTGGAGGTTGCAGTGAGCTGAGATTGCACCACTGCCCTCCAGCCTGGGTGGCAGAGCAAGACCCTGTCTCAAAAAATAAAAAATAAAAATAGAACAAGAACAAGAACAAACAGACTCAAGTTTGACTAGATCTGTCTTTAAGGGACTGCACTGGGCCCCCATGTGAGACTAGGTCAGTCCCCATCTGTGTATGGATCACATAAGCCCCCAGCCAGGGGTCCCTGGAGTCAGGCCATCCTGTCTGCTGGACGCTAACAACTAAACACCACTACTTCTACGTGCCCACCCTGGTCTAAGATAAAATCCCTTTATCCTTATCCAGAGAACTTTAAAAAACAAGCCTGATCTTGTAAATATCCAGTAGATTTCTCTACTTGATAAATGTACCCTGTGTGATCCAGCTGCCTATGGTCCCGACTCTTTTTCTTTTGCCAAACAACAGCTCTTAGGCATATAGGACTCGGGAAGTCCTTGGCCTGGGGTATAACAAGCCCGGGCTATTATGCTGTGCAGAGATTTATTAAAGCGTGCCTTCTTGCTACGTCCAGAGACACTGAAGGCAGCTTGATCTTCAATGCGCTCTGTAGCTAAAAGGCTCTCTCAGCTTTTGTCGACATCGCCAAAGAACCCTGGTGGTGGTGAAAAGCCCTTTTAATATTGGCTGCTTTTTATCAGGTATTAATGTCCTAGGGTCATACTGGTGTCTTAAAGCCTAGAGCACTATGTTTTTTTTTTTCCTTTTTATCCTTTTTCCTACATAGAAAACCTCCCTTGGCTGAAGGAGTGGCTGGAGGTTTTGCCAAGACTCCAACCAGAAGTAAGACAATTAAAAGAGGTAGAGGAAGATGAGACAGGAGCCCCTAACCTAGTCTTGGGAGAGGGTAGCAGGGCAGTGCCATTCCTAGGGGAAGTGAGGTCAGCTGAGACCTAAGGAAGACCTGACGGGGCCAGGAGCCAGGGGAAGCCAGGGGGAAAAGCCTTCCAGGCAGAGAGGAGAGTGAGTGCGAAGACTTTGCAAGAAAAAACTGGCACCAGAATTTGTTTATCTCTTGGGGGAAAAATAGACAGACACAATATTATAAAAAGAAACGTCAAGGCCAGGCGTGGTGGCTCATGCCATAATCCCAGCACTTTGAGAGGCCAAGGCGGGTGGATCACTTGAGGTCAGGTTTATATATATATAAAAATTATCCGGGCATGGTGGCATGTGCCTATAATCCCAGCTACTCGGGAGGCTGAGGCAGGAGAATCACTTGAACCGGGGAGGCAGAGGTGGCAGTGAGCTGAAATCGCACCACTGCACACCAGCCTGGGTGACAGAACAAGACGCCATCTCAAAAAAAAAAGTCAAAATTCAAAACATTCACAGAAGTTTAAAGAAAAAAGAAGGTCATACATTATGATGTCTTCACAAGTTTACTACTAATTTCTTTCTTTTTTTTTTGAGATGGAGTCTCACTCTTTCGTCCAGGCTGGAGTGCAGTGGCGTGATCTCGGCTCACTGCAAGCTCTGCCTCCCGGGTTCACGCCATTCTCCTGCCTCAGCCTCCTGAGTAGCTGGGACTACAGGTGCCAGCCACCACGCCCGGCTAATTTTTGTATTTTTAGTAGAGACGGGGTTTCACCGTGTTAGCCAGGATGGTCTCGTTCTCCTGACCTCGTGATCCGCCTGCCTCGGCCTCCCAAAGGGCTGGGATTACAGGCGTGAGCCACCGCGCCTGGCCACTACTAATTTCTAATTTCAGACACACAAACCCGGCTCCATGCCCTATCAAGAACAGCGAGGTGCTCAGCCTGCAGCTGGGCCCTGTCTCCCACACACGCCGTGACTTTCAGGTCATTTTATTCCACTTCATTTATTAGGCCAGCAGGAAAATTTAAAACACTGCAAAAAGATGGTCTTTATAGTCAATGTGAATCTCAAAGGGGCTTGTTGCTTTAAAAGAAAAAGATCTCAAGTCTCATCACAACAAGTGACCACAGTATTTTCTGTGTCAAGTCTACGGATGATGATCCTAGAATTTAGCAACTTTAAACAAGAACCTGACCGGTGAGTTAAGGAAACAAAACTTTCATTTAATTTCTCATGCCAAACACGGAACAGGTCAAACAGTTCAGAGTAACGAATTATTAAAAAAAAAAAAAAAAAAAAAAGGCTGAGTGTGGTGGCTCCCATCTGTAATCCCAGCACTTTGGGAGGCCCAGGCAGGCAGATCCCCTGTGCCCAGGAGTTCAAGACCAGCCTGGGCAACATGGGGAAACCTTGTTTCTACAAAAAATACAAAAATTAGCTGGGCATGGTGGCACACACCTGTAGTCCCAGCTACTTGGGAGGCTGGGGTGGGAGAATGTCTTGAGCCTGGGCGGTCAAGGCTACAGTGAGCTATGATTGTGCCACTGCACTCCAGTCTGGGTGACAGAGTAAGACCCTGTCTCAAAAAAAAAAAAAAAAACAATGGTAGAGGCCAATCCACAGGTGCAGGCAGGGGGACAGGGGTTTGTGGTTTTCAAATAACCTGGTAATTTTAAGAATTAAAATGATGTCTTAGGTAAAAGACACGCTGCATGTTTATAAACCCAGATTTTCACATGCTTGCTTCTATTTGGCCTAAAAAATGCGGTAGGTAGGAAACACTAGGAAATCCAGCACATAAGGGATAGTTTATTCCAGGAAAAACCGAGCTTCACTTCTGCTGTGAAGCTGCGGCCTGAGAGTCAACTGCCATTTCACTCTTTTGTTCCCTAAGGAGATGGCAGGAGATGCACTGCTGTTCAAGGGACCTAAGTTATGGGAAAGGAAGACAGGGATGCCTTTAATCTAGTGATTTAACTTCATGTGCATTACTAGTACAAGTGAAAAATTCATATTCTATAATCACGCAAATATTACAAAACTAAATTGACTGTGGGGTTTGGATTATCTTTTTTGTTTTTTCTTTTTGAGACAGAGTCTCGCTCTGTCGCCCAGGCCGGAGTGCAGTGGCACGATCTCGGCTCACTGCAACCTCTGTCTCCCGGGTTCAATCGATTTCTTCTGCCTCAGCCTCCCAAGTAGCTGGGGCTACAGGCATGCACCACCATGCCCGGCTAATTTTTGTATTTTTAGTAGAGACGGGGTTTCACCATGTTGGCCAGGCTGGTCTTGAACTCCTGACCTCAGGTGATCTGCCCGCCTCGGCCTCCCAAAGTGCTGGGATTACAGGTGTGCGCCACTGCGCCTGGCCAGGTTTGGATTTTCAAAAGCAACTTCCACATTCAAGTGAAAAGTGTGAAAACTCACCTCCCAAAGGTGGGCCACGATCGGCGCATCTGCCCAGGAGTGTTCAGCGTTGAGGCCCATCTTCCCGTTTTTGAAGACAACAAACGTGAACGACTTGTCAAACCACCTACGTGAAACACACATGTGTGGAACTTAAGTGTTTAAAGAGGCAACAATGAGGAGACATTGCACCTCTCTGCTTCATCCTGGATGGACTAATTCACTTTGCACCTGTCCCTCTAACAGTGAGCAGACACTCAGTCTCTGTGGAGTGAGGGTGAAAGTACAAACAGGACACTGAATCACTCATTTCTTCCCTGTCCCAGACACAAAGATGAGCGCTTATATCCTGGCAGCCTGAAGTCAGGACCTGTTGTTATCGCAAGGCAACTGGGGAGAGGTGGGAGGCTCTTCCCGTGGGCACATGACCCCTTCATCAGCCAATCCTTGGCTCCACCCTGCAGGGGGCGGGGCTGGCCAACACTTTACAGATAAGAAAAAGAGGACTTGAGATAGCCACATGCCAACACCCTGGCCTAACCCTGTGCCTAGCCCTGTTTGCCACTCTCCCCTGCCTGAGTCCAGGGACCTGGCAGCCCTGCATCTCATGAGCATCTCCAAACAAAGGTGGTCATGCACAGAGGAGGGAAGAATCTCAGATTTGCAGCTCAGGCTGTGTATGTGTGATAGTTTTGGCAGAGGGAAGAAAACTGAAGGTTGGCCAGGCGCAGTGGCTCACATCTGTAATCTCAGCACTTTGAGAGGCTGAGGTGGGTGGATCACTTGAGATCAGGAGTTCATAACCAGCCTGGCCAACATGGTGAAATCCTGTCTCTACTAAAAATACAAAAATTAGCCAGGCGTGGTGGCACACGCCTGTAATCCCAGCTACTTGGGAGGCTGAAGGAGGAGAATCGCTTGAACCTGGGAGGTGGAGGTTGCAGTGAGCCGAGATCAAGCCACTGCACTCCAGCCTGGGTGACAGAGCAAGACTCCATTTCAAAAAATAAAATAAAATAAAACTGAAGGTTATATTTTTATGCCACCTTCTTTCTTAGCATTATAGATACTTAGGGGTGAGTGTCAGGCACACAGGGTATTTCTTCCAAGCTCATGGGCAAACTCCTGTCTCTCAGAAGGTAAGGACGGTACCTGTCGTAACATCGGCCGTGTAGTAGAGATTTGGCGTAGCTGTCCATTGACGTATCCGGGTCTTCACTTCTGTATCCTTCTTCAGTTTCATCTAACGTCACAAAGAACGCTGCTTTCTCCACAGCATCAAGAGACTGCTTATTTTTCCCACGTCCAAAATAGGCCTGACGACACCTGGCCCAGGGAACTCTGCAGTGAAGATGAAATACGATTAAAGGCAGCCCGACCTGCAGCGATGGAGCGTGATGTTTGAAATGACACAATCAAACCTTTGCAGTTTTTCAGAATTTCTCGAAGGAAAACTCCATGTTGATGATGTTCCCCATCTGAGACTGTTTGCTGGAAGGACTCTCACCTGCTCCTGGTCTCCAGACCACAGCATGGGGAGCGGTGGGTATTTTTTGTTCAATAAATGCTGACTAAATGAACGGCCAGATTGCAGGCTGGCCCCGTGGGCAAAGCCGCCAGGAAGCAGCAGACCCAGATCACCCTGTTCCACGCTCCCTGACACACCCTCCCTCCCCTCTACAGGAACCACCCTAGGTAAGTTCCGGCAGCCCAGGTCACAGTAAGTGCGTAAGAGTGCGTCCCTCATGCCAGGCTCTGCTCCAAACCTTTTCTGTGTACCAACTTACTGATCTTCTCAATGCTACTGTACCTATTTTTCAGATGAGAAAACTGAAGCACGGAAAGATTAGGTCACAGCTATTTTGAGGCAGAGTCGGAACCCAGGCCATCAGCCCCCAGGTGCATTCCACAGATGCCCATGTGACCCCTCCACAAGGAGGTCTCCGTGCCCGTCTTATTTGAATACACAGAACTGGTGTGATGCCCACTTCCTTCTTGGAAGACCCACCAGCTGGGCTTCCTCGAGTGCTCCCGGGTCCCTCTCACTCCAGCTCCTCCAGGACCCTCTGCCACTGCCCACCCTTCCAGATCGGGGCCATCTGGCTCTCTCCCCACCTTCTTCTCTCTAGGAGTGCTTGGCTATGGCGGCCCGCAGGGCGAATAAGCCTAGAAACACGCTAGGCCTCAGTGCACCCCGCTCGGGGAACAAAGGTGACGCTGACGGTGGCCGGCACGTACGGAGCCCTTCCTGTGAATGACTCCCATGGGTAAGATGCTGATCTGGCCCTATCCAGAGGGGGCATCGGGACCGAGGCGCCTACAGACCCACAGGGAGCCCAGGCCCCGCGGCGCCGGCTCAGGCTCCCCACGTCTCCTCCGCTGGGGATTCCAGGCTCTGAGAGGAGGGCATCGGATGAGCGCATCTTCACCCGAGATGCATCTCCTGCCGCCGCTCTTTCCAGCCTTGTCAACACCACAGCAGATACCGAACAACGCCGGCTTGCCCGCACACATCCTCCTCCATCCCGCTCCTGCTCC
This sequence comes from Homo sapiens, assembly GCF_000001405.40. Taxonomy (NCBI): domain Eukaryota; kingdom Metazoa; phylum Chordata; class Mammalia; order Primates; family Hominidae; genus Homo; species Homo sapiens. Next base: position 68,783,157 of record NC_000011.10, read on the forward strand.
CAGGCCTGGCCCTCTTTCAGGCCCTCACTACTTGGGCCACCGAAAAGCATCCCTGTGTCCAGGGCCCCTCCTCCCTGCCCAACCAGAAGAATCTCCCACATTAACCTACTCATGCACCCCCGGCCCCACCCCACCCTACACCACCTGAAGCGGCACCCAGTTGCAGAATCAAGCTCAAATATGATTGGGTGCCTGGGACCCTCCCCAGCTTGGCACCGTGGCCCAGCTGCCCAGCCCACTCCACGGCTCCTGCCTGCTCTGCTACCCCGGGGCATGCGGCTCCACCCCCTGGACACCCACTGTCCTCCTGGTCTGCTCCCACCCTCTGCAAGACACAGCCCACCTGCGGCCCCTCCACGCAGCACAGAACCTCTCCTGATCTTTGCAGAAGGGGCCCCAACACCTGCCCCTCCCGCCTTACTCCCAGCGATAGCGTAGCAGTTGTCACACTGCTGGAACGCAGCAGCTCTCAGCTGGGGACAACAGTGTCCCCCTGATGCTGGGCAATGTCTGCGACACTTCTGGTTGTCACACAGGTTGCTGCTGGCAGTCGGTGGGCAGAGGCCAGGGCTGCTGCTCAGCATCCAACGCTACACAGGGCAGTGCCCCCCACAAAGAGGTACCCGGCCCTGAGTGTGCACAGCTCTGAGGTGAGAAACCCTCCTATACAATACACACCACACCTGCGAGAAAACCAAGCTCGGGCTGATTCGCTTTCTTTTTTATGTTTTGAGACACAGTCTCACTCTGTCACCCAGGCTGGAGTGCAGTGCCTTGATCATGGCTTACTGCAACCTCAACTTCCTGGGCTCAAGCAATCCTCCTGCCTTAGCCTCCTGAATAGCTTGGACTACAGGCACGCACCACCAAGCCTGGCTAATTTTTTGGTAGAGATGGGGTCTCACTCTGTTGCCCAGGCACATCTCAAACCCCTAGGCTCAAGTGACCCTCCTGCCTTGGTCTCCTAAAGCAATGGAATTATAGGCGTGAGCCACTGCGCCCGGCCTGATTCTTTTTCACTGAGGCAAGGAAATGTAACCCTAACACAGGGGCCTTGGTTTCCATTTGTTCTGTTTCCTAAATTAATAAATATGCCCACAGCCCCGTAAGAAAGGCTAATCCTGGCCAGGCATATGGTTCATGCCTGTAATCCCAGAACTTTGGGAGGCCAAGGTGGGTGGATCACTTGAGGTCAGGAGTTTGAGACCAGCCTGGCCAACATGGTGAAACCCTGTCTCTACTAGGCATGGTGGCGCACTCCCAGCTACTGGAGAGGTTGAGGCAGGAGAACTGCTTGAACCTGGGAGGCGGAGGTTGCTGTGAGCTGAGACAGTGCCATTGCATTCCAGCCTGGGTGACAGAGCGAGACTTCGTCTCAAAAAAAAAAAGCCTAATTCTAATCCTCACTTCTCCCTGTCCTGGACTCTGGAGTGTTTCCACACACATTTGCCTGACACACACACAGGGGTGGCCAGGGACCCCCCACCATGTCCCCATTGCTCTTGAGACCTGCCAAGCCGGGAGACCCCAGAGAAAAACAGAGCCGAGGTGGGGAGTCCCGTGCCAGGATTCCCACAGGCCCTGGTGGGGATGGGCCCCAGTGAGGAAGAGCGCCTCCACCACCCCCCAAAACAGGACAAGGGACCTAGGCTGCGCACCTGTCTCCTGCGGTGAGGGCTGCCAGCCTGGCCTCCCCGGGCTGAGGCTCCGAGGTATTGTCCAGGATCCTCTGCATCTGCTGCTCCATCTCCCGGGGCTTCAGCAGCCGCCCATCATGGTAGAGCCAGACCTTGAAGTAGCGTCCTCGATGGTACACGACGATGTGCTTGCTGTCTCTCATGTGCTGGATGGTGTCTGAGCCGGCCGCAGGTTGGAGACACAAAACCAAGAGTCCCAAGTTCAGCACGTGCTGAGACGACCGTACCCTGACTCTGCAAAGGGCATGGGAGTCCCTGCTCTGCGTCTCTCCAGGCAGCCTCAGGAACCTATTCCTCAAGACGTTTTAAATGATTAAGGACAGCTTGGAGTTAAAGCTCTGGATCGGAGAGGCCTGACTTCTGAGCTCAGCTTAGTCACTCATTAGATTATGACCTCAAACAAATTACCCGAGGCCAGGCGCAGTGGGAGGCTGGGAGTGGTGGCTCACGCCTGTAATCCCAGCACATTGGGTGAGGTGAGAGGATCGTTTGAGGTCAGGAGTTCGAGACCAGCCTGGTCAACATGGTGAAATCTTGCCTCTACTAAAAATACAAAAATTAGCCAGGTGTGGTGACATGCACCTCTAGTCCCAGCTACTCGGGAGGCTGAGGCAGGAGAATCGCTTGAAACCAGGAGGTGGAGGTTGCAGTGAGCCGAGATCACCCCACTGCACTCCAGCCTGGGTAACAGAGTGATACTCCATCTCAGGAAAAAAAAAAAAAAAAAGCATGCTTAGCAAAATGGAATATTATCATTAAAAAAAAAAAAACAAATTACCCAACCCTCCCTAAGCCTCTCCTCAGTAAAATGGAGGTCATATGTTCCCCATATGCACTGTGCAAGAATTAAGAGACGATATCCGTAAAGCCCATGTAAATAGGCATTCGATCCGTATAGTAACTTTTTATTAATTAATGACAATAGGGCAACTTAGAAAATATGCTGAGAAACATTCCGATAATTGTTTCTGAGAACCCGAGAAATGTTCTGAGAAAGAAAGTGGAAAATTACGAAACCAAGCCATTCCGTAAAAACTACTAAAACAGAGTAATTTAAGCTCCTCAGTAAGCTTAAACATCACAGAAATGTGATGAAGTACGTTCACTCCACGAATATTTATCAAGTCCTCTTAAGCACTGCTCAGTGGGGATGCACAGTGACAGCTGATCAAGGCAGATCGTCTAGTGAGGAAGACAAATAAATGCATGATTAAAAATAGGACAAGCTACCAGGAGCAGTGGCTCACCCTGTATTCCCAGCACTTCAGGAGGCCAAGGAGGGAGGATTGCTTGAGCCCAGGAGTTTGGGATCAGCCTGGGCAACATGGCAAAACCCTATCTCTACAAAAAATACAAAAATTAGCTGGGTGTGGTGGTGTGCACCTGTAGTCCCAGTTATTCTGGAGCTGAGATGGGAGGATCACTTGAGCCTGGGGAGCAGAGGCTGCAGTGAACTGAAATTGCACCACTGCACTCCAGCCTGGGTGACAGAGCAAGATCCTATCTCAAACAAACAAACAAAAACAAAATAGGACAAGTGTCACAAAAGGCTAGAAAGTGTAGGACTAGGACCAACCTAGCCTGGAGATGTGAGAAAGCCCTTCCACCCCCACTAAGGAAGTGATGTTTAAGAAGAACCCGGCCAGATGAAGAACAGAATTAATCAATATTATGCCCGATCTCATGTTTTTTTTGAGACGGAGTCTCGCTCTTATTGCCCAGGCTGGAGTGCAGTGGCGCGATCTCGGCTCACTGCAACCTCCGCCTCCCGGGTTCAAGCTTCTCCTGCCTCAGCTTCCTAAGTAGGTGGCATTACAGGCACCTGCCACCACACCTGGCTAATTTTTGTACTTTTAGTAGAGATGGGGTTTCACCGTGTTGGCCAGGCTGGTCTCAAACTCCTGACCTCAGGTGATCCACCCGCCTCGGCCTCCCAAAGTGCTGGGATTACAGGCATGAGACACTGCACCTGGCCTCCTGCTCTGATTTTTAAAATGTTTACCAAACCAAGGATGCAGGAGACCTGCTTTGGTTTGCTGAAGGGTTCCTACCAGAAACTTGGACCAAACGGCATTTGAAGCCTTCGCTTTAAAGTCACAAACAAGACAAGAATGCACACCATGACTATGTATATTCCACATTACACTCAGGATGCTGGCCGGGCAATAAAATAAGAAACAAGTAAAAGATAAAGGATTGAAAGGGAAATATCAAAGGTGTCATTTGCAGCTATGATTAGCATGTGGAAAATCCAAGAAAACCTATCAGCTGTTTAAGCCAATAAGAATACAGCTGGGTAGTGGCTGGGTGCAGTGACTCACACCTGTAAACCCAGCACTTTGGGAGGCCGAGGAAGGCGGATCACGAGGTCAGGAGATCAAGACCATCCTAGCTAATATGGTGAAACCCCATCTCTACTAAAAATACAAAAAATTAGCCGGGCATGGTGGCATGTGCCTGTAGTCCCAGCTACTCAGGATGCTGAGGCAGGAGAAGCTTGAACCCGGGAGGCAGAGGTTGCAGTAAGCTGAGATCCTGCCACTGCACTCCAGCCTGGGCGACAGCAAGACTCTGTCTCAAAAAAAAAAAAAAAAGAATACAGCTGGGTAGAAACACAGTTTATAAAAACCTTTCATGTTCCTATACCCCAGGGCACAGGCTGAACTGTGTCCCCCCATTCATATATTGAAATCCTAACCCCCAGCACCTCAGAATGTGGCCTCATTTGGAGATGGGGTCTTTAATGAGGTCATTAGGGTGGGCCCTAATCCTATGTGACTGTGTCCTTTTAAGAAGAGGAGTTTAGGGTTGGGTGCGGTGGCTCACGTCTATAATCCCAGCACTTTGGGAGGCCGAGGTGGGCAGATCGCCTGAGGTCAGGAGTTCGAGGCCAGCCTGGCCTACATGGTGAAAACTCGTCTCTACTAAAAAATTACAAAAATTAGCCAGGCGTGGTGGCGGACACCTGTAGTCCCAGCTACTTGGGAGTCTGGAGCAGGAGAATCACTTGAACCCAGGAGGTGGAGGTTGCAGTGAGCCGAGATTGTGCACTGCATTCCAGCCTGGGTGACAGAATGAGACTCAGTCTCAAAAAAAAAAAAAAAAAAAAGGGAGACTTTAGGACACGCACAGAGGGATGACCACGTAAGGACACAGGGAAGAGATGGTTATCCAAGGAGAGGGGCCTACAGAAGGAACCACCTCTGCCAACACCTTGATGTTGGAGTTCCAGCCTGCAGAATTGTGAGAAAATCGCTGTCTTGCTTAAGCCGTGCAGTCTGTGGTATTTGTTATGGTGGCCTGGGCAAACTTACACGCTGCATAACCAACACCTTGAAAATATTCTTGAAAAGGAACAAAACAATAAAAGTGCTTAGAAACAGCTCGAACAAATGATGTGCTGCAAGGACTTCATGGAGAAAAGTATGACATTTTATTAAAATCGCCTAAAAAACAAAAAAGGGGCCAGGCACAGTGGCTCATGCCTGTAATCCCAGCACTTTGGGAGGCCGAGGCGGGCGGATCACTTGAGGCCAAGAGTTTGAGATCAGCCTGGCCAACATGGCAAAACCCCGTCTCTATTAAAAATACAAAAGTAAGCTGGGTGTGGTGGTGCATGCCTGTAATCCCAGCTACTAGGGAGGCTGAGGCAGGACAATCGCTTGAAACTGGAAGGTGCGGTTTGCAGTGAGCCAAGATTGCACCACTGCACTCCAGCCTCGGCAACAGAGTGAGACTCAGTTTCAAAAAAACAAAAACAAACAAACAAACAAAAGTAAAAAAAAAAAAAAAAAAAAAAAAGCAGAATGTCTGGAATATATAAATACTTTCTACAAATCAATAAGGAAAAGATACACATCCATTTTTAAAAAATATACAAAATATAAGAACAATATTCTCAACAGAAGAAACCCAAATGTCCAGTTAACATTTTAAAAGTTGCTAACCCTTTTGGCAAAAATGAAGGGAAAAGGGTATTTTATAGATTGCTGGGGACGTGAAAGTTGGTAAAATCACTTTGAGGGTAATTTGTCCATGCCAGTAAGACTGGAAATGTCAACCAGGGCAGCCGGCAAGCCAATTCTAGGTGCCTGCTCTACAGACTGTTTGACCAATGCATGCAGGGGAGAAACATACACAGAATTCACTGAGCGTCACTTAGAAAGGAAAACAGGAAAGAAAGAAAAGCGTTCACATACTGGAATTGTTTTGATACTATAACGAAGTACATCATAAATGTCAATAATGATTGTACTGGAGTGGTAAGATTAGGGCTGTATCTTCTGCTAAAAGATTTTCTAAATTTTGGTAGTAATTCCATTTTATAGCAATATATATTATTAAATAGAAAAATGCCAGAACTTAAGACCCTTAAGATAAGTCTATACCTCTTTCCCTTTTTTTATTTTGGGGAATTTGAATGGTCTAATTAGTGAGGATTGTGACTGATGGGATCCTCCGGTGGGGATGTCTGAGAAAGTGGGTGGGGCTTTGCCCGATGATCACCAACGAATGGCATTGCACGTGCTCATATACATTTACCTTTCTTTATTTTTTTTTTTTGACAGGGTCTTGCTCTGTCACCCAGGCTGGAGTGCAGTGGTGCGATCTCAGCTTACTGCAAGCTCCTCCTCCCAGGTTCAAGTGATTCTCCTGCCTCAGCCTCCTGAGTAGCAGGGATTACAGACATCTGCTATCACGCCTGGTTAATTTTTGTGGGTTTCTTTTAGTAGAGGTGGGGTTTCACCATGTTGGCCAGGATGGTCTCGAACTCCTGACCTCAAGTGATCCACCCGCCTCGGCCTCCCAAAGTGCTGGGATTACAGGCGTGAGCCACCACTCCCAGGCTTTGTATTTACATTTCTTTCATTCCCAGTGATGTTGAATGCTTTTCTATAACTCCTTAAACATTTCTCCTTCCAGGGGTGCCCATCATTTCCTTTCCAATTAGGATCTTCATGGTTTTCTGGCAGATTTATAAGAACTCTTTACATATTAACCCTGTTCTCTGTTGTGAGCACTTACCCTCAATTTGTTATCTACCTTTTAAAACAGTTTGAAGTATTTTTGAAATATAGAAAACTAAAATCTTTACATGACAATATTTGGATTTTTCCGTTGTTGTAATGAGTTGAGCTGTTTCTACCCAAAAGATATGTCCATGTTCTAGCCCTGGTACCTGTGAAAACCTTATTTCTTAATCGGAAGTAGGGTCTTTTTTTTCTTTTTTTGAGACAGGGTCTCATTCTGTCACCCAGGCTAAGTGCAGTGGTGTGATCACAGCTCAGCTCACTACAGTCTCCACCTCCCAGGCTCAAGTGATCCTCCCTCCTCAGCCTCCTGAGTAGCTGGGACCACAGGTACACACCACTATGTCCGACTAATTTTTGTATTTTTTGTAGAGATGGGGTTTTGCCATGTTGCCCAGGCTGCTCTCAAACTCCTGGGCTCAGGTGATCCACCCACCTCAGCCTCCCAATGTGCTGGGATTACAGGCATGAGCCACCACATCTGGCCTGGAAATAGGGTCTTTGCTGATATAATTCAATATTAAGATGAGGTCATACTGGACTAGGGTGGACCCCAAATCCAATGACTGTTGTCCTTGTAAGAGAGACACACACACACAGAGGTGAGAGCCAAGGTGACATGGAGGCAGAGATCAGAGTGATATGCCTACAAGCCAAGGAGCACCTGGACCCCCCCAGAAGCTGGAAGAGGCATAAAGGCCTCCCCCAGAGCCTTTGAAAAGAGCACGGCCCTGCTGACACCTTGATCTCGGACTCTGGCCTCCAGAGCTGTGGCAGAAGAAACTTCTTTTGTCTTAAGACATCCAGTTTGTGGTCATTTATTCCAGCAGCCCCAGGAAACTGACTCAGGTATCATGCTCAGAATGGCTGTCCAGGTACACTAAGTAACTAGGTTTTATCCCAGCATTTCCCTTGTTTATTGATTTATTTTATTTTTATTTCATATACATATTTTTTTGAGATGGAGTCTCACTCTGTCACTCAAGCTGGAGTGCAGTGGCATGATCTTGGCTCACTGCAACCTCCACCTCCCAGGTTCAAGCAATCCTCCTACCTCTGCCTCCTGAGTAGCCGGGATTACAGGTATGCACCACCACACCTGGCTAATTTTTGTATTTTCAGTAGAGATGGGGTTTCACCATGTTGGCCAGGCTGGTGTCGAACTCCTGACCTCAGGTGATCCACCTGCCTTGGCCTCCCAAAGTGCTGGGATTACAGGAATGAGCCTTTGTGCCTGGCCTCCCTTGTTTATTTTTTTAAACACATACATATTTACCTCCTGGAATCACTGTCAGTGTAGGCCGCATGTCTCAAACTTAAATGATCTTAAGGATGTCCCCATACCACGGTGCTGACTGACAGCAGGTGACAGCCTCCCCAGGACACCCTGACCCACTTCCCTTTGGGGACACTGCCTGCCCTGGTCAGTGAAGGGGCAACTGCCCCTCCAATCAGGGAGACACTGTGAGAGGATGGAGAGAACCAACTTCACTTTCCTCCACCTCGTTGCCCAACTGCCCCAGGACTGCTGTTGGCCAACACATCTGTTTTTCACATGTTGAGCTACAGTACAATGGACGACAGTGTGTGGCAGGAAGAGAGGAGGGGTTTAGCCAGAAACACTGTGAAATCCGTGAACACACATGGAGTGGGTTCTTTTTTGTTTTTTTGAGATGAAGTTTCACTCTTGTTGCCCGGGCTGGAGTGCAGTGGCACAATCTCAGTTCACTGCAACCTCCACCTCCCATGTTCAAGTGATTCGTCTGCCTTAGCCTCCCAAGTAGCTGGGATTACGGGTGCCCACCACCATACCTGGCTAATTTTGTATTTTTAGTAGAGATGGGGTTTTGTAGACCAGTAGTAGGCTGGTCTTGAACTCCTGACCTCAGGTGATCTGCCCACTTCGGCCTCCCAAAATGCTGGGATTACAGGCGTGAGCCACCGCGCCTGGCCAGAATGGGTTTTTAGAGAACCTCTGAAGGCAGGATCAGAGGAAAGGGGAGAATCTGCTTAGGAAAGCCCACTCAGAGGCCAGCTTTTGTGCAAGGATACAGCAAAGGCTCCCCAATGACCACCACAGTGCACACTACTGACTAGGGCTTGGTCTGGAATATTGACTAGGGCTTGGTCTGGAAGGACCGGGCTGCAACAAGACACTCAAAACTGCAGGTCAGGCCAGGCATGGTGGCTCACATCTGTAATTCCAGCACTTTGGAAGGCCGAGGTGGGACGATCACGAGGTCAGGAGATGAGACCATCCTGGCTAACACGGTGAAACTCCGTCTCTACTAAAAATATAAAAAATTAGCCGGGCGTGGTGGCAGACACCTATAGTCCCAGCTACTCGGGAGGCTGAGGCAGGAGAATGGCGTGAACTCGGGAGGTGGAGGTTGCAGTGAGCCGAGATCGCGCCACTGCACTCCAGCCTGGGCAACAGAGCGAGACTCCCTCTAAAAAAAAATAAATAAATAAAATTGCAGGTCAGCTCTGGCCCTTTCCAGCCAGCTTCCCAAGCAGCCCCGAGGCCCGCCCGTCATACAGGCCTGCCATGATGGTCTTGGGCTCTAGCTCACCAAGTGTCTCTGGGTAGTTCCCCATCCACAGGCACCTGGGGAAATGGAGGCCATGGACAGCACAGCCTGGGCCTGGGCCTGGCCTGGATGTTCCCCACGGTGCCTGTTCTCCCTCCCTGTCATTCTCAAGGACGTCCTGGTTTGGACGGTGGCTTACGTGGCCACCCTGCCCAGGTCAGGCAGCTGATAAAGGAGTGGCTGGAACACAAATCCACCTTTCCGAGCACGACCCAGTGTGCGTTCCATCACAAACGCTGACTGTGAGCCGGAGTAAAATGCCCCTGAGGAATCCAGACTCAGGAAAAAAACACTCAGCTGTGTGTGACTCACGCCTGTAATCCCAGCACTTCGGGAGGCCGAAGCGGGCGGATCACTTGAGTCCAGGAGTTTGAGATCAGCCTGGGCAACACGGCAAAACCTCATCTCTATAAAAAATGCAAAAATTAGCCAGGCATGATGCATGTGCCTGTGGTCTCAGCTACTGGGGAGGCTAAGATGGGAGGATTCCTTGAGCTCAGGAGGTGGAGGCTGAAGTGAGCCGTGATCATGTCACTGCACTCCAGCCTGGGTGGCAGAGAGAGACCTCATGTCAAAATAAATAAATAAATAAATAAATCAAACACTCTATGAGACAGTTGGCAGTCTTCAACCAAAGAGAAATTAAAATCTGGAAATAAGTCAACAACAGTGTCCAGGCCTAAGACAGACAAAGGAAATTCAGCAGAAGGAATGTTCACCAGCCTACAATCTCAGGAAGGGTCAGCAAAAATCAATTTGGCCCCTTTGACACTTCCTAATTCTGAGCATAGGGATGGAAAGTGCCGATTCTCCAGGGGGCCCTGAAGAAGCTTGACTCACCTGTCTCCTCTCCTGGGATCCGGGAAGTATTAAACATCCGCTCCCACTGAGCGGAGCAGAGTGGAATCGTGGATCCCAAAAGACGAATCTGTAACAAAAATATATTTCAAACCAACAACGAAAATCCCACAGAAGAAAAGCAGCAAGTTGGCCGGGTGCGGTGGCTCACGCCTGTAATCCCAACACTTTGGGAGGCTGAGGCGGGCGGATCACGAGGTCAGTAGATGGAGACCATCCTGGCTAACACAGTGAAACCCCGTCTCTACTAAAAATACAAAAAAATTAGCCGGGCATGGTGTCGGGTGCCTGTAGTCCCAGCTACTTGGGAGGTTGAGGCAGGAGAATGGCATGAACCCGGGAGGCAGAGCCTGCAGTGAGCTGAGATCGTGCCACTACACTCCAGCCTCGGCAACAGAGCGAGACTCTGTCTCAAAAAAAAAAAAAAAAAGAAAACAAAAGCAGCAAGCAGCAAGCAAGTTAAGACCACATGGAAATGCTGAATGTGTTTTCTGTGCGAATTGCTTCGTTTGACTTCCTCTTTTCCAGTGGCTCACTGGAATGATTCGTTGGGGGACTCATTAAACCATGCCAGGGTGCAACTTCCTGCACAGTTAAATCCTAAATAACACATTCTAATTGATTATTGATAACTGACACTTACAACCAAAGAAATATTCCAGGAAGAAAAGTCTTGTTTCTTATGAGCAACTAAGCAGCTAGTATTAGTTCAAAAACATCAAGGGCTTCTCCAAAGGGCAGATTACAGAATTAAAGTACAACAGATGTATATTCATTTAGGAGACACAAGGAGAATTACATCTCAGAATAATTAGGCTGGGTGAAAGAAACTAGAATTCCGAAAAAAAGAGTGCATACTGTTATGATTCCACTTACACAAAGCTTTAAAAATTGCAAACTAATCTAGAGTGACAGATAGTAGACCAGGGGGTCCAGGACCAGGTGGGAGGGAGAGATGACAAAGGGCAGAGGGGTTTTCGGGTTGACTGATGTATTCACCATCCTGACTGCAGTGATGATGGTTTCTCAGATGCATCAATATATACACATCAGAAGTTAGCAAACTCTACACTTTATTTTTTAATTTTTTTTTTTGAGATGGAGTTTTGCTCTTATAACCCAGGCTAGAGTGCAATGGTGTTATCTTGGCTCGCTGCAACCTCCACCTCCTGGGTTCAAGTGATTCTCCTGCATCGGCCTCCCGAGTAGCTGGGATTACAGGCGCGTGCCAGCACGCCCAGCTAATTTTTCTATTTTTAGTAGAGACAGGGTTTCACTATGTTGGCCAGGCTGGTCTTGAACTGCTAACCTCAGATGATCCGCCTGCTTTGGCCTCCCAAAGTGCCAAGATTACAGGCGTGAGACCCTGTGCCCGGCCACAAACTGTATATTTTAAACATGTGCAATATGTCAATTATACCTCTGTAAAGCTGTTTGAAAATAATTTTTTTAAAGCAATTTGTTTGCCTACTGGTTTGATTTCCTCCCGGTCCAGTTTGCGCCTGTAAAGCAGGATGGCATGGATGGCGTTGCCGGCTCTTGCTGCCTGAATGTGAGTTGGAAGGATATACAGCAGATCCTGAAAAGCGACAAAGGTGGAGAGAATTTGCATAGGGAAAGATAAGCAAATTTAAATAATCACAGCACATCCTGCACACTGTCACAATATTTCTAGAGATGCATCAATATACATACATATTCGGTTACATCTGCAATGCTACAAAATAAATGGTAATTTGATTTTCTCCACTTTGACTTTGTAAATGTTTTATGAGAACATAAGTCCTCTAAAACTTCTGCGCTATTAAAGATAACTATTTGCACCAAATACCCTCACGTAACACAGAGAAAGGAAAGCAAAAATTAGTCGGGGAGCAATTAGACAATCAGGAAGTTTTCTGGATGAGACACAATGAAAGGTTAAAATAGTTGTTTATATAGAGCTGTGCCTGCAGCTTTCTAAATTTTGAGACCCTGTTCCAAATGTCTGCATTTTCCACAATTGGAAGAAAAGGCCAAGGAACACAGGTCTAACCTACATTTTGGAAGAGTCTATGTACACACCATGTCCCCATTGATGTAGAAAGTGCCTCTGTTTGTGGGAAATAAACAAAGGTCTCCTGGCGGGAAGGGCATCAGATAAATAGCTCACTTCCAAATAGAGCAGGAAAAGAAGTTCTATGGACTACACTAACGGTTTTTCTTTCAGTTTGAGATTATTTCAGATGGGAAAAAAAAAGTTAAGAGAAAAAGAAAGGACAATTTTGAAACGAAGAAAAACAGAAAGAAAAAGCAAATGATAGGCCAGGTGCTCATGTCTGTAATCCAGCACTTTGGGAGACCGAGGCGCACGGATCACCTGAAGTCAGGAGTTTGAGACTAGCCTGGCCAACATGGTGAAACCCCGTTTCTACTAAAAATACAAAAATTAGCCGGGCGTTGTGGCAGGTGCCTGTAATCCCAGCTACTCGGGAGGCTGAGGCAGGAGAATTGCTGGAACCCAGGAGGCAGAGGCTGCAGTGAGATGAATTGCACCAGTGCACTCCAGCCTCAGCGACAGAGCAAGACTCTATCTCAAAAAAAAAAAGAAAAGAAAAAGTAAATGATTAAAAAATAAACGAGGGAAAAAAATAAAAGGAAGTGAAGGAATGGAAGGAAAAGGAAAGAGAAGAGTTCTATTTGCCAGTTATTAAAGCAGTGGTCAAGAACACAAACTGAGAGGCCTTCTAACCATCCATGCTTTGAAAGACAAAGCCCAGGAAACCAGAAACTACCGTCGATGCACACCCCTCTGGCGTCTCAGAAAACAGTAGGGTGAAGCGCAGCGCACTGGTGGCAGGATCTTGGCCAACCCACTGTCCCTGAGCTCTAGGGGTTCTGCAGGGATCTTAAGGCCGCTGTGGCACCAAGTTCCAGTGCTAAGCCATAAAAACAGCAGGACAGGCCGGGCACGGTGGCTCACACCTGTAATCCCAGCACTTAGGGAGGCTGAGGCAAGTGGATCACCTGAGGTCAGGAGTTCGAGACCAGCCTGGATAACATGGTCAAACCCCGTCTCTACTAAAATACAAAAATTAGCTGGGCGTGGTGGTGGGCACCTGTAATCCCAGCTACTTTGGAGGCTGAGGCAGGAGAATCACTTGAACCTGGGAGGCGGAGGCTGCAGTGAGCCGAGATCGTGCCATTGCACTCCAGCCTGGGGGACAAGAGCAAAGCTCCATCTCAAAACAAAACAAAACAAAAAAACAGCAGGACAGGTACAGCACAGTGAGGAATTCCTGTTTGCCAGAAACTTATTTTTGCAACCCAAATCCCCCTGCAGTAGCAGAGCACCCTGGGCTACTAGGCTAACACTGAAGGGTACTCATAGGGTTCTCCGGCCTGGAAGCAGGACAGAGAGGAGCATGAGCCAATCCCCAGAGTTTTCCCAGGCCGTCCACAGGCCTGTGAAGACGCCACCTCTGTGGACAGACCCGCCGCCCCACCGTCCTCGTCAGACAGCAGCCCGGGCGGGTGGACTCACCATGGCATAATAGTTGCTGTTCACCATGAGCGGCCCTCGTCCTCGGAGGTAGATGTACTCCTCCCACCAGTCGCTCACCTAGTGGGCGCAAACACCAGACAAACCCGCAGGCTCAGCAGGGGCCAGGCAGGCTCCCTGGCAGCAGCCCAGAGCCGCGGGGAAGGGCAGGCAGTGCTTTTGGCAGACATTTCGGCGTCTAACAGGGGCCATTCCAGAACAGGGAACGCAGTCCTAACTAGATGGAATGCGACACCGTGGGAAATGAAAAGTGTTCTTTTTAAGTTGAGACAGGCAGAAAGAAGGTACATCACCTTCATTTTGTAGATGGTTCAAAAGGGAAATAAAAAGCCGAAGTGGGAGGATTGCTTGAGACCAGGAGTTCGAGACCAGGCTAGGCAACATAGCAAGGCTCTAGCCCTACATTAAAAATAAAAATAATAAATAAAATAAAAATTTAAAAATGTTTAAGAGACCAAATGGAAAGTAAATCATAAATGTCTGACTGCTAACATGTTTTAAAAACCAAAACTATGGGCTGGCCATGGTGGCTCACACCTGTAATCTCAGCACTTTGGGAGGTTGAGACAGGAAGATCGCTTGATGCCAGGAGTTTGAAGCCAGCCTGGGCAACATAGCAAGGTTCCATCTCTCCAAAAAATTTTAAGAAATTAGCCAGGTGTGGTGGCTCACGCCTGTAGTCTCAGCTACTTGGGAGGCTAAGACAGGAGGGTTACTTGAGCCCAGGGGTTCCAGGCAACAGTGAGCTATGATCGTGCCACTGCATTCCCACCTGGGCAACAGAGCAAGACCCTTTCTCAAATAAAAGAAAACAGAAACAAAGGCCAGGAGCGGTGGCTCACGCCTGTCATCCCAGCACTTTGGGAGACTGAGGCGGGCTGATCACTTGAGGTTAGGAGTTCCGGACCTGCCTGGCCAACATGATGAAACCCCGTCTGTACTAAAAATGCAAAAATTAGCCGGGTGTGGTGGCGGGTGCCTGTAATCCCAGCTACTCAGGAGGCTGAGGCAGGAGAATTGCTTGAACCTGGGAGGCAGAGCTTGCAGTGAGCCGAGATCGCTCCACTGCACTCCAGCCTGGGTGACGAGCGAGACTTTGTCTCAGAAACTAAAGAAAATAAAAGAAAACAAAGAAAAAACCAATGTTATGCAAAATTGCTCCACAGACTGCTTCCCAGGTCTGCCTGAAGAAGCCACCGTCCCAGTCCGTGGCACTAACCTGGTGTTCCGCAGGTGTTGTCTCTATTCCCTGGCACATGTGTCCTGAGGCCACCCAGAGGCAGTGCCCCCCAACCACCTCACAGCTGCTGTCCCTTCACAGCCTGCTGGACCCAGGGATCGCTTCCTTTCAGCTTTGTGCTGAAACACACGTACCTACAGAACAGTGCCCATGCAAGGGCCTCGTGTGCGGAGAGCTGTGCAGAGAGCTGACGTTTACCAGTCCAGCACACCGGTGCAGCCAGCGAATATGCCCGGCCCCCTGAGGCTAGAGAGACCCCTCCAGGCACTGCCCATCCACCCACCATGCCACGTCTAGCGCCACCTGCTGGTTCTGTCAGGGTCGCTTTGGACACCTTCTCTTCCGTGTTAGTTGTTCCTCAAAGCTAGACTCCCTCCCTTGCTTTGTCTGCCGGAGGCCTGCTCTTGCCCTCCCAGTACGTGGAAGCCCAGCCAGCTCCCCGCACACAGGGTGCCAGCTAAGACGCTTCGTTGGAGGAGATGCTCCTGGGACCACCGAGCCACACTCAACCCCAGGGAGGGGCGATCAGCACCGCCCTATCCCA
The DNA here is from genome assembly GCF_000001405.40 of Homo sapiens. Classification (NCBI taxonomy): domain Eukaryota; kingdom Metazoa; phylum Chordata; class Mammalia; order Primates; family Hominidae; genus Homo; species Homo sapiens. The sequence goes on from NC_000011.10 coordinate 68,798,658, forward strand.
CACCATCCCTGCATCCACCAGCGAGCTCGGGAAGGATGCCCTTGGAATCAAGATAAACCAAAGAGGAGGATGGGAGCAGGTCTCTGGGGCAGCATGGCACTGCTGCAGGAGAAACAGCTCACGGGAGGACTCTCCGGGGAAGAGGGAGAGGGAGAAGCCTCCTGCGTGCAAAACACAGCATCGTGCTGGTGTACCTGCACTCAGGGTAAAACTGTCACTGTAGGCTGGGTGTGGTGGCTCATGCCTATGATCCCAGCACTTTGGGAGGCCGAGGTGGGAGGATCACTTGAGCCCAGGAGTTTGAGACCAGCCTGGTCAACATAGTGAGACTCTGTCTCTACAAAAAAATCCAAAAACCAAGAAACTGTCACTGTAACTACACGTCAGTCCTAACACACACACACTCCACTCTGCACAGAGGTAAAACTATAGCTGGAACTTCCTAGGGTGTGATTTTGGCTAATCCAAACTGTCATTTCAGCCCTGTTATCCCTGCCCCTCAAAATTAGCGTCTTCATACGGAAAAATTTCATCAAGAAAAACTGTGTATACAGACTTACGTAATTTGTAGCCCACCAGGATTTTAACTTCAAATACCACTGTAATCTTGGTCCAAGACCGACAGCAAAATCTTGAGCAAGTGCTGTCATCCGTTTGAAGTCTTCTTCCTTCATAAGAGGCCTCACCGACTGTAGATACTGGGATTATTGGGGGAAAAAAAAATCACCCAAGTTAAAACATATTAATCAAAGCCTATGTTTGCCTCACTTGTGCCTTAGGAAAAGTTCTAACACATTGAAAAGGTTTTAGGCTGGGCATGGTGGCTCATGCTTGTAATCCCAGCACTTTGGGAGGTCAAGGCCAGTGGATTGCTTGAGCTCAGGAGTTCAAGACCAGCCTAAACAACATGGTGAAACCCCATCTCTACAAAAAAAAACAAGACAAAAATTAGCTGGACATGGTGGTGCATGTCTGTGGTCCCAGCTACCTGGGGGGCTGAGGTTGGGAGGATCGCTTGAGCCCAGAAGGTTGCGGCTGCAGTGAGCCATGATCATGCCACTGCAACCCAGCCTGGGCAACAGAGTGAGACCCTATCTCAAAAAAAAAAAAGAAAAAGTTTAGACTCTTCCCCCAAGTTGGTCTTGGCAGTCCTTAGACAGGTAAACTCCCTTCAATGCTAAATGGTGTCATAGGGTAATGATAATTTAACAATTAAACTTTTTCTTCCTTTATTAGCTTTAAAAGTGTCCCAAATCCTGCATCACCAGAAAATCACCATTAAATTTTTAGAATTTAAAATAAATTCTAGAGTTGACAAGAAAAGTTAACAAGGAAATTTCAAGAATGTCTCTTATCTATTATTTGGCCCTTAATAAAAGATCTGTTCTGACCTAAGTAAGTTTTGATGACCTGCGATGGTGACCATGAGATGGGGCAGAGTCATGCTGAGAGCTGGGTGCTGGGGCTGGGCAGGTGCTCAGGCAGCAGGATGGGAACGAGGGGCTGGAATAGGTCACGGAACCAGGCTAAGGCCAGTGCCCCAGGTTCAGGGTTTCCAGCCCCCACCCCGCCTCGTCCTTTTACATGTGCTACTTTGGTTGAACAAATGCTCAGAGGTGGAAACACAGAGAGCAATTGTTTAAAAAGACACTCAAAAGCTTCTGCTACACACCTAAGCAAGCTCTTACAGAAAGTAACAGTGGTCAGGTGTGGTAGCTCACACCTGTAATCCCAGCACTTTGAGAGGCTGAGGTATGAAGAGTGCTTGAGCCCAAGCAATCTTGACCAGTTCAAGACCACCCTGGGCAACAGAGTGAGACCCCCCATCTCTGCAAAAAAAAAAAAAAAAAATACAAAAATTAGCTGGGTGCGGTGGCATGTGCCTGTGATCCCAGCTACTTGGAAGGTTGAGGTGTGAGGATCACTTGGGCCCAGGAGTTCAAAGCTGCAGTGAGCCATGATCACACCACTGCATTCCAGCCTGGGTGAGATGCTGTTTCCCCCAGCAACAAAAAGTAAAACTGTTGCTAACCCCACAATTTGTCATGACATATTTTAATCCGACAAGTTGTTTGTCTGCTGTAAAAAACAAAGCTTGGTGCAACAGTAATCTCTCTATAGTCCCTCCCTGTACATTGAAAAGTAAGACCCCACTCCCTTAAAAGGGCCAGCTGTAGCTGGGCACGGTGGCTTATGCCTGTAACCCCAGCACTTTGGGAGGCTGAATCAGGAGGACTGCTTGAGCCCAGGAGTTCAAGACCAGCCTGGGCAACATGGCAAGACCCTGTCTCTACAAGAAAGTATTTGCAGGCATAGTGGTGCACACCTGTGGCCCCAACTACTTGGGAGGCTAAGGCAGGAGGATCACTCGGGCCCAGGAATTCAAGGTTGCAGTGAGCTAGGACGGTGCCACTGCATTCCAGCCTGGGCAAGAGAGTGAGACTCTGTCTCCAAAAAAAAGGGGGAGGGGGCAGGTGTCAAGCATCTTGAGGCTTATTCAAAGTAAAATGCCCGTGAATGAGACAGAAAATCATGCCCTGAATGAGCTGAAGTGGAACCCCGAGCTACGCAACACAGACAGAGGTCACTGAAGGTCAAGCATCTCTTGCTCACCCCATCCTGCCAGTGGAACAGGGGCCGTCATCAGCCCTGATTTGCAAGCGTGGGCACAGAAGAGGAGAGATGGGGTGGGCCAGGTATGGTAGCTTGTGCCTGTAATCCCAGTACTTTGGGAGGCCAAGGTGGGCAGATCACTTGAGGTCAGGAGCTCGAGACCAGCCTGGCCAACATAGTAAAATCCTGTCTCTACTAAAAATACAAAAATTAGCCGGGTGTGGTGGTGCACATCTGTAATCCCAGCTACTCAGGAGGCTGAGGCAAGATAATTGTTTGAACTTGGGAGATAGAGGCTGCAGTGAGCTGAGATCATGCCACTGCACCCTAGCCTGGGTGACAGAGCAAGACTCTGTCTGAAAAAAAAAAAAAAGAGCAGAGATGGGAAGACCTTACCAAGGCCAACAGGGACTCAGTAACCAAGCCTGGATTCAAACCCTTAACCCGAGAAGTTTTTGCTTATTATTATAGTTTTAAAATTGGAGTCCCAGGATGTGGAAAAACTAAAGCACCCATGCACTGCTGGTTAGAATGCAAAATGGTGCAGCTGCGTGAGAGTCTCATGGTTCCTCAATGAGTTACCACGGAATTCCCATGAGCCAGCAATTCCACTCCTGGATACGTCCCCAACAGCGGATGAACAGGTGGATAAACTGTGGTCCTTCCATACAATGGAACACTATTCAGCCACAAAAAGGGATGAAGTTCATCCATCCTACAACACGGGTGAACTCTAAAGACATGCTAGTCACAAAAGGCCACGTGATTCCATTTATGCGAAATGTCCAGAAGAGGCAAATCCATACAGACAGACAGGAGATTAGTGGTTCTGAGGGGCTGGGAGAGGGAGGTAGAAGGATGGGGAGTGACTGCTTAGTGGCTATGAGCTTTTGGGGGATGAAATGTCCTGGAACGAGACAGCAGTGAGGGCTGCGCAACATTATAAATGTACTTAGTGCCCCTGAACTGTACACTTGAAAATGGTTAACAGTACAATTCATGTTGTGTACATTTTACCATAATTTTTTTAAAAACAAAGAAATGGAGCTGCTCCCTCTCCTTTTGTTCAATTAAAGAAAAAAAAAGACCGAAGCAGGTAGATCACTTGAGCTCAGGGGTTCAACACGAGCCTGGACAAGACAGTGAAACTCCGTCTCTGGAAAAAAAAAAAAAAAATAGGGCCAGGCGTGGTGGCTCACACCTGTAATCCCAGTACTTTCGGAGGCCGAGGCAGGCAGATCACGAGGTCAGGCGATGGAGACCATCCTGGCTACAGTGAAACCCCGTCTCCACTAAAAATACAAAAAAAAAATATTAGCCAGGCGTGGTGGCAGGGGCCTGTAGTCTTAGCTACTCAGGAGGCTGAGGCAGGAGAATGGTGTGAACCCAGGAGGTGGAGCTTGCAGTGAGCCAAGATCACGCCACTGCACTCCAGCCTGGGTGACAGAGCGAGATTCTGTCTCAAAAAAAAAAAAATATTGCCATATGTAGTGGCATGCACCTGTAGTCCCAGCTACTCAGGAGGCTGAAGTGGGAGGATCATTTGAGCCCAGGAAGTTGAGGCTGTGGTGAGCCAAGATCGCGCCACTGCACTCTAGCCTGAACAACAGGGTGAGACCCTGTCTCAAAAAAAAAAAAAAAAAAAAAAAAGAAAATGAAAAAGAAATGAGTAGCTTTGAGGATGAAATGACAGGCTTTCTAGGTAGTGCCTTGCCCCTGGGGGCCTGGCTTTGAAGTGCGGCTGCTGTGTCAAGAAGCACCCTGTCCTCAGACCGGCTAGAAGCTGACTATCACCCCACCCTCAGCTGGTGACCCTCACCAATCAGATCAAAAACATTCGCCACCCAGCAACAGATGAACGGATAAATAAAATATGGTCTAGCCATGCAATGGAATACTATTCAGCCATAAGAAGGAGGGAAATTCTGACACAGGCTGCTATGTGTATGAACTTTGAAGACATTTTGCTGAGTGAAAGAAGCCAGTCACAAAAGGACAAATATGATATGATGCCACTTATATGAGGTCCCTCAGATTGGCAAATCCAGAGGCAGAAAGTAGAAGAGAAGTTACTAGGTGGGGGGAGGGAAGAATGGGGAATGACTGCAATCATTTAATACAATGTTGTATTTAGTAATTATGTAAAGTAGCAAAAACTGGCCTGGTGCAGTGGCTCATGCCTGTAATCCCAGAACTTTGGGAGGCTGAGGCGGGTGGATCACTTGAGGTCAGGAGTTCGAGACCAGCCTGGCCAACATGGTGAAACCCTGTCTCTACTAAAAATACAAAAATTAGCCGGGCGTGGTGGCAGGTGCCTGTAATCCCAGCTACTCGGGAGGCTGGGGCAGGAGAATCACTTGAACCTGGGAGGCGGAGGTTGCAGTGAGCTGAGATTGCACCACTGCATTCTAGCCTGGGTGACAGAGGGAGAGTCCATCACAAAAAATAAAATAAAATAAAATAAAATAAAATAAAATAAAATAAAATAAAGCTTTAAAAAATTCACAAGCAGTTTCTCTATGAAACCTGACACTTTTTAAAAAACACCTAAGATGCAGCAGTGATGCATTGGAGAAAAAAAAAAAAAAGAGTTCCTATGAGAACCCTACCAGGCACACCGCTGAAGGCTACTTGAGCCAAATGGCGGTGACCTAGTTCATCATAATTAAGACCTAAGCCTTAATCCACAGATGGCTGGCATTTCAGTGTGAGGCCTAAGCCACACCTACCCTGTTCACAGTGTCTTTGACAGCCGGGACCGGCAGGCGAGGCAGCGATGTCTGGAAGCTGTACAACATGGGTTTTCGGCCTGAAAAGATCTTGACCATACCCTGAAGAGAGAGAATTATATTTTCAGACTACTGCCATACTACTCTGAAGGCACCTGTTCTCGTCTGATCTCGTGAAGCTAAGCAGGGTCAGTCCTGGTTAGTACTTGGATGGGAGAATGACCATTTCAAAGACAAGGCTATGTTAAAGATCCGAAGCCACTTTTCCCGTGCGCACAATGTGCCAACCACTTACTGATTTTCTGTGTCGATTTATTTTTCATCTGGTCCATCTTTTACCCGCCCCATACTTACAGGTTCTAGCAAATAAGCATATAACCCTGCCCTCCATGCCAATAAAAGCCTGGGCAACATGGCAAAACCCCACCTCTACAAAAAATTAGCCAGGCATGGTGGCATGTGCCTGTTGTCTCAGCTACTTGGGAGGCTGAGGTGAAAGGATTGATTGAGCCTGGGAGGGTGATGCTGCAGTGAGCCATGATCATACCACTGCACTCCAGCCTGGGCAACATAGTGAGACCCTATGTCAAAAAGCAAAACAAAAACAAACAAACCAAAAAACCAGGTAGAATCAAAGCCAAGCCTGACAGAGGCCGTGAGATGTCGCTGCCAGCGTCGTGACTGGCCAGGACCCTGACCGTGCTTCTGCACCTAGGGTGAGTCTCACCCCACCTCCTTCCGCAAGGCCCTTAGTTTCGGGATGGGCTCCAGGCTCTAGGAACAGTGAGGAGGGTCAACGTGCCTGGCCCTGAGCCAAGCCGAGGGGAAGCAGTTTCTTTCCTTCAGTCATTGCCAAGTCTCCCAAAGGACACATCTGTGGCCCTTGGTTTTAGGCTGGATGATCAAGCCTGTATAATAACCAGTCACCTCAATGGCAACCAAAACAAAGGCAGTCCTTGGGCCCAGGCGGGGAGTCTTGGTACTGCAGGGCATTGGGACTCAGCTGAACCTCAGCTGTGAACCCACTGGAGGGAGTGCCCTTTAGCCTGCTTTGCCAAGTGTGGGAGCCACCCCTGAGTCTCTTCTAGGTGTTAAATTCTGCTTCTCTAGAAATCAGAAATTTTATATCCAAATGGTAGAAAATTGATTTGAGAGAAAAAATTGGTTTGGCTGGGTGTGGTGGCTCACGCCTGTTGATCCCAGCACTTTGGGAGGCCGAGGAGGGTGGATCGTTTGAGCCCAGGAGCTCGAGACCACCTGGCCAACATGGCGAAACCCTGTCTCTATTAAAAATACAAAAAATTAGCTGGGCGTGGTGGTGTGTGCCTGTGGTCCCAGCTACTGTGGAGGCTGAGGTGAGAGAATCGCTTGAGCCCGGGAGGCGGAGGTTGTAATGAGCCGAGATTGCACCACTGCACTCCAGCCTGGGTGACAGAGCAAGATGCTGTCTCAAAAAAAAAAAAAAATTTGTTTGGCAAAGAGTGGAGTCCCGGTGTGTGGTGGGCACTGCAGTGACTCCCATGCTTCTCTCACAAGCAGGCTCCCCCAGAGGTTGGGACAGCAGCCCAGTCCAGGCAGGCACCACTGTGGGGGCCATCCCGAGGCGACCAAGCAGAAGGGCACCGGGGCCAAGGTCGGGGCAGACAAGAAACCAAAGCAGACCCACGGCTTCGTATACACCGGCAGACCCACGGATCAGCCCCATTCGAGAAAGATTCTGCAGAAAATGTTTCCATGATGACCTGGTCCATTACAACCATTTAGGCCACTTGGCAAGACAGGGGTGAATAAAGCAGATGTTTCTTTACACACATCTGGCCCCAGAAACCCAGGTTGGGCTTGAGGTGCCGAGCAAAGCCCAAGGCCCAGGGCCATGACTACAATGGGCAGATGGTACACGGGGCACACACCCGCCTGCAGGGGGTCACAGGGGCCCCAGCCCCCCAGACGGAGGCCTCGAAAGTCCAGAGACGATGCCCATCTTGGAGGGTTGATTTTCAGAAAAACTAAGCCCATAAATTTTTTTTTTTTTTTTTTTGAGACAGGGTCTGGCTCTGTCCCCTAGGAGTGCAGTGACACAACCACAGCTCACTGCAGCCTTGACCTCCTGGGCTCAAGCATTCCTCCCACCTCAGCCTCTCAAGTAGCTAGGATTACAGGCATGCACCACCACGCCTGGCTAATTTGCCTGGCTAATTTTTGTATTTTTAGTAGAGACGTCTTTTTGCCATGTTCCCCAGGCTGGTCTCAAACTCCTGAGCTCAGGTGGTTCACTGGGCTTGGCCTCCCAAAGTGCTGGGATTACAGCCATGAGTAGCCATGCCCAGCCCCCATAAAAACATTTAAATTGAGACCGGGTGTGATGGCTCATGCCTGTAATCCCAACACTTTGGGAGGTCAAGGTGGGCCGATCACTTGAGCTCAAAAGTTTGAGACCAGCCTGGCCAACAAAACCCCGTCTCTATTAAAAATATAAAAATTAGTCAGCCATGGTGGTGTACACCTATAGTTCCAGCTACTCAGGATGCTCAGGTGGGAAAATCACTTGAGCCTAGGAAGTCGAGGCTGCAGTGAGCCGTGATGGTGCCACTATACTCCAGCCTGGGCAATGGAACAAGACCCTGTCTCAAAAAGAAAAAAAAAAAAAAAAAAGCTGGGTACAGTGGTTCACACCTGTAATCCCAGCACTTTGAGAGGCCAAGGCAGGATCACCTGATGTCAGGAGTTCAAGACCAGCCTGACCAACATGGTAAAACCCCGTCTCTACTAAAAATACAAAACTAGCCAGGCATGGTGGTGCATGCCTGTAATCCCAGAAACTTGGGAGGCTGAGGCAAAAGAATTGCTTGAACCTGGAAGGGCAGAGTTTGCAGTGAGCTGAGATCACACCACTGCACTCCAGTCTGGGCAACAAGAGTGAAACTCCATCTCAAAAAAAACTAAAATGAAAAAATATAAATATAAATAAAAAAGAAAAACATTTAAATCATGAAATTTGGACAAGCATCCACATATATGGCAAAGCCATTACCTTAAATAAGGGACCCTTGGGCTGAGGGCCAAAGCAAGCTGGAGGAACATTCCAGAAGCTAAGTCTGAGTCACGGGAGCCTGTCTGAGGGGTCAGCTAAGGTAACCATTTAATGCCTGACAACAAGTGAGTCAAGAACACTACAAAGAACCGGATGGACAGCACTTTTATTTGATGAATGACCTGAACTACAAACCGAGCAGACCTCAATATAAAATGCTGCAGGTCTCACTAATGTCACAAAAGAGAAGCACTCTTTGGCCCCTGCTTTTGTGTCATGGTGACTCAAACCTCTCCAGCCATTCAAGGTTGAGGCCCAAGTCACCAACCAAGCATAGAGGGAGAAAAGGTCGCAGGGGTGTCCTTCCGCAGGGGTGTCCTTCTTCCCAAAGCCCAAACTGTCCACCCCCTCCACAGCCAGAGGGACACGCAATTACCATCCAGATCTTGGTGGCACGACTCATCTTGCCGTGCTCAGTGAACATCCACCCGTGGTAGGAGAGCAGCACTTTCAGGGAGTAGCGCATGGTGACGATGAGGGCCACCCACAGGCCGGTGCCAAACAGCACGCCGCTGACCACGTTCTTCGTCTGGCTGGACATGCAGTTGCTGTGGAGACAGACCCAGACAAGGGAGGCTGTGCGTGAGGCCACACGGTGCCACCAACACCACCGGTGACGCCACAGACACCACGTGCTGCAGGGTCCAGCAGCCTGCCCCAGGTACAGCCGGGAAAGTCAGAGGGAGAGCACTTGCAGGAACTGAGCTCTTAAAACACTCACGGGCACTCTCCTCCTCACCCCAAAACCAATCACGCCGAAAGTAGCTGGCAGACCCAGGCGCCCGGGGCGGGCCTGTTTGCTCTCTTCCCAGAGGTCCCTTCAGCCCGATCTGCTCGGGTGGCCTCGAAACCAACCAGGGCTAATTTGTGTCTTCTGGAAAAAGATACAGCTTCCTCCAGGACCTCAGGACCAACGGCAGAGGGGATGCTGTGAGGCCAGGACCTGGCCACCGTGAGAGCCATGCCCTGCCGACCTGTGCGTCCCCGGCAGGTGCGCAGGAGATTCTGGGCCACTTTCTTCAGCTCTTGATGAATTTTTTTCTCTCAAACTTACTTTTAGATGTAATCGTAATCTCAAATTATTTGTTACAACTGTTACCTCCAGTATTTATATCAAAAGAGCTTGTTTTTGACTTAGGTGTATTTAACACAAATAAAGAAACGGACTGTGTAAAACGGTCATGTAAATATTCAACTTAAATACAGGAAATGTTTTTGTTTGTGAAGGAAGGTAGTATATATTATGGTAAAGATGGGACTTTAAAAATGAGATGAAATTCAGCTTTTTTTTTTTTTTCGAGACAAGAGTCTCGCTCTGCTGCCCAGGCTGGAGTGCAATGGTGTGACCTTGGTTCACTGCAACCTCCGCCTCCCAGGTTTAAATGATTCTCCCATCTCAGCCTCCTGAGTAGCTGGGATTACAGGTGCGCACCACCACATCCAACTAATTTTTGTATTTTTTGTAGAGATGGGGTCTTGCCATGTTGCCCAGGCTGGTTTCAAACTCCTGTCAGGTGATCCACCCGCCTCGGCCTCCCAAAGTGCTGGGATTATAGGTGTGTGCCACTGTGCCTGGCCAGAAATGCAGCTATTTTGTGGTTTGTTTTAGTTTTGGTTGTTTTGGGAACTGCAAAATATTTTTTAAATGAAAACTATTTAAGCATGCTTCAAATGATTAAAACACCAATATATATAACCTAAAGGTGTCCCTAATATTTGAAAAGCACTAATTTGGCCAGGTGCAGTGGCTCAAGTCTATAATCCCAGCACTTTGGGAGGCTGAGATGGGTGGATCACTTGGGTCCAGGAGTTCGAGACCAGCCTGGACAACATGGCAAAACCCCATCAATACAAAAATAAAATTTAAAAAAGAAAATAAAATAAGAAATAAAAAATAATAAAAATAAAAAATAATAAATATTTCTTCAAAATAAGAAATAAAAAAAGAAAACCACTAATTTAACACTGCATAATATTTAAGTGGACAAAAACAAATTATCTTCAAGGTTATATACTCTTTGCTCCAAAATGTATATCTTTCTATAACCCGTGAAATCTAGCACTGGAGTTTCACTGTAGTCTCTTCTTTAAACCTATACACTCTTTTCTGGTCATCTAACCTATAAACAAACTTGGGTTTAGGGATTTAAGAAGCTATCTTTTAGATAATCTACATTTTAGATTACTGAAAGAAAAAGACCTATATACTTACTTGATTTGCAAAAATAAAAATATTTTAGCATAAACAAATAAATGACACATTCAAGATTTTTAAAAGTATAGACATAGAGGCACTCAGATAAAAAACGTTAGCAAAAAGCTTTCTTTGAAAGGACATGCTCCTTACAAGGCTGTCGGGGACAAACTCAGAGACAAACCTCACATGACACGGATGACTCCACTTTTTTATTCTTTCTTTTTTTTAAGAGATAGGGTCTCACTATGTTGCTCAGGCTGATCTTGAACTCCTGGGCTCAAGCAATCCTCCTGCCTCGGCCTCCCAAAGTGCTGGAATTACAGGCCACCGCACCCAGCCTGACTCCACTTTTGAAGGCAGCAGCCCAGAGATACTGCAGATCCCCTCCAGGACAGGAAATGGCCCATGAGGCTGGAAGACGTTGGCCCTTAACCCGGCCTTTCTAAATTTAGGCCAGGGATGGCCCAGTTTACCAAAATAGGTTTAAGAGGTACAAAGAAACAAATCTTACAAAGACCCAGATTATTAAGGGCTTTAAACAGTCAACACTTCTATATATAATCCAGTTTTAAGAGAGCGCCTACACTAGAGAGTAAATTAAAGAACTGGCCTGGGTGCAGTGGCTCACGCCTGTAATCCCAGCACTTTGGGAGGACAAGGCGGGTGGATCACTTGAGGTCAGGAGTTCAAGACCAGCCTGGCCAACACGGCGAAACCCCATCTCTATCAAAAATACAAAAATTGGTTGGGCATGGTGGCATGTGCCTGCAGTCCCAGGTACTCAAGAGGCTGAGGCAGGAGAATCACTTGAACCTGGGAAGCGGAGCTTGCAGTGTGCCGAGATCGCACCACTGCACTCCAGCCTGGGTGACAGAGTGAGACTCTATCTCAAAAAGAAAAAAAAGAAGATATTCATTAGCCCCATGAGAGAATGAAAAGTACGTAGGAACAGCTCCAGACACAAGGCTCGGAGGCAGCTACCCACCGCAGGCCTGTGGGTCCTGGGACCTCAAGGAAGAGAGCAGCCAGGCCTGCCCTGAGCACCCAGGTCTGCCAGCTGCTTTCTGAGTGACAGCAATGACAGCAGTACCCAGGCAGACAAGGAACCTGGCAGGCGTCCCAGCCAGGCATGCTTCTGCTAAAATGACTGGGAACTTTTATTATGTTTCTTGCAGACTCTTATAGAGGCCTGAGCCAGCGTTCCTGAGCTACCTCAAGGTTGCAAGCAACTCAGCTGGACGCTCGATGACTCTGGAGGGTCCAGGGGCTTCCTGGAGAAGGAACAGGATGTGGAGGGGTCCTCTGCAGACCCTTCGCAAAAAGAGGTTCAGGAATCAGGGCACTTGCTCAAGCTGTCATCAGGAGACTCAGACCATTAATCTGCTTAATCTTTTATTTCTAGTCATCAGAATCAAGGCTGGGCATGGTGGCTCACACCTGTAATCCCAGGACTTTGGGAGGCCGAGGCGAGTGGACCACCTGAGGTCAATAGTTCGAGATCAGCCTGGCCAACATGGTGAAACCTCATCTCTACAAAACATACAAAAATTAGCCAGGCATGGTGGCGGACACCTGTAATCCCAGCTACTCAGGAGGCTGAGGCAGGAGAATTGCTTGAACCCGGGAGGCGGAGGTTGCAGTGAGCCGAGATCGCACCATCGCACTCCAGCCTGGGCAACGGAGCAAAAACTCCATTTCCAAAAAAAAATCAAATTCAGCCGTTAACTGTGAGTGAGTTTTCGTTTACGTCTCTTTTTCTGCCGGTTTATTTTCTTATTTCTTTCTGATTAAACAATATTTATATGCAAACAACCTGGAAGGCGTGACTATAAAGATCCAGAGCTTCGTTTTTTAGCTTAGCCCAGACCCGGCATTGTGCCTTCCACCTGCAATTCCTGGCCCCAAAACAAAGCCCAATTATGAGGAGTTGGTGGCTATTATTGACCTCAGGTGATCGACCCACCTCGGTCTCCCAAAGTCCTGGGATTACAGGTGTGAACCACCGTGTCCAAATGGCAAAAATGCCATTGGTGTAAACAAGCAGCACAGAAATCGAATCAAACGTCTGGCACGGGGCAGCAGGGACACTTCCGAGACACTGTGGAGCTTTCAGACCCGAAAGTAAAATGTGTGTCCAAGCCCAAGGGTCACGGCTGCACGAGGAAGCTGAGTTGCCCTGCGTTCCACTGTCTGGACGTTCAAATGGTGGTAAAGCAGCGGTGTTCACTCGCATTTGTCTCACAGAAGCTTCTGGGGCAGGGGGTGGGGGGACCTCAGTGCTACACTGAAGAAAGCACAGATTTCAGAGCTGCGCAGAGCTGGGTTTGAACTCTAGCTTCCCCGCTCCCTCTTCCTGTGACTTGGGCAGACACCTGCACCTGTCTGAATGCTTTCTCACTGGTAAAAGGGACCCTAATGAGAGGTCACTGCAGTGCAGGCTCTGACCTTCCTAGATGGGAGTCTGGGCCATCTCCAGAACTGGATGGAATAACAGACATCACAGGTGTGCAATAAACATGTGCTATCAACAGGCGGCAGGTGGTTAGAAAAAAAAAATAAAATGAACATGTGCTGAATGTTACCTAAGGTGTCTCTGGGCTTATCTCTTGGTAGCAAGAAATAAGCCCCAGGAAAATCCAAAACCCTAGAGGTAGGAGGGACGGGGGGGTCCCTGGAGATTTCTAAACCATTCTGACAGAGTTAAGTGGGTGAGGTCCCTGCAGAGGACCCCACAGCAGTCAGTTCAAGGGTCACAGAACTCTGGAATGAACAGACTCCAAGTGCAAAGAAATGACTACATGGGGAATCAGCCCTTTGAGCAGAAATTCCATTTCAGAGCCCTATTGGCCAGGCTAAGGGCACTGTCATTATTGACCAAACCCTCGGGCCCTGACACCTTCCAAGGGGTGCCCCAGGGCCACTACCACTCTTCTCACCCTGGTCTACAGAGGAAAGGCCGCAGGGGACCGCAAACTCCTAGGGGGACCTTAACAGCACCCAGGAGACAGGAAGAAAGCTGACGTGAGAACAGCATCAGGAGCTTCATATGGAATCCAGAACAGTGACAATCATCACATTTGAAGAGACATAAAAACAGCAATAAAATCGGTAACTTCCCAGACAATTGGAGATTTCACAGGATTACTTACGCCGTTTCCAGAGTCCGATTGATTTTTGCAATTATTCCTAACGAGGGGTCGATCTTGGCGTACATCGTTGTCATCACGCCCACCACCACGATAAGCCAACTGGAGGGGCTTGCCGGGTACACGCCAGTGATGATGCCGTTCTAAAGACAGACACCCGGGCCGTGAGCGGTGTCCTCCCACAACCCACAGGGCAATGACGCTTCATGGCCCCTGGCAGCAGGGCTGCTGGGACAGCAGGCAGTGAGAAGAGGGTGTGGACAGCGTGCGTGCACTGAGAAACCACACCCCACTAGCTGGGACTCTCCCCAGAGTTTACAGCCTGCAGTGATTCCAGTTTCCTCCCTTCCACTACTTCCGAGCCAAAACCCACCCTGAAAGCTTCCCCAAGAGTCGACGCCCCGGGCCATGATAATCAGCCCAGGCACTAGTTTAGCTGGTGAAGGACGTCACTGAGCCACCATGACGTCCTGTCCCCAGCCTGCTACTGTCTAGAATGCCCCGAGACCCCGGTTCCAAAACTGCTCCTCTTGCCGCCCCTGTGTCAGAAGGGCTGCTTAACCCTGAAGATTTCATGGGAGACCTCACCCCATGTCGAGAATTTGCTGTAAAATACTCCAGCCAAAAAAAAAAAAGGATTATATCAAACAAAATTGGCAAAATTGTTGAAACAAGGAAGGGAATGGTGGGGATCTTTAATCAGTCCTCTTCACTCTTGTGTATGTTTGACAACTCCAATTAAAAAAAATTCTTCCTAAACCATCCTAATAAGATATTGATTTCACCAAGATAATGGATTAAAAATGACCAAAGCAGGCCAGGTGCGGTGGCTCACACCTGTAACCCCAGCACTTTGGGAGGCTGAGGCAGGCCGATCACTTGAGGTAAGGAGTTTGAAACCAGCCTGACCAACATGGTGAAATCCTGTTTCTACTAAAAATACAAAAAATTAGCCAGGTGTGGTGGTGGGCGCCTATAGTCCCAGCTACTCAGGAGGCTGAAGCAGAAGAATCACTGAGCCCAGGAGGCGGAGGTTGCAGTGAGCCAAGGTTGTGCCATTGCACTCCAACCTGGGCAACAGAGTGAGGCTCTGTCCAAAAAAAAAAAAAAAAAAAAAAATTAGCCGGGCATTGTGGTGTGCACCTATGGTCCCAACTACTTGGGTGGATGAGACAGGAGGATTGCCTGAGCCCAGTGAGGCTACAGTGAGCCGTGATCGCACCACTGCACTCCACCCTGAGCAACAGAGCAAGACCCTGTCTCAAAAAAAAAAAAGAGGGGAGGGGAGGGGAGAGGGAGAACAACATTCCCACTGGGTTGAATATGATGGCCAAGCCTCTGCATCCAAGTTTCTATTTTCCCAGATTCCAAGGTGAAAAAGAGCAGCTCTCGGCGAGCCGAGCTAGTGCCTCAGTGAAATCTCGGATGTCACCTTGGTGGGTTATTTATCTGGGCCCAAGAACCCACAGGCTGAGCCCCAGGGACACCCGTGCAGCTGTACTGGCTCCCAGGGGCTTGCCCGCCATGCTGTCCCTGCTGCCACCTGCTCTTGAGCTTAGGCCTTTCTCAGTGGCCCACTTCAGTGCCGCCCTCGGAGAAGGAGCACCGGGAAGTGCACAAACTGAACTGAGTTACCGCTGGGGCTGGCAGGGGGGTCAGCGGGGGGGGATTTCCACTTTTGACTTGATGAACTTTCACCTAGTTTGCATGTTTTCAAACATGCACTTGTTCCTTCTATGATGTTTAAAATAAATTAAAATACATGGAAAAACAAGACACTTACTTAAAAAAGAACAAAGTTCTACTTCTTTAGATAAACAGAATTGAGAACATGTGGACTCAACTGTATTTGAACTTGTGGAGAGTTTCTTTTTTTTTGTTTGTTTTTTTTGAGACAGAGTCTCGCTCTCTCACCCAGGCTGGAGTGCAGTGGCGCGATCTCGGCTCACTGCAAGCTCCGCCTCCCGGGTTCGTGCCATTCTCCTGCCTCAGCCTCCCGAGTAGCTGGGACTGCAGGCGCCCGCCACCACGCCCGGCTAATTTTTTGTATTTTTTAGTAGAGACGGGGGTTTCACCATGTTAGCCAGGATGGTCTCGATCTCCTGACCTCGTGATCCACCCGCCTCGGCCTCCCAAAGTGCTGGGATTACAGGTGTGAGCCACTGCACCCGGACCTTATGCAGAGAGTTTCTAATGTGTGAATGTTTTATAAACAAAGTAGTTATTACATCCACTTGCTGAAGTTTGGAAAAAATATTTTTTTGTTTTTTTGAGACAAAGTCTCGCTCTGTTGCCCAGGCTGGAGTGTGGTGGCTCAATCATGGCTCACTGCAGTCTCTGCCTCCCAGGTTCAAGTGATCCTCCCACCTCAGCCTCCTGAGTAGCTGGGACTACAGGTGCATGCCAACATACCTGCCTAATTTTTCTATTTTTTGTAGAGATGGGGTTTTGTCGTGTCACCCAGGCTGGTCTTAAACTCCTGAGCTCAAGCAATCCGCCCACCTCAGCTTCCCAAAGTGCAGGGATTATAGGTGTGAGCCACTGCACCTGGCCTGGAAAAATCCTATTTGAACAAGGTGTAAAGGATTCTGACTCAGAGCAGAAGATGTGAATTCTAGTCTTTACTCTGCCTCCTATTAAGTAGGTCGCTGGCCCTTTAAGCCTCGATTTCCCAGCCTGCTTTAACGCATGCCAAGTCCCTCCACCTGCCTAATGGAACTGCTCCAAGCATCCAGTGAGCTAAAGTCTATGTGACGGTGTCCCCAAGCCTTAAGTACCATGGAAACAGGTAAGTGATATGCAGTCGCCAGTCTGAAACACGTAGACCTCAATAGCAGCCAGAGCCCCGTTCTTAGATATTAAAAGGCATACTGTGTAGATTTCAACAAATCTCAGAAAACCTTGAATCTGATGAACTTCTTTTTCCAGGAATGAAGTCCAGAGAGATAGATTTGTCTAAGAGCTTCATGGCTCAGCCGCAGGTCAATCCCGTCCGGAGTGACCGTGAACTGAAAGGCCACAGCTTGGTGAGCTTCTGCCATCTTCAGAGAGTACCTGGAAGGAGAAGGAGAAAATGTAACACAGTGGAACGTGTGACCAGACACTAAAAAACCCTCATACAGAAGTGCCATTCCTTCTGAACTTAAGTTCTTCCTCGCCACTTAACAGATTTAATACTTTTCATCAACAGACCAATTCCATCACCACAGCTGGCACCCCCTTGCCTGTCCACCGCTACAAAGACAGTCGCCACCTCTGCTTAGAGCCCCAAGATGATCATCAGGAGTCAGGCCCGTGGTACCCCAACCCTGGCCCTGGACATTCCCTGGAACCACGCCTCCAAGCCAGCATCCAGGCCCGTGGTACCTCAACTCTGGCCCTGGACGTCCCCCAGAACCACGCCTCCAAGCCAGCATCCAGGCCCGTGGTACCCCAACCCTGGCCCTGGACGTCCCCCGGAACCATGCCTCCAAGCCAGCATCCAGGCCCGTGGTACCCCAACCCTGGCCCTGGACATTCCCGGGAACCACGCCTCCAAGCCAGCATCCAGGCCCGTGGTACCCCAACCCTGGCCCTGGACGTCCCCCGGAACCACGCCTCCAAGCCAGCATCCAGGCCACACCTACTGACGTAAAGCCCACGGCGCTTCAGCAACTCGCACAGCACAGACAAATCTCAATCTTGCAGCCAGGCCCTTGGAGGCTGGCATTAGAAGAGGCCCAGAGTGTCCACGCAGGAGTCCACGAAGGAGCCCACGACAGCCCTAGACTCTGAACTTCGAGCGCAGATCAATCCCAAATGCCTCTGCCTCTGGTGTCTGTGTGGCTGCTCTTTCGAGAAACTGTTCTAGGGTTTCGGAGAGACCCACGAAGACTCCATGAGTCATATGCGCAGACACCTCAAGAATGGGTGTCCACAGACGGAGCGGGCCTTCTTCCTTGGAGGCAGCGGCTGAAACGGAACGTGCCTTGGCGGCCCCACGGGCTAAACGGATCCCGGGGCGCTGCAGTCCAGACCCAAGCACAGCCCCTGGGGAGAGCATCCCCTGGCCGGCTGCAGAAAACTGCTTCCGGATCTGCTACATTCTTCCTGTACCCTTCATCCTGGCTCCGGCCGCCTTCCTTCAGGCTCCTTGGCACAGCCGCTCAGCACAACACAGCCCACCCCCATCCCCTCCTGGACCCCCCGGGGTGGTGGCTCCTGCCCTTCTCACGGTGCCTCCTCCACCTCCTCCCAAGCTGCCTGCCACAAAGTACTAAATGGATAAAAGAGAAGCTAAGAGGAAAAAACTTTCAAGGACCATAATAAAAATCCAAAAACTCGTGTGTGTGTGTGTGTGTGTGTGTGGTGTGTGTGTGTATACGTGTGTGTGGTATGTGTGTGTGGTGTGTGTGGTGTATGTGTGTGGTGTGTGCGTGTGTGGTGTGTGTGTGTGGTGTACATGTGTATATGTGTGTGTGGTGTGTGTGGGTGTGTGTGTGGTGTGTGTGTGGGTGTGTGTGTGGGGTGAGTGTGTGTGGTGTGTATGGTGTGTGTGTGGTGTGGGGGGGTGCGTGGGTGTGTGTGTGGTATGTGTGGGGGGTGGGTGTGTGTGTGGGTGTGTGGTGATGTGTGGTTGTGTGGGGGGTGGGTGTGTGTGGGTGCGTGTGTGTGGTTGTGTGTGTGTGGTGTGTGTGTGTGGGTGTGTGGTGATGTGTGGTTGTGTGGGGGTGTGTGTGTCTGTGTGTGTGTGTGTGGTGTGTGTGTGTGGGTGTGTGTGCGTGTTCTCACCACAGGATGATTTTCCTGTTTTCGCCCACTGATGCCCTCTGAAGGTGAGATCAAAATCAGTGGCTATCACAGTTTCAAAGATCCCCTGTTACAGAAATCAGCCTGACTCAGTCCTCCACCAGCCAAAACACAGAACCATCCGCTGGCAGGCCCTAGAAAGGCACCCGACTTCAGACATCTGTCCATATTACAAATATTTGTTGACTGCCTCCAACGTGCCAGCCGAGGAGAAGAGCTGCACACCAGCAGAAAAGGTCCCTCTGCCCTCCCACAGCTTAGACCGGGCTAACAAGCAACGCAGGAGCAGTGCTCTGGTGCAGGAAGGGGAGAAGCCGAGGGGACCTCTCAGGAGACAGGGAAGCCAGGAGAAGGAGCAACCATGGGAAGAGCAGGCAAGAGCTGGAGGCAGGAAGGGCAGGAGGATGGGGTCAAGGGCAGGAAGCTGGGGTCAAGGGCAGGAGGCTGGGGGTCAAGGGCAGGTGTCTGGGGTCAAGGGCAGGTGGCTGGGGTCAAGGGCAGGGTGGCTGGGGGTCAAGGACAGGCTGTTGGGGGGGGGTCAGTGGCGGGACAGCTAAGGTCAAGAGCAGGCCAGCGGGGTCAAGGGCAGGGTGTCGGGTCAAAAGCAGGTGTCTGGGGTCAAAGGCAGGGTAGCTGGGGTCAAGGGTAGGGTGTCTGGGGTCAAGCACAGGTGGCTGGGGTCGACAGGGTGTCTGGGTTCAAGGACAGGGGGCCTAGTTTGGAGAGGAAGGCAGAGGCAGCCGGTGGGAGGTGGCAGGGTTTTGTGCTAGCAATGGAGAAGCATCCAAGGGCCCAGAGAAAGGGGAACCTGCCACTGTTTCTTTTCTAAAGACCACTCTGGCTGCTGTATGGAGTATGGATGGGGATGGGGAAGCAGGACCAGTTAAGAAGCTGAGGCTGTCTTCCAGGAAGGTGCATGGGCCTGGCCCACTCTGTCAGTGACAGGGACAGTGACAGTGTGGACAATGACCCACACAAGACAGTCTGCAGAGGCACCTTGAGCTGCACTTGCTGGTGAAATGGGCCCTCGGGCTCCTGTCTTGAGCCACCCACTCAGTGAAGCCAGGTACTGACAAGGGACAGTCTCAGGGAGGGAAGGAGGCAGGCTGGGGCAGAAGCTGAGAATTCATGCCTGGACCTGCCACATGTGAAATGTCACCAGGACATCCGGGTGGAGATGCCCCACATCGCCAGAGCAAGGGAGGAGCTGGGCAAGACGACACACCCGGGAGGTATCAGCACAGAACCTGCCAGCTCTGCCTCAATGACTCGGAAAGAGTAATTTGGCAAAACTACCTTCCACCAGCTATAACTTCAGCTTAGAGCAATTTGCAAAGCAATCGACAATATGTATGGGCCAGGCACGATGGCTCATACCTGTAATCCCAGCACTTTGGGAGGCTGACGTGGGAGGATCGCTTGAGTCCAGGAACTCAAGACCAGCCTGGGCAACATGGCGAAACCCCGTCTCTGAAAAAAATAAAAAATTAGCCAGGTGTGGTGGCATGGGCCTGTAGTCCCAGCTACTTGGGAAGCTGAGGCAGGAGGATCCCTTGAGCTCAGGAGGTAGAGGCTACAGTGAGCCATGATCACGCCATTATACTCCAGCCAGGGCGACAGAGTGAGACCCTATCTCAACAACAACAACAACAAAACAACAGTATTTACATATTATTTAGTAGGCACGCAGCCAACTCCCACGGCCTGGCCAGTTTTAAAGGAATGGATCCCATTTTTGAAAGCAGCAAGATCACCAAGCAGATGTTTGCCATGGGTTGAAGAGGGCATCAAAGCAAGCAGCTCTGAACCATTTCTCAAAAAGCTATCTAAGCAGCTGTAAGACTCCCGTGGAGTCTCAAGGTTAACTTTTTTTTTGAGACGGAGTCTCACTCTGTCGCCCAGGCTGGAGTGCAGCGGCGCCATCTCAGCTCACTGCAACTTCCACCTCCCGGGTTCAAGCGATTCTCATGCTTCAGCCTCCCGAGTAGCTGGGCTTACAAGTGCCTGCCACCACGCCTGGCTAATTTTTTCTATTTTTAGTGGAGACAGGGTTTCACCATGTTGGCCAGGCTGTTCCCGAACTGCTGAGCTCAAATGATCCGCCCACCTCGGCCTCCCAAAGTGCCGGGATTACTGCTATGAGCCACCACGCCCCGCCTCAAGGTTAACTCTTAGCCCCCTTCCCCATCAAAGCCTTCGCAGTAACCATGAGGAAGGCATCCCAGAAGAGGACTCTGCAAAGCATGCACCGTGGCAAATAAAGTGACGTGACTGGCTACCTCTGCACGATTGATAAGATCTCCTGGGCTTCATACAGAACACAAAGGCATTATTCATGGCAGTGGATTAAATATAGCGTCTGTAGCCAAGTCCCTCCAAAGTTATGTATCCAACACTTGCTCAGAAATCTAACCTCTGATAGGAAGAGTCAGACTGGAGGTAATTATAGTGTCCTTTCTAGGAGTGAAACGCCCTCGCAGAGCGATCTGAGTTTAATGAAGGACTTGTTTATTTGGACTGGT
This sequence comes from Homo sapiens, assembly GCF_000001405.40. Lineage (NCBI taxonomy): Eukaryota > Metazoa > Chordata > Mammalia > Primates > Hominidae > Homo > Homo sapiens. Next base: position 68,819,744 of record NC_000011.10, read on the forward strand.
TCAGGGTAACCCTAAGAGTTCTAAATGCCCCTAAGGTGCACAATTTGTTTTTCTACTTCTGCAGGAGCTGAGATGGGCTGTCCTGACCTAGCCTCTCCCTCTTTGAGCCATGAGCAGAAATGAGTGAATCCAACAAGGGCCAGAGGAGCTCCCTGTGCAAATGTAATGAGCGCAAATCCCACCCTGGGTTCTGGCCTGGATCAGTGGCCTTATGCTTAAAAACACTGATATAGCCGCACCTACAGCAGTCCCCTCTCAGCTACAGTTTGCACGTTTGTTTGTTTGTTTGTTTGTTTGTTTGTTTGAGACAGGGTCTCGCTGTATTGCCCAGGCTGGAGTGCAGTGGCACGATCATGGCTCACTGCAGCCTCTACTCCCCAAGCTCAGGTGATCCTCCCACCTCAGCCTCCTGAGTAGCTGGGACTAATAGGCATGCACCACCATGCTCAGCTAATTTATGTATTTTTTTGTAGAGACAGCGTTTCACCACCTTGCCCAGACTGGTCTCGAACTCCTGGACTCAAGTGATCCACCCATCTCAGCCTCCCAAAGTACCGGGATTACAGGTGTGAGCCACCATGTCTAGTGATTTTGCTTTTTGAAGTCTCAGTTATCCATGGTCAACCACCATCTGAAAATATTAAATGGAAAACTCCAGGCTTGGTGCGGTGGCTCATGCCTGTAATCCCAGCACTTTGGGAGGCCCAGGTGGGTGGATCACTTGAGGTCAGGGGTTCGAGACCAGCCTGGCCAACATGGCGAAACCCTGTCTTTACTAAAAATACAAAAATTAGCTGGGCATGGTGGTGCATGCCTGTAATCCCAGCTACTTGGGAAGCTGAGGCAGGAGAATTGCCTGAACTGGGAGGCAGAGGTTTCAGTGAGCTGAGATTGCACCACTGCACTTCAGCCTGGGGTACAGAGTGAGACTCCATCTCAAAAAAGAAAAAAAATCATAGTTTTCGATTGTGCAGCATTCTGAGCAGTATGATGAAAACTCCCACCGTCCCACTCCCTCCTTCCAGGGACGTGAATCACCCCTTTGCCCAGGCTACCCATGCTGTCAACACTCCCTGCCTACAGGGAGTTACTACACAGTAGTACTACACAGGAAAACACCTCGTATACACATCTGTCCCCCGGAATCTGAGGGGGACTAGTTGCAGGACCCCCATGCTTACCAAAACCCATGAATGTGCAGTCCCTTATAGAAAATAGTGTAGTATTTGCAAATAACCTACACACATCCTCCTGTATATATATTTTTTTGAGACACAGTCTCGCTCTGTCCCCCAGGTGGGAGTTCAGTGGTGCAATCTCGGGTTCAAGTGATTCTCCTGCCTTAACCTCTAGAGTAGCTGGGACTACAGGCATGTGCCACCATGTCTGGCTAATTTTTGTATTTTTATTTTATTTATTTATTTTTGAGACGGAGTTTTGCTCTTGTTGCCCAGGTTGGAGTGCAATGGCACAGTCTCGGCTCACTGCACCCTCTGCCTCCTGGGTTCAAGTGATTCTCCTGCCTCAGCCTCCTGAGTAGCTGGGATTACAGGCCCCCACCACCACGACTGGCTAATTTTTGTATTTTTAGTAGAGACAGGGTTTCAGTACGTTGGCCAGGCTGGCCTTGAACTCCTGACCTCAGGTGATCCACCCGCCTCAGCCTCCCAAAGTGCTGGGATTACAGGCGTGAGCCACCGCGCCCGGCCTACATTTTTGTATTTTGAGTAGAGACCTGGTTTCCCCACGTTGGCCAGGCTGGTCTCAAACTCCTGACTTTAGGTGATCCACCCACCTCGGCCTCCCAAAGTGCTGGGATTAACAGGTGTGAGCCACCGCGCCCAACCCTCCTGTATACTTTAAGTCATCTCTAGATTACTTACAATAATGAATACCTTATAAATGCTATGTAAACAGTTGTTATGCTGTATTTTTATTTTGTATTATTTTTTGTTATTATTTAGGTTTTTTCTTTTTCCCCAAATGTTTTCAATCCTTGGTTGGTTAAATCCACAGAAGCAGAGCCTGAGGATACAAAGCTGACCGTATAGGTTTGGTTCTGTCCGCAAATTCAGGCACCCACCAGGGGTCTTGGAATGTATCCCCCCAAGGATAAGGGGGGACCACTGCAAGTGTAAGACTGCCTCCTGTGGCCAATAGGGAGTGCAGATCTAAACCATAGGAAAACACCACTTCACACTCAGGAGGATGGCTAGTATCACAAAGATGGATGATAGCAAGTGTTGGTGAGGATGTGGAGAAATCAGAATTCTCATGCATGGCTGGTCAAATGGTGCAGCCACGTTGGCAAACAGTCTGTCCGTTCCTCAAAAGCTTAAATACAGAGTTACTGGCCTGGCACCGTGGCTCACACCTGCAATCCCAGCATTTTGGGAGGCCAAAGCAGAAAGACTGCTTTAGGCCAGGAGTTCCAGACCAGCCTGCGCAACATGGCAAGCCCCTGTCTCTGTATAATAAACAAAAATAAAAAAAAAAATAAAAATTGGGCCAGGTGCAGTGGCTCACCCCTGTAATCCCAGCACTTCGCAAGGCCAAGACAGGAGGATTGCTTTGGCTCAGGAGTTCGAGACCAGCCTGGGGAACATGGCAAGACCTCATCTCTATTAAAAATCAAAGAAATTACCCAGGCATGGTAGTGCATTGCTGTAACCCTAGCAACTTGGGAGGCTGAGGCAGGAGGATCGCTTGAGCCCAGGAAGTGGAGGCTGCAATGAGCTGTGATTGCACCACTGCACTCCAGCCTGGGCAACAGGGGAGATCCTGTCTTAAAAAAAAAAAAGAAAATTGTAGAAAAATAGACTTACCATACGACCCAGCAATTCCATTTCTACATATATACCCAAGAGAACTGAAAACATGTCCATACAAAAGTCTGCACACGAACACTCACAACATCATTCATGATAGCCAAAAAGTGGCAATACATTCTGCTGATGAATGGATAAATATAATGTGGTCCATCCATACTGTGGAATAGTATTCAGCAATGAAAAGGAATGGACCTCCGACACCTGCTGCAACATGGATGGACCCTGAAGACGTGATGCTGAGTGAAAGAAGCCATACAGAAGGTCATATATTGCTGATTCTATTTATTCTAAATGTCTGGAACAAGCAAATCTACAGAGACAGAAAGTACACTAGTGGTTGCCGGGGGCTTGGAGCAGATGGGAAGATAGGGAGGTCATGGGTAAGGAGTTGGGGGTATCTTCTTAGGGTGATGAAAACATTCCAAAATTGATTGTGGTGATAGTTGCACAACTCTGTGAATATACTAAAAACCACTGAAAGCCTGGGCAACATGGCGAAACCCTGTCTCTGCAAAAACTACAAAAATTAGATGGGTGCGGTGATGTGTGCCTGTAGTCCCAGCTACTAAGGAGGCTGAGGTGGGAGGATCACTTGAGCCTGGAAGTTCGAAGCTGCAGTGAGCCGTGACTGCACCACTGCATTCCAGCCTGGGCAACAGAGCAAGACCCTGTCTCAAAAAAAACCCAAACTCACCGAAGTGTACATTTTAGATGGGTGAATTTTATGGTATATGAATCTCTCAATAAAGCTGTTACCAAAAAATACTGTCTGAAGAAGTGTTATCTATTTAATGTCTATGCACCTAACCATTCTCTCCTCAAATATATGATGGTGGGGGTGGATATGTTATTATTTTCTTCCATATCCTGTCCACCATAATGCTCTGGTCACATTAAGGACTCATTCAGCAGCCATAAAAAAGAATGAAATTGGCCGGGCACGGTGGTTCACGCCTGTAATCCCAGCACTTTGGGAGGCCGAGGCGGGAGGATCAACTGAGGTCAGGAGTTCGAGAACAGCCTGACCGACATGGAGAAACCCCATCTCTCCTAAAAAATACAAAATTAGCCGGGCATGGTGGTGCATGCCTGTAATCCCAGCTACTCGGGAGGCCAAGGCAGGAGAATCACTTGAACCCAGGAGGCAGAGGTTGCAGTGAGCTGAGATCATGCCATTGCACTCCAGCCTGGGCAACAAGAACAAAACTCTGTCTCAAAAGAAAGAAAGAAAGAAAGAAAGAAATCATGTCCCTTGCAGTAATATGGATGCAACTGGAGGCCTTTATCCTAAGTGAACTCACTCAGAAACAGAAAACCAAATACCGCATGTTCTCACCTATAAGTGGCAGCTAAACAATGGGTACCCATAGACATAAAGATGGAAGTGACAGGCCGGGTGCGGTGGCTCACGCCTGTAATCCCAGCACTTTGGGAGGCCGAGGTGGGCAGATCACCTGAGGTCAGGAGTTTGAGACCAGCCTGGACAACATGGTGAAACCCCATCTCTACTAAAAATACCAAAAATTAGCCAGGCGCGGTGGCAGACGCCTGTAATCCCAGCTACTTGGGAGGCTGAAGCAGGAGAATCGCTTGAACCTGGGAGGCGGAGGTTGCAGTGAGCTGAGATCGGGCCACTGCACTCCAGCCTGGGGGACAAGAGCAAAGCTCCATCTCAAAAAAAAAAAAAAAAAAGAGAAAAAAGATGGAAATAACAGACATTGGGGATTCCAAAAGGGAAGGGAGGCAGCAGGGCAAGGGCTGAAAAATTACCTATCAGGTACAATGTTCACTCTCTTCCCTTTCATGGAGGGCACTCTGGGTACACCAGAAACCCAACCCCACCAGTATGCAAAATGCCTGTGTAACAAACAGGCACGTGTACCCCCAAATCTAAAATTAAATTAAATTTAAAAAAAGACTCATTCAAAACAACTGTTACCTCATGGCATTAAGGAATTTCTGTGAATTATCTTTTAGGTATTACAAGATATTGTGGTTATGTTTTTTAAGAGACAGAGTCTCGCTCTGCTGCCCAGGCTGGAGTGCAGTGGCACAATCACAGCTCACTGCAGCTCTGGGTTCAAGCAATCCTCCTGCCTCAGCCTCCTGAGTAGTTGAGACCGTGGGTGTGAGCCATGGCACTCAGGCAGTGGTTATTTTTAAAAAGGGTTCCCATCTTTTATTGATACATCCTAACATATTGCTACATGCAATTGTATCTTTTTTTTTTTTTTTTTTTGAGACTGTTGAGTCTTGCTCTGTCGCCTAGGCTGGAATGCAGTAGCACGATCTAGGCTCACGTTAACCTTTGCCTCCCGGGTTCAAGCAATTCTCCTGCCTCAGCCTCCCCAGTAGCTGAGACTACAGACACCCGACACTGCACCCAGCTGATTTTTGTATTTTCAATATAGCCCAGATTACACCGTGTTGGCCAGGCTGGTCTTGAACTCCTGACCTCAGGTGATCTGCCCAACTCGGCCTCCCAAAGTGCTGTGAGCCACTGTGCCCAGCCTAATTTTATCTTTTATCATATCTGGGACTTGCTTCAAAATCACTTGGGGTGGGAAAAATGGAGGGACGGGTAGGAAGGAGCCATGTGTGAGAACGGGTGAAGGGCAGGGCTGTGCAAGCCCGGTAGGTAAGTGTCTCTTCTACGCACATTTGAGATCTCCTGATGTTTTAGAATGTGTTGAATGAAATGAAACATTCATCTGCTGCAATTGGAGCTCAAAAATCTCATGTTTGGAGAGCTCCTCAGATACTCCAAGTGCCCCAGGTGCCCACCTCCCAGGAAGGGAAGCACACACTTCTCACCCCATAGCCCACCCAATACAACAGGGCTGGCAGCAGAGAAACGGCGTAACCCATCCGGAGCCAGGGAAGATAAAACCAGGAGGAGCAAAGGTTTCCGGGGCCAGAGCATGTGGAAAGTTGGCCATGCCCAAGCCCCCTTACCCCGTCCCCACTACCCACAATCTGGAAATACCTGAACAGTCACCACCTGCTTGCCCAACCCAACAGGATTTTTATGACCCTGGTGTAAAAAGGATGAGAAAGGAAAAGCAGGGCCTCCCCCCAGTGCCCGCCTCCCCGAGTGCCCGCCTCCCTCCAGTGCCTGCCCCCCACCTCACCCAGCCAGCCTCTTCCAGGTGCTTCCTCTTCAGGCAGGAGGCCACACTCCTGGCCCACGCAGGGACTTCACCTCTCCCCAGAAGAGGGCACACCTGCTCCCTGCCTTTCACCCAGCTGGGAGTGGATGCAGAGTGGCAGCTTCTCCCACCTCTGAGTCACCGGAAACAAAGCCGGGGGACTGCAGAAGACACGGGCACCATGGCTTCACAGAGGCCAACCCACCCCAGTGAGTGCCACCCAGCTCCTGGGCCAGCCTCACTCACTCCAGACACAGGGCAGAGGGTTCCTAATGTCTCTAAAACCGAGGAACTCATAAGAATGGTAACCAGATAAAGCCATTCGCACCACACCCGCCTTCCCTCCCTGGCCCTGGAGAGTAGAGGGCCCCAGACCAGAGTCTGAGAGTGGTCAGCACGTTTCCTGCCTTGATGTACCCCCGCACTGAAAGCCAACCTGAGGCCGGGCACTGTGGCTCAGGCCTGTAATCCCAGCACTTTGGGAGGCCAAGGTGGGAGGATCACTGTAGGTCAGGAGTTCGAGACCAGCCTGGCCAACATGGTGAAACCCTGTCACTACTAAAAATACAAAAATTAGCCGGATCTGGTGGTGCACGCCTGTATTCCCAGCTAACTGGGAGGCTGAGGCAGGAGAATTGCTTGAACCCGGGAGGCAGAGGTTGCAGTGAGCCGAGACCAGGCCACTGCACTCCTAGGTGAGAGAGTGAGACTCCGTCTCAAAAAAAAAAAGGTCAGGCGCGGTGGCTCACGCCTGTAATCCCAGCACTTTGGGAGGCCGAGGGGGGCAGATCATGAGGTCAGGAGGTAGAGACCATCGTCGCTAACACGGTGAAACCCCATCTCTACTAAAAATACAAAAAAAAAATTAGCCGGGCGTGGTGGCGGGCGCCTGTAGTCCCAGCTACTCGGGAGGCTGAGGGAGGAGAATGGCGTGAACCCGGGAGCCGGAGCTTGCAGTGAGCTGAGATCAGGCTACTGCACTACTGGGTGAGAGAGTGAGACTCCCTGTCAAAAAAAAAAAAAGAAAACCAACCTGGCCCTCAGCGTGACTTTCTGTAACATACTTTACTTAGCACAAACGGGATTCCTCAAAGTAAATCGGGTCTGCGGCCTCACCACACTGGCATAAACAGGACTGGGACTACAGGTGGCTAACCTCACCTTCCTGGAAACAGACAGCAGCCAGGTGAGGCAGGTGAGCAGCTGAGACTGGGATGGGCAGACGACAAGCCCAGGGCCAAGGGCGCAAAGCTCTTCCAAGGACCTGGTGCTTAGGGAGGAGGAGTGGGGGTGAGGTGGGGTGTCCAGGTGGAAGAACGCCAGTCACTAATAAATTCCTGGACCTCAGATAAGCCTCACAAAAACTTTGGGAGGCCAAGGCGGGCAGATCGCTTGAGCCCAGGAGTTTGAGACCAGCCTGAGCAATGTGGAAAATCTCATCTCTACTAAAAATACAAAAATAAACCAGGCGCGGTGGTGAGCACCTGTAGTCCCAGCTACTTGGGAGGCTGAAGGGCGAGGCTCACACAAGCCCGGGAGGTTGAGGCTACAGTGAGCCATGATCACACCACTGCACTCCAGCCTGGGCGACAGAACGAGATCTTGTCTCAAAACATACACATACACAAGCTCCAGTGAACTTTACTATATTATACAGCAAGACTGTTTTCTGTCTTAAATGCTTTAAATCATAAGATAACCGCAAACACACAGGCAAGCAGAGAATAACACCTGTGTACCCTCCTGGAATCAACAAATTTAACATTTTGCTGTATTGATTTAGAATGTCCCCCCTACCCCACCCCACCCCCACCAGTTTGTTTGTTTATTTTTGTTTTTGTAGAGATGGGATCTCACTATGTTGCCCAGGCTGGTCTTGAACTCCTGGACTCAAGCAGTCCTTCCTCTTTGGCCTCCCAAGCTGCTGAGATTACAGGTGCCCAGCCCTGCAAAAATTTCTAAGATGCAATAGATACAACCTCCTCTCCCTGTCCCCAGAATGCGGGGCTCATCTTTCCCTACGTATTTGAGTATCTACAAGTGCATACAGTGCCACCATACACGTGCGAGGCACACACAAATGCTGCCTACTCTGTGCGCGGTCCTGCAACTTGCTTCTCGTCCACATTGAGTTCCAAGCTGCCCCATGCCCACCTACACAGCCCTGGCCCTGCTGTCCTGCACCCCCCTGCTGGCAGGAACCAGTCTGCTCTTGTGTCCCTGCTGGGGCTCAGGGAACTTCTCTGTTCACTTTTTCACTGTTGCAAACAAAGAAGCAGACAGTGGCCTTGTCCATGTTGCAGCATCGTATTTTAATGGGAGTAGAAAAAGAGCATAGTGTTCGTGGGCACCCCTGGCCTCTGGGGCAGACTTCCTTATGCCTGCCCTGCCCTGCCTGCTCTACCAAAGTTCCAGCTCCTTCTTGATGTGGTCATCCTGCCCTCTTTGCCCTTGCTGAAGTCCCACCAGCTGCTCGACACCCCATCTCCCTGTGTCTCCCAAGTCAGCTTTCCCAAGGCGTCTGAGTGCCCTGCCCACCTCGCCATCGCTGCCACATCGGCCCCAGCCAGGGGCTTCTTGGAGAGGGGGGCATACTCCACCACTTTGCAGCCTGTGTTCCTTCCGCTTCTGTGTGTCCAGAATGGGCCACCTGTCCGCTACAGCCAGGCCTGGGTCAGGGCCCCCCACCTCCCACCTGCGTGGGAGTCCCTCACCAGGCTCACTGCGTCTTCCCCTCCCCAGCACCTTTCATCGAGGGCAGGAGGCCAGGGCACCCATGTGTTACAACTCCCCTTCCCGGAAGCCTTCCCTGGGGTCTTGGGCACACCCTGCCAGACTGGGCACTGTGGCTGGGAGCCCCAGCACGCTGGGAGAAGGGCCCTTAGGCCAGCTGGCAGCCAGGCCTGCGTCTGGATCCAGGCCACCAACACTGGGCAGCCTCTTTGCTCACCCCTTCAGCCTTCCTGAGGCTGTAGTGAGGAGGGTGGCAGGGGCATGGCATGGCCTGAGGCTTGGGCAAGCGTCCGCCTCCTCTGGCTGGTGGGGGCTCTGCCACATCCCACTCACGGTGTACAACTAAACCGTTAGTCTCTGTGGGCCAGCCCCACTTCCCGTTCCTTCTTCCTCCTGGGGGAGGCCACCAGGCACGCAAGCTGGCCCCGGTCCATCTGCTGCTGCCTTGGGCCCCTCTGGCTTCTGAACTAGTAGGTGGCTCCCCCTGCACCCTGGGAGTCAGCCAGCCCCCCAGGACTTTAGCTTCAACCTGAGCACACTGCACCTGACCTTCCAAGCACGTCTTCACCCAGCCAAAACTTCACCAGCTGACAATGAATCTCACCACCTGTCCACGTGCCCGCATCCTCCCCAGGGTTTCTCTTACTGAGAACGCCGGCACCTGCCCTGCCTGGGAAGAAGCAGGGATGGACTAGGGGTGTTCACTCCAGTCCCCAGAACCTGCTGATGTGAAGGTCCCCGGGCCGCGTGTCCCACCAGCAACACGTCTGCTCTACAGCCCAGCCTTCCTTTCTCCAAGCCACCCCCATACAGAGACTTCCCAGAGAGACCTGCCCAACGGCTCTTTAATCCACGTCACCCCAGGGGCCGGCCTATCTGCAGCCCCTCTCCTTCTGTGATTTTCTTCCATGCCCAGGTATCGGAGACATATCACAGCCCTGGTGGGAAAAGGTGGTGTCCCGGGGGACAAAGTTTACACAGCGTGACCATTGGGATCCAAGCTGCACAGCAGGGCGTGCACCTGTGCCCCAAGTTCAAGGATGGCTAGAGGAGAGAACGCTTTTACTGGAAAGGCAGAAAAGAGGAGGAAGAAAAGTTAAAAGGAAGAAATGAGAAAATACAGAAAAATACAGATGGATGAAAAGGGAACTTAACCTCTCCCCTGTCACTCACTCGTTCCCACAAATCATCGCGGAGCCCTCGGACGGGAATCCCGAACTAGCCCTGGGAATGGACTCGTGGAGGAGGCAGCTCTGGGTAAGTAAAACAGGAGGACCCTTGGGTGCTGTTCCTGAGCTAAGACCCCTCCTTGCTGTGTGCCCCTGGGCCAGCTATGGAGTAAATCGGAGGTGGCGGCAACACCCCGGCGGCCTCCACCACACCAAAAACAACACATCGTCTGGCATTGTCATGGGGCCGCGGATGTGTCTATTTTCACTGAAAGTACAGAAATCACTTCTGAGAAGCTGGCATGGTGGCTGGGGCCTGGCCTGTACCTCTGCCCCAAGTGGACACGAGCCCTGAAAGGCTGAGTGGGAGGCCAGGTGCAGTGGCTCACACCTGAAATCCCAGCACTTTGGGAGGGCAAGATGGGAAGATTGCTTGAGTCCAGGAGTTCAAGACCAGCCTGGCCAACGTGGCAAAACTCCTTCTCTGCCAAAAATACAAAAAATTAGCTGGATGTGGTGGCGCACACCGGTGGTCCTAGCCATTCTGGGGGCTGAGGTGGGAAGATTTCTTGTGTCTGGGAGGTCGAGGCTGCAGCAAGCCCGGACTGTGCCACTGCACTCCAGCCTGGGCAACAGAGTGAGACCCTGTCTCAAAAAAAATAAAAGAAAGGCTGAGTGGGGTTGGGGGATTGGGGGTGGAGATCGCCCACCTGGAGCCCACCTGCTGGGAGCTCACACAGACCTCCTTGCCCGGAGCACACGGGGTGCCCACCAACTCCCAGGTGGAGCATGGGAGCCAGGCCACATGCCATCCTGGAGGCTATGATGGGACTCATCACTGAGGTCTGTGCCATAGCACTTAAGCACCTTATGCTAATCTGCTCTCGGAACCACACAGAGATGCAGAATAAGAGGCCCCAGCCAAGGCTGCAACCCCTTCATCACAATTGTCACAAATCCGCTGTCCCGTCTCCAGCTCACCTATTCCATGGTTGTTCCTACCACCTTCCAAGCTCAGCTCTCCCTGTCACCTGCCCCTCCGCCAGGCCCACCAGCCTTGACCTATGCCACTAACTGGCTCGCAGCTGGGAAGTCTTCAGCTCTTTTTCCATTTCTGTTTTCTCCTTTCTTCATACTTAGCTTAAAGCTCCCAGCACTTTAGGGGGCAGCCCACGAATCCAAACTCCCCAAGAAATTCTACAAGAGACATTTAGCAATGTCACCTGCACCAGCTGGCAAATGACCTTCACTTGTGAGTTATGTGTCCAGTCTTCCAAATACACTTCTCAAGGACATGAATCCTTGTGTCATCCGAATTGAATCCTGAAGACTATGGACAGTTCTCCAACGCTGAATGCTACATCAACAATCGTGGGGGGGAAGGTGATAACACATCTTCAATTTTGCTTACGATTAACTTCATTTTAACAACTTTGCTCAATATCCCCCAAATCCTTGGCCAATAAACTGCTCTGGTACTTTGTTTTTTGAAAGTGTTCACTTTGTTCCCTTTCTCCATAATCAATTCCTTTTAACCAAAACCTTTCACCTCTTTCGAAGTCATTGGCCTATGAATCCTAACACTGGCCATGTAATCAAGAAGACACTCAACACAGGTCCCTATGCCCTTTGAGCAAACCTCCCCACTCCTGCACCCCCAGTCCTGCAGAGCTGAGACAGGCAGGTGGCTGAGGAAAGCAGGTGAAAGGTCAGCTTGATGCACCGTGCATTGCCAGGTTTCAAAACACGCCCAAGGAAAATGGAGATATGGGACTTGCCTCTGTAATATAAAACAAACAATAAAACTTGATACGTGACAACGGACTTCCAAGAAAATGGTCTTTATAGCAACTGAAATATGTAAATAATTTCTGAGTGGGGCAGAAGTCTTTCAACACAGCCTTGCAATCAACACGTATGGAGATACTAATAGATAGGTGTGTGGGAAGGTAGGTAGGTAAGACATAAAGATTCCTTTTTGTGCTTTTAATAATGAAGTTACAGCACATTCCTTTTTTTTTTTTTTGAGACGAAGTTTTGCTCCATCACCCAGGCTGGAGTGCAATGACATGATCTCGGCTCACAGCAACCTCTGCCTCCTGGGTTCAAGTGATTCTCCTGCCTCAGCCTTCCCAGGAGCTGGAATTACAGGCACGCACCACCACGCCTGGCTAATTTTGTATTTTTAGTAGAGATGGGTTTTTACCATGTTGACCAGGCTGGTCTCGAACTCCTGACCCCAAGCGATCCGTCTGCCTTGGCCTCCTAAAGTGCTGGGATTACAGGCATGAGCCACTGTGCCCGACCCAGAACATTCTTTTTACCAAACCCTTTGGCATATGCTAGACAATGTGACCCATATATATTTTTATATTGATGTATTTGACTAGCATTAGATCATTTAATTCCCACTAGCACCCTAGGAAATGGGTACTAGGGCTATCTCCATGTACTAATGAGAAAACCAGGGCTTAGATGTCAAGAAACTTGCCCAGTGTCACAGCCAGCAAATAGCAGGGCTGGAAATCAAACCCAGGCCCAGGCCAGGTGCGGTGGCTCACGCCTCTAATCCCAGCACTTTGGCAGGCCAAGGCGGACAGATCACCTGAGCTCAAGAGTTCGAGACCAGCCTGACCAATATGGTGAAACCCTGTCTCTACTAAAAATACAAAAAATTAGCTGGGCTTGGTGGCATGCACCCGTAGTCCCAGATACTAGGGAAACTGAGACAGGAGAATTTCTTGAACCTGGCAGGTGGAGGTTGCAGTGAGCCAAGATTGCACCACTGCACTCCAGCCTGGGTGACAGAGCGAGACTCTGTCTCAAAAACAAACAAACAAACAAACAAACAAACAAAAACCCAGGTCCAACTCCAAAACTTATACTCTTAACTCCCAAAGTAAAGTGGTAGGTACTACACAAAAAGTTCTACTTAGGATTCCTAAAGTTACAACACAGATATAAAATTAGGTCACTGTTGTAACCAAAATGATGAGATTGCAGCCAGCAATAAAACTCCAGTAAGTATAAACACCATCAGTGCCAACTGTAAAATTATTCACATGCTGCAGTCTTCCCACTAGCATTGCACAGTGCCCATGCACACAGGAGCAGGCTCTGCTTTCTATTCAAACCTAGCTAACAGCTGCCCATCTCCTCCAGCGGTAAACAACTATGTTGGAAATCCTCTGAGAAAATGTTACCCATGGGAAGCGACAGCTTAGCTCAGCAGGAATACCAGGCAGGGCCTCTAGGAACAGAGAAAGTGTGAGGCTGGATGACATGGGCCTCATCCCTGGAAAAACTGGAGAAGGCGCTGTAGGCAGGGTCAGAAGCAGTGTCTCTGGCGAAGGGCAGGGCAGTTATCTCATCATCTACAACACATTCTTGGATGCCCGGGTGACCAATGCCTGGGAAGATTCTGCTTCGCTAGAAAGCTAGTGCCAGCCTCCGGGACTGGCTCCAGCTCGGGGAAACCACCTTCACAACATGCATGATGTCCAAGGTGGCAAAAATCTGGCCTGGCCTCCTCACTGCTGCCCAAAGAACTTCAAGGGAAGTACCAGGAAGGCTCTGGAAGGACAGCAGCAGCCCAGGGGGTTCCCTAGAACTAGCACACATGTGCAGTAAAGTTCATGGCTCTTCTGAACTGAGATGCAGGCAAAAATTAGCAATAATGGGAAGGAAGAAAAGCAGCAGCTCCTCTTCTCCAGGCAAGTGTGGGTGTGCGCTCTCTGCACTGTATGAGCCACATCGTTATTCAATTGCAGATATGCACATCTGTAATGGTGCCCTTGTACTTTTCCAGTAAATGTGTATACACACAAACAGAAGTTGTTTCCCAAACTTGGCTGGGCGTGTTGGCTCACGCCTGTAATCCCAGCACTTTGGGAGGCCAAGGTGGGCGGATCACCTGAGGCCAGGAGTTCAAAACCAGCCTGGCCAACATGGTGAAACCCCATCTCTACTAAAAATACAAAACATTAGCTGGGTGTGGTGGTGGGCACCTGTAGCAGGAGAATTGCTTGAACCTGGTTGGTGGAGGTTGCAGTGAGCCAAGGTCCCACCACCGCACTCCAGCCTGGGCAACAAGAGCGAAACTCCATCTCAAAAAAGAAAAAAAAAAAGAAATTGTTTCCCAAACCTGATGGAAGCACCTTAGAAGTGAGAATGTAAGACTCACCTTATGTTTTTCGGAGGGTTTCATGTACAAGAAAGGTGAAGGATTTTCATTATTATTTTTTTTTTATAAGACAGGGTCTTGTTCTGTTGCCGAGCGTGACCTTGAACTCCTGGCTCAAGAGATCATCTTGCCTCAGCCTAAGCTGGGACTACAGGTGTGCTCCACTACACCCAGCCTGGAGCTTTCATTATGAAAGGTTGCGTCTTGAATTCATGACTGATCATTCAATATTCACATTATTTAAATTGGCCACACAGTGGATTTCCTGTACTGAAGTTTATCATAATGGACTATTCACATTTATGGGGTCAATATAATGGGTCGTCAGGTTATAAAAGGAATTCTGGGCTGGGCACGGTGGCTCATGCCTATAATCCCAGCACTTTGGGAGGCTGAGGCGTGTGGATCACCTGAGGTCAGGAGTTCAAGACCAGCCTGGCCAACGTGGCAAAACCTCATCTCTAGTAAAAATACAAAAATTAGCCAGGTGTGGTGGTGGGCACTTGTAATCCAGCTATTCGGGAGGCTGAGGCAGGAGAATCGCTTGAACCCGGGAGGCAGAGGTTGCAGTGAGCCGAGATCATGCCACTGCACCCCAGCCTGGGTGACAGAGGGAGACTTCGTCTCAAAAAATAAAAATAATAAAATAAAAGGAATTCTGGACTGGGTATGGTGGCTCATGCCTGTAATCCCAATACTTTGGCAGGCGAAGGCAGGAAGTTCGCTTGAGCCCAGGTATTTGAGACCAATCTGGGCAATGTAGCAAGACCCCATCTCTACAAAAAATACAAAAATTAGCCAAGGTGTGGGTAGTGCATGCCTGTGGTCCCAGCTACTTGCGAGTATCACTCGAGCCCAGGAGTTTGAGGTTATAGTGAGCTATGATCACGCCACTGCACTCTAGCCTGGATGACAGAGCGAGACCCTGTCTTACCAAGTACTGTAAAAATTAAGCCAATTCTGGGTGGATCACTTGAGGTCAGGAGTTTGAGACCAGCCTGGCCAACATGATGAAACCCTGTCTCTACTAACAAACAAAAACTACCTGGGCATGGTGGTGCATGCCTGTAATCTCAGCTACTCGGGAGGCTGAGGCAGGAGAATTGCTTGAACTGGGGAGGCGGAGGTTGCAGTGAGCCATGATTGCGCCACTGCACTCCAGCCCGGGCGATAGGGCGAGACTCCATCTCAAAAAAAAAAAAATTAAGCCAATTCAAATTTAGACCTTATAGTGCACCACGTCAATAAGTAATGGTTAGATAAATACAGACAAATATGATCTTAGAAAAAAAATTTGGAAAAGCCACAAAGATTCACAATTTTATAAAGAAGATAGCCAACGTATTGACAGACCCAGTTATCTGACCTAGCTATTCAGAAGCCCACCAGAAGTTTAACAGCTGCTACTTCTTTCCCACTGTGCCTGCCCTGCCTCTAGCCAGCATCGGCACTCGGGCAGGAGCTCAGACTGCAAGGAGGAGACCTGCACCTGCCCAAAGGACATCCTAAACCTCCTCTTCGTACCAGTATATTGTTCCCACAAATGTCCCTAAGACAACAGGAGCGGTGTCCCCTGTATCTCCCATGCATATTCTTCACCTTTGCACAGAATATAACAACTTGAACTTCTAATTCAAACTGAACTTGAACTGAACTTCTAATGTGGGGACTGCAAAATACATTGGTGTCCCTAAATGCCGCCTGCAGCCAGGACATTGTTTGCTAGAGCCTGTATTTACTTTACACACTCAAAACTCTCTTCACATCTGACCTCTGATTGGATCCTCACAAAACTCGTGTGACATGGAATGACAGGTTCAGACCCACCACCTTACAGATGAGGAAATGGAAACCCAGAAACCCTAGAGGCGGATTCAGTGCCACACCCAGTCTGCATGGGGTAGGGAGTGGGGGCCTCCAAAACCCAGGCCCTCTGGCTGCCCAGTGGTCTGGGAAGCAGCCTGGGAAAGGGAAAGAAAACACACAGATCTGGGTTCAAATCCCAGCTCTACCAATTACTCAGACCTGTGACCTTGAGCAAGTATTTGCCTCACATAAAGTATGCAGGATGCCCTTACCTCCTCCGGCAAACTGCAGGAGGACGTGGCAGCCAGCTCTGACACCTGTTAGGTCTTTACTGCAGGAACACGTTCTTTGTCCCTTTCCAACTGTAGCCCTGTGGTGCCAATGCAAACCCTCTAGGAATGTGGATTTCTCTTCCTACCTGTTGCACCCCCACCCCATGCCAAATCTCAATGCCAGCATTTGATACCTTCTGACTTCGATGTATACCTTTTAGCAATCTGTGGTTGTATTTTGTGCAAACTGTACTGGACATCACATTGAGCCACTGTGTGTATTTGAAGAAGTATAAAGAAACCAGGAAGCCCGGCGTGGTGGCTCATGCCTGGAATCCCAACGCTTTGCAAGGCCAAGGTGAAAGGGTCACTTAAGGCCAGGAGTTCAAGACCAGCCTGGGCAACATAGTGAGGCCTGTCTCTACAAAAAAATATAAAAAATTAGCTAGGTGTGGTGGCATATGCCTGTGGTCCTAGCTATGTAAGAGGCTGAAGAAGGAGGATCCCTTGAGCCCAAATGGGAGATTACGTTGAGCTATGATGGCACCACGGCACTGCACTCCAGCTTGGGCACCAAGGCAAGATCCTGCCTCGGAAAAAAAAACTCCTGGCGCAGTGGCTCATGCCTGTAATCCCCGCACTTTGGGAGGGTGAGTCAGGCAGATCACCTGAGGTCAGGAATTCAAGACCAGCCTGGCCAACATGGTGAAACTCATCTCTACTAAAAATACAAAAATTAGGCAGGCATGGTGGCATGCCCCTGTAGTCCCAGCTGCTTGGGAGGCTGAGGCAGGAGAATCACTTGAACCCAGAAGGCAGAGGCTGCAGTGAGCCGAGATCATACCGCTACACTCCAGCCTGGGCAACAGAGTGAGATTTCCTCAAAAGAAAGAAAAGAAAAGAAAATAAGAAAAGAAAAGAGAGAAAGAAAGAAAAATGAAACAAAATCTCCAAGAAAAGAAAGGGAAGGAAGGAAGGAAGGAAGGAAGGAATGAAGGAAATAAAGAAAAAGGAAAGCAAACCTCCATGTATTAAATCTTTTTCAGGGCACCAGAGGAGATGACAGTTGGCAAATCAGGGATAAATGCTTTTATAAATGAAGAATCATTTTATAAAAAGTCAAATTTCAGTGATAGCATATGACAGTTTTGTCTCTTCTCTTCTCTTTTCTTTTCTTTTTTGAGACGGAGTCTTGCTCTGTCAACCAGGCTGGAGTGCAGTGGTGTGATCTCAGCTCACTGCAACCTCCAACTCCTGGGTTCAAGCGATTCCCCTGCCTCAGCCTCCCGAGTAGCTGGGATTACAGGCGTGCATCACCATGCCCAGCTACCTTTTTGTATTTTAGTAAAGACGAGGTTTCACTGTGTTGGCCAGGCTGGTCTCGATCTCCTGACCTCATGTTCCGCCCATCGTGGCCTCCAGAAGTGCTGGGATTACAGGCGTGAGCCACTGCGCTTAGCTGACAGTTTCTCCAGGGCATCAGAACACAGCGTTAGGAAAGCTGTCTGTGGTGACTCAATGTGACCTGATGACCACAGGACCCCCTGAGTGAGCCAGGGCTGGTGGGCGAAGCAGACATCACTGCAGAGAGCTAGCAGCTTGCTGTGGGGAGAGAATAGGGACGTGGTCTCGGGTCCAGATGTCCTCAGCCACAGTAGCAGCATGAAGGAAGGTGCATTGAGGGGGGACCCAAATGCTCCTCTGCTCCCTGCCTCCCTCACAGGAACTTCCCATAACACAAACAGGAATAACAGTGCCCCTCGTCAGGCGGTTATGGCAATCCAGAGTGGAAAAAGGGTGCTTCGGGCAGGGCGAGGGGGCTTATGCCTGTAATCCCAGTGCTTTGGGAGGCTGAGGTGGGAGGATCGCTTGAGGCCAAGAGTGCACTATGATTGCGCCACGGCACTCCAGCCTGGACAACAGAGCAAGACCTTGTCACTAAAGAAAAAAAAAGAAAGGATGTCTCAAATGTTCTGTCATTCCTTCAACACATATCTGAATGTCTGCTCTGGGCCACTGAAATAATGAGGAAGGTGAATGTAAGGGTGAGTTAGGAAGAAGTAGCAGCACTTAGCCCCGGCTGCATGTGGGGGCTTAGGGAACAGGAAGAATGCAGGCTGGCTCTCCGGCTCCTGGGCTGGGTACCACAAACCACCCGCATCAGGAGTATGAAGCCTTCCTTTCTTAACATAAAGGACTTGGTGTCCAATGCCTAACCTATATCCCTCAGGAAGCAGAGCGGTACCCACCCTACTGCCCAACCCTCCAAGGTGACGGTGACCCTCCTGCACACCCTGGAGAGGGCACGCCTCACTCAGCAGCATGATTTCTTTCACTGTTAACTTCCAAAGACGTTCCTGGACCGAAGAACAATCCTCACCAAAAAAAAGGCAAAGGCAGACACTTCTGAGGCCGTCAAGATACCCAAATAGGGTAGCTGGCCTCAGCCCAGGGCCTGCTGGAGATCCAACCTTCACCTGACATTTGGATGGGGTAAAAGTTGAAATTTACACAAGGTAACAAATATTTGAAGCTAGCAAGCAGAAAAAAGTCCTTACTTGTGTTAAGCAATCAATTTGTTTAAAAAACATATCCTGTACATGTCGTCAAAGAAACTGGTAATAGTGGTGGCATCTGGAGAGGGGAACCAAGTGAGAAGGACTCTACTCTGTATCTGCACCTTTTTAAAAAAAAAAAAAAAAAAACAGAGACAGGGTCTGGCTGTCACCGAGGCTGGAGCGCAGTGGTGCAATCATAGCTCACTGCAGTCTCCACCTCCTGGGCTGAAGCCATCCTCCCACCTCAGCCTCCTGAGTAGCTGGGACCACAGATGCACTCCACCAGGCCCTACTAATTGTTTGTAGAGACAGGGGTCTGGCTCTGTTGCCCAGGTTGGTCTCGAATTCCTGGCCTCAAAGCAATCCTCCCACCTTGGCCTCCCAAAGCATTGAGATTACAGGCGTGAGCCACGGGGCCGGGCCCATCTGTGCCTCTTTAACTTTGCATCGTATGCTTATATCGCTTATTTGTAAAAACAAAACAAAACAAAAGTCTTCACAAGAAAAGCTCAAGACTGGCAGAAGACAAGTGAGGCCTCTTTAAAGTGTGTTGGAGAGATTCTCGAGAGATTCTCTCCAACACACTTTAAACAAACAATCTCGAACAGCCATTTTAATTCTTAAAGCACCAATTCTTCCGGAATTCAAGTTCAGGCTTCCACCAGCAACAGAATTCTGGCCTGCCAATAATAACCATGCAGAGTGACTAAACATTTTTTCCAACAAAGGAAAAAATGCAAACGATCAAAGTGCAGAAGCAGCCCTTGGCCCGCGCAGGCTCCGGTTTCCGCCTCCCGCCGCCGCTGCCACCGCCCCTGCGCCTTTAGATTTCGGGCAGCAAGTTTAATTGCTCGCTTGGAAAGCGTCCTCGGAAGGGCACCGCCAGCAACTGCGGCTTCGCGCCCCGCCCCTTCCCCCAAGCCCCGGGCGGCGTCACGTGACGGCTGAGAAAAGTAGGGGAAAGGTCAGCAGCAGCCCCGCCCCCAGGCTGGCGCGTCCCAGGCGCTCGGATCCTGTTCCACCCGCCGTGCCCACAGAGACCTTCCGGAGCGAGTTGGCGCGCGTCCCTGTGGCCACCCCAGCGACAGCGGGAGAAATGCAACGCACCTCTCCGTGGGAAGGTCGAGCCCTGCGGTGCCCAGCTGTGGGGACAGCTCGGTGCTCAGTGCTTCTGATGACAGATGCTGCATCCAACGAGCCAGAAACGCAGGCACCGCGCTCAAGAGCCCAGGGCGCGTCTAAAAGGGGCTCACTGTGAAGCCTCAGTGAAAACTGACGGTGTTTTTATGAATGAGCACTCGGGGCCAGGGTTGGGTAAGGGCAGGCCCTCGTTCCAGGGCTCCCCGGAGGCCCAACTTGACCGCTCGGTGACCACTGGTCCGGGGCCGGGGCCAAACGCAGCAGCCGCAGCAGTATCGGAAGGGACCCAGTTTAATTCTCTTCCCCTCCAGGGTAGGCGGCTTGTTTTTAGTACCAACTCGAAACGTTATTTTGGCCTGTGCATGATGCCAACTTCTGCCACTTTGAAACAAAGTGTGTGCACTCCCAAACCTGGCCCTTTTTATTGTTTGATTCCAACTGTTAAGATAGGGTTCAAGTGCAAGGTCTAGGCTAGCAATGCTTCACAGGAAGGAAACCAGTAATTTACATGCGAAAAGCAGTCCACAGGCTCTTGGTATTGAGGCAAAACCAATCCAAAGAACCAGCTGCGAATGCTGATAGTCCCCAGACCAACTGACAGCTGGATGTTCGCTGGCCTCAGCGGTGTGCATTCTCAGCGACACTTATGTCCTCAATTTATTGCTACGTTCACTCGGTCAGAGTCGCCTTAAAGAATTTGGAAAGGCCCGGGGGTGGGGGTGCTTCCTGGCATAAATAGAAGACCAGTGCTCAGCCATTTTTTATTCACTTGGTTTGTGGCTTAGAATGAAATAAACATGCTTGCATATCTGGAATGACCAGAAACCGGACACCTGTGGAAGAAAATGGTGTAACAAAATACAACGTTGCAAAAGGTAAAACCGATTTTCATTTTATTCGGTAACTTACAAAGTTACCAGCTTCCTACTAAAATCTGCCCTTAAATATTTTATAACACACGGAGCCGAGAGGAACCGAAAGCCTGTGCCGAGTTGGGAATATTAACTTTGTTATGTATTTAACCTGGTAGGTAGTTGGGATTTTTAACTCTCTGAGTTGTTTTCTTTTTTTAAAGTAAGATCGGCCCTCATCTTTGAGTTCTGCGGCTTTAACGAAAGCCAAGGGCGGATTTACATTATAAAGACGCTGACCCATGGCCTCTCCTGACAAACCGAAAGAAGCCGGCTGTTGGCTGGCCGCGGCGGTGGCTCCGAGAAGGGGCTGCCCCGCGTGGCCCTGACCGCACCGTCGGGCTCGCAGGCCAAGTTCGCCAGGGCACGGCCACGTGACACCCCCACCCTCCCGCGGCCCCGCCGCTCCCAGCCCGGCACGACCTTGGGCACATGCTCCGCGCCCACCCGCCCTTGACCCAGCGCTGCACGGGAGAGGCTGCGGGGCGCTCCCAAGCAGGCACTGGGCCCGGCACCCTCATCCTGCTCACGGCAGCGCTCGGACCGCGCCTGGAGTCCCTGCGCCAAGGGCGTGTCCCGACGGCTGCACCGCGAGGGCGGGCATGGGGAGGGGGACCGGGGAGACGGACGCTGGGATGGGGTCAGCGGCGCCCTGCCGAATCCCGAGGGCCGAGCACCCCTCCCTCAGCCGCACTGCACCTGCCCGTAGGTGACCAACCCACGGGCGGACCCCCAGACCCAATCCTCTCCAGAGCCAGGGTGGGATGGGCAGGGACAGGAGCCGGAGGCCCTACTGGCCCCGGGCGAAGGCATCCTGGAAAGCATCCAGAGCGTCCAGCATCCCTCCCGCGGCCACCCGCAGGCTGACCGACCCCTGGGCAGACCCTCAGACTCAATCCAGTCCAGGGCGGATTAAGGAGTGGGAGACAAGGGAGCCGGTGGCCCCGCTGGCCCCGGGCCGGAGGCGTCCAGCCAAGTCCGGAGGGCCGAGCATCCCTCCCGCGGCCGCACGGGACCCGCCTGCGGATGGACCGACCCCCGGTGGACCCTCAGACCCAATCCCCTGGGGAACATGGGGAGCCCCGGCCTCTTTCTGGGTTCAGGATCTCCACAACCCCGCCGTCCGGGGGGAATACCGGGGTTCCTCTCGGCGCCCCGGTTCCGGCGGCGTCCCCCACCCGGTCCGGTTCCCGGCAGCCCCGCGCCCCGCCCGTCCCCGGCCCCCGCAGCCCGCAGGGCCGCCCCGCCACCCTCCCCACCGCGGGCGACCGGGCCTCACCGAGTCAGCTACGGAGGTGCGGCAGCGGCAGCGGCAGCGGCGGCGGCGGCGGCGGCGGTGGAGTGAACGAGCGGCGAGCGGGAGCCGGGGAAGGAGGGCCGCGGGCGAGGCCGAGCGCACCCGACGCCGGCAGCAGCGGATTGGCTGAGGCGGGTCCGGCTGCGGCGCCTGCAGGCGGGTGACTCCCGGCGCGCGGAGGGCGGGCCCGGGGCCTCGGCGGGGCGGGGCGTCCGCGGGGCTAGGAGGGGAGGGAAACTGAGGCTCGAGCGGGTGCTCGCGTCCTCGACCTCTGCCGGAATGGGGTCTAGGACGAGATTCCTCACCCTCCGAGCCTCAGTTTCCTCATCCGTAAAACGAGCCATCTCGTGGAGGCCGTGCGCATAAAATCGCTTAGCTCCGTGCCTGGCTGATCCTCGCGACTTATCTATCGGCATTGCCCCGTGTAATGCTCCAGGCACCCCCTGATGGTATTCACCCCTGACTCTTTCATGCAGACAAGGGTCGCGGGCCAGGAAATAAGTTACCCCACATCACCGAGCTGAGAAGCAACCGATCCACAGGGAGTGGTGGGGCGCGCCTGTAATCCCAGCTACTCGGGAGGCGGGAAGTCGCTTGAAGCCAGGAGTTCGAGGCCAGCCTGGGCAACGTAGCGAGACCCCGTCTCTAAAAAAAAAAGCGCGGGGAAGTGATAGATCGGACATTGGGTCCAGATCTGATTCCACAGCCCATGCCCCAAATCAGACCTTATACCACGAGTGGCAGTCATCGCGATCCAGAGGCAGCGTGGCTCCTCCTCATCTAGCTAGGATAAAAATGCCTCACTTGGGGGGCTTTGGTGAGATTTACTAAAATAATTCTTCCAGCGTCAAGAACATAATAGGTGCTGGGAGAGGAGTAGCTGGAGGCCAGGGCAGAGCGACCGAGAGACCCTTGTGCTGGAGCTCGGGAGAGGGGCCGGGAGCGGGAACTGAACATCCACCGGTCCCAGGAGTCTAGGGCGAGCGCAGCTGCAGGGGACCCAGGGGGTTGAGGGGGAGGGAGAGGGGCCCCAAGCGTAACAGGAGGGCCAAGGGGGTCTTCCTGACCGGGAGCCACCCCTCCCCTATCTTTGCCCGCAATGCTTCCAGGCGCGAGCTGGCGGCTCTGCATACAGCAGGTGCTCCATAAATGCACCGATGTTATGAACAAAGACTCTTTTAAACCTCTTTTATGAACCCTGCTCTTTTTAAGTTCGACCACTTCTTCTAGTTATGAAAAAATCCATGTTTGCAACCATCCTTCTTTCTGTATCATTTAGTTGTTACCGCAGAAGAATTTAGAAGAGAAAATGAAAGTTCTCCTTTGATCCCGCCCCCCACCACCGCTGCAGTTAACTCTCCCTGCGGTTCCCGGGCTCGCTGTTTTAAAGGAAGGCTAGGATGCAAGCTGTCTGTAAGGCTGTTTTGTTTTCACTTGGCTTACGTCGTAGACAGGTCTCTGCTGGGGGACGGAGATGACCACCGGCCTTCCCAAGGCTGCATAAGATTTCCTTTGACTATGCTGTGATCCATTTACGCGGCCCCCATTGGACAATTAGGGCCTCCTCCCCGCCCCCCACCCCACCATTGCAGGTATAAATAAAAGCTGCGTTGGCCGTCGATGTACCTCCTGGAGCTCCTGATTATCCTGTAGGATAGATCCCTGGAGGGGAAGCAACCAGGCACGTGCGACATTTTGGTGACACAGGCCAAGCTACCATGCCGAAAAGTTTACCAACTTCCACTGCCACCCGCGCGTGCAAGCGGGGCCCTGTCTCCGATTATGGATTATTTTAATCTTTGCCAATCCTAAAAGGAGGGGTGGGGGAGGGAAGAATCTCTCATCTCTCCTTTTAATTTGCATTTCTTTGAGGTTAGAAGTTGGGGGTTTGTCCCCCTGCTTGCGCTTGTCTGGACCACCAGTGAGCCCAGGCACTCGACCCCCGCAGATTTCACCGCCCCAAGAGGCCAGTGGGCTGGGCCAGGGCACACGTTCCTGACGCGCGGCTGCACCCCACGAGCCCGGGCGGCTCTCGCGCGTGAGGCTCTCCTTGCACGTGGGCCTTCGCGGTTTGCACTACGGAAGCTGGACTGTCATTCTCACCGCAAATGCCCTTCCCTCCTTTCCCTGGAACCTCAGCCACCGACAGGTCCCCGCTCCAAGGTCATTTCCTCCCTCGCTCAGCGCCCCGGTGCGCGCCCAGCTGGGATTGGCCCCGCGCCCTGTCTGTTCCCAGGGCTCTTCGGCCTTGACCGTGCGCCCTTCCCTGCGCGCCGCCTAGGTGCCACCTGCAGGCCGGGCGGGGCAGGGACAGGGACCCAGTCTGTGGGGACGCCGAGGCGCCACGCTCACCTGTGCCATGGTGGCCGGGCTCTCGGCAGCTGCAACGAGCCCGCGCCGGCCTGCAACTGCAGCCGCACTGGGGAGGCCTTATTCCCCTCCCGCCGACCACGCTGCAGCTCTCCTGCCCGGGTCTGCGGCTCCCGCGGCTGCGTAGCTGAGTCTATTAATAAAGAAGCAGAGAACGAGGCCTCCCGGGGAGCTCCGGGCCTGAGCCTCAGTTCCCTGGGGCCAAAAACGTCTCCATGTCTGCCTCTGAAACTAGAGTAATCTTTCTCAAGCCTTGTTTTTTACAGATTCTGCCCCAGTTTGAATACTGTAGCAATTGCCTACCATAGCTACAAGAAAAATTTTCTTTTTAATGCAGGTAATGTTTTTATTTACCGCTAAGATTTCTCTTTTTACTCAAAAAATACTTTTTTATGGAAAAATCCAAACCTTTTTATTCATTCGTTCATTCATTCATTCATTTTTGAAACAGGATCTCTCTCTGTTGCCCATGCTGCAGGGCAGTAGCAAAATGACAGCTCACTGCAGTGTTGACATCCTAGGCTCAAGCAATCCTCCTACCCCAGCTTCCTGAGTAGCTGGGACCACAGGCAAGTCCCGCCATGCCTGGCTAATATTTTGAAAAATCCAAACCTTTGAAAAAAATTAACCAGAATAGTATAATAAAGGCCTATACAACCAAAACTCAACATCAACCATTATGGAGCTAGGGCCAAGGTGTATGCCTGTGTTCCTACCCACTCCTGCCCAGTCCTACTGTTTATTTTAAAGCAAATTCAGAAATCCTACCGTTATGTCCACAAATTCCTTTTTTTTTTTTTGACATGGAGTCTTGCTCTGTCCCCCAGGTTGGAGTGCAGTGGCGCAATCTCACCTCACTGCAACCTCTGCCTCCAGGGCTCAAGCGATTCTCATACCTCAGCCTCCCGAGTAGCTGAGATTACAGACGTGCATCACCATGCTCGGTAATTTTTGTATTTTTAGTAGAGACAGGGTTTCACCATGTTGGGCCAGGCTAGTCTCCAACTCCTGATCTCTGGTGATCCATCTGCCTCAGCCTCCCAAAGTGCTGGGATTACGGGTGTGAGCCACTGCGCCCAGCCCTCAAATTCTCGAGTACAAACCTCTAAAAGATAAATATTCTTAACTAAAAAATATGACCATACTATCATTGTCCCACCTAAAATAGATGAACAATTGTTACAGAAAATGGTAAACCCTGTTGCCTGCCAAGAGCACAGCTGAGTCCCCACTCGATCTCGCCAGCCTCATTTCTTGCTGGCAGCTCCCAGCAGATTCTGATCCAGAAGTGTGTACGACTTTTTTGGAACTCAGCTCTGGTATCCCCATAGGAAACAGTGTTGAAATCTCAGTGTGGTGTGCTTCCCTCTCCTCTCCGAAGCCTGTAGTCCCTCTGACCTTGCACCTTGGGCCTCTAGGTGTTGAGTAAATATGGTCAGTTCCACTTTGCTGAGCCTGCATCACCAGGGTTTCATGAGGACAGAACAGGGTGATGCAGACGAAAGCACCTGCACGCAGCAAGAGGACGTGCACGGAAAGGACTCAGAGCAACAAGTGCACTGTTTTCTTAATGGAACACGTCTGCTCTGAACACGGGATCAGAACACATTCTTTTGTTGTTGTTTGTTTGAGATAGAGTCTCTCTTCGTCACCCAGTCTGGAGTGCAATGGCGTGATCTCGGCTCACTGCAACGTCTGCCTCCCAGGTTCAAGCGATTCTCCTGCCTCTGCCTCCCGAGTAGCTGGGATTACAGGCACGTGCCACCACGGCTGATTTTTGTATTTTTACTAGAGACAGGGTTTCACCAGGTTGGCCAGGCTGATCTCAAACTCCTGACCTCAAGTGATCTGCCCGCCTCAGCCTTTCAAAGTGCTGGGATTACAAACATGAGCCACTGCACCCAGCCCAGAACACGTTCTATCCCACTGCTCCTGGACGCTTTGCTGCCCATCTGTGCCTCAGTTTCCTCACTTAAAAGAGGACCAGCTGGGTGCAGAGGCTCACGCCTGTAAACCTAGCACTTCGGGGCTGAGGCGGGTGGATCACCTGAGGTCAGGAGTTGGAGACCAGCCTGACCAACGTGGTGAAACCCCATCTCTACAAAAAATACAATAATTAGCTGGGCGTGGTGGCAGGTGCCTATAATCCCAGCTACTCTGGAGGCTGAGGCAGGAGAATCGCTTGAACCTGGGAGGCAGAGGTCGCAGTGAGCCGAGATCGCGTCACTGCACTCCAGCCTGGGCAACAAGATTGAAACTCAGTCTAAAAACAAAAAAACAAAACAACAACAAAAAAGAGGACCTTGACCCAGGGCACTAATGAGCAAACCTTTCACCACTCTCCGTCGTCCCTTCAGAGCCGGACTCCGCTCTGTTTCTTCTGCACCTCTCAGTCCCTGGCACCTGGTTGGCCCATTGAGGCACAAGGAAGGTCGGCAGGGGGTTGCCTTGTGGGGAGGCAGCACAGTGAAGAAGCAAGAATGGAGGTCAGGAGAGGGTGCAGCAGGCCACAGGGCACAGAGCTGAGTCTGGCTGGCTGCATGGGTGCCTCACTGCTCATCTGGCCTCAGTTTCCTCACTTCAAAAAAAGAGGATGGCCAGGTGCGGTGGCTCACACCTTAATCCTAGCACTTTGAGAGGCTGAGGCGGGTGGACCTCTTGAGGTCAGGAGTTCGAGACCAGCCTGGCCAACATGGTGAAACCCCATCTCTACTAAAAATACAAAAAAAAAAAATTTGCCAGGCATAGTGGTTGGCGCCTGTAATCCCAGCTACTTGGGAGGCTGAGGTGGGAGAATCACTTGAACCCAAAAGGCAGAGGTTGCAGTGAGCCAAGATTGTACCACTGCACTCCAGCCTGGGCAACAGAGTGAGAATCCATCTCAAAAAAAAGAGAGGACATTGACCCTGGGCACTAATAAGCAACCTTTTCATCACTCTTTTCTTTCTAATATTATTCTGATTAGTTCATTTATTTGGAGAAGCAGTCATATTCTGGTGTTGGGAGTGTGAACTCCAGAACCACTCAGCCTGGGTTCAAATCCTGTCTCTGCCACTTACTAGCCGAGTGATCTTAAACCTCCCTGCACCTCAGTTTCCTCATCTGTAACATGGGAAAGAAATGGAAGCTGCCTTGGAGAGTTGTAATGAAGATGAGTAACTGCCGGGAGTGCTTAGAGCATTCCCTGGTACACAGTAGGTGCCACATAAGCTTTAGCTGTGATTATTATTCCCCCGCATCCTGTCATGAGTCCATGTTTTAAAAGCTGTTGCCCTCCCAGATCAGAGAATGCTGGAAAAAAAGGAAAAAATGTCTAAACGAATAAACAAAAACACTGTTGCCTATAAACAGTACGTTTAATGGGGGAATAAATAATTTCCCTGAGCATACAGCAGAAATATGCAAAACTGCCACCTGGAGCCTACAACCAGCATAAAATTTGCTCATTCCTTTAAAAGATGCTTATCAATAAGCACAGTGGCTGCCAGGACACCGTGTACTGCCAGCCAAGAACCAAAAAGCTGGGCATTTTGATCTATACAGGTTAATTTCAGATAGATGAGGGGCCTCTTTAAGGCCATTTGAAGTGGTCAGAATAGTTCAAAGGTCACTATTACTCCCTCCTCAGTTTCCCCAGTCATCTCTGAGGCCCCCATCTACCTAGCCTACTTAGAGAGTATGCGTTCAGGCCAGGACCTGAGCTTCTTCATGGGATCAGAGCAGCGTGCTGGGCCCAGTGCAGGCAATGCCTTAATGGATGCTATCGAAGTTGGTATCTCGACTTGCCCAACACCAGGGCCAGGGCAGTCTTGCTCCTGACCGCTGTGCTGGCAGCCCAGACACTGGGACTTCATGCACAGGGAGGAGGTGACCCTCCTGTAGCTCATTTTAGCAGACACCTGAGTTTTTAAATGAGAGCATTGGCAAAAGGTCTTCTATGTTAAGGACATAAATCCTCCCCTTTGGAGGTGGAGGTAGAGGTAGAAGGAGAACGAGAGAGGCAGGTAATAACTTGAGTCTTTATAGTTTTTAAATTTGGAAGAGCCGGGCACAGTGGCTCACGCCTGTAAACCCAGCACTTTGGCAGGCTAAGGTGGGTGGATCACCTGAGTTCAGGAGTTCGAGACTAGCCTGGCCAACATGGTGAAATCCTGTCTCTACTAAAAATACAAAAATTAGCCAGGCATAATGGCAGACGCCTATAGTTCCAGCTACTTCGGAGGCTGAGGCAGGAGAATTGCTTGAACCTGGGAGGCAGAGGTTGCAGTGAGCTGAGATTGTGCCATTGCACTTCAGCCTGGGCGACAAGAACAAAATTCCGTCTCAAAAAAAAAATTTGAAACGGGGAGTCACTGACCCTTGGAAAACCTGATGATGGCTACAAATGCTATCCCTGGAAACACACACATGCACACATGCACACACACGCACACATGCATGCACGCACACACGCGCACGCACACACGCACACGCACACACGCGCACACACATGCACACACATACAGTAAATCACTCCAGTCGTGACCCTTCCAAGACGTGTCTATAGCCTCCTGCCCCACACAGGTTAAGAAAAAATATCCAAAACTTGGAAATGAGGCAAAAGCATGTCTGAATGTGATTTCAGTGTCACACTTGATCATTGCCTAACCGTCCCATTCAAGGATTCGCTTATTTTCTAGGGAACAGTAACTTGGACAAGGCCCCAGAGTCTGTGAAGTTACATGTGAGCTGGTAGATTTTTGCCCAACAGAAATTCAAAGGATTTCCAGTTGATAGAAAAAAGAATTCCCCAAGGTTATGATTTTATTGCCTGCAGGACATTAACCAGTTTTGTAGCAATCTTATGGCAGCTTTGTTTTCTTTCCCTTTTATTCTTAAGATGGAGTTTCACTCTGTCACCCAGAATGGAGTGCAGTGGTGTGATCTGGGCTCACTACAACCTCCACCTCCTGGGTTCAAGCATTTTTCCTGCCTCAGCCTCCTGAGTAGCTGGGACTACAGGTGCCCGCCTGCTCAGTGGCTCTGTCTCCAGCCTGGCTCTCCTTTGAGCTCCCACCCTGCCACTCTGGCATCACCTTTCTGATCCCCTTAAATCCTCACTAGAGCCCACCCTTACCCCCCATCCCTACTGCCACCCCCAGAGAAATGACTTCATTCACTTGTTCCCTGGGGCCAAGTTACCCACCGGGAGAAGTCAAGTCTCGGTTGCCAGCAAAGCAGGACCACAAAGAAAAGAAAAATTAGGGTGTGTGGGTGTGTGTGTGTATGTGTTTTCTATGTCAAAGCAGCAAATAGGGCACGGTGGCTGAAGCCTATAATCCCAGCACTTTGGGAGGTTGATGTGGGTGGATCACTTGAGGTCAGGAGTTCAAGGCCAGCCTGGCCAACATGATGAAACCCCATCTCTACCAAAATTACAAAAAAAAAAAAAAAATAGCTGGGTGTGGTGGCACACACCTGTAGTCCTAGCTACCTGGGAGGCTGAGGCAGGAGAATCGCTTGAACCTGGGAGGCAGAGGTTGCAGTGAGCCGAGATCATGCCACTGCACTCCAGCCTGGGCAAGAGTGAGAATCTGTCTCAAAAAAAAAAAAAAAAAAAAGAAAAAAGAAAAAAAGAAAGAAAAAAGAAAAGAGAAAAAAGAAAAAAAAAGAAAGCAGCAAATACCTATCAGAACCTCGGTGGACCTCTTTTTTTTTTGAGGCGGAGTCTCGCTCTGTCACCCAGGCTGGAGTGCAGTGGCGCAATCTCGGCTCACTGCAAGCTCCGCCTCCCGGGTTCACGCCATTCTCCTGCCTCAGCCTCCCGAGTAGCTGGGACTACAGGCTCCCGCCGTCATGCCCAGCTAATTTTTTTTGTATTTTTAGTAGAGACGGAGTTTCACCGTGTTAGCCAGGATGGTCTCGATCTCCTGACCTCGTGATCTGCCCGCCTCGGCCTCCCAAAGTGCTGGGATTACAGGCGTGAGCCACCGCACCTGGCCAATGGACTTTCTTATGCTTATTTAACAGTTTAGCACACATCTTTATGAGACAAAGCAGCAAATGTAAGAAACCGCGTTTACTCATTTCTGTTTGCAGCGTCATTTCACAAAGACCCTGATTCTGACTTGCAGCTCTCCAGAAGGATGCTTTGAAGACAAAACAGGACAGAGTCCATGGCCCCCATGCCTCTTGCCTGAGTTACTATATTTCTTAAACGATAAGTGACCCTACTTCTTGCCTTTTCCTGCACATAAGATGACGTCAGCTGGGCGCAGTGGCTCAGGCCTGTAATCCCAGCAATTTGGGAGGCCGAGGCCAGCCGATCATCTGAGGTCGGAAGTTGGAGACCAGCCTGGCCAACATGGAGAAACCCTATCTCTACTAAAAATACAAAGTTAGCCGGGCGTGGTGGCGAACGCCTGTAATCCCTGCTACTCGGGAGGCTGAGGCAGGAGAATTGCTTGAACCCGGGAGGCGGAGGTTGCAGTGAGTCGAGATCACGCCATTGCACTCCAGCCTGGGCAATAAGACCGAAACTCTGTCTCAAAAGAAATAAAAATAAATAACATTTAACAAGGTTAGTGATTATGCCTCTGTAATCTATAACCAAATATAGCCAAACCCAACTTCTGATGTGATTCTGCGTCAATGTAACTTCTGAGAAAGCTTGATGTGATTTTGCACACAGGGAACCTCCACCACAGGTATATAAGGTGTGACCTGAAACACCGTGGCGGAGCAATATGATGGAACTGCTTCTGGGCTAGAGGCCTCAGTCAATAGTCCTCAGCAAGATCTCTGAATAAACTAAAGCTTCAAAAGCTTGATTTTTTTTTTCTTTAGTCGACACCTTTCAAATTACATATGAAGAGGTTGCCATAATCCTTTTAGCAGTTAGGACCTGGAACGATTTTTTGTTGTTTGTTTTTTGAGACAGGGTCTCCCTTTGTCACCCAGGCTGGAGTGCAGTGGTGCAGTGGCACAATCTCAGTTCCCTGCAGCCTCGACTTCCTGGGCTCAAGTGATCCTCCTGCCTCAGCCTCCCCAGTAGCTGGGACTATAGGTGAATGCCACACCTGGCTAAGTTTTATATTTTTAGTAGAGACAGGATTTCACCATGTTGCCCAGTCTGTAGGTCCTGGAAAGAGGAAAGATCTAAATCTGGCCCTGGTCTTACCCATATTCACTCATTGGATCATGCATTCATGCATTCTGCAAATATGTATTGAGCCCCCATACTTGTGCCAGCACTATTCTAGACACTGGGACTCTCAGGGAGTGAACAGAGCATTTTAACCAAGCTACAAATTCTAGTGAGAGAGGTGGTCAAGAAACAGATTCATGTGAAAAGTGCAAAGGAGGCCAGATGCGGTGGCTTAAGCCTGTAATCCCAATACTTTGGGAGACAGAGGTGGGTGGACCACGAGGTCAGGAGTTCGAGACCAGCCTGGCCAACATGGCGAAACCCCTGTCTCTACTAAAAATACAAAAATTAGCCAGGCATGATGGCAGGTGCCTGTAATCCCAACTACTCGGGACCCTGAAGCAGGAGAATCGCTTGAACCTGGGAGGCGGAGGGTGCAGTGAGCTGAGATCGTGCCATTGCACTCCAGCCTGGGCGACAAGAGCAAGACTCCATCTAAAAATAAAAATAAAAATAAAAAATAAAAAAATAAAAAGCAAAGGAGAAAAACAAACCAGGGAGTCGGGCAGAGTGTGGCTCTGGCATGGGGTGGGTGGGGACTAGCTTACAGATTTGATAGACCATAAGCCCCCTAGGGCTGGAAACCCTGGAAACCAGAACCAGATACATAACTTGGGTTTCAGAAATGTTAGCTGAATGACTGAGTGATGGTTGGGATGGACGGGTGGAGGGTTGGGGCTCTGCAGGCTTAGCTGCCTGGTGCCCCTCCATCTGGCCCTTCCCTTCCAGGCCCTCACCCCATTTCCATGTCTCCCACAGGAACCTCTAAACTGTCCCCATGTGTGCCCTTCTTCGCGGTCACCTTCTGTGCCCCAACATCTTTGAGGCAATCTGTGGCCTCCAGGCAGAACAGGCTTCAAAATTTGTCAAGCAAAGTGAAATGAAGGCTGAGACCTTTGATCAAAAACTATGAAGAATTTCAAGCTGAGGTGGGAAGATCGCTTGAAACCAGGAGTTTGAGACCAGCCTGGGCAACAAAGCCAGACCTTGTCTCTACCAAAAATAAAAAATTACCTGGTGGTGTGCCTGTAGTCCCAGCTACTTGAGAGGCTGAGGTAAGAGAATGGCTTCAGCTTGAGCCCAGGAGTTCGAGGCTGCAGTGAGCTATGATCGCACCACTGCACTCCAGCCTGGGTGACAGAGCTCTCGAGACTCAGTCTCCAAAATAAATAAATACATAAAATTGAAAAAAATTTTAAAAAACAAGAAAGGAATTTCAAGCCAGTGACTGCAGAGCATGAAACTAACCACGAAGCCCTGTTAAGTTCTCCCCTTGTGTGACTGTGCGAGTTGCATTTCCCGGAAGCTGGCCCTTCCTCTCAGGCAGGCCGGAAAGACCTCCTAGAGATCTGTGCCCAAACGACCTTTCCAACCTGGGCTCACAAACCTCACTGGGCTCTGTGCTCTCTCCACTGAAAACCTCACCCCACCTCCTGCCTCTGAGCATCTGTTCTCGCTGTTCCCTCTGCCCAGCGTGCCTTTCCACTCACTTCTTCTTGTTTTTGTGCACAGCCATGGATCAGGTGCCAGGAGAGGAGACGGAGGCAAAGCAGGGCCAGTCAGCTCTCCAGAGAAGACACTCTCAGAGGGCAGCTGCAGCCTTGCTCCACTGCAAGGCTCAAGCAGAAGCTTCCTCTGCTGCAAAATGGAGCAGCCATAAGAACCACGATGCAGGATCTGAGGTGCAACTCTGCTAAGCTCTCTGTCTTTTTTTTTTTTTTTTAGATGAAGTCTTGATCTCTTGCTCTGTCGCACAGACTGGAGTGCAGTGTTGAGATCTCGGCTCACTGCAACTCCGCCTCCCGGGTTCAAGCGATTCTCCTGCCTCAGCCTCCCAAGTAGCTGGATTACAGGTGGGCGCCACCACGTCCTGCTAATTTTTGTTGTTGTTTTGTTTTTTTTGTTTTGTTTTGTTTTGTTTTTTGAGATGGAGTTTTTGCTCTTGTTGCCCAGGCTGGAGTGCAATGGTGCGATCTTGGCTCACGGCCACCTCTGCCTCCCGGGTTCAAGTGATTCTTCTGCCTCAGCCTCCCGAGTAACTGGGATAACAGGTATGTATCACCATGCCTGGCTAATTTTGTATTTTTAGTAGAGAAGGGGTTTCTCCATGTTGGTCAGGCTGGTCTCGAACTCCCAACCTCAGGTGATCCACCCACCTTGGCCTCCTAAAGTGCTGGGATTACAGGTGTGAGCCACTGTGTCTGGCCATTTGTGTATTTTTAGTGGAGATGAGGTTTTGCCATTTTAGCTAAGCTGGTCTCGAACTCCTGACCTCAGGTGATCCACCCGCCTCGGCCTCCCAAAGTGCTGGGATTGCAGGTGTGAGCCACTGCGCCTGGCCCTGCTAAGCTCTCTTTTTTTTAATCTACTGAGATTTGACTCACATACCATAAAGTTCACTGTTTTCAAGTGTACAATTCAATCGATTTTGGTATATACACAGGGTTGTGCAACCACCACCACAATCTAATTTCCTAAACATTTTCCCCTAAACAAAACACTCAACCCATTAGCAGCCTTTCTCCCCATGTTCCCCACCCGGGGCAGCCACCAGTCCACTTTTTGTCAAATTCACATATGGATTTGCCTATTTTGCACATTTCATAGGAATGGGATCCTACAACATGTGGTCGTTGGTGACTGCCTTTTTTCACTGAGTATCATGTCTTCAGGGTTCACCAATGTTGTAGCCTGGGTCGGTGTTTCACTCCTTTGTATAGCTGAATAGTACTCTGTTTGTCCGGACAGACCACATTGGATGCGTCCATTCATGATAGGACAGATGCGCACAGTACAGCACTTTCAGTCTGCCTGGGAGGTGGGTGTGGGTGCCCGGACCTCCCACGCTGACCTTGATCCTGAAATATAACCCAATGGCTGTCTCCTTTCCCTTCTGGAAGATTCCCACTCAGCCTTCAAGGTCCACTCGGAGGTCACTTGCGTCCCCCCATTACCCCAAATAGACATAATGCCTTCCTCCGCTGTGCTTGCAGTGAGGCTTCTTCCTTGTCTAAGACCCACCCGTCTCTCCCCCCTCGCCGCTCCAGTCCGAAACTGCGATTGTCCTGTTTCTGGGGTCCTGGGCGTCTCCAACCCCCCAAAACGTTTGTGCATTGGAAAAATGGGGAATTGGCTGGGCGCTCATTGGCTGCCGGAGAAGCTAATTGTTTCCTTGAAGTCACAGGTTTCGGACGGAGGAAAGAAGAGTTGGGGTATTCTGGCGGTAGGGACCGGTGGGGAGGAGGAAGTGACCCTCCTCTAAGGCCCAGGGTCGGGGGAGGTGGGGAGGGAGCGGCCGACCGGCCGAATAGCGCTGCTTTCTTTGTTTTTCATGCAACATAATTCCATGGCCAGTCCAGGCGCTGCAGCCCCCTCCCCTGCCGGCCCCGGCGCCCGCGCAGGACCGCAGAGGGGCTGGGGGTCCAGGGCGCAGTCTAGTTCCAGGGCGCCCGCGCAGCCGCGGGTCCTTCCCTCTGGGAAGGAGCTGGCGGAGGCTAGGGAGGGGGCGTGCGGGTGTCCCCCGCCTTCCTCAGCTCCTCTAAGCGCCCATGGAGAGCCCCAGTTCCGTCCCAGGCTCTCCCTCGGCTCCTCTTTTTATTTATTTATTTATTTGTTTGTTTGTTTATTTATTTATGATGGAGTCTCGCTCTGTCGCCCAGGCTGGAGCACAATGGCATGATCTCGGCTCACTGCAACCTCTGCCTCCCCGGTTCAAGCGAATCTCCTGCCTCAGCCTCCTGAGTAGCTGGGATTACAGACGCTCGCCACTACACCCGGCTAATGTTTGTATTTTTAGTAGAGACGGGGTTTCACCATATTGGCCAGGCTGGTCTCGAACTCCTGACCTCGTGATCCGCCCGCCTCGGCTTCCCAAAGTGCTGGGATCCTCGGCTCCTCTTTTGCAGACGAGGAGGCGCAGGGGCGAGTGGGGAGGGCGTCCTCGGTGAGCGCGCGAATACCCTCCTGAGTCAGCTGGGTCGGCGGCGGCTGGCAGGAGAGGCCCCCCACGGCCGGGGCGATAGCTGAAGGTGGAGGTTGACCCAGGCTGCGCCCGGGTGGAAGAAGTTAGACTGCAGGAGGGACCAGCGGGCATTGGCGTGAACCCCTCAGTCGCCCCTCCAGAGTGTGAAATTGCCTCTTTGCCCGACGCCGGGCTGGGACTGGGGGTGGGGAGAGACGGAGCAGGGATGGCCGCCCGCTGCCCGGTGCGCTTCCCGGAGCTGCGCAGAGCCCCGAGACCCGGAGGGAGGACCGAGCGCGCTGCGCGAGCACCCCCGGTCGCCTGCCGGCGCTCAGCACCGAGCACTTTTTCCTGCTCCGGGTGTTCTCGGTCCACCCTGCAGCCCAGCCCCGGCGGACCCGCCCCCGGCCCGGCCCAGCGTCCCCAGGGGCTCCCGGCCCACCCCGTCCGTTCTGGAGCGAGAGTTCACTCCCCGGGCTGACTGCTCCAAGCCCCCTTTATTAGAAGCATTCCTTGTGGAAAAACAGGAAACACTGACCTGTAAAACAAAACGCTTATTAAAATCGCCTGGAATCTTGTTGCCTGATTAGCATGCCGCTCTGCTTCCTGTTTTTGGTCTGTGCTACTTTCCATATAGTTTTCTCAACTCTTTTTGTGCGCGCTAACAAAATGGAAGTCACTTGGTATATAAGCGTTTCTGCTCGTTATTTTTTAACATTTATATTTATAAACGTTGTTTTCCTCGAGTAATAAATACAATCTCTTGAGAAGACACCGAAACTGAACAGCGAAGCCCCGTGGCCCCTCTCCCTCCCACACCCTTCCACTCCCCCTCTGGAAGTAAGCACAGTTGTGAGTCGGCTGTGTATTCTCCCAGTCTTTTTCGCATTTTATGTACCGTATATATATCTAGAAATACATAGTTTTATTTAGGAGTCGCTTTAATGTAAAGCAGATGGGGTTGTAGATACAGTTCTAGAACGGGCTTTCCCCCACTTAACAGTGAGTTTGGAAATTGCTTGGCCTAGACCTGCTTGTTTCTTTTTTTTTTTTTTTTTCTTGAGACGGAGTCTCTTGTTGCCCAGGCTAGAGTGCAGTGGCACGATCTCAGCTCACTGAAACCTCCGCCTCCCAGGTTCAAACGATTCTCCTGCCTCAGCCTCCCAAGTAGCTGGGAGTACAGGCATGCGCCACCACACCCGGCTAATTTCGTATTTTTAGTAGAGATGGGGTTTCGCCATGTTAGTCAGGCTGGTCTTGAACTCCCGACCTCACGTAATCCGCCCACCTTGGCCTCCCAAAGTGCTGGGATTACAGGCGTAAGCCACCGCGCCTGGAAGGGACCTGCTTCCTTCCTGACTGCATAATAGATGTACCACTCACAGCTGGAATGCGCCTTCGTTTATTTCAAGCATTCTCTGTTGTTTTTAGTTTGATTCCAGCTTTTCTCTATCCAACCCTTCAGCCCCTGTGTGCACCTGCTAAACTCCAGGCCTCTCCTAGGTGCAGGGAGTGTGTGCAGTCGGGAACAAACAGACACATTCCACCATCGCGGGGCTTGGGCCTGCAAGGGCAATGAACCAATACACCGGAGGTGGGTGAGGAGGGGATATTTTATTTTCTGAGAAGAGGATATATTGGGATCATTACTATGGTTCAAATACCAGATCAAAATTAAAAAGTATCTAGAGGCCACGTGCGGTGGCTCACGTCTGTAATCCCAGCACTTTGGGACACCAAGGTGGACAGATCACTTGAGCAGCAGTTGGATACCAGCCTGGGCAACATGGCAAAACCCCATCTCCACAAAAAATTACAAAAGTTAGCTGGGCGTAGTGGTGCTCGCCTGTAGTCCTGTAGTCCTAACTACTCAGGAGGATGAGGTGTGAGGATAGCTTGAACTCAGGCAGCAGAGGTTGCAGTAAGGCGAGGTGGCGCTATTATACTCCAGCCTGGGTGGCAGAGCAAGTCTGTCTCAAAAAGAAAAAAGAAAGAAAAAAGTATCTAGAGAAAAGTCTTACTCCCATCCCTGGCCTGTATGACACATGGTCTCTCGTGTATCCATCAGAATTTACTTATGAAAATATAAGCAAAAACGAGTGCCTGTATGTGTTTGCTTCTTTTCTTATGGTAAAGGGAGCACGCTATCACCCGTGCTCTGTGCTTGCATTTTAGAATCTACTTCTGTGTCTGGGTGCTCATTTCCATTAAGGTTCATTAACTTTATTTATATATGCTGCCTAAAGGGACAAAGTGCTCCATCATAAGGATTTATCTTACCACAATCATTTGTTCCCTGTGACACAAGAGTCTTCCCAGTCTTTTGCTCCTATAAACATTGTTGCAATGAATAACTGTACAAAGGTCATGTTTTCACCTGTAGGCCTCATCCCTTGGGTGGATTCCCAGAATTGTGATTGCTGAGTCAAGGCCATGTGTACAGACAGTGTTGACGTCCTTCACCGAGTTGCCCTCTGTATTAGTGAAGACCTCAAGAGAAACAAATCCTATGGGATATATGTGTACATATGCACACACACACACACACACACACACACACACACACACACACACGAGATGGGAAGGTGGGGAGAGAGAGACTGAGATTTATGGTAAGGAATTGAGAAATGACTCCCTAAATTATGCAGGCTGACAGTCCCAAGATCTGCAGTTGGCTGCTAGAAACCCAGGAGAGCAGATGCAGGGAAAGAGCCATGTCCCCCTTCCAAAGCAGTCAGGCAGCAGGAATTCCCTCTTGCTTGGGGGAAGATCAGCCTTTGGTTCCACTTAGACCGTCAACTGACTGGATGGAGCCCATCCGAGGTAGCAGGGCCCTCTGCTCTCCTCAGTCTGTGGATTTCAATGTTCATCTCATTCAGAAACAGCCTCACAGGCACACCCAGGATCATGTTTGACCAAATATCTCGGCACCCTGTCGCCCCATCAGGCTGACACATCAGAGTAACCATCACATCTCCTCGTGGGGATTGTCCTGTTCCGTAGTCCCCTTGCCCAGGTGTGAGGGTTTGCACAGGCCTGACCAGAGTGCCTGCCGAAATGTGGACATTCCTCTGTCTGAGAAGTGAAAAGTGGTATCTTGGGGGCAGTTTGCACGCGCATTATTTTCATTGTAAGTAAACCTGAGGCCGGGCGCGGTGGCTCTCACCTGTAATCCCAGCACTTTGGGTGGGTGAGGCGGGAGGTCCTCTTGAGCCCAGGAGTTTGAGACCAGCCTGGGCAACATAGCAAGACCCCATCTCTACGAAAATTAGCTGGGTGTGGTGGTGTGCACTTGTAGTCTCAGCTACCTGGGAGGCTGAGGTAGGAGAATCACCTGAGCCCTGGAGGTTGAAGCTGCAGTGAGCCGTGATCGTGCCACTGCACTCCAGCCTGGGCAACAGAGCAAGAACTTGTCTCAAAAAAAATAAATAAATAAATAAGGTGAGCATCTTCTTTTTTTTTTTTTTTAGACGGAGTCTTGCTCTGTTGCCAGGCTGGATTGCAGTGGCTCAATCACTGAGCATCTTTTTACAAATGTGGGGGCCATTTGTATTTCTTTTTCAGTATACTGCTCATATGCTTTGCCCAGTTTTCTATTAGGCTGTTGCTCTTTTTATAGATTGAGCTAAAAAAAATTTATTACCAGTGTGTCCTAAAAACAACAGTATTGAGATACAGTTCACCCTCTAAAGTATATTTCAATTGTTTTTAGTATATTCAAATAATTGTGCAACATGATCACAATCAATTTTAGAAAATTTTCCTTACCCCAAAAGAAACCCTGTACCATTAGCAAAATCACTTCTCATTTCCCCCAACTCTCCCAGCCCCGGGCAACCACTAATATACTTTCAGTCTCTAACGATTTGTCTATTCTGGACATTTCATACAGATGGAATCATACAGTATGGGATCTTTTGTGTCTGGTTTCTCTGCGTAATGCTTCCGTCCAGGTTGTGGTATGTATCGGAACTTCATTCCTTTTCATGGCTGAATAATATTCCACTGTGTGGACGGACCACATTTCAGGTCTCCTTTCAGCTATGGATGGATGTTTGGGTTGTTTCCACTCTGGTTATTATGAGTAATGATGCTGTACACGTCTGTGCACACGTTTTTTTGTGGGACATGTGTTTCCAATTCTCTTGGAATGGAATTGCTGGAACCTGTTTCAGGAATTGCCAGAGTGTTTTCCAAAGTGGCTGTACTATTTTACATTCCCGCCAGCAAAAGCAGGGCCACTATGAGGGCCCCACTTCCTCCACGTCCTCACCAACACTTATTACCTGGAACTTTGATTATAGCCACCCTCGTGGGTGTGAAGGGGGTTTCATTATGCTTTCAAGTTGCATTTCCCCAATAACTAACCAGTTTGTCTTTTTATTTGCTTTTTCTAAAATTATTTAATTTATTTTTTGAGATGGAGTCTCACTCTTGTCACCTAGGCTGGAGTGCAGCGGTATTATCTCAGCTCACTGTAACCTCCACTTCCCAGGTTCAAGCGATTCTCCTGCCTCAGCCTCCTGAGTGGCTGGAACTACAAGCATGCACCACCACGCCTGTCTAATTTTTGTTATTTTTAGTAGAGACGGGTTTCACCATGTTGGCCAGACTGGTCTCAAACTCCTGACCTCAAGTGATCCATCCACCTCAGCCTCCCAAAATGCTGAGATTACAGGTGTGAGCCACCACGCTCAGCCCATTTGCTTTTTTTAATGTAGACTTTTTCTGTAGTCAAACACTTTATTCTTTTATGGTGTCTGAGTTTTGAGTCATAGATAAAATTGTCCCTGCTCTAAGATTCAAAACAAACTTCCCCATATTCTCTTCTAGGACTGTTATGCTTTCAGGCTTTCCATTGAAAACTTGGATCCGGCCAGGTGCAGTGGCTCACGCCTGTAATCCCAACACTTTGGGAGGCCGAGGTGGGTGGATCAACTGAGGTCGGGAGTTCAAGACCAGCCTGACCAACATGGAGAAACCCCATCTCTTAAAAATACAAAACTAGGCCGGGCGCGGTGGCTCACGCCTGTAATCCCAGCACTTTGGGAGGCCGAGATGGGCATATCACGAGGTCAGGAGATCGAGACCATCCTGGCTAACACAGTGAAACCCCGTCTCTACTAAAAATACAGAAAATTAGCCGGGCGTGGTGGTGGGCACCTGTAGTCCCAGCTACTCGGGAGGCTGAGGCAGGAGAATGACGTGAACCCGGGAGGCGGAGCTTGCAGTGAGCCGAGATTGCGCCATTGCACTCCAGCATGGGGGACAGAGCGAGACAAAAAAAAAAAAAAAAAAAAAACCCAAAATTAGCCAGGCATGGTAGAACATGCCTGTAATCCCAGCTACGCAGGAGGCTGAGGCAGGAGAATTGCTTGAACCAGGTAGGCGGAGGTTGCCATGAGCCAAGATCATGCCATTGCACTCCCGCCTGGGCAAACAAGAGTGAAACTCTGTCTCAAAAAAAAAAAAAAAAGTCCCTCTCCCGTCTCCCGTCTCCCGTCTCCCGTCTCCCGTCTCCCGTCTCCCATCTCCCTCTCCCCACGGTCTCCCTCTGCCTCTCTTTCCACGGTCTCCCTCTGATGCTGAGCTGAAGCTGGACTGTACTGCTGCCATCTCTGCTCACTGCAACCTCCCTGCCTGATTCTCCTGCCTCAGCCTGCCGAGTGCCTGCGATTGCAGGCACGCGCTGCACGCCTGACTGGTTTTCGTATTTTTTTTGGTGGAGACGGGATTTCGCTGTGTTGGCCGGGCCGGTCTCCAGCTCCTAACCGCGAGTGATCCGCCAGCCTCGGCCTCCCGAGGTGCCGGGATTGCAGACGGGAGTCTCGTTCACTCAGTGCTCAATGGTGCCCAGGCTGGAGTGCAGTGGCGTGATCTCGGCTCGCTACAACCTCCACCTCCCAGCCGCCTGCCTTGGCCTCCCAAAATGCGGAGATTGCAGCCTCTGCCCGGCCGCCACCCCATCTGGGAAGTGAGGAGCGTCTCTGCCTGGCCGCCCATCGTCTGGGATGTGAGGAGCCCCTCTGCCTGGCTGCCCAGTCTGGAAAGTGAGGAGCGTCTCAGCCCGGCCGCCATCCCATCTAGGAAGTGAGGAACACCTCTTCCCGGCCGCCATCACATCTAGGAAGTGAAGAGCGTCTCTGCCCGGCCGCCCATCGTCTGAGATGTGGGGACCGCCTCTGCCCCGCCGCCCCATCTGGGATGTGAGGAGCGCCTCTGCCCGGCCGCGACCCCGTCTGGGAGGTGAGGAGCGTCTCTGCCCGGCCGCCCCGTCTGAGAAGTGAGGAGACCCTCTGCCTGGCAACCGCCCCGTCTGAGAAGTGAGGAGCCCCTCCGCCCGGCAGCCACCCCGTTTGGGAAGTGAGGAGCCTCTCCGCCGGGCAGCCACCCCGTCCGGGAGGGAGGTGGCGGGGTCAGCCCCCCGCCCGGCCAGCCGCCCCGTCCGGGAGGTGAGGGGCGCCTCTGCCCGGCCGCCCCTACTGGGAAGTGAGGAGCCCCTCTGCCAGGCCACCACCCCGTCTGGGAGGTGTACCCAACAGCTCATTGAGAATGGGCCATGATGACGATGGCGGTTTTGTGGAATAGAAAAGGGGGAAAGGTGGGGAAAAGATTGAGAAATCGGATGGTTGCCGTGTCTGTGTATAAAGAAGTATACATGGGAGACTTTTCATTTTGTTCTGTACTAAGAAAAATTCTTATGCCCTGGGATCCTGTTGATCTGTGACCTTACCCCCAACCCTGTGCTCTCTGAAACGAGTGCTGTGTCCACTCAGGGTTAAATGGATTAAGGGCGGTGCAAGATGTGCTTTGTTAAACAGATGCTTGAAGGCAGCATGCTCGTTAAGAGTCATCACCACTCCCTAATCTCAAGTACCCAGGGACACAAACACTGCGGAAGGCCTCAGGGTCCTCTGCCTAGGAAAACCAGAGACCTTTGTTCACTTGTTTATCTGCTGACCTTCCCTCCATTATTGTCCTATGACCCTGCCAAATCCCCCTCTGCGAGAAACACCCAAGAATGATCAATAAAAAATAAATAAATAAATAAAAAGAAAGAAGAAAAAGAAAACTTGGATCCACGTGGATTTTATTCTGGTGTCGGACGTGAAATATGCATAACTTTCTTCGATTTTTCCCAAGGTTGTGCCGTGTGTGTCCCTGGCAACCTGGAGGAAAGGATTTGGTCGGGCAGTTAGCCCAGTGTGGGGAGGTGACATTTGCAGAGACTGAAGACAGGAGGCACAGTCTCCTCCATACACAGAGACCACAGACGGAGAGAGCTGCATGTGCAAAGGTCTCAAGGTGGGAGGAAGCTTGGCTCATTCCCAGAACAGCAAGGCCAGTGCGGCTGTAGGTGCTGGGGAAGCAAGGAGGACAGGGATGGGTTCCTGGAGGGGCCAGCCCAGGTAGGACCTAGTAGGTAACTGTGGAGTCTGGCTTGGATTTGGGCTCTAATGGTACCGAGGAGCTGCAGGCAAGATCTTTAAAACTGTTCACTTGATAAGATAAGACCCAGACGGGAAACTGGGGGGCCTAAGGTTATGGACAGTTCAAATTTTGCTGCAAATTGGCTGGGCGTGGTGGCTCACACCTATAATCCCAGCACTTTGGGAGGCTGAGGCATGTGGATCACCTGAGGTCAGGAGTTTGAGACCAGCCTGACCAACATGGTGAAACCCAGTCTCTACTAAAAATACAAAAATTAGCCAGGTGTGGTGGCGGGCACCTATAATCCCAGCTACTTGGGAGGCTGAGGCAGGAGAATCACTTGAACCCAGGTGGTGGAGGTTGCAGTGAGCCAATATCGTGGGACTGTACTCCAGCCTGGTGACAGAGTGAAACTCCATCTCAAAAAAAAAAAAAATTTGCTGCAAATTGACGAATTGTTCTCCAAAAACCTGTATTATTTTCCCTCACCTTTCACTTGATGTTATTTCCGTATCATTTGCTATTTTATTAAATATTTCTGAAGCATGGTTTTTAATAACTGCATGGTTTCTTAAAAAACATATTTATTGAGATATAGTTGATATATAGTAAACTATACATATTTAGAGTGTACAGTTTGATAAGTTTTGACATCTGTATATACCTGGGAAACCATGACCACAACCAACATAGTGAACACATCCATCGCCCCCAAAAGTTCCTCGTACCCCATTGGGGTGTTTCCCTCCTGCCACCCCCTCCCCAGGCAGCAGCCCTTCTGCTTTTTGGTAATGATTGCCTGGTGCTTCTCACCATATGGCTGCCTTGTAATTATTTGAGCATTCCTCTACTGTTAGACATCCATGTTTATCCCATTTTTGCTACTTCGGCTAGGAAGAGCATTCTCATACATACA
This sequence comes from Homo sapiens, assembly GCF_000001405.40. NCBI lineage: Eukaryota > Metazoa > Chordata > Mammalia > Primates > Hominidae > Homo > Homo sapiens. Next base: position 68,863,657 of record NC_000011.10, read on the forward strand.
GATATCTTCATATACTTGACTATTTCCTTACAACAAATTCTAGAACTGGTATCTCCAGACCAAAGGTTATGAATGTTAAGAATTTGGAAGCAATTTGCCCAATCTTGTTCACAAGGCTTGCTAGGTATGACATGCACTTTCCATTTGATTTTCTTTCTGAAAAGTTGAATCATCATAATGCCAAAAAAAAAATACTAACCCTCCAAGCGTGGCTCAGATATTTCTGCTTGGACCTAAGAGGTGGCTATTTTTGGAAAGGTCCTTTTGTGGCTGTGAAGGAAACAAATATTCCCTCTTCCTTCAGATCCTAAAGTACTCAGTACCTTTGTGGAGTTTGCTGTGGGAGCACCCAATAGCCTGCCCTCAGCCATTTCCCTTCCTGCAGAATTCAGGAGGCTTCTGCAGCAAGGATAGTTCAACCCCCTTCAACTCTGCAGGCTTCTCTGGTGGAGGCAGGGACCTCCAGAGTGACTGACAGTAGTTCCAAGGCAGGCGGAGTGGGAGAACTGGCCTCTCTGTAACCTTACCTGCCAGGGGCCCTCCACTTCCCAGGTGTGGAAACTGAGGCTTAGAGAAGGGTGAGGACTGGCTGAAAAATCCCATAGCAGATGAGCAACAGAACTGGAACCCAACCCAGCTCTGCTCCACTCTGACGGCCACAACAGCCCAGCAGGTGGTCTGAGTGGTGCTGGGGACACCAGATGTGACTCAGGTGAGATATGAACACATGGGCTTTATATCCACAGCCAGGTATTTATTTTAATGTGTATCAATAAGTAGCTGTGACATCGAGGCTACGATTTCACAGCTGCAGTGATGTATGACAAGGTTAAAGGAGGGATTTAAGCTAAAAAGTGAAAGAAATGAGGCTGGGTTCACACCTCTAATCCTAGCACTTTGGGAGGCCAAGGCGGGTGGATCCCCTGAGGTCAGGAGTTAGAGACCAGCTTGGCCGACATGGTGCAACCCTGTCTCTACTAAAAAAATACAAAGGCCGGGTGTGGTGGCTCACACCTGTGATCCCAGCACTTTGGGAGACCAAGGCAGAAGGATCATGAGGTCAGGAGATCAAGACCATCCTGGCCAACGTGGTGAAACCCTGTCTCTACTAAAATACAAAAAATTAGCCAGGTGTGGTGGCACATGCCTGTAGTCCCAGCTACTTGGGAGGCTGAGGCAGGGGAATCACTTGAACCTGGGAGGTGGAGGTTGCAATGAGCCGAGATTGCGCCACTGCAGCCTAGCGACAGAGCAAGACTCCGTCTAAAAAAAAAAAAATACAAAAATTAGCTGGGCATGCAGTAATCCCAGCTACTCGGAAGGCTGAGGCAGGAGAATCGCTTGAACCTGGGTGGCAAAGGTTGCAGTGAGCCGAGATCGCACCACTGCACTCCACCCTGGGGCACAGAGTGAGACTCCATCTCGAAAAAAAAAAAAGTGAAAGAAATGAAAGAAGTGTGAAATGATCACACCCGTGGTCATAGGCTACCGCAAAAGAGTCCAGAAACAGTGAAAATAGGCAGGGGCCTCACTGCTCCACCTTGACTCGGGCAAGCCCTTCCCCCTTGCAAAGACACCAGGTAAGATGGGTGGCTGCAGGTGGCAGTCCTGGGCTTGCAGGTGCCCCATCCTCACACACGCGCATACGCATGCAGGGGCACACACTGCAGAGGCCGCAAAACAGGCCTCCTCTCCAGCCCTACACCTGACCTGAGCTTCTCCCCACGCTCCAGGGAAAGATAATGACCACTGGTCCCAGGTGCCAGGTGCACGTGGCCACGTGGAAGGCTGGGGACGTGACAAGAAGGAGGCAGGGCTGGGGAGGAGTCTCTAGGGGTGACAGGGTGTTTAGAGGCCCTTAGGTGCTCTATCCCCCACGTCCAGGTGGGTCAACACTGGTGGGCTTTGTCTTGAGAGGATGCCAGGATGAAGGACAGGACTCCGGGCCCGTGCCTTGTCACAGCAACACCAGCAGGCCCTCCTCGGCCCCAGCCTTCTGACCACCCTGGCCTGTGGGAGCTCTGGGCCTTCCCGAAAGCCTCCCACTGCTACCGGCACTGGGCACTGCCAACAGCCCGCCAGGCTGCTTTACCTGTAAACTGCTCCGGAGGATTACCAATACGGTAGTTTCCTTTCGCCTGTTCTACACTGTACATCCTGTACCACAATTCCCATGCCTTTTGCTTCCTTCTTTCCCTCCTTTCCTATCTTCCCTCCTTTCCTACCTTCCCTCTGTCCCTCCCCTTTCCCCTCCCTCCTTTCCTCTTTCCTTTCCTCCCCTTCTCCTCCCCTTCTCCTCCCCTTCTCCTCTCCTCTCCTCTCCTCTCCTCTCCTCTCCTCTCCTCTCCTTCCTTCCTTCCCTTCTGTCTGCATTTGGTCAGTTACTCTCTACCTTTTTGTTGCTGTTCTCACACCATTGGGCCCTATTTTCATTTTGATTTCTTACTCTTTAAAAGAAAAAAAGTAGCCGGGTGCAGTGGCTCACGCCTGTAATCCCAGCACTTTGGGAGACCGAGGTGGGTGGATCACCTGAGGTCCGGAGTTGGAGACCAGCCTGACCAACACGGAGAAACCCTGCCTCTACTAAAAATACAAAATTAGCTGGGCGTGGTGGCGCATGCCTGTAATCCCAGCTACTCCGGAGGCTGAGGCAGGGGAATGGCTTGAACCCGGGAGGCGGAGGTTGCTGTGTGCCGAGATCGTGCCATTGCACTCCAGCCTGGGCAACGAGAACAAAACTTCGTCTCAAAAAAAAAAAAAAAAAAAAAAAAAAAAAAAATATATATATATATATATATATATAAAGAGAGAGTCATCATTCCAGCATCGCCCCTGCCTTCTCCTCCCCAGATTCCACTAGAGGAATGTCTAGTGGGGACTCTCCTCTAGCCCCATTCATGTTGAGTGTGAGCACACGCATGCACACATATGCACACACATGCGCACACACGCACAGGCACACACACACCCGTGAAGGCATGTAGGCCAGCCCTTTATGGCTTTATCTCCCCGTGTTTTTTTTTGTGTGTGTGTTTTTTGTTTTTTTGTTTTTGAGACAGAGTTTCGCTCTGTCTCCCAGGCTGGAGTGCAGTGGCCCAATCTCGGCTCACTGCAAGCTCTGCCTCCCGGGTTCACGCGATTCTCCTGCCTCAGCCTCCCGAGTAGCTGGGACTACAGGCACCTGCCACCACGCATGGCTAATTTGTTTTTTGTATTTTTAGTAGAGACGGGGTTTCACTGCATTAACCAAGACGGTCTCAATCTCCTGACCTCATGATCTGCCTGCCTTGGCCTCCCAAAGTGCTGGGATTACAGGCATGAGCCACTGCGCCTGGCCTATCTCCCCGTGTTTTAGACAACCCATGTTTCAGTTCAATTGCCCATTCCAATTTTTTGCCCAACTATTCCCCTGAGGATAACTCTCTGCCCATCGTTGGACATGATGGGGTGCACAGGATGTTCCTCGGGCTGAGGAAATGTGACCCCACCATCCAAATTGGTGCAGTGTCTTCTGTTCTCCTTCTTTTATGCACTCTGAGCATTTGCATCCACCACCAGGCAAGCCAAGCCCAGTCCCGAGCCGACACCCAGGGCTCCGGCATCAGCCTGACTTGCAGCTGTGTCCAGGGCCTACCCCAGGGAATTGGCCACACAGCCAGCAGCAATGTCTGTCTCTGTTGCTGGCTGACAGCACTGTCCTTATTGGCATTTTATGCCTCAGACGGTGCAAGAGAGACACTGACTAGGGGCATTTACTCACTTGCTATCATGAGGCAGAAATTTAAATAATAATAATAATAATAATCAGTACTGCATTTATTCACGCCAAGAAAAGTAAAAGCTAAGGCCCAGAATATGGCAAGGCAAAGGCTAAAAAGAAAAGAACAAGTTTTCCTCTTGCCTAGCAGCTCACTTTAAGGACAGTTAGAAGATAACGCTGTCCAAATAGCCAAGGCCAAAGGAATGGGCTCCAGACACCCCCCTCCCTTCCAGAGCAAGCTTGAAAGAAAAAAAAGAAAGACAGGTTCTTTTACTGTTACTCTTTTCCCAGGCTTCTTAAGCATGATTAGCATGATTATGTTTTACAAATGTCTGTATTTAGCCAGTTCTTGTTTTTCTTTCAATGCAGCTACAAGGCCACTGGCTAGGTCACAAATTATGTTATGCTATAGATTACGTGACCTGTTACTGTATGATTAACTGCTTTTATTTTGCTACTGCTTTTATTTTGCTCCTGTAAGGCTGTTTATAAAAACACTGCTCTTTGTTCAGGGCTCAGCTTTTGGATGTGAATCCTCTGAGCCGGTGCGTACCTAAAATAAACAAATCCTTCTGTACTGCAAATTGGTTTTTCCGTTCCTCAGTTTACCGCAACATTTTTGGCAACCACGAAGGGACTGGAGACGGCAGGCTTACTGTCTCCTTTGCCTCTGGGGGCTGGAGCGAGGGTCTCAGGAAACCTGTGACCCCAGGTGCCACCGGGAGAACTTCAGCCTGGGGGGGAGATCAGCTCTCCTGTGACCTGGCACCCCTACCCAGCAGCGAAACGGAACCTAAAGAGGGACTACAGGATGATTTCAGAAACAACGCGCTTCAGGAACCACAGTAAGGTTTTGGGGGCTCAAGGCAGGACCCGTCCCTTGGACAGAAGGGAGCCTGATCATCTCCCGGGGTGTGCCAAATAGTCCGAACCAGAGGGGCTGGGGGTGACTGGAGTGGCTTGTCAATTTGGATGAAACTCACACCCCGCCGACACAGGATGCAAGAGTGGCTCGCCAAGTCGGCTAGGGAACTGGAGGTGGCAAGAGTGGCTCGCCACCCCAACTGGGAACTAGAGGGGGCGAGAGTGGCTTGCCACCCCAGTTACAAACATGGGAACTGAAGGTGTGTGGAAGTGTGTGAATGAAAAGGCCTCATTAGGCGCATCAGCTGCGAAGTGAAGAGTCACAGATCCCTTAGTGTAGACTGTGTGCTCCGAGAAAGGGTGGGGCCGACTAAGACTAGTGGTGATCTGCATATGGCTAATAGGAGCTGCCCTACAGCTCAGAGTTGCAGCAGGAATAAGGACCTCTCCAAAGCCAAGCAGCATCTGAAAACCCCCATAATAGGAGACAGTGTGGTTGGTCGAAACGAGAGGAAGAGTGAGTAGGCAAGAGTGAATGTGCTGCGTTGTAAAGGGAGGAATGGGAGGAAAGTCATCAAAACATCAAAACTTACTCTGTGGGAGTGCATGTTACGGAACCTTAAGAAAGGTTTTGCAGGGGATTATAGAGTTAACCCCCTCAGAGGTTGAGAACTCTGGGTGAATTAGAATTGCCCTCTTCTGGTGTTGGATGGCTGACCGAAGGAACTACAGACAGGGAACAATTGGCCATGTATTTAAGGTGGTGACAAGGGTTGGAGAACAGCCAGTGTACCTGGATCAATTTCTTTATATTGACTCATAGTTAAATATAATATAGCCAAACCCAGCATTGATCCAGGCCTGTTTAACAGCTTATTGCAAAAAAAACCAAAAGTGAAAATAAGAGCAGCTTTGCCGGCAGACACAGAGTTAAAAGGGAATCCCAGAGACAGCAAGAGAAGCCAGTTTTACAGGAGCCACCAAAGGTAACAGAAATTCTTCCTCCATATATCCCAGCCTACCCCCGCTTTACCGAGGCCGACAGCCCCCCCAGGAACCAGATTCAGGAGCTAACATGCCCCAGGTCTCACCTCGAAGGGGAGGATCAGAGCCTTGAGAGGCCAGGAAGGAGGTCAAGATAGTCAAGTGGGCCATCTCAGATCTGGCCGTGCTGGAGCTATGCAAATGCCTCTCAGGGGGACACGAGGACCTATCTATTATGATGACCAGGATCCCAACTAGGACCCAGAGGATGAAACTCAGCTTCAGCGTTTGCAGAGGTACCAAGAGGCACTTCTGCAGGGGCTACGAGTTGGTAGAAGGAAAGCAATGAATATAAAGAAGATTTCAGAAGTGCTTCAAGGAGCTGATGAGAGCCTAAGTCAGTTTTATAAGAGACTCTGTGAAGCATTCCGGCTTTGTACCCCATTTAACTGTGAGGCTGCTGAACATCAGCCTATGGGGAATACTTCATTCGTAGGGCAAGCCCAGGGTGACATCAAGTGGAAGCTGCAGGCATGAATACCACCCAGTCCATAAAAGTGGCCACCACGGTGTATGTTAACTGTGACCAAGGAACAAAACGGGAAAGAGCAAAAGCCACAAGCGCGGCAGCTAAGCACGCCCACCATTAAGTTCCTCTCCCCAGCCCGGCTCTATCTGGAAAAAGAAGGGGCCAGGGACTTGGCGCCAGGAGAAGAGCAAAGGAAAAGGAAAGGAGAAAGTAACAGTAAGTGTGAGAAGGGAAAGAAGAAAGTAAAAAGGAAATCAGAAAAAAACAGGAGAGACAGGCGGCAGTGCACGGGGGCGGGGCCCGTGCCGTTGTCCGGCCCCACCGGCTGGCCGCAAGAGCAGAACTCAGGAAAGAAAAAGGAAAGTAAATTGAAGGCTTAAGAAAAAGGCCAATCTGTTGTCAACAGCTCTTATGGAAAGGGAGATTAGCAATGTGAGAGGACGTGGATGCGGACGTAGACGTGGAAAAAAGTCAAGTTAGGAATGGATTCAAGAGCCAGACAAGGTGGGCGCCTGTGATCCCAGCTACTCGGGAGGCTGAGGCAGGGGAATGGCGTGAACCCGGGAGGCGGAGTTTGCAGTGAGCCGAGATCGCGCCACTGCACTCCAGCCTGGGAGACACAGCGAGACTCCGTCTCAAAAAAAAAAAAAAGAAAAGAAAAAGAAAAAGAAAGAGATTAATGTGCGCGATGCAAAAAGAAAGGACACTGGAAGGATGAGTGTTCAGAAGGCAATGAGGGAAATAGCCAAGACCACGAGACAAAGAGGCCATCGGCCAAGGGCTGCCGCACCTTGGGGAACCAAATACTGATCTGATCAGGCTGGCAGGAGCCGAAGGACGTAAGGAACAGGACAGACCGGGAACCTTCTCATTAGGCACCCAGGGGCCCATGGTCACATTAGAAGTTAAAGGCAGCAGGATTCTGCTGTATCTGGATTCCAATTTCTCACTGATGGCTAAGCCACTAGATGGAGTTACAAAAGGGGAAGAAAAAGAACCCCTCCTCTGGGAAACAGCAGGAGAAGGAGCCCTGCCTGGTGAAAACTTGCTTATAGACTTCACAGAACCTCCCCGTGCCGGAGGTTATTGGTTCATGCTAGTGCTTGTTTGCACCTTTTCAGGGTAAGTTAAAGCTTTCCCCACCAGGACAGAAAAAGTACAAGAAGTGACTAAAGTACTGTTAAAAGACATTATTCCCAGGTTTAGACTGCCTCTAACTTTAAAGTCAGACAATAGGCCAGCATTTGTAGCTGAAATAGTGCGAGATTTAACAAGACTGTTAAAAATAAAATGGAAGTTACACACGGCCTACTGGCTGCAAAGTTCAGGAGAAGGTGGAAGGCGTGAACCGGACACTCGAGCAGCTACTGAAGAAATATTGCCAGGAAATTCATTTAAGATAGAATCAGGTTTTTGGCTATGGTCCTCCTCTGAGTCAGGTGCACCCCCACCAAACAAACTGGGTATTTGCCCTATAAGATTTTTTTTGGTCGGCCACTCCTACATCATAGGTCAAATTAAAGGTGACCTCCAGGAACTAGGGGAATTAACTTTAAGAAAGCAAATGCAGGTTTTTGAAACAGCCAAAGTGTTCATAATTAGGTACATGAAAATGCCTATAAGCCCGACACCCTTTTAAATCTAGTGACGCTGTTTAGGTTAGAAAGTAAAACCTAATTTCTCTAGGATCCATATAGGATGGGTCCTATATCGTAATCTTGTCCATTCCCACTGCTGTTTAACTTGCAGGTGTTATGTCTTGGATCCACCACAGTCGGCTAACACTGGCAGCTCAGGACAAGTGAACCAGCCAGCAGGACCCAGATCATCCAACCTGGCTGATCCTTAGATGAGACCGAGTTGCTGCTGAGGACAACAGCCCTGCTCTAGTCACTCTGGAGGCTGACTAGTCTACGCACGGCTGAAACTTGAGGACTTGTCAAGCAAGTAATGTAGCTAAAATCTTAAGACTAGTGGTTTTCGTGTACACTAACTGTTTTACTATTGTTCTGTCGCTGTGCTCAACCTTTTTCCCAGGTAAGGACCTTTTTTGTCCTTGCTGGATATGAATATGCTGTACATTGTTTTGTTGTTACCCCCCTTAACCATGTAGAAGAAACACCTACAGAAGGTGTCCCCACTGTACACATACTACTTGGTCAGGGAACAGTATAACTAGAACCCTATTGCACTATACTTATTATGAGTGTACAGGGACTCGCTTAGGAACTTGTACTTATAATCAAACCACCTATTCAACCTGTGACCCAGGAAATGGCCAGCCTTATATATGCTATGACCCTAAGTGTTTACCTGGGACTTGGTTTGAGATTCATACCGAGTCAAAGGGAGGAAGTTTTGTAAGTTGAACCCAAGCCTCTCTTCCCGGGGGCGGGGGGTGGGGTGGCTATATCCATATACTTTGATATTTGTCAGTTAACATCCATGAACCAGAGATTGTGAACTATCTCACAATCTCTGGTCCTACAGGGTACTATACAAACTGCCAGTACAAAATTGCATGTGCACCCCGTTTGCCCCTCCGAGGCCCTAGCGATAGCTTGCTGGAACCGCACAACGCAGTTCACTGACCGATCATCACCGAGGCTAAAGCCAATCTTGCTCATCAAAGTGCCAGCAAAACCGGATTGTAAGACAAGCACTTGCAATCCTGTAAATCTTACTATCTTAAAGCCAGATCTACCTATATAGACTGCAGGTTACTCCATGGCATTACAAAGCTACAGTCAAAAAACTAAAATAACTTTGTATATTCTAAAGAGGACTCAAACCAAGCGGTCAGCTCAGCAGCAATTCCGAGTCTTTAAGTCATTCTTTGAGCATATAAACCAAAAGTTACCAGAGCCTCCTCCTTTAGCCAAAAACCTATTTGCTCAGCTGGCTAAAAACATTGCATGCAGCCTAGGCATTTCCTCATGTTATGTTTGTAGAAGGACTAACATGGGAGACTAATAGCCTCAGGAAGCAAAAGAGTTAATGCCTCAAGATAACTTTACTCTGACTCTCTCTTTCCCCAAACAGACACGCACAAGTTCAAGCGTCTAGCTCTTAAAAACTTCTATTATTAGCAGATACTGTGTTGCTCCCTAGGGAAAAGTTTTTACAGACCCAGTAGGAGAACTAACCTGCTTAAGACAGCAATATTATAATGAAACATTAAGGAAAACTTTGTGGCAGGGCAGAGATGACTACAAAGCACCTCATCCAAATCTGTTCTCCTGTTTCTCTTCTCTAAACCACACTTGGTATCAACTTGAAGCTCCAAATACTTGGCAAGCACCCCCCGTCTTTATTGGATCTGTAGGCTACAGGCATATTGACAGTTGCCAGTTAAATGGACAGAGGTGTGCTTAGAACGATTAGACCATCTTTCTTCCTACTCCCACTGCAACAGGGAAAAACTTCAAGGTACCCTGTCTATGATGAAGTTAGAAGAAGAAACAAAAGAGATGCAGACACAAAGAGGTATAAAAATAAGAGATTGAAAAGGCACAAATTAGCCCCCTGAAAAAATAATTCCATACTATAGGCCAGCTACCTGGGCACAAGATAGGTCATAGGGAGACCGCACTCCTATCTACATGCTTAACCGTATCATAAGATTGCAGGCAGAACTTGAAATCATCACCAATGAAACAACAAATGCATTAGATGTACTGGCCCAGCAAACCACAACATTGAGAAACGCTACCTATCAGAACAGATTAGCTTTAGACTACCTCCTAGCCCAGGAAGGAGGAGTATGTGGAAAGTTCAGTCTAACTAATTGTTGCCTGGACATCGATGACAGCGGAAAAGCAATTATAGAAATAACTGCAAGAATGAGAAAATTAGCCAGTGTTCCAGTTCAAACTTAGAAAAGGTGATCCCCAGATTCTCTCTTTGGAGACTGGTTTTCATTTTTTGGAGAGTTCAAGACTTTAATAGGAGTAGTGCTGGCCACACTGGGAAGCTGCATAATACTCCATTGTCTCTTACCTTTCCTTGTTAGAAGTATTCAATCAACTATAGAGGCAATAGTAGCCAGGCAAACTACAACTCAGCTAATAGCTCTGTGTAAATATCAACCTTTGTCTAAAGAAGAAAACTTGTCTCTTCAGGCAGAACTAAGTAATAGTGATGCCTTTTATTAAACTTATTTCATAAAAGGCATCAAAGGGGAGAAACTGAGGCAGAAATTTAAATAATAATAATAATAAATACTGCATTTCTTCACTCCAAGAAAAGTAAAAGCTAAGGCCCAGAATATGGCAAGGCAAAGGCTAAAAAGAAAAGAACAAGTTTTCCTCTTGCCTAGCAGCTCACTTTAAGGAAAGTTAGAAGATAACGCTGTCCAAATAGCCAAGGCCAAAGGAATGGGCTCCAGACACCCCCCTCCCTTCCAGAGCAAGCTTGAAAGAAAAAAAAGAAAGACAGGTTCTTTTACTGTTACTCTTTTCCCAGGCTTCTTAAGCATGATTAGCATGATTATGTTTTACAAATGTCTGTATTTAGCCAGTTCTTATTTTTCTTTTAATGCAGCTACAAGGCCACTGGCTAGGTCACAAATTATGTTATGCTATAGATTACGTGACCTGTTACTGTATGATTAACTGCTTTTATTTTGCTACTGTTTTTATTTTGCTTCTGTAAGACCGCTTATAAAAACCCTGCTCTTTGTTCAGGGCTCAGCTTTCGGATGTGAATCCTCTGAGCCGGTGCGTACCTAAAATAAACAAATCCTCCTGTACTCTGTATTGGTTCCTCTGTTCCTCAGTTTATCGCAACAGTCATACATTGATTGAAGCTACCCCATGACTGAAGGACATAAAATCATCTTGAAACCTGAAATACCTACAAATATCTTGGGTGCCATCAGAGAAACCCCCTAGTGGGGATGGCAGTGCCAAGAAGAGTTTCCTAACAACATGGAAATGGTTTGTACAGGATGGTGCCACCTGGGGAAGGAAACCTACTCATCAGCAGGGTTCAGTTCAGCCCATCCCTGCACTGCGGCAGTTCCCCCCACACCCATTCATTTCGCGGTCCCAAGTGGTGGCCACGTTAAGCCAGTACGCACAAGTTCTTCTGATGGGCATCGATGTGTCCTACTTGAAGGAACCCCCACATTTCCACAGGGCCGCGCCCCACGTGGCCACCCCTTCAATAAGCCAGGTTTCTACCACCCTCCTGCCTGACCATGCGGCCGCTGCCCAGGAGCCAGTAAAAACCTAAACACAGGGGCTCCCACCACTGTTCAATTTTATTTTGTTTTGTTATGTTATGTTATGTTATGTTATGTTATGTTATTTATTTTATTTTTGAGATGGAGTTTTGCTCTGTCACCCAGGGAGTGGGGTGGAGTGGTGAAATCTCGGCTCACTGCAACCTCTGCCTCCCAGGTTCAAGCAATTCTCCTGCCTCAGCCTCCCGAGTAGCTGGGATTACAGGCACCTGCCACCACGCCTGCCTAATTTTTGTATTTTTTAGTAGAGATGGGGTTTCGCCGTGTTGCCCAGGCTGCTGTCAAGCTCCTGACCTCCAGTGATCTGCCCACTTTGGCCTCCCAAAGTGCTGGGATTACAGGCGTGAGCCACTGGGCCCGGCCTACCTTTCAATTCTTCCACCACTGCCAGGAAAACAGTGTGCAGTTCAGCCCACCAAGCTGATTTGTTTCCACCCTTCTTTGATCACAGTGGCATCCCTCCAGACCGGATGTTTCCTATTCACCACTAACCAGGCAGCTCTTTCCTGGCCAGTTGACAGCTGTGTATGGGGCATTCCCCAAGCGATGATAAAATCCGGCAGCTCAAATGAGAATTTATGAACACAAAGAAGCAAACAACAGACCTACTTGAGGGTGGTCTACTTGAGGGTGGAGGGTGGGAGGAGGGAGAGGAGCAGAAAAGATAACTATCGGGTTAATGCGGTTTGGGTGTGTCCCCACCCAAATCTCATCTTGAATTGTAGTTCCCACAATCCCCACGTGTTGTGGAAGGGACCCAGTGGGAGGTAATTGAATCATGGGGCAGGTTGTCCCCATGCTGCTGTTCTCATGATAGTGAGTGAGTTCTCACAAGATCTGATGGTTTTATAAAAAGCTTTTCTCCCTTTTGCTTGGCACTTCTCCTATCTGATGCCATAAGAAGAAGAACATGCTTGCTTCCCCTTCCGCCATGATTGTAAGTTTCCTGAGGCCTCCCCAGCCATGCTGAACTGTGAGTCAATTAAACCTCTTTTTAAAATAAAGTACTCAGTCTCCTGGGACACGGTGGCTCAAGCCTGTAATCCCAGCACTTTAGGAGGCTGAGGCAGGTGGATCACATGAGGTCAGGAGTTCAAGACCAGCCGGTCCAACATGGTGAAACCCCATCTCTACTAAAAATACAAAAAGTAGCCAGATGTGGTGGCACATGCCCATAATCCCAGCTACTCGGGAGGCTGAGGCATGAGACTCACTTGACCCTAGGAGGTAGAGGTTGCAGTGAGCTGAGATCATGTCACTGCACTCCAGCCTGGGTGACAGAGTGAGACTTCATCTCTAAATAAATAAATAAATAACCCAGTCTGGGGTATGTCTTTATTAGCAACGTGAGATACATGGGTACTGGGCTTAATACCTGGGTGATAAAATAATCTGTACAACAGGCCGGATGTGGTGGCTCAAGCCTGTAATCCCAGCACTTTGAGAGGCGGAGGTGGGAGGATCACCTGAGGTCAGGAGTTCAAGACCAGTCTGGCCAACATGACAAGACCCCATCTCTACTAAAAATACAAAAATTAGCTGGGCGCGGTGACAGGTGCCTGTAATTCCAGCTACCTGGGAGGCTGAGGCAGGAGAATCACTTGAACCTAGGAGGCAGAGGTTGCAGTGAACCAAGATCATGCCACTGAACTCTGGCCTGGGGGATAGAACGAGACTCTGTCTCAAAAAAAAAAAAAATCTGTACAACAAACCCCTGCGACATGAGTTTATCTATGTAACAAACCTTCACATGTATCCCTGAACCTAAAATAAAAGTTAAAAAAAACATCCAGCAGCTCCTCACACAGTTCCAGAGTCAGTCCCAGGGGATTCTCCCTGCTTGTGAGTCTCCTCCTTGCCTTCCCCAGCAAGGAGTCCCCATCCTTGCCTTCATATAGGATGGTTCACCATCCTATATGAACCATTTTCGTGTTGTTACGGAACTTTTCTTGGCGCTGTCATCTCCATTAGAGGGTTTCTGTGATGTCACCCAAGGTATTGTAGGTATTTCAGGTTTCAAGATTATTTTATGTCCTTCAGTCATGAGGTAGCTTCAATTAATGTCTAACAGCAAGTTAGTAAATGCCCCTCCAATGGAAATTTTCTAGTCCAAAGTCCCAGGTAGACTGGGTGTGATGGCTCATGCCTGTAATCCCAGCACTTTGGGAGGCCATAGTGAGAGGATTGCCTGAGTCTAGGAGTTTGAGACCAGCCTGGGCAATATGATTAAACCCTATCTCTACTACAAATACAAAAATTAGCTGGGCATGGTGGTGTGTGCCTGTAGTCCCAGCTACTCAGGAGGCTGAGGCAGGAGAATCGCTAGAACCCGGGAGGCAGAGGTTGCAGTGAGCTGAGATCATGCCACTGCACTCTAGCCTGGGCAACAGAGAGAGACTCTGTCTCAAACAAAACAAAACAAAACAAAACAAAACAAACAAACAAGCACCCTTACACACAGCGTTTTCCATGACCTGGGTAATGGGCATGTCCAGTAGAAACACATTCTGTTCATCACAAAGCCAACATCAAATGGCTTGTGTTCAAATCTGATGAGCTGCTCCGTCTGAGACATTTGACTTGGCATGTAGACGAGGAAAGGAACAGGGACCTTTCTCAGGGTACACAGACCCTACAGTGACTTTTACCCAGTCCAGCAGTCCAGCTGTCCCCTTGGGAGTCACCTCCTGCGTGTCTGAATCAGGGACAGCTCCCCGTGATTGTCCCATGGTGAGCTGCGGGTGCTGTGTCAACCCAAACACACTCTTCCACCCTGCAGCATTTAAAACTGAAGACACTGATCCTAAATCAGCTACTGCCAGAATCCATTTTCCTAAAGGCGCCCCAGGAAGCAGAAAACATGGAGCTACAAAATGAAACCCTTCCGTCACACTCCACGGCCTGGCTTTGGCAGTCGCTTGGTTCTGTCCTCCCTGCTGTGGACCACCTTGTTGGTGACCAGAGTTCTCAGAGGCACTTTCTGTTATTCCTGCGTCATTTTGCCCTTGGGAGTCAGCTCTGAGGCTAGCAGCCTGTCGTCCAAAAGGCCACCAGGATGGCCAGATAGTAGAAAGAGCTGGACTGGTGATTTCAGCTTGCAAATCAGGGAGAGGTCATCTCCGGTGTGGACTGAAGGTTTGCTGTCTTCCAAGAGGGAAAGGGCAGGTGAGGTTGATGACTCACAGGGCCCGTATCACACAGCAGAGTCACACGTATTCAGCAGGTTTGGAGGAAAAGCTATATTTGTTCATAATGGGGGTTGAGTGCACGTGCGATGGGTAAACATGCATGTAACATACATTCCATGTTCACTTTGGGGTGGGGCTCTGGCTTTAAAATGAGGTGGAATGTGGCTCTTTTCATCAAAATGTGAGCTATAAGGCTGGGTGTGGTGGCTCACGCCTGTAATTCCAACACTTTGGAAGGCTGAGGTGGGAGGACTGCTTGAGGCCAGGAGTTCAAGACCGACCTGGGCAACATAACAAAACCCTGTCTCTACAAAAAAAAAATTAAAAAAATTAAAAAGAAAAAGGGCAGGGCTGGGCACGGTGGCTCATGTCTGTAATCCCAACACTTTGGGAGGCCAAGGTGGGCAGATCATTTGAGGTTGGGAGTTTGACACCAGCCTGGCCAACATGGTGAAGCCCCATTTCTACTAAAAATACAAAAATTAGCTGGGTGTGGTGGTGGGCACCTGTAGTCCCAGCTCCTCAGGAGGCTGAGGCAGGAGAATAGCTTGAACCTGGGAGGTGGAGCTTGCAGTGAGCCAAGATCATGCCATGGCCCTCCAGCCTGGCCCACAGAGCCACCATCTCAGAAACAAAATGAAACGAAACAAAACGAAACAAAACAAAACAAAAAAAGAGGGAGGGTACAGTCACATTGTTTTGAGGTCTTGGTTAAACCTACTGAATCCACACGTTGCATGTGAAAAGGAGGCAGAGGAACAGTCCATTATGTATTCTTCTCGAGCTCAATAAAACTACATTTTTATGAGAAAGAAGTCAAATATGCATTGAGGTGGGTGGTGATGGCAGGTATCTTTTCTTTCTTTCCTTCCTTCCTTCCTTCTTTCCTTTCTTTCCTTCCCTTCCCTTCCTCCCCTCCTCCCTCCCTCTCTCTCTCTCTCTTTCTTTCCAATCTCGACTCACCGCAACCTCTGCCTCCCGGGTTCAAGCGATTCTTCTGCCTCAGCCTCCTGAGTAGCTGGGATTACAGGCATGTGCCACCACGCCTGGCTAATTTTGTACTTTTAGTAGAGATGGGGTTTCTCCATGTTAGTCAGGCTGGTTTCGAACTCCAACCTCAGGTGATCTGCCTGCCTCAGCCTCCCAAAGTGCTGGGATTACAGGCGTGAGCCACTGCGCCCGGCCAGTGGGAACCATTTCTAGTCTCCTCTTGTTCCATGCCTGTGAAGATAAGCTGTTAATTGACATTGTCAGGGTGGCCTCTCTTCACGGGTGGCCTCTTATCTTGTTGCTCTGTGTTTAGGAACAAAAGGAAAGGCAGGATTTGTGTCACTTGGCTTCCCAGCTTAGCCCTTCCCTTTGGCATAGCAGGTTTGGGGTCTCCAGATTTTATTTTCCTTTCACAATTCTGACACCAACTGGGGGAAAACACACTGTGTTTTTCTACTTCTGACACCAGATGTGGGTGTTTTTTTCCACACCAAGCAGTTCTCCAAATACCAGCTGGGCAGTCCTGCAATGTAATCCAATGCTGCCTCTGTCGACCTGGTGTTGGCACAGACCCCACAGGTTAAGCGCCCAGTCCCACAGACTGCCTCCAGTTCGGATGTCAATCCCAAGTCCAAGCTCAGGCCTCCAGCACTTCTAACCCATTGCCTGTCAGTTGGGGGTTCTCACGACACTCTCCTAACGGTCCGTTATTTGCTAGAGCAGCTCACAGAACTTGGAAACACTTCACCGATTTATTAGAAAGGACACAAACTCAGGAACAGGCACATGGAAGAGATGCACAGGGCAGGGTGTGCTGGGGTGGGGCTGGGACGGAGCTTCCATCCCCTTTCTGAACATGCCACCTGCCCAGCATCTCCACCTGTTCAGCATCCTGGAAGCTCATCAGATCTAGTTGTTCAAGAGGTTTTTTAGTGCTGAGGGCAGTGGCTCACGCCTGCAATCCCAGCACTTTGGAAGAGGCCAAGGCAGGAAGATCCCTTCAATTCAGGAGTTCCAAACCAGCCTGGACAGCGCAGGGAGACCTCTTCTCTACAAAAAATTTAAAAATTAGTCAGGTGAGGTGGTGGGCCTGGGTGACAAAAATTAAAAAAAAAAAAAAATGAGACAGGGTCTCGCTCTGTTGCCCAGACTGGAGTGCAATGGTGCCGAATTTGCTCATTGCAACCTCTGCCTCCCGGGTTCAAGCGATTCTCCTGCCTCAGCCTCCTGAGTAGCTGGGATTACAGGTGCCTGCCACCACGCCCAGCTAATTTTTTTGTGTTATTACTAGAGATGGGGTTTCACCATGTTGTCCAGGCTGACCTCAGGTGACCCACCCGCCTCGGCCTCCAAAGTGCTGGGGTTACAGGCTTGAGCCACCGTACTCGGCCAAAAAAAAGTTTTCAAAGAGGTTAATCTCTAGTCACCACGTCCCTCCTTCCTGGAGGTTAGCAGGAGGTGTTGAAAGTTCCAGCCCTGGAGTCCTTTGGTCTTTCTGGTGACTGCAAACCCTCCCCAATCTGAGGTTATTTGGGGGCCCTACCCTAATTTATCTCATTAGCATAAACTCAGCTGTGATCAAAAGGGCACGTATGAATCACAAAAGACAATCCCATGACTCTGGAAATTCCAAGGGTTTTAGGTGTTCTATGCCCAGAACAGGGGACAAAGACCCAGTATATTTCACAGTATTCCACGGTTGTCTGATGTGAGCCGGTTTTATTTTTGTGAGCAAGTGATAAAATCTTAGAGTAAAGCCCCCAAGGGCTAGGGCTTATTTGTTATGGTTGCAGAATGTACCCTGTGCTGACAAACACACCAGGGGATTCTAAAGCGCCGTCAGGGACCTGGTGTGGTGGCCCATGCCTGTCATCCCAGCACTTTAGGTGGCCCAGGAGGGAGGACTGCTTGAGGCTAGGAGTTTGAGACAAGCCTGGGCAACATAGTAAGGACCCATCTCTACAAAAAAAATACAAAAATTAGCTGGGCCTGGTGGCACACACCTGTGGTCCCAGCTACTCGGGAGGCTGAGGTGAGAGGGTCACTTGAGCCCAGGAGTTGGAGGTTAACGGTGAGCTATGATTGTGCCACTGCACTCCAGCCTGGGTGACAGAGCAAGACCCCATCTCTAAAATAAAATAAATAAAAATAAAGTGCAGCCAGGGGTGAGACTCACCAGAACCTCTGTGCCGTTCAGTTTCTTCATGTGTAAGATGTGAAAAGTCCCAGAGCCTCTGTCACAAGGCCCTTCCTAGGAAGGGGGTTAGGTGAATTGCACAGGTTGTGCCTGGTCCAGTGCTCTGCACATAGAAACGCTCAACAAACATCACTGTGAGCTCCTTCAGCAGTCAGGGACCTTCCTACTCCACTGGACCCAGAAGCACTGGGCACCACACTCTCTGTTCCTCTTTTATTTTTTCCTTTCTTCTTTCTTTTTCTTTCTTTCTTTCTTTCTTTTTTTTTTTTTTTTTGGACAGTGTCTCACTCTGTCACCCAGGCTGGAGTGCAGTGGTGCAATCTTGGTTCACTCCATCCCCGAGGCTCAAGGGATCCTCCCTCCTCAGCCTCCCAAGTAGATGGAACTACACGTGTGCACCACCACACCTGGCTAGTTAATTTTTTTTTTTTTAGAGAAGAAGTCTCCCTAAGTTGTTCAGGCTAGTCTCGAACTCCTGAGCTCAAGAGATCCACATGCCTCAGCCTCCTAAAGTGCTGGGATTACAGGTGTAAGCCACCGTGCCTGGCCTGTTTCTCTTTTATTTTTTGAAACAAACAAGTTCTTACTTTGTCTCCCAGGCTGGAGTGCAGTGGGGTGAACACAAGCTCATTGCAGCCTCGACCTCCCTGGCTCAAGCGATCCTCCCTCCTCAGCCTCCCAAGTAGCTGGGACTACAGGCATGTGCCACCATGCCAGGCTAACTTTCATATTTTTTGTAGATATGGGGTTTCTTCATGTTGCCCAGGCTGGTCTTGAACCCCTCAGCTGAAGCAATCCACCCATCTCGGCCTCCTGAAGTGCTGGGATTACAGGTGTGAGCCACTGTGCCCGGCTTTCCATGTTCCTTTGTCTACTCAGGGAAAGGACTGCATCTTCTCACCCTTTGTCCATTTCTTCTTTGTCCTGCTGAGTCATGGCAGCCCTCGTGCCATATGATTTTATTTTACACAACTGTATTCCATCCATCAGTTCCTTTGAGTGTTGGTTCTGGAGGGAGGACCTCTGTGTCTCCTGGTAGCATCACCCGGAAGAAGAAAAGAAGGAAGCAAGATGGCGCCTTTCAGGAACACAAGTCAGCCAGGGTTTCTGCACCATTCCTGGTCTATGCCCCGGGAGCCAGGGCCTCGACTCTGCAGAGCCCAGTCACGGGAAGAGGTGTCCGTGCAGGAAGTGGGTCGGAGAGCACCCAGCCTTCCAGGTGTGCTTCTCTCTCTTTTTTTTTTTTGAGACAGAGTCTCGCTCTTGTTGCTCAGGCTGGAGTGCAATGGTGCGATCTTGGCTCACTGCAACCTGCGCTCCTGAGTTCAAGCGATTCTCCTGCCTCAGCCTCCCGAGCAGCTGGGATTACAGGCGCCCACCACCACACCCAGCTAATTTTTTGTATTTTTAGTAGAGATGGGGTTTCACCACGTTGGCCAGGCTGGTCTCGAACTCCTGACCTCAGGTGATCCACCCACCTTGGCCTCCTAAAGTTCTGGGATTACAGGCATGAGCCCCCGCTCCCAGCCCCAGGTGTGCTTCTCTTATCTCTGTGAGCCACCACAAGCTTGTGGCCTGCCTTGGAAGTGGCTAAGGCCCCAGGAGTCTGAGGCCCCCAGGGTGTGGAGATGCTGGGAGAGAATCACAAGCAGCTGCTGTCCCTCCTGGGCCCCTGATGCAGCCCCTTCCTGGATCTTTTAGATAACACCAAGCCCCCCGCACGCATTGCAGTACAATGACATGCTTGATGCCTCCAGAGCTATGTCTGGCCTGTCTGGGACTTGGTCTCTTCTGCAAAGCTCCTGGGGCATCAGTCTTGCCTGACACTGACCTTCCTGAGTTGGCCCAGGATCCCACCGACATCTGCACCTCACTGAAGAGGCAATACCAGCCCACCTTGGGAACCAACCTCTGGCTCATCAGCTGCGAGGAATTAGGGATTCTGAGAGAGAATTCATTCATTCACAGAGTGCTAACTGCATACCCAGGGTGGTAGTTGATGCTGAGCAAACAGGAGTGAATAAAATGGATAGATGCCCCCTGCCAGAGCTGACAGCCTAGCAGGGCAGGGAGGAAGATGGGAAGCCTGTGAACATATGAATAACATTTGCTGACCCAGGAAGGGACAGACAGCGAGCAGACAGTGACCTGGGGAGGCACCTACTGAGATGGAATGGTCTGGGCCCCATCCAAGCTAGAGAGGAGGATCTATAGCAGCTACACACTTATTTCAGCAGGGCGTGGTGGCTCACGCCTGTAATCCCAGAACTTTGGGAGGCCGAGGTGGGCGGATCACTTGAGGCCAGGAGTTCGAGACCAGTCTGGGCAATATGGTGAAACCCCATCTCTACTAAAACCACAAAAATTAGCTGGGCATGGTGGCGCATGCCTGTAATCCCAGCTACTTGGGAGGCTTAGGTATGAGAATTGCTTGAACCCAGGAGGCAGACATTTCAGTGAGCTGAGATCGCACTCCAGCCTGAGCAACAGAGCGAGATTCTGTCAAAAAAAACCAAAACACTTATTTCATATTCAAAAAAATATTCTAACTTAATTAATTAATTTTATTTATTTTTTTGAGACGGAGTCCTGCTCTGGAGTGCAGTGGCACCATCTCAGCTTACTGCAACTTCCATCTCCCAGGTTTAAGCAATTCTTTTGCCTCAGCCTCCTGAGTAGCTGAGATTACAGGCACACACCAGCATGCCCAGCTTTTTTTTTTTTTTTTTTTGTATTTTTAGTAGAGATGGGGTTTTGCCATGTTGGCCAGGCTGGTCTTGAACTCCTGACCTCAGGTGATCTGCCTGCCTCAGCTTCCCAAAGTGCTGGGATTACAGGCGTGTGCTACCACACCCGGCCTCTAACTTAATTTTATTATTATTATTTTTAGAGACAGGGTCTTGCAGTGTTGCCCCAGCTGGACTCAAAACTCCTGGGCTCAAGTGATCCTGCTGCCGTAGCCTCCTGAGTGGCTGGGACCACAGGACGCATCTTATCCCATGAAGACTTGCTATGCTTTGAATGTCCCTTTGGAAGGGGAAGACTGCCTTCCACCCTCTGAAGATTTGCTGAAAATCAAATGTCAAAAGACAGATTAATAGGAGAAAAGGCATACAAATTTATTATGTGGGTGAGGGAGACTCATGCCATGATTACCATAACCCCGCAATGGGGTATAGGAGATTATACCCCCTCTTTTCCTAGAGGAGGGAGGAGATGGGGAATATGGACGATTCTTCTGAGGGGCAGCAAATGGTTATTAGGGAAAAAGAACGGACCCAGGAGACAGAAATTAACTTGTAAATGATTCTCTCTGGAGTCTGAACGAGCCCAAGAGGCAGGCATGATCTGGGGGAAAAATCTTTTTTTTTTTTTTTCTGAGACAGAGTCTTACTCTGTCCCCCAGGCTGGAGTGCAGTGGCGCGATCTCAGCTCACTGCAACCTCTGCCCTTCGAGTTCAAGTGATTCTCCCGCCTCAGCCTCCCAAGTAGCTGGGATTACAGGCATGCGCCACCGCGCCTGGCTAATTTTTTGTATTTTTAATAGAGATAGGGTTTCACCATGTTGCCCAGGATGGTCTTGAACTCCTGACCCGTGATCCACCAGCCTCGGCCTCCCAAAATGCTGGGATTATAGGCATGAGCCACTGCGCCCGGCCGATCTGGGGGAAAAGACTTTCTAAGTGCGGTTGCATCTTCAGACCTCGTCTGTCACAATGACTTAACAGGGAGGGGGTAGGAGGGGCCCTATTTGGAACGTCCAAAAGTTAGTTTGAGGTCAAAACCAGACTGCATTTAGAATTTGAAATTTGATTTTGGGAAGTTTGTTACGTATAAAAGGTTTGAAACACTTGATATCAAAATAAGAAAGGTTTAAAACACTTGATCAGGCCGGGCGCAGTGGCTCACGCCTGTAATCCCAGCACTTTGGGAGGCTGAGGCGGGCGGATCACAAGGTCAGGAGATGGAGACAATCCTGGCTAACACGGTGAAAGCCCGTCTCTACTAAAAATACAAAAAATTAGCTGGGTGTGGTGGCGGGCGCCTGTAGTCCCAGCTACTCGGGAGGCTGAGGCAGGAGAATGGCGTGAACCCGGGAGGCGGAGCTTGCAGTGAGCCGAGACTGCGCCACTGCACTCCAGCCTGGGTGACAGAGCAAGACTCCGTCTCAAAAAACAAAACAAAACAAAACAAAAAACAAAAAAACACTTGATCAAAATAGGATTACGGGTCATGGTAAAACAATAGTCATTCATTTAGCCAAAATGACAATTAAAAGATGTCAGAAAGCAAAATCTTTACTTTTTGATAGAGAGGAGATTGAGTTTTCTAAACAATCAAAAGACCTAACAAAGACAGCAAGAGGGACATGCTGACCCCCCTGCCTTTTTTTTTGTCGGTTTACTCAAAAGGTGAAGACAAAATTTACTATTTCTTATTAATACCACATGAAAATCTTGTTCAAAAGAAAACAAGTTCTATCCTTGCATCGGTATATTACTGTATGTTAAAGCTGATTTTATTTTATTGCATTTTATTTTATTTTTTTGACACAGAGTTTCACTCTTGTTGCCAAAGTGCTGGGATTACAGGCGTGAGCCACAGCTCCCGGCCTAAAGCTAATTTTAATAACAGCTTAAAAATAGATCTGTCCAGGCCAGGCACGGTGGCTCATGCCTGTAATCCTAGCACTTTGGGAGGCTGAGGCTGGCAGATCACTTGAGGCTGGGAGTTCAAGACCAGCCTGGCCAACATGGCAAAACCCTGTCTCTCCTAAAAATACAAAAAATCAGCTGAACAAGGTGGTGCACACCTGTAGTCCCAGCTACCCGGGAGGCTGAGGCAGGAGAATCACTTGAACCCAGGAGGCAGAAGTTGCAGTGAGCTGAGATTGTGCCACTGCATTCCAGCCTGGGTGACAGAACGAGATTCCGTCTCAAACAAAACAAAACAAAACAAAAATAGATTCATCCAATCTTAATCAGCTTTGACCACACAAGATTTCCACAAACCTTTTATAACCTCTTACAAAAACCTTTTTGAGTCTGTTTCTCCAACTTTCTATATCTATTGTTTTATTTTTCACTTTTTCAATTTAAAACAACCTTTAAATAACCTGTAAACTAGACAAAATTACTTTTCCTTTAACAAAACTGCATTCTCATGTTTTTTTGTAACCCTCCTTACCAAAAACACACCCTATTTTCTCTGTACACTTTGCATACAGAATTTGTTTTTCTTTTATCTGGTTTTTCTTATTGGGTTGTGTGTGTGTTTTTTTAACAGGGTCTTACTCTGCTGCCCAGGCTGGAGTGCAGTGGTATAATCACAGCTCACCTCAGCCTCAACCTCTCAGGCTCAAGCCATCCTCTTGCCTCAGTCTCCCTACTAGCTAGGACTACAGGTATGCACCACTACACCCATCTAATTTTTGTATTTTTTTGTAGAGATGGGATTTTGCCATGTTGCACAGGCTGGTCTTGAACTCCTGGGCTCAAGAAATCCGCCTGCCTCAGCCTCCCAAAGTGCTAGGATCACAGGCATGAGCCACTATGCCCTGCCAGTAGTTTTAATTACATGTATTAACTATAGTTTTAACTCTTAGTAACTCTGATTTCCAGTGAAAAACCTAGGGGGTAAGCAATTTTAATTGTTATGTACCAGGTTCATAGCCCAAGACAGAGACAGAGCTGTGAGGACATGGCTGGAGGGTCCAACCCCTCCCAGCATGGTCAGGAGGCAGAGCTGGGCCAGGGAGGATGGGACGATATTGGGCTTAGCTCTGCTCAGCAGCTGCTGGCCTAGGCACTGAGGACACGCATATGTCACCAGGACTTACCATGGCCACCTGCCTAAAGCCTAGAATCTAAAAGCTCAAAACCAAAGACATGACGTCACAGACAAACAAGTATTAAAAATATCACAGAAGTGGCCACGCATGGTGGCTCACACCTGTAATCCCAGCACTTTGGGAGGCTGAGGTGGGTGGATCACCTGAGATCAGGAGTTTGGGACCAGCCTGACCAATATGGTGAAACCCCATCTCTACTAAAAATACAAAAAAAAAAAAAAAAAAAATTAACTGGCATGGTGGTGCACACCTGTAATCCCAGCTACTTGGGAGGCGGAGACAGGAGAATTGCTTGCACCTGGGAGGCAGAGGTTGCAGTGAGCTGAGATCCTGCCACTGCACTCCAGCCTGGGCGACAGAACAAGACTCTCTCACAAAAAGAAAAAAAAACAAGAAACAAAAATCACAGAAGCAACAGTTTTATGACCTTAAAACATCTAACCAAGATTGTATAAATTACTCTGACCTATAGACCCAGGCAGAAATGTTTGAAATTCTGCAGATATTTTTATCTTATTTTACCAGAAGTTATTAAGTTTATTTCATTTTATTTTTTAGCCTTTTATTTTTCATCTAACTACTTTCTGTGAGTTTTTAAAATTTTAAATAGAGGTAGGGTCTTGTGTTGCCCAGGCTGGTCTCAAACTCCTGGCTTCAAGCGATCCTCCCACTTCGGCCTCCCAAAGTGCTGGGATTACAGGTGTGAACCACCATGCCTGGGCACCAACAGTTTTAAAACTAGTTTCATTTATCAAAGATTACTAAAGTCATGTGAACTTGAAAAGCATTTAGGCTTTTTTTTTTTTTTTTTTTTTTTTTTTTTTGAGACGGAGTTTCGCTCGTCACCCAGGCTGGAGTGTAACAATGGCGTGATCTTGGCTCACTGCAACCCCCGCCTCTCAGGTTCAAGCGATTCTCCTACCTCAGCCTCCCAAGTAGCTGGGATTACAGGCGCATGCCACCACGCCTGGCTAATTTTTTGTATTTAGTAGAGATGGGGTTTCACCATGTTGGTCAGGCTGGTCACGAACTCCTGACCTTGGCTGATCCACATGCCTCGGCCTCCCAAAGTGCTGGGATTACAGGCATGAGCCACCACGCCCAGCCTTTGGCTTATTAATAATGAGGACTTGCTTATTTGTAAGTCAGTTTGGTACCAAGTAGACAGTATACCAACAGACATGTATACACATGTATTAATACAAATACAAACAAACATAAATACAAATCTTATAGCTTTGATTTTTAAATTTTAGCCACAAGATAGGCAAAACTCACTGGTTTAAAAGGACAGTTAGACTAAATTATGCCACTGTAAATGGAACAAGTTATAGCTGAAGCCCTTACAGAGTTTTTGAGAAACCAGGGTAGCAAATTTATATTTCATTCAAAGCACAACGAGAGAAAGTAAGCATTTTAAAAGGAGCTCAGGTGTGTTAGAGGAAGATTAAAAATGAATGCCAAGATAACACAAAATCATAGGATTTCACTACAGGATTTTATAGAGACTATTGCATTTATATAGTTAACTTGTGGCCAGGCACGGTGGCTCATGCCTGTAATTCCAGCACTTTGAGAGGCCAAGGTGGGAGGATTGCTTAAGGCCAGGAGTTTGAGACCAGCCTGGCCAACATGGTGAAAACCCGTCTCTACTAAAAATACAAAAAATTAGCCGGGTGTGGTGGTGCACGCCTGTAATCCCAGCTACTCAGGAGGCTGAGGCACGACAATCACTTGAACCCAGGAGGTGGAGGTTGCAGTGGGTCGAGATCACACCACTGCACTCCAGCCTGGGCAACAAGAGCAAAATTCCATCTTAAAAAAAAAAGACCCTGTTGTCAATTCCTTTGTGTATAGCCCCAGAAGTGGAACTGCTGGATCGTGTGATAATTTGAGGAAACTTGTCTAGTTTTTAAAAGGAGTTAACTTTCACCAGTTTGATATTGATAATATTTTATATATTTATATATATATATATTTATTTATTTATTGAGACAGAGTCTCACTCTGTCTCCCAGGCTGGAGTGCAGTGGCGTTATCTCTGCTCACTGCAGCCTTTGCCTCTGGGGCTCAAGCGATTCTCTTGCCTCAGCCTCCCCAGTAGCTGGGATTTCAGGTGCACGCCACCATACCTGGCTAATTTTTGTATTTTTAGTAGAGACAGGGTTTCACCATGTTGGCCAGGCTGGTCTCAAACTCCTGACTTCAAGTGATCTGCCCGCCTCAGCCTCCCAAAGTGCTGGGATTATAGGCGTGAGCCACCACACCCAGCCAATATTGGTAATATTTTATAGGCATGTCACCAAACAGTTCCCCAGACGGCAGTGGCTGTAGGTAATACAAATAGTGAACACTGACTGAGCACTTGCTGTGGGTGGCTTGCTAACTGCTGGATTCCTCACAGCAACGCATTAGGTTTGGTGCTAGGATGACCCCCATTTGACAGATGAGACAGGGGCTGGGTAACTTGCTCAAGATCACACCCAGCTCACTGCGGTGGGTCTGGGATTCACACTCAGCTCTCTAGCTGCAGAACCCATGCTTACACCCCACCCCACCACCAAGCTGAACTGCCTGACTGCAGCAGGAGTCTCCAGAACCTGTTTTTTATTTCAAGCATAGTAAGAAATGGAGATGTGCTTATGTCAAAGAATATGGAATAGGCCAACGATTCCCGTCTTAAACATCCTATAACCTCCACATAGAACAGAGACCACACGAGACGCTGCTGGGCTGGCTGGGAGAGAACCTAGAGAGGGGGTGGGTAAGGGGAAAGGATGCGAGGCCTCATGATTCTAGAGACATCACTTTCAGATGGAGATAGCATGAGCTACCGCATTTAGAAATTTATTACTTCCAGATGTGGCTGCATTAAAGACGCAAGCACACCACAGCCCCAGGTCCCTCCCACCACCCCCAGCTTCGCTCCAACCCATGTGGAGCCCTGGAGGCCTGACTCTCTGGGTTCTCACGTCTCCAAATTCAGGATGCCCGGGATGGGCGGGACCAGGAGCGCTCAGCCCACTGGGCTGGCGCCCCCTGCTGCACGCGGAGAACACGATGGGGGAGCTGGGCCAGCACCTACCAGGGCGCTGGGCACCTGAGGGGTTTTCTTATCTCCAGATCTCAGAGCGACTCCCTGTAGGACTCCTGGGGAAAATACTTAGCCGGGTCGGATTACAGGTTTGTATCTTGTCACTTGAAGCCCTAACTCTTCTTTTGGAGGATGGCTCTGTCTTTGTGAATGAACCAAACCAGGGGCCTGGCATCATCTGAGAGCCCCTCATCCCCACGCCCAGGCCCTTCCCTTTGCTGGTTCCTTCGCTACTCTGGCTCCAGGACCCTGTCCCTTCTCACCTGGGTAGCTCCCAGCAGGCCCTGCTGCCTGCCTCAGCCACCCCTATCGATCCCAGCAGCCCAAGCCCTCTGGGTCTGCCTGCTACTTCCAAGACTGAGTTCAGCACAGCCTGGGCCTCTGCTCTGTCCCTGCTGTTGTCAGCTCCCAGAATGTGCTGTGCCCACTCCCCAGCTGTCCCTCCTCCTGTCCTGCCCAGCCCTCCTGGATCCCTGCTGCGCTGTGTCACTCCCCCTGCACTGTGATCCCTGCCCCTGCTCGACTGTGTGAGGCAGAAGGGCCAGGAGCAGGGACCCGAGGCCACCTGCTCTGAACCCCAGCCTTACAAAAGCCCCGCTGGCGACAGATCTGTTTCGATTACTCAGATGGAATTTGCTGTTCTTGTCCATCTCGTGGAATCTAGGTTGCGCCTCTCTTGATGTCAGCTCCAAGTCCCAGCTGCGTCCCCGCCCCACTCCCCTGGGCCCTGCCGCCGCCACATGGGGTGGAGGGCTGCCAAGAATACTATTTATCCAGCCCTGGGAGGGCCATGCTTGTCATTCTCCCCGAGTTCCTGTTTTCTCTGGCTCGGGGGCCTGGTGCTTACAGACATGCTGCTCCAGTTAAACTATCTACAACAGGCATGCACGGCTTTAAACCAGAACACAGAAACCTGGTCTCCTTGGGAAGCAGGAGTTTATTTTTATCCTTTTGTAAGTATTAACTCGGTAATCACAACAAACACGGAGCAATCTCAATGCTGTTTATCCGGAGGACAGTCTGCGGGGTCGTGACGACTGAAAGAAAGGATGTCACAGGCTTGACCACAGACCCTGACTGTTGTCATCAGTTACAGCAGGGGCTCTGCACACAGCCCTCCCCAGCCAGCGCGACCCCGGCAACGTCCCCTGCTGCACATGGCCGTGTTTATCTCCAGGTGTGCACTGACTGCCTCGCTAGCTTGTTCGTTCACTCTGTTGGCAGGTGCAGAGGCTGGGACACCAGACGCCTCATGGCCAGGAGTGCCCTGCGCTGGCACCTCACCTCTCCTCCCACACTGTCTATGCTGTGACTTCTGGAGTGCGTGGGAGGATGGCCCCACCTGAGTGACCTTGAGGCTACCTGGAAGTGTCAGAAGGTACATGAGAGGCTCCCCTACCCAGATGACTCTAAGGTGACAGCCAATACCAGTATTCTGGGTATATTTAACTATGCCCACTGTTGGTGGTTTAGGCCGGCAACTGCAGTTATAGCAAGAGCTGTGAGGGACAGAATTCTGCAGCCGCTCAGCTATGTGGCCCATGCCCCGTGGGTGCCATCCCTCAGGATGCCCACTATGGGGGATGTCCTCAGTGCAGACCTGCTAGGACAGCCCTACACCTGCTTGCGGATTCACTGCTGCTTTGGGGACAGTGCTAGGCGTCATGGGTTGGAACAAAGTGGGGTCATGCGTGGAGGGTGGAGGAGAAGGGGAGCGAGGTGGGGTCACGCGTGGAGGGTGGAGAAGGGGAGCGAGGTGGGTTCACGCGCGGAGGGTGGAGGAGAAGGGGAGCGAGGTGGGTTCACGCGCGGAGGGTGGAGGAGAAGGGGAGCGAGGTGGGTCACGCGCGGAGGGTGGAGGAGAAGGGGAGCGAGGTGGGGTCACGCGCGGAGGGTGGAGGAGAAGGGGAGCGAGGTGGGGTCACGCGCGGAGGGTGGAGGAGAAGGGGAGCGAGGTGGGGTCACGCGCGGAGGGTGGAGGAGAAGGGGAGCGAGGTGGGGTCACGCGCGGAGGGTGGAGGAGAAGGGGAGCGAGGTGGGGTCACGCGCGGAGGGTGGAGGAGAAGGGGAGCGAGGTGGGGTCACGCGCGGAGGGTGGAGGAGAAGGGGAGCGAGGTGGGGTCACGCGCGGAGGGTGGAGGAGAAGGGGAGCGAGGTGGGGTCACGCGCGGAGGGTGGAGGAGAAGGGGAGCGAGGTGGGGTCATGCGCGGAGGGTGGAGGAGAAGGGGAGCGAGGTGGGGTCACGCGCGGAGGGTGGAGGAGAAGGGGAGCGAGGTGGGGTCACGTGCGGAGCGTGGAGGAGAAGGGGAGCGAGGTGGGGTCACGCGTGGAGCGTGGAGGAGAAGGGGAGCGAGGCTGGACCCTCTGGGTGCTCCCTCTAGGATGAGGGTGGCAAGTGGGCAGTGGCAGCCAGGTTGAGACCTGCCTGGGCTTCCTGTCCCGAGACCCACGTGCCCCACACCCTCCGTCCGCATGCGCCTGGGCAACCAGCACCGTGCAACAGGGCCCAGCGGTACTTTCTCTAACTTACTTCTTTTCTTCTTGAAGTTTTTCCTTTTCCTGAATCTCATAATGATTCTTGGCCATGATTCTGTCTTTTCAATGACTGTGGCTTCTACTCGAACAAGATCCTTTCTAGAAGGAAGAAAAATCAACAATAATGTACCTTTTGGATTATTTTTCAAATGCCTTAGGTGAGAATTTCTAAAATGAAGTTATACTTTCTCTTTTGTTGATTATAAAAGTAATACGCCCTCAATGGAAACATTTTGAAAACCACGAAAAAGGACCACAAAGAACAGTTCCAGGGAGTCTGAACAAATCTTCAGAGGACCACACTGTCATGAAACAGCAAGAGACCAATAATTTGGTCTGGATGTTCTCATGGGCCCTAAATGTCCACTATTATTAAGTATAAATGTTGTGTTTGGTGTCAACAAAGAATATGAATGCAACTCCCCACCTGGCCTAATTGCACTGTGACCACTGTCTGCATGTCCAGCCCTGGAGCCCCAGACAAAGCCCAGCACTTCACAGCCATTACCCGAGGAGTGGCTTGCCAAGCAGCGTGAAGTTGTCTGCCCCAACCAGCAGGACCTGAAAAATTCAACAGGTGTGTTTCATCAGTGGCTCATTACGATGAGTAAGAACAGTTGCTAATAACAGGTAGTGATGTCAACACCACACAAAATGAGAAAGACTGAAAACATTGTGACATGAATTTCATCTGCTGTCTAATGATCTCTTTAATATCTACAACCGGGGCTGTGAGCTGACAAGTGGCAGCACTGCACAGCCGTGGGGCTGCCTAAGGGAAATGCTCCAACCCTCAGAGGAGACGCACAATTTGATTATTAGATACCATGGATATGCATCCAGATAGCTGCTGTAATCCTCATACCAACGGTGACTTCAAAAACCCTTTCTATCTCCGGCCAGGTGCGGTGGCTCATGCCTGTAATCCCAGCACTTTGGGAGGCCGAGGTGGGTGGATCACAAGGTCAGGAGATGGAGACCATCCTGGCTAACACGGTGAAATTAGTCTCTACTAAAAAAATACAAAAACTTAGCTGGGCGTGGCGGCATGCACCTGTAGTCCCAGCTACTCAGGAGGCTGAGATTGCACCACTGCACTCCAGCCTGGGCGACAGAGCGAGACTCTGTCTCAAAGAAAACAAATAAACAAAAAAAAACAAAACCCTTTCTATCAAAGCATAACATAGAGAGAAAAAGCACAAATCATACCATTGTGTCTCTTGGCGCAGTTTACAGTTCTACTAATATTGCAATGATTGAGGCTCTCCTGTATTCTTTTAACGACTGCAAAATTCTCAAGAGCCAGGCAACCATTCTCAATGCCGGGAAATCACGACACCAAGTGTGGCTGCAGATGAAGACATCTTTGCTTCCAAATGCAACAGTGTTCTTTCTTCTTTTTGTGACCCAGAGTCTCGCTCTGTCACCCAGGCTGGAGTGCAGTGGCGTGATCTTGGCTTGCTGCAACCTCTGCCTCCCAGGTTCAAGTGATTCTCCTGCCTCAGCCCCCTGAGTAGCTGGGACTACAGGCGCCCACCACAAACCCCGGCTAATTTTTTTTGGTATTTTTATTAGAGATGGGGTTTCACCATGTTGGCTAGGCTGGTCTCAAACTGACCTCAGGTGATCTGCCCGCCTCGGCTTCCCAAAGTGCTGGGATAACAGGCGTGAGCCACCACGCACGGCCTACAGTGTTTTTATTAGATGTTGGAGATCATCTTAAATTTTACTGATAAGAAAAAATCCAATCATACTCAACTTAAATGTCTAGAGACAAAGTATATCATATAACAAACTCAGCGGACACGCATGTTAGATAGTGACAAATAATAAAATAAGTATTTTTAGAGTTTGTTTCAGCATGACATGTGCACTCCCACTGGGTTTCCTGTTATAAAAAACAATCTGCTTAGGAGGGGCTTTCTAGAATTTTTTGTTAATGTGAAATGTTTCAAATATGCAAACATCTGCCTTCAGAGGAGGAGCTTTAATTCATAAAGAAAACCATGTAACTTATATTGATAATTAAGCATCCCAGAAAAATTACCTGTTGCAGAGGTAATTATAATTTTATAAAAAGAGTGGGCAGGCCGGGCGTGGTGGCTCACGCCTGTAATCCCAACACTGTGGGAGGCCGAGGCGGGCAGACTGCCTGAGGTTGGGAGTTCAAGACCAGCCTGACCAACATGGAGAAACCCCATCTCTACTAAAAATACAAAATTAGCCAGGCATGGTAGTGCATGCCTGTAATCCCAGCTACTCAGGAGGCTGAGGCAGGAGAATCACTTGAACCCGGAAGGCAGAGGTTGCAGTGAGCCGAGATTGTGCCACTGTACTCCAGCCTGGACAACAAGAGCAAAACTCCTTCTCAAACAAACAAACAAAAAAAAAGAGTAGGCAAAAATCAAATAGACGCCCCCAGCAAATAGAATCATAGCTGAAGGCTAGAAATGCCTAGCTAAATAAACAGACTGGCCAGGCACGTTGGCTCATGCCTATAATCCCAGCGCTTTGGGAGGCCAAGGCAGGTGGATCACCTGAGGTCAGGAGTTCGAGACCAGCCTGACCAATATGGTGAAACCCCATCTCAACTAAAAATATAAAAATTAGCAGGGCGTGGTGGCATGCACCTGTAATCCTAGCTACTCGGGAGGCTGAGGCAGGAGAATCACTTGAACCCAGGAGGTGGGGGTTGCAGTGAGCCAAGACTGCGCCATTGCACTCCAGCCTGGGTGACAGAGCGAGACTGAGTCTGAAAAATAATAATAAACAGACAAACCATGCAGTTTTTTTTGAGACAGGGTCTCGCTGTGTTGCCCAGGCTCGAGTGCAGTGGCCAATCACGGCTCACTGCAGCCTCAACTTCCCAGGCTCAAATGATCCTTCTACTTCAGCCCCACAAATAGCTGGGACTACATGTGTGTGCCACCATGCCCACCTAATTGTTTGGAATTTTAGTAGAGATGAGGTCTCTGAGGTCTCACCATGTTGCCCAGGCTAGTCTTGAACTCCTGAGTTCAAGCAATCCCCCACCTTGGCCTCCCAATGTGGTGGGTCACCAGTGTGAGCCACCATGCCTGGCCTAGACCATGCAGTTTTGAATGGTCGGTGAGGTAAATTAGCACCCAGGGAAATGCCTGTCAACCAGTGTTTACTATTTAAAAACAGCAGCAGCTGTCAAAGCTAATGACAGAGTACTGTCTTAGCAGAAACTTAACAGTTTTTTCCTCATAGACAGGGGCTATAAAGTGCACTACATCCTTAACCGGGATTTTTATTATCTTTGCAATCAAGCATTTTTCTATGGGAATATACTAATAAGACTGGAACACAATAAAGACATGTTTCTGCCCTCAGCACTGTTTTATGTGCTGTCTCCCTTCCTCCAGGGAGCAGACCTGCTGGGCCAGGCACCGCCCTCAGAGCAGTGGAAGCCTGCCCTGCCCTTGGACCCCAGCCCCGCCGTGGGCGCCCCCCAAAGTCCCTTCTGAGCCTCAGCTTTGTTGGCCTCCACCTGAGACGGGGTCGGCGAGGGTCCCTCCTCCGTGTGAGCTGGGGCGTGGAGATTACATACTTGGTGGCTGAGTCCCTGAATATCCAGAGAAGCTCGGTGGTCTCACCTTCTCCAGTCGAATTCTCTCTCCACACGCAAGGTCTAGTTCATTTCCAATTAAGATCAGGTCTTCAGAGGTCACCTTCCACTGGCGGCTGGCAAAGTGCACCACGGCAAAGAGCCTGCCATACTGCCCCGTGACGATCATCTCATTCACCTTCTTCACGACCTCTGCAGGGGAAGGCGGGTGGGTGGGCAGTCACCCTCACCTGCTCCCCCACGCGCTGCAGTGTGATGTGCAGCTCCTGGTGGTGGGGCCCTAGGGTGGACCTGACAGCCAGCACCCCTTGTGAGCACCTCACTGCTGGCGGCCCAGCCCCTGCTCCACCCCCTGCAGGCACAAGGGCAGGCACAGGGTCAGTCTGCTGCTTCAGGAGCACCAGCACTGTGGCACATGGGGCTTTCACAGAAGGAAGCTCCCCAAGACTGCAGAGAACGCCCAAACCGCCTCATGCAACTCCCTCGCCTAAGCACTCGGCACGCCTGGCTAGGTTTCTACAACTCTAGGGTGGGCGAAACCCTCCACCTGGTTCATTCTCATGAGAATGAGGAGCCAGCAGACCAGAAGTGTGCAAACCCCAGGAAGCGAAAGGAGAGGACTTTGCAATGAGGAGCCCCCCGTATCCCAACCCCATATCCCACCCCTGGGGCAGGACGCGTTCCCCCTGCACGCCTGTGCCCAGAGGGGCTCCGTGCTCAGTTCCTGTTATCTCTGCTCTGACCCAGGTCACAGTCCCCTCTCTTCTGCACCGTTTACTCTGAACAAGCATTTAATGGGCACCGACCCCCCGGCCTGACCGAGGGCGAGACACACAGAAGGGACGACAGAGTGCCTGCCCTGGAAACACTGTCAACACCAGAAGCACCAGCACCGAGGGTGAAACTCTTGGCAGACTTGTTTCACTCGCACGGAATCTCAAACGGTATTTAACATATAAGAAGATTCCACTCGAGGATCTTGATTTCCAGTGTTCTGGAAAGCGAGGATCATGGCAAGAGTGGCTAATGATCCTGTCCCTTCTGACACGGGCTCCAGGTCGACATGAGTCCTGATACCTCTGCATGTTTCTCCAACAGCCCGGGTGGCACCGGCTTCCAGTAATTGTGCTTAACTGTGCTAACTGGGGAGAGCTGTCGCTGCACCCACCAACAGAAGCAGACGAGATGGAGCAGGGGCCCCCTGCCCTCAATTATGCCACCTGCCTGCAGTGTGGCAGGTGTTCAAGGAGTAGTTAATGAAAAACATCTGAAATTCTGGTGTTAACTGGTGAAAATGGACATGAGTGCTGGCACTGTGCTGTGTCTGGGAGCATCTGGAAACATGAAGCCTCGTTCTGTGGCCTGGTGACAACCTCTGTGGCTGACTGGAGCAGGGTCTAGGTGGTGCCCTCTAGCTTCTGTCTCCCAGGGAGGTCTTACCTGCATGGTGTCTGGTCTCCTCAACTGGGTCTGGCAGAACAACTTCTGGCCAAGGTGGTGAACTCAGGGATGTTTTAGGAACATATCTGTAAAACACATTTCGTAGACAAATGTCACAAGCACCTGAAAAGGCAGCTCAAATCCTCTAAGAAATGGCCACACACAAATGTTAGGAAGGGATCCCCGGCAACAAAAGGCTCGCTCTTTCGGACAGGCCCCGCCCCTCTGGGGTAACCCCGAGGACAGGCTCCCTGTATCCTTTTAGAACCACAGGGAACAATGGCTCATCATTCAATAATCAAAGCAGGAACTCTCATTGTTCTGCAAAAGAGCCCTCACTTGGGTACTTCTCAGTGCTGGAAGGGTGCCCATCCAAGAAGGCTGGGCTTGTGGTGTCTTGGGGCACATTTATCTTGGAGGCACAGGCTGCCTCTACTTTCCCCACAACCCAGGACACAGGGCCAGCAGCTCTCCCGCCTCCCTTGGCATCCAGTGGCCCTGGAATGGCAGCTCCAATGACCCTTCACCACATCCTGCTCAAACAGGACCATGACGTTCCCTGCTCCACCTCCACCTCCTCCTAGGTAGGTGCCTGCTCTTCCTTCACACCCAGG
This sequence comes from Homo sapiens, assembly GCF_000001405.40. NCBI lineage: Eukaryota > Metazoa > Chordata > Mammalia > Primates > Hominidae > Homo > Homo sapiens. The sequence continues at coordinate 68,898,541 of NC_000011.10, forward strand.
TGAGTGCCAGGCAGAACTGGCTCGGAACCCCAGACAATTCTGTGTCCTGGTGTCTACAACTGAGCAAATGGGAAAACAAGCACCCGCCTGAAAGGGCTGTGTTAGGTATTAGATGGCTACTGTTCACAGCCGGTCCCAGCATGGCCAGTGAGGGTCGGGTGTTAGGAGTGCTCAGTCTCAGCAGCTATAGCACTGCGGTCCCCAGCCACTTCCCCTCCCCACCCTCAGGATGCCAAGCTTGGTGCGGGCAATGCCTTTTTTTTTTGAGACGGAGTCTCGCTCTGTCACCCAGGCTAGAGTGCGGTGGCATGATCTCAGCTCACTGCAACCTCTGCCTCCAGGGTTCCAGCGATTCTCCTGCCTCAGTCACCTTAGTAGCTGGGATTACAGGCACATGCCACCACATCTGGCTAATTTTTGTATTTTTAGTAGAGATGGGGTTTCGCCACATTGGCCAGGCTGGTCTCGAACTCCTGGCCTCAAGTGATCCGCCCACCTCGGCCTCCCAAAATTCTGGGATTACAGGCATGAGCCACCGTGCCCAGCCCAAGATCTTCTTCATTTCCTAACTCTCCCCTGCCTGCTCAGCCTCAGGTAGGTGGAGGGGAGAGGAAGGGAGGAAAGAAAGAGGGGGGCCTAGATTCAAAAGGAGGTGGGGTCTTTCTTTCTGTAGTCTACAAAGAGGGAGGGTAGGTAGATCCCAAACCGAATTATTCAGAACCGTTTTTAAGCTTTTATTGCTGCTGCCACTGCAAAGTAAAATTTCAGTCTTTCTACTCCAGGGTTGCATTAGGAGGAAGAAAACGACTTGCTCCATATGCAAAATGCACCGGCCTCCACACCAAAGACCAGGCCCACCCGTCCTGTTGGCTGGCGCGCAGGAGGGGCTCCACACCAATCTGGGAGAGGAATGAATGCTTTCCCAGTGGGGTAGGGCTTGGAGCTCCTAGAGACATGAACTCCGTGATCTGTGGTTGGTCAATGACCTTGAGAGACAAGGAGGACAAGGAAGGTGCTGCTCTCTACAAAACGTCTTTGACCTGTTTGATGTCTAGTCTCCCCATACGGGTTCAGCAGTGCCCAGTGTGAGAAGAACACGCTGGCAGGAAGGTGCTAACCTCTCACACAGGACACAGGGGTAGTAGGCACAACCTACCCACATGCTCACTTACAACTTCTTCCTATGCTCAGAATGTTTTGCCGCTTCTTTGAGAAGCAAGAAAGACTCCCACATCTCCCCACTGCAGAGGATCCCTGGAGTCCCAGCAGCAGTTCCAGCAGCCAATGTTTTGTGAGTGCTGACTGTATGCCAGGCACTGTTCTAAGAGCTTTAAATGTATACATTTACTTAATCCTCTCCAACACCCATGCAGATAGAAATGAACATTACTTCCATCTTGCAGAAGCCTGGCGTCCCAGGCTGTGAGGGGCAGCCGGAACTGCACCCCGGGGGGGTCCCTACAGTAACTGCTATCCCTGCACTGCTCCTGTGTCTCCCACCAGTGAGTGGAACTTTGTCGAATGTTTTCTGCAGTTTATGATACCTAAAAATGTTTTCTCAAGTATAAAATTTTAACACTGAATGTGCTTTTTCAAATAATGAGTTTCTCTTAGAGACTCTGATACAAACTTCCTCATCAGAAATCTTGAGTTAAGACTTCAAGCTCCTCCATAATAAAAGAGAGCAAACACATACAGAATTTCTCTTTGGTCTCTTGCAGTTACGTCTTCTTTTAAGGGTCTCAGAAAAATACCGTCAAAAAAGTTAAAGCTGAAAGTGGTGGTGCATGCCTGTAATCCCAGCTACTCAGGAGGCTGAGGCGGGAGGACCACTTTAGGCCAGGAGTTCAAAACCAGTCTGGGAAACATAGTGAAACTCTGTCTCTTAAAAACAAAAGAGGAAATTTAAATATTATTGAGAACCAAAAGGTAGGAAGTTTTGACTTTAGAAAGATGGTTCTACAAATGAAAGGAAAAGAGGCACCAAAACCCACATTTTGATATTACCCTGGTAGATATGAAGTGCTCTGTGAATTGAACCTTCGAGAAGCAGACCAAAGGGAGGCTGAGGGAAGAAGAGAAACACAGATCATTACCATTAATACTACAAATGCAAACTGCCCTTTATGATGCTAAATGCACAGCTGCTGCTCCTGGTACATGGTATGAACCACTGCATGACAGCCTGCCCACAGAAACACCTAGGTGAGCAAAACTACAAGAACGTCACTTACAGCTACTGGTTATATGTGTTGAGATCAGTTAGCCACATCATCTACAAGCGCCTGAGACCAGAACCACCCGTCCACTAACTCATGCCTTGACTAAGTGCCTGGTAGGTTCAGACTCTGATCTGTGCCCAAGCGTGGGAGCAGCCTCCAAGATGGCCCTGCTGGGCCCCGCCTCCTGCTATTCTTACCCCTGTTAGCCCCCTGGGAGTGGCCTGTGTGTCCAACAGCTAGTGACAGACATGCTAGCACGTGGCTTCTGGGATGAGGTGATAACCAACTGGGACTTCCATCTTGGATGCCTGTGCTCACCCTTTCTGATCTCTGGCCTTAGGGCTGCCCTGCTGTGAGCAGCCCTACCTAGAGGTCCACATGGCGGGGAACTAGGCCTATCGCCAACACCCATGGGAACGACCTTGCAGGTAGATTCTCCAGCCGCTGGCGCAGTGGAGTCTTGAGATAACTACAGCCCCTGCAGACTTGCTTGCTGCAAGCTAAGACCCTGAGCCAGAACCAGCCACTTAAGCTGCTTCTGTGTTCCTGGCTCTCAGAACTGGTGTGAGTTAATAAATGTTTTAAGCTGCTAAGTTTTGGGGTAATTTCTGATGTAACCGTAGATAACGCATACACCAGGAATACACCAGGAAACAAAGACATTCAATCTACTGAGAAGACAGGGGATCAAAATAAGTGCTTAGGTGTAAAAAGCAGAGAACAGTTTCTCAATAACCACTTTTAAAGAAACTCAGCTATAATTTACACACCATAAAAACCACCTTTTTAAAGTTCACCCATTAGCACCAGCTCCCCATTTGCATCTCCTCGGCTGCTTTCTCCTCTCCTCTCCCATTTGGGCATCCGGGGCTCAACCCTTGGCCTTGACCTCCTCTCCGCCCATGGCCATTCCTCTGGTGACTGCATCCAGTCCGATGGATTTAAACACCCCCAATGTGCTGGTGACTCCCAAGTTTACACCTCCAGCCAGGGCTTCTCTCCTGGTTTTGCATACCCACCTATCTATCTGCCTTAGCCACTCGTGTCTGACGAGCACCTCACACCTCCAGAGGCTCCTCATTTCTTCCCATGCCTGCTTCTCCCACACTCCTCCCTCTCACATGAGGGCAACTTCATCCTCCCAGTTGCTCAGGCCCCAAACCTCCATCAGTTTTGACTCTTCTCTCGCACACTACTCAGTCAACCCATTGGCAAATCCATCCCACTATTAAAAACTTAGCAGGCTTCTGTACCTAATTTGCTTCTAGCTTTGTTTTTGGGTCCCCAGGGAACAAACAGTCTCCTTCCTCTCCCACAGGATTTCCTTTAGGTAGTCCTAGAGACTGTGACTGTGTACTTCCATCACGTCTCCTTTGCTCACTCTTCAAGGCCCCAGCTGCTCACTGTTTTGGTCACCTTGTCTCTACTCGCTTCACTGTGTGTCTTTCTCTCCTAATGCGTGAGTCTGTACTTGAACATAGCATTGGAGGGGTGGTTTCATGTAGGTAGGTAGAATGGAGTAAGTCCCACTGCTTTTGTAAAAACTTTCCTGCCTACTTAAACCTAAGTTTTATTATGGAAAATGTCAAGCATACAAAAGTAAAGAGAACAGAATAGTGAACTCTCTCAATTATCCCTTTCCAGGTTCAACAGTTACCAACTCATGGCCAATTTTGGCATCTACATTGCCTCTGGCCCAACTCTGTGATTATTATTAATTTCTTAATAGACTTTATTTTTTAGCACAGTTTTAGTTTCACACCAAAATTGAGTGGAAGGTACAGAGAGTTCCCATATGTCCCCTGTCCATGTGCCCACAGCTTCCTATCAACATCCCTCACCAGAGTGGTACAATCTTTACAATTGATGAACCTACATTGACACATCATTGTTATCCAAAGTCCATAGTCTACATTAGGGGTTCACCCTTGGTAGTGTACATTCTATGGATTTGGACAAACTTATAATGACATGTATCTACCATTATATCATACAGAATAGTTTCACTGCCCTAAAAATCCTCTGAGCTCCACCTATTTATCCTTTTCTCCCCCAATCCTCTTACCCCCCATGTAACTTTTTACTGTCTCCTTAGATTTGCCTTTTCCAGAATGTCATAGTGGGAAACATACAAGATGTCCCCTTTTCAGGTTGGCTTCTTTTACTTAGTAACATGTATGTAAGTTTCCTCCATGTCTCTTCATGACTCATTTCTTTTTATTGCTGCATAATATTCTACTGTATGGATGTCCTACAGTTTATGTAACCATTCATCTCCTGAAGGACATCTGGGTTGCTTCCAAGTTTTGGGAATTATGGTACTATTCTTTTAATATCGTCCAATATAGAGTTAGATCCAGTTTTCCATTTTTGGGGGTCATGGTGAGACATGAAACCCAGGTTTAAAACATACATAAACACTCATGCACACAAATACACACTCCAACCATTTTCAAGCAGAGATTTATAGAGTTTTTAACGGACATAACCTTTTTGGAGCCTCGTATCAGCCCAGCGCCTTAAATACGGCTGTTTCTTTTGCAGAATGAGTTCAGATTAGGCGAGGATATCCATCACCATTTTTCAGACCAGCTCGCAGCCTGGGGGCAGTGGTTCAAGCACAGGCTTTGGAGCCGAAATGACTGCGCCTGAAGTACTCTTCTTCCACTTCCCCGCTGTGTGACCCTGGGCACGTTACCTAGCTCCTCTGAGCCTCACTCTTCTCCCCCATAACATAGGGCCTATACCAAAGTTCAAGGGCTATTGTCAGTATTCAGGCTACTAACTGAAGGAATCAAAATCTGAACCTGGGTTCCCCCGACTCCAAAACCCGTGCTATATTCACCACAAATGCGATCAACACACAAGGCACCAGGTCGGACCCAGGCACATACGTGGCGAGACCGCAGGGAGCAGCGCTCGCTCTGCGTCCTCCCTTCCTCCCATATCCCAGGTCTCACCTGCTCCGGGCCCCGAAGGTCTCAGGATGCTGTGGCTGCACGCGGACGCCAGCCGCCCTAAGGTGACCGTCAGGGAAGATGCTGCCATGGCCGCAGCCTCGGCCGGAAACGGAAACGACGCGAACCGCGTGCGTAACGCACGGGCCCGGCGGGGAACACCGGTCCGCTGTAACACCGGCCCGGCGCAGAAGCGGGACGTCGGCTTCTAGGGGCCCAGGCCGGCGGCGGCGATGGCCTCGGCAGCTGTGGAGAGCTTCGTGACCAAGCAACTGGACCTGCTGGAGCTTGAGAGAGACGCGGAGGTGGAGGAGCGCAGGTACGGGAGGCCGCCGGCGCCGCTCCCTCGCGGTCGGTCCCGCCGTGTCCCGGGCAGAGTCTCCGAGGGGCTCGGCCTCATAGTCTGGGGCGGGAATTTCGTCTCCGACCCTTCGAGTCAGGGGCAGGGATCGTCCGTCCCCTGCTTGGCCACCTCCCGAGTTGTCAGTCTCATCACTTCCTGGGCAGCGCGTTCCGTTTGGGGACCCTTAAGAAGCACTTTGATTTCCCGACCCGAGACCCCCCACTAAGCTTACACTCCTGGGCCCTGGCCCCGACCCCAGTTCCACCCGCAGCGAGTTAGCAGCCCTTTCCCTTATTCATTCAGTAAACATGGTTTGCGCCCATTCTCAGTCAGGCCCCGGCAGCATGAGTCAGGTGCACTGGCTGCCCCCGATCCGGCCAGCGGCGGGCTGGGCATAAGCAGAGAGTCCCTTCCCCTCCAGTGCGTCCAGGGCCGGCTGCGTGCGTGTCGCGGGGAAAGAGCCTGGAGGAGGAAGGCCCTTCCCTGGGGAGGGTCATGGTGGCTTCAAGGAGGGAGTGGTGCCTGAAGGAAAATTGGAGTTAAGCTGGTGGGTGCGGAGTAGGGTGGGGAGCCGTCCTGAGAGGTGTGGGGAGCCATGTGAGAGCCGGGCTTGTTTCCGAATGGGACTATTTACTTGTCCAAAACAATCAGAGCTAACACTTACGTACTTTCCATGCGTTAATTCTTTTACACCTCATCCCATGCCAACCCTACAGTGTAAGTTTCTTTTTTTTCTTTTTCTTTTTTTTTTTTTTAGACAGAGTCTCTCTCTGTCGCCCAGGCTGGAGTGCAGTGGCACGATCTCGGCTTACTGCAGCTTCCATCTCCCGGGTTCAAGCGATTCTCCTGCCTCAGCCTCCTGAGTGGCTGGGACTACAGGCGCGCCACCACGTCCTGCTAATTTTTTGTATTTTTAGTAGAGACAGGGTTTCACCATGTTGGCCAGGATGGTCTCGATCTCCTGACCTCGTGGTCTGCCCGCCTTGGCCTCCCAAAGTGTTGGGATTACAGGCGTGAGCCACCGTGCCCGGCCGCAGTGTAGGTTTCTGTTACTGTCATTTTCCGTCTAAGGAGATGGAGACAGAGAGGGGTTAAGTAACTTGCCCCGGGGTGACACAGTGTAGCCCGATTTGCTGTCAGGCAGTCTGCTTCCAGAGTTTGCAGTCAGCCATATGTGGGTAGGATTTGTCTGAGATGCTTTTGATCATGGCAATGGAGAGCTTTTGCAGTTATGTTGAGTTTCTTAGAATCCCAGCTGTTTCATTTATGGCTGTGTGACTTTGCAGGTTCTGTCTCTGAGCCTTACTTACTTCATCTGTAAAACTGGGATGATTCCCACCTCACAGGCTTGCTCTGAGAATGAAACGATCCCCTGTCAGTCAGGTGCTCAGCGTGGTGCCAAGGACAGAGTCAGCCCCCATGGCAGTGGCTCTTTCTGAGGATGCTGAGCAGACTGGCAGGGCGAGCCTGGGAAGGGCCTGGCTAAGGAGCTAGTCTTCTGTTCTGTGTATGAAGGATGGGCCATCAGCGGGGTTAAGCAGGTGAGGGAGGCGAATAGCTTTGCATTTTAGGAGGATTTCTTGGGTCTCCTGCTTTTGATTGGACGTGGAGAGGCCAGAGGTAAGGTAGTTGAGAGGCTCTGTTTAGTCCAGGTGAGCAGTGATGTGGATTTGAACCGGGGCTGTGGCAGCCAGGATGAGAGGCAGAGAAGTCCAGGTAGAAATGGGAGGGGCCTGATAGGACTTAGTGACAGATGGGAGGAGAGAGGGGAATGCTGATTGAAAGATCTGTCTCAGGTAACTGAGAGAAGGGTTGTGGCATTAACTGCCCTAGGGGGATGTAGGAGGAGCGGGATTGGGAGTGGAGCCAATTCGGAGTTCCATTGGGACATATTTAGTGCCTGTGAGTAGATCTTTATCTATGTTTCTTTCTCTTTTACTTTTCCTGGGTGGGTGGAAGTAGAAACTAGTAAAAATCCTGAAGCATCAATACCGGGTGTCTTCCAGGTCCTGGCAGGAGAACATCTCTCTGAAAGAGCTCCAGAGCCGAGGCGTGTGTTTGCTGAAGCTGCAGGTATCCAGCCAGCGCACTGGGCTGTACGGACGGCTGCTGGTCACCTTTGAGCCCAGGCGATACGGGTCCGCGGCAGCTCTTCCCAGTAACAGCTTTACTTCTGGTGTGTGCGTATTGACCTAGACAGACATTGAAATTTACTGGCATTCAGACCGTGACTTGTACCCTCGTAAAGACTGGATTAAAATGACCAGTTGGAGAATAAAGCGTTGCAATGAAGAACTCTTAATCAGAAGTCCAACAATTGATGTGGGTTTTAGTTGTCTAGATCAGCGTTGTCCAAAATGGTAGCCATTAGCCATGCGTGGTCATCAAATGTTTGAAGTGTGGCTTGTAATTGCCGCAGATACAGAATACACACCAAATTTGGAAGATTATGTTAAAAAAACAATTGGGAATATCTTGAGTAATTTTTCTGAATACTGATTACATGTTGAAATAATATTTTTCATATATTGGGTTAAATAAAAAATATCTTATTAAAATAATTTACCCATTTCTTTTCTTTTTTTTTTTTTTTTTTTGAGACAGAGTTTCGCTCTTATTGCCCAGTCTGGAGTGCAGTGGCATGATCTCGGCTCACTGCAACCTCCGCCTCCGGGGTTCAAGTGATTCTCCTGCCTCAGCCTCCCGAGTAGCTGGGATTAGAGGCATGCGCCACCGTGCCTGGCTAATTTTGTATTTTTAGTAGAGACGGGGTTTCTCCATGTTGTTCAGGCTGGTCTCGAACTCCCAACTTCAGGTGATCCGCCTGCTTTGGCCTCCCAAAGTGCTGGGATTACAGGTGTGAGCCAGTGCACCCAGCCTCTTTTAAATTTCTTAATATGGCTACTAGAAAACTTAAAACTACACGTGACTGGGTGCCTGTAATCCTAGCACTTTGGGAGGCCGAGGTGGGTGGATCACTTGATCTCAGGAGTTCGAGACCAGCCTGGGCAACGTGGCAAAACCCCATCTCTGCAAAAAAATAGAAAAATTAGCCAGATGTGGTGGTGTGTGCCTGTAGTTCCTGCTACTTGATGGGCTGAGGCAGGAGGATCGCTTGAACCTGGGAGGTTGAGGCTGCAGTGAGCTGAAATCACGCCACTGCACTCTAGCTTGGGGGCAAAGTGAGACCCTCTCTCAAAACAGACAAAAACAAAAGAAAAACTACATGTGACTCTCTTTATGTTTCTATGTAATGGGCAGCCTTGGTCCAGCTGGTAAACATGCAGGATGTGTACTTCTGTATTCCCAACCCTTTCTTGTGCCAAGCATGCTTTGGCTAAACTTGTGCCAGCCTGGTTGGAAAGGAGGGACAGTTAGAAGAAGCTTCTTAACCACACGCCTGGGATGCTTGTGTTAGACAACCACAGCCTTGGAAGCCTGGAGGAAGCAGCGTTGCCAGGGCTGTACTTTTTACTATGGAAGTGTCTCTGCCTTGTTTTGGTGGTGACGGAGTTTTAAATTTCATATTTTGATTTCGTAGACTTTAGCCCAACAATTACTGGAATACTGGCTGGATTTGGAGAAGATGAGATGAGGGTATTGAGAGAGGAGAGGGCCAGGAGGGGAACCTGTAGGTTGGAGTCAGACCTGAGCAGAGTTTGAGATTTTTTTTTTCTGAGATGGAGTCTCACTCTGTCGCTCAGGCCGGAGTGCAGTGGTGCAATCTTGGCTCACTGCAGCCTCAGCCTCCCGAGTAGCTGGGACCACAGGTGCCCGCCACCACGCCTGGCTAATTTTTTGTATTTTTAGTAGAGACGGGCTTTCACTGTGTTAGCCAGGATGGTCTCAATCTCCTGACCTCGTGATCTGCCCACCTCTGCCTCCCAAAGTACTGGGATTACAGGCGTGAGCCACCGTGCCCGGCCTAACTTACTTTCTTTTTTTTTTTTTAACTGTTACTGATTGCATTTACTAAAGAAAGTAACAAAGATAAAATATTTGAAGTATAGTGGATTTTATTACAGAAAATGATATTGAAGCTTTCCCCAGTGTCTTGTGTCACTGAGTCTTTGTTTTTGCAGGTGATATCGTGGGCCTGTACGATGCTGCTAATGAGGGCAGTCAGCTGGCCACTGGGATCTTGACCCGGGTCACCCAGAAGTCGGTCACGGTGGCCTTTGATGAGTCCCACGATTTCCAGTTGAGCTTGGACCGAGAGAATTCCTACAGACTGTTAAAACTTGCCAATGATGTCACTTACAGGCGACTGAAAAAGTAAGTGGATGGGACTGGAAATCCTAAGTACCATCTTCCTTCAACACAGCTAATCCATTCTTACATGCCTGTCGCACAAAAGAGAGCAACAAGTCATGGTGTGGGTGTGGCCCTCATGGGAGTTGGTGGCAGCATTGGGGCAGAGGCTCGGGCACTGAATTGCAGGTGTTCTAATTTTAGTTTTCTCCCTTGGCAGAGCCCTGATTGCTCTAAAGAAGTATCATTCTGGCCCAGCCTCCTCACTCATAGAAGTGCTCTTTGGCAGATCTGCTCCCAGTCCTGCCAGTGAAATACGTAAGAACTTCTGAGTTTTCTTTTTTGGTTGAAATCACTACTGAAAGTATAGAGAACAGTGTGACCTTGGGCCGTTTTAATAAGAGTTTGAGAAAGTATGACTAGAAGAAGTCTCCCTGAACATCTTTGTAGGAGTGTCTCGGAGGGCCTTGCATGAACTGGACCGTCCTCCTTGTACTCAGTCCTAATGAACTGGCTCGTTCCATTGAGGTTTTTTTTTTTTTTTTGAGACAGAATCTTGCTCTGTTGCCCAGGCTGGAGTGCAGTGGCGCGATCTCAGCTCATTGCAAACTCCGCCTCCCGGGTTCAAGTGATTCTTTTGCCTCAACCTCCCAAGTAGCTGGGACTACAGGCATGCACCACCACGCCTGGCTAATTTCTGTACTTTTAGTAGAGATGAGGTTTCACCATATTGACCAGGCTGGTCTCGAACTCCTGACCTCATGATCCACCCGCCTTGGCCTCCCAAAGTGCTGGGATTACAGGCGTGAGCCACCGTGCGCCTGGCCCCATTGAGTTTTTAGTTAAAAAAATTTTTTTTTGGCGGGGGGGGTGGAGGGGGGGGGCGGATGGAGTCTCGCTCTGTCACCCAGACTGGAGTATAGTGGCATGATCTTGGCTCACTGCAACCTCCGCCTCCCGGGCTCAAGTGATTCTCATGCCTCAGCCTCCTGAATAGCTGGGATTACAGGCACACGCCACCACGCCTGGCTAATTTTTGTATTTTTAGTGGAGACAGGGTTTTGCCATCTTGGCCAGGCTGTTCTCAAACTCCTGATCTCAAGTGATCTACTCACCTCAGCCTCCCAAAGTGTTGGGATTACAGGCATGAGCTACCGTGCCTAGCCTCCATTGAGTTTTAAAATAATGTTCTTTTTAGTGTATATAAATCTTTTATTTTGAAATGTAATGATATTTCTTTTAGCTTAGTACTTTGTGAAAATAGAGGAAAGCTGATCATACTTTATGCTTGATAGCAATTTTAGGTTGGAAAAATCTTTTTTTTTTTTTTTTGAGACGGAGACTTGCTCTGTCACCAAGAGTGGGGTGCAGTGGTGCGACCTCGGCTCACTGCAACCTCCGCCTCCTGGGTTCAAGTGACTCTCCTGCCTCAGCCTCCCAAGTAGTTGGGATTACAGGTGCCCGCCACCATGCCCGGCTAATTTTTGTATTTTTTAGTAGAGACAACATGGTTTCACCATGTTGGTCGGGCCGGTCTTGAACTCCTGACCTCAGGTGATCTACCTGCCTCGGCCTCCCAAAGTGCTGGGATTACAGGCGTGAGCCACCGTGCCCGGTCTGTGCACTTTTTATGTCCTTTGCTGTTCTTGGAGAACGTCATTTTTGGGAGGAGTTTGTTGTCTCATCCAGTCACTGCCCATGATTTAACAGTCCTGTGAGTATTGGACTTGGCCCATTTGTAAAGCGGTGGCTTTGGCCAAGCCTCATGCAAGGGTTACCCCACAGCTATTTTCTATCATACTGTGCTAGGCAAGCCAGTGTTGTGTTAGCTTCAAACACACAGGACGACTTTGTAGCACTCTTTCAGCATGCAGTCCCTCAAGATGTGTTGTTTTTAAATACTCATTTTCTTTCTGCATTTTCCTTTGGAAATTCTAAATGCAGTCACATTTCAGTAATGCTTTATTTCTATGAAATATTTACTGAAGGGCTCCTATGCGTCACAAACTGAATTAGAAATGTATTTACTGTGTCTTAGGGACTCTGGAATGGCTTGGCTAGAGCACGGGAACGTGGGGTTCAATGGCCTGTTACTAGCTGCACACCCTGCCGTCTTCCATGTTGGCTTCAGTCTCACAAGTCAGGGTCAGCAAACACCCTTTGCTTATGAGCTGCTCCTTATCCGATAGGCGTCTCTGTGTAGTGGGCACCATGTAGCGAATGCCATGGCTGCAGGGCTGAGCACAGCACCACCTGCTCTCAAGAGCACAGCATAAGAAGCAGGTCTTGGCCAGGCGCGGTGGCTCACACCTTTAGTCCCAGCACTTTGGGAGGCTGAGGCCGGCAGATCATGAGGTCAGGAGATCAAGACCATCCTGGCCAACACGGTGAATCCCCGTCTCTACTAACAACACAAAAAATTAGCTGGGCATGGTGGCACTCACCTGTAGTCCCAGCTACTCTGGAGGCTGAGGCAGGAGAATCGCTTGAACCCAGGAGGCGGATGTTGCAGTGAGCTGAGATCATGCCATTGCACTCCAGCCTGGGTGACAAGCAAGACTCCATCTCAAAAAAAAAAAAAAAAAAGAAGCAGATCTTTAGTCTTGGTCGTGGAAGATTCAAAATAGAAACACGATCCTAGAATTTGTTAATCATTGTTTTTGTCATTTGTCTTTATCATTTTATGGGCACTTTAAAGAGGGACATTATGTTAGAAAGGAATATGCTCTAGGAAACATTTCCTTCATTCCTGTTACTCTAGAGCAGGGGTTTTTCCTGTAAAGGGATGGATTGTGAATGTTTTGACTCTGTGGGCCATATCATACGTACCGTCTACAGCTGCCTGCTGTAGACGGTATGTAAATCAATGGGTGTGGCTGTGCTCCAGTAAAACTCACCAAAACCGGCAGCTGACTGGATGTGGCCCACAGTTTGCCGATTCCTGTTCAAGGAGAAACCTTGTGAAAATAAAGCAGACTTAATTTTGTGTTGATTGGGTTGCCCCTGGGGAGGTCCGGCGTGTTCCTGACAGGCATCACTCATCCCCCGGGGCACACACTCTCTGAGGAGGAACACCCACAGAGCTCCCCAGAGCACCTGAGCCTCACGCTGCTGCTTCTTCCACAGACCCGCTGACATTCTTCAACACCTGCCTGGACACCTCCCAGAAAGAAGCGGTTTTATTTGCGCTGTCTCAGAAAGAACTTGCCATCATCCATGGACCTCCTGGCACTGGGAAAACCACGACTGTGGTTGAGATCATTCTTCAAGCTGTGAAACAAGGCTTAAAGGTGGGCAGTGCATGCCACTTCCCTGTCAGAGCCCGTCCGCTCCTGGTCTGTTGTGTTCAGTGGGTGCTCAGCGACCTTTCAGCCTCAGTTCTGGTGGGATGGGTCAGGAACATTACTGAGCATTTATTGATTGAGCCTTGGACTGCCCCTGTTTGATTTCCAGCATCCCCGTGAGTCTTGGGGAGCACGCGCAGGAGCCGTAGCCTGGGTTGTTGAGGAAGGCTCCTGGAGCCCTTTGAGGCGTGGCAGCCTTCGTGTCGGCCAGGCCCTGGGTCAGGGTTTATTTGTTCACCACGCTTGCTGTGCTCGTGCTCCTCCGTGTGCACGCCCGTGCAGGGGCCTGGAGTTGGCCTGGGCCCGGTCTGTGCCCGTCAGGAGCTCAGCGTCTGGTTGAGGTGTTAACAGCTAATCAGATAGTCTGGTTAATGGATACGATGCACATGTCCAGTGCACAGATGAATGATTTTCTGAGATGTGGAATATAACATTGTACATTATTATTCACTTACATTTTAAATTTTTTTTATTTTTATTTTTTGGAGACGGAGCCTCACTCTGTCACCCAGGCTAGAGTCTGGAGTGCAGGGGCGGGATCTTGGCTCCCTGCAACCTCCGCCTCCCGGGTTTAAGTGATTCTCCTACCTCAGCCTCCCGAACAGCTGGGATTATAGGCGTGCGCCACCATGCCTGGCTAATTTTTGTATTTTTAGTAGAGATGGAGTTTCACCACATTGGCCAGTCTGGTCTCACTCCTGACTTCAGTTGATCTGCCTGCCTCAGCCTCCCAAAGTGCTACGATTACAGGCATGAGCCACTGTGCCCGGCCCAGTTACATTTTTAATGGCTGAAAAAGGATCTTTTATCATCATCTGCATCAGCTTGAGTCATTGTGGATCTTGGCACATGGAGAGTTTTTTTTTTTTTAATTTATTTATTTATTTTTAATTATACTTTAAGTTCTAGAGCTTTTTGAAAAAACTTTCTGGTTTATAAAAATGTTGGATAATGATGAGAATTGGAATAATGGCCAGTTTTGTAGTTTGATGTTTACTGGGTGCTGCCTACCACCAGGCATCGTTCTGAGCACCCATTTAATCCTCACTGAAACCCTGTGCCAAGGCAGGTGGTTAGTGGCCCCAGTTTGTAGACAAGGAAGCCGGGTGTGGTGGCTCACACCTGTATTCTCAGTACTTTGGGAGGCTGAGGCGGGTGGGTCACCTGAGGTCAGGAGTTCGAGACCAGCCTGGCTAACATGGTGAAACCCCGTCTCTACTAAAAATACAAAACAATTAGCCGGGTGTGGTGGCACACACCTGCAATCCCAGCTACTTGGGAGGCTGAGGCAGGAGAATTGCTTGAACCTGGGAGGTGGAGGTTGCAGTGAACTGAGATCGCACCATTGCACTCCAGCCTGGGCAATAAGAGCAAAACTCCATCTCCAAAAAAAAAAAAAAAAAAAAAAAAACCAAAAAAACCACGAGGAAACTGAGAAACAAGGTCAAATGCCCAGCACTCAGAGTGGCAGAGCCAGCAATGGAACTCGGGCAGAGCGCAGGGAAGCCTGTCACTTGCTTAAAAGATTACGTCCAGCGGTTTTCCAATGTGTGAGTGTCTTTGCACATGTTTGAAAACTGGTAAGAAAAGATGACTTATTGGAAGGGAGCAGATTGGTGGTTTTAATTGGGTGCCGACTATTCACTAAAAGTGAGCCAAGACACACCTGTGTGCACGCTTTGGTGGAGATATGCCTTTGGACATGCCAGTGGGGTTGGAGGCGATGCTGGGCATAGAGAGTGGGTGGCTGAGCCTCCTTCCTGAGCTGCTGTTTGTTTTGAGCTTAAGGGCCTGTAGAGACTCTGCCTCCTCTGCTGGTTGCCACCTCCTCTTTTTTTTTTCCTCAGAGATGGGGTCTCACTATGTTGTCCAGGGTGGTCTTAAACTCCTGACCTCGCACCTTGGCCTCCCAAAGTGCTGGGATTACAGGCATGAGCCACCGTACTTGGCCAGCGTCTCACTTTTAATAGTGGAGCTGTGGCTGGGTGCAGCGGCTCATGTCTGTTATCCTAGCGCTTTGGGAGGCCAAGGGGGGAGGATCACTTGAACCCAGGAGTTTGAGGTCAGTCTGGGCAACATAGCAAGACCCAGTCTCTACAAAAAATAGAAGAAATTAGCTGGGCATGGTGATGCATGCCTGCAGTCTCAGCTACTTGGGAGGCTGAGCCAGGAAGATAGCTTGAGCCCAGAAAGTCACGAAACACCAGGAGTGTGGTCTAGGTCTTGCTGCTCGCCACACAGAAAGCCAGTTACTGAGGACAAGTATTGCCAAGGAAGAGGCTTTATAATCAGATGGTGCAGCCGAGGAGATGAGAGCTCATCCTCAAACCCATCTCCCTGACTAAAACTAGGGGTTTATATAACAGGGAAGAAATGTAGCAATGTGTAAAAAACAGGAACTAGGGAGGGCAAGGAGGCACCTGTAGTGGTCTGGTGATTTTCAGATCTTTGATATTTTTTTGAGAGGCCTCAATGTCCTTTTCTGAGGAAGAAACTCACATAAATAAGTTTGAAGCTTTAACAGCAGATGGTCAATTTCTCTTTATCCAAAAACAACTGTCCATGGGACTATTGAGCCGGTTTCTCCATGATCCTGCCACTGCGCTCCAGCCTGGGCCATAGAGCAATTTGTTTCAAAAAAAAAAAAGAAAGAAAGAAAAATATAGTGGAGCTACAGTGTTCGGGAGACAACTGTGAGTCCATTTGAAACGGGAAGGGTTCCCTTGTCCCCCTCGCAGGGCGTGGGATGGGGGAGTGGCTCGCTTCTTCAGTGTCCTGCTGCTCAGACCTGCAGGGGAGCATACAGATGGGCAGGCTGTGGGCTCTGACCTCATGGCAGTGTCTAGGGGTGAATGTTTACAGCTCTGTGAGTTACAGGGTGCTCTCTTAGTTTGCCGTCTATAGGTGGCTTATGTTAACCAACTCAATTAGATCCCCTTCCTTGTCACAAGGACAGAGGGCTTTCTGTATCCTGGGTTCTTGCCTTGGGGTACCGGAAGAATCGGATCACACGTGGGCTTGGAAAATGAATGCAAGATTTGATTGAGAGCACGTGTGTACATGCCTTGTGCTTCTTTCTACCTTTAAGGCTTTTTGTTGTTTTAGTGTCAACTTCAGTGGTTTGATTACAAAGTAAATGACCAGATCCTAACTTGCGGTTCCCAGGTTCTGTGCTGCGCCCCCTCCAACATCGCCGTGGACAATCTGGTGGAGCGCCTGGCTCTGTGTAAGCAGCGGATTCTGCGCCTGGGACACCCTGCCCGCCTCCTGGAGTCCATTCAGCAGCACTCCCTGGATGCGGTTTTAGCGCGGAGCGACAGTGCCCAGATTGTTGCAGATATCAGGAAGGACATCGACCAGGTCTTTGTAGGTGTCATGGCCAGTGTCCATGTGGGGCGTGGGCTTCTGATCTGCAGTCTTTTTAAGGAGCAAATTTATCTGTCTGCATTCCTCTTGACCTTCTCTTGCTTCTGTCGATTCCTTTAATAATTTTAAAAATTGGGCTGCCCTTTTTTTTTTTTTTTTTTTTTTTTTTTTTTGTGACAGAGTTTTGCTCTCATTGCTCAGGCTGGAGTGCAGTGGTGCAATCTCGGCTCACTGCAACCTCTGCCTCCTGGGTTCAAGCGATTCTCCTGCCTCAGCCTCCCTAGTAGCTGGGACTGCAGGTGCGTGTCACCACGCCTGGCTAATTTTTCTATTTTTAGTTGAGACAGGGTTTCATCATACTGGTCAGGCTGGTCTTGAATTCCTGACCTCAGGTGCTCTGCCCGCCTCGGCCTCTCAAAGTGCTGGGATTACAGGCGTGAGCCACCATGCCTGGCCTTTGTTTTTGTTTTTTTTTTTGAGATGGAGTCTCGCTCTGTCACCCAGGCCGGAGTGTAGTGCTGCTGTCTTGGCTCACTGCAGGCTCCGCCTCCCGGGGTCAAGTGATTCTTGTGCCTCACCCTCCCAAGTAGCTAGGACTACAGGCATGTGCCACCACACCCAACCAATTTTTTTATTTTTAGTAGAGACGGGGGTTTCGCCATGTGGGCCAGGCTGGTCTCGAACTCCTAACCTCAAGTGATCCACCCGCCTCAGCCTCCCAAAGTGCTGGATTACAGGTGTGAGCTACTGTACCCAGCCAGGGCTGCCCATTTTTGATAGAGAACTATACTTAGCATTTAACAGAGTCTCAACTGTCTTCAGAGCACTTGGTTAGTAGGTGTGAGGAATTGTAAAGAAAACATTTTCCGGCCGGATACAGTGGCTCACACGTGCAATCCCAGCACTTTGGGAGGCCGAGGTGGGCGGAACAGTTGAGGTCAGGAGTTCGAGACCAGCCTGGCCCACATGGTGAAACCCCGTCTCTACTAAAAATACAAAAATTAGCTGAGCATGGTGGCGGGCACCTGTATTCCCAGCCACTTGGGAGGCTGAGGCAGGAGAATCTCTTGAACCTGGGAGGTGGAGGTTGCAGTGAGCCATGGTCACTCCACTGCACTCCAGCCTCGGTGACAAAGCAAGACTCCGTCTCAAAAAAAAAACCAAACATTTTCCTGGGTGTCTTTCTGTCTGGTCCTGTTGTCTTGCTAGTAGTGGCAATGGGAGAAAAGTAGCCTGAACATAAACATTGAAAAAATTGGCATCCTCCTAGAGCTTTCCGTCCATTCCACCTTCTCCTTGTGAAAGAGGACACCAGTCGGCTGGAGAAGTAGGGTGGTGGTAGGTTTCTTCCATTTGAGAGGGCCTTTTCCCCCCAGCCCGACACTCCGACACTTTTGAGCTCTTTGGTTCTCCCGTGGACGCTTTGTTGTAGTGTCTGTGCTCACGTCCTGTCCTGTGTGCTCACTGTCGGTACTGGTACTCCTTGGTGTCTTAGTCTCAGAGGAGTGATGGCAGCAGGGAGGGTGCTGGAGCCAGTCTTTGCTCTAATGTCTGTGCTCACATCTTGTCCTGTGTGCTTACGGTCAGCACCTGCACCCTCGGTGTCCTAACCTCGGAGGAGTGGCGGCAGCAGAGAGGGTGCTGGGAGCCAGTCTTTGCTATGGGCCCGTGGCATCGAGGCTGCTTGCGTGGCTGCTTGCATGGCAGCGTGGGGATGGGCCGCCTGCTGGGAGGGGGAGGAAGGATAGATGCATGTCATGCAGGTTCGAGGTGGTGGAGGAATATGCATGATGTTTGCTCATCACAAATGTGGGTGATTTCATTTCCTGTTGAAATTGGTGCTTTTGAGGATTTTCTTTCTCTGTAAATTATACACAGTAAAATACCTCCTGTCACCCCTGCTAAAACTCCATCCCCCAAAGTAGAAATCACAAATAAGGAAAGGTTACATCTTTTTTTTTTTTTTTTTTTTTTTTTTAAAGAATCTTGCTCTGTCGCCCAGGCTGGAGTGCAGTGGTGCAATCTCGGCTCACTGCAACCTCCGCCTCCTGGGTTCAAGCAATTCTCCTGCCTCAGCCTCCCGAGTAGCTGGGATTACAGGCACACACCATGCCCAGCTAATTTTTTGTATTTTTAGTAGAGACAGCGTTTCACTGTGTTGGCCAGGCTGGTCTCGATTTCCTGAGCTCGTGATCTGCCTGCCTCGGGCTCCCAAAGTGCTGGGATTACAGGCATGAGCCACCGCGCCTGACCAGTTCCATCTTTTTGAGATATTAAAGTAAGTTGAGGTTTTGATTATGGGTTGAAAAAATTTTTTTTAATCTCTTGAAAAATGTAGAATAATATGTGAAGCTCAGTCTCTCTATTCGTAAGCTCCTACAACCCAAATCCTGGGGCGGGCAAGCGCTTTTTCTTCCCCAAGATCAAATGCCTGTGTGCAGGGCAGGGCTGGTCCAATTTCTGGTCTCCTCTGAGTTAAAAACGTGGTCTCTTTCCAGGACTTAAAATGTCTCTTCCTGTGACTTCAAGGCAAGTGAGGATGTAAGGTGCTTAGTTGCGTGTGTGTATCTGTGTCTCTTTCAAGGAAGATTTCTGAGTGTTTTTTACGGAGTTTATTGAACTGGACTGAATGATAGAAGCACTTCATAAATAGAGTTGAAGAAGTACAAAGTTGGACTGAAGTAAGTGTATCTCCTTTGTTTTTCTTTATAGGTGAAAAACAAAAAGACCCAGGATAAGAGAGAGAAAAGTAATTTTCGAAATGAAATTAAGCTGTTAAGAAAAGAACTGAAGGAGAGGGAAGAAGCAGCTATGCTCGAGAGCCTCACTTCGGCAAACGTGGTCCTTGCAACAAACACAGGTGAGGGGGCGTCTCCATCCTGCCTGTGTGGCCTCGAAGAAGGAGTTGGGGTGTGTTCCCTCTTCTGTTTTCTGGAAGAGTTTGTTTAGAATTGGTATTTCTTTCTTAAAAGTTGGGTAGGGTTCACTAGGGAAGGCCTCCGTACCTGCAGTTTTCTTCATGGAGAGGTTTTGAACTACAAATTCAACTTCTTCAATAGATAAAGGGCTGTTCAGGTTGTTTTTCTTCCATGAGCTTGTAGCTTTCAAGAAGTTTGTCCATTTTATCTAAACGGTTGAATTTAGAGGCATGAAGTGGTTCCTAATATGCCCTTATTCTTCTTTTACTGTCTGCAGGATCTGTCATGATATAACCTGTATTATTCCTGATACTGGTTTGTGTGCTCTTTTTTTTCCTGCTCTTCTGGCTGGAGGGTTTTTTTTTTTAAATTTAGATTTTATATATACATACATATATATTTTAAGAGACAGGGTCTCTGCCAGGCGCAGTGGCTCACACCTGTAATCCCAGCATTTTGGGATGCCAATGCGGGTGGATCACCTGAGGTCAGGAGTTTGAGACCTGCCTAGCCAACATGGTGAAACCCCATCTCTACTAAAAATACAAAAATTAGCCAGGAGTTGTGGTATGCACCTGTAATTCCAGCTACTTGGGAGGCTGAGGTAGGAGAATTGCTTGAATCCTGGAGGTGGAGGTTGCAGTGAACCAAGATCGCGCCACTGCACTCCAGCCTGGGTGACAGAGCAAGACTCCGCCTCAAAAAAATAAAAACCCCAAAACCAAAAAAACAAAGCAAAACAAAAAAAGAGACAGGGTCTCACTATGTTGCCCAGGCTGGTCTCAAACTCCTGGGCTCAAGGGATCCCCCTGCCTCAGCCTCCTAAAGTGCTAGGATTACAGGTGGACCCACCGCGCCCGGCCTGGCTGCAGGTTTCAATTGATCTTCCCAAAGAACCAGCTTTTGCTTTTTCTCTATTGTTTTTCTGTTTCATGTATTTCCACATTGATCTTTATCGTTTTCTGTTTTCTTGGGCTTGTTCTTTTTCTTGCTTCTTAATGTAGAAGCTGAGATCATTGATTTGAGACCTTTCTTTTTTTCTGATACGAGCATTTAGCTCCATAAATGTCTCCCTAAGTACTGCTTTTGTGGCATCCCACAAATTCTGATCTGTTATATTTCATTCATTTCAAAATGCTATCTCATTTGCCTTTTGGTTTTTTAGAAGTGTTATATAGTTTCTAGATAGTTGGGAAATGTCCAGATATCTTTCTGTTGTTGATCTCTCCTCTCCTCTCCCCTCCCCTCCCCGTCCCCGTCCCCGTCCTGTGTGGGATCTCACTGTGTTGCTCCTCTCCTCTCCTCTCCTCTCTTCTTCTCTCCTCTCCTCATCCCTGTCCCCATCCCCATCCCCGTCGCCTTCCCTATCCCCATCCCCATATGGGATCTCACTATGTTGCCCAGGCTGGACTCAAACTCCTGGGCTCAGGTGATTCTCCCAGCTCAGCCTCCTGAGGAGCTGGGGCTCCCTGCATGTGCCACTGCACCTGGCTTACTTTCTGTTATTGGTTTCTAATTTAGTTCCATGTGGTCAGAGGACATACTCTCATGACTTGGATAGTTCATCGAGACTTACTTTATGGTCCAGAATCTGGTCTCTGTCTTTGTGAGTGTTCCATGCACACTTGATAGAACGTGTGTTCTGATTTTATTGAGTGTTCTGTAAGTAGTCAGATCATGATGGTTGATGATGTGGTTCAAGTCTGCTGTATTGAGAGAGGGACGTTGAAATCTCTGAATATAACTGGACATGTCTGTTTTTCCTGCAGTTCTATTGGTTTTTGCTTCATATCTTTGGAAACTCTTTTACTGGGGTCATAAATGTGGGGCTATGTTTTCTTGATTAATTAACAAATTTATCATTATGAAATGACCTTCTTTATCCCTGATAATATTCTTTTTTTGAAATCTACTTTGTCTGACATTAAAATAATCATTTCAGCATTTCAGCTTGCTTTTCTTTTCATTATGGTCAAAAACCTGTAAAATTTACCATCGTAACCCTTTTTAAGTCTGTAGTACAGTAGCATTAATTGTATGCATGTTGTTGTACAGCAGATCTCTAGAACATTTTCATCTTGCAGACCTGAAGCTCTGGATCTGTTGAACAGCAATTCCCTTTTTCCCTGTCCCAGATCCTGGCAGTCACCATTCTCCTGTCTGTTTCTAAGAATTTTATTATTTTACATACCTCAAGTAAGTGGAACCATGCAGGATTTGTCGTCTTGTGACTGGCTTGTTTTATTTAGTGTAATGCCCTCATGGTTCATCCATGTTGTCCAGCTTTCTTTTTATTTTTAAGAGACAGGGTCCCAATCTGTCACCTAGGCTGGAGTACAGTGGTGCGGTCAAAGCTGTACTCCAGCCTTAACCATGAATGTGGGACCTCCAGCAATCCTCCCACATTGACCTCCTGAGTTGCTGGGATTAACAGGCGTGAGCCATTGCACCCAGCCCCCACCTTTCTTTCAACTAGTGTTAGTGTGATCTATCTTTATCCTTTTTCTTAGAACCTATTTGTGTCTTTATGTTTAAAGTGATCTTTTAAAAAATATTTGAGACACGGTCTCACTGTGTTACCCCTAACTGGAGTTGCAGTGGTGCAATCATGGCTCCCTGCAGCCTCAACCTCCTGGGCTGAAGTGATTCTCCCACCTCAGCCTCCTGAGTAGCTGGGACAACAGACACGTGCTATCACACCCTGCTCATTTTTTTGATTTTTAATAGAGACAAGATCTCACTGTGTTGCCCAGGCTGGTCTGGAGTTCCTGGACTCAAGTAGTCCTTCCACCTCTGCCTCCCACAGTGCTAGGATTACAAGTGTAAGCCACTGTGCCTGGCCTGTTTATTTCTTTTTAAAGAGAGAGTCTTGCTCTGTTGCTCAGACTGGAGTGCAGAGGCGTGATCATAACTTGCTGTAGCCTTGCATTCTTTGGCTCAAGTAATCCTCCCACCTCAGCTTCCCGAGTAGCTAGTACTGTAGGCATGAGCCATTACACCTGGCTAATTTTAAAAATGTTCTTTTCTTTTTTCCTTTTAGAGATGGGGTCTTGCAATGTTGCCCAGGCTGGTCTCAAACTCCTGGCCTCAAGTGATCCTCCCACTTTGGCCTAAAGTGAATTTTTTTGTAGATAGCATATAGCTGGGCCTTGCTTTATTATCCAGTTTGACAGTTTCTGCCGTTTGTTCTTTGTTATATTTTCCTCCTCTTCTGCTTTCTTTTAATTAATTAATTGAACATTTCTTTTTTTTTTTACATAAGTTCTCACTATGCCCCATGATTGAAGATTTCTTAGGAATTTATTTTTATTTATTTATTTATTTTTAAAAGATAATTTATAGAGACAAGGTCTTGCTGTTTTGCCCAGGCTGGTCTCGAACTCCTGGACTCAGGGGATCCTCCCACCTTGGCCACCTTGGTGCTGGGATTATAGGCATGAACCATCACTCCTGGCCTATTTTTGTTTTTGTTGGCTTGTTAGCTATATATCTGTATTTGATTCTTTCAGTGGTTACTTTAGGCCTTACAGTATGTGTCTTCAACTCATCATAGTCTGTTCATATGCCACCTCACATATAGCATAAGGGCTTTATGATTGCAAGCTGACATTTCTCTCCTCTTAGCATTTATGCTTTTGTCATATATTTTTCTTATACGCATATTCTAAGACTTACAATGCTTGTTCTTGTTTTAATGGTGAATTATCTTTAAAGAGATCTAAATAATAAGAAAAATGTCTTCGTATTTGCCCGTGTAGTTACCACTTTTGGCGCTTTGTTTTCTTTTGGTTTAGGTCGTGTATTTCCACGTGGCATCATTTTCCTTCCACCTGAAAGGCATCCATGATCATTTCTTGTAGTGTGGGTCAGCCGGTGATGCAGTCCAGTAGCTTTTGTATGTCTGAAAATATCTTGTTTCACCTGCAGTTTTGAAAGATATTTTTGCTGCGTGAGAATTCTAGATTAACACTTTTCCTTGCAATATTTTAAAGATGTTGTCCACTGTCATCTGCCTGAGTATTTCTGAAGAGAAATTGGTCATCCTTATCCTTGTTCCTTTGTATGTAACGTGTCTTTTTTCTTCTGTCTGCATTTAAGATTTTTTCAGCCAGGTGTGGTGGCTCATGCCTGTAATCTCAGCACTTTGGGAGGCTTAAGGCGAGTGGATCACCTGAGGTCAGGAGTCCGAGACCAGCCTGGCCCACATGTACTAAAAATACAAAAAAATTAGCAGGGTGTGGTGGTGGGCACCTGTAATCCCAGATGCTCAGGAGGCTGAGGCAGGAGACTCGCTTGAACCCGGAGGCGGAGATTGCAGTGAGCTGAGATTGCACCACTGTACTCCAACCTGGACGACAGAGCCAGACTCCGTCTCAAAAAAAAAAAGAAAGAAAATGATGCTTTCTTTATCACTGGTTTTAAGCAATTTGACTATGATTTGCCCTGGTGCTATTTGCTTCATGTTTTTTTTTGAGACAGAGTCTCACTCTGTCACCCAGACTGGAGTGCCGTGGCGCAATCTTGGCTCACTGCAACCTCTGCCTCCTGGGTTCAAGCGATTCTTCTGTCTCAGCCTCTGGAATAGCTGGGAGTACAGATGCACACCACCACGCCTGGCTAATTTTTGTATTTTTAGTAGAGACGGGGTTTCACCACATTGGCCAGGCTGCTCTCGAACTCCTGACCTCGTGATCCGCCTGCCTTGGCCTCCCAGAGTGGTGGGATTACAGGTGTGAGCCACCGCACCCGGCCTCATGTTTTTTAACATTGTGGTGAGAACACAACATGAGATCTACCCTCTTAAATGTTTAAGTGTACTATATAATATTGTTAACTATAGACGTCGTGTTGTGCAGCAGATCTATAGAATTTATCTTGCACAGCTGAACCTTTATACTTGCTTATTGCTGAGTTCACTAATTTCCTTCTTTCATGCCTAATCTCACATCTGTCCCATCCAGTGTAACTTTCATCTGACATCCAGAAATAAGAGTCTTTTTATATCTTTGATGTTCTTATTTAATTTTTTTAACATTTGGAATACAACTATAATAACTGTTTTGAATATTCTAGACTATTATTTCTCTATCACCTGTGTCATTTTTGGTCTCTTTCGATGAACTGTTCCCCTTGAGTGGTTGTGTTTTCCTACCTTTTTGTAGGCCTGCTAATGTTTGTTTGGATACCGGACATTGAGGATTTTACGTTGTTGCATGCTGAATATTGAATATTTTTGTATTCCTATAATCTTTTTTTTTGTTTTTTTGTTTTGTTTTTTTGAGACAGCGTCTTGCTCTGTCACCCATGCTGGAGTGCAGTGGTGCGATCTTGGCTCACTGCAACCTCTGCCTCCTGGATTCAAGTGATTCTTTTGACTCAGTCTCCCGAGTAGCTGGGACTACAGGCATGCGCTACCATGCCCGGCTAATTTTTGTATTTTTAGTAGAGGCGAGGTTTCACCATGTTGGCCAGGCTGGTCTCAAACTCCTGACCTCAAGTGATCTGCCTGCCTCGGCCTCCCAGAGTGCTGGGATTGGTGTGAGCCACCACGCCCAGTCTCCTATAATATTCTTGTGCTTGGTTTTGGGAAGCAGTAAAGTTACTTGTAAACAGTTTAATCCTTTTGAGTCTTGCTTTTGAGATGTGTTAGGGTCTGGATCAGTGCTTAGTCCAGGGTTAATATTCCCCTGTACTGAGGTAAGACCCTTTGAGCTTTCTACCCAATGCACCCTGTATCATGAGATTTTTGAGTTTGACTGGTGGGATTAGGTGCTGTTCCCGGCCTTGTGTGAGCACTGGGCACTTTTCTCTCATTGTTTTGGATGGTATTTTTCCCAGGCCTGGAGTAGTTTTCTCCTAAGCATGTGCTAATCACAATACCCAAGGGAATCTCGCAGCAGATCTCTGGGGTTTTTTCTCTCTGTGTAGCAGTCTCTTTGGCATTTTGTCCTGGAAACTCTGCCTGCATTGGTCGCCACAGATTCTCAGCCTTGTCTCCTCAACTCAGGGAGCCTTCTAGGTTCTACCTGGCTGCCCCTTCTCTGTACTCTCTCCTGGAAACTCTCAAGGCAGAAAGCTGGGGTAACCCCAGGGCTCACCTCCTTTGTCTCTCGTTATTCAGGGGTTACTTTTCTTTGTTACCTGTTGTCTAGTGTCCTGAAGAGTGTGGTTTCAGTTATTTTAAAAAAATTTTAAATAACTGGCTGGGGGGGTTGTTATTTGAGATGGGAGAGTAAATGCAGTCCCTGCTATTCCATCTTGGGCAGAGGTGGAGGACGCACATTCTCTCTTGTAGCCAGGAGAGAGCACTCCCGTTACAGAGCTGTGTACCTTGTGACTGTTGTGGGAATCTTGTCAACCACTCTTTTGGGGTTTAGGAATGTGTTTGTGAGACCTCTGGTTTGTTCCTGTGTGATAATAGTACCACAAAGGTAGCAGCTGAAAACAACCCACGTTTATTATTCTACAGTTTATCTGGGCGGAGAGCCCAGGCCCGGCTGAACAAGGTGCTGTGCTCAGGATCTCACAAGGCTGCGATCGAGGTGTCAGTGGGGGCTGCAGTCTCATCTGAAACTTGCCTGGAAAGGATCTTTCTTCAGGCTCACGTGGTTGTTGGCAGCATTCAGTTCCCTGTGGGTTCTTGCTGGGTGTTGGCTGGAGGCCGCTCTTAGCTGTTTGCCCTTAGGCCTTGCCAACATGGCTGCTTGCTTCCTAAAAGCCAGCAAGAGACATAGTCTCCTAGCACAATGGGTTATCGTCTTATGTAATGTTATCAAGGGTGTCACATCTCATCACCTTTCCCCTGTTCTGTGGATTAGAAGCAAGTCTCAGGCCCCACCCACATTTGAGGGGAAGGGATTATGCAAGATGTGAATACCAGTGGCCAGGATCCTGGGGCATACCTTAAAGCAAGTTTGTCTAACTAAAGGCCTGCAGGCCACATGTAGCCCAGGATACTTTGAATGTGGCCCAACACAAATTTATAAACTTTCTTAAAACATTATGAGATTTTTGTCTCTGTGTTTTTTTTTTAAGCTCATCAGCTATTGTCAATGTTAGCATATTTTATGTGTGGCCCAAGACAATTCTTCTTCTTTTAATATGGCCCTGGGAAGCCAAAAGATTGCACATCCCTGCCTTAGAGTCTGTTTGCCACAACCTCTCAGCTGGTGGGCTGCTCTAAGGAACAGAGTCCAGGTTCTTTTTTTTTTTTTTTTTTTTTGAGACAGCATCTCACTCTGTTGCCCAGGCTGTAGTGCAGTGGCACAATCTTGATTCACTGCAGCCTCCTCCTCCCGGGTTCAAGTGATTCTTGTGCCTCAGCCTCCTGAGTAGCTGGGATTGCAGGCGCATGCCACCAGGCCCAGCTAATTTTTTTTGTATATTTTGTAGAGACTGGATTTCACCATGTTGGCCAGGCTGGTCTCGAACTTCTGACCTCAAATGATGTGCCCACCTTGGCCTCCCAAAGTGCTAGGATTACAGGAGTGAGCCACCACACCTGGCTAGATTCTAATTGGCTTTGTAGTTATTGCTTTATCCAGTTGTGTTTTAAATCAGACAGGAGAAAAAAAGGGTCACAAGCAGAAAATACATTTATGGGGTCTTTTATATCTACCCATGTAGTTGCCTTTATTTCTTCATGTAGATTTGAGTTACTCTCTCCAAAGGACTCCCTTTGGTATTTCTTGAAGGGCAGGTTTGCTGTGACAGATTCTCTAAGCTCATCTTTATCTGGGCATGTCTTAGTTTCTCCTTCATTTTTTGAAGGATAGTCTTGCTGGGTATAGAATTCTTGGTTGACAGTCTTTCAGCCCTTTGGACGTGTCATTCCATTGCCTGCATACTTTCTGATGGGAAAGCAGCTATTGATCTCATTGAGGGCTCCTTATATGTGACAAGTTGCTACTCTATTGCTGCTTTCAAGTGTCGTCTTTTGTCTTTTGAGTGTGTGATTATCATGTGTTAGGTGTGGATCTCTGTGAGTAAATTACATGGAGTTTGTGGACCTTCTTGGATGTTTAGATTCGTGTTTTTCATCAAATTTGGGGAGTTTTCAGCCATTATTTTTTCAGGTATTCTTTCTGCCCTTATTCTACTCTCGTCTCCATCTACAACTCCCATTATGAATCAGTTGATTCACTTGATAATGCCCCACAGATCTCTGAAGCTCTGTTCATTTTCCTCCATTTTTTTCTTTCTGATCTTCAGGCTGGATCTTCTCAATGGACCTCTCTTCAAGTTTGCTGATCATTCTCTCCTGTTGAATCCTTCTAGTGAATTTCAGTTATTGTACTTTTCAACTCCAGAATTTCTGTGTGGTGCTTTTTTTTTTTTTTTTTTTTTTTTAGATGGAGTCTCGCTCTATCGCCAGACTGGAGTGCAGTGGTGTGATCTCGGCCCACCGCGACCTCTGCCTCCCAGGTTCAAGCAATTCTCCTGCCTCAGCCTCCCGAGTAGCTGGGTCTACAGGCGTCTGCCACCACGCCCAGCTAATTTTTGTATTTTTAGTAGAGACTGGGTTTTACCATGTTAGCCAGGATGGTCTCTATCTCTTGACCTCATGATCTGCCTGCCTCAGCCTCCCAAAGTGCTGGGATTACAGGCATGAACCACCATGCCAGCCTCTGTGTGGTACTTTTTAAAAAATTATTCCTGTCTCTTTATTGATATTCTCTTATTTGGTGAGACATTATTCTCATATTTTATTTCTTTAGACTTGTTTCCCTTTTGCTGTTTGAACATACTTAGAATCGCTGATATTTCAAGTCTTTGTCTAGTAAGATCAGCATCTGGGCTTTCTCTAGTATCCAGTTTATTTATTTATTTATTTAATTTTTTGGAGATGGAGTCTCACTCTGTTGCTCAGGCTGGAGTGCCGTAGCGTGATCTCGGCCTGCTGCAACCTCCGTCTCCTAGGTTCAAGCGATTCTCCTGCCTTAGCCTCCTGAGTAGCTGGGATTACAGGCGTCCACCACCACGCCTGGCTGATTTTTGTATTTTTAGTAGAGATGGGGTCACCATGTTGGCCAGGCAGGTGTCGAACTCCTGACTCAGGTGATCTACCAACCTTGGCCTCCCAAAGTGTTGGGATTACAGGCGTAAGCCACTGCTCCTGGCCTCAAGTATCTGTTGATTGCCTTTTTTCCCCTGAATATTGGCCATATTTTCCTGACTCTCTACGTGCCTTGTAGTTTTTTGTTGAAAATGGATGATTTTAAATAATAGAATGTAGCAACTCTGGAAGTCAGGTTCTCTTCCCACCCCGGGGTTTGTTGTTGTTGCCACTTGTTGTTTGTTTAGTGACTTTTCTGGACTAATTCTGTAAAATCTGTATTTTTTGTCTTGCGTGGCCACTAAAGTCTAATACAACTTAGTGGCCAGCTAGTGATTAGACAGAAATCCCCCTGAACTCCTGGAGCCATAAATGCCCCAGTCTTTGCTGAGTGGCTCTGTGTGTGTGCTTGGGCACACCTCCAACACAGAGCCAGGCTGTTTGTGACTCTCAGCTTTCACTTCCCGTTTGTGCAGTGCGTTGAGCTGAGCCACAGATGAGAGCTGAGGGCCTCCCGAGGTCTTTCCTGAGCCCTGTACATGTGTGTGGCCTTCTAGATTCCCAGGAATATGTTGGAGCTTTTCAAAGCCCCCTGAGGATATCTCATTCCCCAGCTTAAAACTTTGGTTATCCTATCATTTGCTCCGACCATTATTCTCTGTCTTAGAAAACTGTGATGTTCAACAATTACCTCTGATTGTTTTTGACAGACACCACCAGGGAAAAGGCTGTTTGTATTACATGAGCTCAGATAAAGTCTTTTGAGTGTGGTCTACCAGAGGATTCCCAGACAGATGAGATAAGCACAGTTTCTGGAGTGGGGCTTTTCAGGAATGCCAACCCTGTTCTGCACCCCCCGGGGCTGGCAGGTGCTGGTTTTCACCCTGACTTCAGGCTGAGGGTTTCAAGGCTGCCATAGGGATGGCTGGGAATAGGGCAGGTTTCAGTGCCACCGAGCTCCCGTGCTGACGGGGATTCAGATGCTTTTCTGGAATGAACACTTCCCTGATTGCTGCAGCCTTTGGCGAGTTTCCAGAGTTCTGAGAAAGTTGATTCTGACCATTTGCCGATGTCTTGTTGCTTTCGTGGAGGAGAGAATTCTCAGAGCTTGTGAGAGTCTCTTTGCTGACATCCTTCTCTGGCTTCAAGGACAGCACTTGCTGGAAATCAGGAGGCATCCCCTGAGCCCCACAAGGTCAGCTTGTGGCCTTTGTGGCCTTTCTGTTCCCTGCTGGTTGTTGGGGAACTAGAGTGAGTTCCTGGAAGTGCTTCTCCATCATGAAGTCTGGTTTCTCTCTGTACTGTGAAGTCACATCTGTGACCTAAACATGTCTCTTAATTATCCAAAGCCCAGCCAAGTTCTGTCTCCTCTGTGGGTGCTTTTTCTAGCCATCTCTGAAGAGTCAATCTTGAGAAATTTCTCAGTATGTCTTCATCATGGCATTATGTACATATCATTAGCATAATTCACTCAGATGGAAGGCAGAAAGGGTGGGAACTAACATTGATCACATTTATGGAAACCTGCCTTCTCGTGCTGGGCACTTTATATATGTTATCTCCCTTTGTGGTGCAATCTCATGACATGCAGTCATTGTCCATGTTTGTGGGTGAGGAAACAGGCTTAGGGGTGGGAGGCTCGCCTGAGGCCCCACACTGTTGGCTGGAGACAGCGTGGGGCCTGAGTCTTGCTCACAGCCTGAACGCTGCACTCTGCTGCTCCGCGTCCCAGGAAGGAAAAGCTGCTGCAGTGGGTTTGTGTTGCCAAATACATGGAGGCTTTTTTCTGGGTGAGTGCCCAGCAGTTGATTGTTCTGTATGTCCAAGAAAGTCACCTTAGAAAAGAATTAGGTTCTAAATTTAGAAAATAATTGAGTTACAATATTTAGAACTCAGACAGCATCCCTTGGGCTTGGGGTCACAGCCCCGAAGGGGTGATTAATTTTGCCAATTGAAGATCAGAGGGGCCTGTGGCCAGAGTACCCACTGCTTAAGACACAGGTGAGCTGGAACCATGAGTTTTAAAATGTCTTGGCCAAGTTTTTATTACAAGATACAAATTTATCCCACACAGTTGCAATGCAAGCCTTGATGAAACCCCAGCTTGATGGTGTCTCCTCTGGTGTGGCTGCGCTGTTGGGAAGCAGCTGTGCCCCTGGAGACTCCCGGCTCCCTGTTTCCACCAGGTGCGTCTGCCGATGGCCCCCTGAAGTTGCTGCCCGAGAGCTACTTCGACGTGGTGGTCATTGACGAGTGTGCCCAGGCCCTCGAGGCGAGCTGCTGGATCCCCCTGCTGAAGGCCAGAAAGTGCATCCTGGCGGGCGATCACAAGCAGCTGCCCCCCACCACAGTCTCTCACAAGTAAGACCCCTTTGCCTCACATGCCCTTCTCTGCCCCCGCCCTCCTGCGGTCCTTCCACGCTCAGCCAGGAGCCCCAGGCTCACCAGGAGCCCCTGCGGTGCCTCCTCGGTTTCTCGGCACAGCTCCTACCCCGTCTTACAGCATTCATTCATCTCAACGTCGCATCTGTGAGATCATGTACTCCCCGAGGGTGGGGTCGCATCACCTTCATCTTTGTAGCTTCAGAACTGGACACAGGGCCTGGCACGTTTCTGGTGTTCCGTCCCTGCTTGTTGAGTTGAATATCCCCTCATGAACCAGGCAGGTTTGATGGTAGAGTGCCGTGAGAGCCTTGGGCTGGGCTAACTGGCCTCTGGGTGGATGTGGGTTCTTTAGTCTTCAATCTGTAGACACATCCCTGGATGGAGGGCACTGGGCAGAGACTCAGCAAACCATGGTTCTGCCGTGCGGAGACACCGGAGCCCTGATGCAGTGGCCTGGCCCAGGCTGTCCTGGTGGAGACACTGGAGTCCTGATGCGGTGGCCTGGCCCAGGCTGTCCTGGTGGAGACACTGGAGCCCTGATGCAGTGGCCTGGCCCAGGCTGTCTTGGTGGAGAAAGTGCTGCCCGCCCCCCCAGCCCCCCTCTCACCTCTCCCCATACTACCCAGCACTCACTGCTTCAGCCACACAGGCCTCGCTGGCCCCTCTGCCTGGACCACTCCTGCCTGGGTGTGGCGGGCGTGCCCTCTCTCCAGATGAACCCTCTGCATGGTATCCCTTGACTGCCCTTACACGAGGCCTGTGAACAGGGCCTGGCACGTGGGCTGTCCTTGGACAAGTCCCTGTTCAGAAAGTTGTCCCTGAGGAATGAAACACTTCTGAGACTCCTGCATCCTGGCCCTCACTTCCACCGGGGGAAGATTGATTTCTTCAGATTTCGGTTGCCTTTTGAAACACTTCTCTGTTTCACTGTGGGTGTGTAGAAGCTATGAACTCGGAACTTTCGTTGTTTTCCGAGGACCGGAAGAAGATGTGCAAGAAATCCTGTCGAGTAGAATCTCATCACAGGGGCGTGGGCAGCCCAGGAGTTGGCGGGTATGTAGAGAGAGGTGTCAAAAATAGTAATTGAGAGTGAGCTTTGGGAGGAAGATGTTGGAAATAAAGATGGTGGAAGAAAGAGGAGTGCTGAGGAAAGGTGCTCTGAAAGATCGTCCTGGTGGGAGACACATGGGGATCTAGAGTGGAAATGTTACGGGATCTCTGGGGTGTTGATTTTTCTGGCTGGAAACCTCTGCGGCCGCAGCACCTTTGCCTCAGTTCTTGTCCTGCATCCAGGAAGAATGAGGTACGCAGATTAGTGAAGGGTGAAGAACAGTTTTATTTAGTGTTAGAACAGCTCAGAGTAGTGGGTAGCTCCTCTCTGTAGGCAGGTCATCCGTCGAGTGTTCAGCTGTCAGCAGAGGAGGCCCTGGAGAGGGTGGCTCCTCTCTGCAGGCAAGTCACTTGGACATCTCTGCAGGTCTCTGAAGCTCTCAGCAGAGAGCATAGATCCTCTCTGCCCTCTCCGTCCTCTGGCTGTCCTCTCGCCTTCTCTGACTGAGCCCAGGGCTTTTATGGACCTCAAGAGGGAAGGAAGGATGTGCCAATTGGTCCATGGGTGGCCATGGGCGGGCCTGGAATAGGTACCATGAGTCCTCACTCTGGTCCACAGGACTGGCAGCCCAGCTGCCAGCCTTCAGGCCCTTCCTGGCCTTCCACTGTCCCCTTCCACTCAGGACTCTGTCTGCCTCCCGCTGCCATTCATGGCCCTGGGGCTTGGCTCCAATCCCACTCTGAGATCCGAGTGGGTGCTGGGAGCTGAGAGAGGCCAGGCAGTGGAAGCAGACACCCATGACCCTGCAGGGATGGTGTGGGGGTTGTCCTTCCTGGGGCGCCTGAGGGTGCAGGCTGCAGAGTGGGAGGGCAGCTACAGCTGCACCCAAGAGCTCCCGACCCACCACCTCAGAAGAGGCCAGGCTCCTGCTTGTTCCCGGCTCCTGCCTGCTTCGTGGAGCAGGAAGCCCAGGTCTGCAGCCACAGATCTGGCGGCTGCAGCTGCACGCGGAAAGGCAGATCCTACCTGTTCCCGGCTCCCCTAAGAGCACCGGGAGACGCAGATCCACAGCTGCAGTTTGGGCGGCTGTAGCCCCGCCCTTCTGGAGCAGGAGGCCTGGGTCTGTAGCTGTGACCCTGTGTCTGGGCTGCAGCGGCCACTCTACCTCAGAAGGGGCGGGGCTCCCACTGGCTTCATGGAGTGTGCAGCCACAGCCAGGGTTCCCTGCTGCAGCCGGCATGATGGCAGCAGCCACTGCCATCAGAACCTCCCTGGGAGCAGGGAGGACAGGCGTGGGAGGACGCTTATTCAGTG
Organism: Homo sapiens; assembly: GCF_000001405.40. Taxonomy (NCBI): domain Eukaryota; kingdom Metazoa; phylum Chordata; class Mammalia; order Primates; family Hominidae; genus Homo; species Homo sapiens. Next base: position 68,931,747 of record NC_000011.10, read on the forward strand.
GCTTCTTCCAGGGAGAGGTTCTCGAGATGTCCTTAAAGGAGGTCTTCATCCTCTGGAAAGCCTTTGGGTGGAGGAAGTTTGGAACTGTGCCCTTGAGCAGGGACCCTGTTGTGTAGGAGGGAGTAGGATGGTTTCGGGGGAAGACGTTGGGTGGCGTTCCCTGCAGAGAGTAGGATGGTTTTGGGGGAAGACGTTGGGTGGCGTTCCCTGGAGAGAGTAGGATGGTTTTGGGGGAAGACGTTGGGTGGTGTTCCCTGGAGAGAGTAGGATGGTTTCGGGGAAAACATTGGGTGGCATTCCCTGGAGACAGTAGGATGGTTTCGGGGAAAACATTGGGTGGCGTTCCCTGGAGAGAGTAGGATGGTTTCGGGGGAAGACGTTGGGTGGCATTCCCTGGAGAGAGTAGAATGGTTTCGGGGGAAGACGTTGGGTGGCGTTCCCTGCAGAGAGTAGGATGGTTTTTGGGGGAGGACGTTGGGTGACGTTGCGCTGAGTGTTTTGGGTTTGCAGTTGGTACTGATCATCGCGTCCTGTCCTCATTTTGTTGGAATTAAAAATACGTTAATCACAGAGGTCTGGTAAGTTTCCAGAGGGAAGGTCTCTGAAGTGGAGCTGGGTACTGCCCCAGGGTTTTGGTGGGGTTGGTGAGCCGTAGTGGTGCAGAGGGTGGGCTCTGGCACCAGGTGGCCCGGGCAGGTCCTGGCTCTGCAGCTCACCCGGGCAGCTGTGGGCTGGCAGCCTCCTCTGTCTCACCCTTCTTACATGTAATATGGGAGTCATAACAGTAGCCACCTCATGAGGTTGTTATAAGGATGAAGGGAGTTAATCCACATCTGGCACACCCAGCAGTGCCTGGCGCCTGGGCAGTGCTCAGCCGCTGCAGCCGTTCTTGGTGGGAGTGGACTTGACTGCTCACAGTTGGAGCATGTTGGAGTGTGTTCGTTCCCTGTTATGGCTGTGACAAATGACCACAAGCTTAGTGGCTGACAACAACAGATTTTCTGACCTCCAGAAACGACAATCTGGGGGTCAGATGTCCAAAATCAGACTCACCGGCTTAAAATCAAGGTGTGGGTGGGGTTGCTTCTTCTGGAGGATCCAGGGGAAAACCCATCTCCTGGTCTTTTCCGGCTCCTAGAGGCCACTGCTTGACTTGTTGCCCTTTCCTCTGTCTATGAAGCCAGCCGTGTTACGTCTTCAAATCTCTCCCCTCGGTGACCTTCTCTGACTGACCCTCGCATGCCCCCTTATAAGACCCTTGGGTTATCACCTGGGTCATCCAGGGTCGCCTCCCCATCCCAGGATCCTTAACTTCATCTCAGCTGCAGCGTCCCTGTTGTCCTGTAAGGGAACATTCACGGGCCTTGGCGATTGGATGTAGGTGCCTTTGGGGCTGTGATTCAGCCAAACCCGCCCCTTGGTTACTTCTGGGTCAGAATCCAGGGGAGAGTTGGGTCCTGAGGTTTGGGGCCTGTCCTCCTCACTTGCTGTGGTTCACACCTGGACTCTGGGGCTCAGGCCTGCCTTCCCCCTTTCTCCCTCCTGGGCGCAGGGCTGCGCTGGCAGGACTGTCACTCAGCCTGATGGAACGCCTGGCTGAGGAGTACGGCGCGAGGGTGGTGCGGACACTGACGGTGCAGTACCGCATGCACCAGGCTATCATGCGCTGGGCCTCAGACACCATGTACCTTGGGCAGCTCACAGCCCACTCTTCCGTGGCAAGGCACCTCCTGAGGTGAGTAGCTCGGCACCACCCGCCGCCCCATCCTTCTGCCCTGGCTAATCCTCTGCGTCACCTGTTTCTACGCAGCAAGCTAAAGTGAAGCTTTCTGCATGAAAGTCGACTCTGAGGCTAGCTTTTTGGAAGAGAGGGTGGCCTTGCCCTGGAGAGCTGGGTCAGGCCCGCTCCCTCCCTTCTGATGTCCTGATGTGCTCATTGTCCTCCCCTACCTAAGCCTTTTCCTCGTGGGAGGGGTCGGTTCTGTTGGGTGGGGCCTCAGTGCTGCACTGTGGCCCCCTGATGTGCTCCCTCTCTGCCTGTGTGCCAGGGACCTCCCAGGTGTGGCTGCCACAGAAGAGACGGGTGTGCCCCTGCTCTTGGTGGACACCGCCGGCTGCGGGCTGTTTGAGCTGGAGGAGGAGGACGAACAGTCGAAAGGGAACCCTGGTGAGCTTGCTTGCAGATGGCCAGCTTTTTTGTTTAAACATACCTCCAGCTCTTTAAAAATAAAAGGCACTTTAATTGCCTAATTCCGGGAGGAGCTGAGAGCAGTTGTTGATGGCCGTGAAAAAACGGAGCCCCACACTGCAAGAGGCTGAGCAGCATCGTTTTCTCCAGGGTGAGCAGACCGCTCCTGGGTGAGATGGGCCTGGCAGCATTTTACGGCCTTCTCCTGAATGGTGGCCCAGCTCTGCCTGGCTGGTCTGGTGATGGGAACTGTCATTGCTCAGCTGACACCACCATCTCCCCAGTTCCACGTTGAACAGGATGCACGGCCATAGGAGTCAAAAGGCCTTCATTGCTGATGTGAAATTCAAGTTAGCTGGGCATGGCTGGTCCTGGGGCCCTGGGACACAGATGATTAGCTCCCAGGAAGCCACCTGAGTGGAGGATCAGCTGGCCATGATAGACAGAAACGTGCCCGAAACACGTGTTGGTGGTGGATGCCCACTTGGGGCGACCTTGTGCTGCTCACCCGTTCTTTCTTTCCCTCCAGGCGAAGTCCGCCTCGTCAGTTTGCACATCCAGGCTCTGGTGGACGCTGGTGTTCCAGCCCGTGACATTGCTGTGGTCTCGCCATACAACCTCCAGGTACGAGGGTTTCCTTTTGTCCCTCTACAGAGCAGCTGGGGCTCACACAACCTAGAGGGTGAAAGAAAAAGGGTGATTTGTTGGCTGTGGTGACCGAAAAGTTCAGGGGTAGGGCTGACCTTATTGTGACTGGATCCAGGGCCCAAATGATGTCGTCAGGGGCCCCTCTGCGTGTTCGTCTGCCCGCCCCACCTTGCCCCGCCCTGCCCGGTGCCCCAGCCTTCTGCACTGGCTTGTGTTCTGGCCAGATTTGCTGGGTGACCCCGGCAGCCTCAGGCTGACACAGTCCTTCCACGGGCAGCCCTGGCGGAACAGCCTGTCCTTTTCTGGCATTTCCCACAGGAGTCTCAGCCTTGAGCCTTGCTGGTCTGGCTCAGGTCGTGTTCCCATGCGTATCTCATTTGGTAGGAAAAATGTACCTTCTGGAGTATCGGGAGGATCTGTGGAAGTGGCCATCATACCTTCCTGGTGTGCAGGCATCACACATAGGGCTGTCTGAGGCTGGCGGCTGTCATAAGCCAAAAGAAATGATCAAATGCCAGGGACAGGGTGTGGTATTGGCGTGCATGCGTGCCCGTGAGGAGGGCGAACGGGAAGCCTTTCCCCATGGGGCTCCTGCAGGCTCCGCTTCCCAGGTCCTGGCTGTTTCACAGCGTGAGGCCCTCTGCTGAGCTGAAGGGCAGGGTCTTGCTGCGCTGGCATGGGTGGGTGAGGAAACCACAGCCCGGCTGGTGTTTCAGGTGGACCTGCTCAGACAGAGCCTTGTGCACAGGCACCCTGAGCTTGAAATCAAGTCTGTCGATGGCTTCCAAGGCCGAGAGAAGGAGGCCGTGATACTGTCCTTCGTCAGATCCAACAGGAAAGGTACGGAGCCCTCGCCAGAGTCCTTTGGGGACAGCACAGAAGTGAATTTATTGATTGAGGGGCATATTGGGTGTCTGCTGGGTGCCACACTGGTTTCTGGCAGTGTGCTCATGGTGCACCTTCTGTCCTTAGTAAGTTCACGTCAGGCAAAGCACAGGCAAGAGAGTCTGCAGAGGCTCAGAGGCGTGAGTGTGCTGTCAGGGAGCAGGTGGCTGGGGTGGCAGCTGGGGGCGCAGGGTGGGCTGGGAATGATCAGGACATCCTGCCGAGGAGGTGAAGCCCCCTGCAGCCCAGAGCTGGCCTTTAGCCTCCATGCACGGAGCCGCGGGGTGTGGTGGTCGTGGCTGTGGTTTCTGTGCTGCTGTGGTGTGTGGGCTTTCCCATTTGGGATGAGCATTGTTCCCAGAAGCAGGTTTAGTGAACGGGCTTTGTGAGACATTCTCAGAAGGCAGAAAGCAGGTGAGGCCTGGCTAGAAGCTATGGGGGAAAGAAGGGAAGGTCCTGGAAGGTTTCTTGTGCTTTCTCCCTGGTGCCAGCTGCAGCCACACCCCAGGCGGCCCCTGAGGCTGGGCTTAGAAGGAAAGGAGCGACAGAACCCAGTCGGGTTCCCCAGAGCCCCACTCAGTCAGCCGTGGCAGCCAGATGCCAGGGCAGGTGTGGCATCACGGTGCCACGCGTGGCCGGGCACCCGTGTGGATGGTGGGCCACGCGCAGGGGACTACACTTTTGGTGGTGGTTACTGATAAGGGCGTAGGAGCCTGACTGTGTTTCTTAGTCTGAAACCTGCTTCTCACTCCCCTCTGGCCTTTTGTAGGTGAAGTTGGTTTTCTTGCTGAGGACCGGAGGATCAACGTGGCTGTCACCCGTGCCCGACGCCACGTGGCGGTCATCTGTGACTCCCGTACTGTCAACAACCATGCATTTTTGAAGACCCTGGTGGAGTATTTCACACAGCATGGGGAAGTACGCACGGCCTTTGAGTATCTTGACGATATTGTCCCAGAAAACTATTCCCATGAGAACTCCCAGGGTTCCAGCCACGCTGCCACCAAGCCCCAGGGACCTGCTACGTCCACCAGGACCGGAAGCCAGCGGCAGGAGGGAGGCCAGGAGGCTGCAGCACCTGCCAGACAGGGCCGGAAGAAGCCGGCTGGGAAGTCTCTGGCCTCTGAAGCTCCATCTCAGCCCAGCCTCAACGGAGGCAGCCCAGAGGGAGTGGAGAGCCAAGATGGCGTGGACCACTTCCGGGCCATGATAGTGGAGTTCATGGCCAGCAAGAAGATGCAGTTGGAGTTTCCTCCTTCCCTCAATTCCCACGACAGGCTGCGGGTCCACCAAATAGCCGAGGAGCACGGGCTGAGGCACGACAGTTCCGGGGAAGGGAAGAGGAGGTTCATCACTGTGAGCAAGAGGGCCCCGCGACCCCGAGCAGCCCTGGGACCCCCAGCAGGGACCGGTGGCCCAGCCCCTCTCCAGCCAGTGCCCCCTACCCCTGCGCAGACAGAGCAGCCTCCCAGGGAGCAGCGTGGCCCAGACCAGCCTGATCTGAGGACGCTGCACCTGGAGAGACTGCAGAGGGTCAGGAGCGCGCAGGGGCAGCCCGCCAGCAAGGAGCAGCAGGCCTCAGGGCAGCAGAAACTTCCAGAAAAGAAAAAGAAAAAAGCCAAAGGTAAGTCAACTAATAAGAACTTGGGGCAGTGTCCCCTCACTGGGGTGCTGGCCCCACTTGGAGCCCACCTGCCACCATCAACAGAAGGAAGGGCTTCCTCCTGGTGGCACCGTGCCCGTGTCATTTTAGCTTTATTTTCAGTCATGCCACTCCCAGCTCCGTCTGGGCTCCCCTAGGTCGGTGATCAGGTCACGGGCACCTTCTTTTCCCAGACCCTGTGTGGGACTCGGCAAGTAGGCAGCACTCAGAGCATGTCTGCAGCAGCAGGAGGGGCCTGGAAGAGCAAACATGGATGGCTCCCTGGAGCCCCTCGGGAATGGAGCGATCACGGGGTCCCATGCAACATGTGGCCCTGGAGGGTGGAGGTCTTGCACAGCGAAAGGGTGCACTCTGCCTGGAAGTTGTCCTGGGCAAAATGCTCAGAACCACAGGGGCTGGCTGAGCGCAAAACCATTCTTGCCCTTGGGCCATGTGGAGTCCCTGGGTGGGCTCTGCCCCGTTTGCCACATCCTGCATTGTGCCCACCCCGCAGGAGCTGGCTAGGCGTGCAGTGGGAGTTGGCCAGGCATACGCTGGCAGAGCGTGTAGCGGTCTTGGGGAACTCCTGCTACTGCCATTTTCCTCAGCAAGAGCATGCAGGAGTTCCAGCTTGCATTGATTCATTGAATTCCTGAAGCGAAGCTACACCAGCACATGGGTGGCTTTGAAAGGGGCCTCCCAGAGCCTGGGGCTCCAGAGGAATTCACTCCCCAAACCTTTGTTGAGCAGCTACTGTATGCCACGCTTTGTGCTAGAGGACAGGACTGATGCCACCCCTGCCCCCAGGCACTGACAGGGTAGCAGAGGGAAGACACATGAGCTGCTTTTTAATTTTTTTTAGAATTAATAGAGACGGGGTCTCACTCTGTCACTATGTTGCCCAGGCTAGTTTTGAACTCCTGGCCGCAAGCAGTCCTCCTACCTCAGCCTCCCAAAATGCTGGGATTACAGGTGTGAGCCACCGTGCTTAGCCATGAATTGATTTTAAAACCTTAAATGAGGGGCCAGGTGTTGTCTTTCCGTTTGCCTGAGTGACGCGGGTCTTCTCCAGGACATCCGGCCACAGATCTGCCCACGGAGGAGGACTTTGAGGCCCTGGTTTCTGCCGCCGTTAAGGCTGATAACACCTGCGGCTTTGCCAAGTGCACAGCCGGCGTCACAACCCTGGGCCAGTTCTGCCAGCTCTGCAGCCGCCGCTACTGCCTCAGCCACCACCTGCCCGAGGTATGTCGGCCTCCCCTCCTGCGATCAAACAGTGGGGAGGGGTGGTGGGTTCCGTCTCCAGGAAGCAGACCCTGGGCAGACTTGTTCCAGTCGGAACAGTTAGCTCCTTACAATCTCCAGATACCTTCAGAAACAGAAATCAGACACTGACTCATGATCGGTTTTCAGCACATCAGGGCACAAGCAAACAAAATGCCTTATTTGCTGAGCTGCAGCCACGTTAGTGGGAATTCTGGGCAGAGGGAATTTTGTCCCAGTGTCCTTGGGTTCTGTCAGTGGCCTAATCTGGTCTGTTTGGCATAGGGGAGGTGGGAGGCAGAGCCTCCAGCCCGTCATCTGAGCTGGCCATGGCCCGGCTGCTGTGTCATTCATTCCTTGAGCCGGGGTTGATGAGAACCCCCTGGGCCAGGTGTGGGCGCCTGTGGAAAGCCGAGGTCTGAACCAGCCTTGTCTCTACCCTGGAGGATGCTGGGCCTGGTGGGGGACCTGGGTAAGAGACCAGCATACAGTACCAGGTGTTGAGTGCTCTGAGGAAGAAAACCCAGGGCCAGGGTGGCAGCAGGGTCACCCACCCAGATGCAGCAGTCAGGGTGGGCTTCCTGGAGGAAGTAACACTGGAGCTGAGACCTGTGGGACAGAAGGTGGGAGCTGGGCTGGGAAGGACAGGGCCGATGGCGGGTGGGCAGGCAGGCTATCCACCCTTAGAACATGCATAAAGCCCCAGGCCCAGTCAGAGAGTTGGGAGTAGAGTGTGAGGCAGATGGCTAGAGTTGAGGCTGGGCATGTCCTGGCGAGCTGCCTGGAGGAGTCAGGCCTGATCTGAAGGCAGTGGGGTACCCTCTAGGGTGTCAGCAGGGCTGTGATGTCACCAGTCTTGGCTGCAGTGTGGATTAGGTAGGCGGAGGCTGGGAGGCAGTGGGAAGTGGCCGCAGGGACCGTGTGGTCAGTCAGGGTGGTGCCATTTCCTGTGTGCACACTCGGGGGCTCCCGCCACACCAGGGTGCAGACCACCCCGCCGCTCTCCCGCCAGGCAGCCTGCAGGGTGAAGGACTGACATGGCGGGAGGAGTGGCCTTCTCTGTTGGGGCGCCTGTGGCCCCCCAGCTCTTTGATAGGCAGAGCTGCAGGATCTGCCTCCTTGCCCCTGTGAGCCCAGCAGTGATTCTTGTGTCCTCCCCAGATCCATGGCTGCGGTGAGAGGGCTCGCGCCCATGCCCGGCAGAGAATCAGCCGGGAAGGGGTCCTCTATGCCGGCAGCGGGACCAAGAACGGATCCCTGGACCCAGCCAAGAGGGCCCAGCTGCAGAGGAGGCTGGATAAGAAGCTGAGTGAGCTCAGCAACCAGAGGACCAGCCGGAGGAAGGAGAGGGGGACGTGACCGGCCGCATCCTTGCACGCCCCGCGGAGCTCTCTCCATGGTAGCCCAGGGCGCTGGCAGACCATGCTCCGCCTCCACCAGGGCCACAGAGGAGCGGAGGGGCCTATGGGGGAGGAGCGGAGGGCCCTGTTGGGGAAGGTTGGGTTTTTGGACCCCAGGGATAAGCTTTTCCGATGTCACAATGTGGAGGAAAGCACCTGGGGGACAACAGTGCTCGTGCAGGTGGGGCTTGGGAAATGCACGTCCCTTCCCCTTACTCCCCGCCAAAACCCACATCCCAGCCTCTGGATCCTGGGGAAGGTTCCAGTCCCTGGAGAATACCCAGGGCCTCAAACTTGAAGTCACTCCTCCAATGTCTGGGACTTGCCAGCTCAGCCCGTTAGGATGAGGGTGCTGAGAGGAAACAGGAAACAAGACTGCGAATGGCGCTCAGGCAGGGAGCAGGGAGTGGCGTTTGGCTTGCACGTTCCCATGTGGCCAGATGCTGGGGCCACTTTCCTTCTGTCTGCTGGTGACTGCAGTGTTCCCCCTCCTCCTCACCACGGGGCTCCTGTGAGTCTGGGGGGCACCTCTTTCTGGCCTGTGCACCTCTCTCTGGCTTATAAAGGTGCCTGGCCTGTGCCAGCCCCTCCTTGTTGCGCCTCACCGTGGGGACCAGGTGAGCCGGCTCTCCCACGTGGTTGTCCCGGGAAAGCTGCCCCACAGCCTCAGCATCTTCAGCACTTACCGATCCAGAGCCTCCCGGCCTTCTCCGGTGTCCTGTACCAACTCTTCTATTTAAGAGAACCTCAGATGATGTACCTGAGCCTCAGGGTTTTGTTTCAGAGGGATATAAATTATTTAAAAATTAAATGAAAACGTTGCACACTGCCCCAGTGTGTCTGCTGCGGGTCTAAGGGGCGCGCCCTTTGCCTGTTCTGCTCAGCTGCTGTGCCCTCCCCGCCGCGTCTCTCAAGCCCCCTCTCCTTCTGACCTCTCTGCGGCAGACTCTCCCGGTGCAGGCTCCTCTCTCCTTAAATCCCATTCATGTCCTTTTATGTCCCCGATGGTTCTGAGTGAGGTTGAGCTTCCCTGACCTGCACCTAGGGTGGCTGTCCCCCAGAGGCCATTTACGCAGCGCATTCGGCTAATGTGTCCTCAGGCCAGGCCTGCACGCTTTGACTGCCGTGTTCTTGCTGGTCCTGGGCGACTCTCCCTTCCTACCCGGACTGACGCCCCACCCTGGGCCACTAGAGCCCCTCCTCCTCCCCCTGTCCTGTCCTTGTCTGTTCCCGTCAAGTGGCTTTTGGACTGAATTGTTTGGGAAGGGGACCAGGACTCTACTGCATTTTGTGTCAAGTGCGGCAGAGTTAATCTGGTTGCTTCCATAAGTGCTGAGCACCATGCACAGAAGGCTGCAGTTCTCATGCTCTTTGAGGACCCGTGGCTGTGGGAGGCATTTGTGTAATGATGCTCTTGGGGGATGAGGGCACCATTGGAAGCATCTCCCGGTTGACACAGCACACAGGGACAGGTGTTCTTCCTGCAGGGGCGGGGGCGGGGGTGCCTGCTTAAGCTCCCCAACTTCCCAGAATCCAAACAGCTGATAAGAGTCCTGCCCTGGGGTTGACACGGATGCTGAAAGATGTTGGCTCTTGGGTGGGAGACAGCCGACAGCCACACTCCCTGCCTCCTAGGTAGCCTGTCTGCAGGAGAGAAGGAGGCCAAAGAGAAACAGACCCAAAAATGGGGGTGGGAGAGTGACCTGATGACACTGTTTGAGCACCTGGATGTAGCCATGCCTGACCTCCACCCCATTCTTCCTGGTGTCCTGAGCTAGTAAATCCCCTTTTTTAGCTGAAGAAGTCTGCCTTGGGTTTTTGTCACTTGCTGCCAAAGAATCTTTGCTGACCCAGTCATGCCCACATCTGTTTATCTTATTGGGCATACCCCTCCCAGCATGGAGGCAGTATGGAATTAGTGTCGCCCCACTCATTAGAGAAGGCACGATTGGAATCCAAGCCCTGTACCTTTATCCAGGTGTTCTTCTGTGGGCCGTCCCACCAGGAGGAGCTTGAAGTAGAGGAAGGCAGCCAGCATCAGCGGCGGGCCGGGCGGGTGGGGGGTGGAAGCTTCTGGAATCGGAGGGACCTGAGTCTGAACGCCAGCCAGCACCACCGTCCACTGAGGTGTGGCCTCAGCAAGTCACCTCTCCTCTCTGAGCCTGTTTGTCATCTATGAAGCAGGACGGGAACAGTTGCTGCCGCGCCAGCTGTGCTAAGTGGAAGACATGAAGTGCAGCATCATGTCCTTGCGGGACCTGGCTCCGGGTTTGTCGTCTCCCTGGCTGTGCCCCCCAGCCTCCTGCATGGAGCCTTCTCCCCTTCAGCACTGACCACCGCGGCCCTTGGTGATGCATTGTTAAAATGCCAGAACCCAAGGTTGCAACATAAAAAGTTTCCATTTCTCATCCCAGAGAGGCCTTGTTAGGAAAATATTTGTAGCTGGTTGTTTGAAAAGTACCCTACAGTTTGGCCTGGATAGGGTAACCCAAGAAAAGGAAAAAAATTTCCCAAGCCAAACGTCTCCCTGGCCAGCTGGAGTGTGGTCTTGCTGACAGTAGCTGCAGGCTGTAGCCCACCCGGGCCGGAACCGGGTGGAAGAGAGTAGAGGACTCCCTTCTAAGGAGAACTGCCCACCTCCACCCGTGCGGCTCCCCTGAGGTAGCCCTGCCATGTGCTCCTTTCCGGGGGTGCCGGGCAGGGCAGTGGGCACAGGCAGGAGCCCCTGCCAGCTCTGGGCTTTGCTCCTGAGTTTACTTGGGATGTGCTGCGTGCCTTGGGGCCTCAGTTTCCTCCTCTGTAACATGGGGAAGTAACAAGACCTGTCTCAGGGTAGCTGTGAAGATGAAATGATCAAACACACAAGGCCTTGGGTACGGCGCCTGGCTTCTAATAAATGTATTGCCCTCCTCCTCGTCATCTTGCAAAGCAGCAGTGGAGAGGAACGAGACGGCACATGCCGCTATAGAAGGGTTTCAGCAAATGGCCTTTCCTACCAGAGACAGAGGCAAGAGTGCCCAGGTCCCAAGGGCCCACCGGTCAGCTGCTGGTGGAAGTCGCAGGTCCCCCAGTGTGGGTCTGCCTGGCTTCCTTGCACCCAACACAGCTCGCCCCCGCCCTGTGCCGAGCAGGCCAAGGGTGGGCCAAGGGCGGGCCTAGGGCAGGCCTGCTCTGTTTACCTTGGTTTGTTTGGAGCTGCCCAGAGGGATCCCAGAGTGGGCTGAAGGGCACCACGCTGCTTTGGGAGGTTTTAGGCCCACGTTATAGCCCTGGCACTTAAAAGGAATTGTGGTCACCACTGGGAGCATAGCAAAAGCTGCAGCCTTATTTGGTCTGGAAACTTCTTTGCTTGCAGGAAAAGCAGAATGGGGAAGCAGGCTCTCGTGTGGGTGGGCAGATTGGGGCCAGTTCTTCATTACCCAGGGATATGAATTACTTTGCTACCTCACTTGGCTCTGGTTTTGGCTTCTGGCCTTCTCCACTGAAGCTGCAGCTCACAATCTCCCCCAGCCCTCAGCTGCCAATGAGCTGTTCTGTTGTGCAGCTTTATTGAGGTGTAATTGTCATGCCATAGAATGCACTCGTTGTAAATATACGATTCAGATTCGATGATGTTAGTAAACATGGGGCTGGGCCACATACCCCTACCCGTCCCTACTGCTGGGTGCTGGTCTGCAGTTAATCTCTGCTCCTGCCCTCAGCCCCAGGCAGTCACCAGTCAGCTTTCTGTCCCTATAAATTTGCCTTTTCTGGAAACTTCATATAAATATAGACTGTCCCCAACTCCCCGTGGTTTTGACGTAACGATTTTTTGACTTTACAATGGTGCAAAGGCTTGTATGCATTCAGTAGAAACCACCATTCTGTGTTCATGTTCAGTACAGTATTCAGTAAATGACATGAGAAATTCAACACTTTATATTATCAAATAGGTTCTGTGTTAGATAAGTGTGCTCAGTAAGCGTTCTGAGCATGTGTAGGGTAGGCTAGGCTAAGCTACGATGCCCAGGAGGTCAGGTGTATTGAAAGCATTTTCAATCTGCAATGTTTTCAATTCCCCATGGATTTGTGGGGAACATATTCCCATCATAAGTCGAGGAACATCCGTATCCAGCCCCGTGCATCTGCGTTCTTTTACTTCACCTGATGTTTTTGAGGTTTGCCCATGTGGTGGTGTGTATCAGTGTTTCAGTTCTTTTTATTGTCAAACAATGTCCCATTGTATGGATACACCCATTTAGTGTATCCACTCATCTATCGGATATTCAGATTGCTTCCACTTTTTGGCTGTTTTGACCCATGAGGCTGCTATGAATATTCATCGTTCAAGTCCTTCTGTGAAAACATGCATTCTCATTTTTCTTGGGTAGATTCTTAGAAGTGGAATTGCTGGGTCATAAGTTAGTTTATTCATTTAAGAAACTACCAGGCTTTTCCAGAGAGGTTACACCATTTTACATTCCTGCCAGCTATGTATGCGGGTTCTAGTTTTTCTGTTCTTGCCAACATTTGGTATTGTCTGATTATTATTACTATTACCACCATGTTGGTGGGTATATACTATGATCTCATTGTAGTTTTAATTTGCATTTTCTTAAAGACTAAGGAAGCTGAGCACCCTTTTCCTGCGCTTACGGGACATGTAGATATCTCCTTTGGTAAATTTTTCTTTTTTTTTTCTTTTTTTTTTTTTGAGACAGGTCTTAGTTTGTAGCTCAGGCTGGAGTGCAGTGGCACAAACAGGGCTCACTACAATCTCGACCTCCTGGGCTCAAGGGATCTCCAGGCTCAAGGGATCCTCCAACCTCAGCATCCCCGAGTAACTGGGACTACAGACGCGTGCCACCACACCTGGCTATTTTTTTTTTTTGTAAAGATGGGGTTTCGCCATGTTGCCCAGGCTGATCTCAAACTCCTGGGCTCAAGTGATTTGCCCACCTTGGCCTCCCAAAGTGCTGGGATTACGGGCGTGAGCCACCACACCTGGCCTCTTTTATTATTATTATTTTCATAGAGACAGGGTCTTGCTTTTTTGCCTGGGTTGGTCTTGAACTCCTGGGCTTAAGCCATCCTCCTGCCTCAGCCTCCCAAAATACTGGGAATATAGCTTTTGCTAAGCTCCCAGCAGTGACCACAATTCCTTTTAAGTGCCAGGGCTATAATGTGGGCCTAAAACCTCCCAAAGCAGCGTGGTGCCCTTCAGCCCACTCTGGGATCCCTCTGGGCAGCTCTGGGATTATAGGTGTGAGTTACCGTGCCTGGCCCTTTGGTGAAATTTCTGTTCAAATCTTTTGCTCATTTTTAAGATAAATTGAAGTGTCCTATTATTGAGATATAAGATATCTTTAGGCCGGGCATGGTGGCTCATGCCTGTAATCCCAGCACTTTGGGAGGCCAAGGCAGGCGGATCACGAGGTCAAGAGATCAAGACCATCCTGGCCAACATGGTGAAAGGCCATCTCTACTAAATATACAAAAATTAGCGGGGGCATGGTGGTGTGCACCTGTAATCCCAGCTACTCAGGAGGCTGAGGCAGGAGAATCGCTTGAACCTGGGAGGCAGAGGTTGTAGTGAGCCCAGATCATGCCACTGCACTCCAGCCTGGGCGACAGAGGGAGACCCTGTCTCAAAAAAACAAAACAAAACAAAACAAAACTTTATATAGCCTGGATAGAAGTCTTTTATCAGATGTATGATATGCAAATATTATCTCCCAGTCTTTGGATTCTTTCAACATTTCCTTAATATTGTCTTTGGAAGTGCAAAAGTTTTAATTTTTTAAAGTCCAGTTTATCGATTTTTTTTCTTTTATGGCTGTGCTTTCTGTGTCATGTCTAACATCTCTTTACCTAAATTGAGATCACAGAGGTTTTTCCTATGTTTTCTTTTAGACATTGTACAGATTTAGTTCTTCTGTTCAGGTCTGTGATCCATCTTGAGTTCATTTTCATGTATGGTATTGGTATAAGGCAAGGGCCAAAGGTTGGTTGGTTTGGTTGGTTGGTTGTTGCATGCGGATCTCCAGTTGTCTCAGCAATTGTTGAAAGACTCCTGTTTCTTCACGGAATTTCCTTGGCATCGTGTTAAATATTGTTTGAGCATAAATGGAGGGGTTCATTTCTGGGTTCTCAATTCTGTGCCATTCATCTGTCCATCCTTACGCTAATACCACAGGCTCCTCCCGTCCCCATCATGAGGGCAGCCTTCTGGTCATGGAGACATTGCAAGTTTACACTTAGAGGCACGGCCCCCACAACCCGTCTCTGACTCAGCGAAAATGGAAAGAGTTTTGAAAACATATAGCCACACTCAAGATAAACACCCCCGTGTTCCAGACCACAGAGAGAAACAGGGCTGGCTGGGTGCGATGGTTCACATCTGTAATCCCAGCACTTTGGGAGGCCGAGACGGGCGGATCACCTGAGGTCAGGAATTTGAGACCAGCCTGGCCCAACATGGTGAAACCCCGTCTCTACTAAAAATACAAAATTAGCCGGGCATGGTGGCACATGCCTGTAATCCCAGCTACTCGGGAGGCTGAGGCAGGAGAATTGCTTGAACCTGGGAGGCGGAGGTTGCAGTGAGCCCAGATCGCGCCACTGCACTCCAACCTGGGCGACAGAGCGAGACTCTGTCTCAAAAAAAAAAAAAGAAAGAAAAAGAAACAGCTGGCCGAGGAGGGGACGCTGTGGACCTGCTAGGGTCCTCGTCTGGTCAGGAGCAGGGGCGGCCTGGAGCCTTTTTTCCTGTGGGCCAAAGGAACAAAAACGGCCAGTTACGAAGTGGGATCTGAGCCAGGCTCTCACTATGAAACTAGATGGTAAGGCAGGCTTTCTGATTCATCAGAGGAAAAAAAAAAAAAGCTGTTCCAGTTACTATGGCTGCATAACACATCTACCCAAAACAGCCATTTATCACATTCATGGGTTCTGTGGCTCAAGAATTTGGACAGAGCACAGTGAACATGGAGATTCGAGAGGCCGGTGCTTGTCTCAAGGTGGCACCGACCCTGAGGTGAAATTTGGCCCTGGGGCTGCGGTAGGGTCAGGCCGACCTTGTCCCCTGCTGAGACCCCATGTTTGCTTAGCTCCCCAGCACCCACCCTGAGAGTCGCCCAGTGAGTCGCATGCCCCCGGCTCAGGCTGCCTTCTGGGCACCGGACTTGAGCGTCAGTCCCCAGCCTCGCAGCCCTAGGTGCCAGTCATGTGCTGATTATCTCCAGCTTTGATCCCTCCCCACACTCCAAATACCACTCACATTTCTCCTGGGATGTTTAGTAGGCAGGTGAGTGCAGCGCCTCCAGAATCCAGTGCCTGGTCTGCCCCGGGGAGTGGACTGAGCGCTTCCCTCCCCACAGGTAAATCCATATGCTAATCCCCAAACCTGCGAATGTGACCTTATCTGGGAAAAGAGTCTTCGCAGATGTAATTAAGTAAAGGTTCTTGAGAGGAGATCATCCCGGGTTACCTGGATGGTCCCTAAATCCAATGACAGGTGTCCGTCTAAGAGACATGTGAGAAGAGAAGGAGGCTGCCTGCAAACACAGGCAGAGGCTGGCGTGGTGCAGCCACAGGCCAAGGAACGTGGAGCCCCCAGAAGCTGGAAGTGGCAGGACAGGGCCGCCCCTCGAGATTTTATCTTGAAGAGAGAGAATCAGTTTCTGGGTTTGTTGTTGTTGCTGTTTTTTGAGATGGAGTTTTGCTCTTGTTGCCCAGGCTGGAGTGCAGTGTCGCAATCTCAGCTCACTGCAACCTCCGCCTCCTGGGTTCAAGCGATTCTCCTGCCTCAGCCTCCCGAGTAGCTGGAATTACACCTGGAATGACAGGTGCCCGCCACCACACCCAGCTAATGTTTTTATACTTTTAGTAGAGACAGGTTTTTGCCATGTGGCCAGGCTAATTTCGAACTCCTGACCTCAAGTGATCCACCCGCCTCGGCCTCCCAAACTGCTAGGATTACAGGCGTGAGCCACCGCACCAGGCCGTCGCTGCTTTTGAGTCAGGGTCTCAGTGTGTGACCCAGGCTGGAGTGCACTGGTGCGATTATAGCTCACTGAAGCTTCAGCCTCCAGGGTTCAAGTGATCCACCTGCCTCAGCCTTCCAAAGGGCTGGGATTACAGGCGTGCGCCACTGCCTCTGGCCTTCTTACATCTTTTTTCCTGTTTTCTATCTCTCCATCTCTTCCTTTTTTAAACAATGAGATGTTCCTCAGCCTTATTTTCCAACCATTTTATTTTTGTTTAGGTTTTAAAAATTCACACCATTTTCCTTTCAGCATCGAAGAGCCCTTCCCTCATGTCCCTTTTTGCAGTGCTCTCCCTGTGGGGCTGCGTCTTCTCTTTTCTGTCTGTGGGTGTGGTTTTGTATTGTTTGCTGCTTTCTTTTTCCTGCAGTGTTTCGATTACAAATGGCTTCCGTCTGCCTTTCGCATCGTGGCTTTCTGCAGATTCTGGTAGTTGTCCCCTCCTATCAGCCAGGGACTGACTCTCCAAGACCGTGCGGAGGGCTCGCTGACTGTGGGCTTCACTGAGGCATCAGCTGCCCGGCCGTTGAGCCAGGGACCAGAAGTCTTTCCCCCTGGATGTGCCAGGTTGCAATCACAGTCTCTGTTCATACACCTGCTTACTCACCCTCCACTCAGTACGGGGTTCCCCCGCCCAGCTATGCCTTGGGACCCTCAGGCAGACTCATTCTGTTTTACCCACTGCAGAGCCTAGTCGGGTATTTGGTCTTTTCTCAGAGTAGAGGAGGAGGCTTCTCTGAGTAGCAGATGGGATTAGAAGATCTGATTGCTGCTGCTTTCATAAAAATTGTAAAATATCTATAACATGAAATTTAACATTTTAACCATTGTGTAAGCAAGTGTACAACTCAGCGGCATCCCTTACATTCCCAGCATTGTGCAACCATCACCACCATCTGTCTCCAGAACTTTCTCATCTTCCCACATGGAAACTCCATCCCCATCAAATACCAACCCCCCAGCCCCTGGAATCTCTGTTCATTTTCTGTCTCCATGACTGATTGCTTCTTTTAAAGACTTCCATCCACCCGCCTTATTTTAGCTCCTTCCCACCCCACTTCTTGGGCTCCCAAGGCCCCCAGTTCCTGAGCCTTTAGGTGATTCTGTGGCATCAATTTATTTAGTGGCCTTATGTAGATGTGTGTGTTCAATCCGCTAACTTTACATGGATGTTTCTCTAGATCAGGGGGTCCCAGGGGTACGGGTCCATGACCTGTTAGGAACTGGGCCTCACAGCAGGAGGTGAGTGGTGGGTGCACCCGTGAAGCTTCATCTGTATTTACAGCCACTCCTCACTGCTCGCGTCACCGCCCGAGCTCCGCCTCCCGTCAGATCAGCGGCGGCGTTAGATTCTCATAGGAGCGCGAACCCTATTGTGAACTGCGCATGCGAGGGATCCAGGCTGCGTGCTCCTTTATGAGACTCTGATGCCTGATGATCTGTCACTGTCTCCCATCACCCTAAGATGGGACTGTCTAGTTGCAGGGAAAGAAGCTCAGGGCTCCCACTGATTCTACATTATGGTGAATTGTAGAATTATTTTATTATATATTACAATGTCAATAATAGAAATAAAGTGTGCAATAAATGTCATGCGCTTGGGTCATCCTGAAATCATTCCCCCTGCCGCCCCACGGCCTGGCCCATGGAGAAATTATCTTCCACGAAACCGGTCTCTGGTGCCAAAAAGGCTGGAGACTGTTGCTCTATAATATTTAAGTTATCTTTTGCAGAGACTTTGTTTTTTGAGACAGGGTCTTGCTCTGTTGGCCAGGCTGGAGTGCAGTGGCACAATCACGGTTCATTGTAGCCTCGACCTCCTGGGCTCCAGAGATCCTCCCACCTCAGCTTCCTGAGTAGCTGGGACTACAGACACATGCCACCATGCCCAGATAATTTTTTAAAAAAATTTTTAGTAGAGATAGGGTCTTTGTTGCCCAGACTGGTCTGCTGGGCTAAGTGATTCTCTCACCTCAGCCTCCCAAAGTGTTGGGGTTACAGGCGTGAGTCACCACACCTGGCCCTTTGCAGATACTTTGTAAACAACCAGTAGAATCATTTTATAATCACATTATATTACATAATCATTTAATGTTAGTGCTTAATGACAAAAGTTGGATATAAAACTACAAAATCAGCATGCTCAACGTACGCCAAACACACATATATGCATAGAAAAGATGGAGCTGGGTGTGGTGGCGCACACCTGTAGTCCGAGCTACTCAGGAAGCCAAGGCAGGAGGATCGCTTGAGCCCAGGAGTCCCAGGCCAGCCTGGGTAAACATAGTGAGACCTTGGCTCTAAAATTAAAAAAAGAAAAAGAAAAGATACAAAGGCATATGGCCATTGTAAACACCTCTGATCTTTGGGATTTGGTGTGATTCTTGGTCTCTCGTTTATAGCTAAAAAAAAAAAAAGTTTCTCCAATGATGAATGTTGGTTCTATAATCAGAACAGGACAATTCCTGCTGGTTTTCCAGTTAGGCAGCTGATGGGGTCGCAGCTGCTCCCATTTTTCAGCAAGTGCCAAGGAAAGGCCAGATTTCCAGTGGGTCTGGGGTCCTCCACATTCTTTCTCCATCCCAGGCCTGTGTGGTCTCGGTGGCTGTGGGCTGGGGTGAGCCAGAGTTGGGCAGTGAGGAGAGGGAAATTGGCCCAGTTTGTGTCTTAGAAAAGTCCCTCTGGTGGCTGCCTTGAGGAGGTGTCTGAGGTGGAAAACCTGCCAGCAGCTATAGTCTGGAGAAGTCAGAGTCAGGTGGGGTACACAGGGGCGCATCTGCTGACTATGCATGGGCTCAGTCATCAGAACTTGCAGACTGGCCTCCTGCAGGGGTGAGGGGCTGGGAAGATCCCCACGCTTCCGGCTTGGGGGACGAGTGACTTTAATGGCTCACAAAGCACTGTCCAAATGTTCTTAATAATAAGAATTGTATTTCTTTCTTGTTTAATGCACATATGCTACCCAGAAGTCCCACACTCCTGGAAATGCATGTATATGCAGAATTCCGGGTTTTCTAGTGATGTCAGGCTGATTGGCATCTACCAGACAGTTCTACTGAGACCTGGGGCCCCTCGCCATGAGCAGAAGCAGGGAAGGCTGCAGCCCCCCTGGGGTAGGAGCTCTTTGTCCTCATTGTAGCAGCGGTGGATGCAGCTCTCAGCCTGGCCCTTTCAAAGTCAGCCGGATAGGGTCGGAGTTCCTCCTGTCACTTGGGTCAGCCGGACAGGGGCCGAGCTCCTCCTCTCACAGGCCCGCTCTGTCTCATGACAGGTGTCAGTACCCGCTTGTCTGCTGGGAGAACTGTGTGATTCTCTGACAGAGGTCATGACACCTTGGTACATTCTGCACCTTGGTTGCTGGGGGAGACATCTGACATCAGCCCGGCCAGGAGAACCCAGCTGTGGTTCCAGGTGTGGTGTGTGGCTCCAGGGAATGGCCTTTGGGGGTTTCAGCCAGTCACGGCAAGCCTATCCCCTTGACCTGTGCCTATTCTAGGTGGACCTGGGAGCCTGATTCCAGGGGGACCTGGGAACCTGGTTCTGTTTAATGAACAGCGGAGAGGAGGACAGAGGAGAGAGGCCCCCAGAGGCTGGGGGCCTCTGGGAAAGATCTGATTTACATTTTCTTTCTTTTTTGAGGCAGGGTCTCGCTCTGTTGCCCAGGCTGGAGTACAGTGGTGCAATCATGGCTCACTGCAGCTTCAACCTTCTGGGCTCAAGCGATCTTCCTACCTCATTCTCCCCTGTAGCTGAGACTACAGGCATGCGCCACCAATATCTAGCTAATTTTTGTATTTTTTGTAGAAATGGGGTTTCACCATGTTGCCCAGGCTGCTCAAACTCCTGGGCTGAAGCAATTTACCTGCCTTGGCCTCCTGAAGTGCTGGGATTACAGGTGTGAGCCACCGTGGCAGCTCTGTTTTTAAGGTTTCACTCTGTCACCCAGGCTGGAGTGCGGTGGCACAATCACAGCTGACTGCATGCAGCCTCCACCTCCTGGCTTGAAGTGATCCTCCCATCTCACCCTCCTGAGTAGCTGGGACTGCAGGCATGTGCCACCCAGCTAAAAAATACACCCAGCTAATTTTTGTATTTGTTGTAGAGATGGGGTTTCACCATGTTGCCCAGGCTGGTCTCAAACTCCTGAGCTCAAGCAACCCACCCGCCTCGGTCTCCCAAAGTGCTGGGATTACAGGCATGAACCACCACACCTGGCCTGATTTACTTTATCTCAGTGGATTTGCCACTTCTGGACATTTCCTGTCATAGAGTTGTTCAACATGCGGCCTTCTGTGACTGGCTTCCTTCACTGAGCATGTCTTTCGGCTTCATTGGTGCTGCAGCGTGTCAGCTCACCATTCCTTTTTTTTTTTTTTTTAATAGAGTCTCGCTCTATCGCCCAGGCTGGAGTGCAGTGGTGTGACCTCAGCTCACTGCAACCTCCGCCTCCCAGGTTCAAGCGATTCTTCTGCCTCAGCCTCCCAAGTAGCTGGGACTACAGGTGTGCACCACCACGCCCAGCTAATTGTTTTGTATTTTTAGTAGAGACGGGGTTTTACCATGTTGGCTGGGCTGCTCTTGAACTCCTGAACTCTGGTGATCCACCCACCTTGGCCTCCCAAAGTGCTGGGATCACAGGCGTGAGCCACCGCGCCCGGCCTCGCCATTTCTTTTTAAGACAGAATAACATTCTGCTGTGTGGGCACACCACTTTTTGTTGATCCATTCATCAGGGTAGGCATTTCGATTTTTCCACTTTCTGGCTATTGTGAATAATGCTGCTATGAACATTTGTGTTCAAGTTTTAATGTGGACGTCTTTTTCCTTCTCCTGGTTACTTACTTAGGAGTGCAAATGTGGGGTTTCATGGTAGTCTGTCCTCTGGATGTCTTGAAAAGCCAGCAGTGATTTAGGCCTTTGCAGCGAGCCTCTGAACCAGACTCTTTATAAAACTGTCTCCTTTGGCCCTCACTCTCCCCCTGGGAGGGAGGTGTGGATGTTCTGTCTGTGTTTTCAGGTGAGGAAACAGAGGTGCAGGGCAGCGGGGAGACTTGCCGGCCCTCACTGCAACCTCCGCCTCCTGGGTTCAAGTGATTCTCCTGTCTCAGCCTCCTGAATAGTTGGGATTATAGGCATGAGCCACCACGCCTGGCTAATTTTTGTATTTTTAGTAGAGACAGGGTTTCACCATGTTGGCCAGGCTGTTCTTGAACCCTGACCTCAGGTGATCTGCCTGCCTCGGCCTCCCAAAGTGCTGGGATTATAGGCATGAGCCACCACGCCTGGCTAATTTCTGTATTTTTAGTAGAGACGGGGTTTCACCATGTTGGCCAGGCTGTTCTTGAACCCTGACCTCAGGTGATCTGCCTGCCTCGGCCTCCCAAAGTGCTGGGATTATAGGCATGAGCCACCACGCCTGGCTAATTTCTGTATTTTTAGTAGAGACGGGATTTCACCATGTTGGCCAGGCTGGTCTCGAACACTGACCTCAGGTGATCTGCCTGCCTCGGCCTACCAAAGTGCTGGGATTATAGGCATGACCTACTGCGTCCGGCCAGACTCTTTTTTTTTTTTTTTTTTTTGAGACGGAGTCTTGCTCTGTCTCCAGGCTAGAGTGCAGTGGCGTGATCTTGGCTCACTGCAACCTCCACTTCCCAGGTTCAAGTGATTTTCCTGCCTCAGCCTCCGGAGTAGCTGGGACTACAGGCACATGCCACCATGCCCAGCTAATTTTTGTATTTTTAGTAGAGACAGGGTTTCACCATGTTGGCCAGGATCCTCTCAATCTCTTGACCTCGTGATCTGCTCACCTTGGCCTCGAAAAATGCTGGGATTACAGGCGTGAGCCACCACGCCCAACCAACTCCCTTTTTATTTAAGAGTACAGCACTAATAGCTCACAGAAAGCTCTAGGTGTGCGGATGGGGGAAGGGTGAGTTGATTAGTGGTTTCATTGTCAGCTTACAAGGACATTAGTGATTTCGTTGGGGAAAACCTTTCATATCACTGTCTGGAGTTCTTGCCTCTTGGGCAGGCCATTTTCCCCAGTGTGGTAGAATAATAGCTCCCCAGCGTTGTCTGTCCATGTCATAATCCCTAGGATCTGTGAATTTGTTACCTTAAATGGCAAAGGAGACTTTGCAGGTATGATTAAGAATCTTGAGACTCAGAAACTCTTAGGAGGCCAGATGTGGTGGCTGGCGCCTGTAATCCCAGCACTGAAGCTGCAGCAGGAGAACTGAGAACAACCAGGGCAACATAGTGAGACCCCCGTCTCTACAAAAAATAAATAATTATCTGAGTGTGGTGATGCATGCCTGTAGTCTCAGCTACTTGGGAGGATGAGGTGGGAGGATGGCTTGAGCCCAGGAGGTGGAGGCTGCAGTGAGCTGTGCTTGCACCACTGCACTCCAGCCTGGGTGACAGAACAAGACCCTGTCTCAAAAAACAGAAAAGAAAGAAAAGAAATTGTTCTGAATTATCGTGGTGGGCCCAGTGTAATCAAATCACAAGAGTCCTGAAAAGAGAGAGGCATGAATGTAAGAGACAGACACGGTGATGTGGTGATGGAAGAGAGAGATTGGAGATGCTACCCTGCTGGCTTTGACGATGGGGGAGGGCCCACCAACCAAGGTTGACAGGTGGCCTCTAGAAGCTAGAAAAGGCAAGGAACAGGCGGGGTGTGGTGGCTCACGCCTATAATCTGAGCACTTTGGGAGGCCAAGGCGGGCAGATCACCTGAGGTCAGGAGTTAGAGACCAGCCTGGCCAACATGGTGAAACACCATCTCTACTAAAAATACAAAAATTATCCAGGCGTGGTGGCGTGTGCTTGTAATCCCAGCTACTTGGGAGGCTGAGGCAGGAGAATCGCTTGAACCTGGGAGGTGGAGGTTGCGGTGAGCTGAGGTCACGCCATTTCACTCCAGCCTGGGCATCAGAGTGAGACTCTGTCTCAAAAAAAAAAAAAAAAAAAAAAAGAAAGAAAGAAAAGAAAGAAAAGGCAAGGAACAGATTCTCTCCTACAGACTACAGAAGGAATGCAGCCCTGCCAACCTGTGTTAGACTTTGGGCCTCCAGAACTGTAAAATAACACATTTGTGTTGTTTTAAGCCGTGAAATTGGCAGTCATTTGTTCCAGCAGCCATAGTTACTCTCCAGGTAACTAATGCACCCAGTAAAGAATCCTCTAACTTTCTGCCCAGGGAGCTGGGGTCTCCCCCAACCAGTGTGCGCTTTGATTTTTCCTCCAGTGTTCAGAATGGCGCCTCATCCCTGTCCTGGTCCCACCTGGTGCCCCGGTTGCAGGCCTGAGCTTTGTTGGCGATGGAGGATACTAAGCATCCGCCCGTGTTTTTGGATGCAGGCTCCATGCTGGGCTTGGGGTTGGCTGGAGAGCATGAGACGGGGGAGGAGACGCACTTTCCCCCGAGTACCCACCCCTGAGAGCGAGAAGAGCACGTTGGTTATGCTCGCTCACGGCTCTGGAGCCCCAACATCTGGCTGCAGAGTCCACTTCTGCTGCCTCCTGGCTTTGTGACAAGCCACTCAAACCCCTCCAGACCTCGGTGGCCTCGCCTGTAAAACGAGGATAGTGCTGGGAACAGTAGTATCCGGTGCTGTGGGGGCCTGAATGATTAACTTCCTTATGACGCCAGGAACCGCCCTGGCCTGAGGGAGGGCGGCACCCAAGTCTTTATTAGCGAAGTCACGTTCGAGTTTGTGTTGCGTGCCGGGCGTTACGCCGAGTCCTGCACCTGCACTGTGTCCTTTCATCTTCATGGCAGCTCTATGGGGTCGTTTCAGTGAAATCTTTTCCCTGGGAGAAATTCCTGGGAACAGGGAGTGCCAGCTCACTTCTGCAGCTTTCAATGGCCCGGGGTCCCCAATTGCTTACTGCAGTGGGGTCCTCATCCAGCAGGGGCCTCCCTGTCCAGGCTGGATGGTGGAGGCCCCCGGTCTCAGGCCACTCTGGGGCTGTGGGAGCCGGTTGGGTGGGGACATGATGGCTGGAAGCAATTTGCATGAGGGGGATCTGAGATTGGGGCAGGGGGTCTCGTGGGAGGCTTTTGAGTTTCAGGGCCCTCAGTACATGGCCCCCTCCTTCCCAGCCACACACAGCCCATCTGCACAGGGCCTCGCTGGGGAGCAATTCTTTGGGAATTGGCGAGGGTGGGGACCAGGGTGGGGGTAGGGTGGGGGGGCTGGGGTGGGGCGGGGGCAGGATGGGGGTGCTGGGGCAGAGTAGGGGTCTGGGGGTGGGGCGGGGCAGGGTGGGGGCAGGATGGAGGGTTGGGGTGGGGTAGGGTGGGGGGCTGGGGGTTGGGGGGCAGGGTGGTGGCCTGGGGGTGGGGTGGGGGCAGGGTAGGGGCCTGGGGGTGGGGTGGGGGCAGGGTGGGGGTGGTGTATCCCGAGGTCCTGCTTTGCTGCCTCTTCCGGATGGCCCATTTTGTTTACGAGCTGGAGGAGCTGCCTGCCCGGTGGAGGGCCAGCCTCGAGTCACTCTTAGAGCCCCTGGCACGCCACTGGGGGTCGCTGTGGTGGGGGGGGGGTGTTGGGACGGCCCATGCACCTGCTCTGTGAGTGGGAGGGGCAGCCAGCTTATCCATCCCGATGGTGGTGTCTCTTGGGCTCTTAGTGGCCCCCCACCTTCCCCTCCTCTATGTCTGCTTAAAGAAGAATTTCGGGGTGGAGGAAGCCGTGACAGCCACTTCTGTTTTCTCTCTATGCTTCCCTCTCCCGTGTGCTCCTGGCTCCCCAGGTCAGACTGCAGCGAGCGGGTCTGGAAAAGGCCAGCACTCCCCTCGGCAGAGGGGCCAAGAGGGGCTGCTGGGGTGGGGGTGGAGGTGGGCGGTCTTGCAGCAGAGCAGGGGAGGCTGCCAGGCCAGGGCCATTGTCACCCTAGCCTCCTCCATCACCCCAGCCTCCCCCGGTCACCCGGACCTCCCTTGGCTCCTGTGCCTGGTTGTCTCTGGCATGTGGTGACCTGGATGCTCCAAGTTTGATGTGGACTCCAGGAGTAGTCCTGCTATGGGAAATGAAATGTAGTTAGGTTCGAGAGCCAAATACACCATGGCCTTATTTGGGATGAAGGCTCATCCTCTGAGAGCCTGCAGTACCTCGTGGGGTTGACATCTTTCAGCTGACCCTCGGTGGGCCCAGGGACAAGACAGAGGGGGACCGCTTAGGCTGGGCTGGACTGGGTCCCGAAAGGGTGGCTGTGGCCACATGCTGACCCGCAGGGTGTGCCCAGATAGCTCTCACCTACTGCAAGCCCTCTTGCTGAAAGGGCCCAGGGTTCCACCTTAGGGATAACACTGCCCAGTGACAGTGACAGATGGACCCAGGACCTGCACATCCCTTCTTCACAGCAGCTGGAGGTGGGAGGGGGATGTATCCCTGTTGCACAGATGAGAAAACAGAGGCTCAAGGAGGGCACCTGATGGGAGGCAGTGGTGGAGCTAGAGCCAGTCCTGAGCTGGTCCTTTCCCTCAATCACTGTGGCCCCTCAGGGAGGGCTGACCCTCCCCCTGCCCACCTGCACAACCAGAGGGTAGACTCCAGGGTGCAACAGGGGAGTCACCAAAGACCCGCTTACTGCCATGGTGGGTTTAATTTTTGAAGTCACAGCTTAACCCAATTCCAAATTGTGTACAAGTGACGCGTCTAACAGATAAGGATACAGAAAGAGCAAAGTCAAAGGAGGTGAGCAGATGAACCGTGCAAGCGCCAGCCAGTTGAAAGCTGGTGAGCTCTGCGAATACCAGACAAAACAGACTGTTGGCTGGGCGCGGTGGGTCACGCCTGTAATCCCAGCACTTTGGAAGGCCGAGGCTGGTGGATCACAAGGTCAGGAGTTCAAGACCAGCCTGGCCGAGATGGTGAAACCCCGTCTCTACTAAAAATACAAAAGCTAGCTGGGCATGGTGGCGGGTGCCAGTTGCTCAGGAGGCTGAGGCAGGAGAATCACTTGAACCTGGGACATGGAGGGTGCAATGAGCTGAGATCGCGCCACTGCACTCCAACCTGAGCGACAGAGCGAGACTCCATCTCAAAAACAAACAAACAAACAAACAAACAAAAACAGACCGTTAGGAAAATAACATGACTAGGATTAAGGAGGATAATATCATAAGTTATCAAGAAAGCTCCAGTTCCCAGGAAGATATAACACTTATGTGTTTGTATGCTCCTAATAACATAGCCTCAAAATAAATAAAGCAAAGCAGCAGCTCCTGCACAACCTGCCTTTTTTTATTCCGAAGTCAGATTTTGTTGACTGACTGTCAGCTTTGCCATCAGCCTTGGGCAAAGTCAGAGAGTCAGGCCTTCCTCTCAGGGAGTTTTCCCTGCAGCAGGGAGAGAAAACCACGGATGCGGGAAACAGCTAGTGGGGACCAGTGGCCAGCACCAGCCAAAGAGGGTGTGGGTCGGGTATTGTAGGCACTCACACTGGCAGGCAGGCACCTATCACCCGCCTTCATTCATTCATACAGTCACACACATGCGTGTCCACATGAACACTGGTGCTCCCACCCGGATTGGGGGGAGAGTCACCATGGGGTTATGTTGTTCAAAGGGGGCTCTCTTGGAGATGAGTGTGAGCTTCAGCCGCCTGGTTTACCACTCCCACTCCACCCTCGAGGCTGCCACCCCCATCTTTGCCCGGATGCCCAGGGCTGGCCTGCCAAGTGGGAGCCTTCCCCAAACGTATCCTTCCGCAAATGTCTCTGTGCCAGGCAAGGCCCCAGGCCTGGGGCACAGCAGTGACCAAAGCAGACATGGTCCCTGTCCTCCTGGTGGATGTGTATGCATGTCACATATCAGACAGTGATAACTGCACCGGGGAGAAATGAAGCGAGGTGGGGGGATTGAGGGAGGGGGTGCGTGCTGCTGCATTCTTTCTTTTTTTCTTTCTTTTTTTTTTTTTTTTTTTTTTTGAGACGGAGTCTCGCTCTGTCACCCAGGCTGGAGTGCAGTGGCGCGATCTTGGCTCACTGCAAGCTCTGCCTCCCGGGTTCACACCATTCTCCTGCCTCAGCCTCCCGAGTAGCTGGGACTACAGGTGCCCGCCACCACGCCTGGCTAATTTTTTGTACTTTTAGTAGAGACGGGGTTTCACTGTGTTAGCCAGGACGGTCTCGATCTCCTGACCTCATGATCCACCTGCCTCGGCCTCCCAAAGTGCTGAGATTACAGGTTGGGCCACTGCGCCTGGCCATGCTGTATTATTTCATAAAAGGTAGTTGGCAAAGGCCTCTCTGAAGAGGTGGCATTGAGCAGTGACCTGAAGAAAGGAAGGGGTAGAGGCTGGGTGCGGTGGCTCACACCTATAATCCCAGCACTTTGGGAGGCTGAGGCAGGCAGATCACCTGAGGTCAGTTTGAGACCATCCTGGCCAACATGGTGAAACCCCATCTCTACTAAAAATACAAAAATTAGCCAGGCGTGGTGGCAGGCATCTGTAGTCCCAGCTACTAGGGAGGCTGAGGCAGGAGAATTGCTTGAACACGGGAGGTGGAGGTTGCGGTGAGCTGAGATTGCACCACTGCACTCCATCCTGGGGAGACAGAGTGAGCCTCTGTCTTGGGGATAAAAAAATAAAGTGAGGGGTAGAGCCCTGCACACAGCGGGAGCAGGGTGCTCTGGGCAGAGGGAAGAGCAAGTGTGGAGGCCCTGAGGCTTGGCAGCCTGGAGTGAGGGTGCGGAGTGGTTGGGAGATGAGGGCCGGCGGCCTGGAGTGAGGGTGCGGAGTGGTTGGGAGATGAGGGCTGGCGGGCAGGAGTGAGGGTGAGGAGTGGTTGGGAGATGAGGGCCCGCGGCCTGAAGGTGCTGATCACATGGCTTGACCACTGCTGTCCCAGATCCACGCAGGAGGCAAAAGGCGCAAAGGCGAGGGTGACCTGACGGACCACTGGGTGTGCAAGTGCGCGGAGAGCCGTCGGACCCCACACGAGGGAGCGCCGTTCTTACTCCATCAAGCATGTGTTAAAGGCCTGCTGTACGCATGCTCTGTGCAGGGTGCTAGGGGCCCACTGGGGTTAGGGCATGTCTCCTGGGGGGGCACTGAGCCAGTGGGCTGACAGTAACCTGGGAGGGGGGGGTGCCCACCCCAGCTGCCCTGTTCCTGGTCTGCAGGCCTCTGGGTGAACAGGGCTGGCAGAGACCTGTGGTCCCGATGGATCCCATGGCCCCTGAGTGCCCCTCCGCTATCAACCTGCCCCACCTCCTGACCGGGTCTCCTAGATCTCGACCTGTCTCCCCGGCTGCCATTCAAGGCCGGGAGAGGCAGCTGGTACAGCTTTGCTTGTTGCCCGCGGCCCCCCACAGGCCCCTCCAACACGCCCCCTGTCCAGGGCCATCTGTGCTGCTCAGATGGCTGAGCACAGGCTGCCAGCTCTGGACGCTTCACCCACACTGCTATTCAGTGGCTACACGTACAGGAAGGCCCTGCAGACCATTAGAATAGGGACCATGTCTGTACCGGTGATAACTAGCCCTTCCCTGAGCTCCCTGAATCCCCCTTCCCGTGGCCCTCGTTGCCCCAGCCTCTTCCCCAGGACCCCTGTGACCTCTCTTTCAGTGACTCAGGAACTAAAGGGTGGGCACCTGGCACAGCAGGGCCCCAGCAGCTGTCCGAGGCCATGGGTGTCTGTGCCAGCTGCTCAGTCCCTGTGCCTTGCTGGTGGTTAGAATTTTCATATGGCCAGGCCTGCATAGCTCATTCTCCTCACTAGGTCTTGCTCTCATCCACCTCCGTGCCTGACCCACACTAACTACCTGCCAGTTAAGTGACCGCTGGACGCTGGGGTCAGGAAAAGCAGGGAGCCAGGGGCAGGGCTGTGCATGGCTGGCCACGGCCTCAGGCCTGGGCAGGAGGCAGGGGTGGGCGGCTCAGGGCTGGGGTTTCGGAGGCACCGCTCACAGACCGCCATCTTCTTGGTGCCTGTGGTGGGTGTTTCTCTCCCCTCCAGCTTGGACTCTTTCTGCCCCGCCTGGCAGATCCGGGCCCCCAGGGGCTCCCGCAGCCTCTGCCTCCTCTGACTGCCCACAGGGAAGCAGGTGACCGGCTGGTGCTGCTGCTGACCGACGAGTTGAGGTGCCCAGCCTTGCTGAAATGCGTCTGTGTCTGTTGGGGCAGGTCCACCCAGCAGAGGACAAACCTGGAGACGCCGAGGGTCAGGGCACCCACAAGGAGCACCGGCCTCTGTCTCCCGCATCCTGCATGCACAGGGTGACGACGCCAGGATGGAAGGGCTCGGGCACAGCCTTGTGTGGTCAGAGAGTGAAGACACCTCTAGGTAGCTGGTATGTGCAGATTTGCCTCCTCCTCCACCAGAGTCAGGCTGGATCCTTTTAATCCCGAGGTGATGACAAACAGCAAAACCTCTCATGCTGCCCTCTGCTCTGAGTGGCCCCTACCCCTTCTTGCCCTAACTAAGCCGGTCCCTCTGCTGAGGACCCTTCTGGAACATTGCTTAGTTTTCTGACCATAGTCCTCCTAGCCCAGGTGCGAGGTCGGGGGCTCCCTGCTCCTTGTCCAGACCACTCCCTGACGTCACCCCATGCCATCGGGTTCTACTCCTCTTCTCTCCTTGGGGCTGTCACTGACCACCCCCGGCCACTCCCTTCACTCCCAGGCCTTTGGGGCAGGCCAGGCCCATTTCCCTTCCTGGCCACAGGGGTGTCCAAGTGCCTGGTGGCCAAGTGCCAGGTGGGCGAGGCTCCCCGGATTGCTGTCCCCAGTTGGAGCCCACTCCTTTTTTTTTGTTTGTTTGAGATGGAGTCTTGCTCTGTCGCCCAGGCTCTGGAGTGCAGTGGCACAATCTTGGCTCACTGCAACCTCTGCCTCCCAGGTTCAAGTGATTCTTCTGTCTCAGCCTCCTGAGTAGCTGGGATTACAGGCACGTGCCACCATGCCCAGCTAATTTTTGTGTTTTTAGTAGAGATGGGGTTTCACTATGTTGGCCAGGCTGGTCTTGAACTTCTGACCTCAGGTGATCCACCCACCTCTGCCTCCCAAAGTGCTGGGATTACAGGTGTGAACCACCGCGCCCTGCCGAAATGACTGCTTCTTTAAGCAAAGAAGATTGTAGGACTTTGTTATGGCAGCCCCAGGCAACAAATATAGTGCCCTGATTTCTAATTCCTTATGTGGCAAAAGGTTCTCTGTGGAAGTGATTGAGTAAAGGATCCTGAGCTGGGAGGTGATCCGGGTGGGCCCTGCATGTAATCACAGCGTCCTTATAAGGGGAAGCAGGAGGGTCAGCGTGGAAGTGGAGTTAGAGTGGAGGTTGGAAGGACGCAGGGCCCTGAGCCACAGAACAGGGGCTGCCTCTAGAAGCTGGGAAAGACAGGGAAGTGGGTTCCCTCCTACAGCCTCTGGAAGGAGCACGGCCTTTGATTGTAGCCCCAAAGCCCCGCTTGAGACCTCTGACCTCCAGAACTGTAAGATGAAAAATTGGGTGGGCCGGGCGCAGTGGCTCACGCCTATAATCCCAGCACTTTGGGAGGCTGAGGTGGGTGGATCACTTGAGGTTAGGAGTTCGAGACCAACCTGACCAACATGGTGAAAGCTCGTCTCTACTAAAAATGCAAAAATTAGACGGGCGTGGTGGCAGGTGCCTGTAATCCCAGCTACTCAGGAGGCTGAGACAGGAGAATCGCTTGAACCCGGGAGGCGGAGGTTGCAGTAAGCCGAGATCGTACCACTGCACTCCAGCCTGGGTGACAGAGATTCCGTCTCAAAAAAAAAAAAAAAATAGAAATTGTGTCTTTCTTAGCCACTAAGCATGTCATCAATTTGTTCCAGCAGCCACAGGAAATGAATAAAAGGCTCAAAGTCCTGATGTCATGGGCTGGCTGGTGATGGAGAATCTTGAAGGCTGTGGATGTGAGTTCTCACGGTCCTGGCCCGCAGCTGGAGAAGGGCAGGCATGGGAGAGCAGGGAGCATGCTGGCACCAGGTGGCAGAAAAGGGAAGAGCCAGGACTCCAGATACCGAGATACTGGTAGTCCATGTGCTTGGAGACTGATATGATTTGGATCTGTGTCCCTGCCTAAATCTCATGTTGAATTGTAATCCCCATTGTAGGATGTGTGGCCTGGTGGAAGGTGATTGGATCCTGGGGGTGGATTTCCCCCGTGGTGCTGTTCTCGTGATAGAGTTCTCACGGAATCGGGTTGACAGTGTGAGGCACCGCCCCTGTCTCTCTCTTCCTCCTGCTCCCACCAGATGAGATGTACCTGTTCCCCATTCGCCTTCCACCGTAACTGTTTCTGGAGGCCTCCCCGGAAGCTGAGCAGACGCCGCCACGCTTCCTGTGCAGCCTGCAGAACGGTGAGCCAATTCAACCTTTTTCTTTATCAATTACCCAGTCCCAGGTGTTTCTTTTTCTTTTTCTTTTTTTTTTTGAGACAGTGCCTGAGCTCTCTTGTTATCCAGGGTAGAGTGTGGTGCCATGATCACAGTTCACTGCAACCTCCACCTCCCAGGCTCAAGCCATCCTTCCACCTCAGCCTCCTGAGTAGCTGGGACTACAGGCACACACCACCACACTTGGCAAATTTAAAACAAATTTTTTGATTTTTGGAGAGATGGGGTTTTACCATGTTGTCCAGGCTCGGGTTGAACTCCTGAGCTCCAGCAGTCCACCTGCCTCGGCCTCCCAAAGTGCTGGGATTACAGGCGTGAGCCACTGTGCCCCACTGGGTATTCTTTTATAGCAGTGTGAGGATGAATTAATACAGAGACTAATGTGCTTCAGTCAACCCCAGACACTGTAGGGAAATATGGTTATTTTTCCTGCACAGAACAAATTTGCTCTTCCTCTGTGGAGACCTCTTGGGTTTCCCCTATCTCTGGGTTCCAGGTGGGGTTCTGTGGGTTCACATTTGGCCCAGGCCAGCCACAGCATAGTCTACCTCCTGACCAAGGTCATTGTTTCAGGAATGGGCACAGGGCTCCAGCTGGTCTAATTGTCATCACTCCTGGCCCACCTTCTTCTGGGGTTTTGGAGAAGTGTTGAGCTCTCAGCTGGAGAGGAGAGGACCAGCAGGTCTTGCTGGCAGCACGCTTGCCCTCACAGGCTGGAGCCGGCCTGAAAAGGACTTAACAAAGGAAGCCAAAGCTGGGAGCTGGGGAGAGCCAGGCTGCTGATCATACCAGGATCCAGGTATTCCTCATGAAGGATCACACCAGGATCCAGCCATGCCTGAGGCAGGATCACACCAGGATCCAGCCATGCCTGAGGTGAGATCACATCAGGATTCAGCCATGCCTGAGGCAGGATCACACCAGGATCCAGCCATGCCTGAGGAAGGATCACACCAGGATCCAGCTATGTCTGATGCGACATCACACCAGGATCCAGCCATGCCTGACACAAGACCATGCCATGGATGTTCTAATTGTGCATGCCATAACCTCTGAGAAGGAGCATGCTTAATGTAGGTTACAAGGTTTCCATCTCTCAAAACTGCAGGATTCCTTGCTGATGGGGAAACAGCAAGCGGGGAGTGGGGTGTTGCATATGGCAAACTAATGTGTGGGATTGGTGGGGTCTGCGTGGGGTATGGAGGGGGACAGTGAGCTTCTTCTCAATGCCCAGCTGTGCCATTTGTGATGCTGGCGGGAAGGTGGCAAGTTGTTATGCAAGTTCTACTTTGTGTAAACTCTGATGTTGTGCTCAGACTGTGTGTGTCTGCTGAGGAAGGCCTGACATGCATTTGCTGGGACTGCTATTACAAAGCTGCAGGCCAGGCGGCTTACACAACAGACATTGATTCTCCCACAGTCCTGGAGGGTGGAGGTCTGAGATCAAGGTGTCAGCAGGGCTGGTTCCTCCTGAGGCCTCTCTCCTTGGCTGGCAGACTCTGCTACCTTCTCCCTGAGTCACAAGGTTATCCTTCTGTGTGTGTCTGTGTCTTCATCTCCACTTCTTATAAGGACACCAGTTGATATCGTTTGGCTGTGTACAATTCATCTTGAATTGTAGTTCCCATCAGGAGGAACTCGGTAGGAGGTAATTGAATCATGGGGGTGGTTACGCTCATGCTGTTCTCATGATAGTGCGTGGGTACTCGTGTGATCTGATGGTTTTATAAGGGGCTTCCCCCTTTGCTTGGCACACACTTCTCTTGCCTGCCACCAGGTAAGACGTGCCTGTTTTGCCTTCCATGATTGTAAGTTTCCTGAGGCCTCCCTAGCCATGCAGAACTGTGAGTCAGTTAAACCTCTTTTCTTTATAAATTACCCAATGTGTGGTATGTATTCATAGCAACATGAAAACAGACTAATACACCAGTCATGTGGGATTAGGGTCTACCCTAATGACCTCATGTTAACTTAATCACCCCCCTAAAGAATGTAGGGGGTCCTATCCAACAAAATCAGTATTCTGGGGGCTGAATTACCTGAAAATGGGAATAACTGATCTGTGCAGAGAGGTCCCTTCCAACAGGGATTAGCAATTCAAGGAGGTTGACAGTTGTCATAGTTAGTTCCTGCTGCTATAACAAAATACCTTATACCTGGTACTTATACTTATGATGAGTAGAAATTTCTTTCTAGGCAAGAGGATTGCTTGAGCCCAGGGCTTTAAGATCAGCCTGGGCAACATACCAAGACCCCATCTCTACAAAAAATAAAAAATAGCTAGGGGTGGCGGCTTGCACCTGTAGTCCCAGCTACTCAGGAGGCTGAGGCAGGAGGATCACTTGAGCCCAGGAGTTCAAGTCTGCAGTGAGCTATGATTGTGCCACTGTACTCCAGCTTGGGTAACATAGTGAGACCCTGTCTCAAAAAGTAAAAAAAAAAAAAAAAAAGAAGAAGAAAGAAATTTATTTCTCTCAGTTCTGGAGGCTGGGAAGTCCAAGATCAAGGTGCCAGCAGACTTGGTATCTGGTGAAGGCCCAGTCTTGCCTTCATAGTGGCACCTTTTCCTATGTCCTCACATGGCTGAAGGGCAAAAGGGGCTGGCTAGTTTCCCCGATCCCTCTCATAAGGGCACCAGTCACCTCCTAAAGTTCTCACCTCTTAATATTATCACACTGGTGGTTAAATTTTAACATATGAATTTTGAAGGGACACATACACTCAAAACTATAGCAAGAGTCAAGTGAGCTAAACTTGTAGGCAGCGACGAATGCCCCACTCCACACTGAAGTCCCGGCAAAGGCAGGGGTCCTGCCAGCCAACCTGAGAAAGTCCCTCCAGGGCACGCTTCCTGCCTGAGAAGCTGGATGTCATCCCAACTGTGAGAGCCATCTGTCCCCTCAGCTGTGACCTGGGGATGGGGGCAGAGCAGATGAACCATGTTGGGGAAATAGAAATCAAGACCTAAAGGAACACACAGACTCATAAACACAAAAGTAGCAGATTTTATCAGTGAGCAGCAACAGCAAACAACAGCCCAGCCCAGGATGTGGGGAGGTAGCCCCACATGGCTACAAAGCTACAGTGGATCTGCGCTCTGTTTCTATGGAACGAAAGCTACAGTTGGCTGTTATTCCAGCTTGTGTTGGTAGTTACATTGACGCGGGGTGATGTCCTGATTTTCCTACCTCTTTTATCAGTTCCTCCCATGGCTGTCCTGGCAGTGCTCCTATAGTCACAGTTTTTGACATTCTTCAGGAGGATTAAATTCAGTTCAGTTCCTTGCAGTGTCCCCCCAACCCCGCAGATATTGCATGACTGACAGAGCCAGGTTGCAGACCAGGAAGAGCTGGGGAAAATCAGAGGAACATCTTGGCCCTGGTGCCAATTGAAGGACCGTGACTCTGCAAGGCCTTGGCTTTGATTATGGGAGTTGATGGGACGCACATATTCCACAAGACAACCATGCTTTTAAGAGAGTTGGAGGCCAGCCAAATCCCAAACCTGGCCAGCCAATGGCCATGACGTCCATGGCCCCGATGTTGTTCGGTGGGGGATTGTGACCTCACTTCTGGCTTCACTTGAGTTTAACATGCTCCAGACTTGGACAATCAGCCTATTCCACCCCATTGGCTCCATAATTCGTTTTGGGAAAAGTACATCAGTCTCTAGTCCAAGAAGACTCAATTGCAATTTATCCAACAAGAGTCAGTCCCAGAAGTTTTCTGGGAAGTACTGTGGAAAAGGAACTCTCCTCCTTCTGGAGTCACGGAGCTGGTGGGACGGAAGGAAGTCTGCACAGTGGGAACCCATTATGCCAACTAAGGGGGAGTGCCTGCCTGAGAAAAAGGTCACAGTGGAGAGCAGAGCTGATGGAGAGAGAGAAACAGGTTCCTGATGACACTGTTAGGTCACCTGGATCGACCCATGCCTGAAGCCGTGATATTTTGGAGCTTTTAGTTACTAAAGCAAATACATTCCTTTCCCTTTGATCCAGTTTGACCTCAGTTTCATTCTCTTGCTGCCCAAAACATCTCCACTTATGCAGTTACCCAAATGACAATTAAGTGTGTCTGGGTTCCTTGGTTGAGACAGCTATTATCAGCCCTGTCTGACTTAAGGAAAAAATAAAAAAGATAGACATTCATTGGAAGCCTGTGAAGGAGCTGCTGAATTGACTGTTGCCTAGAGAACAGGCTGGAGAAGTACAGGAGCTACTCAAGGGCCAGAAGTGGCCAGGGCGCCTTCTCTTGTTGGTTTACTTGTGTCGAGCTTCAGTTCTCTGGGAGTGTAGGTGTCAGTGGGCAGCCCTAGGCTGTGTATTGGTTTTCCGTGCTGCCATAAATACCAGAAACTTGGTGGCTTAACACAACTGGAATTCATTCTCTCACAGTGTTGGAGGCCAGAAGTCTGAGATGAAAGCAGGGTCAGGTTGGCTCCCTCTGGATGCTCTAGGGGAGGATCCGCTCTTTGCCCCTTTCCCAGCTTCTGGTGGCTCCTACAACCCTGGCGTTCCTTGCCTTGTAACTGCCTCACTCCAGCCTCTGCCTCCTTCATCAGGCAGTGTTCTCCTTTCCATCTCTGTCTGTTCACATGGCTTTCTGATAAGGACACCTGCCATATTGGATTGGGGCCCTCACTTCTCCATATGACCTCATCCTAGCTAAGTACATCTGCAAAGACCCCATTTCCAAATCAGGCCACATTCTGAGATTCTGGTGAGTGCGGCATTTTGGGATACACCCTTTCACCCAGTGCAGGCCACGCCTGTCCCTGGTTGTATGAGACGATGAGGAGGATTTTCAGCAAGGGGTTCCTTATGCTTCCAGGGCACAAGGTACTGGATTTACCCTCTCATCAAGTCAGGGTGGCCATTCCTACCAAGGGTGTTCTGGATGCTTTAGAAAGGGGATTGGACGTTGGACCCACCGCAGGCAATAGGGCCACCTATCTGTACACGTCCTTTCTCTAGTGCATGCACTTCCCAAATATCCCTCTCCCCATGGCCAGAGCATCCGAGAATGTCCTGGCGCATCCTTCGCCACATATGTCCCCAGTCCTGGGGGACAGCATCCTCTGGGTCCTCTGTGGGGAGTGGTGAGTGGCAGAGTGGCTGCCGTGGGAGATTCACCTGTTTTTTTCTGACGTATTTGAGTTCTTCCCTCTACATTCTATGCAGCGGGCTTTCTGTCCTCTGACTTCCCTGGCCTGGGTGAGTTTCAGATCCATGCTAACCAGATTCTTAGGCCACATCCAACCCTGTGGGCCTGGCCGTGGGACGCAGGGGCTCTATAAATGCACGCATATCGACGCATTCCATTCGATCTTCAATAACGGACTCCCTCCTCTGTTAAGCGCTCCCAAAATGTCATTCCCACAGAAATCACCCAGATGTTGAACAGCAGAGTATGAAATTCCTGCGTTCCTCTCCAGCCACCCTGGGTCACGCAGGGATCTGATCCAAGGTAAGGATGACTGTGAGGGTAGGGCGGGGGGAATCTTGTTTCCTGTAATGCAGCTCCCTGGAGAGGGCAGCAGCTCCCTGGAGAGGGCAGCAACTCTTCTAGGAAGGCTGGGACCGCCTCCTCAGATCGGGGAGGACGACCTCCTTCAGGCAGAAGAAGCCCCTGGGTGGTTCTTCACGGTTTGGCTGGTTGGGGTCAGGATCTGTCCTGTGTCTTCCGGGAATTTCCGAATGTCTCCTTTTCCATGGATGGATGTGCAGCCTCTTACAAGGAATGCCTGGCTCATGGTGAGTGCTCAGAAATGTTTGTGGAGTGAATAACAGACCCATGAAGCTGTGAATTCCACAGGCGTCTGATCTAGCCAACTGCAGAAGTGCATCGTGAGAGTTGCTTTTCCCAAATCAATCAGCGCCCAGGCTACAAAAACAGGCAGAGGAGGTGGTTCTTCCAGCACTGCATAGGAAGTCTTAGGTTTCGGCCGGGCGTGGTGGCTCACGCCTGTAGTCCTTGCACTTCAGGAGGCCGAGGCGGGTGGATCAAGGAGTCAGGAGTTCAAGAACAGCCTGGCCAAAATGGTGAAACCCCGTCTCTACTAAAAATAAAAAAAAAATTAGCAGGGTGTGGTGGCAGGTGCCTGTAATCCCAGCTACTCGGGAGGCTGAGGCAGAGAATTGCTTGAACCTGGGAGGTGGAGGTTGCAGTGAGCCGAGATCACGCCATTGCACTCCAGCCTGGGCGACAGAATGAGACTCTCTCTCTCTCTCTCTCAAAAAAAAAAAAAAAAAAAAAAAAAAAGTCTTCAGCTTCAGTCTGAATCTCAAAATAAGAAGTTAGAGGCTGACTTGTCACTATGTTGAGTAAGGTATGCAGGGCAGTCAGATGCCGCCACCCTGGCCCAGGGCCTGAGTATTCTCCTGCTTTTCATGAACGTGTATGGCAGCAGCTGCAAGCCCAGTATCGACCCTCAAGCTGTCCCCGGTTAACTCCTGACCATCTGGAATTGGAAAGGAACTTCTCTGCCTTCCATCCAGGGGGCACATTATTTTGTGGGACCTAAAGCTTATCCATCCAAGGAGTGGCGCTTATTAAGAAAAAGAATACAGGCTGGGCGCGGTGACTCACGCCTGTAACCCCAGTACTTTGGGAGGCTGAGGCGGGAGGATTGCTTGAGCCCAGGAGTTCAAGACCAGCCTGGGCAACATGGCAAAACCCCATCTCTACAAAAAATACAAAAATTAGCCTGGCATGCTGGCACACGCCTGTAGTCCCAGCTACTCAGGAGGCTTGAGGTGGAAGGATCACTAGAGGCCAGGAGGTCAAGGCTGCAGTGAGCCGTAATCGTGCCACTGTACTCCAGCCTGCGTGACAGAGTGAGACCCCCCATTTCAAAAAAAAAAAAAAGGAATATGAATTTATAAATACAAAATTAGGGACAACATTGAACACTTATTTAAAACGAGAAAAGAAATCACAGCAAATTACAGATTTTAAAAAGCTGACAAATATCACAAGTAATACATAATACAGAAAAACAGTCGTGATAATTTTTTTACCTTTTTTGGCTGACACTCTTTGATATCCTTTTCAGATGTCAACGGTTTTGAATATTTTCCACAGTGAGAATCAAAAGCTAATTCAATCTTGTTTTAGCATGGGTGATCAAAATGTGTTTTGTATTGTTTTTAGATGTTTCTTAGCTTCACAACTGATTATTGCTAATGTCCTGTACATTTTTCGGATTGTTGTCAAATTTTGAAGACCCCTCTCAAGTTGTTTTTCATATATGATTGGTGAGATTTCAGGGCATTTCAGCTTTTCTTGTGCAGTGATTAATCTGAAATAGTCTTTGAAGCGATAACACTCGTTAATTCATTATTGTCAATGTCCGTGCTGCAGTGGTTTTTCAAGATGTAAGTTGTCTTCCTTGATGTCAAACCAGCAAGAAATTTAAATATTTCCCAATATGTTCATAAAATGTACTCCTCATCATGAATTGGACGATCAAAAATCCAGGAGCCTACTGATTTCTTCTATTCCAAATTGATCTTTTCCTCTTAATGAATTGCTTTTGGTTACAATTCAGTTCTCAGTTTCAAACTGATTTCTGTTGATTTCAATATTCATCTTTTATCCCATCTGTTTCATATCCTGTTAATTTTTACCTGAACTTTCTCTTAGTTCTTTAAGAAATCAATAAATTTAAAGATAACAAAATAAGGTCCTCTTCATTTCTCAACTTGTCACTCTAATTCTCTCTCCTTGAAATCCAGAATTGGACCTGAGGGGCAAATGCAGCTTCTGTGGGACTGGATCCGAGGCAGGAGAACTTGGGCTTTGGAACTGGCTATTCCTCCAGGATGCAGGGGCAGAGGTGGCCCGTGTGCAAGACAGAAGGATGGAGCCGATGTACAGAGAGGCAAGTGGTGAGAGCAGGGGGCAGGGTGGTCCTGAGTTCCTGTGCCTCTGCCATTTCTGGAAGGTTCTGGTGCCTTCCAGAGGGAGACCCAGTAGCCAATCTGCCCTGGGGCTCCCTGATTTCATCGGCAAGCTCCCTGAGCACTGGTGCCCAGTCTCGTAGGCCAGATCAGATACAGGTCTTTGATCATGGCCGGAGAGGGACCCGCAGCATGATCAGGAGGGTGGAGGCTGACTCTGTTGGAGGAAGAGTGGCAATCAGACCACCCCTGAGAGAGGGGCATTTGGAGTACATCTGATTCCCTGATCTGGATGCCTTCTCCTTCCTCTTTGTCCAGTGTATCCTTATTATCCTTCAAGGCATAGGCAGTGCCTGCCTCCTCCGGGAAGTCCCCCAGACTTTCAAGCCCTCACTTCCTTCTCCTGAGACTCTCCATTCCCCTTATCACATCTACAGCCCTTACTGTTCTTTTTTAATTTTTAAGAAATGGAGTCCACCTCTGTCACCCAGGCTGGAGTGCATTGGCACACTCATAGCTCACTGGAGCCTTGAACTCCTGGGCTCAAGTGATCCTCCTGACTCAGCCTTCAGGGTAGCTGGAACTACAGGCTTGTACCGACACACCCAGCTCTGTTCTGTCTTTTTAAGTGGATTGGTTTTGTCTGCCCAACTAGTCAGTGAGCTCTTTGACAACTAGGACCATGGTTTCTGTTTCTGTTTTTCACCTTTGCTGCAAATGCAGTGCATCTTTAATAAGCAATGACCTGGCCAGGCGCGGTGGCTCACGCCTGTAATCCCAACACTTTGGGAGGCCGAGGCAGGTAGATCACCTGAGGTCAGGAGTTTGAAACCAGCCTGGCCAACATGGCGAAACCCCATCTCCATTAAAAATACATCTCCATTAAAAATCCTGTATTAAAAATATTTTTAATATAAGAGCTGGAGGCAGGGACAGGGAACAAAGGGTGACAGCCACCCCACCTAAGCCCAGTGGACTGAAAACAGGGAAGAGGCACGCTCAAGTTAAAACTGGCAGGCATGGCTGGGCATGGTGGCTCACGTCTGAAATCCCAGCACTCTGGGAGGTCAAGATGGGCGGATCACTTAAGGTCAGGAGTTTGAGACCAGCTTGGCCAATATGGCAAAACCCGTCTCCACTAAAACTACAAAAATTACCCGGGCATGATGGTGGGTGCCTGTAATCCCAGCTACTCGGGAGGCTGAGGCAGGAGAATCACTTTAACCCAGGAGGTGGAGGCTGCAGTGAGCCGAGATTGCTCCACTGCACTCCAGCCTGGGCGACAGAGCAAGACTCCATCTCAAAAATAAAAATAAAAATAAAAATAAAAATAAAAAAAAGCAGCAGCAATGACCTGTTGAATGTGCTGGATGGCTTTACTTTAATGCCTCCTCTGAGACACACTTGTGCTGTGCCGCATGCCAAGCATATAGTGGACACCTATTATTGACCCTCTCAGCCTGAGATGGTAGAAGTCTAACTGCCCAATGGGTTCACCTTGCCCATTTAGACAAGAGCCCATTTAGACAGAGCCCATTTATCAAGACGGGAATTGCAATGGAGAAAGAGTAATTCATGCAGAGCTGGCTGTGCAGGAGACTGGAGTTTTAATAATTCTCAAATCAGTCTCTCTGAGCATTTGGGGATCAGAGTTTTTAAAGATCATTTGGTGGGTAGGGGCTTGGGAAGTGGGGAGTGCTGATTGGTCAGGCTGGAGATGGAATCACAGGGGATCAAAGTAAGTTTTTCTTGCCGTCTTTTGTTCCTGGGTGGGATGGCAGAACTGGTTGAACAAGACTACCGGTCTGAGTGGTGTCAACTGGTCCATCGAGTGCAAGGTCTGCAAAATATCTCAAGCACTGATCTTAGGTTTTACAATAGTGATATTATCCTCAGGAGCAATTTGGGGAGGTTCAGACTCTTGGAGCCAGAGACTGCATGACCCCTAAACTGTAATTTCTAATCTTGTAGCTAATTTGTTAGTCCTGCAAAGGCAGACTGGTCCCCAGGCAAGAAGGGGGTCTTTTTGGGAAAGGGCTGTTATCAATTTTGTTTCAGAGTCAAACCATGAACTGAATTCCTTCCCAAAGTTAGTTGGGCCTATGCCCAGGAATGAACAGGACAGCTAAAAGGTTCGAAGCAAGACAGAGTTGGTTAGGTCTGATTTCTTTCACTGTCATAATTTCCACAGTTATAATTTTTGCAAAGGTCGCTTCAATCAGAAGGAGCTGGAGCCAACAGTCAAGGAGCGGCCAGAGGAATTTGATTCCAGGGCTGGTTCTGCCACTTGGCAGCTGTCACTATCTAAGGGAGACAATGTTCCCACCTACCTCAGGGAGTGACCTGAAGGTTAAATCAGACCATGATGTTCTGTCTCATGTGCACGGATGAGGGAGAGGAGGCCTCAGGTCGTGACAACTGGCCAGTGTGCCCCAAAGACTGGACAGAAAGTAAAAGCTCAGACATTCACCTGGGGTCCACAACAGAGACAGGCACATAATAGGGGTCTGAGAAATGTTTATTCAGTGCATGAATAAGTTATGTTAACATCCTGTTAATTTCAGAGCATCAGTTCCTAGACAGTATCACAAATGGCAACATGAAGAGTTAGGGAAAAAGAAAACAGCATGAATTTGCATCGTGGGGCAATGCTTTGGCGTATTGATTGTGCCTTGCTTTTCCTGCAGTCCTTTTCTGCCCCTTTCTTTCCTTTCTTGCAAACAAGGCAGGAGCTGCTCTGGTTGAGACAGTGAGAACTTGCCTATATCACCTCTCCTGGCCCACCAGAGTGCATGGCTGTGTGTCTGGAATTGGTGGGTTCTTGGTCTCACTGACTCCAAGAATGAAGCCGTGGACCCTTGCGGTGAGCGTTACAGCTCTTAAGGTGGTGCGTCTGGAGTTTGTTCCTTCTGATGTTCGGATGTGTTCAGAGTTTCTTCCTTCTGGTGGGTTCGTGGTCTCACTGGCTCAGGAGTGAAGCTGCGGACCTTCGCGGTGAGTGTTACAGCTCTGAAGGCGGCATGTCTGGAGTTGTTCGTTCCTCCCAGTGGGTTCGTGGTCTCACTGGCTTCAGGAGTGAAGCTGCAGACCTTCGCAGTGAGTGTTACAGCTCATAAAGGCAGTGTGGACCCAAAGAGTGAGCAGTAGCAAGATGTATTGCAAAGAGCGAAGGAACAAAGCTTCCACAGTGTGGAAGGGGACCTGAGCGGATTGACACTGCTGGCTCCGGCAGCCTGCTTTTATTCTCCTATCTGGCACCACCCACATCCTGCTGATTGGTAGAGCCAAGTGGTCTGTTTTGACAGGGCACTGATTGGTGCGTTTACAATCCCTGAGCTAGGCCCAGCGAGAAATTGAGCGCAGCACCAGTGGGATAGCACTGCTGGGGGACCCAGTACACCCTCCGCAGCCGCTGGCCTGGGTGCTAAGCCCCTCATTGCCTGGGGCCGGCCAGCTGCTCCGAGTGCGGGGCCCGCCAAGCCCACTCGCACCTGGAACTCCAGCTGGCCCGCAAGCGCCGTGCCCAGCCCCGGTTCTTGCTCGCGCCTCTCCCTCCACACCTCCCTGCAATCTGAGGGAGCCGGCTCCAGCCTTGGCCAGCCCAGAAAGGGGCTCCCACAGTGCAGTGGTGGGCTGAAGGGCTCCTCTAGTGCCGCCAAAGTGGGAGCCCAGGCAGAGGAGGCGCCGAGAGCGAGCGAGGGCTGTGATGACTGCCAGCACGCTGTCACCTCTCAGCTGGACTACATTTCCCAGACTCCTCTGTGGTATGGGTCACATGACTGAACTCCAGCCAGTGGAATGCTTCATGGTAGAGGCCTGCCATGTTTGACCTCTCCTCTTTTCTCCTCCCATCCTCTGGCTGAATGAGAGGCCATGAGGATCTGGCAGAGGGCAGAGCCATAAGGTAGAAGTGAGGTAGGAGGTGGACCACGACTCCAGAGGCAGGGTTTGAACTTTTGGCCAGATTGGAAGACTTTTGGCCAGATTGAAGACAGGGAAGAG
The DNA here is from genome assembly GCF_000001405.40 of Homo sapiens. Taxonomy (NCBI): domain Eukaryota; kingdom Metazoa; phylum Chordata; class Mammalia; order Primates; family Hominidae; genus Homo; species Homo sapiens. Next base: position 68,975,074 of record NC_000011.10, read on the forward strand.
GGGAAAGCACCTGACCTTAAGACACACCCACCAGTGCCATGTCAGTTTGCCATTGCCATGGCAACACCTGGAAGTTACCGCCCCTTTTCCATGACCAGGATCTGATAACCTAGAAGTTACCACCTTATTTCTAGAAATTTCTGCATAATCTACCCCTTAACTTGCATATAATTGAAAGTGGGTATAGGCCAGGTGTGGTGGCTCACACTTGTAATCTCAGCACTGTGGGAGGCTGAGACAGGTGGATTGCTTAAGCCCAGGAGTTCAAGATCAGCCTGGGCAACATAGTGAGACCTCCTTTCTATAAAAAATATAAAAATTAGCTGGGCGTGATGGTGTGCAGCTGTAATCCCAGCTACTATGGAGACTTAGTGAGGAGGATACCTGACCTTGGGAGGCAGAAGTTGCAGTGAGTTGAGATTGCACCACTGCACTCCAGCCTGGGCAACAGAGCAAGATCTATCTCAAAAAAAAATTTTTTTTTAAAAAGTGGGTGTAAATATGAGTGCAGCACAGCCTCTGAGCTGCTGATCTGGACACACTGCCTATGGGGTAGTGTGCTTTGCAAGGAGCAGTACCTCTGCCACTTCAATGAAAGTTGCTGTCTTAACACCACTGGCTCACCTTTTTTTTTTTTTTTGAGATGGAGTTTTGCTCTTTTTGCCCAGGCTGGAGTGCAGTGCAATGGCCTGATCTCGGCTCACCGCAACCTCCGCCTCCCGGGTTCAAGCGATTCTCCTGCCTCAACCTCCCAAGTAGCTGGGATTACAGGCATGCACTACCATGCCCGGCTAATTTTGCATTTTTCGTAGAGACAGGGTTTCACCATGTTGGTCAGGCTGGTCTCGAACTCCCGACCTTAGGTGATCCACCCGCCTCGGCCTCCCAAAGTGCTGGGATTACAGGCGTGAGCCACCGTGCCCGGCACCACTGGCTCACCTTGAATTCTTTCCTGGGCAAAGCCAAGAACTCTCCTGGCTGAGCCCCAGTTTGGGGGCTCACCTGTCCTACATCATCAGAAGCCTGGGTCTCTGAGTGACAGAGTAGAGCAGAGCCTCCCATCCACCTGCATTGGTCTATGGTATAAGCAAGAAAACTTTCATTATGCTGCACCATGAGATTTGAGAACGCTTTATTACAGCAATTAGCCAGTGGAGGTGATGGAAGTTGCAGATAAATTTGGGACTCTGGGAACAAAAATCAGGTGACCTGATAATGGCTGCCACAGGAAGTAGATAACGACAAGGATGGAGGAGACAATGTCCAGTCCGTGGGAGGCCACGACTGAGAGGCAACTCCTGGGATGGGGAGTGGGGAGCCTGGAGTTGACTGGGCCCTTCCTGAACTGACTGCACCCAAGTCTCTGCCAAGAGTCCTACTGGGGGCTCCAGAGAAAGGAAAGTACCATGATAGAAAATAAAGAACTTGGTACTGTTTGCCTCCTGACGCTGTGGTCTGCAGCATTTATGTATGCTTTGTTCATCTCTATTAAACAAGCAATCTGGAAGCCACCTATTTCCAAACCAAACCAAGCTGTGTTTGTTGGCCTGATCAAGCTGTTCTTGTCAGGAATTCCTTTCTGGAATCACTTTTGATTGTTTAGAACATGTGTTCTTGATCCAGTTTCCTGCGGCAGCCCGCAGGGGCCTCAGGGGGAGTGCAGGGTGAGGTTGATTGTTCCCATTACACAGCTGGGGAAGAAGAGGCCACAGGGGGGAATACCTGGCCTGAGGGAACCCAGAAGGCAGAGGGGAGCCCCCGTCTCCTCACTCCCAGAGCCAGGCCCTGTCCCCATCAGTGAGTGGTGGGAGGACCCTCATCCTCCCTCCGCATCTGGTTCCCACCTGGGACCCCACAGGGCTGAACCTTGGGATGGGATTGGGGAAATCGGGGGCTCAACAAGAAAACTTGTTTCAGCAAAGGATTGAGCTGTCAGACAGTGTGGACTATGCTACTGGAATTTTATGGTTATTCACACGGAAATCTCCAGCGCTCTAGTGTGGCCAGAGGGCTCGCTGCTCCTGGTTGGATCCAGGGTTTATGGAACCTAAAATTTCTACAGGATTTGGGGCCCTTTTTAAGGGGGAAGAAAAGAAGGAAGGAAAGTTACAAATACAAAATTAGGTATGAAAATGAATACTTATTTAGAATGAGAAAGTAAATCAAACATTGTTTTTTAAGCAAGAGCAGGTAACACAAACTTCATAAAATATTAAAAGCCCTATAATATTTTTAATAATTAGCTGCTTAACAAACCTTTCTAATATTTGTCCTACATTTTTGGCTGCATACTGTTGCTTGCCTCTTCATAGATCAATTTTGTACACTTTCTATGGAGAAAAGAGAAAGATAATTGTGTTTTTCCTCATTGATTGGATTTATTTTAAGTGAGTGATAGCTGGATACATAAAACATGCAACTTCACACAGAGACGTTTTTGCCATTTGTATTCCTGCTCCAGCATTTTGGATACAAAAACAGGGTGTCTCATGAATGGTACTTTCACATTTCCCAGGAGAAAAGAGGTATGGTATGTGTTCTGATTACACATGCTGCATTAGCAAGGATCTTGCTAACAGGTGAGACCTGCTCTGAGCAGGCACCCGTGAGAACAGAACCCCCCATTTAGAGTTGTACATCTGGGGATTGGAGGATTCTTCTATAAGCTAGCTTCTGATTCTGTACATTTCAAATCTTATTTCTTCTCTGTTACCCACTCCCCCACATACTTCCTTTATCTGTTCATTTTTTCAGGCAGCTCTTTGCACGATGCCCGGGGAGCTGGCACAGCAGGCAGTGGCAACGTTTCTGGGAGCCATTCCTACCCTGGGGTGCTAGCAATTGCCTAACCACACACAGAAGTGATCGGAAACCACATAAATGCACCTCACTAAGCCCAAACTGCAGGGACCCCCTAACTCCTCTTCCACTCAGCCCCACCCCCCAAATACCTGTGGGCACACCAGTGCCACCTGACCTAAAGTGGAGTGTGATGGAGGTACCGGAGTAGAAGGTCTAACAGATATATCATTTTATATGTTTTATCGAAACATAACATCATTGTGTGAACAATTTCTAGGGCTCCTCCCCTTGCAAATGAGGGGCCCTGTGGTAGCCACTGAGTGCTAAGAAGCGAGATGTTCTTCCTACCAACCGTCGGCTTTAGACTGGGCCACCTCGTGGCTGCCCAGGTTGGAGAAGGGTTGTGAAGCATGGGGTTTGTAGTCAGAAGATATGGGTTGGATCCTGGACAAAACGTGGGCTGTAAAGCACTGTACAGGCATCAGTTACTCTTACTGGCCAAATGAGCACTTGTTAAGTGCATCTGGCATTTGAGGCCAGTGCTGGTACCAAGTGCTCCGCTAAATGCTGGAACGACTGAGAAAGAGCCACCACTCTGCCTCGCATGCTTCTCTGGGACACACAGACCTGGGGGCCTGAGCCCTAGGTGGGAAAGCACTCAGAGGTAATTTCTCCTTCTGGGAGGGCTGCACAGCCCCCAGCCCAGGGCAATGAACAAACAGGGGGAGCCCAGGAAGGGGAGTCCTGTCCAGGGCACAGTCTTCGAGTCCCCAGGACACCATCACCTGCCACGGCACAGAACCGCAGGCTGTGAGAGTTGATTCCAGGGGTGTATTTTATAGCTTACTGATGAGCTGTCCTCTCCTGTCTCAGGATCTGACCTGTGCCCTGGCTGGCTCGAAGGCTCCATCTTTTGGGAGGAGACTGAAAACTGCTTCAGAAAGATGCCAAGAGAAAGAACAAGATCATTTTCACCTTCTGACATGAAAAACAGGATGACGCAGCCAGGTGCCAGGCTTGCAGGCCAGGCTGTGGTCTGGAGACAGGATCTTTCCACTTCCGTCTTTCCTCCTCCCTCACCTCTTTAAGTCCAGGACTGACTCTGCAGGGACCTCCTGTCTTGCACCCCCTCCATGCAAGCCCCGAGCCTCGAGGCTGGATGCTGGGTGGTAGGAAAGGGCTGTGATTTGTGGAAAGTGCAGGAAACATCTGCCTTGTTCTGGACCCAGGGGACTGTGGGAAGGAAAGGGGGAGGGAGGAGAGTGGAGCCAGCTGATGTGTGTCCCAGATGTTCCGTCTTTGGGCTTTTGGGCAAAGTGAGGGGGCCCTGGGAGGGACAGTCAGTGAGGTATGAGACTCTGGCTCTGGGGGACACTGCCTGGAAGGCTGCCCTCCACTGCCTGGGGCACTGTCCTATCAGCATCTGCTGGAGTGACTGCCAGTGAAGCCAGGCAGAGGCTCTTCCCTTCCCAGTGCGGCCTGGAGGAAAGCGAACAGGCCTGCCCTGGGTGCGAGGGGTGACAGGGTAAGGCGACCTCATAGCAAATGCCAGGGGTCAAGGGCTGGCCAGGGGTCAGAGGGATGGTGGGGCAGAGTCTCATGGCCCACAGCCAGCGAGATCCGGGTCGGCGATGGCGACACCGTTTACTTGCCAGACTTCAGGCACACCTGGGGAAAGGTGCACGGGGGCACCACCTTGGTGGCCAGTTGATGCCACCCAAGGACCAGCATAGGGCCAAAGATCACCCGAGGTCACCTGCCTCCTCCACAAAGATGCCGTCTTAGGCAGAGAAGGTGGTTGGGAGAAAGCTTTCATATTCAAATGAGATTCCTGTTATCCACCCATAGATAACCAGCTTAAAGCAGGGTAGGGCTAAAAGCTAATATTTTCCCCCAACCAGATAATCTGCTATAAACAAATAAATTGCATCTTCCAGCGGGGTTGCATTGTGAGATCCAGGACACAGGTGTTGTGGGGAGTTTTGACATGCAGGGAAGTGACCCCCACATGCAGCTGCAAAGTCCTTGGGGCTCCCCCAAGAAGGCGGGCCAGACACTTGGCAGGGACGAGGTGGGAGGCAGCTCACGGCTCGGGAATCTCCAGGGCATGGGCTCGCACAGGTGGGAAGCACCTGTGGGCGGCTCTCAAGCCCCCATCTCATTGGTGCCCACGGTGGGCGTCTCCCCACCTTCCAGCTCGGGCTCCTCGCGAAGCGCCTGTTGGAGCACAGTCCCCAGGGACCTGGTGGGCAGCCTGTGGCTCCTCCGGCTGCCCACCAGGAAGTAGATGACGGGGTTGGCGCTGCTGCTTACGGACGAGGAGAGGCGTGACAAGCTGAAGCACAGGACCTGCATCTCGGGCGGCAGGCTCAACCAGTAGAGCACAAACCAGTAGATGCTCAGAGGCAGGGAACAGATGAGGAACACCAGGACAGAGGCCAGGACCACCACGAACAGCCGTGTGGGCTGCCGCCGCCACTGCTGGGAGCTCCTCCGCACCCAGACAAAGAGGGTCAGGCTGGACAGAGTCATCACTGGGGTTAAGACCCCCATGATGAGGGCGGCCTGGACCATGTCCACCCTGAAGCACCGATCTTCATTGAATTTCAAGAACTTGCTGCAGAAGGAAGAGGTCAACCCGTTCATCAGGAGACAGAGTGTCCACAGCAGGCCACACACCCAGGCTGACAGGTGCCTGGGCCGGTGACACTTGAACCAGATAGGGAAGAGGACAGAGAGACAGCGCTGGGTGCTGATGGCCGTCAGCAGGCTCAGGCCCACTGTGTAGGCAAAGTACATCAGTCTCTTCATCAGCTCGTGGACCTTGTCAGTGGTATTGACCAGGGGCTGGGTTTCCAGGCTGAGCGTGGAAGCCATGCTGAAGAGGAAGAGGAGGTCGGCTGCCGCCAGGTTGAGGATATAGATGCAGAAGGGGTTCCTGTGCATTCGAAAGCCCAGCAGCCAGATCACCATGCTGTTGCCTGCCATCCCGCACAGGCAGGTGAACATGGCCAGGGAGCTCAGCACCAGGTAGGCCGTGTGCACTGTGCTCCCTCTGGAATAGTTTAGGGCTGACTCCACGGTCCCACTGCTATTCAAAGTCTGGTTCATCCCTACGAGAGGAAGATGTACCAATGTGAAATTCTGTGTTGCTGGGACCACGGGGGACCCCTGGGTGCCCCTCGAATTTCCAGCTTCAGAGCTCTCCCCTCCAGGTTCTTTATGTAACAGACCATGACCGGGAGGCTTAACCTTCCCCCACTCCTGTGACTCACTCAGCCCAGATCTGCCTCCAGGGTCACCTTTATAGCTACAAAGCTGTTATAAATACCCTTTATCAGGTTAAAAAATTCTCTTCTATCTTGCTTTGAATTATTTTTTAAATCATGGAGAGGTATTGAATTTTATCAAATGCTTTTTCTACATCTATTATAGAAAAATCATTATTATCAATAGATGTAGAAAAACTATTTGATAGAAACATTTGAAATCATTTTTTTTTTCTCCTGTAATTGTCAAACCCTGTGAGTTAATTAAAAAAACAATAGACCTTAGGGCTGGGCGTGGTGGTGCATGCCTGTAACCCCAGCACTTTGGGGTTTGCTTGAGGCCAGGAGTTTGAGACCAGCCTGGGCCACATAGCAAGATCTCATCTCTACAATTTTTTTTTTTAATTAGCCAGGCATGGTGGCACACACCTGTGGTCCCACCTACTTGAGAGGCCAAGGCGGGAGGATCGCTTGAGCCTGGCACATTGAGGTTGTAGTGAGCCATGGTCCCGCCACTGCACCCCAGCCTGGAAGACAGAGCGAGATGCTGTCTCTTAAAAAAAAAAAAAAATTAGACCTCAGGGCAAAGTGTAGAATTAACTACACTCCTTAGTTTAAGACACACCATGAGCATCAGCCCATTAAAAACCCTCCATTTATTCAAGTTTCCTTCCCCATCCCATCTTAGCTGCCTTTTTCCTCCTGCCGCTTGCATCCATCCAACCTGTTTCACGCAAATCCTTGGACACCTCAATATCTTTCAAGATGGAGTGGTTGCCCATTGTGTTTTAAATTTACGTAAATGTTGTGATTTAGAATTAATGATGGGTTTTTTATTTTTCACTTGACAATATGTTTGTAGGATATATCCAGGTGGCTGTATGCAAAAGTTGTGGTTTAAAATGTCATCATGCACATTGATCTGTTATCCATTCCTTACTGTGGATCCTCAGCTTGCTTCAAAATTCCCATTATCACCAAAACACTGTGTTGGACATCCTCATGCATGTACCCATTGGACTTGACTCAATATTTTTCTGGGATACATTCTTGGAGGAGGATTGCTCGGTCATAGAACATATGCACATTTAGTCTCACTAAATATTGCCTGGTAATTCTTTTTCTGAGTGGCTGCTTCAGGTTTCACCTGTACCAGCAGAATAGGAATGTTTACGTTTTCCCATTCTCTCACCAACACTTGGTGTTATTTGTTTTTCTAACTTTTGCCAACCTGATGGTTGCAAAGTGATATACTGTAGATGTTTTAACTTGCATTTCTGTGATTACAGTGAGTTTGAGCATCAATTCATATATCTGTTAGCCATTTGGAGTTCCCCTTCTTCAAATTGTCTGTTCACACCTGTTGTCCATTTTTCAATTGGGTTTCTTTTCTTTTCCTTTCTGATTTGCAAGAGTTGCTTGTATTTCTAGGTATTAATGCCTTCCTGGATTTAGACATTGCAGATACTTTTCTCTGAGAACGCTCTGTTTTTTATGGCAACTTTATCTATTGTGAACTTTGGTTGGAAGACATCCTAAATTTTGGTATAGCCAACTCTTCAGAATTTTTTTCTCTGAAATTTTGTGTCTTCTAAATCTGAAAGTATTCTGTCTCCCTGGATAAAAAATGTAGTCTTTTCTATTTTCTTCTATTACTTTTATAGTTTTTCCCATTCAGATTTTGTTCTTGGATCCAACTGGAATCTATTTTTTATGAGCTTGATTTTTCCTCCATAGTATGGATCAGCTTTCCTAACACTGTCTCCTAAACAGTCTGTCCTTTCCCTATTGACTTATTAAGTTCTCATTTACACATGGGACTGGGTTTTTAATTTCATTCTTCATTCTGTGTCATTGGTTTGTCTCTCAGTTCCTACAACATTAACACAGTGTTTTGTTTTGTTTTTTTTTTTAAATATGTCTTTCTGCTATGTCATTTTATTTTATGAGATGCATGTCCCTTCTTTAACTTTGTTTGCCAAAATTGAATTAGCCATTTGTGAATCTTTATTCTTCCTTAAAATTTTAGAGCAAATTTTTGGAATTCCTAAAAGAAAGAAACTCTCAAGTTTTCAGTAGAAGCTCATAGAACTTGCAGAATATTGTATTAGAGAATTGTCACATTCACAATGTTAAGTCATTATGTCCATAGTCTGAAATGTCTCTCTGTTCTCAAATCCTTTCTTACATCCTGTAAAATAATTAATAATAACATTGAATTTTTTTTTTTTTTTTTGAGATGGAGTCTAACTCTTTTTGCCCATGCTGGAGTGCAGTGGCACGATCTTGGCTCACTGCAACCTCCAGCTCCTGGTTTTAAGTGATTCTCCTGCCTCAGCTTCCTGAGTAGAGTAGCTGGGATTACCGGCACCCACCACCACACCTGGCTAATTTTTGTATTGTTAGTAGAGATGGGGTTTTGCCGTGTTGGCCAGGCTGGTCTCGAACTCCTGACCTCAGGTGATGCAGCCTGCCTTGGCCTTCCAAAGTGCTGGGATTACAGGCATGAGCCACTGCGCCAGGCTATAACATTGAAATTTTACTCATAAAAGTTCTGTACACTTTATTGTGTTAATTTCTAGGTATTGTTTTAGTGGTTTTGCTGGCATTGTAAATGGTATTTTATTACATCTAAAAAATTTTACTTTTTTTTTTTTTTTGAGATGGAGTCTCCCTCTGTTGCCAGGCTGGAGTGCAGTGTTGAGATCTCGGCTCACTGCAACCTCCGACTCCCTAGTTCAAGCGATTCTCCTGCTTCAGCCTCCCAAGTAAGCTAGGTTTATAGGCACATGCCACCACGCCCAGCTAATTTTTGCATTTTCAGTAGAGACAGGGTTTCATCATGTTGGCCAGGCTCGTCTTTATCTCCTAACCTCGTGATCCACCCACCTCAGCCTCCCAGATTACAGGCATGAGCCACTGTGCCCTACTTACATTTTTATTGGACAGCTGATGAATGGAATTGGATTAATAATAATACTTCTTGTTTCATGACATCCTGTTAATCTTGGTTGCCCTCTTTTATTTTTTAGTGTATATATGTTTGTGTTCATATTAATGTAGGTACCCATCATCCAAAATGAAAACCATGATTTTGACAATAACTTATTTAATTTTTCAGTTTGTTTAGGCTGCTGTATGGAGAATAGACTGATAAGGACAAGAGGAGAGGCTGGGAGACAAGTAAGGAGTCTGATGCAGGTGCTAGTGGGAGCTGAACTGGCGTGGTGGCTGTGGAGTGTAGGTCATGAGAAACAGCTGGGTTTGGAATAAAATTTAAAAGTAGAGCGCACAATTCTTGCTGATGAATTGGACATTGGGGGGATTCCATTCATTTAATGGATTCCATTCAATTATTAATTCAGTAGTTCATTCATTCAGTGTACCCCAGTGAGTTCTTACCTTTGTCCAGGTCCTTTCCATGAATAAAGTAGGCACCTACAATGTATGAGGATTCTGACTTCTCTACACCCTCACCAAAATTTGTTATTAGCTGTCTTTTTTATTGTAGCCATCCTAGTGGGTGCGTGAATTGGTATCTCATTGTGATTTTGATTTGCATTTCCCTAATGACTAATGATGTAGAACATTTTTACATTTTTTCACATGCTTATTGGTCATTTGTATATCTTTGAGGAAATATCTATTCGGATTCTTTCTCCTTTAAAATTGGATTATTTGTCTTTTTATTGTTGAACTGTTAAAGTTTTTTTTTTTTTTTTGAGACGAAGTCTTGCTCTCTCGCCCAGGCTGGAGTGCAATGGCACAATCTTGGCTCACTGCAACCTCCACCTCCCGGATTCAAGTGATTCTTCTGCCTCAGCCCAAGTAGCTGGTATTATAGGCACCTGCCATCATGCCTGGCTAATTTTTGTACTTTTGTAGAGACAGGGTTTCACTGTGTTGGCCAGGCTGCTCTCGAACTCCTGACCTCAGGTGATCCGCCTGCCTTGGCCTCCCAAAGTGCTGGGATTACAGGTGTGAGCCACTGCGCCTAGCCAAAGTTTTTTAAAAATAAAAATTGTATATATTAGATTCTTATGAGATATCATTTGCAAATATTTTCTCCCACTCTGTAGGTTGCCTTTTCACTCTCTTGACGGTGTCCTTTGAGACACAAAAGTTTTTACTTTGATGAAGTCCAGTTTATCTATTTTTTCTTTTGTTGCTTGTGTCTTTGGTGTCATATCTAAGAATCCACTGCCAAATCCAAGTTCATGGAGATTGGCGATTTACCTCTGTGTTCTTTTCTAAGGATTTTGAGGCTTTAGCTCTTATATTTAAGTCATTGATTCATTTTAAGTTAATTTTTGTGGGTAATGTGTCACCTTCATTTTTTGAAGGATATTTTCTCTGGATGAAGAATTCTAGGTTGACAGTTTTAAAATTTATCTTTTAAAATTTTAAAGATGTCATTCTGTGGTCTTTTGTCTTGCTTAACTTCTGAAAAGAGGTCTGTAATAATTCTCATCCTTTTCTCTCTGTCTTTTTTTTTTTTTTTTGATACAGGGTCTGGCTCTGTCACCCAGGCTGGAATGCAGTGGCATGATTTCGACTCACTGCAATCTTCATCTCCTGGGCTCAAGCCATCCTCCCACCTCAGCCTCCCATGTAGCTGGGACTACAGGTGCATGCCACCATGCCCGGCTAATTTTTGTATTTTTTGTAGAGATGGGAATTCACCATGTTGCCCAGGCTGGTCTCAAACTCGTGAGCTCAAGCAATCCACCTACCACAGCCTCCCAAAGTGCTGGGATTACAGGCATGAGCCACTGCACCTGGCCATCTCTGGCTGTTTTTAAGGTCTTCTCTTTATCATTGGTTTTCAAAAGTGTAGATATGATATTCTTTGGTATAGTTTATTTTGGTGTTCATTATATTCATTGAGGTTCTTGGATCTAAGGGTTTATAATTTTTATTTATTTATTTATTTATTTATTTATTTATTTAATGAGACAGAGTCTTGCTCTGCCGCCCAGGCTGGAGTGCAGTGGCACCATCTCAGCTCACTGCAACCTCTGACTCCCAGGTTCAAGCAATTCTCCTGCCTCAGCCTCCCGAGTAGCTGGGACTATAAGTGCGCACCACCACGCCCAGCTAATTTTTCATATTTTTAGTAACCTGGGATTTCACTGTGTTAGCCAGGATGGTCTCAATCTCCTGACCTCGTGATCCGCCCGCTTCAGCCTCCCAAAGTGCTGGGATTACAGAAATGAGCCACTGCGCCTGGCCTGTAATTTTTATTTTATAATTTTATTATGAGTCTGGAAACTTTTGGCCATTTTATTTAAATATTTTCTGCCCCCTTTCTTGGAATTTGAATTAGACACATGTTATATTGCTTGATATTGTCTCACAGATTACTAAAGCTCTGAGTTTTTTTTTCTCTGTGCTTCATTTTAAATAGTTTCTATTGCCTTGCTTTCAAGTTGTCTGATCTTTTCTTCTGCAGTGTGTAATCTTGTTCTTAATCCCATTCAGTAAATTTTTTTTTGTTCCACACACTATATTTTCAGCTCTAGAAGTTGCATTTGGTTCTTATCTATACCTCATGTTTTTCTTTTCATTGTGTTCATGTTTTCCTTGAAATCTTTGAGCATTTCTGACAGGCATTTAAAATTTCTTGCCTGCTAATTTTATCTCTGTCATTTCTTGGTCTCTTTCAATTTACTAATTTTACTCCTGGTTAGGGGTCCCATTTTTCTGCTTTGTCACATGTCTAGTAATACTTCCTTAGATGATGGACATTGTGAGTTTTACATTGTTGAATGTCTGAATTTTTAATTTTTTGTTAAACAGTGGTAGGCCTTCTTCTGGTGGACATTTAATTTACAGATAAATTTGATCCTTTCAAGACTTGTTTTGAACTTTGTTAGAGCAGGTCTAGAGTAGCTATAGGAGAGACCTTTTTGGGCTTTCTACTGAACGTCCCAAGTTTCCAACGAAGTCATTCTACTTTAGCTTATCAGAACTTGAACCCCTCTAGCCCTGTGTGAACTCTGAGACTTGTTCAGCAGACAGATAATCAGTAGTTGTTCTTTGCCCAGTTTCAAAGAGTTAGTTTCATCTTGTGCACAGCTTAGTTTTCAGCCAAAGACTCAAAGGGTCTATGCAGGATTTTGGAGTTGTTTCCTTGAGGAGTTCCCTTCTTTCTCTCTGGTGCTCCATTTCACAAATTCCAACCACTTAATTCTCCTGAGCTCTGACTCAGAGAGAGCACCATGGTCTGCTTGGTTTCCCCCACTTCTGTGCCACTGTCCAGAAAGTATCTGTAGGCAGAAAGCCAGGGTAATCATAGGACTTGCCTCTTACATTTCTCTTCTCTCAAGATCTTAGTCCTGGGCTGCCTCTTGTCCAATATATGCCAACAGTTGTTTCATATGTTTTCTCCAGTTTTCTAGTTGTTTACAGTGGTAGGGCTGGTCCAATACCAGTTAGTCCATCATGGCCAGAGACAAAAGTGTCTCTGTTATATTTCCTGTTGATTTTTGCTGATGTATAGGAGCACTGTTGATTTCTGTAGTTTTTACCAATCAGGTGAATGTTATGATTTATTTTACCATGTCTATCAGTTTATCTGTTGAATATTTTTATTTTCTATGCAACTATCCTTATACCTTTACTTTTTTTCATGTCTTAGAGCATGGTCCAGATCATCTAGTACTATACTGAACAATGCCTGGAATCAGGTATGCTTATCTTCTGCCTAATTTTTTTATTTTTTATTTTATTTATTTATATGTTTTTTTGAGACAGAGTCTCGCTCTGTCACCCAGGCTGGAGTGCACTGGCGTGATCTCGGGTCACTGCAACCTCTGCCTCCTAGGTTTAAGCAATTCTCATGCCTCAGCCTCTCAACTAGCTGGGACTACAGGCATGCACCACCATGCCCGGCTAATTTTTGTATTTTTAGTAGAGATGGGGTTTCACCATATTGGCCAGGCTGGTCTCGAACTCCTGACCTTGTGATCCGCCCACCTCAGCCTCCCAAAGTGCTGGGATTCCAGGCGTGAGCCACTGTGCCCGGCCATCTTCTGCCTAATTTTAAAGAGCACGTGTCTAAAGTTTCTCCATTAGATATGATGTTTACTCTCAGTTTTTGATATTATCTTTTATCAAAGTAAGAAGATTTCCTTCCTAGTCTTCTGAGAGTTTTTATCATAAATGCATGGTGAAATTTGTCATAAACTTTTTTTCTGCATCTACCAAGATAATAATTTTCTTTTTTTCTCCCTCTGTCTACTTATGTGGTGAATATACATTGATAGATTTTCTGGCATTTATTCAACCTTCTATTTCTAAGATAAACCATTTAGTTAGTTCTGAGGGGTTTTTGCTCTGATTTTATTTAGAACATTTTCATCCATGTTTATAACTGAAATTGGCCCATAATTTTCCTTTCTGGTACTATCCTTGCCTGTTTTTTATTTCAAAGCTAAAAGGTGATACTGGCTTTATAAAATGAGTTGGAGAGATTACCCTTTTCCTCTGTCTTCTAGAACAATTTGTGTCATGTAAGGAGTATCTTTCTTTGAAGGTTTGGCAGAAGGTAAAACCATCTGTTCTGGTAATTTTTATGTAAGTGTGAGTGGCTGTGCATGGCTTTAAAAAGAACTACAAATCCAATTTATTTAATGTTTTAAGTCTACTCAGGCATTTAATTTCTTACTGAGTTACAGTAGGCAATATTATTTTTCTAGAAAATTGTTCTTGCTTTTTGGTTTCACATTTATCAGTACAATACTCACAGTAGTTTCTTACATTCATTTAGAATTTTTACAACTTCACTGCTATCTGCCAGTCTTTATTTGTGACTTCACTCCTGTTTTTTCTTGATCAGTTTGCCAGAGGGTTGTTTTTTGAGAACTATTTAAAAATAAAAGCATCTCTACTGTTTCTTTGCTTCATGTTTCCTTAATTTATGCTTTTATTTTTTTTCCATTTTCTTTGGATTTACCCTGTGATTCTTTTTCAGCTTCCTTTGTTGAATGCTTAGGTAATTAATTTTTAAACCTTCTCCTTTTGGTAACAGGTATTTAGGGCTATAAATGGACCACTAAGTATTTCTTTAGATGTTTCCTAGGTTTTGATATCAAGTGTTTTTATTGTTGTCTAAATAGATTATAATTGAAAACTATTGCAAATATGAAATTTAAATATCTATAAGTTATTTAGAAATATATTTTATAATGCATGACTAGCTATCTTTTTGTTATTAACATTGCAAGAAGGTCAGATAACGTGGTCAGTTTTTTGATATTTGTTGAGATGCATTTTGAAGCCTAATGGATGGTTAATTTCTATTTTCTTTCTATATCCATTTGACTATGTTTTTAAAATTATGTTATTTGCATTATCTGTAGCTTTATTAATTTGTCTGCTATAAATATCAACCCATTATGACTGAGGTCTTGTCATTTTGTCTTCCACCTATTTTGAAACTTTGTTAAGTGACTACAAATCCAAGATTATTTGATAACACTGAGGAACTGTGTCCTTTATGTAGTGGTCCTCTTCATCCTTACTAATTTTTTTCTTTTTTGAGACTGAGTCTCACTATGTTGCCCAGGCTCCGGTGCAGTGGCCATGATCTTGGCTCACTGCAAACTTCGCCTCCTGGGTTCAAGCAATTCTCCTGCCTCAGCCTCCCAAGTAGCTGGGATTACAAGCATGTGCCACCATGCTCGGCTAATCTTTGTATTTTTAGTAGAGATGGGGTTTTGCCGTGTTGGCCAGGCTGGTCTTGAACTCCTGACCTCAAGTGATCTGCCCACCTCAGCCTCCCAAAGTGCTGGATTACAGGCGTGAGCCATCGTGACTGGCTCTTTATTTTTTATTTTTAAGTTTGCAATTACCGGTTTCCTTCTACAGGGATATCATTACTTTTTCTTGTGAGAGCCCCACGTTGTCATAAAGGTTTTGCTACCCAGGCATTTGGCATTGGCCTCTGTGGATATTCAAAGGATTTCACAGGTCCAGGACCAGGTTTTTGATGGATTTCTTGGCTAGGAGATTTGGCATCATGCAAGTGGTAGTAAATTCAGATCCTACACCTGTGAATGGTGCAAATTTGGGGCTCTAGCTACTCAAATTGGTGCCCAACTCTACCTGCACGCCCACACATCCACACACCCAGTTACAGGTGGGGTGGAGCTCCTAACAGCACCCTGGGCAGAACACTGCTTCCTCTGGGCAGCTCCCTGGGCCCTGGCCTCATGCAAGTTCCCCTGTTCAAACTCCCTCCCCAACTTGATGCACTCCAAGACCACCTCCTAACCTCTAGCCCTCCCACCCCTAGCCCCTGGAGCCTGTGTCTCATCTGGTGCACCCTGGGCCCCCGGCGTCAGCTCTGGTTGCTGATTCATTTGTGGCACCTGAAGATTTCTCTTCCTGTCTGTCATCTTTCTACTCAGTATTTTATTTGGGTGGGGCGGGAGGGGAATTGTGTTTTCTCCAACATTTTTTGGTCTCCACGGTGGGAGCACAGACCCATGTCCCAGAGTTACCAATCTCCACAGGTCACTATAATTGGAAATGTCCCCTCAGGTTTAAAACAGATTTAAACATTTACCAAACTCATACTATGTGCCAGATACATACATTCCATATATATAAAAACACATATACATATATAATAGTGCACACACACATATGCACATAGACATATATACATATCACACATAGCATATATTCATATATACATATGTAGCACATATATACACATAGAGCACATAGCTCTATACACAGCACATATACCTATACACAGTAAACACACATATATGTATACCCATGTACACGGACACACCGAGCACATATATAACGATGACCACGAACTCACAGTTGTGGGTAGGAAACACACAGTTAAAGGCAGTCCTACCCTACAGCTCAGGGTGTGTCTAACAAGGTGAGGGACTCAGAGGGTAGGACTCAGGTGGGAAGGGGAGCTGGGGGGAGCCAGGTGAGGGAGCGGGGTGCTGGCTGCAGGAGAAGTGTGCGTGCACGTGGCTGGGTACCAGGGTCAGGCCCTTCCCAGGCGGGCTTGGGCACCGGCTGCCTGATCCCTCTCCAGCTTGTTGGGGAACCCCCTTCTAATGCCATGGAGCCTGGCCTCTGCCTCTGGGTCACCTGTGCACCCACATGACCGCTGCAGGACGACGCGGGTCTACTCCATGTGGATTCAGGGGTGTTTGGGCAGTGCTCTGTGGGGAAGGGAGACCAGGGGCCCCGAAGCTCTGAGAGAGGAGGGTGCAGACACATGCTGCTGTCCCACGGTCCTTGTACTTATACTTCTGATGGGTCTTCCCAGGCCATTGTCCCCCACCTGCCACCTTCCCCATCCCCCACTCTGCTCTGGGTGTCTGGACAGGGTGGTGATGTCCAGTGGGGCTCAGAGGCCCTCAGGGCGCCTGGCTTCCTCTTGGGGGTCACCAGGGAGCCCCTTGCAGACATTTCCCAAGGGCCCGCAGTGTGTCAGGGGCTATTCCAGGTACCAGGGTGCTGGAGAGAAAGAGACAGGCCCCTCCTTGCACCTGTGGATGCCGTTCTGCAGGAGAGACGGTCCCTGAGCAGGGACAGCAAGGTGGCTTCAGCCTGGCACCTGTGAGGGTGATGGCGAGAGCTGTGATGGGGGCCTTTTTTTTTTTTTTTGACACGGAGTCTTGCTCCGTCACCAGGCTGGAGTGCAGTGGCGCGATCTCAGCTCACTGCAACCTCCGCCTCCTGGGTTCAAATGATTCTCCTGCCTCAGCCTCTCCAGTAGCTGGGATGACAGGTACACGCCACCATGCCCAGCTAATTTTTGTATTTTTAGTAGAGACAGGGTTTCAGTATGTTGGCCCGGCTGGTCTTGAACTCCTGACCTCAGGTGATCCGCCCACCTGGGCCTCCCAAAGTACTGGGATTACAGGTGTGAGCCACCGTGCCCGGCCTTGATGGGGGCCTTTATGCGGAACCCTGATGGGTTGCAAAGGGATAAGGGTTGGAGGTGGGGCGTGTGTTAGGGAGATGGCCCCAGAGGACCCCTCCCGGTGGGGAGATGCTCAGCTGCAGGGACCCCTGAGAGAGTGCAGGTGACATTCGAAGGAATGTGTGGTCATGGGTGGGGTAGGGGAACAGAGAAATGACAGGGAGGCTGATCTCTCCATTTACTGGAACGACGTGATTGTGTGCTGTATTCGAGGATAGTGATTCAGTGGACAGGGGACTCCTGATGCGTGGGAGAGGCCGCAGCTGCAGGAATGATTTCCTGGGGAGGTGTCGAGAGGAGAGGGGACCTAGCCCACAGTCGGGAGCTTGGCCAGCTAGGAGCTGAGACATCAACATCATCAGGAGGAGGCGCAGAACCAGGCGTGGGTCAGCCAGGGACTTGAGGGGGGGAGGTGACACTCCCTGGCATCCTCTTGCTCCTTGATAGCAGGAGAGTGTCAAGTATTGGGGCTGAGGAAAGGAAGAGGTACTTGGGGTGGAGGGGTTGAGAGACAGGAGCCCTTATCCCAGCCGAAGTAGAATAATGAGCTGTGGCTATTTTCTAGTAAAAGCCAACACATACGTGAAAACTGGCCACATCAGTGGAGATGCCTGGCTTCTCTGCAGTGACGTGAGCTTCAGGATGCAGGGGTGAGTGGGGAGGTGGAGGGTGGGGGAGAGTACGTGTCTCTGCCACCCCTGAATCAGGGGCTGGCATACAGTGGTGCTCAATAAATGTTTGTGGCTTGGCCCCTGGATTAAGCGCCCCGCAGCGCTTAATGAACTCCTGAACTCCCGGCCCTCCTTCCCTCGTCTCTGCAGATGGAGTGAGTTCAGCCAGCATGTCGGCTGGATGGGTGGGCACCGCGTCTGACTTGATCCCTCTGTCTGTCCACCTGGTCCCTAGTGTGAGTCCAGCTGCACCGTTTCGTAAGCCCCCTGCCACTGCGCAGACCCTGGTGAAAGTGAAACATTCCACGGGGATTTGGGCTGTGAGAAACAGCCTGCCTCTTATCATATTCTGCTGGGAGAAAGTGCAAGCAACACCCCCATGATCTTATCAATATCCTGCCAGGCAGCAAGCCATATTGCCCAGACCCCTCCCACCCATACCTATAAGTACCCCAGCCTGTAAGCGGTGGTGGGCTCTGGCATCAAGCTGGTCCCCCACCTCCGCAGGTTTTTACAATATACCTGCGTTTCCTGTAGAGCCGCCACTCTCTCTGTGTGTGTGTGTCTTTCCTTAACCCTCACCTCCCCTTTAAAAAACCTAACACTAGGCCAGGCACAGTGGCTTACACCTGTAATCCCAGCACTTTGGGAGGCCGAGGCAGGTGGATCAACGAGGTCAGGAGTTCGAGACTAGCCTGGCCAATATGGTGAAACCCTGTCTCTACTAAAAAATACAAAAATTAGCCAGGCGTGGTAGTGGGTGCCTGTTGGGCACTGAGTAGCTGGTGGGTCCCAGCTACTCGGGAGACTGAGGCAGGAGAACCACTTGAATCCAGGAGGCAGAGGTTGCAGTGAGCCCAGATGACGCCATTGCACTCCAGCCTGGGCAATAGACCGAGACTCCGTCTCAAACAAACAAACAAAACAAAACAAAACAAAACCTAACACGTAGTACCATGCCTGCAGGTAGTAAATGTTCAACAAGACTTGCTGACGGATGAATGAGTGTGCAGACCAGCAGGTTATACACTGGCTGTTTCCTGTAGGGGGCTGAATGGTGGTCCCTAAAGATAGGTCCCTGTTCCAGAACCCGTGAATGTGACTTATTTGGAGGTAAGGTCTTTGCAGATGTAATAGAGTTAAGGATCTTGAGATGAGACCATCCTGGATGAGGCAGTTGGCCCCTAATCCCAGTTCTTATAAGAGACACACAGAGGAGTTGCCTAGGGAGGAGAGGGGGCCTCATGAAGACACAAGCAGGGACTGGGTTTATGCAGCCACATCCCAGGAACGCCTAGAGCCACTAGAAGCCAGAAAAGCAAGGAGGGGCTCCCTAGAGCCTCAGGGGGCGCATGGCCCTGCCGACCCTAATTCTGGGCTTCTGGCCTCCCGACCATGAGAGAGGAGCTTTGTGCTTTAAGCTGCCCGGTCTGTGCGGCCACAGGAAATTCCTATGCCCCTTGGCGCAGGTGTGCCCACCATAGAGAGCAGAGTGCCATCGCCACACACTGCTCATTGAGGGGTTGATCCTGGACTTGGGAGAGGGCAAGTGGAGCCCACCCACAAGACGCCTTCCCAGCTGAGCCCGACACAGCAGGAACAGCGGGGACCCGGCCCCAGGTGGCTCTGCTCTCAGCCTTCTCTTCCTAGGAAGGGTGCGGGGGTATCCAGGGCCAGCCAGGGGGCCCCGTGCCCAGCACATCATGAGCACTCAGAGTTTATTGGCTGAGTGCCTGATGGACTGATGGACTGATGGACAGTGGGACCCCAGACTGCTCAACCCTCCTCAGGGTCCCACGGTTCCCCTGAGTGGCTCTGGGGCTCTGTTAGAGGTTCTGAGCTTGAAGCTTGCTCCTGATCCCCATCAGAGCCAAGAGAAGCCCCGATTTATGCCAACTCCTGCCCCCAGCACTAATCGATGCTGAACGAGGCCTCGAGGAGGTACCGCAGCGGGGGGAGGTGATCATCACTCAGGCCGGGGACGGCCGCACGGCGTCAAGGGGTGTTTACAGTGTTCTAGTGTGCTCAGCGCTGCTTTGCTTGGCCACTGAACACATCAGAGACCGTGGAGACCCCTGGGAGGAGAGGCGTTAATAGCAGTGACCGCCCCGGGTCAGGACCCATGGAGGTGAACGTGCACAGCCCTGAGACGGAGCACCTCCTAAAATTTGGGGGTCTTGTTCTTATTACCAAGGTTATTTGTGTTTACTGTAGAGCACATTGGAGACGCTGGATAGATACTCAAAATACCGAAAAAGAAAAATTGCTCATAATCTCACCACCAGAGATAATTCCTTTGGGAATGGATCCTTCCAAGCGTTTCCTGTGTGTAAGCTTTCACACTGTGGGGTATGTTCGTGTTATGCTTTGATTCCCTAGTTGTTGGGTTTAAAATATTTCAGATTTTTTTTTTTTTTTTTTTTTTTTTTGTGATGGAGTCTCTCTCTCTTGCCCAGGCTGGAGTGCAGTGGCTTGATCTTGGCTCACTACAAGCTCTGCCTCCTGGGTTCACGCCATTCTCCTGCCTCAGATTCCCAAGTAGCTGGGACTACAGGCGCCTGCCACCACATCTGGCTAATTTTTTTGTATTTTTAGTAGAGACAGGGTTTCACCGTGTTAGCCAGGATGGTCTCGATCTCCTGACCTCGTGATCTGCCCGCCTCCACCTCCCAAAGTGCTGGGGTTACAGGTGTGAGCCACCGCGCCCAGACAATATTTCAGATTTTTAAAGTATTTTCTTTTTTCCTTTTTGAGATGGAGTCTTGCCCTGTTGCCCAGGCCAGAGTGCAGTGGCGTGATCTTGGCTCACTGCCACCTCTGCCTCCTGGGTTCAAGTGATCCTCATGCCTCAGCCTCCCGAGTAGCTGGGATTACAGGCGTCTGCCACCACCTGGCTAATTTTTATATTTTTAGTAGAGACGGAGTTTCACCATGTTGGCCAGGCTGGTCTCAAACTCCTGACCTCAGGTGATCCGCCCACCTCGGCTTCCCAAAGTGCTGGGATTACAGGCGTGAGCCACCACGCCTGGCCTTTAAAAGTATTTTCTATTTCCACTGCCTTATGGCCAATAATGGAGCCTGATTTTTAGAATGTGTTGAGGAGTGTGAGTGTGTGTGTGTGTGTGTGTGTGTGTGTGTGTGTGTGTGTGTTGGGGAAGGCACTAGGTTGGAAACTGTCCTCTCATATTCAATGTCAAGTAAGTTTTCCAATAGAGAATCTCTCATGTTAACTTTTAGGATTCCTGTCCTCAAAAGCCTTGCTTGACCTTTTGTCCATGCCACTGAAGACACAAAAATGTGTTCTTTCCCACGGCTAGTATGACGTTGTCCCTTTCTCCCTGTGCCTTAAACATCTTTAAAAACGACACAGATAAGATGCAAAGATTCTTATTTTGAAAGCTTCCAATGCTAAAGAAGAAAGAAGGTCTACCCTTGTCTTCACCCCCAGGTATCACTATAAATCCTTGAAGATTTTTTTTTCTGTGCATTTACCTATCAATATATGTTTTTTACATAAATGAAAATATAGGGCCTGGTTGTCTCGTAAGCTTGCTTTCTCAAAAACAAACTATGTCTTCTTGAATTTAGCTTGTCCGACGCTTCTCCGTGCTGTGCTGCACACTGAGGTGGCAGGTCCCAGGGTTGGTGACATGAGCTCATCCGCGCTTTGAATGTTTTTGAGGTGGGTTTCATTATTTCTGCTTTATTTGGGCTCAGAGAAGCTGAGACACTTGCTGGGCTACCTGGCTACCCTGGCCGAACAGGAACTCCCCCAACGTCCCACGGGGTGCAAAGCATCGCTTCTGTCCCCCACGCTCTCCTGCCTTCACCCAGATTGCAAAAAACAGGCCTCTCACCTGTCTTGGATGCAGTGTGTGGTCCCTCGGTGAAGGTGGCTGGTGCCTGCCCACTCCAGTGCTGGAGGCCTCAGCAGCCACCTAGGCCCAGGCCCCTGAGCCGCTCGCCCTGTTCTGGCTCTGGCCTGAGCTGCCTGCTTCTCTCCCGCTGGGCAGGGCTGCCCCCAGGCTCAGAGGAGCCTGTCCCCAGGATCCCCTGATGATCTTCGCTAGGTTCCCTCTGAGCAGTGGGAAGCCGGGCCTGAGGTATAAATGCAGGATGGGTGCCGGCCCCGCCTGCCAGGGCCTCTGCACGTGGGTACCGCGGTGCTGGCCCAGAAGAGCCAGCTGAAGTCTAATGGACCTGAGCATGAACCCCCGGCCCCCACAGGAGACAGCTTGGCGGCAGTGAAATGGAGGATGAGGCTGGGGCCTTCAAGGAAAGGTGATACCTCCCTTCCTGAATGCCACCAGGGATGGCCGAGGAGACCTCACAGCATTAGTGAGACCCACCGTGGGGGGTTCAGGTGAAGCCATGGAGGAAATGGGGGTTCTTGTGGGCTGGGAAAGGCTATTACAGCCACCCCCAACTGCCTGCCTGGGGAGATGCTCTGGCTAATGGACTCACTAAGGATGCTGCCTACGGAGGGATGGGGAGGAAGAAGAGCTGGGCCCGGAGCCCAGGATCTTATTTCCAGTCTGAGTTCCACTGCTTGTGAGTTGGGGAACCACACCATTCAGGTGACGTCTCTGAGCCTCAAAGTCCTCACCAAAATGCCTGTAGTCCCTCAGGGCCTCCCTCAATTCCTAGAAAGAAGGGGAGCTCACACACATGCCACACAGGCAGATGGTAGAGCAGCCCTTTCCCCCACACCGGCCGAGGCCCCCTTCCTGCCTGGCGAGGGAAGAGTTCTGATGTGTCAGTCCCCTCAAGGGCAGGATGGAGGCCGGCATCTTATCCGTGTCACCTGCCCTGTGAGGGTGCTGGCCTGGAGCAGGTGCCGGGTGGGCCGTATGGGTGGTGCAGCGGATGGCTGAGTCTCTAGGACGGTCCCCGAGCTAGCATGGTGTTCATTCTCACTGTCCCGCCCTGCAGCGGAAGGAGGTATAGGCATGGGAGATGCTGGGCATCTGCTTTGAACAAATGTGCATGAGGAAAGAAAAAGCGGGGACCCCAGACGTTAAGGCTGATCACAGAA
Organism: Homo sapiens; assembly: GCF_000001405.40. Classification (NCBI taxonomy): domain Eukaryota; kingdom Metazoa; phylum Chordata; class Mammalia; order Primates; family Hominidae; genus Homo; species Homo sapiens. The sequence continues at coordinate 68,997,817 of NC_000011.10, forward strand.
GTAACCCTAGGCAACTGACTTGGGGGACAGTCTTAGGGGTGTGGGCGGTGCTGACTCTGCAGTGACAGTGAGGACTTCCCTGGCCTCTTTATTCTGGGTTTGCTGTGCTGGACCTATGGTGCCTGTCTCTTCTCCAGGAGGGGAGATCCTGCCTGAGAATGGGCCAAGACCCAAGAGACAGAGACAGGCTGCTCAGAAAGACATAAGCTTCCAGAAGGTGGCAGTTCTCACATTTTTTGTGCCTTCTGTGCCTAGAACATTGCCTGGCATGTAGAGATGCTCACATTTCTTGACTAATTGCTAGTTGATTGACAGAGTCCCCAGATCCAGGCACCTGGATCCAGCTGTTCTTGAAGCCCATCTTTGCCTGGACTTTTTAGTAATAGGAGCCAGTGCATTCTGTGTGTGTGTGTGTGTGTGTGTGTGTGTGTGTTTCAATGGGGTTTTTGTCATTTGCAACAAAGATTCCTGACCAGTGGAGAAACTAATACCTGAAAGAGGCAAAGAGGCTTGTTGCAAATACCTGCCTTTACATATGCAATTGGCTGGGTCCTGGTGGGATGACACCGTGAGGTTGGTAAAGCCCCACTTTCTGTGTTGGGCCACACGTGTCAGGAGGCAGCTCAGCTCTGCTTCCCCAGGCCTTTAAAGAACATGTGACATCAGGAGTGGTCCCTGCAGATGTCTTATCTGAAGCCTCCCTCCGGGAAGAATCTGCTTTCAAGTTCATGTGGTTGTTGACCGGGCTCGTTTCTTTGCCGGCTGCCAGGCTGGGAGCCTCTGTTTATTGCTGGCTGTTGGCCAAAAGCTGCCTTCAATGGCTTGCCACAGGGGCCTCTCTAATATGTCAGCTCACAACACGGCAGCTGGCTTCATTGAAGCCAGCAAGGGAGAGAGTCTGCTAGCAAGATGCAAGTCACAGTGCTGTGCAGCCTAATCAGCTTTGCTGTGTTCCATCGGTTAGAAGCAAGCCACTTGGTACAGCCCATGTGCACAGGGAGGGGATGACACGAGGGTGAGACGGCATTGCTGGGGGCTGTCTTGGATTCTGGCCGCCACATCGGTGGGCTGACCAAGACCCCCGTTGCGCTGCTGGTTTCCTGCCTAGCACAGAATATGCCACAGACCAACAACCACCACGTGTTTTTGTTCTTTCCTTTTCCTTTCCAAGTGGGAATTCTAAAAAAAAATTATTGTTATTTCCTTTTTCCTTTCCATTGCGTGTTGTGTGTCTGGAGAGTGACCATCATTTGGCCAAAGGGCACTGTTGTGGCCTGAACGGGGTCTCCCCAAAATTTGTATGTTGAACCCTCAAACCCCCTGTACCTTAGAATGTAACCATATTTGGAGAAAGGGTCTTTAAAGGGTTAATGAAGTTAAGATGAGGTCACTAGGATGGTCCCTGAATCCAGTGTGATTGGAGTCCTGATAAGAGGAGGTGAGGACACAGACAGGCACAGAGGGACCACCCTGTGAGGACACAGGGAGAAGGTGGCCGTCTGCAAGCCAAGGAGAGAGGCCTCAGGAGGAACCAGCCCTGCCACACCTTGATTTTGGATTTCTGGACTCTAGGACTGAGAGAAAGAAAATTTCTATTGTTTAAGTGCTCCCACCAGTCTGTGGTATTGGTGAATGGGTGATAGCATCCCCAGAAAGTACTACAAGTACCTTTCAAAGAGGAGGTGTTTGTGGCTCTGACGGAGGGTGGCGTGAGTAACACCCAGGGTGTGGGCTCGGAGCTGGGGAGGCAGGCCCTGCGGTTGACTTTGGTCATCTCTCTTCTGTGGGGAAGGCAGGCATTTTATGTTGTAAATTATACAGCTACAGATTTTGGCTGGGAGCATTTAAAAATCATACTTAGGAAAGAAGTGGGCACGTAGAGGGTGGACTGAGGGGAGGAACGTGGCCAACACCTGCTGTTTGCCTGCCAGTTTGTTTGTTTGTTTGTTTATTTATTTATCGAGACAGAGTCTCACTCTGTCGCCCAGGCTGGTGTGCAGTGGTGTGATCTCAGCTCACTGCAACCTCTGTCTCTCAGGTTCAAGTGATTCTCCTGCCTCAGCCTCCCGAGTAGCGGGGATTACAGGCACCTGCCACCACGCCTGGCTAATTTTTGTATTTTTAGCAGAGACGGGGTTTTGCCATATTGGCCAGTCTGGTCTCGAACTCCTGACCTTAAGTGATCCACCCACCTTGGCCTCCCAGAATACTGGGATTACAGACATGAGCCACTGCACCCGGCCATGCTTGCCAGTTTTACCTTGGGCGCACCTCTTCCCTGTTTTCAGTCCACTGGGCTAAGGTGGGGTGACTGTCACCCCCTGTCCCCCATCCCTGCCTCCAGCTCCTGGGAGGGTGTGTGCCCCTGGCCTGGCCAGTGCACTTGATATCAGGACTTAAGCTAGAATCTCCAGGAAGGGCGTGCTCTTTCTGCTGGGATTGCAGAATTTGTAGAAGATAAACCGAGAACTGCCGCTTACCTGCCATTTAGTTTTTCCATTGAGAATAAATAGAACACAGACCAAAACAGGGATGAAAACAGGGAAAAGAGAAGTGGCCTAGCGAACATCATCTGCGGCCCTGGATCCAGCTGTGTCTGAAGCCAGAATCACTTCTGGAACTTTCTGGGTATGTGAGTTAGTAAACTCCCTTAAATACACACATACCTCCCATGTACCCCAGATGCCAAAGCTAGATTAACCCGGGGTTTCTGTTACTTGCCACCAAGCACCCTGTCTGATATGGTGTAAAAGTCTGCCTGGGACACTAATCTACAGTGGCATAAAAGCAGAGATGGATGGTCCACCCAGGTCGGGGCAGGGCTGTGCCCAAGGCTGGACCTACTGCCCAGTGGTGCCAGGGAACTTTGGGGGGATGATGGAAGCGATTCTTCCGCAGGGATAGAAACATTCTGATGACATGGGCACATAAACATTTGTCCAAGATAATTAAACTGGATATTAAATGGGTCAGTTTTATTTTATGTAAATTAGGTCTCAATTCAATTTATTAAAAAGATGTTTAAAAAAATCTGCCTGAGCGGGGGAGCCTCCTCTTGCATGCCAGGAAACTTGGCGCTGGCACTCTGACTCACCCGCGCAGAGTTTTCCATGAGTTTTGATTTTGTGAACTGTGCCCTGTTGTTTTCAAGTTCTCCAGCTGTCAAGCCCCTACTGGCTTAAAAGGGAATGTTTTGCACTTGTACTCTCAGTGGTTTTAGTTTGGGAGGATCTCTGCAATGTGTTTGCCCAGCTTTTTGGCCTTGTCACCAGCCCGTCGAAGGGCACATTTCCCAGGCCTGGTCATCTCCCTGTATGCCGAGGGGCCGGACCACATGTGGACCCTCATTTCCCTGCCCTACCTTCTAGATGAGGCCCTGGTTCTTGGGGAGGAAGGATGGTCCTAGCTGAGGATTCCAAGCCAAGCTGTGCAGATGTGAAAAGATCCTGGGGGCTTAAAAATCCTGGCATAAAATATAAAATTCAAGTTATCTGAAAATGACAACTGGCAGGGGATCCGGGAAAGCTGGGTGGATGCCAGAAAGGCATTCCGTTTTCCTTTTGTGAAGACAGGAGACAGAGACGGGAGAGGCGTCGGCGTTCAGGCCGTTTGCTGAGTGTCCGCTGAGCACCTTGTTCCCAGTCCCCGCTTTGATTCAGACGCCCACAGCCTGAAACTGAGCTGTTTCCTCCATTGGTCTCCACAGAGTGTGGATAGGTCTCGATGGCCCGTCTGGGTTATCCTAGGGCTGTGATGGGCATGTCCAGGCCACTCCGTGCATCTGCCCGGAACCCCAGTGTCCAGTGCTTTGCAGATGGGAGATGGAAGGTCAGAGACCTGAGCCTCCAGGGCAACAGGAGGGCCACTGTGGGGAGTCCCTGGATGGTGATGTAGGCCTCCAGCCAGGGCCGTCCACCAGCGCGACTGACCTTGGATGAGAAACTCCATTCATGAGCCCCCACTTCCACAGCTGGGGCTGACAGTATGGGCCATGTAGCCCTGCATGGACAGTCAACAGAAAACCTACGTGCAGCTCTTGGCCAGCACCCACTGCCCATAGTATGTCCGCAAACAGCAGATTGGTGCTGGGGACAAACCACTCACAGGCACATCCCTTCTGCAGTGGCCATTCTGCTCCCTGCCCTGAACGCCCGACCAGGGCAATCAGGCACACCGGCTGCCACCCCAGGCCACTGCACCAACTCCTGGAGGTCGGTGCTGTAGCTGACTTATCCAAGGAAAGTGAGGCACAGCAAGACTGAGGTCCCATGGCTTATAGGTGGCAGCCCTCTGCCTCCCTGAGGCTTGCTCTTGACTTTCCAAATTTGGCCTTGCTTATCCCTTGCATAATCTAAAAGAGCAGCTTATTTTTATAGAAATAGTGGGTGGCAGACAGCACGGAAAAGTGGAGAGTTCTGCCCTGCCTGATGCCCCACCCCTGCCCCTTCACCCCACCCTTCCCACATACCACATGGTTGTTACTAAGTCGGCTTTGTAACAACCAGGGCAGCCCAGATGCTCTGGTCCCATGCCCCACTCTCCATTCTGTGACCTGCTGTGGATCCTTTTCCCAGAGCTGTGGGATGGAAATCTCCCCCGCAGCCCTCAGCTCCTCCCAAGCCCACTTTAATAATTAAATACCAAAGGAAGGAGGAGGAAAGTGGAGGAGAGCGGGCAGTTCCCGCTCATCTCATCATCTGTGCAGTCTCCCTCCATTAGCACAGAGAGCGAGGTGGTCCAGGGAGGTGTGGGAATCCTGGGGCTTTGCGGGGGGATGGAGGGGAAGAAAGCTTGTTCCCTAGCAAGACTGCAAACACCTGCACCTGAGAAGGGCCACGGGTTGGGGGAGGCCTAGTTCCTGGGGTTCACCTCTGCCCCTCCCGCCTTAGGATCCATCAGGGCAGATGCCTCCTCCTAGAGTCGGACCCAGCCTATTCCTGACCTCCAGGCCCTGCTACTGCGTGAGGCTGTCCACCCCCTCACCGGCCCTGGCTCTGAGCTGTTGCAGCAGCATCCAGGCAGGGAGGCCCCTTCCTTCTAGGTCAGCAGCTCCCCACGAGGACTCAGGGCTGGAGTCCTGGGGTGGGGACTCCTAAGGAAGAGATGAATTCCCAGGAACTGGGATGCTCTGGGCCCTGAGGAGGAGCCAGGACCCCAGATGGACCCCCCACCCAGCTGCCTTCAGGAGAGGGACGTGCTTCTGCCCACTTGTGTAGCTAGGATGCCCGTGCTGGTGGGAGCTTTCGCCACTGGACGAGGTCCTAGCCCTGCCTCCTGGTGTGTCTGCTCAAGGCCCCACCTGGCTTCTCTGAGTCGCTGGAAATGACCTGTTGGACATGGTGGTCTCCAGCTCTGCTCTTCTGGGATCCTCTGACCAGCGCTGGGGAGGGTGGGACTTGGAGGATGGCAGAGCTCGTTCTGGGCACTGGGAGGGAGCGGGTGGGGACATGCAACCTTCATCACCTAGAGGTCCTGGAACTACGACATCTGGGCCACATGAGATCCCCTCTTTTCCTAGAGCGGTGGTCTTGCTGAGAGGACCTGACCAGGATTGTTAGAAAGGGGAGCATGGAGGAGCAGTGGGCTGAGGAGCAGGGGCAGGAGGGCAGTGGAGGTCAGGTTGGCCGGGCAGTGGATCATCAGGGACACAGAACTGGGGGGTCAGCCCACTGAGGGCTGGACCACTTCACCAGGGGCAGGCTGAGCAGGCTCCAGGGCCTGCAGTTAGAAGGCCACGTTCCAGGTGGCTGGGTGCGTGAACCTGGTGGTACTGCCCACGCCTCTACTCATTCCCACCTGGAGCTCGGAGTGCTGCCCGCCTGCCTGCTCCTGGCTCTGCTCTGCAGACGAGGGGCCCAACTCTGTCAGCCACGTTTCCTGACTGGGGGCACCAACACCTCTGCCATGATCTCTCTCCATGGGACCATGGGGTGAGCAGGCTTGCCTTAAGGCTTGTCTCAAAGGAGCCAGGGTCCTAGGTTGCACACCAGGAACCCAGGATGGGGCCCTTCTGGGGGCTGACCAGAGGCAAAAGGGCCAGGCAGGAACCCTTCTAGCGTGGCGCTGGCTGGGCTGTCATCTTGGGAGGGCTCCCAGCCTATCGCTGGGTTGTAGAGAGATGTCTGGGCACTGGGAGGCTGGCTCAGGGATCTCAAGACAGAGAGGGGCATCCTGAACGGGGGCAACAGGAGGAGAGGCAGCAATCCACTCCACGGAGCCTCCGGTGGACACAGGCAGGACCATGGTGGCCGGCCCAGAGCCTGGCATGGAGGAGGTGAGAGCTGTGGCTCCCAGAGGCCGTGGGGGCCTCCGAGCTGAGAAGGGGCACTGGGATACGCCGGCACAGGACAGCCTGGCTGACCACGGCTCCCTCTGGCAGGGAGTGGACAAGCCACAGGAGCGGGAACACGGGTGTGTGCAGACCCAGCCCCAGGAGGAGGCCTGAGAGCAGAGGCAAAGAGCAAAGTGTGCGGGAGAGCTGGCGGGGGGTGCCACCCGTCCCGGGACTCTGTGCCCTTGGGCGTCCTCACTGTCGGAAACAGAGACCCAGGGTAGGACTGTGGGCATGAAGCCTTCCTGGCTGCAAGTTATAAAATGTTTATTGATATACATTTTGTCTTTTATAAAACTTCCGTTGGCCACATTGGGCCACTGTGCACCACAGTGCCAGTCCCCAGGTGGCCAGGGCGGAGCCAGTGTCCACTTTCGGGTGGGGGCTGGAGCCAAGAGGCTGTCCAGGAGCTGCCCAGTGGGTCCTCATGGCCTGCGGGATACCTCAAGTGCTCCCGGAGGCAGCCTAGGACTGGCTCGTCCCGGAGTCAGAAAAGGCAGGTCAACTACCCAAGGCGGCCAAAGGCCCTTCCTGTCTCCAGAGCCTTGACATAACCAGAAATCCCCCCATCAAAGTCACCAAATGACTCGACGGGGGGAAGGGAGGTTGTTTGCAGAAAGACTTAGCTACAAGGCATGTGAACCAGAACTTTCTTCCAGACACCATTTCCTTCACATTTGCTCACTGATAATGCCTTAAGAGGATCGAATCTCTGGAACAGCCCTGAATGGCAGGGATGAGGCTGCTGGCCTGGTGCTGGCTGGGACACAGTCAAGGAGGGCTGACCCAAGAGGCAGAGGTGGCTAGGCTGGGTGTTGACCTCCTCTCTTTTACCAACCAGCCTAGGGCAAGGAGGGGCCCCACCACCTGGGGGCAACTTCTGTACAAGAGGTCTCTAGGGGAGCAGAATGGGTGGGGGAGCCGGGCAGGGGCCACAGGGTCTGTTTGCTGGTGGCTGCCCAGTCTCCCAGCCACCCCTGGAGTCCCCAGCCCAGGGAGAAGGAGGCCCGAGGAGAGGAAACAGATCTTTCTTCTCCTGTATGGACTCAGAAGCAGGTGCCCATTCCTGTCCCAAGGCGAAGGGTCTTGGAGGCCGCTTCCTGCCCCTGCCTCCTCCAGGCGCTGGAGTCTCAGGAGGCGTTCCCCGGGGGACACTGCATCTCCATGGTGACTGTGTTGGGCGTGCTGCCCCCGGCCTCCCCCAGCTCAGCGCCGTCCCGCAGGGCCCGCTGGAAGACCACCCTGAGCGGCTCCCACAGCCGCTGCGACTTGTCCCTCCCGGCCAGGAAGTAGACGATGGGCTTGGCGCTGCTGTTGATGCAGATGCACAGGTCAGTGACGTACTCGGGGAAGGGGGCCGGGATCTGGAAGACCCAGAAGAGGAACCAGTCGATCCCTAAGTAGATGGAGGACACCAGGAAGACGGAGACCATGGCCAGGATGACGTGGTTGAGCTTGGCAGAGCGCTGGCGCCGTCGGGCCCGGCACTCCACGTGCAGGATGAGGGCCAGGCAGGGCAGCACCATGAGCGGGCAGCAGAGCAGGAACAGGAGGATGCCCAGGAAGATGTCCATGTGCCTGCAGGCCGCGCCGGGGGCCCCGCGGCCCAGGAACACGCAGAAGTAGTTGTGCAGGCAGGTGACCAGGAGGGACAGGACCCACAGCAGGGCGCACACCACGGCCGACAGGCGCTTGGGCCGCCGGCGCCAGTACCAGGCGGGGAAGATGACCGAGGCGCAGCGCTCGGCGCTGACGGCCGGCAGGAGGCTCACGCCGGTAAGGAACATGCAGAGCCCCAGGACCCGGCACACGCTGCGGATGTAGTCGGCAAACGTGCCCAGGAAGCCCCCCGTGTTCAGGATGGAGAACACCGCCTTGCTGAAGAGGTAGCCCACATCGGCGCTGGCCAGGTGCAGGAAGTAGATGGAGAAGGGGTTCCTCTTGATGGAGAAGCCGAAAAACCAGAGGACCAGCCCGTTGCCCACCAGGCCACACAGGCAGAGGAGCAGGAAGATGTAGTTCATGACGGCCGGAGGCGGCAGCATCGCGATCTGCTCGATGGTCAGGAAGCCCCGGCTGTAGAGTTCCGGGGCCTCGCTCAGGCCAGGGCACATCTGCGCAGGTGCAGAGAGGGACACCTGTGATGCCGGCTGGCCCCCACCCACAGACCTGCATCTGGGGCCCAGCGTGGGGGAGGGGGGGGGTCCCAATTAGGGACTTGGGGCAGGGAGGGGGTCTGTAAGGCAGTGGCTGTGGAGCAGCTAACTGGCTGCAACTCTATCCTCAAACGCCCCTGACCTCACCTGATGTTAACTCTCCGTCCCAGCGTCTAGAGCTAGCAGCACACAATGGTGCCTATAGGAGTAGAGGTAGCACCAGACAGTGCCCAGGAAGGGTGCCAGGCTGCCCACCGGTCAGAGTAGACTGTCCAAAAAACGTCCAAGTCGCACAAAAAACTGCAGAGCCTTTCCCTTTTTTTTTTTTTTTTTTTTTGAGACAGAGTCTCACTCTGTCACCAGGCTGGAGCGTGCAGTGGCACGATCTCGGCTCACTGCAACCTCTGCCTCCCAGGTTCAAGCGATTCTCCTGCCTCAGCCTCCTGAGTAGCTGGGACTACGGGCACGCGGCACCATGCCCGGCTAATTTTTGTATTTTCAGTAGAGACGGGGCTTCGCCGTGTTGGCCAGGATGGTCTCGAACTCCTGACCTCAAGTGATCCACCTGCCTCCCAAAGTGCTGGGATTATAGACGTGAGTCACTGCGCCTGGCTGAGCCTTTCCATTTTTAAGAAGAGCAAAGAGACATGACTCCTAAACACAGTGTTAGAATCCTGGATTATACGCTGGATCTCAACAACTGCTGCAGAGGATATCGTTGGGACCACTGGGGAAATGTGAGTATGGACGATGCAGAGATAATGGCATTGCATCGGTGTTGCAGCTTTTGAATGTGACAATGTACTGTGGCTACGCACATTTTCACTATGTGGCTACGGGAACGTCCTTGTTCTTAGAAGATACAGGCTATTTGGGCATCAAGGGCTTGGTGTCTGCAATTTACTTTTGTTTGTTTGTTTGTTTTTGAGACAGAGTCTTGCTTTGTCAGGCTAGAGTGCAGTGGCCCGATCTTGGCTCACTACAGCCTCCGCCTCCCAGGTTCAAGCAATTCTCCTGCCTCAGGCTCCCGAGTAGCTGGGACTACAGGCACGCACCGCCATGCCTGACTAATTTTTGTATTTTTAGTAGAGATGGGGTTTCACCATGTTGGCCGGACTGGTCTCGATCTCTTGACCTCAGGTGATCCGCCCATCTTGGCCTCCCAAAGTGCTGGGATTAGAGGCGTGAGCCACCGCACCCAGCCTTGCAATTTACTTTCAAATCATTCTGGGAAAAAAAGCCTATCTGTCAAGAGATAGAGAGAAAGCACTTGTGGTGAAGGGTTAACGATGACTGAGCTGAGGTGAGGTATTGGCGGGCATTGTACTATTCTTGCAAAATCTTGCAATGTTTCAACAAACACGAAACTATTTGAAGAAATAAAATCACTTGTAAGTTACATTTAAAAAAAAACAACGAGTGGATCTCGGCCTTCCCCGGAGCTGGACCCTGTCCTCTAGTGGGATGGGAGGTGGCTTCCTGATGAGCCAGGGTTGCCCCTGGGGTTTCCAGATTGTGGGAAAGTCCAGGGGGTCCCTGGGGTGGAGGAGAGGCAGCAGCTATTTATCAAGCTGCAGGGAAGCATTTCAATACTTTAACTGTTGGTGTGGCTGTAAGAGTGCATCCCAGCTGAGTATCGGTCCTGCCCTCAGGGTCTAGGCTTGTGTATAAATGCATGCAGGTGGGCCAGGTGCAAGGAACAGGTGAGAGGGAGCACAGTGGCAAATCTGAGAGCCCCTCTCTTGAGCGAAGCGGGCAGCCTGCTGTGCTCCAGCTGGTGGGGGCCAGGGATTGGGTGCACTGGAGTGGCTGATCGTCCTCCCCCGCTCCCTGGAGAAGCCTGAACTCTAGACTGGAATGTGGAACACCCGATCTTTAAATGTTAACATTTAAACATGCTGTGCAGGCCAAACAACCCATCTATCTACAGGCTGGCTCAGCTCTCCGGCAGTCCTCTCCGACCTTTCCCCCCAGAGGCAAAGGCTGCCTGCCCGGAGAACAGTCACTCCTCTTCCCACATCCAGCATCTCCCCTCAAAGGCTGGTTTCTGTTCCCACTGCTCAGGGCTCCCTAACAAAACCAAAGGCAAGGTTATGAAGGCAGGATCCATTCTGCCACCTTCAGATGACTCCCAGCTCTGGCAGAAAGCTGGGTCCTGAGAGACTGTTCTCTGGGTTGGACACCCCGTTGCAAAGGGAGGGACCTCCTAGCCTGCTCAGGTCAAGGGGAATCTGAAAACAGGACTGAAGGTGTTGGCAAAACTCTGGGGAGACTCTGTGAGGTCAGGGCAAGCACTGTAAGGGGGCCCTGCTCCCTCCCTGCCATTCTCTAAATACATTTATAGGCTCAACCCCTGTCGGCTGGTCTGTTCGCCCCAAATCCCGCTCCTTAGCTTCTCTTTCCTGTGGGTGACCTGGACACTCTTCTGGGCTGGGGAACTAGACCGTAGGATCTGGTGCCCAAACAGGCCCAAGAGGACCAGCTCAGGTGCTGGGAAAGAGCTGGGCTTCAAGGGGCTGGATGGAGGCGGTCAGCTTACTCAGTGCCTCTTGTATGCATGCACGCTGGAAAAAGTCTGCAATCCCCTCCTTGGAGTCAGAGGGGGAGGCCGGGTGAGTCACTGGGCGTGTAGCTGCCGTGACCAGCCGCATACTGCCTTGTAGAATGCCTGCTCTGGAGCCCGGCCCCACCCTGGGCTCTGCCTTTGCGCTGGGAGTTTCTGCAGACTGCCTCACCCCACCTACCAGTCCAACCTCTGCCTCCTGCGGCCGCCACTCCACAGCGGTCACTACGGGGAAGAGGGAGAGGGCCCAAGGCCCAAGGGCGTGGGGGTGAGATCCCCAGGGCTGGGCTGGAGTTGCCACTCTGCTCCTGACCCAGGGGCTGATCCCAGTCAAGTTACTACCTGGGTGTAAGCCTCAGTTTCCTCAAATGCAGAAGAGGATGGATAGGAATTCAAGAGATCCTTCGAAGTTGAGAGCGAAGGAAATCCCAGAATTTTCAAGGGATTCAGAGAAGTAGGGGACTAGGTTGGCTGAGGGCAGGAGGAGGGTCAGCCTGGAGGGGTTGTCAGAGTCTCAGGGTGGGTGACTCATGACTAATGGACCCTGGCCTGGGGCAACACTCTCGGGGTGGCCCAGGACCCCCTAGGCTCCATGGAGCACATGACATCAGGGCCACCTTGGAGTCAGCGTCCCAGGGCTTCCTGGCCCGCCTGGCTGTAGTAAGTAGCTGACTGCCCCACCTCTGCAGGGAAGAGATGAAACAAGACCTTGCAAGGATGCTACAAGGCGACCACAGTGTCAGCACAGCGAGGGACCTTGAGGTCCAGTCCTGGTGCTTGCCTCACTGATGAGGACAGGAGGGTAGGAGGGTCCAGGGAACTTGTGCCCGGCCACATAGCCCAGAGGAGCCCACTGCCCACGGTGGGTCCAGAGCTGGAAAGTGGGGCCAGGAAGGGGGGGATGGGGGAGGAGATGCTGGGCTGGGTCTGCCCCTCCCACCCACACCCGTCTGGGCAAGACCAGGGCCCTCCGCCTGTGGCACTTACCTTGTTCCTGTTGCCGGGATGGGCCTCCCAGGAGCAGTTTCCAGCCATCTCCAGGCCTGGCGCGTCTGGGCCCCTGCTGGCAGCTCACCAGTCTGCACACCCACCTGGCAGAAGCCCAGAGAGAGGGTGGATGAGGACAGCAGGGACCCCTCCCCTTCCTGGACCCCCGTGCCTAGGCCCCCAAGGCCTGTGGCTCTCAGCCATCACCTTAGAGGAAAGGCAATCACCCCACACCCTCAGCAGCAGGGGCATTGTGGGACTGTCCTGGTGAGATTCTGGAGGTCACCCCTGGGGCACGGCCCCCTCCTGCCTGTGGACTCCGCGTCAGCCCCACCGCAGCTCACTGGAAAAGAAGCCCTCTCCTTTCCCTTTTCTTGTGAGAGTTCTGGAGCCAGGCTGCTTTTGCAGACATACATTTACTTCCCCACACACATTTTTGGGGCACTTCCTTTGTGCCCTGCCTGGTGTGGGGACAGGGGTTTCCCAGCAATCGGTCCCAGAAGGAGGAGCAGGGGAAGAGGGATCATTCCTGGCAGGGGGAACCTGCTGGAGGAGGAGGGCTTTGGCTGAGCCGCGGTTTGTAACATGCTAAGGCATCTGGCCTTTCCCCTACATGTGCCTGGGAGGCAGGACAGCCCGGTCATCAGCATCACTGTCACCACCACTTACCCTGCCAGCCCGCCTACACCCATCATCTGGTTTGGTCCTCATGACCAGCTATGGGCCAGGTATCCTCATGCCCCTTTGATGGGCGCTCCTGGGCTTAGAGGGTGAGGTCACCTGCCCAAAGGCACACCCATAGCCACACCATGCCCTGCAGCCTTGCAGATTTGTGTTTCGAGCAGCTGCCGTAGGGAGGGACTGCTGGCATAGAGAGGGGAAGCTGCACCCACCCTAGGGCTGCCAATGGGAGGCCTGGGGTAGGGGGTGACCCTGCTGGAGGCTGGTCCACCTTGGCCGGCCAGACCTCATGGGTCTGCCTGCCTTGGGTCCTCTGGAATTGATCCCGGTCCCCCAACCTGAGCTTCACCCCTTGGAGGAAGCTTCTCCCCGTGAAGCCCTGTGCCCCTTCCCCGCAGAGAAGCATCTATTATTATTCCCTGCTGTACTGGGGGGGTAAACTGAGGCTGTGAGCGGAGAAGGGCCTTGCTGGGCACAGCCCAGGTCGCAGGCTGCCGGGCCCCTCCTCTCCCAAGGGGAGAGCTGGGCATCCTGCTCAGCTCAACTCCCCGGAAATTCTTTCCTCTGCGCCGCGCGGGTCCGCCCGGCCTCAGCCAGCCACGTGCCCCCGCCCGCCGCGCACTCCTCCCGCCCGGGGGCGGGCCGTACTCCTGGCCTCCGCGCCCACCATTGGCTAGAAGAGGTGGCCGTCTGCGCGTGTGGCCCGCCCCCTCTTTAACCCTGGGCCTCCCGGAGCTGGTGGCGCAAGTGTGGCCCCAGGGGCCGCTCCCAGGACCCTTCCCACCCAGTGGCCTGGCTCCCCTCGGCCCCGCGCTGCCAGACCGCGCCGCTCTGCGCCTTCAAAGGGCGTTTGTGAGCACCTGTGCCTGGCCTACGGCTGACTCAGCCTGGGGTCTTCGGGGTGTCCCAGGGTGGGGGCACCTTGTGTGCCGGAGTGAGCCAGTGCATTGTGATGTGTGTGCAGTGGGCTTGCAGATGGCTGGTGCTGCGACCTGTATCTTAAGTCTCCCTCCTTGGACTCCAGTTGGGCCATTGTCCCGTTGCCACAGACAGGCCGTAACTTCTCCACGCTCTGGGGCCTGTCTGAGCTTTCCTGCCCTGCAACCCCAGACCTATCACCTGCCCTCATCCTTCCGGGCGCCTGGTAAGAGCCCCCCAAGCTCTCTCCATTGCCCCTACTCTTTTTGGTGGCCCTTCTGGACACCCACCACCCCTAGGTCTGGGCCCCCAGCCTTGTTTCCAGAGATGTCCTGACTCACAGGAGCCTCATCCATTCACCCTGGCCAGGCTAGACCCCAGCCACACCAACTAGTGCCCCAAAGGCAGTGGGCTGGGCTCCCCCCTACGCTGCAGGTGGGCATGCAGTGGGGGCCCCCAGCTCCCCTCTCTACCATCTGCGTCCCTCCATTATGTGGGTGTCCCTGTGCATTTGTCCTTGTCCTGCCAGGGACAACCTGAAAAGCGATTTCACGCATGCACAGAAAGATCTAGAAGCCAGCAGACCCCAGATGGGCCATATTAAAGGACATGTGTGTGACACGTGGATGGGGCGTGCGTGTCAGTACATGTGTATGTGTGTTCCTCTGGGTGGGATCTGGGCTGCTATGACAGAACTAGTTTCCACTGAAGCTGACCCAAAAAGCTGCCAGCACAGCTCACACCTGACCCTCCCCTCGGAGCAAGCCCAAGGGTGGCCTGGCCACCTGTCAGCCTCCTGCAGCCTTGCCCGCAGGAAGCTCCTCCTCTCCCTTCACTCCATCCCACCATGACCCAGCCCCGACGCCGCTGGGGCTGTCCCAGCCCCTCTCCTTAGCCGCTTGTGCCGCCATCAGAGGGGCCTGTCTCGCTCCCCCAGACACAGAGCCTCTGTTTTCCTCACTCCGGGTCTGGAGTCCCCTGCTTAACAGCTTGGATTGAAGAGGCTTGTCTGGGGGGACTGAGACCTTGCAGATCATTCCAGGAGCCGCCTCCATCCAAGGCCAACAGCTTCATCAGGCCGCAGGCCTGGGAGAAGGTGGGACTGCAGTTGCCCAACATCCTGTGGCTGCCCACACGGACACCCCATGTGCACCCCAGGGCTGAGAGCAGGGGGAGCCATCTCCCTGTGTGTGGGACACTGCCTGCTGGGTGTTCCGTTCCAGCCCCTCTAGAATGCATGCTTGAATGGCCAGTGAGGCTGGGGGAGGGACCGAGAGGGAGCCCTCACCCCCAGCAGCACAGAGCAGGAGCTGGACGGTGGGGCTGGGGGTGAGGCCAGCTGAGAGGGGTCAGGTCCTGCCACGGGAGGGGGACTTTTAAAGTTCCTCCATGGCCCTGGAACCCTGGAGCCTCAGGAGTGGCAGGGGAGCTTCTCCGGTGAGTGACAGCCTCTCTGGGGTCTCAGGGCTCCCTGCCTGGGGCCTTAGGATTTCTGGGAGCTGCCTGCCCCGACAGCGTCCACCTCTCTGCCCCTACAGTGCCCGCGTCATTTTCCTTCCCTGCCTGGCCCTCACCCTGCAGCCCCGGTTGTTGGAACACCCTCCCCTGGACCCTGGGCCCCTGGAGCTACCTGCAGCTGTCCTGATCCGCCGAGGCCTCCTTTTGTGGAGGGCTCTTCCTGTGACTCCCGCCTCCGGCCGGCGGACCCGCCGGGGCAGCAGGCCAGCGCCGAGCGCGGCCCGGAGCCTTGGAAAATAGGAGCTCAGAGTAGAGCCCTCTCCTGCTGGAAGAGATGGCTTTGGAAGCAGAACCCGCCCCAAACCCAATTCCTGGCCCGGCAGGAGGGGGAGGGGGAGGGGAGTAGGAGGAGGGGCTGAGCAGGGCTGAGCGGGGATGAGGCTTCAGGAAGGAATGCCCCGCTCAGGAGCCCCCCCCAGAGCCCCACCGGGAACTCATCTCTCCGCCTGGTGACGTCACGTTGGCCCGAGCACTGCAGCCCGAGTCCAGCTGTTCATCTCCCTCACATTCTGCTGCTCGGCAGGGCTGCCCAGGAGAGGGAGCACCGGCTGTACACTTGCCTGGCGTCTTTGGTCTGCCCCCAGTGGGCATTTCGGGGCAGGCTGGCCCAGGAGGGGCTAGTCCCCACCCCGTTGTTTTAATTTACTCAGGGGCTGATACAGAGCAGTGGGGGGCAGCAGGGCGAGGGCTCCATGGAGGGGCAGTGCAGAACTGGCAGAGGTGGTCAGCACCGCCCAAGCGGCACCCCTCCCCCTTCCCACCCCGGACTCGGCCTGGGCCCCCTGGGGGCTTATGGAACCAGGAATTCCCTTTTCCCCAGCCCTAATAGCAATCAGATGGCGCAAGTGGAAAATCACGGCGCTCGGCAAGCAAGCTGGAAATTGGCGGGCTGTGGTGCCTGGTGCCTGCGCTGCTCAGCGGGAGGATGAGTCAGGTCCCCCTTCCCCATTGAGCCCCTGGAGGCGGGCGGTGGGGGGGGGTCCTGGAACGCGTTCATGCCTGGGGCACTGAGCATTGGTAGGGGTGGGGGTGCAGAGTCGGGGGTGCGGGAGCCAGCAGGGTGGCCAGGAGGAGGGGGTGATGAGAAGGCTCCCCTCCTACCCTGGGCCAACTTTCTCAGGGTCCAGGAAGCCCGAGGGAATTCTGAACTTTCCCTGCAGGAGTGTAGTGCCCAGACTGGGAGAGATGTGCCTCTGTGGGCATCTTGAAGGGAAATGAGAAGCGGAGCTGCCCCTGCACCTGCGCTGGGAGCTGCCTGCCTCCTGCTTGTCCTGGCCATGTGCGAACCTCAGCGTGGAAGAGGGACTCTCGCACTGCTCCCTGCGCGGCTCAGCTGGCCTCCTGGGGTCCGTTTTTCAGGGATGGGGTGAGGAGGGACTCTGGGATCCTGGAGGCTCACGGGCCATGCCTGAGGCTGAGAGAGAGGCTGGAGGCAGCAGGCAGGGTGGTGACCCGTCCCCTCCTCTCCAGGGCAGCCAGCTGGGGCCCAGCTGGAACGCTTGTTTACATGGGGAGGCCGGGGGAGGCTGAATCCCGGCGAGTTCCAAGTGTAATTGCGTTTGGACACTTAAAAGGAATTGTGTGAAGTGGGCAGAGGCTCTGAAGTCCACCGCCTTATTTGGTATGGAAATCTGTTTCTCTCAAAATAAGCGAGAGGCGCTTGTAAACGGGAAGGTCGTCCTGGCCTGAGTTTGTGGAGTCCCCTTCCCGTGGGCTTGGTGTGTCCGGCTGCTCTGTTGCAGTACCGCAGACCAGGGGCTTATCGGAGCAGGCGTTTGTTTCCCATGGCTCCGGGGGCTGGAAGGCCAAGATCAAGGCCTCCACAGATTCAGCGTCTGGTGAGGACCCAGCCTCTCACTGAGTCCCCATGTGGTGACCCCTTTCAGGCAGGCGAAGGAGCTCAATGGGGCCTCTTTTACTCGGGCATTAATGCCATTATGAGGCCCCACCCTCATAACCTGCTCATCTCCCAAACACCCCACCTCACACAGGAGATTAGATGTCAACACATGAATTCAGGGCAGTGGGGCAGCAGGGCAGGGGGTGGGGCCACAAACATGCAGTCTGTAGCAGCCACCCTGGGGGTCTCTCCCCACCCCCTGGGGGAGTGGTGGGCTGTGTGTGTGGGGTGGTGCCCAGAGGCCCAGTGCAAGGAGTTCCTGTGCTGCCTCCAGGCTTGGGTGACCGTGGACAGTTTCCTTCCCACTGGGGACCTTGGTTTCCTCAGCTGTCAGATGGGAAAAGATAATGACCCACAGGGTTATAGCAAGGAGGGATTGGATGCCGGGAGGAGCCGGGAGAAAGAGCTCTTCATGCACCTCAGCAACGCCGCTCCCTGCTCCAGGTGTCCCGCTGGTGCCAGGCCCTCCCTGCAAGGCTCAGGGCTCTGGCTGATGCTGAGAATGGGGCATGGTCCCTGCTCGTCCAGCCTTCACTTTCTAAACAGCCACCACTTGCCGTCAGGAGTCCTCCCCTGCCCCTCCCAGTAGAACTTTGTTTTTAATCATCCCTTGCCAAGGGCCTCATGGTCCTACGCCTCTCCCCATGTCCCCTCCTGAGGGTGCAGGCCTGGACCCTCCTCTGTTGGGGGGATCCTTGGGGGAAGGAGGTCGGTTCTGGACAGAGATGTCTCCCTGCCAGGTGCTTCTGTGGCCTATGGTTGCCCTGCTGCTCCCTGGACGAGGGGGTGGGTGTGGACCAGCCCTCGTGGCCCCTCTGCAGCCAGCACCATCCTCAGTAAAGACTACAGGTATTTCCTGAGCACCTGCAGGGTGCCAGGCACTGTGCTCTGTGCTGATGAATAGGACAGGCAAGGTCCCTGCTCTCCGGGAGCTGATGTCCAACAGAGAGGCAGACCAGGTCAAAGGAAACACAGTAAAATGCACCTGCGATGAAGAAGGTGTGCAGGGCCATTCGGCTGGTGTGGTGGCTCACGCCTGTAATCCTAGCACTTTGGGAGGCTGAGGCAGGTGGATTGACTGAGCTCAGGCGTTCCAGACCAGCCTGGCCAACATCGTGAAACTCCATTTATACTAAAAATACAAAAAATTAGCTGGGCATGGTGGCACACACCTGTAGTCCCAGCTACTTGGGAGGCTGAGACATAAGAATCACTTGAACCCAGGAGGTGGAGGTTGCAGTGAGCTGAGATCACGCCACTGCAGCACCCCAGCCTGGGTGAGACAGCGAGACTCTGTCTAAAGAAAAAAGGTTGAACCAAGGCCTAGCTGTCTTTCCTAATAGTGAAAGGGACCCCTCTCCTTCTGCTCTGTTCCCCTCCTCCACTAGGCTGGGCCTTTCTGTGCTGGAAGGTGCATCTTGGGAATCTCAGCAAAAGTCCACATTATCCTCTGTCCTGCATGTGGTAGACCATTCATTTGTTAATTTGTCCATCTTTCCATCTATCCACTTACTCATCTACCCACTCAACTACCCATCTACTTGCTCATCCATCCATCCATCCATCCATCCTCCCATCCATCCATCCACCCACCAGACCATCCATCCATCCATCCATTCACCCACCAAACCATCTATCCATCCATCCATCCAAGTACAAGACCATCCATCCATCCATCCATCCATCCACCCACCAAACCATCCATCCATCCATCCATCCATCCACCCACCCACCAGACCGTCCATCCATCCATCTATCCATCCATCCATCCATCCATCCATCCATCCATCCATCCACCAAACCATCCATCCACCCACCAAACCATCTATCCATCCATCTATCCATCCATCCATCCATCCATCCATCCATCCATCCATCCATCCACCAAACCATCCATCCACCCACCCACCAGACCATCCATCCATCCATCTATCCATCCATCCATCCATCCATCCATCCATCCATCCATCCATCCACCAAACCATCCATCCATCCATCCATCCATCCATCCATCCATCATCCATCCATCCACCCACCCATCCATCCATCAATCCGTCTATCCATCCATTCATCTATCAATCCATCCATTCATCCATCTAGCCATCCACCCACCCACTCACCCATCCACCCATCCATTCATTCTTACCTTAATTCAACACATTTGTACTGAACACCAGCAATGTTGGTGCTAGGAAAAGAATTGTGGAAGAACCAGACATGGGGCATGGGGAGCAGGTGATAAATAGAAAAAACTGAACATAAGAACTCCAACCTGTGATTAGTGCATTGAGAAAACCAAACAGGCATAGTGACAGAAACTTAGGTGGTAGGCAGGGAGGGATGGGAGGTGAGCTGAATAATGGCCCCTAAAGATGTTGATGTCCTAATCCCCAGATCCTGAGAACATGTGACTTTGCACCTGGCCAAAGGGACTTTGCAGTTGGGATGGAGTGAAGGGTCTTGAGATGGGAGCATCATTGTGGATTATCCAGGTGGGCCCTATGTCATTGCAAGGGTCCTTGTAAGAAGGAGACAGGAGATCAGAATGAGTAGTGGGCCATGTGTTGATGTGAGGAAGGGGCCACCAGCCAAAGAATGCAGGCTGCCTCTAGAAACTGGAGAGGACAAGGAAACAAGCTGTCCCCTAGAGCCTCCAGAAGGAACCAGCCCTGCCAACACCTTGACTTTAGGCCTCTGATTTCTGGAACTCTTACTAGAATACGTTTGTGTTGTTTAAGCCACTAAGTTTGTGTCATTTGTTACAGAAGCCACAAGAAACTAATCCATGGGGATGGCCAGGCCTGATTAGCTGGGGTGGGGCTGGAGGCTCCTCTACAGAGATGATGCTTACACTGAGACCTGAAGGAGAAGGAGGAGGTGGCTGCTCACGCAACCCACAGGAAAGTGTTCCAGGATCAAGAACAGCAGGTGCAAAGGCCCCGTGATGGAAAGGATTGGTGCACTAGGAGAACAAAGTGGGTGGCTGCAGGGCAGGAGGGGAGGGTGCATGTGCAGGCTGGGCAGGAGGGTAGGGCCTTGAGGCACCCTACAGGCCCCTGTAAGTCCAGGCACAGAGCTGCTGCCTTGAGCCCTGAGGTCTGGACATTCCAGTTTCCCATCTTTCCAATGTGGGACTCTCTGCCTTTTCCAATTCCCCACTTCCCTGATGCCAGATACTGCCTGACTGTGTCCATCTCTCCCCCGTCCCCTGGGCCACCTCCCTGCTGAGACCCCTCACTGGTGCCTCCCAGGTGCATTCTCCTCGCTGCCCCCAGCAGAGTCCTTCCCACACACCCAGCTCCTCGGTGTGGTGCCTGCCCGTGGGTGGGTGGTGCACCCCACTGGCATCCCTCCTCTGCCCTGTCCACCTCAACTTCCAGGGCAGCCTGGACACCAGGTTTGGTCTACCTCGTCCACACCCGCCTGCTTCTGTCCCGCCTTAAGCGGATCCGTGATGTCCCGTCATTAGACCTTCAATTTCAGCACAGGACTGAATAACTAACCTTCAAAAAGTTTGCAGTAGCCTTGTCACTCCTAAAAATAACAAATAATTCCTTAAACATCATTCAACATCCAATCAGTGTTTGCACACTTTTTTTACAGCTCTGCATGTGTGTCACAAGCTAAACAAGGCCCGTGAGTGGATGTGCTTCTTTTTGGGGTTGGGGAGAGACGGTGTCTCACTCTGTTGCCCAGGCTGGATTGCAGTGGCAAGATCTTGGCTCATTGTGTCTCCCGGGTTCAAGCGATTCTTCTGCCTCAGACTCTTGAGTAGCTGGGACTACAGGCAGTGCCACCACGCCTGGCTAATATTTGTATTTTTAGTGGAGACGGGGTTTCACCATGTTGGTGAGGCTGGTCTCAAACTCTTGACCTCATGTGATCCCCCGACCTCGGCCTCTCAAAGTGCTGGGATTACAGGTGTGAGACACCGTGCCCTGCCTGATGTGCTCCTTTTAATGACAGGTTCCCCGCAGCATCTCCCTGTCCCTCTTCCTCAGTCTCTCTCCTTCCTGCCCTCCTCCTCCCCCGGCCCTGACTTGGGTCAAGAAACAGACACATCACACTATCAGGGAAATAGGGGTTCACACGTGGCGTGGGCAGGTCTGAGGCGTGCGAGTCTGGAAAGCTGTAGTCAGAGAATCAGAGGAACGCTCACTGGGACTTTGGCCAGCCCCTGTGTGGGTACTGGAGCTGGAAGAGCTTGGGAAGCTGCCCCGTGTGGCCGCCACAAGCCTGAAGGAAGAGCTCGTGGGGAGGTCTGTGAAGCCACTGCATCTGGGCGCCATGGCCTCCTGGGAATCACGGGTCCCAACTGACTCACCTTCCAAACCTCACCACGAGCCCTTCTCATTGAGAAACTCTGACCCAGCATCTGTCATGGAAGGGACTCGGGGAACAGTTTCCAGCCATAGGAGGAGGTCATGGGACTGAGAGGCCGTCCAGGTCCAGCACACTCCAACTGTCAATTTGCCATGCGGATACTCTTTTAACGAGACTTAACCTTTTAGTGGGGAGGTGCAAGGAGTTTATTTTAGGGGGTGACCCCAAGAAACATTACAGGGAAGGAAAAGAGTTCTGAGAATTCTCTCCCACTTTGCTTTGAGGGGTCCTGTCTTCAGCTTACCACTGCCCTTGCCTTCTCTGTGGATTATTATGGCAACAGACACTTGCAAACCCTAGGTAGGTCCTCAGCGAGGGTGGCTTGAGCAGCCAGAGACAGGCTGAGAGCAGCTGCCAGGATGGCTGTCGGACCCTCAGGGGCCTGGCGGGAAGCTCACTCCTGCTTTGGGGCAGCAAGAGAGAGGGAAACAGGAGTTGAAGTTGCACTGAACACTGAGGTCACGTGCGGGCTTTCCTTCTGGGCCTGCCACTGGTACGCAAACAAAACTCAAATATGTCTTCAAACCCAATCAAACTTCGTCACAGTTTCCCCTGAGACTGGTGCAAAACTAGTACAAAACTCTTGCTTTCTCAAGTCTGAGAGATCTGGGGTCTTCTGTTTGGGAGAGACCATGTTTCCTATAAACTTTTTATCAGAAGCAGCTATTTCCAGACAAAACTTCTGAATGTTCAGCCTCGAACGCATCTCTTGAATCTGGAATTTCCCCAAGGCTTGATTCCATGGGATGGCTGAACAGATAACACTGACTGGGGGATGGGTGTAGGTGTGTTGGTGTGTATATTTCAAGTCACTTTTGCTTCTTTAAAAATATTTAATTCCAGGAACATTTTTTAAAATTGTGATAAATTGTGCATAGTATGAAATTTATCTTTAGCAATTTATATATTTTTTTGTTTAGCTAGAGTCTAGTTCTGTTGCCCAGGCTGGAGTGCAGTGGCACGATCTCGGCTCACTGCAACTTCCGCCTCCCGGGTTCCAGTGTTTCTCCTGCCTCAGTCTCCTGTGGAGCCGGGATTACAGGCACGCACCACCGCACCCAGCTAATTTTTGTATTTTTAGTAGAGACAGGGGGTTTCACCATGTTGGCCAGGCTGGTCTCAAACTCCTGACCTCAGGTGATCCACCTGCCTCGGCCTCCCAAAGTGCTGGGATTACTGCGCCCGTCCCCATTTGTCCCTTGATCCATATCTGGGTCATGTCCATCTCTGTCCTTCCTAAGCCACACCTGCCTTGCACATTCTGTAACTTCAATGCTAGGTATAGGGCTGACAGCTATGAACACACATCAGATAGACTAGGAATGGGAGGGAGGGAAAGGAAAAAGAACTCAGTAATATATACCATGTACGCATACCGAAGCAGGGGTGAGAGCACAAGCAACCACCGCAAACCTTGTTCCCGTGATAAGGAACAGATAAGGCCTCTTTTCCCCAGCACGTTCCACGCTGCCTTTGCCCACCCGCCATTTCAGCTTGTCACTGTTCTTGGCCTGGTGGGGCGATCCAGGCCTTCATTTTTTTTTTTTTTTTTTTTGAGATGGAGTCTCACTCTGTCATACAGGCTGGAGTGCAGCGGCATGACCTTGGGTCACTGCAAGCTCCGCCTCCCAGGTTCAAGCGATTCTCCTGCCTTAGACTCCCGAGTAGCTGGAACTACAGGCATGTGCCACCACACCTGGCTGATTTTTTGTATTTTTAGTAGAGTAGGGTTTCACCGTGTTAGCCAGGATGCAGGCCTTCATTCTCGAAGGATCTGTGCCCTGGGTGGGGCTACCTCTTTTGCATTGCTGTAGTTTCCTGTGACTTTTTACCATGGGACACCAGAGTGCTATGGGATATGTCAGAGAATCTCCTGGATTCTAGGCATGGGTCTCCCATTTCCATCATAGCAACCCATGAGGGCCAGCCACCTCAGCCGGTGCCGTGACCCCCTCTGTGCTGGTGGGCTCAGGGGTTGATGGTTCAGAGCCTACACTTCATCCTGTGGTCCCACAACATGTCATCGTCTGCCATGAAAAGGTCATTCCTGTGTCCAAAAACTGCTCCTTGCTTAGGATGATGGGGAACTTGGCAAGACAGAGAATTCAGTGGGTACAAGCCAACGGGTCCATTGCATTTGTGAAAACTAAGCTTCTTGATCAGAAGCAATGCGTGGGGAATACACTAATGATCTGTAAGGTCCCATACGCCCATGGATGGTGGTTCTGGCAGAAGCACTGTAGGCAAGGAAGACAAATCCATATTCAAAACAAGTGATTGGACGGGTGCGGTGGCTCACGCCTGTAATCCCAGCACTTCGGAAGGCCAAGGCAGGCAGATCACAATGTCAGGAGTTTGAGACCAGCCTGACCAACATGATGAAACCCCGTCTCTACTAAAAATACAAAAAAGATTAGCCGGGCATGGTGGTGCGCTCCTGTAATCCCAGCTACCAGCCTGAGCGACAGAGCAAGACTTTGTCTCAAAAACAAAACAAAACAAAACAAAAAACCAAGTGATTATTCCAGGAAAAACAAATCTCTGCCCTTTCCAAGTGGAATCAGTCCAAGGAAATCAACCTGCCACGCACGAGGTGGCTGGCTGTCCCCTGGGAAATGATGTCCCATCATGGGCCTGTAGGATCTCAACAGTGATTGTAGATGGTCAGCCTTGGCCAGGGGAAGCTCACATGGCTGAGCTCATGGGAAACCAGGTGGCCAGAGAAACAGGCTGAGTGTCATCCTCGGAATAGGTCATCCGGTCCACCTGTTTAGTGAGAGCCGTCTCTGGGAGGCTGACCGTTGGCCAGTATTTACATGGGACACAAAGAGCTATCTGCCCCCCTTATGCCCATTAAAAGGGATTCGCCTTCATGCCTCTTCCCGAGACCTTGGATTAATTGTCCAATAGTGTTCCTTCCAAGCTCCGGAGCAGTCGTTAGATCCTGCCCATGAATCAGTGTAGACTCACATCTCTGACCATCTCTCCTTCTGTGTAATGTGAACAACCAGGTGCACTGTTTGCAAGTCTGTCCCCGGACACTTCAGGGCCACCCTTACTGGGGCAGTAGAGCTCCAGCTGCCCACTTTCAGGCGATGCCAGCGAGCCATACATAAAACAGACCTGGAGTTTTTTCTTTCTTGGTCAGCTGGTCATAAGGGACTCCCATGAGATCATTCATGTGGAGGCGGGGAGGAGCTCTGCAGTGAAGGGGGTGCACGGGAGTCTGGGCCATCTGCTTGTGCAACGGACTTCAGGAGCTGCTCAAGTCTGAGCTCACGTGGCCCACTTCTACCTGATCACGGTGCTACAGCACACATTACCTGTATCATGTGTTGGATTGGTTACCGTCTAGTTTCGGGTGGGCAGCTCAGATCCTGTGGGAAAATGTGACACATTTAGTCCAACAGCAAGCCAGAAGCTGTTTTTCTTTTTCTTTCTTTCTTTCTTTTTTTTTTTTTTGAGACAGTGTCTCACTCTGTCTCCCAGGCTGGAGTGCAGTGGCAGGATCTTGGCTCACTGCAACCTCTGCCTCCCGGGTTCAAGCGATTCTCCTGCCTCAGCCTCCTGAGTAACTGGGATTACAAGCGCCTACCACCACGCCCGGCTAATTTTTGTATTTTTAGTAGAGATGGGGTTTCACCATATTGGCCAGGCTGGTCTTGAACTTCTGACCTTGTGATCTGCCCACCTTGGCCTTCCAAAGTGCTGGGATTACAGGCGTGAGCCACCGCACCTGGACTTTTCTCTTCTCTTCTCTTCTTTTCTTTTTTTGAGACAGAGTTTCACTCTTGTCACCCAGGCTGGAGTGCAATGGTGCCATCTCGGCTCACTGCAATCTCCGCCTCCCGGGTTCATAGCAATTCTCCTGCCACAGCCTCCTCAGTAGCTGGGATTACAGGCACCTGCCATTATGCCCGGCTAATTTTTATATATTAGTAGAGACAGGGTTTCACCATGTTGGCCAGGCTGGTCTTGAATGCCTGACCTCAGGTGATCCGCCTTGGCCTTGGCCTCCCAAAGTGCTGGGATTACAGGTGTGAGCCACCGCGCCCAGCCCAGAAGCTGTTTTTCAAAAGGAGAATAGTTATCTTCAGAAGAGGACATGTCTTTGCTCTAAAATCCCAGTGGTCTCTTCTGTGACACCTGTTGGAGCCTGCCAGAGGCCTCATACAGAATCCCTACTTGCCCCGGACACCTCAAGATCCACTGGATCTGTTGGGTCTGTTGGGCTCAATAGCATGACAGCTTGAAAGCAGCCTGGATGTATTGCAGAGGCTTCTCTCATTCTGGGTCCTGAAACTGGCAGCAGCCTTGCAGGTTACCAGTGAGTCGGTCGGAAGAGCACACCTGAATGAGGTGTAAGCTGCACCAAAACCCAGAGCCCCACCAAAGGTCATGCCACTTTCTTAACAGGAGGGGGTGCCTGGTGCAGCAACTGGTCTTCCTCTTCAAGGGGCTATCTCAACACGCCCCCCACCATTGTACCCCTAGAAACTTCACTGAGATGTTAGGCGTTTTGTGGGGTTCATTTCCCACTGGCTGACATGCCTGTGTCTTGCCAAGATGGCTCGGGTATTTACTGTTTCTTCTCAGGTCCAACGCACACATGCTATCACTACAGTGGGTCGGTTCGTCAGCCTGTGGAATGGTGAGGTAATGGAAGTACTCCAGAACTAGCTGTCACAGAGGGCTGGAGAGTTGGTAGACCTGAGGTAAGGGGGTAAAGGTGTTTTCCTGTCACTGCCCAACGGAACACACTTCTCATTTGTTTCTATTTTTTTCTTTTTTTTTTTTTGAGACAGAGTCTTGCCCTATCGCCCAGGCTGGAGTGCAGTGGTACAACGATGGCTCATTGCAACCTCTGCCTCCCAGGTTCAAGCAATTCTTGTGCCTCAGCCTCCTGAGTAGCTGGGACTACAGGCATGCACCATCATGCCTGGCTAATTTTTGTATTTTTAGTGGAGACGGGGTTGTGGTATGTTGGCCAGGCTGGTCTTGAACTCCTGACCTCAAGTGATCCTCCGCCTAGGCCTCCCAAAGTGCTGGGATTAGAGGCATGAGCCACCGCGCCTGGCCTGTTTCTGTTAAGTAATGAGTATAGAGAAAAATAATTGGTATTGAGTGTTGGGAGCTGTGTTGATTTGCTCCATAAAAACATTACATCCAGAAAAGCACATGAAGTTGCAGTTACTGCTTGACTAAGTTCACAATATGACTTTTGGTTTTCCATGTTGGGAGAGAGAGGCAGTGCTGGTGGCATCCATGTGGCCCTTTCTACCATAGTAGCCCTCACTCTACCAGTCAAGGAGCCACCCCATGGCTTCTACACCACTGAGTGCCTCTTCCACTGTACTTTCCAGAATGAGAAAATAACCACAGGGTGGGTTTCAGGGCCTGCGGAGCCTCCCATGAGACGGATCAGAACAAACCCCATTCATTGCTTGACCTCCAAAAGCCCCTGCTTTGACTGTGGGACCGCAGTGGCTGTGTGCATCAGGCACAACGAGTACCGCTAAGACTCAGTTCCCTGTGACCGCCCTCCCCTCTGGGTATTTGCCTTTCCATATTCACTCTTCCCAGATAAATGGCACAGGTCCCTTTGGGGACAGCAAGGAAAATGTGTGTACATTGTAAATGTTTGGTGGCAGAGCAGCGTCCTTCCTCAGTGAGACCCAGCCTCACTTTATTCAAGGAGCTCTGGGTAAAATCTGGGAACTGGGTCAGGGCGCCGAGCCTCCACCACAGTGACTCGAGTCAGCTGTCCGTTCACAGAGCTCCTTAATCAGGTCAAGTAAGATCTTAGTAGGTTGCCAAGATGTTAGGCTGAATGATGTTAAATTGTAGTTTTTCTTGTTGAAAATGGTTAAACAGCCGGGCACGGTAGCTCACACCTGTAATCCCAGCACTTTGGGAGGCCAAGGCGGGTGGATCACTAGGTCAGGAGTTTGAGACCACCCTGGCCAATATGGTGAAACCCCATCTCTACTAAAAATACAAAAATTAGCTTGGTGTGGTGGCGCACACACGTGATCCCAGCTACTCGGGAGACTGAGGCAGGAGAATCGCTTGAACCCGGGAGGCAGAGGTTGCAGCAATGAGCCGAGATCGTGCCACTGCACTTCAGCCTGGGTGATAGAGCAAGATTCCATCTCAAAAAAAAAAAAACAACAAAAAACAAAAAAACAAAAAAACAAAAAAAAAAAGAAAAGAAAGAAAATGGTTGAACATTGGCAATTTTACATGGTAAAACCAACTGTTTCAGTCCTAGGTTCTTCATGGTGAGTTAACCACTGCCAGGGAACTCTGGGGTGGGGGTGGGGGGTCAAGCCATTCTGATTATTAATCCAGTTCTCTGTGATGTAACGACACCCTCCCTGTCTGCGTGGTGAACTGTCCCTTGGCCCCGCCACTTTGGGATTCCACCATCCTCACTGAATTCAGGAAGCCCATTTCAATGGCAGCATCTCCCACTGTCACTCCTAGCCTGCAGAGAGCAGCCACTACAAACTCTTCAAACATGCTGATGTTCCTGACCCAGTGTCTTTCTCAATGCTTGGGTGAGGGGCCCTCCTGAGGGCCTAGTTAGGGGATGAAAGAGTAGATTGCGGCTGGGCGCAGTGGCTCACGCCTGTAATCCCAGCACTTTGGGAGGCCGAGGCAGGTGGATCACCTGAGGTCAGGAGTTCAAGAGCAGCCTGACCAATATGGTGAAACCCTGTCTCTACTAAAAATTTAAAAAATTAGCCGGACGTGGTGGCAGGAGCCTGTAGTCCCAGCTACTTGGGAGGCTGAGACAGGAGAATTGCTTGAACCCAGGAGGTGGAGGTTGCAGTGGGTCGAGATTGCGCCACTGCACACCAGCCTGGGTGACAGGGCTAGACTCCATCTCAAAAAAAAAAAAAAAAAAAAACAACAGAGTAGACTGTACATGATACATTCACTCCAGTATTCCTCTCCTTAACTCTGGGTTTTTTTTTTTCTGTTTTGGTTTTGTTTGTTTGTTTGTTTTTCGAGACAGGGTCTCTCTCTGTCATCCAGGCTGGAGTGCAGTGGTGTGATCACAGCTCACTGCAGCCTCATCCTCCTGGGCTCAGGCCTCCTGAGTAGCTGGGACCACAGGTGCGCACCACCACACCTGGCTAATTTGTTCCATTTTTTTGTAGAGATGAGGCTTCACCTTGTTGCCCAGGCTGGTCTCAAACTCCTGTGCTCAAGTGATCCATCTGTCTTGGCCTCCCAAGTGCTGGGATTCTGGGTGTGAGCCACTGTGCTTGGCCCTACTCTTTGGACACCTTTCTCTACTGCAGTGGCTCTCAATCAGGGGAGATTTTGCCCCCCATGGGGACACTTAGCAATGTCCAGAGGCATCTTTGGTTGTTATGGCTGGGAGGGGTACGTTTCTAGCATTGAGTGGGCAAGGGATACTGCTAAGGTCCCCACAACCTCCCCCAACAGCAAAGAGCCATCTGGCCTCAAATATCAATAGTGCTGAAGTAGAAAAACTCTGCTCCACGGAATTCCAAAGAAGTCCTGGAATCCCATCTTCATTTAAAATGGGTCACCACTGGGCTGGGTGCAGTGGCTCATGCCTGTAATCCTAGCACTTTGGGAATGGAGGTGGGTGGATCACTTGAGCTCAGAAGTTTGAGAACAGCCTGGCCAACATAGTGAAACCTCATCTCTACTAAAAATACAAAAATTAGCCAGGCGTGGTGGCAGGCACCTGTAGTCCCAGCTACTTGGGAGGCTGAGGCAGAAGAATTGCTGGAACCCGGGAGATGGAGGTTGCAGTGAGCTGAGATTGTGCCACTGCACTCCAACCTGGGTGACAGAGCAAGACTCCATCTCAAAAAAAAAAACAAAAAACAAAACAAGGCCTGGCATGGTGGCTCATGCCTGTAATCCCAGCACTTGGGAGGCCGAGGCAGGTGGATCACTTGAGGTCAGGAGGTCGAGACCAGCCTGGCCAACTGGGTGAAGCCCTGCCTCTACTGAAAATACAAAAATTAGCTGGGCATGGTGGCGGGTGCCTGTAATTCTAGCTACTCAGGAGGCTGAGGCAGGAGAATCGCTTGAACCCAGGAGTAAGAGGTTGCAGTGAGCAGAGATCGTGCCATTGCACTCCAGCCTGGGCAACAAGAGTGAAACTCTGTCTCAAATAAATAAATAAATAAAAACATGGGTCACCACTGCTCCAGGTTTCAGTTGATGGAATGGGCCAACTCTGAGAGCCACTCCCAGGTGCTGAGTGGACACGTGGAGCTCAGAATCTCTGGTGAGTGCACCATATCAAAATAATTAAGCCTGACCCGGCATTACTTTCTTCCCCCACCCCGCCGGTCTGACACCCTTAGGGTTTGTTCCCCTACAGATTTCCTAGGTTTCTGCCAGTATGAACCGGAAATAGCTTGCAATTCTTTTGTTGTGTATAGTACATCTTCCTGGGTCAGATTTTGTGGCCACATTCCTGGAGCTCACCGGGATTTCGATCTAGAAGCTGGAGGTGGTAGGGGCTCTTGAGGAAGAGTCTACCCTAGGATTAGAATCTTCCCAAATGGAATCCGTTCCACCATTCAGGGATCCACTCTTTCCCCGTCAGTGCCCTGACTTTCACAGAAGAGAAACTTGCGGCCCTGAGTTCAAGTGTAGTAGTTGAACTTGATTCTATTTTGCCACCCAGGGGATCAGAGTTTGGATTTGTTTATTTTTTTGATCTCTCAACTCTGTGGCTACAAGAGATATGGACTTCTTTTCAAGCACCAGTGGAGGGTTTCTGGTACTTTAGGTCTTGAACTGGATATTTAAAACCCTGAGCTCCTATTTTTTTCCCCCAGCAAATTCTCCGGTGCAATAGGAGGAGGCCACCAACTTCACAGGATGCAAACTCTGTATTTCACCATCGCGTTCTGTTGCAACAGCTACCGTTGCCTGTTTGCCTTCTGCAGGCACTTGACCCCATGTGATTGCTGATGAGGACTGCAGCAAGCTTCCCACACCTTCCCCAGCCCCACCCTCCAGCTCCTCCTGCATTTATGGAAGCACTGATTTCTATAGTAAGCCCCTTTTTCTCTGGAATGCATGGAGTGGCCCTGCTTTCCTCTCCAAACTCAGATGGATATGGTTTTTAATTTTTTAGTTTAAAAAAATTTCTTTTTGGCCAGGCACGGTGGCTCACGCCTGTAATCCCAGCACTTTGGGAGGCCGAGGCGGGCAGATCACAAGGTCAGGAGATCGAGACCATCCTGGCTAATACAGTGAAACCCCATCTCTACTAAAAATACAAAAAATTAGCCGGGCGCAGTGGCGGGCACCTGTAGTCCCAGCTACTCGGGAGGCTGAGGCAGGAGAATGGCGTGAACCTGGGAGGCGGAGATTGCAGCGAGCCCAGATAGCACCACTGCAGTCCGGCCTGGGTGAAAGAGCAAGACTCCATCTCAAGAAAAAAAAAAAAAAAATTCTTTTTGAGACAGGATCTCACTCTGTCACCCAGGCTGGAGTGCAGTGCAGTGGCATGATCACGGCTCTCTGCAGCCTCAACCTCTGGGCTCAAGCGATCCTCCCATCTCAGCCTCCCGAGTAGCTGGGACCACAGGCACGCACAACACCCGGCTAATTTGTTGTGTTTTTTGTAGAGATAGGTTTTTGCAGTGTTGGCCAGGTTGGGTCACAAACTCCTGGTTTCAAGTGATCTGCCTGCTTCACCCTTTCAAAGTGCTGGGATTACAGGGATGAGCTACTGTGCCTGGCCAAAAAAATATTTTTTTAGAGATAGGGCCTCACTCTGTTGCCCAGGCTGACTGGAGTGGCGTGATTGTAGCTCATTGCAGCCTCCAACTCCTGGGCTCAGATGATCCTCCCACCTCAGCCTCCCGAGTAGCTGGGACTACAGGCAGGCCTATGCTACCACAATTGGCTATTTTTATGATTTCTTTTTTTTTTTTTTTTCTGGTAGAGACAGGGTCTCGCTATGTTGCCCAGGTTGGTCTTGAGCTCCTGGCCTTAAGCAACCCTCCTCCCTCTGTTTCCTAAAGTGCTGGGATTACAGGTGTGAGCCACTGCACCCAGCCTACTATACGTCTTTTGAAAACCTCTCTAGGCTGGGTGAGGTGGCTCATGCCTGTAATCCCAGCACTTTGGGAGGCTGAGATGGGCAGATCACAAGGTCAAGAGATCGAGACCATCCTGGTCAACATGGTGAAAGCCAGCCTCTACTAAAAATACAAAAATTAGCCAGGCGTGGTGGCACATGCCTGTAATCCCAGCTACTCAGGAGGCTGAGGCAGGAGAATTGCTTGAACCTGGGAGGCAGAGATTGCAGTGAGCAGAGATCGTGCCGAGATCGCGCCATTGCACTCCAGCCTGGAGACAGAGCGAGACTCCATCTCAAAGAAAAAAAAAAAAGAAAACCCGTCTCATTGTTAAACTCTTACCAGGAACCTTATAGAGAAGGGGATTCAAGGACTTGCAGCCTTAGAGGGATGTGCTGGCGGGGCCACGTTACTCTTTCTTGGTTTAGTGTAGATTTTGTTGTTGAGAACCTTTGTGTTTTTATTCTTGTGGCAACCCTCCCCCAATACCTTCATATGATACCTTTAATCCCCTCTTTTTTGGCAGGGGGGATTGTCGATTGGTTTTCTTTTGTTGATTGGTGTTCTTTACTCAGTTTAAAAATTTTTTATTTTATTTTATTATTTCAGAAAAATTTTCTTGAATTATAATTATTATTTGTTCTGCTTCATTGCTTTGGTTTTCTTCTGGGATTCCTATTGTATGTATCTTGAATCTTATTTGCCTATTTTCTATAGCTATAATTTTCTCTAGACTTTTTTTTTTTTTGGCTTCAACATTTCTTTTTGGTTTAAAATTTTTTCTGCTTTCTTTCTTTCTTTCTTCTTTCTTCCCCCTTCCCTCCCTTTCTTCCTCCCTCCCTCCTTTCTTTTTTTCTCTCTCTCTTTCTTCCCCTCCCTCCCTCCCTCTCGTCCTTCCTTCCTTCCTTCCTTCTTTCCTTCCTTCCCTTCTTTCTAGATAAGAGTCTTGTTTTGCGCAGGTTGGACTTGAACTCCTGGGCTCAAGCGATCCTCCCTCCTCAGTCCCCGAGTAGTTGTGACCGCAGACATGAGCCTCAACAGCCTGCTTTTCCTAGTCTGTTTCTCTTAAGGCTTTATTTGTGGTACTCATTTGCCCTTCTACTCCTTTTAGTTTCAGTCTTCATTTCTTAATTCCTTTTCTCTTTTAAACTCCTTTCTGATTTCATCATCTCTTTACAACTTTTCCTTTTCACCGATTGCTTCATTTCTGAGTTTTTCTAGTTTTGATTTATGCTATTTTCCATAACTTCTATTAGTTTCTTAATATCTAAAATCACAGCTTGTTGTGCGATGTTAAAGTGACTGCTTCTGTCTGTTTTGAGGACATGTCCTTTGGGCACACCATCGTTGGCTGGGTAGGGCTGTCATTCTGCTCCTTTGTCTCTCTTTTTTATTTTTATTTTTGAGATGGAGTTTCGCTCTTTTTGCCCAAGCTGGAGTGCAATGGCGAGATCTTGGCTCACCGCAACCTCCACCTCCCGGGCTCAAGCAATTCTCCTGCCTCAGCCTCCTGAATAGCTGGGATTACAGGCATGTGCCACCACGCCTGGCTAATTTTTGTATTTTTAGTAAAGACAGGGTATCACCATGTTGGTCAGGCTGGTCTCAAGCTTCCGACCTCAGGTGATCTGCCTGCCTCAGCCTCCCAAAGTGCTGGGATTACAGGCATGAGCCACCGTGCCTGGCCTGTCTCTTTTTGTATAGCATCTCTGTATGGGATTGGACAACACTTCCTTCCTGTTGATCATTTCCCCCCCACAGTGAGATGCATCTTTCTGAATATCTCTGGGGGAAAGGTGGGCCAGGATAGCTCCCTTGAGAGCGCCCTCTGCTCTTATTAAGTTGGTGCAAAACTAAAAAACTGCAATTACTTTTGCACCAACCTAATAGTTCTGAGAAGAGATGGTAAACACAGCCCCTTGCTTTCTGCAACCTGCTGCCTCTGTTCTCTTCTCTCCCTTTTACTGGGACCTGTTTTCCTTTGTGCTTCTGCCCTGGTCAATTTGGATTCTACCCCCAGCAATTTCTTCTCGGGGCAGGGCTTTGTCTTGGAAGCGAGTTGCATTTTGTGAATTTCAAGAGTCCATGGCCCAGATGGCTCCGGCACCGTCTGCCTTACTGCTTTCTCCTTGCAGGCGCCTGCAAGTGGAAGGAAGGCTGTGAGTCTCCCTGCTTTGACTCTTGTTCTCTGACTGGACTATGGGCTTTCCAGGGAGTACCTGCTGTGATTTGGGGGTCTCTCCAGATCTCAGGACCATCAGAATCCCCGTCTGCATTGACTTCTCTCCTCTTCCTCTCCTGCGGTTGCTGATACCATGCAAGGCTTGTGGCTGTCAGTGACTTTGTACCCCCCTGCTTGTGTGCTGTGGACACCTTGCCATCTAGTCCCGTTGTGGCTATAGTTATCCAGAGGTTTTTGGTTTTTCTATCCTAGATGCTCTGTCAATTGTTGGGGAATTTGGGGAGGTGGAAAAAACTATGGCATCACTGTCCCATCTTCCCAAAATTGCTTTCAAACCCACTTACCAAAAAGTAGCAGAAACATTCATTATAAAAGCCACAGTGTGGATGGCAGCCCCCAGTGTTCTTCAGGGGAAATGAGAAGCTTCAAAGAGCAGAGCATGACATGTCTCAGGGCCTGGGCCCCTGTCTTGAGACTGCAGAGACTCTGTGGATAGAGCTCTAAGCAGGGCTGCCCTGTCCTGTTGCTGGGTTGTGCACTCCTCAAGTGCCCCTGGCTGAGAGGGTAAGTGGGGCTGAATCCCAGCCCATGCTGTTTGCTGAGTCCTGCGTCTGGTCCTGGGATGTACCCCTCCCACCTTGATAATGTACGCAGGACCTAGCAGCTTTCCTGACCATAGGGGAGGGGGTGGCTGTGTGGTTTTGAGGCCTTTTTTCTGCGGGGGGCGGAGGGGGGTCCCTGCAGGGAGGCCTGCAAAGCCTGAGTTCTCTCCCTGAGATGGGGAGAGTGACCACCAAGTTCCATGCATGTCCTCCCGGGTCTGAGCTGCACCAAAGTCACTTCTGGTAGAAACGTGGAGCTCCGGCTGGGCGCGGTGGCTCACGCCTGTAATCCCAGCACTTTGGGAGGCTGAGGTGGGTGGATCACGAGGTCAGGAGATCGAGACCATCCTGGCTAACACGGTGAAACCCCGTCTCTACTAAAAATACAAAAATTAGCAGGGCGTGGTGGTGGGCGCCTGTGGTCCCAGCTACTCGGGAGGCTGAGGCAGGAGAATGGCATGAACCCGGGAGGCGGAGCTTGCAGTGAGCTGAGATTGCGCCACTGCACTCCAGCCTGGGGGACAGAGTGAGACTCCATCTCAAAAAAAAAAAAAAAAGAAATGCAGAGCTCCCTCACCTCTGTCCTTAACCATGCTATCTTCAGCCTCATCTGGGAAAGAGGCTTCCGGGAACAGGAGCAGGGGGACCCTCAGCCAAGCCAGGAGCTGGATGAATCATGCTGGCTTGGCCCAGTCCACAGGGGCTCCAGGTAGAGGGACTCTAGAGCCACAGTCCTCCCGGAGGAGTTTCCCCAACTTTCCAGCCCCTGGCCCACCGTGGACTGCTGGGGTTCCTGGTTGGTGCGGGCCCTTTTCTGCCCCTCGGTTTGTGATCACACTGTTTTCTTTACCACTGTCCCTTGGAAAACTTCCATGCATCCTTCAGGGCCCAGCTCAGATGTCACCTCCTCCAGGAAGCCTCCTCATGAAGCCTTGCTTCTTAGCCCAAGCTCAGTTTGTCCCTTCCGTAAGTGCTGCTGCTCCTGACTCCATTCAACACGTGTGGATTCTGTCGTGCATCAAAACACCATTTGCTGAGCAGCTACTATGTGTTCAGTCTCTGTGTGTTACCCTGGGGTAAATAAGACAGACCTGGCTCCTGGCCCCGGGGGGGTGTGCGGTGAGATTATCAGGGAGGGGCACCATGGCAGATATGCTGCTGTCCCCAGTGCCCAGCAAGGACCTGGCATGCAGGAGATGCTTCATGGGGGTTTGGTGCTGGGCGAACGTCCTCAGCGTGGAGGCCTCAGCCAGCACAGCAGGGGAGCAGAGGCTGTCTTTGGCATTAATCCCTGAGTAGCTTCCTGGTCCCAGCTGCTGGGCTGGGGGACATCGCCCACTCTCCAAGCTGCTCACATACATTAGTAGCCGCTGGAGATGGGTGGGGGCTTCTCAGCTTCACAGGGGCAAGGTGCAGTGGCAGAGTAGGCCTTGCCCATGAACCGCCAGGGTCCCCTAGCCGAGATGAGTTCCCTCTGGCAGGCTGTGGAAGGATCATCCCTCCCTGGGTGCGTGACCCCCAGCCCCGCCCGACCTCAGGTCTATCCCGGGGCCTCCCCTCCCACCTCCGAGCTCTGGGTCCCCCGCTGTAAAAAGCCTGCAAGGCTGGCTCAGAGTCTGGTCCCAGGGCAACTGTGGGGTTGGCCGTGGCCCCACCCTACTGGGTCTCACTCACTCTCAGCTCACCTCAAAGCCCTGAGGTGGGAGTCCTGTGTAGCCCCTTTCTGTGCCAGAGCACACCCAGACTTTTCTCTTCCAGCCTGGGGCTCATCGTCTGAGGGCAGGGCTGCCTTTAAGACATCGTGGGGTTCGGCCACCCCAGTGCAAGCTGCCCCCACCACGGCCCCTCTTCAGGCCCAGGGGTGAATGGCTGCTTGTACCAGGTAACTGCAGCCCAGTCTCAAGCCATTGTGTCCCTGAGGCACCTGGTCCCCCTGGAGGGTCGGCCTTCTTCCCCTCTAATCCCCCCAGGCCTCTCCCAGGGACCTCTTAAAAGCACAGATCCCACGTGTTTCTCTCCCTTGCTCAAGACTGTCTGGCGGCCTTCTCCTTGCTCTCGGAGTGAGGTCTAAACCCCTCAGCACGGACACCAGGCCCCACGGGGTCTGCAGCTGCCCCTCACTTCCTCTGGGTCATCTCCCCTCAAGCTCACTGCTCCCAGCACCGCCCCTGCACACTGCGGCTCCTCCTGCCTCCCTGTCTGTACCCACCGTGTGGAGGACCCCTCATCAGCCTTCAGACTTCAGCTGAAGCGGCACCTCCTCCCAGAGGATCTCCCTGTTTATCTCATTTAAAGATGGCCCGCTGCGTGTGCGCTTTTGAAAATTGCACCATAATTCGCTTACTATAAAATGGGCCCTCTTAAAAGGATACACTTCAGTGGCTTTTAGTATATTCACAAGGTTGAACAACCATGACCACTTTCCAATTTCAGAATGTTCTCATCACCCCAAAAGGAAACCCTATCCCCGTAAGCAGTCTCTCCCTGTTCCTCCCTCTTCCCAGGCCCTGGCAACTGTAAAGCTGCTTTTTCTCTCTCAGGACCTGCCTCTTCTGGACATTTCGTATAAATGGAATCGTGTAATATGTGGCCTTTCGAGCTGGGCTTCCTTCACTCAACGTCATGTTTCCAAGATCCATCCCCATTGAAGCTGGTGTCGGAGCCTCACTGCTTTCTGCGGGCAAGTAACATACCATCCGGAGTGGGTTACGTTGGTTCCTTTCATCAGTCCCTTGGTAGCACAAGTCCAGTTTGTACTTTCTATTTTTATTTTATTTTATTTTATATTATTTTATTTTTGAGATGGAGTCTCACTCTGTCTCCCAGTGGCCCAGCTACTTGGGAGGCTGAGGTGGGAGGATCGCTTAAGCTGGGGAGGCCGAGACTGCAGTGAGCTGTGATTGTGCCACTGCACCCCAGCCTGGGTGACGGAGCTAGACCCTATCTCAAAGAAAATAAAGAAAGAAAGAAAGAAACAGAAAAGAAGACGAGTGAAAGTCCTAACCGCCTTTGTCTCTAAAAAACTGTTTTTAGAGACAGAGTCTCACCCTGCCGCGCGGCTGGAGCTGCCATGCCATCACAGCTCACCTCAGCCTCAAACCTCGGGTGCTCCTTGTGTGTGGTTGTCGGGGGAGGGTCTGAGCTCGGCACTGCCTCCTTGCAGGGGTGCATGGTGCCACCTGCAGCACGTTTGCACTCCCCGACCCAGGACAGACTGGTGGTGCCCCCTTGCCGGCCCCTGCGCCCCTCCACGCAGGGAGATCTGTGCCCTAGGAACAGCTCCCAGCCATGGCCAGGGACCACCGGGAGTGGGGAGAACAGCCTGCTTTCCCACCTCCCCGATACCTCTGAGGCTTGTTCTATGTGGTCTCCCAGAGGTCTCCACGGGGCCTAGCCCCGCTGCCACTGCTGAAAACTTGCCTTATTTGGCTTCTCCCCTCCCCTGCGCCCCTTCCCTCTTTCCCTCCCACCCTTCCCAGGCTCTCCACCAAAACACACTACTTGTGCTCAAATCCTTGTCTCAGCGGGAGCGTCCAGGGCCCTGGCCTAAGAGCTGGCAAGACCCCAGCTTCCACCCCGCTGGCTGTCCTCCCAGCTAGGCCTGACTGGCCCCTGCTTCTCCTGGGGCTTCACCCCCAGTGCCCCTCCCAGCCTTTTCCCCTCTCTGTACCCCCAACCCCCTCTCCCGGGGCTTCACCCCAGGGGCCCCTCCCAGCCTTCTCCCCTCTCTGCACCCCCGACCCCTCTCCCAGGGCTTCATCCCAGGGGCCCCTCCCAGACTTCTCCCCTCTCTGTACCCCCAACCCCACAGGCCTCTGGGCTCGGACTTCAGCCCTCACTTTCCCGACGCCACCCTAGTGACTCTCGTCCCCCACCGGCCCCTTCCTTGGCTGCCACCACAAGCCATTTGGTTCACAACATAGCAAATGGCCTGGGTCTCCCCGAATTCCTGTTGCTTGTGTCATATGCAAGAGAACTCAAAATAGCACGTGCAGCCTGCCCTGGCCTGGGAAGTATCTGGTTTTCCCAGGGGTTGGTCCCCAGGGCAGGACAAGGGGGTTTGCTCACCAACACCCCATTTTTGGGCCCTGTGCCCAGCTCACACGCTCTCCTTCCCCTCCAGGGCCAGGCTTGGCTTTCACTGTGCCCCTCGCTCACTGTGTGACCTCAGACAACGCACACAGCCTCTCTGAGTCTTCATTTCCCAGCGTGCAACACAGGGATAATTCCTGGGCTGCTCTGGGCAGTAGTTTCAAGGTTGAAGTGTGACAAGGGATGGGAGAATAGCTCATGAGTTTTTTTTGTTTTTTTTGTTTTTTTTTTTTGAGACAAGTTCTCTCTCTGTCACCCAGGCTGGAGTGCAGTGATGGGATCATAGCTCGCTGCAGCCTCGACCTCCCCGGCCAAAGCGATCCTCCCACTTCAGCCTCCCGAGTAGCTGGGACTACAGGCATGTGTCATCACACCCAGCTAATTTTTAAAATTTTTTATAGCGATGGGGTCTCCCTATGTTGCCCAGGCTGGGTTTGAACTCCTGGGCCCAAGTGCTCCTCCTGCCTTGGCCTCCCAAGGGATTGGAGAATACCTGGTGATTTTAAAACAGCATTTTTTTTTTTCTCCCAGAGAATGGGCATGAAGGGAAGGGGGTGGGAGGGCAGAAACCTGGCCTGGGGCCCTACCGCATGTCCCTTCTGTCTGCAAACCTGGGCCCTCACCATCATTATCCCCATTCTACAGATACAGAAACCGAGGCTCAGTGAGATCCTGGGGTTGCCAGAGCTCATGGGGCTGGCGGTGGGTGGGTCAGGGCACAGGCTTTGCTCACATGACCATGAGGCTGACGGTTTTTGCTTTCTTCCACGTGATCTTAGCAATCATCAGAGACTGTTACAATGAGCACGTTTGGTGTTATTCATTAGTGCCTAGGACAGTTCATGATATGTAGTAGGTGCTCAGTAGATGCGTGGGTGAATGAATGAATGAATGAATGAATAAAACCACAGAGCTCCCCTTAGAAAGACCGATACGGATACATGACCCCTGTGGATGCAGCTAAACAGAGGAAACCCAGCTGCACGTGGGCAGTCGGCCTGACGCACCCGGAGCCGGGGAAGTAAATATGGCCAAGAAGCACCTGGAGCAGGTCCCGGGTGCTCAACCGCAGACGGCCAGTCTCCAGGCTGCGGGGACGCTCGGGTCCTTCTTGGGAGGTTCCTGCAGGGGAGCGGAGCTCCTGCCTCCCCAGGCATTCTCCGTCTTGGGAGACATTGATTTCAGTGCAGTGCTGGTGCCTCCAACTCATTGCTGGACCTCACAGAAGCCCCGGCAGCCTCCCCGGAAGACATCATTTCTTCCTCCTATAAAATAAAGGGGGAGAGATGATGGGCACTTTGGCCAAAGTAACACAACTGGGGCAGTTTTTGGAAACCCAGGGAGGTATTTCTGATATTCAAACCAAGTTAGGTGCAACCTCTGAGTGCCTTGGGAGAAAAAGCTCCCAGTCGATGGCACCAGCCCTCGGCCTTGGCAGGACATAAGGGACCCTCAGGCTGAGCCAACATCACTGTCCCCACCAAGAATAAGTCTTTCTCCACTGCTGGTTCCAAAAGACATGCGTGACGGGCAACAAAAGCCACATTGGAGAGTGCAGCTGTGCTGTGAGGGTCGTTCTTGGTTCATTTATGGGGTAGCGGGGCGGGGGGAAGAGGAGGACAGAGTACTCTTATGACTCTCCTGGGTTGTTTTCTAGCCTAGGGGGAGGGTAGGGAATGGGGTTTCTGTGCCAGGGACCCCCTTTCTCATCGACCTCACACAACACTGGCTCACACAGCTGGGCCAGTCTCCTTCGCAAGAGGAAGCCGCTGTGTTGGGGACTTGGACGGCAATCCTATTCCCAGAAGAGGGGTCTTGTCCTAGACCCCAAGAGTGTGTTCTTGGATCTCTCGTGGGAAAGAATTCAGGGTGAGTCGCAGAGTATAGTAAAGTTAAAACAGTTTATTAGAAACCACTCGGCCGGGCGCGGTGGTTCGTGCCTGTAATCCCAGCACTTTGGGAGGCCAAGGGGGGTGGATCACGAGGTCAGGAGATCGAGATCATCCTGGCTAACATGGTGAAACCCCGTCTTTACTAAAAATACAAAAAATTAGCCGGGCGCAGTGGCGGGCGCCTGTAGTCCCAGCTACTCGGGAGGATGAGGCAGGAGAATGGCGTGAACCCAGAAGGCAGAGCTTGCAGTGAGCCAAGATCACGCCACTGCACTCCAGCCTGGGCGACAGAGTGAGACTCCATCTCAAAAAACAAAAAAAGAAACCAAAGAAACCACTCTAGGCCGGGAGCAGTGGCTTGTGCCTGTAATCCCAGCATTTTGGGAGGCCGAGGCAGACAGATCACCTGAGGTCAAGAGTTTGAGACCAACCTGACCAACATGGTGAAACCCTATCTCTCCTAAAAACAAAAATTAGCTGGGCGTGGTGGCGGGCGCTTGTAATCCCAGCTACTTGGGAGGCTGAGGTAGGAGAATCGCTTGAACCCGGGAGGCAGAAGTTGCAGTGAGCCGAGATTGTGCCACTGCACTCCACTCTGGGGGACAGAGCAAGACTCCGTCTCAAAAAAAAAAAAAAAAAAAAAAAAGAAATCACTCATTGCAGAGTAGGGCCTCCTCAGGAAGCAAGAGGAGGAATGCTTCTATCTTAAACATAGTGCTTGCTTATACAGGCTGTTAAAAACAGTGTGCTTTATTACAAAGGCTTGTGATCAGCTTGTGACAGACTATTAGCATTATTTTCCTATGTTACTACTGATTTTAATAAGAATTTACCAGTGTACTATTATCTTTAAGAAAAACTTCTTCTGGCTGGGCCCAGTGGCTCACCTGTAATCCCAGCACTTTGGGAGGCTGAGGCAGGTGGATCACCAGGTCAGGAGTTTAAGACCAGTCTGGCTAAGATGGTGAAACCCCGTCTCTACAAAAATTAGCCAGGCACAGTGGCAGGCACCTATTATCCCAGCTACTTGGGAGGCTGAGGCAGGAGAATCAGTTGAACCTGGGAGGCGGAGCTTGCAGTGAGCCAAGATTGTGCCACTGCGCTGCAGCCTGGGTGGTAGAGTGAGACTCCGTCTCAAAAAAAAAGAAAAGAAAAACCACTTCTTCTTCTTCTTTTTTTTTTCGTAGCCCAGGCTGGAGTGCAGTGGTGCAATATCAGCTCACTACAACCTCCGCCTCCTGGGCTCAAGCAGTCCTCCCGGCTCAGTATCCTGAGTAACTGGAACTACCGGCATGCACCACTACGCCTGGCTAATTTTTAATGTTTTTGCAGAGTTAGGGTTTCACTATGTTGCCCAGGCTGGGCTCGAACTCCTGGGCTCAAGCAATCCACCTGTCTTGGCCTCCCAAAGTGCTGGGATTACAGGAGCAAGCCACATGCCTGGCAAGAAAAACTTATTCTTAACCCAAGAATGCTTTTTGTTCTTGAAAGATTGGGGCATTTCCATCAGTTCTGGGTCTTCAGTTAGTTAGCATCATCAACTCTTTCTCTCAACCATAAAAAACATCTTGTGGGCAAGACAGCCCAACCCCCTGGAATGTAACCCAGTAGGTTTGGCCTTATCTGGCCTTTATTCAAGATGGAGTCACTCTGATTAGGATGCCTCTGACAATCCCAGCGAGCTGCTGTGGGTTGACCAGTGTATTAGTCCATGCTCACATTGCTAATAAAGACATACCTGAGACTGGGTAATTTCTAAAGGAAAGAGGTTTAATTGACTCACAGTTCAGCATGGCTGGGGAGACCTCAGGAAACTTACAATCATGGCGGAAGGGAAAGCAAATATGTCCTTTTTCACGTGGCAGCAGCAAGGAGAAGTGCCGAGTAAAAGGGGGAAAAGCCCCACTTATAAAACCATCAGATCTCATGAGGACTCACTACCACAAGAACAGCAGCATGGGGGTAAC
The DNA here is from genome assembly GCF_000001405.40 of Homo sapiens. Classification (NCBI taxonomy): domain Eukaryota; kingdom Metazoa; phylum Chordata; class Mammalia; order Primates; family Hominidae; genus Homo; species Homo sapiens. Next base: position 69,040,080 of record NC_000011.10, read on the forward strand.
TGCCCCCATGATTCAATTACCTTTCACTGGGTCCCTCCCACAACATAGGGATTATGGGAACTATAATTCAAGGTGAGATTTGGGTGGCGACACAGCCAAACTACATCAACCGGCCTGGGTCAGCCTCACCCTCCTGACATCATCCTACCCTGGGTGGGCCCTGGCCTCGTGTGAAGCAGTGGATGACATACCAGGGCTGCTTCCAGACACTGTGCCACCAGCCCTCTGGGCGATGCAACGTCACAAAGTCCCTCTAGCCTCGACTTTCTCATCTGCCAACTAAGAAGAGTGACAGTGTCCTTGGCTCACAGGCTGGCTGTGAGAACCAGATGGGAAGTGGGGTGTGGGATCTTAGGAGGCATAGGAGCAGGCCTAAAGTCTCACCACTGTAAACTTCCACACTACATATTGTGGTAGGCCACCTTCTAAGATGACCCCCAAGGACTCCTACCTCTTGGTGGTCACAGCTTTGCTCTTCCCTCCCCTTGCAGGTGGGCTGGACCTGGTGACTTGCTTCTACCTGATAGAATACAGCAAGAGTGATGAGATGTCACTTCCGAGATTAGGTTGGACGGATGGTGACTTCCAGCTTGTTAGTCTTCTCTCGGGCTCTTCTTGTTTGCTTGCTCTGGTGAAGCCAGCCACCATATGGTGAGTTGCCCTGTGGAGAGGCCCATATGGCAGGGAGCTGAGGGAGGCCTTTGGGTAACAGCCTCTGAGAAACTGAGGCCCTCAGTTCAGTAGCTAGTGAAGAGCTCAATCCAGCCCACAGCCACTGAGCAAGCTTGGAAGAGGACCCTTCCCTGGGGCAGCTTTGTGCTATTGTAATATAATAAAGAGTGTATATCTGGTTTTCATCTAGGGTTCCTGGCATAGAGTTTCTAAAACCACTGGAATTTCCTAAGTAAAAGGGGTGAGAGAAGTGTCTTTTGTTACTCATAATAAGCCCCCTTCAACCATACTTGAGTTTATTCTAATGAGGTGACTCATGGAGGTTGGGGGCTGGTAGCCAGAGGAACCAACCACGTGATTGAGGGTTGCAACTTTCAGCCTCACCCCCAACCTCCAGGGAGGAGAGAGGGGCCAGAGATTGAGTTCAATCACCCATGGCCAATGATTCAGCCAAGCATGACTATGTGATGGAACCTCCATAAAAACATTGGGTCTCATGAGAACAACAGAATACAGAGAGCTGGTTTGGTGGACATATGGAGGCTCTGGGAGGGTGGTGGGCCCAGAGAGGGCATGGAGCCCCTCTCCCATACCTCGATTATACATCTCTTCGATTTGGCTTTTCCTGAGTTGTATCCATTATAATAAACTGGTAATGGTATGTAGATTGTTTTCCTGAGTTCTATGAGCCATTCTAGCAAATTATTTAACTTGAGGAGGAGATTGTGGGAACCTTCAATGTATAGCTGGTCTGTCATTAGTGCAGGAGGCCCTGGACTTTCAACTGACATCTGAAGTGGAGGCAGTCTTGTGGGATCCCTTAACATGTGGGATCTGCATTAACTCCAGGAAGATAGTGTCAGAATTAAATGGAATTGTAGAACACTCACTTGGCGTCCAGAGAGTTGGTTGGTGTGTGGGAAAAAATATCCCACACACTTGGTGTCAGAGATGTGAGTAAAGACAGGTCAGAGACCTTGCGATGATTGCAGCCCTGGCTGACACCTTGATTACAAGCTCTTGGGAGACCCAGAGTCTGAGGCACTCAGCCAAGCTGCATTCAGATTCCTGCCTAAGAAAAACTAGGAGATAATCAGCATTGTTTTAAACCACTAGGTTTTGGGGTTGTTATATGGCCATAGATAACTAATACACATATTTATTTTAACATCTCTTAGAAAAATAGAACTAACACATCAAATTGAGTTTTAGTGTTTTATTACTTGCAATGAAACTAAGTAGAGAAAATGAATCAATGTAAATCAATTTGAAGAGAACCGTAAGATAAACAGAGGTACAGATGGGTGTGGGATGGCAAACAGCAAGGGGTAGAAGGACAATGACTGAAGTTTGGTAAGCACTGAGCTAATTGAGCTGACCGTGATTCCAAAGCCATAGTATGCGTGCTCAGTGTTAGGAATAATGAAGGGTTACCTCTGTCTGGGTGCAGGAGTCTACAGGGTGCAGCAAGTGCCTCCACCCCCAATGGTAAGTTGTGCCCTGCTGAGGGGGCTGCATATCAAAATCATCTGGGTTCCCGCTGCCTGCCTCCCATAGCTCCCTCCCGTCCCTAGCTGCTTCTTGCCTTACCCCCAGCCTCAGTGCAGGCAGCACACCCATCAGGGAAGGAATGACTTTGTGACCTGTTTGCTGTAGCCCTGTGTCCAGTGGCCTGAGGGGACTGGAGATCCAGGAACCCTGGTTCTTTTTTTTTGTTTTTTGGGATGGAGTCTCGCTCCGTCGCACAGGCTGGAGTGCAGTGGCACGATCTTGGCTCACTGCAACCTCCGCCTCCCAGGTTCAAGTGATTCTCCTGTTTCAGCCTCCCCAGTAGCTGGGACTACAGGTGCACGCAACCACACCAGGCTAATTTTTTATATTTTTAGCAGAGATGGGGTTTTGCTATGTTGGCCAGGCTGGTCTCGAACTCTTGACCTCAGGTGATCCGCCTGTCTTGGCATCCCAAAGTGCTGGGATTACAGGCGTGAGCCACCACACCTGGCCAGCATCCCTGGTTCTAGGATGGCTTCTGCCATCACCTGAACAGGAATTGTGGAAGGGTTATTTCTCTTCGCTGGGCTGAGGAAGAGGAACAGTGGTGGGTAGGGTGGAAGAGAAAGGAGAGAGAAAGATAAGGGTAGGGGATAGGTGGGACAGGGTCAAAGGACATCACTGCCCTGCCTCGAGTCCACTGCAGAACTGCCTCCCAGTCTGTGGCACCAGAAAGACCCATGGATGGGGCAGGCAGGAGGACTGGTGGCTTCACCCAACCTCGGCTGCAGATAAGGGGAGATCTTGGCCAAGCCCTTCTTGCCTCTGGGCTCAGTTTCTCCCTCTCTAAAAGGATTGCGGAGGCCTTTCTGGACTGTATAGCCTTGAAGGGGAGGTGGCCAGAGCCACTGAGTCTCTCCCCTTCTTCTCTGGGTCTGGGAAATGCTGTCATAGCCTCCTCTTTCTGGGTTCTGTCTCCTCCACTGGACCAGACAGACAAGGAGCTCTGAGGATGGGGCCGGGCACTCAGACTGTGCCTACTGGAAGGGTGCCCCCTTCACCAAGTGCTTCCCATTGGCCCCGCTTCTGACACATGTCATCTTGTTCGAATCCTCCCTACAGCCATGTGAGGTGCAATTCTCTCCCCACTTTACAGATGGGGAAACTGAGGCTCAGAGAGGGGGTGATGCGCCCGGCATCTCACAGCTGGGCCAGTGTAGGTGTGGAATCAGCAGAGCCAGCAGTAGATCCCCATTTTGCCCTCTCCTCTATTGTATCCACAGCACCTAGAAGAGCACACAGCACCTACGAGGCGCTCAGTAAATGCTTGCTGGGCAGGGCTTGCTGGGGGGTGGTTCCTGGTCAACCTCGCAGAGCAACTGGCCCCGAAGGAGCAGCTCGAGCCAGGGCCTGGACCTCCGCTATTGGAGGCACGTGTGTCTGGGAAGACCCCCTTCACCCAGCACAGGGGGCTTGGGCTTGTTACACCCCCACTTCACGGAAGAGGCAACTGAGCAGCCGAAAAGTGCTGTGACTTGCCCGAGGTCCTGCAGAGGCTGGGCTGGTGTCTCACTAGTTTTTTCTTTTTTGAGATGGAGTCTCGCTCTGTTGCCCAGGCTGGAGTGCAGTGGCACGATCTCGGCTCACTGCAACCTCTGCTCCCTGGTTGAACCAATTCTCCTGCCTCACTCAGCCTCCTGAGTAGCCGGGATGATACGCGTGGGCCACCACGCCCGGCTAATTTTTGTATTTTTAGTAGAGACGGGGTTTCACCATGTTGGCCAGGCTGGTCTTGAACTCCTGACCTCAAGTGATCCGCCCTCCTCAGTCTCCCAAAGTGCAGGGATTACAGGCGTGAGCCACCGTGCCTGGCTGTGTCTCTCTAGTTTTACTCCCAGGCTAGCACTGCTCCCTTGATGACAGGTCCCTAAGCCAGGGCCCAGAACACCCACAAACGGTGACTGCCAGGCTGCTGTGAGGATGGTGCTACCCAGAGGGGCCCCTACACTAGCTCTTTCTCTCCCTCCCGAGACCCGTAAGTACGTGGCGACAGACTCACTGAATGCCGGTGAGGGACACAGCCCAGATGCCATCTGTCCGTGCCCCATTCTGGCTGTGCCAGGAACAGGACATTGCCATCCCAGTCTCAGCGCCCTCTTGCGGGACCTCACTGGGCCCTGCCCACATTGTTTGTTTCTGCTCCTTCTGAGCTCCCTCCTGCATCACGCTCCACATGGTGTAACTGCTTACTGGGAACCACATTCCACTAGGGCCTCTGGGGTTGTGTACCCAAACATCAAGGGAATTCTTTAGCGGCAATAAAGACAATTTATTGGGATGTGCCGTTTTTGCAGACAGCTGCGTGCATCTATTATTTCCTTTCTTCGAAATAAAAATATCTTATACTTTTTTTCATGTTTTAAAATGTATGCTCCTTGTCACAACAAAACAAAACAAAAAACAAAACAAAAACAAAACTCAAACCTGTGGCCACATCCTGAGATCTCTCTCGACCCCACTCTGTTCCCCAGAGCTGTGTCATCTTTTAAACATTTGCTGACTTAGGAGTTCAGTGATTTCATTGTTACTTTAATTTGCATCCCTTTGTAGCCTAATGAGGTGGAGCTTTATTTTAGGCATTCCTCACTGATATTTCCTCTTTCTTGGGAACTTCTGGTTCAAGTCTTTTCCCATATGTGGAATTTAAGGCTGAATGTATGGGATTTTAAAGGCTCTGCAGGAAGCAGAATTTTGGCACCCATGATCTTCACTCCTGGTGTCCTGCCTGTGGTTGTGCTAGATGAGATGGCAAAAAGGATTTTGTAGATGCGATTGAAGTCACGAATGAGCTGATCTTAAATTAGGGAGATCATCCTAGATTATCTGATGAGCCCAGTGTAATTGTTACCAGAAAGAGGTCCTGATCTAGATCCCAAGAGAGGGTTCTTGGATCTCCCACAAGAAAGAACTCAGGGCAAGTCCACAGTGCAATGCAAAAACAAGTTTATTAAGAAAGTAAAGTAGGCTGGGTGCGGTGGCTCGTTCCTGTAATCCCAGCACTTTGGGAGGCCTAGGCGGGTGGATCACCTGAGGTCAGGAGTTCGAGACCAGCCTGGCCAACATGGTCAAACCCCGTCTCTACTAAAAACACAAAAATTAACTGGGCGTGGTGGCGTGTGCATGTAATTCCAGCTACTCAGGAGGCTGAGGCAGGAGAATCCCTTGAACCTGGGAGGCGGAGGTTGCAGTGAGCTGAGGTCGTGCCATTGCACTCCAGCCTGGCGACAGAGCGAGACTCTGTCTCAAAAAAAAAAAAAAGAAAAAAAAAAGAAAAGAAAGTAAAGTGGTGACAGAACAGCTGCTCCATAGACAGAGTTAGGACGTTCCGGAAAGTAAGGAGGAACGTGTCCACCCTAGGTATAATACTCGTTTATATATAGGATGAAAAAAGATCAAAGATCATGAGGACACGTGCTCTGCCACTGGGGTTTGTGATAAAGAATTTTCCTAATTACTGTATTTTGCAAGAATTGATATTATTACCTTTAAAGCAAAATTAGGGATGCTTCTGTTCTGAAGATATCAGGATATCAGCACACTCCCAAGTCTAGGTCTGCTTAGTAAACATTATCAATCTGTTCCCTTAACTGTGAACGCCTCACTTTCTGGGAATGCAGCCTGATAAAGCCCCAGCCTCATTTTTCCTAGTCCTCACTCAAGATGGAGTCGCAGCAAGTCCCAGCCTCATTTTCCCTAGTCCTCACTCAAGATGGAGTCGCAGCAAGTCCCAGCCTCATTTTTCCTAGTCCTCACTCAAGATGGAGTCGCAGCAAGTCCCAGCCTCATTTTTCCTAGTCCTAACTCAAGATGGAGTCGCTCTGGTTCGAATGCCTCAGACATAATCATATGAGCCCTTGGCTCACTGCAACCTCTGTCTCCCAGGTTCAAGCGATTCTCCTGTCTCAGCCTCCTGAGTAGCTGGGATTACAGGCGCCTGCCACCATGCCTGGCTAATTTTTGTATTTTTAGTAGAGACGGCGTTTCACCATGTTGGTCAAGCTGGTCTCGAACTCCTGACCTCAGGTGATCCGCCTGCCTTGGTCTCCCAAAGTGCTGGGATTACAGGCATGAGCCACTGTACCTGGCCTGAAAGCAGAGTCTTGACGAATTATTTGTACACTCATGTTCACAGCAGCATTATTCACAATAGTCAAAAGGTGGAAGCAACCCAGTGCCCATCCATGGATGACTGGATAAGCAAAATGTCATGGATACATACAGTGGAGTATTATTCAGCTTTAAAAAGGAAGGAAATTTGGACACATGCTACATGGATGAACCTTGAGGATTTTAGGCTAAATGACATAAGCCAGTCACAAAAGAACAAATACTGCAGGATTCCACTTAAATGAGGAACCTAGAGTCGCCAAAATCTTAGGGATAGAAAGGAGAATGGTGGTTTCCAGGGGCTGAGGGAATGAGGAGTCAGTGCTTAATGGGTCCAGAATTTCAGTTTTGCAAGATAAAAAGAGTTCTGGAGTTGGAGGTGATAGTTGTATAGCATCATTAATATATTTAATATCAATGAGCTGTACACTTCAATATAGTTATGTGAACTAAAAATATCTGAGACAGGTCTCGATCTATTTAGTAAGTTTATTTTGCCAAGGTTAAGGAGTGCCTGGGAGGCAGGTCTATGCCTTCCTTCAAGGATGATTTGTAGGACTTCAATATTTAAAGGGGAAACTGGCCAGGTGCTGTGGCGGAGGTTGCTGAGTGACCTGAGATCGCACCACTGCACTCTAGCCTGGGCAACGAAGCAAGACTCTGTCTCAAAAAAAAAAAAAAAAAAAAAAAAGGGAAAGGGTGGATATTGGGAAAGAGGGAGAAATTTTAAAAATATGTGGAGAGATAAGAGACAAAGGTTGCATTCTTGTGAGTCTTTGATCAGACTTTCACTGAAATACACAATTTACAGGTTGCGGGGGTAGAGGAATAGTCACTTATGCCTTAGTCTGGCTCGGTGAATCTGCACTTTTATACCAGAGGAAGCAATCAGGTGAGCAGAGGGATGACTTAGAGTTCCATCCTTTGTTTGGAACCTGTGAAGATCAGTTGTCAATGTACATTGTTAGGGTAAAATTCAACAAAACTGTTTTAGGGTAAAGATCTTGGGTGCCCACGAAAAATTTCCTAGCGGGCAAATTGTGAGGGAGGTATGTAGCTTTTTAAATCTTCGTAGCTATTTTATTAAAGAAGAAAAGGCGAGGCAGTTTGCCCAACGCAGTTCCCAGCTTGACTTTTCCCTTTGGCTTAGTGATTTTGGAGTCCTGAGATTTATTTTCCTTTCACAGTTATGATGGTAAATTTTATATTTATTTTAAACCCTCCCCCCTCCCCAAAAGAGGGGGAAAAAGTAAAGAGGTATGGCAGAAGGGGAAGTCACAGAGATTGGAAGCGTCTTGCAGCACCTTTTTTTTTGAGATGGAGTCTCGCTCTGTTGCCAGGCTGGAGTGCAGTGGCGCAATCTCAGCTCACTGCAATTTCCGCCTCCCGGGTTCAAGCGATTCCCCTGCCTCAGCCTCCGAGTAGCTGGGACTATAGACACGTGCCACCACGTCTGGCTAACTTTTTGTATTTCAGTAGAGACGGGGCTTCACCATGTTGGCCAGGATGGTCTCGATCTCCTGACCTCGTGATCCACCTGCCTCGGTCTCCCAAAGGGCTGGGATTACAGGCGTCTTGCTGCATCTCGAAGCGTCTTCAGCGTGCTCTTGCTTGCTGGCTCTGATGATGGAGGTGTTCAAGCCATCGTGGAAGGAATGCAGTGGCCTCTAGGAGTGAGAATGACACCAGCCAACATCCAGCAAGAAGACGTGGACTTCAGTCCTAGGCCCATGGAGACAATTCTGTTAACATCCTGGATGAGCCTGGAAGTGGGCTTTCCCCAGAGTCTGCAGATAAGAGCCCACGGCAGCTGACATTTTGACTCTAGCCTCGTGAGGCCCTGAGACAGGAGGTTTCCTGCCCCGCAGGACTGAAAGATGATGAATGGGAGTTATTTTATATTTTCAGATTGTGGTAATTAGTCACTGTAGCAATAGAAAACGAATACAAGGTCTTTATGCATTAATGTTGAAAACACTTTTTATATACGTTGTAAATATTTTTTAAGTGTGTCATATGTTTTTAAACTTTTCCCTTAATGATATTGAATCCTCCTAATTTCACCATCAGAGGGTAAACTCCAGTTCCATTCTGGGGGGAGTCCTTTGCAGTCACCCCGTGTACTCAATACTCACATGCATCAGAATCACCCCGAATGCTTGTTAAAACACAGATTCCTGGGTCCTCCCCGCAGAGTTGCTGATTTAGTAGGTTTAAGGGCCCAAGAATTTGCATTTCTAAAATGTTTCCAGGTGATGCTGAAGCTTCTGGCCGGAAAGACATCCTTTGAGAACATATTTCCTCCCCAGCCCTCGGCCCTTAAGCCCCAGAACGCTGCCCCGCCCTGGGTGGAACGAAGCTGAGCTCCACCCTAGAGGGGCGGGGCCCTTTAGCTCCGCCCCACTCAGGAGAACCCCACCCCTCCCTCCCCGTTCTCATTGGCTGGGACTGCAGGGATCCCCTGCGCCACAGTGCCGTGCGCGCGTCAGCAAAAACGCCAGGGACGGGGTCTCCGCGCCTGCGCAGTGAAGCTGGGCGCCTTCGGGGCTTGAGCTTCTGAGGGTCGGGTCCAGCGCGTGGGCTGCTGGATGGCGGAACCCCAGGCGGAGTCGGAGCCCCTGCTGGGCGGGGCCCGCGGCGGTGGCGGCGACTGGCCGGCGGGGCTGACCACTTACCGCAGCATCCAAGTCGGCCCTGGTGAGCCGCCCGGACCTGGGGAGGGGACTGGCCCGGGAGACCAGGGTCGCGCGTGGGGGTCCCGCTGTCCCAGCACCCCGCTTTCTGCCGGGCGCGCCCCCACCAGGTTCGAGTCCGAGCGGGGCCCGGGCCGCGCCGGGTGCCAGGCGAGCCGGTGTTCTGAGGGCGAGTGGGCTGCGTCCTGCGGACCCGGACCGGGGTCAGGGCAGAGCTGGGGTCTCTTCCGTGTCGCGTCCTGATCCCGACCAGCTGGGCGAAGAGGCCCTCGCCCAGCCTTGGGCAGCCCCGAGGGAACCGGCCACCTGCGGCAGGCACCCTCCGTGTGCCCGGGCGGGCCCAGACCCCATACTTCCCGACTGTCGCCGTAATGAGGGTCGCCTAATTGACTCAGAGAAGGCAGCACTTTGATTTTTCCCGTTTCTTCTGGAAAAAGCAGAGGCTCACAGAGAGGCGTTACCCTACCCAAGGTCACACACCCAGTAAGTGGCCGAGGTGGGATTCGAACCAGTTGGGAGCTAGGAGTCCTTTCTTTGTAGGGTGCCTTTCCCCGTCCCACTTCCCGTGGGGCTGGGGCGGGCCCCCTAGACGGGGGCGGCTTCCTCTCCTTGCCCTCTGCCACCCCAGAGTCCCCTCTGCACTCCCTCCTGCCCTTCCCGTTTTTTGTCCTGGTCTGAAGATTGCTGAATCCGCCCCCCGAGGGTGGGGTGCGTCCGCCCCTCGCTGACACCAGGGGAATGAGATTCTGGATTAAGAGGTGGAAGGACCTTAGCTTCACTTCACAGATGAGGAAACTGAGGCCCAGAGAGGCCCTGAGACCTGCCCAAGGTCACAGCCCTCTGTTCTGGTGCGGCTGCTGCTCGAACCACTCTGAGAATTCACACCTGGCTCCTTCCCTCTCTGGCCTCTCTTTCCTTCTTTCCTCCTCTGTCTGGAAGGAACTGGGTTGGAATCCTGGTGCCCACCCACTGGTCTGTGGCATGTGCCCATCCATGGAGTAATGAGGGGCCAAGGAGGGGACCCTGACGAGAGATGAAAAACCAGAGGCCAAGGTGGCCACCCTGTCTGCTCACCTCAGAAGCTGCCTCCAGGAAGTTCTTCAGGTGCTTCCTGGGACCAGTCAGGAAGGAGATCTGCAGGGAGCAGCTCTGGCAGGCCCCTTGATGAGACGCCCAGCATATGGCACCGTTCAGGGAACACAGACTTTGTGTCTAGGGGTCTGGGCGCCTTTCTGGGGCTGCACTGGCTGTGTGACCTTGGCAGGTTGCTTAACCTTTCTGTTTCTTTTTTGAGATGGAGTATCACTCTGTCACCCAGGCTGGAGTGCAGTGGCGTGATCTCGGCTCACTGCAGCCTCTACCTCTGCTGGGTTGAAGCGATTCTCCCGCCTCAGCCTCCCAAGTAGCTGGGACTGCAGGCGCCCGCCACCACACTTGGCTAATTTTTGTATTTTTAGTAGAGATGGGGTTTCACTGTGTTGGCCAGGGTGGTCTCAAACTCCTGACCTCGGGTGATCTGCCTGCCTCGGCCTCCCAAAGTGGTGGGATTACAGGCGTGAGCCACTGTGCCTGGCCATGCTTCACCTTTCCGAATCTCAGTAAAAGGGAGATAATACTAAGGACTGCCTGGCGGGCATTGTGAGGATTCAGAGAGAATCCAGAGTTTGTCCTCAGCACAGGGCCCGGCGGGCTGGTGTGGGGGCCAGTGGCCGTCCTGGGTAAGCTCTGTGATCATTGCAGGTCCTCCCTGGCAGGTGAGACCCGCTCTGCTGGGCAGTGTGGCTGACAAGAGGAGGCTCTCGGGGAGCGCTCTTTGTCCCTATGCTGTGGCCTCAGCCAGGGCTTCTGAGAACGTGGACAGGACGCTCTGTGTTCTGAATCCCCTTGGCCAGGGTCCCCAGCAAGGACTGGCAGACTATGGAGCCATGGAGACTCCGAAAGGCTCATTCAGTCTCTGTGCTGAGGCCTGTGCCAGGCTTTGAAATGAAGGCCCTGTGCTCTGGTTTGCAAGTCCTGTGGTTGGTCTCTTGCCAACGGGTTGTGGTGAGGGCTGCTGCTGTGGGTGCCCCAAGGACCCCAGTGGACCCTGCTGTTGGGTCGTTTTGACTTGGCCCCACCTGATGGGGCCGGGGTCAAAGGTTGAGAACAGTTGTTTTCTCTTGTTGCTGGGTCAGAAAAATCACACTTTTACTGGTTATCAAACAAGTCAGAGGACAAGGGATTGCGATGCTGTAGAGGCTTTCAGAGTAACTGAATGCTTATGAAGGGCTCACTTAGCAAAGTACTCTGGCTATAGTAAGTCATTCAGTCTGTACTTAGCTCCTATTGGGTGGGGGTCCATGAGGACCTGGAGCACCTAGAGGTTAAGGGACTTGCCCAGGGTCACAGAGGATGATGGTCAGGACCCTACACAGGTTGTGCAGCCTGGAGCCTGGAGCAACAGGGGAGCGGGAGCTCAGACCTGGATGTTGCGGGGCAGAGGCTTGGATTAGGAAGCCGTGTCGAGGCCTGGTGTGCCGGATGCAGCATCTCAGCCCCTGCTGTCCTCTGTGCCTTGCAGAACCCTTCAGCCCCAGTGGGTGATGGTGTGTGGAAAGGTGATTGTCCCCCAGGGTGATGAGCTCAGGGCGGGGCGAGCTGTCCCAAGGGAGTCCCTGGACTCACAAATTGGGGGATGGTGCTCCTGGCAGAAGCAGCAGCCTGAGTAAAGGGTTGGAGGCTTTGGAGAGCATGGCCTTGGCAGAGCCCAGTTCGGAATGAGTGGCACTGAGGGTTGAAAGGCAGGAGAGAGGCGGGCCGGCAAATGTGGGAACCTGCAGTGCCAGACCAGGGTGGAGTGTGGGCCTGGAATAGTGGGGGCCCAGGGGAAGCTGCGATGTGCTTCTGAGTGTTTGGAACGAGATCCTTGGGCTGTTGCAGGGTGAAACGGAGGATGGCCAGACCCAGAATTTTACAAACCAGCAACCAAAAAGCCAGGCGAAAGGGAACCACGAGTGCTGGATGGTTCCAGGGGTGCCCACCACTGTTGGCCTGGGATGGCTGGCCTGGGTGGATGTGAGTACTTTCCGTGGTCCTGGGGCTGGAGTGAGGCCCGGAACTCGGCCGCTTGTCTCTTGTCTAAGAAGCTTGTATCACTAGATCTCTCCTGGTAGAGATTTTGTCTTCTCCCAGGGAATCTGGTAAGGTGGGGCCTCTCAGATCACCGGCCCCCCAGGCTCCCCTCAGGGCTGTTCATTTATTCATGGGATATATCAGCTTTGAGTCCTGTGTGCTTGACTTCTGGGCTCTGCAGATACAGCAGGGAACAAAACAGTGTGGCTTCTGTTCATAGCGATCCCAGGATGTGCTCAGGGGACATAAACAGTAGCCACTTTCAGAGCTTCCCTGGGGAGACATTCGGGTGTCCTCAGGGTGGGTCTCGTGGCTGTGCATGTGGGCACCAAAGCCACAGGGAGGGAAGGCTCTTGCTCCCGGCAGTGCAGCAGGGCCGGGCAGAGTGAGGGTGGGGTCCGGTCTCCTGCCTCTGTCTGGGGCCCCTCACACCTCTAATCCGTCCAGGGCCCAGCTGCCTATACCTCATGCCCCCAAGCAGGAGCCCCGAGGACAGGGGCAGCTGCCTCCCTAAGGATGGCCAGTGGCGTGGGCGGGTCATGGCCTGGAGCTCTGCCTGGGGACCAGCACCTCCTGAGGCCTCTGCTGCTGCCTCCCATGTCACCACATTGTCTTGGTGCAGCTGTGGGCCCCAAGGGGCCAGGTGTGAAAGCCGAGTCTCAACTGAAAAAGCAGCTGCTTCACCCTCTCCCCGTGCTGGGAAGTGTCAGCCTCTCCGGGCTCCTCAGTTGCTTCGGGTTGAGTTTTCCTTCCCTGTTGGCCTGCTGGGGAGCAGCTCTGCAGCGAGGCCAGAGGTGGCCCGTGCCTACGATGCGGGTGGGTGGCCCAGGCTCCCTGCAGTGGCTCAGTGGCTGACCAGGTGCGCCCGCTGGCTGCTCTGTGGCAGGTGAGGGGCTTGTGAGCAGGCCAGGGTGCTGGGTCCTGGCTTCTGTGCCGCCTGACTTTTCCTGAAGGCCCCTCCTAGTCAGGAGCCACTGCCGCTTTTGCCCAGGCCTGCCGGGAGGCTCCACCCTGCTTGTGCTGTTGGTAAAGGCGGGCGGCCACCCTTCACCACAGAAGGCACCGGCAGAGGCTGGGGGACTCGGGCGTTCCTGCAGCTCTGACCCTGGGAGTGATTTGGGTGGGCTTGCCTGGGCCCATGGACCGGGACAGTGAGGGAATGGGACCTTGGTAGCACTCATGAAGCCTCATGGCAGTGCCTTTGGGTTCTAGATGCCAGTTCTCCCTGTCACTGTTGAATCCGAGGTCTGGTTTGATGGGGGTGGGTGGGACACTGGGTACAGTGTCCTGGCTCATGAAGACTGTGCAGGAGCCAGGTAGGGCCGAGCGGAAGAGGGGTGACAGCAGCCCCATGTACCGAGCATGCCTGGGGAGCGTGGCAGGGGGCTCTTGTGCTCCTGCGTTGCACCTCACAGTACCCTCTGGGGAGCCGATTGGGTGGCTGTAAATAGCCCCACTTGACAGAGGAGGAGCCAGCCACAGCCTTCCTGCCAGCACGTGGAGGAGCCGGGCTCTGAACCCCGACGCTGGTGCCAGGGCCCTGCAGGATGTGCCGCTTCCCACAGGCTTGCTAGTTGTGTGCGCTGCATGCGGAGGTGCCGTGCCCTGGGCCTGGCCTGTGCATTTGATGCCGAGGCACTTACCTGGTTTGGTCCCTGCCCTGGGCAGGTACATGCAGCCCCACTGCCGGGTGGAGTCATCTCTTTACAAACGGCCTTGGGAAGAACCACAGCCGGCATCTTTCCTTGATCACGGGTATCCTGGAGGGTGAGGCCATGTCATCCTGCTCGGTCACCTGATGTGTCCCCTCTGCCTGCAGGTGCCGCGGCCAGGTGGGACCTCTGCATTGATCAGGCTGTGGTCTTCATCGAAGATGCTATTCAGGTCGGTGGCACCTGCTCCCTGTGGCCGGGCCTGGGGGGTGGCCGCCCTCCGATTGGCTCGCCCCTCCAGGGGCGACTGACTGGGTCCAAGGCCTCCATTGCTGGACTGTAGGTTAAGAGAACTGAGGGTGGAGCCTCTGGGCACGGCTCTTCGTCAGTCCCCGGAGGACTTGTCTTCTGCATCCTGGACGCATTTGCTGCTTTGATGCACCGTGTTCTGAGGCCTGTTGTGGACCACCCCATTCTAGGTCCCGGGTGGGTGGGGGCATCCTGGAGGATGACACAGCTGCACGGGGCGTGGGAGGGTCAGCCTTGCACAGAGAAGAGAGAGCCTCGCAGGCAGACACGGGCACAGCTGTGCTCTCAGCAAGTGTTCCCTGAGTGTTTGCTCACGCACCCACCCACCCCGGGTGTGTGGCCTGTGAGGTCTTGTGTGTTGGGCAAACCTCGTGGTTTGTGATGGTGTGGGCCTGATGGGTCAGGGCTGGCCATGTCCACACGCTGAAGCGTCCCCTGTGATCCACAGCCTGAGACTTGGGCCTGTCTCGTGTGTGGTGTGGGGCTCGGGTCACGGCCCACCCTGCATGCACCCATGTCATGCCTCATGTGACTTTTCGCTTGTAGTACCGCTCCATCAACCACCGGGTGGATGCCAGCTCGATGTGGCTTTACCGACGGTATTACTCGAACGTATGCCAACGGTGAGAACGCACCCATGTGGAACTCAGGGTTCCTGCCGGCTTGCGTGGCAGGGGAGGCTGGCCCCCACCTGGGGATCACCTGGTCTCAGGGTCCAGGCAGGCTCCCCACTACATAGATAGGGCGGTTACCATCATCCTCTCTGGAAAGGAGACGGCCTGTGATGGCAGGCTCCTTCTACAACAAGGGTTCCTTTCTGGAATGCTGTGGTCAGCCCTCGGCAATGGAGCTTTGAGCAGATTCGTGATCTCCCCAGTCACGAGTGTCCACGCTCAGGCAGCGCCAACTCCCGTGCTTCGGACTGGGGAAGCTCCTGACCAGCCTCTGGGCCCTGAGGGCTGCTGGCTCCTGTGTTTTCATGTTTCTGTCCCCTTTCCAGGACTTTGAGCTTCACCATCTTCTTGATCCTGTTTTTGGCTTTTATCGAGACCCCATCCTCACTCACCAGCACGGCGGACGTGCGCTACCGCGCTGCTCCCTGGGAGCCGCCCTGCGGCCTGACCGAGAGTGTCGAGGTGCTCTGCCTGCTGGTCTTTGCGGCCGACCTCTCTGTGAAGGTGAGGCGGGCGCCAGGCCCTCTACGTGCTGCCCCGGCCTCCCAGCGCCTGGCCGCTGCTCTCCTGGTTTATTGCTGATTCTCTGGAGTGAGCTGCCTTTTCCCCAGACTTTGTACTTTGACCCGGTGAGCAAGGCACACTTTCTTGGACAAGCAAGTGCCTGAGGCAGAGGCTATGTCAGCTCTCCTCCCTCTCCACCATGCAAACTGAGGCCAGTGTGCCGTCAGCTCTCCTCCCTCTCCACCATGCAAACTGAGGCCAGTGTGCCGTCAGCTCTCCTCCCTCTCCACCATGCAAACTGAGGCCAGTGTGCCGTCAGCTCTCCTCCCTCTCCACCATGCAAACTGAGCCCAGTGTGCCGTCAGCTCTCCTCCCTCTCCACCATGCAGACTGAGCCCAGTGGGCCGTCAGGGGTTGCGCAGGCTGACAGGGCCTCTGGGAACAGTCCAGTGTCTGCAGTGCTGCTGTGAGGAGAGGTCCCAAGTGAATAAGTGAGGCCCAGGTGGTCCCTCCTCAAGGCTCACCCTGCCACCCCAAAGAGAAGAGGAGAGGAGGTGGGCGTGGGGCAGAAAGGGGTTTCTTATGCACACAGCAGCTGCTGCATGTTTGACTCTGGGTTCTGCCTGTGACGCACGTCCTCCCACAAGCTGGAGGTGGGCCTTTGGTGCTCACCTAAGCTTCTGAGCCTCGTCAGAGACTTAGTGCCTTTCCAGGGAGGTGCAGGCTACGTTTTCTATTTTTGTCAAACAGTGATTCCAGTGCTGCGGTCTCAGGGGCCCCCACATCCATGCCCATGGTGTTAGATCAGGCCCTGGCTGCAGCCCTCCTCAGCGCCAGCCCTGCCGCTCCTTGGCTGGGCCTTGGGCTCACGTGGCTTCCTGGTCGCGTGGGGCCTCTGCCCGGCACTGCCCTGTAGTCCCTTGTGGGCAGGGCGGGCTGTGTGCCGACCGAGGGTTGTGGCTGGATGCTGGTGTGTGTGATTGCAGGCCCCGGGCAGTTTCTCATTTCTTCCTTTGTAGCTTATCATGTGGTTAGCAGGTCTGGGGGTTTTTCAACTGGAACTGAAACTGGCAAGAGGTTGTCATTAGCGTTTTTTGAATGGTTGGTGTGTTTGAGAAGTGTCAAAAGGTGAGAGAGGGTACATCAGCAAGCTGTGACCTCTGGGGGCTGTCTTTTATTTTATTTTATTTATTTATTTTGAGACACAGTCTCGCTCTGTTGCCCAGGCTGGAGTGCAGTGGTGCAGTCTTGGCTCACTGCAACCTCCGCCTCCTGGGTTTAGGTGATTCTCCTGCCTCAGCCTCCCCAGCAGTTGGAATACAGGCGCGTGCCACCACGCCTGGCTAATTTTTTGTATTTTTAGTAGAGACGGGTTTCACCATGTTAGCCAGTATGGTCTCGATCTCCTGACCTTGTGATCTGCCCGCCTCGGCCTCCCAAAGTGCTGGGATTACAGGTGTGAGCCACTGTGCCCGGCCGTCTTTTATTTATTTATTTATTTTTGAGACAGAGTCTAGCTCTGTCGCCCAGGCTAGGGTGCTGTGGCATGATCTCAGCTCACTGCAACCTTCGCCTCCTGGGTTCAAGTGATTCTCCTGCCTCAGCCTCCCAAGTAGCTGGGATTACAGGTGCCTGCCACCATGCCCGGCTAATTTTTCTATTTTTGGTGGAGACAGGGTTTCACCATGTTGGCAAGGCTGGTCTCAAACTCCCGACCTTGAGTGATCCGCCCACCTCGGCCTCCCAAAGTGCTGGGATTACAGGCGTGAGCCACCGCCTTCTGGGGACTTTCTTGATGGTGGGAAATGGCAGTTAGGTAAGGGAAGAACAGACCAGACCTCACTTCCCAAGCTGCCTTGCTGTGGCGGCGGAGACCTGCCCACTGAGCTGGTATTTTTCTAGCCTTTTCCAGAGTGCATTCCATGTCTTCTCAGCCTGCACAAGGTGGTTGTTAGATAGGCAGAACAGGCAGGAGCCTCCCATTACTGATGAGGACCCCAGGCCAGAGAGCTTTGGTGCTGCCTGAGACTGCACAGCGAGTCCCTAGCAGGCTTGGGCGGGAGCTCGGGCCTCCTGACTGCTGCTCTGCGTCCCGTGGGGACCACACTGTTGTGGAGGCGCACCCTGCTCTGGTCGCCTGGTCCCTGCGCTGCGCACCGTCATTCTCTGGCTGCAGGGCCAGCGTGTGGGGCTACTTGCTGCTCACCCGCCCGTCTATCTTGCAGGGTTACCTGTTCGGGTGGGCCCATTTCCAGAAAAACCTTTGGCTGCTGGGCTACCTCGTGGTGCTGGTGGTGTCTCTGGTGGACTGGACCGTGTCCCTGAGTCTCGTGTGTCATGAGGTAGGTGGTGAGGCAGCCCTGAGACAGATGGAGAGATCTGGGGCTGGTGTGGGTGCAAGGCCCACGGGGGTGCTGGGATGGAGCCCTGAGCCCGCCAGCCATCCTGCCCACCCGCCCAGCACTGCCCACCTCCCATGGCACTTCCTTCACTTGTTGGCTGGGGATCCTTGTTCCTGTCTCACAGATGAAGACATGGAGGCCTGGACGGGCACAGGGTTCCTCCTGGCTCGCCCTGTTTTTGAGGGCGGACCTGGGAGTGAGCTCCAAGACTTCTGCCTCCCGGCTCTCCGCTCTCTAGCTGAAGGCCTCGGCCGTCCAGCCCCGGATGAGAGCGCCACACCAGGGCCTCACCATGCCCCGTAGTCACAAGCCCCAAGCTCTGTGAGGTCTGACAGTGAGAAAGCCCCCTCACCCGGCCACACTCAGCCCTTTCCACCGCAGTGCCTTGGTTTCCCCTCAGAGCACCCAGAAGCACCCCCTGGGCTTTGCGAGAATAGAGCTGGGAGAGGTGGGTGCGGAGTCAGCAGAATCCACTGGGGTCTGTCGGGAAGCAGAGCCCCACAGGTGCCTTGTGGAGAGAATGAACAGAGGGCCTTAAACAGGCTCCGAGAAACCAACAGTGAAAGGAGCCCAGTGGAACCCAGAACCACCGGGAGCAGTCCCACTCATGGGCAGGGGACGGGGGAGAGATGGGGGTTGTTAGCACCTGGAGGCCCAAGGGAGGGGCCCATAGAGCTGGGTTCTTGCCCTCTGTCCTCTGGGAGGGGGTGCTGTCTGGTGGGCGCTGGTGCCTCCCAGAAGCTCAATGAGGTTGGTCCCAGCAGTGCCGATGTGGGGGCTGGAAGCTCCAGGTGCAGCTGATAGGAACAGCCTAGTGAGTGCATCTCCTGTCCCCGCCTGCCCCAGGGCCCTGCTGGCAGGACCTGGTGGGGAGTAGCTGCTGAGGAGAGCTGGAATGGGCGGCATCGCAGCCCACAGCACGGCAGAGCGGAAGGGTGGCTGGAGGGCAGCCCCGCTGTGCTGCTGCGGGGCCTCCGTGGCCACCTCCTTCCTGTCTCCCTGACTCGGCAGCTTCCCGCAGCCTCCTCCCTGCAAAGGGAGAGCCTCTTGCGTGACTGCCCCAGCAAAGGGAGCGAGGATAGCCCTCCCACCGCCATTTCTGAGTTACGGTTGTGGCAGCTGTATCATGTTCTGTAACTTACAGGCTAAATTGTAAGCCACACCAAGAATCCTTATATGAAATTAGGATGGGGAAGGAGACAGGAAAAAGAGACACAGGTCTACGTTACAAGCAAGGAAGAAAATGAATAAAGGCCTGGTTTTATACCTGGCCGTGGGCCCTGCCTGGATCTCTTCTGCCACCTGCTCCGCGCTCCCTTCGCCTCCGCCAGCTCCCCACCTGGCCCGGGTTTTTCACCTGGCACAGGGACTGGACCTTCCTCCCTGAGGGGCCCGAGTCCTTGGTGGTCCTGCCTTTGGAAGGCTGGAGTTTTCTGCTAACTTTTCCTATGGGACATAGGAGTAAGAGGTGGCCCAGAGGACCCCCACCCAGCCCTCCCTGCTGTTCTCAGTGGCAGCAGCCAGCCTGCCCGCTCACCCTGCTGGCACAGCAGCCCTCTTTCCATGAACAAGCTATGGTCCAGCGTGTGTCCCGGTGGAAGCATCCCCACCTTGGGAGTGGATATTTCCAGAGCGGGGACCCAGAATGGGGGAGGTGGGAAGTGGAAAGCTGGCCATCCACCTGTGCCTCTTCACCATGTTCACTCCCATTGCCCTTGCCTGGGTCCCAGTGGGTCCTGGCTGGGGGAGAGACAGCCCCGCCAAGTGGCCTCTGGTTCAGAGCCTGTGCTGTGCCCTGTGACCCTAAGCTGACAGCGTTGCTGAGTCTTCCTAAGGCTCTGGGACCCTTCCTACAGCCAGCTACTGTGGGCCCGCGCCGGGGCTGCCCCAGCTCTTTCACCTGAAGCAGCATTTGCAGGGCTGTGAGTGGGACACAGTGCCCCACAGTTCATTCCCAGGTCCTGGGATGGTGCTGGGAGAGGCGTTGGAGGCAGGGCAGGCAGATTCATAACCTGCATGCCTGTCTGTCCAGGGAGGACAGATGAGCGATGGTTGTGGGCAAGGGCCCCTCTGTTGTCAGGGGGCTGTCTCGGGCTGGTACCTGGCCCTGCCTCTGGCTGAGTGGTTGTGCTATTGGCACCAGGCATAGCCTCCGTGTCTGTCGTGGTGGTTGCTTTGTGTGTGGTGGAGGGAGTTAGGAGCAGGGTGGCTGAGGGAAGAGGCCTAGCTGCATCCACAGGATGCCTGGTCCTGGCCAGAGAGCCTCCTCTCCACGATGCCCATGGTGGGCGTTCACATGGGGCACCAGCTCCTTAGGCCACGTGCCCTGCAGAAAAGCTCGTTCAGAGCAGCTGGTCCACATACTTCCTCCCAGACCTCGTGCCCAGTCTTCCACTCTTCTCTCTCCACGCCCCTGTCCTCCACTTGGGAACATCCCCTTTCTCAGTCCACACAGGGGACTGCCCAACCCTGCCCACTGCAGAGCTTTCCCTTCTGCAGCATCCGTGCAGCGCTTTCTTGATGGAGGCTGAAATGTGCGTGTGTGTGTTTCCGGCTGGGCCGGCTATCATTCAGCACGTCTGCAAACCAGGCCTGAGGTTTTCCTCTGTGGCCAGCTGTCCAGTCATAAAGAACTCCTACAGGCATGGGGTGGCTTGCAGGGAGGACTGGGTGCCCTCCAGCCTTGTGGCCGAGTGGGTTGGATAATATGGAGGCTGCCGGTCACTGTTGGGTTTTGCTCGTTCACTCTTGTCTTTGCCAGGGCTGTTTGGACGTGGTTTTTCCTCAAGGCCTTGGGTCTGAGGGTCCCAGGGGCTTGACTGGCATTGTGGTTGGTTGTCCTTGGAGGCTAGTCACCTGGATGTACCTTCCCGTCCTTATAGAGGCCTCATGGCCCCAGCTGTCAAGGGAAGGCCCTCAGGTTGGGCTCTTGTGTCTGGGGAAGCTGTGCTGTGGTCTGTGTCTGACTACAGGTGAGGGTGCAAGTTCCTGGGCAGGGGAGGGGACCCAGCAGCATCTTCAGCACCTCCTTGGCCTGTAGAGGGGCTGAAAGAAGCCTTTGTTATCAGGCCCTAAGACCAGAGTTTCCAACCAGTGGGCAATGAATGGGTTCCGGGTGAGCTGGGCGCACAGGGCAGGGGCCAGAGCCCTGAGCAGTTCTCTGTTCACCACTGTTCTCTTGGCCTTCTCAGTCCTGCGCCAGGCCCTGGGGTCCCTTTTGAGAATGGTGATTCACTTGGAGTGAGCGCTGGGGATCAGTCACTTGCAGATGTTCTGGAGGGCCTGCCGTGCTGCTGCTGGCTGGACCTTGGTGAACAGAATAGGCAGGTCTCTTGTCCTCTGAGACCCCCTTCTGGAGTGAGAGAGAGACTGCCAGCGCACAGAAGTGCCAGACATAGAGTGTGATTCCCAAGTGTGGTGGTGGGTGCCATGCCGGAGAGGAGCCCGGCAGCCCTGGCAGAGGTGGCGTTCTGCAGGTTGCGGGGGCTGAGCCGGCCGGCTGGGCAGACACTGGCAGCTTGAGGGCCGTGGCCTGTGAGGTCTGGGAAGGGGCTGGACTGACTGGCTGGGCCTGTTCCGTGGACCCCGGAGGCCATGGGCAGAGCTGTGGGCAGTTGTCGGAGGGTTTTGGTTTTGTGCAAGGAGCTGACAGCTCTGCGTTTCTAAAACAAGATACTGATGAGGATGCGAGACTGCAGTGGAGAGCGTGGATTTGAGATTGACAGGCGCCAAAGTGTAAACGAGATACTCAAGGGACTGAATCCAGGTGTGAGGCAGAGAGAGGAGGTGGGGGCAGGGTGCCCAGCACAGGCGGATCGGGCAGTGCGGGGACCTACAGGGCAGCTGGGAGCACCAAGGTAGCTGTGTCTGGTGCTGAGGGCGCCAGGCAGGATGGGAAGGTGCTCATGGGGACCCCCAGGTGGGTCCCAGTGGCCAGGAGGGGAGGATGGGCTGGGATAGGAGCAGGGGAGTGAATGGAGGGGAGGGCAGGGAAACGTGGCATGATGGAAGCTGTGAGAACACTGGTGTGTGATGGTTGGGGCAGAAGGTGGTGATTGAGCCAATCCTGAGAGGGCTGGGGTGGGTTGACAGGACTGTGGGTGGTGTGGTGGCCGTGGGTGGGCCCTTCTGTCCTCACAGAAGGAAGGCAGGGAAGATGGGGATATCTGTGAGAGTGTGTGTGTGTGAGTGTGAGTGTGTGTGTGAGTCTGTTTTGCGTGTCCATAAAGCAAGACCTGAGGCTGGGTATTAATAGAGAAGGGGTTTATTTGGCTCACGGCTCTGTAGGCTGCATGGGAAGCATGGTGCTGGCGTCTGCTTCTGATGAGGCCTCAGGAAGCATCCACTCATGGCAGAAGGAGACGGGGAGCAGGTGTGTCACATGGCGAGAGAGGCCCCCAGACTCCTTTTAAAAACCAGATCTCTCGTGAACCCCTCACCTGAAGTCATTGCTGCAGGGAGGGTACCAGGCTATTCATGAGGGATCCACCCCACGACCCAAACCCCTCCTGCTAGATCCCGCTTCCAACACGGGGAGTCAGATTCAACGTGAGATTTGGAGGGGACGCACATTCACACCGTGTGAGTGTTGAGCGTGGGAGCAGTGAGGCTGGAGGGCGCTGTGTGAGTGTGGGGGTGTGGAGGTGGGGCTCCTGGAGGCAGGGTCTGTGTCTGGGAGGGGAAGGCTTGGAGATGGGGACACAAGGGGAGGCGGGTTGAGGGGTGAGGAGGCGGGGATGGTACCCTGAGAAGCCAGGTGTGCTGGGCAAGGCAGGAGGGTACCAAGGGAGGCATGGGGCCACCACCCTTCCAGCTGTGTCCTGGGTGGGCACAGGGGAGGATGGCCTGGGACAGGGACAGGTGTTAGGATTGGGGAACCTGTGTGTGCAGCGCCCAGGAGTTGGGAGATGGGTAGTGGGGAGGCCTGTGACAGGGAAGGACTGCAGAGCATGTGGCCTGGAACAGGTCTCAAGGCCAGCTCTGGAGCCAGGCCCTCCACTTTGGGCTCAGTGACTCTGGAGTGGCCCCCAGGGCACTGGGGTCTCTGAACCGTGTGCCCATCTGGGATGGTCGGTGAGGGGTAGAACTAAGCACTTGACGTGGTCCTCAGTTTCCTGGGTCTCTTCCAGCCCCTGCGGATCCGCCGGCTTCTCCGTCCCTTCTTCCTGCTGCAGAACTCCTCTATGATGAAGAAGACCTTGAAATGCATCCGCTGGTCGCTGCCGGAAATGGCCAGGTGGGCTCTTGGTGCTCTGGGCTCGCAGGGTTGGGAAGGGGCTCTCTCTGCCCCGGGCCACGTGGTTGCGGGTGGGGCCCACCGGAGTCTCATCTTGGACTGCGTGCTCCGCATCCCTGGCTGGCTGGTGACGGTGTGGGGAGGCTGCTGGGGGGCTTTTGGGGTCTCTTTGGTTCCAGCAGTTCCCCAGAAGCCTCCCAGCAGCCTTCGAGCTAGGGCCAGGGCTGCAAACACCGCGGCCCCAGCTCGAAGGCTGCTGAGTCCCATGGGCACTCTCTCCGATGGGTCTCCTCTTGTCCCCTCTGTGGCTGTGCCCTGCCTCTCCCCTCTGCCGTCCCCTCCCACTCATGGTGTCGGCACGCTGCCAGCCTAGACTTCATAAAGCTGAGCTGTTCCTGACGACACCCCTGCTTGGAAGCCCTCGTGGCTCTTGTTGCCACTAGAAGCGTGGGGCTCTCTCCCTGCGCCCCAGGCCCAGCCTCCATCCAGCCTCGGCTCACCCCTGGTCCCGATCCCCTGCCGCCCTCCGCTCTTGCCAGTGGCAGCGTTGCCCGAGTCCCTAGTGGCTCACGTGCTGACCCCTCACCATCCAGCTCAGGTGGATGGAAGTGGCCTCCCCTCTGAGAGCCCTGGGTCCTTGGATGCTGTCTCAGCTGGGCCCCCAGGGTTTCATTTGTCACTGTCAAAGAAAGGACCCTGCCAGGGCACGACCAGGCCTTTCCTCTGGGCCCCATGAGCTGAGCATGAGGCAAGGCCCTCGGGGAGAGGGGGACCCAGCTGCTGCCTGGATCCACCCCAGCTGCTGCAGACTCTTGGGCGCTCCTGTCACCGAGCCCTGCAGGCAGGTCAGGTGTCCCTGCCTGCCCGCCGCCTGGCCCAGGCTGAGTGCCGTGCTCTCCCCCAGCGTCGGGCTGCTGCTGGCCATCCACCTGTGCCTCTTCACCATGTTCGGAATGCTGCTGTTCGCTGGTGGGAAGGTAGGGCACCCGTGGTCAGGGTCTGGGAATGGGGCTGCCCTGTGCTGTGACTAACAGAGGGGGCTGGGCTGGTGTCTGCTGCCCTGGCCTAACCCATGTGCGGACTCTGTCCAGTAATAGCAGTGGCCCATCTGGGGTCCAGGAGTCTGCCTTTGGGTGGCCACAGTGCTCCACCACCCCACTGCCCAGACACCTGTCTGCCCTGGGGTCTCCTGGGCTCAGGGCCACTTGTCCTTTGTCCTGGCTGTCCGCTCCCACCCTCCTCTGCTCCCTCCCATCCTGACTCAGTTCCCCTATCCTCCTTCCCACTTCCCTCCCCCCTCCCTATCCCCCGCCCCTCCCCGCCCTTCCCCGCCAGGCTATTCACTGAGGGTGGGTCCTCTGGTTTCTCCTCCAGCCCTGTTCATCCTTCCTGACAACCAGGCTTGCCCTGTACCCTCTCTGACTGCAGCCCCCAAGGCTGCGCTGGCCTACTGGGAGGGCCCTCACCTCCCACGCCCTCTCCTGCCACTAGTCTCTCCCACCATATCCTCCTCTGCGGCTGCCCCGGGGCCCAGCAGCTCGTTGCTGTGTGGAGGCGTCTTCCTGTCCCCCAACCCCGCTCCAGTGCTATGTGTTTGTCCTCCTGTCCTGGCCGAGGGCACCATCCTTCTTGGGGCTGGGGCCACGCTGCATCTCTGCTGCTTTGTTGTGGGAGTGGACAGTGCTCAGCCTGCGCTGCTGTTCCTGTTTGTGGCCGTGTTGGGGTTTGGTGTGTGTTGTCCAGAAGGGGAAGGCTGAAGCCCGCGTTCTCACCCAGGGCGGAAGCGGTCATTGAGCCCCTGTGTGGCTCTGCATGTGTGTGTGGAGTCTGCATGTCTGTGTGCATGTTTGTTTGTATGTGTAGGTGTATGGTGTTTATGTCTGTGTGCGTGTTTGTATGTGTGCATGTGTAGTGTCTGTGTGCATGGTGTCTGTATGTCTGTGTGTGTGTTTGTATGTGTGCATGTGTAGTGTCTGTGCATGGTGTCTGTATGTCTGTGTGCGTGTGTGGTGTCTGTGTGCATGGTGTCTGTATGTCTGTGTGTGCGTGTGGTGTCGTGTGTGTGGTGTGTCTATGTGTGCATGCATGGTGTCTGTATGTCTCTGCGTGCGTGGTGTCTGTATGGCTGTGTGCGTGTGCATGTGTGTGCGTATCTCTGTGTGTATGTGTGTGTTTGTGTGCCTGTCTGTGGGTGGTGGGGGCAGCTGGGTTGTGGAGATGGAACCGGCTGACAGAATCTCAGGCCCTCCTCTGTGTGACCGTCCAGTGACCCCTGCAGTAGCGCTGTTTGCCAGAGCCTGTACCAGGTGGATGGCGTCAGTGTGGGTGCTGGAAGTGGCAACAGCCTCGGCCTTGAGGCCAGGGTGTGGTCCTCGACCCCGGGAAAGCCGAGTGTCCCATCCTGAGGCACCTGGAAGGGTTGGCTCCTCCTCCAGGCGTGGGTTTCTGCCCCACGAAGGGGACCTAGGGGAGCAAGGTGTACCTTGTGTGAGGGGTGCGTGCTTGTCGTGGTCTTGGCAGGAGTCTGGATCCCTGTCCGAGGCAGGACTTGAGAGGAGCGTGGGATGGTACCCGGCCCATCCTGCCTTCCTTCCCTGGCCATCATGCCCTGCCACCCTGGCCTGGGGCGGTAGCCAGGCTGTGCTTCTGGGTGCAGCGGCCGCCTTGCTTTAGCTACCTTTGTGAGTGCGGTCCAGAGCCAGCCTGCTTGTCCTCTGCTGGCTTTGCTCGTTGTGAAGCTCCAACCTGGATTGATTTCCAAGAACCAGGGTTGGTGTTGGGGTGTGTGGTCTCCCAGCAGCCGTGATGGTGCTGTCCCATTTTACAGATGTTTCTCAGGTCGGGGCTGTGGGCTGGCTCGGGTCCATCGTCGCTGGTTGTGGCAGGTTGGGCAGGAGCCCAGGGCTCCTCTGTGTCCCTGCAGAGCTGTGGCTTGGGCTGGGCAGGAGGTACGGGAAGTCATGCCTAGGGTCTGGAGCTGAATTGTAGAGGAGGAGCGTGAGGCCTGCTGGGAGGTACACAGTGTGGGGTGGGAGATGGGCCGGGGCAGGGCCACCTGCCTTAGGGAGTTCTGTCGGCTCTATGGACCTCAGCGTCTGTTAGGTGGTGTGCCTCAGCTGGCTCGAAGCCTGGCCCTAAACCTTGCTCCATGGGCGCTCGGTGGGTTGCTTTACATTTGGGAACGTGGTGGTTTGACTGGGTGAGGGTGGGACGGGGGATGCCCGGGAGGCCTGGACCCAGTGCTGTGGTCCTGCCGTCCCCGGTGACTGCTGGAGGCCAGCCTGCCCTCCAGGCCTCGGAAGGCCTTGCTCTGCTCCTCCACTCTGGCTTGGGCTGAGGCCCAGGAGGGGCCCGCCTAGCTCTCCCCAGCAGGGGAGCCTGTCCCTACCCGTGGCTCTGTGCCTGACAGCGCTCCCTGCCTTCTAACTTCCTCTCAGTGGCCCCTGTGCCCCCTCCCCCAGCAGACTGTGGAGTCTTCACCAATTAGCTCACGTGTCCTTGGGAGCCCCTGACTGGACAGACGAGGGGACAGTGCCATTTTATAGGTGAG
This sequence comes from Homo sapiens, assembly GCF_000001405.40. NCBI lineage: Eukaryota > Metazoa > Chordata > Mammalia > Primates > Hominidae > Homo > Homo sapiens. The sequence goes on from NC_000011.10 coordinate 69,066,541, forward strand.
GCCTTGGAGGCCTCAGTGCTATTGATGCGGCTGTGAGGCAGGAAGGGCGGCCTGTGCGACAGAGAGTGGCCATCACAGGTGCCTCCATGCCAGGGCCTGCCTGCGGGGTTGCCCCTTGGCCAGCAGCTGGGATTGTGGCTTTGAAACGATCCCTAAGAGAGGAGGTTGCTTTGTGTGCCAAGTCCCGCTGTGCCACCTGCCCCCACAGTTCATACAACCAGTCTGGTTTGCGGGAACCACCCATCTTCCAGCTGGGGGGTCTGGAGGCTTGGTAGGCAGAGGGTGCCCATGAGCCTGGCCCCAGTGAGAGCCCCGGGCCCGGAGTCTCAAGCAGAGTTGCTTTCCGAGCAGAAACACTGCATGTGCCAGCTGTGTTTTGTGGCTGGGACCCCTCTCAGGAGGGAGAGAGGATAGGGACTCCGGTGTGGATGCCCCCTTACCAATGGCTGTGATTCGCCACAGCCACGAGCACAGTGCCACTGAGTCCCGTGGGTGGCTATGGGCGGCCGTGGGCCCTGACACACAGCCTCTAGAGCAGGCTTCACGAAGGGTCCAACCTATCTCACCCTGGCAGCCTGGGCCCCTCTGCTCCTCCTGCCCCTCCTGCCTCTGCCCCGTAGCCTCACTGCTTGCACAGTGCATGGCAGAGTCGGCTGCGAGCAGGCGAGGTGGCCTGAGGGAGGTCACTAGGCTGGCTGAGGGCTTTTTGCTGTGGTTCTGAGCCGGCCTGCTTCCAGGCACCGTGTCCATGCGGGTGAGCGGTCTCCCTGGGTGCCCACTCTTGCGCCCGGAGATCCTGAGTTTGGTCCTGTCTGGCCATGAGCTCAGCCTGCTGGGAGGCCACAGGGAGATGCAGGCTGGGCGGCGGGTGGATGGTTCCAGCCGGTTGGGTCCGGGGCCTGGAGCTCAGCCTGTGGGGTGGGGACCCAGTGGTGCCCTGGAGCTGCCGCTTCTGCTCTTAGCAGGATGATGGGCAGGACAGGGAGAGGCTGACCTACTTCCAGAACCTGCCTGAGTCTCTGACTTCCCTCCTGGTGCTGCTGACCACGGCCAACAACCCCGATGGTGCGTGCAGGGCCAGGGAGGGACCGTGGGGGTCGGTGAGCCCAGCACTGGGGGGCCGGTTTGGGCTGCTGAGCCTTAGAACCCAGTGGGAGTTTCTGAGGCCTTTTTTTCGATAAGTGGAGAAGAAAGGGTGACATTTTCCTTCCTCCCCTTCTTTTCCTATCTCTTCTTTTTTTGTCTTGGTTTTCTTCTCCCTCTCTCTTGTCCCTTCTCTTTCCTTCTTTCCTTTTCTGTCTCATTCCTTTGCTTTCTCACTCCCTCCTCCCTTTTTCTTTTCATCTCCTCTTCCTCCTTGTCTACTCACTCCTCTGAGAAGCTGAAAGTGGCTGGTGTTCTTCATAGGGCGATGATGGCAGTGGTCAGAGGGGTCTCCTGGTGCCGTCCTGCTGGAGCTCCACACATCCACGCTGCGGTTGCTGCCGAGGTTCAGCTGTGGGAGCCACTGGGCAGCAGCATGTGAGGGCCAAGGGTCTTACTGGCCACGACGCTCACCCTGTGTGATGCTCATGGGGCCTCCACTGCTCAGGTGCAGGTGTGGCCAGGATGGAGGCCACGGTCCTGGGCTTGGCTGTGGCCCAGCCACCCTGGCTGGTGCCTTTCATCTTGCGGACCCTGAGTGCTGTCTCTTGTGTCCTCTGAGTCCTAGGAAGTGACCGCAGTGGGAGCAGGACCGTCTGAGTCCTAGGAAGTGACCGCACTGGGAGCAGGGCCGTCTGAGTCCTAGGAAGTGACCGCACTGGGAGCAGGACCGTCTGAGTCCTAGGAAGTGACCGCAGTGGGAGCAGGACCGTCTGAGTCCTAGGAAGTGACCGCACTGGGAGCAGGACCGTCTGAGTCCTAGGAAGTGACCGCAGTGGGAGCAGGACCGTCTGAGTCCTAGGAAGTGACCGCAGTGGGAGCAGGACCGTCTGAGTCCTAGGAAGTGACCGCACTGGGAGCAGGACCGTCTGAGTCCTAGGAAGTGACCGCAGTGGGAGCAGGACCGTCTGAGTCCTAGGAAGTGACCGCAGTGGGAGCAGGACCGTCTGAGTCCTAGGAAGTGACCGCAGTGGGAACAGGACCGTCTGAGTCCTAGGAAGTGACCGCAGTGGGAGCAGGACCGTCTGAGTCCTAGGAAGTGACCGCAGTGGGAGCAGGACCGTCTGAGTCCTAGGAAGTGACCACAGGGGGAGCAGGACCGTCTGAGTCCTAGGAAGTGACCGCAGTGGGAGCAGGACCGTCTGAGTCCTAGGAAGTGACCGCACTGGGAGCAGGACCGTCTGAGTCCTAGGAAGTGACCGCACTGGGAGCAGGACCGTCTGAGTCCTAGGAAGTGACCGCACTGGGAGCAGGACCGTCTGAGTCCTAGGAAGTTACCGCACTGGGAGCAGGACTGTCTGAGTCCTAGGAAGTGACCGCAGTGGGAGCAGGACTGTCTGAGTCCTAGGAAGTGACCGCAGTGGGAGCAGGACTGTCTGAGTCCTAGGAAGTGACCACAGGGGGAGCAGGACTATCTGAGTCCTAGGAAGTGACCGCAGTGGGAGCAGGACTGTCTGAGTCCTAGGAAGTGACCGCAGTGGGAGCAGGACTGTCTGAGTCCTAGCAAGTGACACAGGGGGAGCAGGACCGTCTGAGTCCTAGGAAGTGACCGCAGTGGGAGCAGGACCGTCTGAGTCCTAGGAAGTGACCGCACTGGGAGCAGGACCGTCTGAGTCCTAGGAAGTGACCGCAGTGGGAGCAGGACCATCTGAGTCCTAGGAAGTTACCGCAGTGGGAGCAGGGCCGTCTGAGTCCTAGGAAGTGACCGCAGTGGGAGCAGGACCGTCTGAGTCCTAGGAAGTGACCGCAGTGGGAGCAGGACCGTCTGAGTCCTAGGAAGTGACCGCACTGGGAGCAGGACCGTCTGAGTCCTAGGAAGTTACCGCAGTGGGAGCAGGACCGTCTGAGTCCTAGGAAGTGACCGCACTGGGAGCAGGACCGTCTGAGTCCTAGGAAGTGACCGCACTGGGAGCAGGACCGTCTGAGTCCTAGGAAGTGACCGCAGTGGGAGCAGGACCGTCTGAGTCCTAGGAAGTGACCGCAGTGGGAGCAGGACCGTCTGAGTCCTAGGAAGTGACCGCACTGGGAGCAGGACCGTCTGAGTCCTAGGAAGTGACCGCACTGGGAGCAGGACCGTCTGAGTCCTAGGAAGTGACCGCACTGGGAGCAGGACCGTCTGAGTCCTAGGAAGTGACTGCAGGGGGAGCAGGACTGACTGTGGGGAGGGCTGCAGGGAGGTTTCAGCTCTGTGTGCAGAGGGACATCCTTGATAGGTAGGGAGTTCCCCGTCCTGGAGGGTGTGCGAGCAGAGGCAAGAGATCGAATTTGGACAGGAAGGCCTTTCAGCCCTCCCAGGAGACCTCCTTTCTTTTTTTTCCTTTTCTTTCTTTTTTTCTTTCTTTCTTTTTTTTTTTTGTTTGAGATGGTGCCATGCTCTGTCACCCAGACTGGAGTGCAGTGGTGCAGTCTCGGTTCACTGCAACCTCCACCTCCCAGGTTCAAGTGATTCTCCTGCCTCAGCCTCCCGAGTAGCTGGGTTTACAGGCATGAGCCACCACACCTGGCTAATTTTTGTATTTTTAGTAGAGATGGAGTTTTACTATGTTGGCCAGGCTGGTCTCGGAATTCCTGACCTCAAGTGATCCACCCGCCTCAGCCTCCCAAAGTGCTGGGATTACAGGCGTGAGCCACCACGCTCAGCAATGGAGACCTCCTTTCTATTGCAAAAGCAAATAGTGTAGCGTCAGGATGGGAGTGGGATCAGGTACTGAGGTTGTCAGTTTCTGTTATTTCTTTTTTCTTTTAGTGATGATTCCTGCGTATTCCAAGAACCGGGCCTATGCCATCTTCTTCATAGTCTTCACTGTGATAGGTGAGTGCAGGTAACGTGGCCAGCATTTTGTGACAGGATCCCGAGAGCTCAGGGACCGATACACCCTGCTGCCTCCACGACCTGAAACTTCACATCCGTGTTTTTCACTCCAGAGATCACCCCAGGGATCCCCTGCCAACAGCTTTTAACCCCAGAGATCCCCCACCAACAGCTTCACCCGAGGGATCCCCCACCCCACGGCTTCACCCCAGGGATCTCCCGCCAACAGGTTCACCCCAGGGATCCCCCACCAACAGCTTCACCCCAGAGATCCCCCACCAACAGCTTCACCCGAGGGATCCCCCACCAACAGCTTCACCCCAGGGATCTCCCACCAGCAGCTTCACCCCAGGGATCCCTCACCAACAGCTTCACCCCAGGGATCCCCCACCAACAGCTTCACCCCAGGGATCCCTCACCAACAGCTTCACCCCAGGGATCCCCCACCCCACGGCTTCACCCCAGGGATCCCCCGCCAACAGGTTCACCCCAGGGATCCCCCACCAACAGCTTCACCCCGGGGATCCCCCACCAACAGCTTCACCCCAGGGATCCCCCACCAACAGCTTCACCCCAGGGATCCCCCATGCCACGGCTTCACCCCAGGGATCCCCCACCAACAGCTTCACCCCAGGGATCCCCCACCAACAGCTTCACCCCAGGGATCCCCCACCCCACACTTTCTGTTCTGTCCCCACCATTGACCTCGTCATCCTCCCACCTGTGACTGCGCTGGCCAGGCCATGTTTCCATTTGATAGGGGACGCCCCCGGCGCTGTGCTATCCTGTGCCGGCCACCCTTGCGTTGGTTTTGCTGCTGTACTGGTGGCGCCCCTGACCGTGGCTGTCTCCTCTTGAAGGAAGCCTGTTTCTGATGAACCTGCTGACAGCCATCATCTACAGTCAGTTCCGGGGCTACCTGATGGTGAGCGAGCTCCCCAATGCTGGCTGTGCCTGGAGCTGCCGGGAGGCCAAGCAGGGTGTGGCTTGAGATGAGCAGCTGGGTGACCCTTGCTGGCCAGGCCCCTGGTGGGACGGGAGGGCAGGGTTGCCACCTCTTGTGGATCAGCCGGGGATGCACATGTGTTGTTGCTCTAGCCACTGCCAGAGATGGCAACTCCCAGGACAGCAGACCCTAAACCCTCTTGAGGGGGAGCTGGGGGCGCCCCCAACACACAGAGGAGAAACGCGGCCCAGCATATTGCGCAGCACGCCCGTCAGACTCCTTCCTGTGCGGCCTGTCCCGGGAGTCTGACCAATCCTCTCATTCCTGGGGGGTGAGGGGCTGCCCCCAGGCTGTGGGGAACTGGGCCCCCCCCCAAGGCTGCCCAGACTCCCCCTCTGCCTGTTCCCCAGGGGAGGGAAGGGTCGGGGGTTCTGAGCTGGGGGAGGGCTGATCCTGCCGTTCATAGCCTTCCTCTTTGCAGAAATCTCTCCAGACCTCGCTGTTTCGGAGGCGGCTGGGAACCCGGGCTGCCTTTGAAGTCCTATCCTCCATGGTGGGGGAGGGAGGAGCCTTCCCTCAGGCGTGAGTGCTGGGCATGGACCCTCTTCTCCCTGAGGGTGGGTGCTGTGGCTGCTGGGCAGGGGCCGGGTGTTCATTAGGGGCTTCTTGTGCTTGGCCTGTGCCTCGCCCCTGCTGGCTGGCACCCGACTCATGGAAACCACCATGTCCCTGGCGCTCTGTGGTTCCCGGCGTCCTTGTCCTGAGTCCATGCCTTTGTCTTCGTGCCCCCCGGGGACCCTGGGCTGGTGAAGGGCCGAGTGGCCCGGCCTTCTTGTCCCCCTTTGTGCTCTTCTACCCTTCTGTGCTGACTTAGGCAGCAGAGCCAGAGGTGCGTGGGCCAGGTGTCCACACCACCATCCTGCTTGGAAATGAGGGCAGAGAGCTTGAGGGACATTGCAGTGGAAAGTTCTGGTCCTGACTGCTCATAGTGGTGAAGTCAGTTTGCGCCTTCTCGGGGGGACGGCAGTGGCAGGATGCTCGTTACAGGGGCTCTTGGTGTGGCTCAAGCTGCAAAGTGGCTTCATGGCAAAGCTCAAGCCAGACGCCAGGGCAGGAGGACCCAGGCCAGGGTTCCAAGGGAGCCGAGCTGGCTGTGCTCACCGGGCTGTGGGTTTTTCCCTGCAGAGTTGGGGTGAAGCCCCAGAACTTGCTGCAGGTGCTTCAGAAGGTCCAGCTGGACAGCTCCCACAAACAGGCCATGATGGAGGTACCCGCCCCCTGCTCCCAGCCTCCTCTGGGCTCCTCCCGGGAGGTCACTTGGGCCAGCAGCCCCTTTTCAGGACTAGGGGTGTGGCTTCAGGTCACCTGCAGCATTCACAGCCCGTCAGGGTGGGGTTGGGGCTGGGGGCGCTCACCTTCGAGGGCGCTCACCTTCCCGTGCGCCCCTGCTGACCTGTGCTCCTTCCTGTGCAGAAGGTGCGTTCCTATGGCAGTGTTCTGCTCTCAGCTGAGGAGTTTCAGAAGCTCTTCAACGAGCTTGACAGAAGTGTGGTTAAAGAGGTAACTGGGGCCACAGCCGCCCAGGGTGGATAGTGGGGGCCTTCCAGTTTCCCCTGCCCTTGATCACCTGGGGAACTCTTCTAATGATCAGTGCTGGGATTCACCTGCCAGGGATCCTGGCTCCTAGTATGGGAACTGGGAATGGAGTTCTCTTTGGCTCTTGGAGACTGGGGAGATTTTTATGAAATTCACCAGACCCCAGGAACTAGCCTGAGCCCAGCCCGACATGAAGGAGTCTTCCAAATGGTCTTCTCGGTTTCCATGACAGACTCTCCTTTTCCTGTCTGTCCTTCCTCAGGAGGTCCACACACTGGTCCTCTCCAAGGCCTTTGCCTTTCACCCTTGACACTTACAAAGTTCCCAGGTGGGCCTCAGCATCCGACTAAGCTCTGTGTCCAGAAGGCCTGGGCCAGGTGGGTGGAGACAGTGGGAAACAGCCCAGGTGCTCACAGGCAGTGTGGGGGCAGCACGGGGGCTGCCATTCCAGCTGCTCAGCCTCAGAGGACTGAGCCAGACCCTGGAACAGGGATGGGGCAGAGAGGTGGGGTGGCAGACGCCTGCCAGTTCTGTGTCACTTTTCTCGTTTGCTCAGGCTCCTGGGACGGCACCACAGACTGGGGCGGGGGCAGGGCTGAAGCAGCAGACATTTGTTATCTCACAGTCCTGGCCGTCAGTCCAAGGCCAAGTGTCACAGGGCTGGTTCCTCCTGAGGCCCCTCTCAGTGGCTTGTAGGTGCTGTTCTTTCCCCATGTCCTCACCTGAGGCCTCTCTCCGTGGCCTGTAGATGCCAGCCTCTCCCTGTGTCCTCACCTGAGGCCTCTCTCCGTGGCTTGTAGATGCCAGCCTCTCCCTGTGTCCTCACCTGAGGCCTCTCTCCATGGCTGTAGACATCGCCTTCTCCCTGTATCCTCACGTGGTCATCCCTCTGTGTGTCATCTCCTCCTCTTATAAGGACCCTATTCAGATTGGATTAGGGCCCATTCTAATGGCCTTGTTTTAACTAAATTACCTTTTAAAAGGCCCTGTCTCCAAATATAGTCACATTCTGAGCTACTGGGGGTTAGAGGTTAAAGATACGAATTTCGAGGGAGACAAAATTCAACCCATAGCAACTGTCAGCTGCTTCAGGATTCCTTGTCGGCCCCTGTGGCTGCAGGACCCTGTCAGAGGTGGTTCTCTAAAAAACATTGTTTTCCTAAGGTCCTTCCAGACCTCTGTAGTCAGGCCCTGCCCCAGCCTGAGCTTGAGTGCCACGCACTCGTCCCCATCCTCACTTCGGGCATCCTCTTTAGGGCTGCATTCCTCATTGTGGCACCCCCAGCCCCTTGGGGCATATGGGCGATGAGTGTGGTGAGGATCAGTAGGTGGCAGTTTGAATATTCACGCCATCAAACCTCTGTTTGGGACAAGGCTGGGCAATGCGTTATCAACTTAAGGTTGACTTGAAGATACGAAATAAATTTTACCAGGTGCAGATTTCACAGAAACTGTGGAGATGGTCCTCAGATAACAGAAAGTTAAGAAGCACCATTCTAGATAAAGGCGCTTGTCCTAGGGGCGGAGCTGTTTGGGGCTCAGGAAGCAGCTCTTAGCGGCTGTCGTAGGCTAGGTTTGCTGTGATCCGGCCCATGTTTAACCCAGACGGACACCTTGGCCAAGAGAGATTTCAGCATTATCTATTATGTCTAAATTGTTACAAGGAGAAGGTGTTCGTATGTTAGCTGTGTAACTGAGAGATAACTGATATGACTAAAGGGGCAGGCAGACACAGGCTGGGAGAAGCCAGTCATCCTAAAGGTTCTGGAAAGGTGGTTTTTGTTCCTCAGGCTTTGCTCCTGGTGTGTTCTGGGCCATCTGGGCTCTCCCTGGGCAGTTGTTGCCGTTCCCTAGGGCGTGGTTGAGTCCTGGTTGTCCAGAGCTGACTCTCCCACCCTTTTCCAGTGTCAGGATTTGGTGAGACCTGGAAAGGGGTTCCTCCTCCCGTGATGATGTGGAGGAAGGGCGGATGGATTGCTTTGGCCGTGACCCAGTAGAGCGGGCTTGTGTGCGCACAGGAGTGGGGAAGGCCCAACACGCAGGCCTGGCCTGATTCCCAGCCTGGTGGTCTCCCTGGAGGTCCCGGCGATGCTCTTCCCAGGGCACCGAGCACTGGGCTTTGAGATGGGAGTTTAGGTTCCACAGGTTTTGGGAGCCACAATAGCCTTAATCTGGTTTTCTGACTCCTTCTTTCCTCAATAATGCTGACTGTAGAGGGGAGGCCGTTGCCCCTCGGTATCTGCAGGGATTGGTTCTAGGACTCCATGTGGATACAAAATCCATGGATGTTTAAGTCTCTTAAGATGATGTAGTGTTTGCATGTAACCTACACACATCCTTCCGTATACTTTAAGTCATTTCTAGACTACTTGGAATACCTAGCACCTAGGAATGCAGTGGGAGTTTGGGGAATAAGGGTAAGAAAACCTGTACATGCTCCGTACAGATGCTTTTTCCCTGAGTATGTTTTGATCTGCAGTTGGTTCAGTCTGCGGACGCAGAGCCCGCTGACGTGAAGGGCTGGCAGAGCTTCAGTTTGGGAGGCAGATGCTTCTGGGATTGCTCAGATTTGGGGCAGCCTGTGGTTTTGGAAGCACAAAGAGGTCCTTTCTCGGCAGGCTGACGTCATGGGAGCTCCAGCCTTTTCGAGAGCCCTCCCGTGTGGGGTCACTGCCTGGGCGTCAGCCTGGCCGTGGCCAGGGAGTCGGTTGGTGCTTGCTGGCGAGCTTCAGAGAAGGTGCCCTGCCTGCTGCTGAAAGAAGTCTCCTCTTCATATGAGAAGCTTTTGGGGTTAAAAATGTAGTGGTCATTCATTATAGACAACAGAGGGAAGTGGGAAAATCCACCTCACGGGCTTTCTACCCAGAGACAAGCACTTTAGTCATATCAGTTATCTCTCAGTTACACAGCTAACATATGAACACCTTCTCCTTGTAACAATTTAGACGTAATAGATAATGCTGAAATCTCTCTTGGCCAAGGTGTCCGTCTGGGTTAAACAGAAAGTGTCATGTACGGCAGTGGCAACTACGATAAAAGAGTAACTGCAAGATGTAAGGAAACCATGTGGTGTCCTTGGGCTGAGGGGAGTGCATGAGGAAGGATGGACCTGGAAGGGGACCCTCCGAAGCTGGGGTTCAGACCTCTTGAGAGCAGGTGTGGTTTTGCCCACAGGAATGCAGAGACGTTCACTGGCTTCCCCGGGCTGCGGTTGGTTTGTGGTCACTGGGTAAGCAGGAGGCGACCCTCCTGGGTGCAGCAGGCCCAGGCTGTGAGCAGGCAGTGGCGTGGTCCTGCCGAGGGAATTCGGTGCCAGTGTGGGCAGGTGGCCTTTGGGCACTGGTTTCCACATTGAGGACTGTGGGAAGCTGGGAAATTTTCAGGAGGTCAGGCTGTGGCTGTAGGTCCCCTGGGGACTATGTGTCTCGGACAGAGCGTGTCCAGATGTGCTTAACACCACACTCCGATCCACCCCGTAGCATCCGGAAACCGCAGGGGAGGCCTGCCCTCCTGCTCTGTCCCTCCACCTGCCCTCCTGCTCTGTCCCTCCACCTGCCCTCCTGCCGTGTCCCTCCACCTGCCCTCCTGCGGTGTCCCTCCACCTGCCCTCCTGCCGTGTCCCTCCACCTGCCCTCCTGCCGTGTCCCTCCACCTGCCCTCCTGCCGTGTCCCTCCACCTGCCCTCCTGCTGTGTCCCTCCACCTGCCCTCCTGCTGTGTCCCTCCACCTGCCCTCCTGCCGTGTCCCTCCACCTGCCCTCCTGCCATGTCCCTCCACCTGCCCTCCTGCCCTCGTGCCATGTCCCTCCACTTGCCCTCCTGCCCTCATGCCATGTCCCTCCACTTGCCCTCCTGCCCTCCTGCCATGTCCCTCCACTTGCCCTCCTGCCATGCCCCTCCACCTGCCCTCCTGCTGTGTCCCTCCACCTGCCCTCCTGCCATGTCCCTCCACCTGCCCTCCTGCCACGTCCCTCCACCTGCCCTCCTGCCCTCCTGCCATGTCCCTCCACCTGCCCTCGTGCCATGTCCCTCCACTTGCCCTCCTGCCCTCCTGCCATGTCCCTCCACTTGCCCTCCTGCCCTCCTGCCATGTCCCTCCACCTGCCCTCCTGCCGTGTCCCTCCACCTGCCCTCCTGCCGTGTCCCTTCACCTGCCCTCCTGCCATGTCCCTCCACCTGCCCTCCTGCCATGTCCCTCCACCTGCCCTCCTGCCACGTCCCTCCACCTGCCCTCCTGCCCTCCTGCCATGTCCCTCCACTTGCCCTCCTGCCGTGTCCCTCCACCTGCCCTCCTGCTGTGTCCCTTCACCTGCCCTCCTGCCATGTCCCTCCACCTGCCCTCCTGCCCTCCTGCTGTGTCCCTCCAGCCCCTCCGCTAAGAAAGCCTCAACTCCCGTTCACTGTGGATGAGACGCTGAAAGGGACCCTGCCCGTTGTGGCAGAGTGCGTATCGAGGAGGATGTCGGGAGCCGAGAGGAAGTTCGCTGATCATTGGCACCACCAGTTTGGGTCTCACTGGAGAATAGCCACTCTATTCAACTGGATATTTTGGTGTTTTCCTTCCAGACTTTTCCCTGTGTAATTTCAGGCATTTGTAGTTACCTGGGGAAACAGTTGCTTTGTTCTTCTTTGACGTATACATGAAGCATTGCGATTTTCACTCTGCAGCCTGCCTGTTCACGCAGCCATGTCTTCTTACCCTCTCCATTTTCATATGGACTTTCTGGGGGGATGAGCTGTAGCCACGTGTCACATGTGGCTGTGGAGTACTTGACACGTGGCTGTTGCCACCGAAGAACTGAGTGTTGAATTTTGTTGCATTGAAATTTTCATGAAATAGCCGCCGGTGGTCAGTGGCTCCCGTGTGGGACAGCGGGTGCAGGTCTCCTTGCTGAGAAATGTTTAGGCCATTCCCCTTGTTGACCTCTTGCACACACAGACGTGTCTCAAGGAGGCTGCTGAGCGTGGGAAGTGCTGGGTCTCACAAGGGTCCTGACAGTGGCAGCGTCTGCCCGCCTGCCCCTCATTGCCTCCTGCTGCTGCTGGCCACAGTACAGGAGTTGGTTCTGTGCTGAGTTTCTGTAGCTATGAGTATATCACTTACCTGTGTTTTTTCACACAGCTTTTTTTTTTTTTATATATATCAGGGTGACACTTTGCGTATGTTTCAGGTGACTCTAATATCACAACATGGTTTACTTACAGCCTCAGTGGATGTTTCAGTTGCTTCTATTTCTCTTTGGGTGTTACAAAGACCACTGAGATGAACACCTTTGTGTATAAAGCGATTTCTGTGTCTGGGATTATTTCCTGTGGCTGGATAGATAGGACGGGAGATGGGGTAGGAAAAAATCAAATCCCAGAATAAGAGGGTGTGAGCATTTTTGGGCTGCAACAGCCACGGCTGCTGGCCTGTGCTTCTGAGCACGTGTGTTCCTTGCCCAGCACCCGCCGAGGCCCGAGTACCAGTCTCCGTTTCTGCAGAGCGCCCAGTTCCTCTTCGGCCACTACTACTTTGACTACCTGGGGAACCTCATCGCCCTGGCAAACCTGGTGTCCATTTGCGTGAGTGTGGATTTGCCCCAGAGCTGGCACGGAAGTGCCGGTTCCCGCCCACCTTGCAGGGGAGCCTGCCCCTCCTGCCTCGCCCAGCGCTGTGCTGGGCCAGCCGGCGAGCCCTCTGTTCTGGCGTTGCAGGTGTTCCTGGTGCTGGATGCAGATGTGCTGCCTGCTGAGCGTGATGACTTCATCCTGGGGGTAAGTTCTGAGCTGTCCACCTGTCAGGGCCAGGGTGAGGCTGGGCAGTGCTGGCAGCCCTGGGGCCCAATGCTGGGTGCCTCTTCTGCCCCTTTCAGATTCTCAACTGCGTCTTCATTGTGTACTACCTGTTGGAGATGCTGCTCAAGGTCTTTGCCCTGGGCCTGCGAGGGTACCTGTCCTACCCCAGCAACGTGTTTGACGGGCTCCTCACCGTTGTCCTGCTGGTAAAGTAGGCGCATCCGAGGCCGGCCTCTACTGGGCGGGTGGGTGAGCGCCACCTGGGCTCTGTGCTGGCCCATCTCAGGCCTCCCCTGAGGACTAGAGGCTGTAGGAAGGTGGGCTTCTGCTCTCAGTGGTGAGGGCTGGCTTCCCTGCTGGCCGAGTTGCTCAGTGGGCAGCCGGTGAGGTCTTTAGGAGGCTGGGTTTCTACTGCATCCGAGTGTCATGGGGGGCAGGCTGCCCCTCCCGACCCCCAGGGGAAGCCCTGAAGGACTTGTAGCCCTGGCCAGCGACTCCAGCCCGGGGAACAGCCTCTTAAACGTCACTGATAGACGGTGTGACCTCAGCATGGGTGGAGCGAGGGGCCAGGGGGCTCTCAGGCACCAGGGTGTTCTTGGGAAATGCTTACACTTCCTTTCCCCAGACCCAGTGGGAGTGAGGGCATGCCACACTTGGTGTGTGTGTCACAAGCAGCCACATGAGAGTGACGTTTGCTGTAGCCAGCAGGCCCCTCGGCACATAGGTGAAGAGAAATTTGAAAAGGGCCCTGCAGTCTGTCCTTGACTCAGTATCTTCTCTGCCACCTCTGCCACCCCAATCTGTGCAGTCCCCCGATTCCTGAGGCCAGGGTGTCTTTCCAGCTGAAAGAAGTCCTGACATCTGGAACCAACCCGTGGGGTCCAGGACCAAGCTCTGATTTCTCCCCAAAAGCCCCTTTTGGGGAGAATGTGTTAGAGATGAGCTTTATAATAATTCCTTTAAGGGCCGCCCAGATTAGTGTTGCTGTAGCGAAGCCTTCTTTTCTTTTGTAATTAAAGGTTTTGGAGATCTCAACTCTGGCTGTGTACCGATTGCCACACCCAGGCTGGTATGTGACTGGGCAGAACCGAGGGCGGCTACAGCAAACAGCACCACCACCCAGCGCCCCTGGGAGGGTCTCAGTGGTGTCCAGGGGGCTGGGTCTGCTCTGACTCTAGGGCAGACCCCGTGATGGTGGAATGGGTGGGCCGATCCCACAGCAGAGGCTGTGTCGGGGCAGGGCCCTGCCGTCGCTCTGGGGGTCCTCTCTCCAGAAGCTGGCACCCCGCAGGCTGTGGAGGGAAGCCGTTGTTCCCCCTTGGAGATGCCCTCCCGGGCGGCAGTGGGCTCCCCCTCCCAGCACACATGCTGGGGGCTGGCAGCAGAGATGCCCCTGGCTCAGGTCTCAGGGGACCTGTGACCACTGGGATTCGGCTGGGCCCCTCTGCTGGCGGGAAGGTCCTTGGGAGAGCCCCTGCCTCACAGTGTGACCTTGAGTCATCGCCTCCCACTCTGGACATCACTTTAGCCTCCTTAAAATAGTGGAGCTAGGGGCCCGGGGCTCACTGAACTCTGAGGCTGTGTGCTGATTCACCACTGCCCGGGGTTCTGGCCATGAAGAGACAACCTGGGCAGGGACCCTGGAGCCTCGTGGCACCACAGGGCTGTCAGCCAGGCTGCTCTGCCCTGAGAGCGTGGCTCTGGTGTGCCCGTGATGAGACAGGAAGGGTGGGGCACGGGGCCCAGCATGCCAGCCTCGGCCCTGTGGTTAGGCCGGGCTCCTTGGGTCTCTGTGTGCTGTGTCATCCACCCCACTGCCTAGGGAGCAGCTGGGAGTCGCTTGGTGGGGGTGGGGACGGTGGACAGCAAGAGCCTTGCTATTCCGTCAGCTCCCTAGGAAGCCCCCCAGAACTTACCTCAGGAAGGCAGGCAGTGCCACTGTGCTGTGCCGTGGGGCTGGCATTGCCTTGTCTTTCATGTGCACTGAGCATGCCCGCTGCACTTTGTTCTGAGTCATTACCTTGGGGGGCTGACACTGTGGGTGAGAATGGGTTTGAGTTTCAACAGAAATGAAAGCATGGAAAGACCATGAGGGATGCCAAGCGGGGCTTGGGTCAGGGATGGGGTCAGGGTCAGGGTCATGGGACAGGAGGTGGGCGATGGGGGCAGGAACCAGGGGATGGGGCTGGCGCAGGAGACCGGGGCAGGAGACATGGGCTCACGCAGTTCTGCTGGGGCCTGAGCTGGAGCAAGTCTCAGTGTCTGGAACCTCCATGCCCTCCCGTGTGGACAGAGGGTCTGTGTAGAAGGAGGGCTGCAGCCTTCCCGCAAGGGCTGGCTGGGAAGGTGTTGGGGGGATGGGGGTCGCTCCGGGGCTGCAGGTGGAAGCGGAGCAGTGAGTAGCCCAGGCCCCGCCCTCTCGCCACCCTGCAGAGGCTTTTCTGCTCGGTGTTGGCTGTGGGGTGCACTCCCGTCATGCCCTGTTGCCCTCCCTGCGCCTCCGTCCAGGAACCCGCGCGTTTCCTTGTCTCCTCCCTGTGGGGCTCCTGGGCTCCTCCCAACCCGCCTCCCGTGTCTCTCCCCAGGAGGCCGGAGATGGTGGGCCTGCTGTCGCTGTGGGACATGACCCGCATGCTGAACATGCTCATCGTGTTCCGCTTCCTGCGTATCATCCCCAGCATGAAGGTGTGTGCCGGCCCCACCCCCACTCGCCCCACCCTCCTGGGTCATGCTGCTGCGTTGCTCCAGGGTGGGTGAGCCTGGGGCAGGAAGGGCCCGAGGACTGTGCCCGTCACCCTGGGCTCCCTGGCTGCACCCTCAGCTCTCTGCCGTGCTCTTGTGATGCTGGGGAAGGGTCATTAGAAGCAGGAGAGCCCAGCCCTGCATTTCTGGGTTGGGAGAGGAAGGCGGGCAAGGGTGTGGCGGGTGCAATGCTTTGGCCAGTGGCAGGAGCTCCTTGGGGCTGGAGCCCTGGACACCAGTGCTCCCCCAGGTCTCTGAGGTTCCCAGAAAGGCCTTTGCCATGGCTCCCAGGGTGCTATTAATGAGGGGCAGTGGTATCCCTGGCCAGGGAGCTTGTTTCCAGGATCCTCTAATGCGGGCGCAGGTGGCTCATGACCATCTCTGAGGGCTGGTTTCTCTTAATGCACCGGTTAGGAGCAATGGGCACCTTAAAGGGGCAGGCAGGCAGAGGTCGGGGGTCTGGGCCTTGCTGCTCCTGGCATCATGTCCTAAGACCCATGTTCTGAGTGTCCAGGTCCCTCCTCTGTCCCCGTTCATCCTTCCTCTGAGCTGTGCACCTGTCCCACCTGACAGTATGTCCCACTTGAAGGCAGCTCAGGGGTCCTGAGCCTTCCTACGGGGCTGCTGTGCTGGGACCTTCATACGCACACACACGCGCACACGTGTTCACACATAATTACAGCCATACAAGCACAATCATACATATATACAATACAGCCAAGCACACGTGATCTCACACACAACCACACATGTGACCATGCACATGCATATACACACACAATCACAGGCACACATGATCATACACAGTCACACATATACAATCATGTTTGGATACAATACACATCATCATGCACATACACACGTACATTAATACGCACGCCCGCATCACCGTATGCACAGATAATCACATGCAAATATCCATGTGAACTCATGTCCGTGTAAGACGCATGATCGTGTGTGCACACATCGCATGCAGATATCCATGTGAACTCGTGCCCGGGTAAGACGCATGATCGTGTGTGCACACATCGCATGCAGATATCCATGTGAACTCGTGCCCGGGTAAGACGCATGATCGTGTGTGCACACATCGCGTGCAGATATCCATGTGAACTCGTGCCCGTGTAAGACGCATGATCGTGTGTGCACACATCGCGTGCAGATATCCATGTGAACTCGTGCCCGTGTAAGACGCATGATCGTGTGTGCACACATCGCGTGCAGATATCCATGTGAACTCGTGCCCGTGTAAGACGCATGATCGTGTGTGCACACATCACGTGCAGATATCCATGTGAACTCGTGCCCGGATAAGACGCATGATCGTGTGTGCACACATCGCGTGCAGATATCCACGTGAACTCGTGCCCGTGTAAGATGCATGATCGTGTGTGCACACATCGCATGCAGATATCCTTGTGAACTCGTGCCCGTGTAAGACGCATGATCGTGTGTGCACACATCGCATGCAGATATCCTTGTGAACTCGTGCCCGTGTAAGACACATGATCGTGTGTGCACACATCGCATGCAGATATCCATGTGAACTTGTGCCCGTGTAAGATGCATGATCGTGTGTGCACACATCCACAGTAAGGCCTCAGTGCTATCCACAGGTTCTTGGAAACTGTGACTTTAAGGGAAATGGCGCACAGCAGACCCTGCAATCATGCCGTTTTGCTTGAAGTCGCAGTTTCCCAGGACCTCTCACGTGAGTATATACATGCTCACGATGACACGCAACGTGTGCACACGTACATGCTGACTGGTCTCCACTGTGGCGTTCAGCTGTGTTGTCTAGTTTGGATTCCTCAGGTGGGTTGATGGGGCTGATGTGAAGGCCTTTCTCCCGGCTAGGCTGTGATGAGGAGGAGCGGCTCTTTGGAGCCGGGGCCTCCCTGCTGGTTCTCAGAGGCCCCTTCTCAGACTCAGTTCCTGCAGGTGCTCCTGCCACCTCTAGCTCTGCATTTCTTTGGCGTCTCCAGGCCACAGAGTAGCTGACCCACCTGCAGTGGGTTGGGAGGCAGAGAAGGGCCTCCCACAGGAATTTGAAGTCCGTGCTTGAATGAGGCTGGGGTGGAGGTGTTGGGATGCGGGAGTGGGTGAGTGAGTGCGTGCGGGTGGCGATGCAAGCGTGTGCGAATGCGTGTGGGTAGATGTAGGTGTTGGGGTGCGAGGGTGTGTATGGGTGGACGTGGGGGCCTGACAGGCTGTGTGGGTGTGTAGAGGCGTGTGGGGGTGGCTGTGGGTCCAGGTGTGTGTGTGTGGGTTGGTGGTCATTGGCCTGCCCCATCTTGCCTTTCTGTCAGGGTCAGCGTGGTGGGCCGGGATGGTGTCCCCTCAGTGGGGCCAGGAGGAGTAAGGGCTGTGCTCTCTTCCTGTCCTCAGCTGATGGCCGTGGTGGCCAGTACCGTCCTGGGCCTGGTGCAGAACATGCGTGCGTTTGGCGGGATCCTGGTGGTGAGTCCCAGGCTGCTGCTGGTGGCGGGTTATGCACTGGAGTGGGAGGCTGGGAGGCTGGCGGAAGGCAGTGCCGGGCCGGCTCACTGCTCTGTCGGTAGGAAGGTTCTTGGGTTCGGACGGCAGCAGGTTCCTGAGGCCAGGGAAGTACAGGGTCGGGGTAAGAAGCCAGAGGCATCCCCTTCTTTGTACAGCAGGGAGCTCGGGTGGTGTGGCTGGTGGCCCTGCCTGAGCATCCTTCCCTCCCATGGCAGAGACTGTTTGGTAATTTTTGAGTCTCTCGTGTTTTCTGGGTTGTGGATCTCGTTGAGAAAGTAATGACAGAAATTTAAGAGGCGCAGGGCTTTGCTCCAGGGACCCCAAAGCCTGCACAAGCCCTGGGATGAGGACTTGGTCGAGGCTCCTTTCTTAGAGGAATTTCAGGGACTCACAGCCACATTTGCTGAGCGAGAACTGTGGGACGCCCCGGCCCCTCCCTGGGGGCCAGCCTTCCAGCTGAGGAGCCCATCTGCTCTGCCTGGTGGCCGGGCTTGGGCAGGAGAGGGGCCTGTGACCAGGCAGGCCCCAGATCCGCGCCGTGCAGAGTGACAGGAGGCGCCCTTTGCAGGAAGCCCGGCCACACTTCAGGCAGTTTTGCCATTTTATTCTGACCACCTTGACGTAGGGACCACTGGGGTGAGAAGGTGTCTCTGGGGCCGCAGGGTGCTCTGGGCTGGACCCCAGCTGTGCCTCGCGCCTCTGGAAATAGACGCTGGGAAGAGAATCTTGCCTCAGGTGCTGTCTGCCCAGCCCCCTAACTTGCACAGCAGAGGAAACTGAGGCCCAGAAAGGGGACCAGGTTAGCCCAGGCGTGTACCCCTTCCACTCTGCTGACGCATGTTAGGGACAGGCCTGGGGTTGGCGGGCAGCCTGTCCCCTAACTGTGGCTGCCAGGGTACCTGGGGGCAGGGCCCTAATTCCCTTAGGAGCTCCATGACCACGCCTGCCTGAGCCCCACTGTGTCTGTGGACCCGCCAGCCCTGGGGGAGGCCAGCTGCGTGTGTTTTGAAGTAGCAGCCAGGCTGGAATCCCAGCCCTGGGCAGAGGGTCCTGGCCTCACAGTCATCCTCTGGCTTTGCGGTTCTGTCTGGGGAGGGTGGTGGTGGGTGCACCCATGGGTGGGGCTGATCAGTCCCCGGCTCCTGGCCCGCCAGGTGGTCTACTACGTATTTGCCATCATTGGGATCAACTTGTTTAGAGGCGTCATTGTGGCTCTTCCTGGAAACAGCAGGTGAGGTGGGGTCCGAGGTGCCACAGGGAGTGTCTCAGGGGTGCTGGGGTGGGCGGGAAGCCTTGGCGGTGGCCTCAGTGGGCTCAGCATCTCAGGATGGGAGGGTGTTCTCCCAGTTCCTTCGTCTCCTCCCTCCACCCCCTTTTCCCGACCCCCAATTTCCACCTCCGCTCCGCACCTCTCCTAGGAGCCCTTGCCTGGAGTCTGCTAAACACATTTCTCGTGGCCTGCTCAGAGCAGCACTTTCCCTGCCCTCTGAGCCTCTGTATCCCAATTTGTACCTTCAGGCCAGGCTGAGCACGCCAGCAGAGGAAAGGGGTGTAAGGTATCAGGCCTCAGAACCTGGAGCCCCCGCCCCTGACCCAGGTGTGTTGTGTTCCCCAGCCTGGCCCCTGCCAATGGCTCGGCGCCCTGTGGGAGCTTCGAGCAGCTGGAGTACTGGGCCAACAACTTCGATGACTTTGCGGTGAGCCCTGCGCCCTGTCCCAGCACCCTGCTCCCCGGGCTCCTCCCCTCCCTACCTCCTGGGCCCTCCTGGACCGCTGGTCTCTGCCCCCGCAGGCTGCCCTGGTCACTCTGTGGAACTTGATGGTGGTGAACAACTGGCAGGTGTTTCTGGATGCATATCGGCGCTACTCAGGCCCGTGAGTCCTCGTCTCCCTGACGGCAGTGATTCTCCGTGCAGCCTGGGGGTTCCCTCACCTCCGGGCACGCTGCATCTGCACTGGACGCCCGGAGCGTGGCTGGGACGGGGACTCGGGCCTTGACAGGGAAGTCGGCCAGCGTGGCATCCTGGCTTGCCTTGTCCCTGCCCCCTGCATAGCCACATCGTGACTCTCAGGATGGTGGCCAGTGACTCTGGGTTTACACCTCCTGGAGGTCGTTGGTGTGTTTGGGGCTTCTGAGGAATTCCATGGGGGTGGGGGAGCCCCGGGAAGGCTGAGTGAACGAGATAGTTCAGCTCTGAGCTTGAAGAGCTCAGACTGGCCCCAGCTGATGGTCCTGGGTTTTAATCCCAGCACCGCCTCCTGCTGGCTTAGCTACCTCGGCAGCTTGTTGCACGTTTCTAGGCCTCAGTTGGGTTGTTTCTGAGATGGAAATAGTAACGCGCTCTGCATCATGGTGTGTGTGGGCCGGCTGCCCGAGAGCTGTCCTGGCCACGCAGCAGTGGTGTTTGTATCGAGTGCTCTTGCTTTGCTCATCGTGGTTCACAGGGTGGGTCTCTGTCCTCCGCAGGTGGTCCAAGATCTATTTTGTATTGTGGTGGCTGGTGTCGTCTGTCATCTGGGTCAACCTGTTTCTGGCCCTGATTCTGGAGGTATCAGAGATCCCCACCCAGGCTGTTCTCCATGGTCGTTTGTTTCTAATTCACTCTCGATGGGCCTGAGGCCACCGGCCGGGCCTGCCTGGAACTTTGATGGGAGAGTCGTGCTGGGTTAGGCGGGTCCTGAGTGAGGCTGAGCCCCTCCCGTGGGGCTCAGTGCTGCCCGCCCTGGCTGCTGGGGCCTTGGGGAGTGCTCCTGACATCTGGGCTGCTGGGGCCTTGGGGGGTGCTCCTGACATCTGGGCTGCTGGGGCCTTGGGGGGTGCTCCTGACATCTGGGCTGTGGGGATTCTCAGGCCCCCAGGTCGGGCTGAAGGAGGGACTTGGACATTGGCTCCAGGAGGAGCCAGCAGCCTCGTGGGGCCTGTGCCTGGGTGTCCAGGGTGAATGGCTCAGCCCCCTCAGCGGGTGCCCTGTGGCTGACCCTGGAGGGGCCGGGGATGGGGCAAGGCTGCTTTCATTCGGGGCCCACACTCACTGGCCACTCCTCCTGCTTGCCAGAACTTCCTTCACAAGTGGGACCCCCGCAGCCACCTGCAGCCCCTTGCTGGGACCCCAGAGGCCACCTACCAGATGACTGTGGAGCTCCTGTTCAGGTGTGTGGGTGGGGAAGGCGCTTCTGTCTGGCCCCCTGGGATGGGAAGCCAAGAGCTGGGGGGTGGAGGGGTTGAGGCGGCGGGCAGGCCCTGATGACTGTCCTCCCCCTCCGCCCGGTTATCTGGCTTTGGTCCTGTGCTCTAGGAGAGCAGCTCAGAGCCGGGATCGGGGCGGCTTCTTCTTCCTGCCACTGGCGTCATAGCCTTTGTCCTGCTCTCCTGCTCTTGGATTGGGCATATTTAAGGCACCATCCTTCAGGGTCCATTGGATCCTGTTGGATGTAAACAAGGGACCTGAGGAAAACGCACCCATCTCTTCTCCTGGCAGCTTTGAGATGGTTCCTCTGCTAGTCCAGAAAAGTGACCACCCAGAGGCAGCCCTGCTGTGGGGCCTCTGTGCCTTCCACCAGGGGCTGCCGAGTTGCTGCAGCCAAGCCCTGCGGTCCTGCCAGCCAGTGGGAAGACGTGGCCCCTGGGCTTTTAAGAATGCCGTGTAGATATTTCTAGTGGCTACATCCATCCTGAGGCTCATCTGAGTCCCCGTGTCTCTGTGTCCCTGTGACACTCACTTCGCATGTGTTGCTAAGCTCTGCTCCCTTGTTCTTGTGGGCAGGCCAGGGTCTCCCTCCTTTAGAGGCCCCTGTGTGCATCTTTCCTCAATTCCACAGGGATATTCTGGAGGAGCCCGGGGAGGATGAGCTCACAGAGAGGCTGAGCCAGCACCCGCACCTGTGGCTGTGCAGGTGACGTCCGGGCTGCCGTCCCAGCAGGGGCGGCAGGAGAGAGAGGCTGGCCTACACAGGTGCCCGTCATGGAAGAGGCGGCCATGCTGTGGCCAGCCAGGCAGGAAGAGACCTTTCCTCTGACGGACCACTAAGCTGGGGACAGGAACCAAGTCCTTTGCGTGTGGCCCAACAACCATCTACAGAACAGCTGCTGGTGCTTCAGGGAGGCGCCGTGCCCTCCGCTTTCTTTTATAGCTGCTTCAGTGAGAATTCCCTCGTCGACTCCACAGGGACCTTTCAGACAAAAATGCAAGAAGCAGCGGCCTCCCCTGTCCCCTGCAGCTTCCGTGGTGCCTTTGCTGCCGGCAGCCCTTGGGGACCACAGGCCTGACCAGGGCCTGCACAGGTTAACCGTCAGACTTCCGGGGCATTCAGGTGGGGATGCTGGTGGTTTGACATGGAGAGAACCTTGACTGTGTTTTATTATTTCATGGCTTGTATGAGTGTGACTGGGTGTGTTTCTTTAGGGTTCTGATTGCCAGTTATTTTCATCAATAAGTCTTGCAAAGAATGGGATTGTCATTCTTCACTTCAGCACAGTTCTAGTCCTGCTTCTCTGGAGTAGGGTTGTTGAGTAAGGTTGCTTGGGTTGTGCATTGCACAAGGGCACATGGCTGTGAGGTGTATCCTGGCGGGGGGCTGTCTACCTGCAGTGAGGGGCACCTTTTCTGTTTTGCTCAAAGGCATGTATAAGCCAATGGGTGACCTTATTTCCTGTGTCTTCAGGTGTGTGGCAGGGGGCCTGGGGTGGGGAGGTGGGGCGAGCGAGCAGTGTGTGGAAAGCCTTGTTGTCACCTGAAGCACGCCAGGTCCAGATTGACCAATGGTTTTCTCACTTCAGGGGCCAACCCACGCCCCCTTTCTGCTGAGGTTTGGGTGCCATCTAGTGGTGGGATGGGACTTGGTTGACTACATTTAAGGTAAGGTGGACCCAGCAACTCCCAGAAACAACTCCGGGGACACCACTCCCCATCACACTCCACACCGAGCCTGGTGCCCGGTCTGTGCCCGAGCTCAGCGGGACCAGGAAGGGATGGGCCCTGCCAGGGTTGCCCCTGCACTGTGCATTCTCGCCTGGGAGGCACAAGTTCTTTCATCTGCTTTTCCTTCAGAGGTGCTGAGCCCACGCCATAGCCCCTGTGGGATGGTGGGGGAGGGGGCGACCCGAACAACAGTGCAGTCGGTATCGAGATTGGGGAGAGGAGCGAGTCCAAGGAGAAGGTCATGAGTTTCTTTTTACTCGTGTTGAATAATAACAATAACAATAACAATAACAATATGGAAACCACCGCAAACTTGGAGAAAAGTTGTAAGCACAGTAAAGAGAAGCTTCCTTCTGAGTCACTTGAGTGGTTGCCGTTCTGGCCCTGCACCCTCTGTGCTTTGGGACGGCGTCCAACCCGCATTCATGTCAGGAGTGAGTCGCACGTGGCTTTGTGGTCATGGCGACTTAATCCGCCTGGACGGTGGCTCCGTCTCCCTGGGCTTAGACGACCTTGGCACTTCTGGAGATAAGCCCATGGCTCCCAGGTTGTGTTCATGTGACGTTTCCTTGTGGTAGGTTCTGGGTCTGCGTTTCGTCTAGGAGTGTCACAGGATGGACACTGCCTCCTGGCAGGGGCTGCCCAATGCAGTTAGCCTCCTGCTGGTGTTCTCTCTTGTTGCTTGGTGAAGGTGGCCCTGGTCAGCTTCTCCACTGCCCAGTGAACGACCCCTTTGTAATGAATGAGTGGGGAGGTAGTGTGAAGCGATGCCAATATCCCATCCCTGTCAAACTGCCTTTACTTTTTCCTTCCTTCCTTGCTCCCACCTGTGTGGATCCTGGTCCCTTCTTGTATTCAGGGCTGTGGTCTGTTATGACATTTACTCTCAGGCTCAGGTCCTGCTTGTTTGGCCCGTGGGAGCCCCTTCTTCTGCCTTTTGTGTTTTTTTTGTTATGTACCTACAGTTCTTTAGCTGTTTCTTTACTTTCTGGTGCAAAAAGATGTTCAAGCCTTATTTTATACTTGCCTGCCCCTTTCTCTTTCATTTATTGGAGTGAGCTGCAGCTCTAAGAAGACCTGTTCTTTTGAATGGAGAGTAGCATCAGGAACCAGGATGTGGGTGCGAGGCGTGCTCCTGGCTGTTGCAGATTGCTGCACCCGGGAGCTCTTAGTGGACAGAGCTAGAGGATATGTGCACGTACTTCCATCTCTCTCTCTGTCTCATCTATTCACAGCTGGGAATGATACTAATACCTCCGATTTTAGCCCAGCACCACAGGGTACGTTCCAGTTTTTCTCTCTTTCCATAGCTGTAAGGCCCTTTCTGGGAATGGTTCTCATTCTCCTTAATCTATTATTGGGTCAGTTTTCCTGCATGTCCCCAGCCTCCCATCACTGCCACCCACTCCCCACAGAGATGCCCTGCTCATCCGACTGGGGCTTTGACTCCCACACTGTGTACCCCTCTTGTGTGGACGCCCTGCTGCCAAAACCTTCAGCAAACAGCTTTCCAAATGGAAGTTGTCACTGTCAGGGCCTTTACAATCAGCAACAGCAAAATCTACATGCTGCTGAGGGTCCTGCCTCATTAAGATGCAATAAATATGTAAGTACATAAAAACAGCAATAGAAGAAACGTAATGCTTTATTCTCAAATATGATGTCTACATAGAAAAGCCAAAATTATTAAGAATAGTAAGAATTCACCCAGCACTTTGGGAGGCCGAGGCGGGTGGATCATGAGGTCAGGAGATCGAGACCATCCTGGCTAACAAGGTGAAACCCCGTCTCTACTAAAAATACAAAAAATTAGCCGGGCGCAGTGGCGGGCGCCTGTAGTCCCAGCTACTGGGGAGGCTGAGGCAGGAGAATGGCGTGAACCCGGGAAGCGGAGCTTGCAGTGAGCCGAGATTGCGCCACTGCAGTCCGCAGTCCAGCCTGGGCGACAGAGCGAGACTCCGTCTCAAAAAAAAAAAAAAAAAAAAAAAAGAATTCAGCACAGTTGTTTGCTATGAGATTTAAAAAGTTTTTACTTTATTACTTATTCATTTATTTATTTTAGGGTCTTGCTCTGTTACCCAGGCTGGAGTGCAGTGGTGTGATCATGGCTCACTGCAGCCTCCAACTTGTGGGCTCAAGCAGTCCTCCTACCTTGGCCTCCTGAGTAGCTGTAACTACAGGCACATGCCACCAGGTCTGGCTAATTGTTTTATTTCTTGTAGAGATGGAGTATCTCTATGTTGCCCAGGCTATTCTTGAATTCCTAGGCTCAAGTGATCCTCCCACCTTGGCCTCCCAAAGTGCTGAGATTACAGGTGTGAGTCACTGCACCTGGCCTGCCCTGAGATTATATACTGAAATCAATTGCTTTTCTAGACACTAGCAATAAGCTTATAAATTATATTCAAGGATTCAGTTATATTCATTTTTTAAAAGATATTTAAATAAGATTAAAAATTCTTAAAGTTTCTAAAAATAAATGGAAGGAAAGATATTCAAGGCCTATATACAGAAAACTATAAAACTTCATTAAAGCCCATGACTGTAGATACAAGTAAATTGAGACTATGTAGTTTTCTGTTGCTGTGTAACAAGTCCCCACATACTTGGTAGCTTATCACAACCTCATTTCTTAGCTCCAAGCTGCAGGTCAGACATCCAGGCACGGCTTGGTAGGTCCTCCGTTCAGCAGAAATTGGGGTGTCAGTGGGCTGGGTTCCTTCTGGGAGCTCCGGGGAAGAGTCTGCTCCCATACTCACTTGGGTTGTTGGCCAAATGCAGTTGCTTGCAGGTGTTGGGCTGATGTCCGTTTCCTGCTGGCTGTCAGCCAGGGGCTGCTCTTAGGGACTAGAGGCCACCCACATTCCTTGCCATAGGGTCCCCTCCATCTTCAAAGTCAGCAACAAAGAAGCTGCCTCACATTGACTCCCACTCACCCTTTGAATCTCTAGGAAAAGCCTGTGTGGTTTACAGTTTCACCTGATTAGGTCAGACCCACCAGGACAACTGCCCATCCTTAAAAGTCCTGTGTGCCACCTAACATATCCCAATTCCGGGAGTGACTTATTCACGGGAGGAGATTATGTAAGGGTAAGGATCACTGGGGTCATCTTGGAATTCTGGCCACCACAGTTTTTCTATCTTCATGGTCAAAAAGAATTGATATTGTAAAAATGTCAGCCTTCTCCAATTTCATCCATACATTCATTATAATTCTAAACATAATGCCATTTTTTTCCCACAAAATTTGATAAGTTGATTGAAAAATTAACATGAAAGTACAAAAACAAGAGCAAAAATCCTTTCTGTGGGAGAATCCAGTTGAGGGAATTGCTGCTCCATTATTCCTGACTTACATTGCTGGGACAGCAGCCACAGCAGTGTGGTCCTGGTGCAGGAGCTAATCGGCTAAGGGGAGAGAGCCCGGGAGCCCCGCACACCGGCGCAAGGGCGAATCTACTAAGGGGAGAGAGCCCGGGAGCCCCGCACACCGGCGCAAGGGGCGGATCGGCTAAGGGGAGAGAGCCCGGGAGCCCTGCACAAATGCGGAACTGCGACGGATGGCAGCAAACCCGCAGGGAAGGGATTGTTATTTAATAAATGCTGCCAGAAATTCCAGCCCAGGTGGGAAAAGAAAGAAATAAGTTCCCTGTTTCACACCTAACACAAAAGTACATACCGACTGGAGGCGGGCTTAAGTGTGAAAAGCAAGTTTTAGAACGTTTAGAAGATGAACTCAATATATTTAAATTAAGAACTTCTTTCTTTAAAAAAGGCCATAAAATAGGCAAGCCACACACTGGGAGAAGATTTTGGTAACTGAGAACAACTAAGAACTTATATCCAGACCACATAAAGAGTACCTACAAATTAGGAAGAAAAAGACAAAGCAGTAGAAAGTTGGGCTTTTCACAGAAAAGCAAACACCCGGGTTCCATAGCTATGTCAAAAGTTGCTCCGTCTTACTAGTTATTAGGAATATGCAAAATGAAACTGAAACACAACATTTCACTCACTCCATGGTCAAAATGGAAGAGGTTGGACCATCTTAATTGTTAGTACTTACATGTTTATTCTGAAGAGTCAAGCTAAGCTGAAACAACCTCTTTGGAAAATTGTTTGGTGTCATTTCTTGCAATTGAATAGGACATACCTTGGTAATTCTCTGCTAGATACACTCACAAGAGAAACTGCTGCCCGTGTGCACTGGAAGACGGTCGGCAGAGTGATCCTAAGAGCAGTATCAGTACTAGCAACACATCTGCCAGCTGAAACGTCCTCAACAGAATGACAGGTACGCTGCAGCTTGGTGACAGTGGAGTATTACACGGCCGTGAACATGAATGAACTCCAGCTGCAAAGAGCTACCTGGAAGAATCTTAGAAACATAATGTTGGGTGAACAAGTTCCAGAAGTCTCCACACGGCACGGTATTATTCATGTAAAATTCAAAAGCAAGGTTAAACAACATACCATGTAGGCACGCATACATCAGTGATGAGGTTACTTCAACACAAGACAGCCTGAAGCCTGTGGTCCAGTCAGTGCTGAGATTACTTCAACACAAGACTCCCAGAAGCCTATGGTCTGGTCAGTGCTGAGATTACTTCAACACAAGACGCCCAGAAGCCTATGGTCCGGTCAGTGCTGAGATTACTTCAACACAAGACGGCCAGAAGCTTATGGTCTGGTTAGTGCTGAGATTACTTCAACACAAGATGGCCAGAAGCCTATGGTCCAGGGAGCGGCCACCTCTTGGGGAAATGGGGATGGGATGGGAAGGGACTGACTGCCATGAGCAAGTTCCAGGGGAAGTTCTTGTCCTGGCGGGGCTGGGCAGGGCTCATGGTCATGGTATTAACCTTAGGAACATGCACATGTTACATGTGTTCTTTTGCATGTGCCAAATATTAAAAGGAGAGCGAGAGGAGAGGCACTGAAGACAGTGAGGATGGACGGCCCTCAGGGAATCTCGCTGCAAAGGGGAGGCGGGGTCAAGAGGATATTGTGGTGGTTTTCACGTGGGAGGATCCTGTGTGGACTGATGTGGAAGACCCAGGGAAGAGCCAGAGAAGTGACAAAGCAGGAATGAGGAGGCCAGGCAGGGGTCAGCCACAGGGACGTTGCTGGGCAGTGGCAGGAGGTGCAGTGCCAGGGGCAGCAGTGGGGCAGAAGTGGGGCGGGGCTTGGCAGGGCTGGGCAGGGCCGGGCTGGCAGGTCCTCTGCCCCCAGGGCTCAAGCACAGGGCTGACCAGAGCAGCAGTTCTGCCGGCCCCGCAGGCCTGGTATCACTAGTGGGAGCACTCAGTGGCCATCAGGTTCCTCTCCCAGGTTCCCTCCCACATGCTGTCCCCAGTGCAGGTGGCTGGATGGGGTCCAAGACCCATGCCCAGTCTGTCGCTGGGGCCTGGGAGCGGGGTCTTAGCGAGCAGGCTGGGGCCTTTCATGTGGTCTCTGTCCAGCTGGGCACAGCAGGGGGAATCTTCCCTACTGCCAGAACGGCTTGGATTGGGTTTCCCGCCTGAGATAATTAGTGGTTCTTAGGAAAAGGTTAGAAGAGTTCTTGCTTAAAAACCACCAAATGGGACTGGGCACACTGCACTGCTCCTAAAAATCAAAGAGGAGGCGTGGAGCCCAGACAACACTCCTCACATCAAAGTGGCCAGCAGACGGCCCAGGGCAGCGGGCACAGCCTCCTGCACGCCTCTCCCCAGCCCTCTACTCACGTTTCAGGGTGTGTGTGGGGGGCCAGCTATTCTTCTGAGTAATTCAATCGGAGCCTCACAGGGTGGTGGGACCCACACCTGTGGGGGTTCTGGGTAGGCCTGGGTGCCTCCACAGTTCCGACCACAGTTGGCTAATCCACACCTGGGCCTGGGCCCCAGCAGCACCTGTTGCCAGGTGAGCCTGCCTGCCTGCCTCCCAGGCCCTGCAGGTTGTGGCCTTTTTAAGCACAGCTGACGGGCACACTGACTTGTGAGGTGGGCGGGGGCCCAATAACACAAGTCCATGGTGAACATTATAGAGTGGTTCTTATTTCTGAAGCTGAGACCTATGCAGTGCCGGGCAGGTGTCTGCCAGCGCCCCTCAGACATGAGCGTGCGTCAGAACTCCCTGGGGAATGTTGACAATGCAGATTCCCAGGCTCTGCCCCAGAGTTTCTGATTGAGATGGCCAGGCTTGAGGAAGTACACGTGTGAAAAGTTTCAGGTGCTGCTGCTGGCAGGGGCCACATGTGGGGGTCGACTGGCCTAGGAGCGCCAGCTTCCCTCCCTCCTTCCCTTCTTTTCTTTCGGCAAATTGTAAGGAGCACCCAGAGCTGCTAGGGGCCAGTTTGAAACTAGCAGTGCTTTGGGAGGAGCAGCTACAGAAAGGCCCTTTCTCTGGGTGGTTGGAATGAACCCAGCCTCTCTGGGTAGGGGCATCAGGGAAAAGTGCTGGCTGCTCAGTGCTGCCGTGCCCCCGGCCACACTGGCGGACACGTGGCTTGGCCGGTAGGAGCCAGGCAGGACATTGGCCCATCTGCCTTGGCTATGGGATGTGTGCAGGGTGCACGACTGGATGTGGAGAGCCTGGCCGGACCCTGCCACACTCAGGGGCACGGGTATCAGCAAGAGCCCCTGAGCATGAAGAGAGCAGAGATGGGGTCCCGGCCTCTGTGGGGTCTGGAAGTTCCCGGCTGATGCCTCCCATCCCCCAGCTCCATGCTCCTGGGCTTTTGAGCCCCTCCACTCACCCTGTGAGGCCTTGTGATGTGGAGAAATTTGTAGATATGCATGCCATCGAATGCCAGAAAGAACAGAAGGTAGCTTACATCTGGTGCTGTAGCATGCAGTCAGTGTTTATCTGAGGTTACTGTGAGCCAGGCATGGGGCGCTCACGTTCTCACCTGGACGTACCAGGGGGATGACAGCAGAGAAAAGGCTGGGACCAGGAGGAGGAGGAAGAGGCTGGATATGAAGCCCGAAGACCCACTGTTACTCCAGGCCAGCTTGGAGCTTCCTGAGGGCCTTTGGGAAAAGGGAAAAGGTTTCTACCTGAAGAGGCACGGGTCTTGTTGGTGAGCCCTGCCCTTCCTGGCGGAGACATCCCTGGGTGGGCTAGGCCTGGAGAAGGCTACCACCCAGCGTTGGTGACCCCAGCACCATGTTGGGAAACATCGGGATGTGAGCCAGGACCCACAGAAGCCTCGATTTGGTCTCCGTGTGTTTTGAAGGTTCATGGTGGGAGGCCCAGGGGGTGAAGGGTATGAAGGCACCTTCTAGTGTTGAAGGCAGGGAACACATGCCCATTGTCTGCATTTCATTTCCCTTAAAAGGAATCTCAGGAGAGTAATAATAGTGATAATTGGTTGGTAGACGGAAGTCATGTTGCTGGGGGCCTGCTGGCCTCTAGGTGCTTTCTGGAGCCCTTTACCTGCAGGCTGGCAGATGGATGTGTTTAATCTTACAGAGTCACCCGCTGTGGCCCTATTGACAGATGGGGAAACTGAGGATCAAAGAAGGTGGATAACCTGCCAAGGCTGCCTGGCTGGTGAATGGTGCTGCCGCTGCTCCTCCCGGCCCCAACCTTCTCTGCTTTCCACCCCCTGGTACCTCTGGGTGGAAACGTGAGCTCTGCGTGCCTGGCTTGTCCTAGCCCCGGATAAACACTCGCTGAACCAATGCTGCAGCGTCAGATGCAACTCCCAGGACGGCCCTTTGCCCACCACGGCAGGGTGGCCAGCCAGTCCCAGTGGCTCCGTGTGTCACCGTGGAAGGTGGCAGGTGACACTTGGCCTAGAGTCTGAGGCTTGGCCTGGGTCCTGCCTGCTACTGGCTGTGGTCTTGGACTTGAAATCGGCTTTTCCTGGCATCTGTCCTGTCTTTTGGAAAGGGAGGCGAGTGGGCTTGTTGGGAGAATGGCAATGAGGAAGCCGAGCTAGCGACCCCGGCATGGGCTGTGAGCTTCAACCACCAGGTTCAACCCTTGGAGCTCCTTGCATGTGGGGTCACTGTCCCCATCTTGCAGGTGAGGAGACTGAGGCACAAGGAGATTCAGGGACCCATGCAGACAGGTGGCAAGGTAGAGCGTGAGCCCAGGGCCACTCTGCCTGCAGCCCCAAGCTGTGGCCACGGACTTCCCATGGGGCGGCTCCTCGGTTTCCAGGCCTGGGCTCAGCCATAGTGACTGCGGTCTGGGTGGACCACCGGCCTCTCTACACTCATGTCCTTAGCTCTCAATCTTCAGGATGGCGGTGGGCATATGGCCTCTCTCCTTTCCCGTGTCCTGTGGTAATGACCTTGATAAGTGCAGAGTGGAGTGAAGAGTGAGGGAGGGAGAAGCAGTGTGGGGTGCAGCAGGCAGAGCTTCCGGTAGCAATGCTCCAGGTGAGGGACCCTCGAAGCTGTGGTTGCAGGACCCATCCCTGGTGCAGCTGGGCCCTCCCATTGCCAGGTGAGGGGCGCCAGGCATGTCGGGAAGGAGGGGGATGTGGGTCAGCCGCGGAACTCATGGGAACTCTGTTGGGACAGGAGTTGTGGGAAACGGCCACTTCCTCTCTCCTGGCACCTCTTCCTTCCAGACTTGCTGATCGAGGCGCTGGCGGGAGAGATCAGAGGCGAGAGGCCTTTCTTTCCTGGGTCGGCGAGGGGCCTTTCTTTCCTGGGTCGATGGAGGTGGGCTCTGACGTTGGGTGATGCGGGTGGCCTCCAGCTGAATCGGGCTCCCTGGGTGCCTGTCCACTCCTCTGCTGTGCCCTTCATTGGCCCAGCACGTCAGGCACTGGGGATCCTGGTCCTCCCATGGGTCCTTAAGCCAGTCTTCAAACAGTTCATGCCAGGGCCCTCTGCCCCTCCTGCGTGGTCCCCACCTGGATCCCAGCAGCCTCAGGTGTTCTTGGGCTCACTGGCTGGAGGCTGGAGGTGCCCTCCCCGGCCCACCCCTGCATGGCTGGGCTGCTGTGGCATCAGGCACCATCTCCATGTGGGGGGCACCAGTCCACCCTCCAGGTGGCCCTGAGCCCTCTCACCAGGCTGGGTGTTAGCTGGTGGAGTGGCCACATCGTTTGCACTAACCCCACTTTCTGGGTCCCTCTGGGTGTTCTCTCGTCTCCAGTGGGTGAAGAGGCCTACAAGTCGGGAGCTGGTTTTTATTCATTTCCTTTGTAAATTCTTATGTCCAGAGGGCTCCTGCCTTGGGATTCATGTCTCTGGTTTTCAGATGGAAATGCCCATTTTAAATCCCGTTACAGGTGTGTTTGCAGAGAAACAATACTGCAGACATGAACGTGTCCTGTGGTTGGTGGGTCAGTGGGGCATTTGCTCCTTTTGTTGTCCTTTTTAGTATTTTACTATTTTTGAGATGGAGTTTTGCTCTTGTCACCCAGGCTGGAGTGCAGTGGCCTGATCTTGGCTCACTGCAACCTCCACTTCTTGGGTTCAAGCAATTCTCCTGCCTCAGCCTCCTGAGTAGCTGGAATTACAGGCACCCACTATCATGCCCGGGTAATTTTAGATTTTTGTAGAGATTGGGTTTCACCATGTTGGCCAGGCTGGGTCAGGCTTGAACTCCTGACCTTAAGTGATCCGCCCACCTCGTCCTCCCACAGTGCTGGGATTGCAGGCGTGAGCCACCGCACCTGGCCCCCTTTTAGTATTTTAAACCATTCCCAGGCTGAACTTTAAGAACTATGAGGAAAAATAAGATGTTTAAAGTCACGAACGAACACACACATCTTATCCTGATGGTGAAACAAATAGTTACAAGCTACTTTAAAATACCAGGAAGTTCTGGATTGGCCAGAGGGTGGGAGTCAAGGTTTGTAGCCAGTTGGGTGTCAGGGCCTCTAGGCATGTACTGAATCCGTGGCCCTTTCTTCGAATAATGTCTTTATTTTATTCTATTTATTTATTTATTTTGAGATGGAGTTTCGCTCTTGTCACCCAGGCTGGAGTGCAATGGCGCGATCTTGGCTCACTGCAGCCTCTGCCTCCTGGGATCAAGCAATTCTCCTGCCTCAGCCTCCTGAGTAGCTGGGATTTCAGGTGTGCACCACCACGCCTGACTAATTTTTTTTTGTATTTTTAGTAGAGATGGAGTTTCACTATGTTGGCCAGGCTGGTCTTGAACTCCTGGCCTCAAAGGATCTGGCTGTCTCAGCCTCCCAAAGTGCCACACCACTGCGCCCAGCCTCAAATAATGTCTTTAAATCAGCCCCAAATCCACGGAGCCACAAGGAAAATAATTACATCGAGCAGCAGTTAACAGAATATCCCAAACCCCAAGGTGTGACAGAGTAAGGCCTGTGCAGCTGCAGCGTGGCGCTGAGCAGGAAGGACGCGTGGAGATGCCGGCTGTGGCGACCGCGTGATTTGAAGGCACCTGTGACTTCTGCTCCTGATGGGGCAGAGGCCTCATGAACACGACTGTGGTCTGTGGCATGCTCACATTGGAGGGAGTGCCAGGAAGTTCCCAGGCCCGGGACGGCCGCGCCTTCTGTTGGTCCATGCAGGGCTCCTGCCTGTCTTTTATGAGTGTAATGTCAGCGGTAGCTTAGCTCTGATTTTAAGCTCAGCTGTACCTCAGCTCTGGTGTAGTTTAGTGGCTTAGCCGTGGCAGGGAGGGGATGGGGTCGGCCCAGCCCCCTCCCCAGGAGGGCTTTCCTGATCTCCCCCATCAGAACAACCCCCTCTCAGCTCCTACCACCTGTTCTGTCTGTCCCAACATCGACCTCTCCCTCCTGTCTCACAGCTGGCTGTGGGCCTGTGAGTGCTCCTGGATGGAATGTCCCAGATGCCGTCGGTCCCAATAAATGAGCCCGTAGCATGGCACCCGATCCACCCAAAACAGACTCTCCAATACATATGGAAAGCGGGGTGGTGGGGGAGCTTTCCAGCATTGTTCCAGTGATTCCCAAACATTCGTGTCCATCGGGATTCCTGGAGGGCTCGTGGAACAGGCTGCCAGCCCCGCACCAGGGTTCCAATTTGTCAGGCCTGGGAGGGACCTGGGAATTCCGCTCCTGACCAGCTCCCTGGTGTTGCTGATGCTGCCGGCCGGGGGTCACACAATGAGAACCACATCCCAGCATTAGCATCACTGTAGTGGGCTGAGCGGGGATCCCCCAAAGTATGACCAGGTCCTAACCCCTGGCACCTCAAATGCGACCTTATTTGGGTAATAGGGTCTTTGCAGGTGTAATTAGGTTAAACACCTTGAGGTGAGGCCATGCGGGATTTAGGGTTGCCCTGAATAGAATGGCTGGTGCCTTATAAGAATAGAGAAGGCAGAGACCACAGAAAAGACCACGTGAAGACAGAGGGCAGAGACTGGAGTGATGCGGCCACAATCCAGGGAAGGCTGGGAGCCCTCCGGGGCTGGAAGAGGCAGGAAGGACCCTCCTCTAGAGCCCTCGGTGGGAGCACAGCCCTGCCAATGCCCTGATTTCTGACCCCCGGAACTGTGGGAGAAGAAACCTCTGCTGTTCTGAGCTCCGGGTTGGTGGTGATTTGTTGTGGCAGACAGGAGAACAGTGCAGCCCCCGAATTGTGCTCATTAGCAGCCACTTCCCGGTGCCAAGCTCTGCAAGACCTCACATCGCGACCTCCAGGCAGCCAAGGCCACATGGGGCAAGTGCAACGATTTCATGCTTCTGCGCCCTGCTGTTTCTCCATGCAGCGGCCCAGGGGTGCTTCTGGAACACATCTAGGCCTGAGCCCCTGGGTTCCGGGAGCCTGTGGAGAGCTTGCAGCTTGGGGCTGTCCCCAGGGCCCCTCTCTCTCAGTTTTGTTTGGAGCGGTGGCCTCGAATGCTGCCCGAGCCTGGGCTGGGGGTACCACCTGGGCAGAGGGATGCCCTGTGACCTCTCAAGGGGCTGCGGCATCTGGGAACAACCTGCCCTGGGCCCAGGGTTGGGGGGTCCATGGGACAGGCATGGTGGGGTGGTGCTGGTGCAAAGCTGCCTGCCCAAGTGGGGAGTGCTCCAGCCGCATGGGGCATCAGTCACCTTGGGTATTGCTCCAGGAGCAGGCAGTCTGGGAGACCTCAGAGGAGGCCTGCTGGCTGGTCCACTGGTTTGTCAATCACTGGCAGGGCAGAGAGTGATGAGCTGGGCTTGGAGGGGACACAGTCTTGGATATGAGCCCAGCTCTGTGGGCACAGGCACTGTGGCCCCTTCTCCACTGGCCTCAGGTTCCTGGTGTGTGAGATGAGGTGGAAGTGAGCAGAGGGGGCTCCTGGCAGGGCTGCGAGCCTCCTACCTCTGGGTCCCACATCGGTGCTGGGTCCCAATGCCCACCTTGTCTCAGGGGTGACGTCATCACCTTTTGAAGAAGCCCCAGATGGTGTTGAATAGCGATCGCCACCCCCAGTGTGCACCAGGGAAGGAGCATCGTAGACCTAGCAGATGAGGGCAGGCATGACTGAGCCCGTCCCAGCTGGGCCTGGGTACCGGAGGCTTGTAACCTACAAGATGCCCTCAGAGCATAATTTGCATACAGGTGAGGGCCTGCGACAGAGGCCCTGCATGTCCAGAGGCATGGCCAGGTAGAGTAGGTAGGCAGGCTAGACACACCTGGAGATGCTGCCCTGGGCACACGCAGTTCCTGGGTAAGCCAGCGGAGGGCAGCAGAGCCTAGCGGCAGGCGACCCAGTGCCCAGGCCCTGGTACCCTCCTTGCCTCGCTCAGCACCAGGCCTGGGAAGGCAGGGGGAGTCCCCTCCTGGCAGGAGCTCCTCCTCCTCCTGGCAGCCTTCCTGGGCCTGTGCTGGGAACCTTACAACCCTTGCCTAAGAGACCCTAGGGGAATCTGTGTGGTGGCAGTGACAACCAACACTTGTTAGATTCTAGCCAGGAGAGAGGGTAGCGTGCTTTTAGTGGGGAGAGGGTGTGATGAGGTGGGCTGCTGGCTCCCACCACCAGGCCAGCCGGCCACCTGGAGTGCAGGGTACTGATGGGGCCCTCTCTGGCTGTGGGGTTCCCGCTGGGTGGGGCTGGAGCATCCCCTGGGTCTGTCCACCTGCCAGCCACTGTGGGGACACTCAGACTCCCTTCTCCCCGGGTGGGCCACGTCAGTGCCCCCGGGCATGTGAGGTGCTCAAAAGACCCTGCGCTTCTGTGGGTATGCGACTCATTCCACCTCATTTCCCCAGAAATCCGGGTCTCCAGGAGGCTCTTGCAGTCACCCCTTGCTGGTGAGTGCGCTTAGGGAAAGGCCATTTTCAGCCTTCACTGGGGCAAAGAAAAGAGGCTCTGTGTCTGGGGATGCAGTGGGCCACTGGTGAGGGGGGTCACGCTTTGCAGACAGGGCCAAAGTCCCAGAAGGGGAAATAGGTTGGGAGCTGTCAGAGGCCAAGTTGGACAGCTCCACCTTTCCCCCCGCACTGCACAGCCCCTTCTCCTGGAAGTGGACAGGGCAGGGAGGACTGAGAGGGGAAACTGAGGCCCAGACATCCAGGCAATTGCTGAGGTCACCCCAATGTCTGTTCCTTGAGTGCAGCAGTGGCTTGGGCCCCGGGTGCCCTGCCTGTCCATCAGCTCTGCCCACGCCCCCTCCCTGCTTTTTCTCCTTGGCATAGCCCACCCAGCCTCTGGCACAGCCCTGGAAAAATGGTCAAGGAAAACTCTGGGTGCTGGGCCAGCATCAGAGCAGAGCCTGGGGGACCCTGGACCTCCGTCGGTGGCCACAGCGGGAACACTGTGTGGAAGTGTGCTGTGCATACTCATGCATCCTCACTTCTGACTTACAGAGGAGGGAGCTGGGGCTCAGAACATCCTGGAACACGCCTGCCCCTGAGTACACCTGGGCTGGCTGCCTCCAGAAACCAGGGTGGTGTTGGCCACTCTGACAGGCAAAAGGGATTGCATTTGTTTTGGGAACTGTCTGAGGTTAGAAGTCACCCAGTGAAGACAGGAGAACACGGGTGGGGGATATTGCCTCAGTCTGAGTGCCCAAAGGTGGCGGTATTAGCTCAGCTGTGGGGACAGGCGGTGCACAGCCTGTGCTCTGGCCAGGAGGAAGGGGTGCATCAGGGGCTCTGTGGCTGGAGGCAAGGAGACCTCTCAGTAGAGCTGGGAAGGAGGAGTGGGGGCCCTCCTCCCTTGAGAGGTGGCAGGTGGGCAACGATGGCCATGGCTGGGCTGGAGGGAAACTGCTGACCCACGTCACTCGAGCGGGACATGAGACTGGCCCAGGCAGAAGGGCCTGAGACCCCAGGACCCTCATCAAACGTTCACCGGCTCCTTGGGGTTTGATGAAGGGTTCGCAGGCCCGGCAGTGTGCCCCCTCTGGGAGGCAGTCTTGCCTGGCTCATCTACCTCTGGCATTTGTTTCAGTTGCCAAGAATGTGTTTGGCGGCGCCAGGGCCGATGGTCCCACTTTCCACCTGGCAAGTAGTCCTGCCGTATAACTGAAAGGCAGCGACTCCACATGACCATGGGGCAGGCAGGATGGCGAGCTCTGCTCCATCCTGCATGGGGGCAGTGGCCCCGGGAGGCGGACTCCGGGCTGGACGGGAGACATGGGGGAAAAGTGAATCTGGTAGAGGTTACAGAGGGGCCACCCACTTGGCTGGGGCAAGCAGGAATGCTTTCCAGAGAGGCCACACTTCCAGGCTGTGGGGACCCGAGCACAGGGGTGGCGAGTTCTGGCATTTATTATTATTATTTGTTCCAGAACAAAATTCAACTCCCATCCTCAGTTGGCCAATAATGTGGTAGGAACAGGTGGGAGCTGACCCCCAGATGCAGGGTGCTGGGTGCTGTGCTGATTTTCTGGGGCTGCTGTGCAAAGTACCACAGCCTGAGTGGCTTTAGACCATGGAGATGTGCTGTGTTGCAGTTCTGGAGGCCAGAAGTCCCAGGTGCAGGTGCCAGCAGGACTGGGCACCCTCTGAAGGCCCTAGGGAAGCGTCCCTCCTTGCTGCTCCTGGCTTTTTGCGGCTCTGGTGTTCCTTGGCTTGTGGCTGCATCGTTCCAGTCTCTGTCTCCCCCTTCATGTGTCTTCTCCCCTGTGTGTCTGTGTCCACATTTCTCTCTACTTATAAGGACACCGATTGTATTGGATTCAGGGCCTTCCCTGCTCCAGTATAACCTCAACTTATTACATCTGCAGAAACCCTATTTCCAAGTAAAGTCACATCTGAGATTCCAAGTGGATGTGAATTTTAGGAGCACCTGATTCTACCTTTCCAGGTGTTTTCTCTCTCACAAGCATTCACGAGCAGGCAGCTTTTTGATTTTTACGGTGAGGGGCGGAACCCAGCATTGCTTTGAATGGCCGCATGCTAGGCATTGGGAGGGGTGAAGGCCAGAGAGTGGGGTGCAGGTATCAGGAATGAAGGGATGGGGGCCAGGGAGGCTCTAGCATCCAGTCTTCCTTCTGATCCCAGCCTTGCCATTTGCAGCTGTTTGGTGTTTGGGCAAATTATTGGACCTGCCTGAACTTTAGTTTCCACATCTGTAAAATGGGCCCGTTATTTCTCTGCACTGCACTGGCATCAGTTGCTGGTTCTCTGTAGCGAATGGAGATGACAGAGTCGGTTTGTACAGGGCCAGGAATGGTGTCCTCAGAAATGTTCCGGGGGTGGCCCCAGCTTCTCCTCCACCCGCTGGCTGCACAGACTCCTTGTGCCTTGGGTGCCTCATCTGCAGAACGGGAATAACCACAGTTCCTGCCCTGTTGGCTTAAGGCGAGGACAGGTGGGAGATGGGCCCAAAGCCCTCCCAGGTGCCTGGCCCGGGGCCAGCCTTCGATGCAGATCAGCCTCCGTGCAAGTCAGCTCTGGGGCTCAGGCATCTGGAGATGGTCGGGGAGGCTCTTGCAGATCTTTCTTCTTTCCCCCGAGACCCTGGCTCCACTGTGAGTTTTGTTGGCATTATTGGAGGGCGGTGGGGAGTGAGTGGCGGCGAGATGGACCTGGTAGCGATGACAGTTGCCAGCCACATCTCCAAGGTGGACTTGGTCCCAGCCTGGCAGCACAGGTGAAGCTGGGAGTGGTGCGTGCAGGGCTCTCTGAGTAAGCGGCATCCCAGAGCCTTCCTCTTGGACACTGACCGATGGGACATCGGGCCACGCAGCGTCCACACGCAAGCACTTGCCACCAAGTGTGTCTGCAGCGAGAAGATGCCAGGGGCTTGTGTGGCAGTGGAGCTGTCAGCGCCCACCTGCTGGGTCGAAAGCACCTGTCTCTGCCCAGAAGGGAGGGTCCCGTGGTGGGTGAATGAAGGTTGGGTTGGTTTCACAGACCCCCGTCGTGCCCACTTTGCCTGTCTCTCTGTCTAGACTGAGGCCACGTCAGCTGGCAGGGCCTGTGAGCCCTCTGGCCTTACATTTCCTTGGTCTGGGCCTCTCTGTGTCACATGGCGAATGATCCCTGAGCAACAGTGCCACGTCCTTGGGGAGCTTCGGTTTGAAGGGGCCCCTCCATGGATCTTTTGTAACGTGAGCCATTGCCCCGTGGGTTGGGGTTTCCATGGATTGGTGGGGCACACCGCACCTGTGGTCAGCCCCCACCCCCATCTTTGAGTCTGGGTAAGACAACTCTGGCCTTGCCCGGCCCGGGGTGCCCCCACAGCTCATTCACCTGGCACAGAGAGGCAGTGAGCAAACCAAGAAAGGCACTTTTGATCTGGGGACGGCTGGCACGTTTGCCAAGAGCCCCCAGACAGCCCTGCCTGGCTCGAGCCCAAGACAGCTTCTCAAAGGGCAGTTCCTTTGAGAGAGACTGTTGGGAAACACCTTTGAAAAATGGCTTTGTGCAGCCGGCCTGGAGGGCTGTGGACCGAGCCCCAGGGCTCCTCCTTGGCCACCAGCCTGGGTCCCAGGACGCAGGGCCATATGGCAGGTTTAGAAATTAAGCCAGGCCCTGACATTCCTGTGTGCAGCTCCGGAGGCCCCCTCCCCGCCCCGTGCCTGCAGCCCACTCCCTACCTCTGCCAGCCCGGGGCTCAGCGCCTGCCCTGTGCTTGGGGTGGGGTGAGGAGCTGGGCTTCCACGCCAGCCGACTGGGAAGCTTCTCCAAGTGGTGAAACCCAAGGGAAAGCCGTGGAGTCTTTCCCCGCTGCCACCCGCCTTGGTTTAGTGATGCTCTGCTGGGCCACGTATCCTGCTCTCAGAGTTCAGAAGGGACTTAATCTATTTTTGTCCTGTTCAGCCAGGATGATTATCTTTAATAAGGCCATCTTGAACGTTTCCTTGTCAGCTCGTTTTAAGGAAATGTTTGCGCATTAAGCATTTTCCCACAGCGGTAAGACAATGTGCTGTCCCTTGCCAAAGATCACATTTGCCATCCTCGGCGTTCCTGCCTCTGGACGGTGAGCCTGGAGGCTGGCCAGCCCATTGCTGCCAGGGGCCCTCCATTGATCACTATCAGGATGTGATTGATTAATATCATGGAGGAGGAGGCCTGCGCTTGGCTGGCCCGGAGCTCCCTGCTGCCGAGGGGCTCTGTGGGCAGGGTCCATGACCACTGGCAGTGGGGAGGGGCAGCAGCGAGGTGGTGCATGGGCTCCGGCAGGTGGCCTGAGTGATGGGCTGAGCTTGGCCGTAGCCGTGTGAACCGGCCGCCCGGCCCTGCCCCCAGCTCTTTGAAGCACTTCCAGTTTGCCCAGCTGGGTACGTCCAGTGCAGCCCTTTACATTTCCAGTTTGTCCAGATCCACAAAGCAAAACCAAACTTTCCAGGTCCCCTGAGGCCTGCTGGCCCTGGCTCCCAGGCCCGGCTGCCCAGTGAGGCGCTGTGGGAAGGTGCCTCTGGGTGATTCTCTGAGCCCGTGGGCAGGGGACGGAGGGAGCTTGTCCCAGCCTCCTGTCCTTGGTGAACTGCTCCAGTGGGGACAGGCCTCCCTCCACCATCTTCCCACTCAGGGCTACCCAGAGGCCAGGCTCCCAGGGCCCAGCCCTCACCTGCTGAGTGACCAGGGCAGGGGACAGCATCTGTATCTGGCTGTGTGGGGGCCCAGCCACAGAAAGGCAGGTGGGACAGCAAATGGCAGAGTTTGGGGTTTTCAGAGGCCACAGCTTCTGGGGAGAGGAGGATCCCTGAGCATGAATGGTTGCAACAGGATGTGGGGAGGGAAGAGGAAGAACTGGTCCAGACAGAGAAGGAGTAAGGAGGGCCCAGGGCAGTGGGCAATGCTGTGTCTGCTCCATATCCAAGAGGTGGTGCTGGGGCTGATGCCTGCGGAGAGGTGGGCAGCCCAGGGACTGCCTGGCCTGCTTGAGAAGCTAATGGCTGGATGGGTAGGGCCATCCAGTGAGGGTATTTTCTAAATTGGAAAGTCCCTGATTTTTTGGGAGCTGGAGAACTTTAAAGTGGGAAGGGCCTGTGGAGAACTTAGCATCAGGTCCCCTGGTGTTGGGGAGGCTGAAACCTGGCATGGCAGGAGTGGCCCAGCCCGTGCTGCTGGGAGAGGACCAGTGGCTGCTGCACTAAGAGCTTACCTGGGGCAGGTCCACGGGTCTCTCACAGTGCAAACCCCATGGCCTGGAATGCAGTATTCATGCCAGAAACACTGAGAAAGGCTCTGCCATCCAGGGACTATGCTGTGAGGGTTTGCTGAGCACCAGGATTTTCTGAGCAGTGGGGTTTGCTAAGCACCTGGGTTTTGCTAAGCACCAGGGTTTGCTGAGCACTGGGGTTTGCTGAGCACCAGGGTTTGCTGAGCACCAGGATTTTCTAAGCAGTGGGGTTTGCTAAGCACCTGGGTTTTGCTGAGCACCAGGATTTTCTCAGCAGTGGGGTTTGCTAAGCACCTGGGTTTGCTGAGCACCAGGGTTTGCTGACTACCATACTGCCTTGGATGCCACAGTGAATGCAGGCACAGCCCCACCTGAATGTTGCTTCAGCCTCCTCTTATCCCAGCTCTGTGAGATGGGGCCCCCACACCCCAGGGTTGTCCAGAGTATCACACCTCAGGATTGTCCAGAGTATCACACCTGGTCACACCCTCCTCCTCATCTTGGGAGAAGCCTCTGTGACCCACCTGCTCATGCCCGTGTCCTGGGCTCGGTGTTGATGCTCCCACCCCACCCCATTGCAGTCATCAACAAAGTCCATTTGAACCTCCAAGCACATTTTTGGTCTGCCTCTCCTCATTCCCTCTCCCCTGTCCCAGCCCCGCCATCCAACACACCTGGAGGACTATAGTGGTCCCTGATGGTCCACCTGTTTCTCCACTGCTGACTTCTCTGCTCTGTCTTTGCACCCGCAGCAGCTATTGGATCATGTCCCTCCCCGTTGTGAAACTCAGCCATGGCCGTCCACAGCCCTCCACCCTGGTCCCCAGCCTGCGTGCACGAGCCCCTGCCCACTGTGAGCCTGCCACCCCTGCCATGTCACTGGCCAGCACTACACCTCCCAGCCTCAGGGCCTTTGTCCAGGATGTTTGGATTGGGCTGAATGATGACCCCCTTAACGTATGTCCAAATCCTAACCTAGAACCTGTGGGTGTGACCTTTTTGGAAAGAAGGGTCTTTGCAGGTGAAATTAAGGTAAGGGATGAGATCATCCTGGATTATCTGTGTGGGCTCAAAATCCAATGCCAGGTGTCTCATGAGAGAAGAGGTGAAGACACGGAGAGGAGGAGGAGGATGCACGAAGACAGAGGCAGAGACTGGAGTGATGTGGCCACAGTCAAGGAACACCTGGAGCCCCCAGGAGCTGGAAGTGTCAGGAAGGACCCTCCTCTAGCACTTTCAGAGGGAGGGCGGCCTTGCTGACACCTGGGTCTTGGGCTTCGGGTCCCCAGAACTGAGAAAATAAGTCTGTGTTGTTCTGAGCCACCCAGTTTGGGATGGTTTGTTACAGCAGCTGCAGGAGACTTGTACACATTTGTTCTGCCGACACGCTTTTCTCATTCTCACACGCCTTTCAGGTCTCAGACCCACTCCCTGGGGGAGGAGCTCCTTGGTGCCCATCCAAGCACCTGCCCCTGCCCCTTTGGGAGCCCCACCACAGTCTATGATCATGCATTTATTGATCACTTATTAACTTATTTATTGGCTAATTACACATTTGTTGACTATTGAAAATGCGAACTATGTCTGGTTTACCTTTGAATCCCAGCATCTGTGAAGAGCCGGCTCCTGCTATTATTATTGTTAATCAGTATTAGTATTAGCATTAAATGAATGAACAGGTACCTCCTCATTCATTCATTTATCCATTCAATTACCATTTATTGAATGCTGCTGGGTGCCAGGGGCTGGGGATATGGCTGTGAACAAGACAGACCCAAGTGCCTGCCTTGGTGGGCTCTTCTAGTCAGAGTGGCCAGGAGAAGCAGACCAAGTGTCTGGTGCATCAGGCAGTGGTGAGCTCCAGTGGAGATTTAGCCTGGGCCAGGGCAGGCCTGGCTGATGAAGGAACACACATCCAAGGAAAGGGAGGCAGGGATCCCAGTGGAGACCTCAGGACAGAGCAGCACATGCCAAGGCCCTGAGGTGGGGCATGCTGAGCTCCTCGAGGTTCCCTGAAGGGGCCTTGTGTGGAGCAGAGGAGCTCCTGGCGGTTTGAGTGGAGGAAGGATGAGATCCAATGTACTCTGTTAAGGCTCGCCCTGAGTCCTGATGGCTGGGATGTCCATGGCCTTTGAGCTGTGCAGTGGAGAAGTGAGAAGTGAGGATCTGCAGGGGTGGCTCCAGGCATTTTTGAGTCTGCAAGGGAGACAACTGATCACTTTAATCAGGCACTGCAAACTCTTTAGATCAAGAGCTGGGAGATGTGGCCATTTTCTTGCTCACTCTGAGGTGGGAGATAGCTGAGGTGTTGACCAAGATCAAGACAGGGCAGCACCACCGTTTGCCATGCTCTGCCTTTAGGCATCTCCCACCTGGCTGCCTTGAAGAACACTTGCTCCCTTCAGAGTTGCAAATCAATCAATTGATAAATCAATCAATACATCAATCCTCATGTTACTTTGTTAATCATCTCCTGTATCAGTCACAGCACTGGCATCTGGCACACATTATCAAATTTAATCCTTCCTACTTTCCCTTATGAGGCCCTTTATACAGATGAGGAAACCGAGGCTCAGAGAGGAAAGTCTGTGGCTTCAGGGTCATCAGCTAGGAAGTGGCCAACTCTGGCACAGACCTCAGGCCTGTGTGAGGCTGAGTTCAGTGTGTCCTGGCATGGAAGAGAGAGAAGTTGGCAGATGCAGTGCCCTAGCATCTACTTGGAGGAAGAGGTTGGGATCCTTGGGAGAGAGGGCTTCTGGAAGTGCAAGTGTTCTAGGAGAGAACTGTGTGAGCAGTGCACAGTGCTGGAAAACATGGGGCCAAGAGGTTGGCCTGGTGGGGTTCTCTGTCTCTGAGGCTACGACTGGGGGACACAGCCAGTGGGGTCCCTGACTGAGACCTTTGTAGAGTTCTAGGGAGAGAAAGGCAGGAAATACAAATTATTCTACCAAGACAGTTGTCTTTCTGGGGTATGACCAGTTTTCTCCACCCACCATCCATCCATCCATCCATCCATCCATCCATCCATCTAAATATCCATCCATTCATCCATCCATCCATCCATCCATCTGTCCATCTAAACATCCATCCATCCATCCATCCGTCCGTCTGCCCGTCCGTCCATCCATCCATCCAAACATCCATCCATCCATCCATCCAAACATCCATCCATTCATCCATCCATCCATCCAAACATCCATCTATTCATCCAAACATCCATCCATCCATCTAAACATCCATCTATTCATCCATCCATTCATTCATCCAAACATCGATCCATCCATCCATTCATCCATCCAAACATCCACCCGTCCATCCAAACATTCATCCAAACATCCATCCATCCATCCATCCATCCATCCATCCATCCATCCATCTAAACATTTATCCATCCATCCAAACATCCATCCATCCAACCATTCAAACACCCATCCATCCAACCATCCAAACACCCATCTATTCATCCATCCATTCATCCATCCATCCATCCAAACATCTGTCCATCCATCCATCCATCCATCCATCCATCCGTCTGTCCATCCATCCATCCATCCATCCATCCATCCATCCATCCATCCATCCATACATCCATCCATCCATCCATCCATCCATCCATCCATCCATCCATCCATCCATCCATCCATCCAAACATTCCCCAAATATCTATCCAAACTCCCTACTTCCCTCTTTGTAGTCTATGACA
Organism: Homo sapiens; assembly: GCF_000001405.40. Taxonomy (NCBI): domain Eukaryota; kingdom Metazoa; phylum Chordata; class Mammalia; order Primates; family Hominidae; genus Homo; species Homo sapiens. Next base: position 69,111,116 of record NC_000011.10, read on the forward strand.
AACATTCTTGTTGGTACTGGGGATACAGGATGGATCCTAGTTCCTGCTCTCAGGAGGCTGGGAAGCTCTGAAGAAATGATTATGCAAATCTACTAGAATTGTGAGGACCACCAGGAAGGAAGGTACAGCACTCACTAAGAGTGTATAACCAGGCCCCCCTCACCTGGTGCTCAGAGTGGGCTTCTCTGGCAAGTGAGCTGAGATGAATTGGATGAGCCAGAGTGACCTGGTCGGGAGCAGAGAAGCGCAGTCCCAGTGGGAGGAACAGAATGTGCAAAGCGTCTGAAGAAGGAAGGGCTTGTTGAAGTGGGAAGACTGGTGTCTGTAGGGGTGGGTGGGGAAAATGAAGAGGCTGTGGAGGAGGCGGGGGGCTCAGGCACTGGGTCGGGGGGCCATACTCTGATGATGCTGACAGACTCAGGGTCAGGTGATCACTCTGGGGTGTGAACTCAATGTGGCCCCCTTCCAATTCTGTTTTGCAGTCTCTGCTTTCTCAGAAGGTTACTCCAAAAGGGGACCACAAGGTCAAGATGGGCATGGGGAGGCTTTGGATGCCGAAGCAGTTTTATTTTGGCAAGTCAGCCGAAGGAGCACGTGCGCCTAAAATTAGGCAAGAGTGTGAGCTGCACACAAGTTCACACGCTCAAAACTCCTGTGGGCAGGGCCTGCGCAGCTCTCCTCTGTCTGTTAATGGTACAGTCTGTTCAGACCTTTGGAACATTCCTCAGCTTTTATTTAATGTAGGAAGAATCATTTCTGGAATTAGCATATAAATTGGCAGAAGTCAGCAGCTCTAGCAGAAGTCACTCTCTGTGTCAGGACAGGAGAGCGAAGGCCTGTGCATGGATGGGAGGTCCACTCCCACTCCCCTGGCGCCCTCCTTTCCCCTTCAAGGGGCATTTACATGGTTCATTTAAAACACTCCAGCCTTCTTCCCAAAATGTGCAACTTGGGAAAGAATCTGTGTCCCTTCAGCTCTGGCTGCAAGGGGAGAGGGGTCGTGGCCAGGGACGGGGTGCTGAGGAGAGCATGGGAAGCCTTTCTGACCAAATGGCTTGCTTCGGGAAAATTTTCCCACAGGAGTGGCCCCATGGCCTGCCTCCCAGCACAAGGTTATTGAAAGGGAACACAGAGAAATGTTCACTGCCCTAAGCTGTCTTGTCTGGTCTGGTCGGGGGCAGATATTTTACACATTTTATAGCCCTATTAGTTTTAGGTCTTTTGGATAGGGGTGACCAGTTGATCATTAACTGTTTGCTACGTGTGGCATTCCGAATTCTGGCCCCAGATAGCTCAGCCCAGCGTGCTGATTCCGCCTGGCCATTGGGCCATGGCTGGGTGGGCCGCCGCCTTCCCCAGCGGGTGGGGCGAATTCTCCTGATGCCAGGGCTGGGGCCCATGTGGAGGCCTCCCTGGCTCCCTCAGGCTCTGGTGTGAACACTTCATTATCCTTTCTGGGAGTTCAATCCCCTTGTGAACCCTTCACCATGGTGTCTTCACAAGACTGTGGGCGTCTGCCCTAAAAAGGCACCAATGATTTGATTCTGACATTCCTACTTTGGTGTGTTTCCCCCAGAATAAAATAGCAATCAGGCTGAGCGCGGTGGCTCATGCCTGTAATCCCAGCACTTTGGAAGGCTGAGTTGGGCGGATCACGAGGTCCGGAGATCGAGACCATCCTGGCTAATATGGTGAAACCCTATCTCTACTAAAAATACAAAAAATTAGCCAGGTGTTATGGGCGCCTATAGTCCCAGCTACTCAGGAGGCTGAGGCAGAAGAATCGCTTGAACTCGGGAGGCGGAGGTTGCAGTGAGCCGAGATCGCGGCACTGCACTCCAGCCTGGGCAACAGAGCGAGACTCCTCCCCACCCCCCCAGCAAAAACAGCAATAAAACAGGGGCTCTCTCTACGTCCTGGACAACCATGGGGTCTGGGTGTCCTCTTCTCCACCTTTCGGCCTCCAGGCCTGGCCAGGACACTGTCCTGTCCTCGTTGTAAGACTTGCATTTTTGACGTTCTCTACCTACAAAAGGTTCGTGCCAAAGTGCAGCTTTTGGTCGGGTTGGGAATCCTCAGGCGGCTTCTTGGACAGGAGGGTTGGGCAGGTCGATGGGGTGGGAGTTGGGGAGCAGCCACACTCATGAATAGATTCTCGTTTTGCACTAATCAGATTTTCTAGCAGAGCTTCCAGAAATGTCGTTCTCTTGCAGAATCAAAGGCAATTGCAAGGCATTAAAAACCAATGTGCCTTCAGTGTGTGGGCTCCCGGTCTCACCCCCAGCTGGTTCATGTTGCCGCCCAGTCCCGTCTCAGACCTCCTTAGGCCGCCTGTTCTCCCTCCCCGCCCTCAGCTCAGTGCCATCTCCCCTCCCGGCAACTCCCTGTTCTAACTCCTCTCATTCTGGGACACGTGGCCTCTGGTGGGCACTTCCAAATGGTCAGTGTTGTCACTCACCCTGGGCTTAGAACTGTCTATGGCTCTTCAGGATTCAATCTAAGAGAAAAGCCCCAACCCCTGGTTTGAGCCTAGAATGCCCAGCGAAGCCCGGCCCCTCCTTTCCCCACACCTTCACTCAGGGCAGCCTCGAGAACGTCCTGCAGCTGCCTGGACATGGCACCGCTGTCTCTCTCTGTGCGTGTCCACTGCTGTTCCCTCTGCTGTCTCTCTCTGTGCGTGTCCACTGCTGTTCCCTCTGCTGTCCCCTCGTCCCCACCTGGCCAACCTGCCCCACCCCGACGCCCCTCTTCAGGAGGCCTCCCCTGTCCCTGTCTCTGGGCTCTAGTGCTGCATTCATCACGTTATTCCCTTTCCATGAGTCTCATTTCCTCCTGGGTCTCCTTCCACCTCCATGCATTCTGGGGCCAGAGGCAGCTCTGAGCACTGTGGCCGAGGGATAGACGGACCAGTATGTGGGGAGGTGGGTGAGGGGTGTGCAGTTTTATAGCTCAGCCCAGAACATAGGCGGTGGAGCCAGATGGACCTGGGCTCGAGCCCAGCCCTCGCAGCTGTGTGATCTGAACAAGTTACCTAACCTTTCTGAGCCCGGTTTTTTCATGTTAGCAAACAGGCTGTGCGACAGCCCTTCTGGAAGGTCAGGGAGGCTGTGGCCCAGCTCTCGCTCGGAAGTGCTCAGTGATGGGTTTGGAATATTGTGGGGACCGAGGGGTAGGGATGTTTTCCCTGACTGCGTGAGGATGACCCTGGTGTGTGGAGCAAAAAGGCAAGCTGGCCCCCGGGCGTAGGGGCTGGGGGTGCCACAGGGAGGTGCTTTTATGCTCATGCCTTCCAGAATGGGAGAGCCCCAGGCCTCACCCAGGAAAGAGAAGGACCTGTGCCAGGTGCCGGCTTCATGTCCAGCTCTGCCACCCTCTTTCGTAGGGATCCAGGGCCCCATTGTTCACATGGGGGTGGCCTCTAGGCTCCTGATGATCTCTTGGGAGCTGCCCTTGGTGATGCCGAGCTGCCTACAGGGGTCCTTCTGGGGCCTGAGGCCAGGTGGTCACTGGGCCCCTGCCCCTCGGCCCCTTTGTGAACCCAGCAAAACCTGCACCTTTGGCGCATGACCTCCAGCTCCTTGGGAACCTATGGCTGCTCTTCCAGAAGTCCCTCTACCTGGCAATGGGCCCTCCACCGAGAACTCCTGGTGCTGAGATGGACGGATCATGATTTCCTTCTGTCTGCACCAGGCTTTGCTTAGGAGAGAAAATGCCAGAAACAAAAAGGCTTTTCTCACTCTCAGCCTTAACATAGGATTTATTATGAATAAATGAAACTCCCTTGCAGGGCAGTTGCTCTGCGACCAGCGTGGCCTAGGAAGGCTCAGCTCCAAGTGATCAGCTCTGTCCTACAGAGACTGAAGCTTGGAGCAGCTGGTGACAGGACCACGGGCACGTAGCCTGGATTGGGAGAAGTTGGGAGTGGCGATCACTAGTGTTTGCGGAGCACTTGCTAGGAGGCCTGAGCCAAGGATGTTATCTTATTGATGTACGTTATCTTATTTAATCAGAGCCTGCCAAACATCCCAGTCTGCCCCAAAGTCCCGGGCGACACCTGTCGCCCTGGCGTCATCATTAATAACCCCCGGAAGGTGAAAACTCTCAGAGTGCCCTTGTGGAGCTGAGAAGGAGCACGGTTTCACTGTGCTTAGTCCTCTGTCGAGCCCTCTGGAATATCCCTATGATGTGGATGAACAAGCTGTGGGTCAGGGGGATGGAGGGACTTGCCCAGGGTCACCAGCTCGGAGGCAGGGTTGGATTCCAGGATTTATAATCTCAGAGGTGGGATTTAAAGCCACGACCCTCTAATCCTTCCCAAGCAACAGAAGGCACGGAGTGTGTTCGCGGTGTCAGGGAGGGTGGTGGGAAGGCAGGGGCGGAGGTCCCTTCGGAGGCCTGACCTTCCCAGGACCCCTCACCAGCGGTCAGCAGCCGGGGTCCCGGGAAGAATTCTGCCGAGAGAGAGCTTTTTCCCCTTCAAGGAATAAAAAGCACACACACACATTCCTCCGAATCAAAGGTGTGTCCAGAGAGAGGGAGGGCAAGGCCCCTTGACCAGCAGCTGCCAGCAGCCTGGGCACATGACAGCCCCTGAAGGCTGCTGGCACCGACTCTGGCCAGGCATTTGCAGTGGACGGCGGTGCCAGGACAGGGAGGGCGGCCTTTCACCAGCTTGGCACCTCTGCCATGTGACGGCCGCCTCCCCTGGGGGAGGGCGGGGCCGCTCCTCTCCCAGCAGGCGGGTGCAGCCCCAGGGGTGCTGCAGGCCACTGCGGGACCTTCAGCGTCCGGCTCCCGGCACTGGCCTCTGTGCCCTGGCCGTTCCTGGGGTGGGGCATGGGTCAGGAACTCGCACTCTCACTCTCGGGAGATAGGAACTCAGTCCCATTCATAACCCCACCGTGTAACCTGGAAGGCACTTTGCAGTTTACAAAGGCCGTCATAGCCAGGGTCCTTGAAGGAGGCGTGTCACCGTCCACTCTCCAGAGAGCAGCCTGCGGCCTGGGAGGTGGGCTTCGCCTCCTCGACGTCACATGTTGGGGGCTGTTTCCTCGTTGACTTCCAGTGCAGGGCTGTGATCTGGAGTCCAGGCCTTGCTGGCCGGGACCCCCAGGACAAGGGTGGCCGTGACATATGTTCTGGCGCCTTCAGTACTAGTGAAAGAAACGAGCCGGCCGTGTCAGCTGGGAGATTTCTTGCGGCTGCCGTAACAAAAGATCACAAACTGGTGGGGGCTGGAAACCACAGAAATGCCTTCTCTCCCAGTGCTGGGGCCGAAGCCCGATATCTAGATGTAGGCAGGGCTGCGCTCCCTCCGACTGCTCCAGGGAGGGACCCCGGCCTCTGTCTGCCCTGGTGCCTCCAGGTGCCCTGTGGCTTGTGGCTGCCCCGCTCCAGTCTCCGCCTTGTTTTCATGTGGCCCCCATCTCTTCTCCCTGTGTCTCTCCTCTGAGCCTTCAGGAGGAGGCTGGTCATTGGATTTTGGGTTCTCCAGGATGATCTCACCTCAAGGTCCTTAATTGCATCTGCAGATGCCTGTTTCCAAATAGGGCCACATTTGGTTAGGACGTGGACACGTCTTTCGAAGCCACCATGCAGGCCGCTACAGGAGGTTTCATGAATTCATCTCAATTTCCAGAGGACCTGGTGTTGCTTGGCCGGCCCCCTCCAGCAGTGACTGGAGGTTGCTGAGTAGCAGAAGCTTTAGGTGGGGCAGGCCCTCACCTGTCTGCCACAGCGAACCCCACCCCTGACCCCCGACCCTGCCTGGGACCCCTGACCTGGTCTTCCCAGTCCATTTCACAGCCAGGTAAACTGAGGTAGCTCAGGGTGAGTTATTGCCAGGCCTGGGCTGCCCAGGGCACCCGGCCCACGGGGCAAACCCCAACACAGCCCTCAGTTTACCAATTCTCGTCACATGGAAGCCACCTGGGGGCTTCCCAGGGTGTTCTGTCTGCCCCCCTGTCCCCAAGGGTACCTTGTGTCAGGTTGGGATGACTCAGAATAATCAAATATGGCCACGTCTTTTGGGATGAGCAGCCATTTATCGTTTATCCTGGGGATCAGAGTTTTTTCCTCTGTAAAGCTGAATAATGTCGCCTGGTATAGCCCTAGGTAGTGTTACTTTGAAGGCTGAGAGAGAGAATGTGAAAGCGTTTTGGAGCCTGAAGAATACAGAAGGGAGAGACGTGGTGAGCATCAGGGTAGTGCAGTGTTATCTTCCTGAGCTGTACGGGGAGCGTGGTTAGGACAGGAGGGACAGACCGTGGTGAGCATCAGGGACAGTGCAGCGTCCCCTCCTGAACTGTACGGAAAGTGTCCTTAGAAACTTCAGGAACTCCTTCCGTGGAGTTTCCCTGTTCTTTGCATCCATCCTGTGCTCAGCCCTGAGCGAGGCGCTGGGGAAGGGGAGCGAGAAGGGCCTCTGTCTCTGTCCCTCTGGGCGTTACATGACTCCAGGAGTTGGGTATTGAACGTCACAGGCATGGCTGCCCCGGGCTGCCCGAGCGGCTGGACATAGGTGGTGGGTGTGTGGGGCACGAAGGGTGCCTGGCTCAGGCTTCTGGGGACAGCTGAGTGCAGGAGCTGGGGCAGCAGTGAGTCTAGGATGGAGGATGCTTTGTGGGGAGACCACAGGGAAGACCATCTGAGGAAGAGATCCTGTGTGACTGGTCACCCACAGAGAGATGGTGGTGAGACCTCAGCATGGCTGGCTCAGAGCCCCTTCCTGAAATGGCCTGGCATCACGGTGATACAGGAACAGAAATTCGGAGCAAGGGGAGGACTACCATGCCTCTCTTCTGCACTCTTGGGGGCAAGGCCAGAGCAGGAATTGGGTGTGGTGGGGGCTACTGAGCTTGGGTCCTATGTTCACTTTCTCCTTCCATTTATTTATTTATTTATTTATTTATTTATTTATTTATTTATGAGACAGGGTCTGGCGTTGTTACCCAGGTTGGAATGCAGTGGTGCAATCATGGCTCACTGCAGCCTCGACCTCCGAGGCCCAAGTGATCCTCCTACCTCAGCCTCCCAAGTAGCTGGGACTACTGCTATAGTATAGTCCAGTGCCTAGACTGTACTAGTACTATAGGCACATGCCACCACCTCTGGCTGATTTTTGTATTTTTTGTAGAGATTGGGTTTCACCATGTAGCCCAGGCTGGTATCAAACTCCTGGGCTCAAGTGATCTGCCCGCCTTGGCCTACCAAAGCCCTGGGACTACAGACATAAGTCACTGCATCTGGCCTAATTACTTATTTTTTTGGGGATGGGTCTTGCTCTGTCACTCAGGCTGGAGTGCAGTGGCAGCATCATAGCTTAAGCAATGATTTTGTCACTGCACTCCAGCCTGGCAAACCTCAAACTCCTGGGCTCAAGTGAGCCTCCTGCCTCAGCTGCCTGAGTAGGTGGGACTACAGGCATGAGCCACCACATCTGGCTAATTAAAACAATTTTTTTGTTTTTGCTGGAGACAAGGTCTTGCTGTGTGGCCCAGGTTGGTCTCAAACTCCTGGCCTCAAGTGATCCTCTGAACTCAGACTCTTCAGTAGCTGGGATTACAGGCGTGAGCCACTGGGCCTACTTCCTTTCCCTTTAGACTCAAAAATCCAGTGTAGGAGCTTTGTGGTCCATTGAGTAGGCTGCATTGCCTAGCCTCCCTGTTGCTGGAGAAGTGTATCAGCTAGCTTTTGCAGTGTAACAAACCACCTCAAAACATTGTGGCTTAAAACAGCGAGGGTTCATTATTTCTCCAGGTTCTGTGAGTTGGCTAAGCAAGATTTCTGATCCGGGCTGGCCTGGCTGTGGCTGGATGGTTGGGGATGGCCTCTCTCCCATGTTGGGGGCCTCTGCTGGGACAGCGATGCTCTCCCTATGTGCTCATTCATCCTCAGGAGATCAGCCCGGCCTTGCTCATGTGCTGGCGGGAGGTCCCGGTACCGACATAGCAGCCTGCATGCACAAAAGCTTTTCCAGCCTCTGCTTGCATCCTGTTTGCTTCGTCCCTTTGGACAAAGCAAGTCACAGGCCAAGTCCAGATTCAGGGGTGGAGAAATAAACTTCATCTCCTGGTGGGAGGAGTGACATTGTCAAACAGTCATATGAGGGAGTGTGAATAAATTAGGGGTCATTACTGTCATGCTCTACCACTGAGTGTGTGACTCAGTTCTGGCCAATGAGATGTGAGCAGCGTGGGTCTTCTAGGAAGTCTCCTTCCAGGGAATTAGGCACACCTCCTTTCTCCCTTCCACATTCCTTGCTGCTTGGAATGTGGATGTGATGGCTGGAGCTCTTGCAGCCATCTTAGACTATGAGGTTGAGAGCCACACCCTGGGAGTGGTGAATTAGTTGGAAGGAAGCTTGGTTCCTGTTGACTTCTTGGTGCCTTAGACTGCCTATCCCTGGACTTCTTTTACATGATAGGAAATTTACGTGGGGTCAAATTTCATCCTGACTGATACATTTGGCAAAGACTCTTGTCTCTCAGAACGTGAGGATTTGGGTGGCCTCTCCCCAAAGTTAAGTGGATGGACTTAACACACATGAGGAGGGCAGCTCAGGTGCTTCTCAGGGGCCTGGATACCAACCATGGGTTTCTTGGGAGAGATACTCTGGAGGAACCTCTGGAGTTAGGGCACTAGGGACAAACTGGCTTTGAAGGCCTGAGATCCAGATGGGGAGAGTGGCAGCCAGTACCACTGTGCCCAGCACTGGCCTCACCCCTGTAATCCCACCACCAGCCCCTGTAGTAGCTCTGTCACTATTTTACGGGTGGAGTAGCCAAGGGGTAAAGTGACTTTTGCATAAGGCTGTGCGACCCAATGTGGAATGAAGATTCCAACCCGCAAATGACCTCAGGACCCTGACTCTGAGCCGAGACTGAAGCAGCCCATTCATTCATTCACTCACACACTCATCCATTCATTCAGCACTTTCTGAACACCTTCCATGAGCCAAGCACACCTCACAGTGCTGGGGCACCGCAGGGGACAGAACAGACCAAGTCCTATCCTTGTGGCTTGCATTCTCATGGGATCAGAGACTCAGCCCCCTGGGGAAGCAGGGTGGGGAGAGAGGGCAGCCTTGCTGGGGAGGTCTGGGGGTCTCCTTGGAGTAGCATGTCTGAATGGAAGCCACGGCTGGCTTCGCACCGCGGCTGCAGCATGTTAGCTGGGTAACCTCAGGCAGGGTCCACATTGCGCTTCAGTTTCCTCACCTGTAGAACGTGGCCGTCGACCTCCTGCTGGTGGGGCTGGTGTGAGGAGGTGGGGTACCCCACGCTCACAGCAGCATGCAGGGGCTGCTCCTCTGCGAGGACTTGGTGGCTCTATTTGTCCCTCCTAGAGACCTCCAGTCTTGGTCTGGCTCTCTCTTTAGCATGGAGCAGGAGATGAGGAGGTGGCCCTGACTACATCACTGTTGCTTTCCCAGGGTCCTGCTGATGCCTGCTGGCTGGGACGAGAGGGGGGTGCGGTCAGAAAGGGCCTGGTGCCATGTGGCAAACAGGTCGGGTGCACAGGTCACGTGTGAGAGTCCAGCCGCAATAGCGGCTCAGGATCCAGCAAATGGGCTTGGGCCCTTTGCTGCAGAGCTCTTGGGTCAGGTGGTCACACGCTCCTGTGTGCTAGGTCCCTGACATGCCAGGTGCAGGTGGGGGGTGCCCGTCTGCAGTCACGAAGGCTGGAATTCAATCCTGGCTGGGACCCTCACCGGGCAAGTGCTTAGCTGGGCACTCACCAGGCACCCAAAAGTGACCACTGCTATAATCATGGCAGCAATAAGTGTGACATACTCCAAGGTGTTATAATTTAAGGAACTTTCTTATGTGAGCCACACATATACTTGCCCACATGCACACACAGGCACAACACATCTATACAAACATGCACACACACATACATGCTTCTGCACACCAACACACATGTACATGCTTCTGCACACAACACACACAGATACATGTTTCTGCACACCCACACACACGTACCTGCCTGGGCATGCATGCACACACGTACATGTTTCTGCACACCCACACACACGTACCTGCCTGGGCATGCATGCACACAGGCACACAGCACGTACCCATAAGACTCAAGCATGCACACGCCCCTGTGTGCCTTTGGTCTCAGCCTTGAGCTTCACTTACCAAATGTGCAGGGGGCAAAGCCACGCACAGGCTGAGGGCGCCGAGCTGCAGAAGGCCCTCCCAGGGAAGGAAGTGGCAGCAGCTGTTGGGTGCGTGTTATATCCATGCCAGGCTCCTGCTCAGGGCTCTCTGTAGATTTTCTTCCATAAAGAGAAGATTTTCTCATCCCCATCATACAGATGTGGGCATCTAGGAAGGGGTATGACCTGAGAGGCAGGAGGTGTCCTGCCTGGGAGTGGCTCCCCCAGGGCTGGGGTGGCTGTCATCAAGCCCAGCTGACTACCTCCCCTGGGATTTTTGGGTAGCTGGTGAAAGGTTGGCTGGACCACTCTGTATCATTGAGGCTCGGAATTGGTGGTTTTGGTCGGGGGGGAGGGCCGTGGGAGCCAGGCAGAGGTGCTGGAGAGAGGGAGACAGTGCTACCCTGCACGGGGGTCCTGGGAGCAGTGGAACGTTATTCAATGCAAGTCATCCAGAGCCTAGGCCTTTGGGACCGCCTGCCCCCACCATGACCCTGGGGTGCCCAGTGAGGGGCAGGGGGCAAGGTGGGCCTGAGAACAGGAGTGGAGGCAGCTGGCGGAGGGCAGCTCGGAGGGAGTCAAGCCCCTGCCCATCTGTCTCAGCCCGATCCCCAGGGACTCTGGGGAGGCCCCTGGTGGAGTGTACTGCTCCGAGGGCAGTGGGAGGCATTGCTTGGAGAATTAAAGAAGAGCGTGATCCCAAGTGGCCGAGAACTTGGAGTGAAGAGCAGTGTGCTCAGGACCCATGTGGAAAGTGGATCCCGGCTCAGCCATCCTTCCCCACCCCAAGGAGCCTTTGGATCAGCCCTGCCCTCCCTGCAGCTGCACCCGCACGTGTCTTCCCAGGCTCTGAGGGGCTCACAGGCGGGTTGGGGCGGAGGGTCCCATGCCCTCTGGGAGCCTGCTGGAGGCACTGCACTGCAGAGGGCATGAACCTGCAGATTCTGGCCTTGCCACATCCTCAGAGTGTGGCCGACGGCAAGCTGGCCTCTCCACATGCCAGTTTCTGCCTCCCTAACGTGGAGAGGGTACAGCACAGACAACAGATACCACGTGAAAAGCCCCTACCCAGTGCCTGGCACACAGCGGGTGCTTCGGTTCTTATCTCATTGGAACTGTACATGTGCCTGGGGTGGTAGGAATTCCTGTCCCTTTTCCAGGTGGGGCATCTGGGACTCAGACCCATAAGTGGCTTGCCCCAGGTCGCACGGCCAGTTTGAGGTAGGGCCCCATGTCTGCGTATATGATCCCATCGTGAGACAGCACCTCTGAGCAGCCAGCCTTCCGGGGCGGCTAGAATACTCTTCAAATCTACAAGGTTTCATTTATATCCAGGGACAGCCATGCCCAGGCAGCGCTTGGCCAAGAGAGAGCACTGTGCTGGGAGTCCAGAATCTTGGCCCCAAATCCCGGCAGGACCCAGGGCAAATGGCTTCCCTCCTGGCGAGTGCCTTTCCTCCTCTTGGGCACAGTTCCGATGTTACCTGGGCTGGGCCATGGAGAATGCCGCCCAAGGGCTGGTCCTGGGCCATTGTTTACCCTAGTTCTGCATGGAGGGTTTGACCTCACGCCCGGCTCCCCACCTGCCCGCCCTGCTGTGCGGCCTCCTCCCTGCCTCGGCTGACTCACAGCTCTGCTATGCGTCCTGCAAACATTCCGGAGCCCTCGCCCTGCAGCAGTGCTCTCTGCATTGGTGGATAATAGGGCAGCACTCTGTACCCAGAACGGGAGGCATTTGGGTCCCCTAAGAAGCATTTGTCATTCTGTCCCTGCCTCTGGGCTCCTCGCCTGTGATCTCAGAAACAGGGCTGGGTGTGTCTCTGCAGCCTTCCTGGGGAAGTTTTCTTTTAATCTGCTAGACCCATGGCGGGGGGGCGGGGGGAGGGGAGCCAGAACACTCTGATCTGTTCCTGCCAGCTCAGGGACCTCGGGCAAATCGAGTCAGCTCCCTGTGAGAGGCGGGAGTGGGCGGCATCAGTGGTTTGCAGAGACGTAGGTTGCAGAGCCAGTGAGCCGGTGACATCTTGCATGCAGCCTTGATCCAGGGAGTGAAGGAAGTGCTCAGGCTGGGTGTGAGGGCGGGGAGGGGGCTGGGGCAGAGCTGGCTTTTCTGTGCGCTCTGCGGAGACCTCTGAATCTCCTCTACCCGTGGTGGGGGAAGCCCCAGAGTTCCCTGCACCTTTGAGGTCTCTCCTCACGCCAGCGGGCTGCAGCCCACGGTAGCCCAGGGTCACATAGTGGGGCCCAGCTAGAGTTTGAACCCAGAACTTTGTGACCTTGCACCCTGCAAGCATTCCGCTTGACCATTAGGGTGGTCAGCACCTGTCCCTGCCGCCGAATGCCAGCTCTGTGAGGTTGAGGCCCCACCCACCACTGCACCCAACACTGAGCATGGTGGTGAGTGCGCGCCAGGTGCCCAAGAGTCCTTTGCTGAGTGGGCGACGGGTGGGGTCCTCCTACTTCCCCCTGCCCTCCCTCCTGGCCCTTGCAGGGGCTAAGTACCTTTGTACCCCTGGGTGCCCCCGCCACGACCCTCCCCGCTGGCCCACTTCCCCCTTCCCTGTTCTAGCCTTCAAGGTCTGCAGTCTCTGGTCTCACTTCTCTCCTCCCCTGGTTCCAGTAGACAGCGGCCAGAGGAGGCGCTCCTGGGGTTGGATTCACTGTTGGTTTTAGGAACTGAGAAAGGCCCCCAATCCCCGAGAAAATCCAGGGCAGAATGTGGCTGAGGAGCTGGAGGGAGGAGAGGAGACCAGGCGCCCTCCCAGGGCCTCCACCTCAGGCCTGTAGATATGAGGTCCCCCAAGGCCTTGCTGTGTGACCTGGGCAAGTTACTCCATCTCTCTGGGCCCGGATAGGGATCAATGGATCCTATCTTGTCGGAATGCGGGGGCATTGAGGGCAGCTGGAGAATGTAAGCTTAGCTCCCAGACTGGTGCTCGGGAGGGCCGGCGAGGGTTCTGCTACGTTTATTACCACCTTTACTGGCGAGTTCAAAAGGAGCAAATCAGCAAAGGCCCCAAAACACTGGGGCCCAACAGACACGCAGTTTCCCCTTGAACAATGCACGTGTTAGGGTTGCGACCCCCTCCCCCATGCAGTGAAAACCTGCATGTAACTTTCGACTCCTCCAAAACTGAACTACGAATAGTCGACTGTTGACCAGAAGCCTCACTGATAACATCAACAGTTGATGGACAGATATTTTGTATGTTACATGTATTACATGCTGTGTTCTTACAATAAAGTAAGAACATGTTATTAAGAAAATCATAAAGAAGAGAAATATATTTACTATTCAGTAAGTGGAAGTGGATCATCATAAAGGTTTCCATCCTTGTCATCTTACATCAAAGAGGCTAAGTCAGAGGAGGAGGGGTAGGAAGGAGGAGGAGGAGTGGGAGGAGAGGTTGGTCTTTGTGCCTCAGGGGTGGTAGAGGTGGAAGAAAACCTGCCTATAGGTTGAAACCCGTGTTGTTTAAGGGTCAGCTGTAGACAGATGGCTCCCAACTTAGGATGCAGCTTAAGGATCTCTTGACTTCACAATGGTGTGAAAGCCATATGCGTTCAGTAGAACATCAGTAAATTCCATGAAATAGTAAACATCTTATTATAAAGCAGGCTTTGTGTTAGATGATTTTGCCCAATTGTAGGCTAATGGCAGTGATCTGGGCACACATAGGGTGGGCCAGGCTGCGCTATGATGTTCAGGTGGATTCAATGCGTTTGATTCAGTGGATGGGTTTGCTGGAACGTAACCCCATCGTAAGTTGGGCAGCATTTGTCATGCGAACCACAGAGATAATTTACAATTTTTGAGTAGCCACATTAAAAAGGTAAAAAGAAACTGGTGAAATGAATTTTAATCACATTTTATTTAACCCAATCCATCCAAAATATTGAAACAGCACATAATCAAAATTATTGGGATATTTTGCATTCTTTTGTATGTACTAGTCTTAAAAACCTGGTACTTACATTGAGAGCACCTCTTACTTCAGACACTACATGTTGAATGTCCTACCTAGACAATAAAGTTGTGTTGAACAAGAGGCTATTTCACATGGCTTCAGTATTTTTAATTTTTTTTTTTTGAGAAGGAGTATCACTCTGTCGCTTAGGCTGGAGTGCAGTGGCACAATCTTGGCTCACTACAACCTCCACCTCCCGGGTTCAAGCGATTCTCCTGCCTCAGCCTCCTGAGTAGCTGGGATTACAGGTGCACACCACCACGCCCAGCTAATTTTTGTGTTTTTAGTAGAGACAGGGTTTCACTATGTTGGTCAGGCTGGTCTCGAACTCCTGACCTAGTGATCTGCCTGCCTTGGCCTCCCAAAGTGTTGGGATCACAGGCGTGGGCCACTGCGCCTGGCCCACATGGCTTCAGTTTTTAAAAATTAAATTTAATGAATTTTTCTGCAGGTCTGTAGTAGGTGTATGTACCTGTGGGGTCCATGAGATGTTTGGATACAGGCATGCAGTGTGAAATCAGCACGTCCTGGGGAATGGGGTATCCATCCCACAAACATTTATCCTCTGAGTTACAAATAATCCAATTATTGCTTCAGTTTTTAAATGTAAAATAATTAAAATTAAATATATTTAAAAAAAACCCCCACAGTTTATGAGTCTCACCAGCCATGTACAGAGTGATCAGCAGCTGTGTGGCCAGGGGCTGGTGTGTGGGTGACGCTGGCCCAGGCGTCATCTGTGTCCTTCTACCCTCATCAAACTGCACCTGTCCAGGGCCCTGTCCCTCCAGCCTGTGCCTCTGCTGAGTGGCCCCTGGCTCACCTGAGGCTCTCAGGCACACTTGTCTGTGAGAGGCTGAACCCCACCTCCTGTTTAGAGGCATTTAGTGGACATTCGAGGGCTGATCAGATGGGGCTTCAGGCTTCTCAAAAGGGAGGCAGGCAGGGGAGGGGCTTTGCCTCAGAGCCCTATCTGCTATGAGGTTGAGGAGGGCACACAACCTGGTGGGGTCTGAGTCCTTGGGCTGGGTGCTTTGGGCCACATGCAGCCCCTCTCTGGGCCTGTCCAGAGGGCTCTGATGTCCCCTCGAGCTCCAGTCTGTCTACCTAGTACTTGCCAGTGCCCATAAGTCAGGAGCTGGAGTCCTTCCCAGAGACCTAGCAGCACCAGACGGTGCCTGGCGGACAGACGGCCCTTCTTGGTGGCCTGGTGCATGGATGCGGGTGCTGGCCTCACTGTGGAGTGCGGTCCGGAATGGCCTTTGTGTCTCACCTGCCGCAGGGGTCTGACTCTGACCTTCCTCAGGGACCCTACCATTCCAGGGTTCTGTACCCCATGCGGCGACTGTCCAGCCTTGCTTGAGGCCCACCTCTCCCCATATGCTGATGACACCGTCGTCCTGACAATAGCCTGAGAGGCAGGTCCTGTGTGGGTTGTACTCTGTGGATGGGGAGACTGAGGCACAGAGAGGTGAAGAGATTTGCCCGGAGTTGCAGAGCTCACGAGTGGCAGAGCTAGGAATCGGACCGGCTGCCTGGCTCGCATGCTCCTGAGAACTGCTGAGCGACTGTCCCCTCTGATAGCCAAAACCCTGGCTCTAGTCTTGGCTGTTCAGCCTCCTGGTTGCAGCTTCAGTGTCTCCAACTGTACCATGAGTGAATGGGACCCTCTGATGGCTAAGTTCCATCCAGCTCTGAGAGCCTCTGCATTGCCTGTTACTTTTTATTTTTAAAGTGATTTTGTTTTGGCGAGGAGGCTGAGGGAGGGTGAGGCCAGGTGGGTGGGAAAAAACATGAAATCGCTCAGCCCCAGGCCCTCCTAGCAGCTTAGTCCCTACAGATTGACGGAGGCCTTGCACACATTTCCCAGAGGCCGTGCTGGGAAGCCCGCCCAGCCGGATCCCGGCGCTTGGAAAAGCCCACTCTGTGTCTTGGCACTCGGGCCTTACAGCTGCCGGGGACTGGCTGCGTGAGGTCCTGGGGCTGGCGTGGCTGCGGCCGGGTGGGTGGGTGGGGGGGGGGTGTGCCGAGGGGCATGCATCCATCACTGCCAGCAGCTTGCGTGGGCCCTGCCAAGTCGTGGGGGAACCGAGCCCAGGTGCCAACGTGCTTGGTAACTGGCTTGCTATTTGAAAAATTAAAGCGGTGTCAAGAATATCTAACCTTTGCATTCATATCAGGAGTCTGGAGCCGGGCGGGTGGCAGCCAGAGTGGGGCTGTTTGTGCAGGGCGGCCAGTGGGAAGGCACCCTCGGAAGGAGCAGATTACAGCAAAGAACATTATCCACCCAGCACCCAGGAGGAGGCACAGGTGATAACTGGGGAGGGGGAGCAGAAAGCACAGGCGAGCTGACCTCTCTCTAGCTGCTGGGACCCCTGCAGGAAGGCAGCCTGGTGCGCACCTACTGTGTGCCGGGAGAATGTGCCAGGTGCTGGGGTGGATGGAGATGGGGTGGCACCTCCAGGACACACTGCGCCTGGGCCCATGATACTTGCAGGGACCCACAGTGATGTTTTAATGTCTTTTAAAATCAAAAGAAAGAAATGAACTTTTAGGTTGAAGAAATGATGGTTAATAATGTCCCCACATATGACCTAAAGTGATCTACAGATTCAGTGCAATCCCTATCAAAATAGCAATGACATTCTTCACAGAAATAGAAAAAAAACAATCCTGAAAGTCATATGGAACCACAAAACACCCCAATAGCCAAAGCAATCTGGTGCTAAAAGAACAAAACTGGAGGCATCACACTACCTGACTTCAAAATATACTACAAAGCTATAGTAACCAAAACAGCATGGTACTGGCTAAAAACAGACACATAGACACATGGACCACAATAGAGGGTCCAGATGCAAATCCATGCATTAATAGCCACTTGATTTTCAACAAAGGCACCAAGAACATGTGTTGGGGAAAGGACAGTTTCTAATAAATGGTGCTGGAAAAACTGGATATTCACATGCAAAAGAATGAAGTTGGACCCATACCTTACACGATACACACAAAAAGCTCAAAATGGATTAAAGACTTATTATGAAACTACTAGAAGAAAGCATAGGGGAAACACTTCAGGCTATTGGTCTGGGCAAAGATTTTATGGCTGAGATTTCAAAAGCCCTGGCAACAAAAGCATATAAAGAACTTGAACAACTCAACAGCAAAAAATCCAAATAAGATTTAAAAATGGGCAAGTATTCTAAATAGACATTTCTCAAAAGAAGACATACAAAGGGCCAACAAGTATATGAAAAAAATGCTCAACATCACTGATCATCAGAGAAATGTAAATTAAAACCACAATGAGGGCTGGGCGTGGTGGCTTACACCTGTAATCCCAGTACTTTGGGAGGCCGAGGCGAGTGGATCACTTGAGGTCAGGAGTTTGAGACCAGCCTGGCCAACATGGTGAAACCTGTCTCTACTAAAAATACACAAAATAGCTGGGCATTGTCATGCATGCCTGTAATTCCAGCTGAGGTGGAAGGATTGCTTGAACCCAGGAGGTGGAGGTTGCAGTGAGTGGAGATCGTGGCAGTGCACTCCAGCCTGGGTGACAGAGCGAGACTTCATCACAAAAACAAAAACAAAAACAAAAAACAGAAAACAAAACCACAGTGAGATATCTCATCCCACTTAAAATAGAAATAAAATTATCAAAAAGACAAAAACAACCAAACAACAAATGCTGGTGAGGATACAGGGAAAAGTAACTCTTATACACTCTTAGTGGGAATTTAGAATAGTGCAGCCATTATGGACAACAGTATGGAAATTCCTCCAAAAATTAAAAGCAGAACTACCATATGACCCAGCAATTCTGCTAGTGGGTATGTATACAAAGACTAGGAGATCAGCATGTGAAAGAGACATCTGCACCCACATTCTCACTGTAGTGGTAGTCACAATAGCTAAGAGATGGAATCAACCTATGTGCCCATCAATGGATGAATGCATAAAGAAAATGAAGTGCAAATACATAATGGAATACTATACGGCCATAAAAAAGAATGCAATTCTGTCATTTGAGGAAAAGTGGATGAGCCTGGGGACCAGGGAATGGGAAGGGTGACGGGGAGAGGGGAATAGGGAGAGATTGGTAAATGGGTACAAAATTACAGTTGGGCAGAAGGAATGAGCTCTAGTGTTCTATGGCACAGTAGGGGGACTACAGTTAATAATTTATTATATATTTCAAAATAGCTAGAAGAGAAGAATCAGAATGTTCCCAACGTAAAGAAGAGATACATGTTTGCGGCGATGGACATACCAGTCACCTGCTGTGATCGTTACTTGTTGAAATGGGATCATATACATGTATTGAAATATCACATGTGCCCTATGAATATGTACGTTATTATGTGTTAACTAAAAAAAAAATCCCCACAAAATTCACATCCACTTGGAGCCTCAGAATATGACCTTCTTTGGAGATAGGGTCTTTGCAGATGTAGTCAAGTGAAGAGGGGGTAGTTCTGGAGCAGGGTGGGCCCTGACCCCATGGCTGGTATCCTCATAAGAAGAAGAGATCCAGAGACACAGGCCGGGAAGACCATGTGCCGATGGAAGCAGAGGTTGGGGGGATGCGGCCATAAGCCAGGGAACGCCAGGAACCAGCAGAAGCTGGCAGGGGCAAGGAAGGACCCTCCCTGAGAGCCTTCAGCGGACCCAGCCCAGCCGACACCTTGAGTTTGGATTTCTGCCTCCAGAGCTGTGAGAGAATAATTCCCACAATTCTGAGCCACCTGTGGTAATTGGTTATGGCGGGCCCAGGAAATAATACAATGTATAATATTGATCTGTCTCTACTCCGGCATAGTTAGATCAATAGAATTCTTTGCAGGGTGCAGTGGCTTATACCTGCAGTCTCAGCACTTTGGGAGGGCTAGGCAGGTGGATCACATGTGGCCAGGAGTTTGAGACCAGCCTGGGCAGCATAGTGAGACCATCTCTCTACAAAAAATACAAAAATTAGCCAGGTGTGGTGGTGTATGCCTGTGGTCCTGGCTACTAGGGAGGCTGAGATGGGAGAATTGCTTGAACCCTGGGAGGTTCAAGGCCGCAGTGAGCTGAGATTGTGCTGCTGCACTCCAGCCTGGATGACAGAGTAAGACCCTGTCTCAATAATAATAATAATAATAATAAAATAATTTTTTTAAATGGAAGAAGGAATCTAAGTGTTCCTTCAAGGTGATGAACCTTGCCATTCCTGGGTGGGGGCCTTGATGGCGTGATGAGAGTGGGTGTGGGGGTTTGCTAGGTAGGTGGAATCTGCATGTGCAGGGAGGCGGGCCAGGGAAAGAGATGGAGCACTGGAATCAGAATCTTACGTTCCAGTCCTGGCTCTGCCATGTCTGGCTGTGTGGCCTTGAGAGGGAACATGACTTCCATAAGCCTCAGCGGCCGCCTCTGTTAACTCAGGCTCCCCACTGTAGAGGATGCTCCCAGGGAGTCGGGGAGGAAGTGCTATCCGATCCCAGGAAATGCAGCTTGCAGAAGCCCAGGAAATGCAGCTTGCAGAAGCTCAGGAAATGCAGCTTGCAGAAGCCCAGGAAATGCAGCTTGCAGAAGCCCAGGAAATGCAGCTTGCAGAAGCCCAGGAAATGCAGCTTGCAGAAGCTCAGTGGGGGGCCTCGAGGGCTGGCCGGTTCTACTGCCTGCTCAGGGATCGGGGCACCTCATAAATAAGGATATCTGTCTTCTGGAGTTTTCCATCCATGTTTCAAAAGAGCCGAGCCCTCCTTCCTTCAGAGGGTGTCCTCCCCAGCATTGTGTTCCCCTGTGACCGTGTTTCGATGTATTTTATCTATTCCTGACTTTGGAGGCCTGGTGATGTCAGAGGCCTGTTGGCTTGTGGTCCCTGCCGGCTCTTGTCCTGGAGGTCCTCTTAGCATCGTGCTGGTCCTAAACAGAGGCTCAGAAGGCTGTCCCCAACCTCTGCTGTCCCGGAGCCCCTTCCCTCTGGGTGTCTGTGCATCTAGGCCAGGCCTTGCTCGAGGAGGGTGCAGGCAGCCTGGCAGGGGAGCCTCTAGGCATGAGCTGGCCAAGGTCCCTGGCACTGTCCGAGCTGCCCAGGGGTGGCCCGGAAAGGTTCCCAGACTGCGATATCTCGATGGGCCACCGTGTCTTAGCATGGGCCGCCTGGTTTTCCACAGAAGATGTCTGGCCAATCCTAGAGCCACCAAATTTCCAGGCAGTGGGCTGTCCCATGTTCCCAAGAACAACCCTGGGCTGGCTGCCACACGGCTACTAGCTGTGTGTCAGGCCTACGTAGATGTACTTTGCATACACTATCTCCATTAGAGACTGGGGTGTAGATAGGATTGCAATCCACAATTCCCAGATGAGGAAACTGAGGCACAGAGAAGCTGGTAGGTGGCCCAGCCATGATGGGAAGCTAGGGTGGGAAGCGCTGAGGGAGCAGCTCTCCTCCTCAGGTATTCAGACCTGCCTAATGGTGCAAATGCCTCAGCCACATTCCTGCCTCTAGGTGGGGCATCTTGCACGTGTGTTCCCGAGGGCTTTGCCTGCTGGCTGGGAATTCCTGGGCTAAAGAGCTGAGCACTTGCATTTTCTGACTCCCATAACTGTTGGTCAGAACCGAGGTGGGGTGTAGAGGTCCTGAAGCCAGCCCAGAAAGGTCTGGTTTCTGACCCACCCACCAGCTGTTGCCTTTCCCTGCAGACCGGGAAACGCGGTGTGGACTCTCACTGCTTCTCCGGCTTGGAAACGGCGTTCCTGTCTTTGCCTTCTCCCTGGGGCTGGAATCCCTCCTGGACAGGCCTAAGGCATGTCATGGGTCCCCCTCCCTCCCTGCTGTAACCCCAGAGCCCCCATGGGGAACCCGCAGCTTCCATCATCCTCAGGGGCCCAGTGTCCCAGGAGGGGACTGTGGAGAGGTGTTTGTACTCCTGGGTGTGTCTGGGCTGCCACTTGCCCAGGGTCTGGGAGGTGACCTTGTGCCAGATGGGGCTGGAAGCTCCCTGAGGGTAGGGGCGGGGCTTACCCTGGTGCACCTGTGTTGCACGTGGCCTCGGATCTCGTTCCTGTCATGTCTTGGGGTCTTTTCTATTCCCAAGGTTGTCGTAGGAAGGCGTTTGCTGACAAATGAGACCTGGCTCCCTCCAGATTCTGATTCTGTCCCTCTCTTCGTGAGCCTGGATGGGTCGGGCCCCCTGAAGCCTCATGCTTTCCTCCGGAAAACGGGAGGAGGAGGCTGGCTTGCTGATCCCCAAGGTCTCTCTCAGGACAGCCTTAGTGGTTTGGGGGGTGATGCTGCAGTCAGGCCTGGGTGGAAGTCCCAACTCCATTCCAGCCTCCCTGGGTGGCACTGGGTGACCTGGCACCTCCAGACCTCCGTTTACTCATCTGTAAAATGGAGAGAACCCAGGGCCCCCTGGGTACCTGACCACAGGGAATGCAGCTCCTTGGTTGTTCAGCACCATTTCTGCCACGTAAAGAGTGTTGCTCCTCTTCCTTCAATGTCATTACTTTCAATGATGAGGAGAGTGAAGTGATTTTTTTTTTTTTTGGGTGGAGTGTTATTGAGCCATAATTAGCACACAGCAAAAGTGGCTCTTTTTACAGTTTGGTGACTTCTGACAAAGACACAATCGTGCAACGACCACTGTAGTCCAGGCATAGTACAGCGCTGTCTCCCAGAAGTCCCTCAATGCTGCCCCTTGGCCGTCAACGCCTGCCCCCACCCCAGCCCCTAGAAACCAATGACCTGGTTTTTATTCCTGTGGTTTTCCAGCATGTCATAGAAATGGAAGTGTGCATTGTGCAGCTCTCTGCCTGTGACTCTATCACTTGCCATATGCATTTGAGATTCACCCATGTTGTTGTGTGTATCTGTAGATAGTTCCTTTTTACTGTTGAATATTGTGTGACCATTGCACGAAGGCTGGGTTGTATGAATATGCCACAGCTTGCTTTCCCACATACCAGTTAATGGACATTTGAGTTGTTTCCACTTGTGGCTGCTATGAATAAAGCTGCTGCAAACATTTGTATCCGGGTCTTTGGGTGCACATATGTTTTCTTCTGGGCACATGCCAGAAGTGGGATTATCACTGGATTGTATGTTAAGTGTACATTTAACTGTATAAGAAACTGCCAAACTCTTTCCTGACATGG
Source organism: Homo sapiens (assembly GCF_000001405.40). Taxonomy (NCBI): domain Eukaryota; kingdom Metazoa; phylum Chordata; class Mammalia; order Primates; family Hominidae; genus Homo; species Homo sapiens. Next base: position 69,133,391 of record NC_000011.10, read on the forward strand.
CTGCATCGTGTTACGTTCCCAACAGCAAGGTATGAGAGTTCCAGTTGCTCCACATCTTTGTCAACACTTGGTATTGTCAGTTTTAAATTTTAGCCACTTTAGTAAGTGTATGGTGGTTTTAATTTGCCTTTCCTGACTCTCTAATGTTGTTGAACATCTTTTCAGTTTGCCATCCAGTTGCTTATTTGCTGTCTGTTTTCATCTTTGGTGAAGTGTCAGTTCAAATTTTGTGTATTTAAAAAATAGGCGTTGTTTTTCTTATGACTGAGTTGTAAGAGTTCTTCTATGTTCTAGATGAGAGATATTTATAATGTACACAATTTGGAAATATTGTCTCGTAGCCTGTGGCTTGTCTTTTCATTTTATTAGCAGTGTCTTTTGAGGAGAAATTTCTGTTTTGATGAGGTCTAATTTATGATTTTGTTCTTTTATACTTTGTGCTTTTTGAGTCCTACCTAAGAATTCATGCCTGTCTCAAAGTTGCAGAACTTCTGCTCTGTTTTCTTCCAGGCTTGTAGTTGTAGGTTTTACATTTAGGTCTGTGACCCTTTGGTGTGAATTCACTTTTGTCTACAGTGCCCTGCAGTGCCCACGTCCTGTGGCCACCAGCAGCTGGCCAGGCTTTCCCTGTCACAGTTGCCTTTGTCCACCTGGGCAGCTGGCTTGGCCAAGTCTTCTTTGCCACCTGTGAACAACAGATGTGAAGCTGTTGGGCCACCCTGCGGGTTTTGGTGCTGGTGTCAGCCTTTGCCCAACTGTTTGTCCTCAGAACTGCAGGGTGACTGTATTAGTTCATTTGCACATTGCTATAAGGAAATACCTGAGATTGGGTAATTTATAAAGAAAAGAGGTTTAACTTGCTCACCATTCCACAGGCTGTACAGGAAGCATGGCTGGGGAGGCCTCAGGAAACTTACAATCATGGCAGAAGGCGAAGGGGAAGCAGACATGTCTTACATGGCTGGAGAAAGGGGAAGAGAAAACAGAGGGAAGAGCCACACACTTTTAAACAACTGGATCTCACTCATAGTGAGAACTCACTCACTATGACCAGAAAAGCAAGGAGGAAATCCACCCCCATGACCCAGTCACCTCCCACCAGGCCTTTCTTTTTCTTTTTCTTTCTTTTTTTTTTTTTTTTTTTTTTTTTGAGACAGAGTTTCGCTCTGTTGCCCAGGCTGGAGTGCAGTGGTGCAATCTTGGCTCACTGCAACCTCCGCCTCCTGGGTTCAAGTGATTCTCCTGCCTTAGCCTCTTGAGTAGCTGTGACTACAGGCACGTGCCACCACACCTGGCTAATTTTTTGTACTTTTAGTAGGGATGGGGTTTTGCTGTGTTAGCCAGGATGGCCTCGATCTTCTGACCTCCTGATCTGCCCACCTCAGCCTCCCAAAGTGCTGGGGTTACAGGTGTGAGCCACCACGCCTGGCCTCACCAGGCCTTTCTTTCAGCACTGGGAATTATAATTCAACATGAGATTTGGATGGGAATACAGAGCCAAACCATATCAGTGACCTTGTCTAGGGGACCCCAAGGCTGGATCCTGCCCACTGCTTAGAAAATGCAGTTGCTGGATGAGCCACCACTGCTGTCCTTTCCAGCCCCGGGCAGCTGCTGCTTGCCTGTGACCCAGGAGTTCTCCTCCTCCTCTCTGTCCAGCCTGGAGGCACCTTCCCTATCTGTGTGTGGGCTGAGCCACCCAGCCCAAACACAAACATTTTTATCAGACTCTACCCACTCTCCTCACCCGCCAGCAGGTTCCTGGCCCCATTTCTCAGGGTGGGGGGAGTGAGTTATTTGTCTAAGGTGGAACAGTGTGAGTGGCAGAACTGGGAATCGATCCCTCGATGCCATGTAACTTTCCCAGGTCAGGTCTCACCACGTCAGGCCGCCTAAATCTGCATCCACGCGGGAACCTGGGTGTGATTTAACCAATGTCATTGGCAGGAGCTTATTTCAGGGTGAGGGTGCTGCCGGTCCCCCTCCTGGACAGTGGGTCTCCTCCGGGTTGCAAATTTCTTGTGTTTTGTGTCTCTTCCCTCAGTGACCCAGGAGGCTCTCACGTGGAGTCCCCAGAACAGCATCAACTCCTCACGATGCTCCTGACGGTGGTGGACAGACTCTCCATGCCCCGATGAAGTTGTGAGTCACATACATCCCCGTCCACAGCACCCGGTACTCAGTAGGTGGTCCCATAAATGTTTGTGGCACAAGTGAATGAACTTGGAACCATCCATCTAGTGGAAATTGTAAATTATAACAAAACCCAATGGACCGTGAAAGCCAGGGTCAAGGCTGGGGCCTGCTGAGGCCCTGTCATCGAGGGAGTTTTTGTGCTGGTAAAGATGATGACTGCCCTGGTGCAGGGCCCGTGTAGCCCAACATGTCTAGTCCGTGGCGGGCTCTTACTGGGGATGAGGGGCCTCCAGGAGGAGCAGGCCTGGGCACAGACTTCTGACCTGGGCACAGTTGGGAAGGGTGACAAGGGGTCAGAGCAGGCTCTTGGCCTCAGGTCAAAGGACAGGAGTCCTCCTGACTCTGCTGTGTCTGAAGCCCACAGTGAATGCAATGCAGAAAAAGCAGTGCTTGACCCTTTGTTTTCTCCGGGGTTAGGATCCCTGATATGATTGGGCTGTGTCCCCACCCAAATCTTGCCTTGAATTGTAATGATCCCCACATGTCAGGAGTGGGGCCAGGTGGAGATCATTGAATCACGGGGGTGGTTTCCCCTGTACTGTTCTTGTGGTAGTGAATAAGTCTCATGAGATCTGATGGTTTTATAAAGGGGAGTTCCCCGGCACATGCTCTCTCTTGCCTGCCCCCATGGAAGATGTGTCTTGCTTCTCCTTTGCCTTCTGCCATGATTGTGAGGCCTCCCTGGCCATGTGCAACTGTGAGTCAATTAAACTTCTTTCCTTTAAAAATTACCCAGTCCCAGGTATGTCTTTATTAGCAGCATGAGAACAAACTAATGTGATCTCACAGAGAGCAGCGCTGGTGGTCAGAAGGAAGCTTCTGTGTTTGAGGAGGGACACTCAGGTCCCACCCCAAGCCCATGCCGTGACCTGGGGCTGCAGTTATTTTGATTCCCATTATGTGGGGAACCAAGACCCAGAGAGGGAGGACACTTGCCTGGGACTGCCCAACTTTGGAAGGAAGATCCTGCCCCTCAGTTGGGGAGGCCTGGATGGCACTGGCGGCCGGGGAGGTGCGGCAGGAGCGAGGACTGATGGGTGAGTGCAGGCTGCATGCAGCCTTGCTGGGACCTTGTGGGAGGGGAGACCCTGAGTCCTGATGGGAGTTCGAGAAACCCAGGACCAGCAGAGGTGAGGAACAGGCCTGGCCTGCTTTCCTCCTGTCCGTGAGCTGGCCGTGGGTTCCACCGACACGGCCCTGCCCTGGGACCTTGGTGGACAGGCAGAGAGGCTGTGTATACATCAATGGCCTGGGTTCCTGCAGGGCTCAGGGTCCCCTGGTCTCAGCAAGGGCCTCAAGAATGGCTGGAGAAGGGAACACACCTTTGTCAGGGACTGTCCAGCTGCCAGGCTTGGTGCTGCAGCCTCTCCACCTGCAGCCTCACCAATCCCTCCAAGCTGGGGTTTCTCCACTGTGGTGGCACTATCCACATTTTGGACAGGGTAATTCTTTGTGGAGGCTGTCCTGTATGTTGTAGGATGTTCAGCAGCATCCCTGGCTTCTATCCACCAGATGCCAGTAGCACCCCCCGCAAGCCCTGCCCAGCATGACAGCCAAATATGTCTCCAGACATTGCCAAATGTCCCTCTGTGGGTCCCCTGGGTGAGAGCCACTGCTTGCCATCACTCCGCATTTCGAGAAGGCAAACTGAGGCTCTAGAGAGGCCGAAGACTCACTCACAGGCACCTGACATGTCCAGGGAGAGCTGGGGCTTGGTTAGCTCACAGTCTCTCTCCCAGCAGGGCTGGAAGCCCAGGAGAGCTTGTTGCATTCCCTGCTGCATTTTCAGGGCTTGGCACTGTGCCTGGCACACAGTAGGTGCTCAGGGACTTTGCATGTGAACGGTGAGTGAGTGAATGAGCTGATACAGGAATAGGTTCTGGGTTGGTCTCAGGTTCCCAACTCTGCCCTGCTTCCTCCTTGCGTGGCCTTCCAAGTGGCTTAGGTTCCAGGTGGAGGGTGTGGCTCTTGTCACCGTGTGTTCCCCTGTGACTGTACTTCAATGCATTTGTATCTCTTCCTGGCTTTGGAGGTCTGGTGACATCAGAGGCCTGGGGTGGGGCCAGGTGGGTGTGCTGAGTTTGTGCTGGTAGTGTGAGCCCCCAGCTTTGGTGCACGCGTGTGGGTGCATGGAATGAAGGCCTTTGGAGCATGGGGGCATCAAGGAGCAAGCAGAAGTGGCAGTGCCCAAGACAGGGCAGGCAGGGCTGGGTGGACACTGGAGCCAACAGCTGGTTCCAGTCCTGGGTCAGACATGGCCGAGCTGAGTGACCTGGGGCAATGAGCTGAAGCTGCCTTTGTCGGTGGGATGGGGATGCCAAGGATACCCTCTTGCCCAGGGAGTCAGTGGGATACTTGTCAAGTGTGTACCTTGACCCTGCCTCTGCGTAGCAAGGGCCTGGCAAAAGCAAATTCTCATTCTCTCTAGAGGCAGGAGTTGCTCCAGTCACTCTCCTGCTGAGGAGTCCCAAGTCTGCTCTGCTCTCTGATGCTATCATTAGTATCATCTGCACTCCTGTACCAATGGTCCAGGTTCAGGGGCATGAGGGAGCCAGCAGGGTCTTGTCCTCAGGGGCTCCTGAGGTTATGGGAGTGGACACCGTACCAAAGTGTATGTCAAGTTCACTGTGTGGGGCCCAGGGGAGGGTAAAATTGTGGCCAACCCTCAGAGCAGTCTTCCCAGGAGTGGGAATGGAGGTGGGCTTGACCCTGGCTTCTGAGGAAGGGAAGGACTCTGAAAAACCAAAGAGGTATGTATCAGTTGTTTATTATTGCACAACAAATTTCCCCAGCACTTAATGGGTTAACACAAGAAGAAACATCTATTATCTCACACAGTTTCTGTGGGTCAGGAATTTGGGAGTGGCTTAGCTGGGCAGTCCTGGCTCTGGGTCTCTCATGAGGTTGTGGTCAAGGCGTTGGCTGGGCTGCATCATCAGAAGGCTTGACTGAGGCCAAGGATCTGCTTCCAAATGCAGATTCTCATGTGTTTGGCAAACTGGTGGGAGGCCTCAGCTCCTGGCAACGGAGACCTCTCCACAGCAATGCTTGAGTGTCCTCACAACGTGGTGGCTGATTTTCCCCAGAGCATGTGATCCAAGAAGCCACATCTTTTATCATCTAGCCTGGAAAATCACACCCCATCATTTCTATTGGTTGCAGAGGTCAGTCTTATTAAGTGAGGGAGGGCACTACACAAGGGTGTGGATACCAGTGGGGAGGAATATGGAAGCCATCTTAGAAACTGGCTACAACAAAGAAGGAGATGCATTCCTGGTGGGGCCCCTGAGCCAAACCTTATCAGTTAGGTTCCTACAAGCCTTGGCTACATTTTTGCCAACTGATCAATACGTACCTTTGTTTTATGTGTGTTTCTGTTGGAAGACACCTCATTTTCTATCTGTGGCTGACTCATTAACACTGAACTCATGGCCAGCAGCACCATACCTCATGCCTGAAAGAGGCTCACCTAGCGCAAGTCTATCTCCATTAGGCATGTCACAGCCTTTCCAATTTAGGAACATTAGACGGCACTTTAAGTGGTAGAATCACAAGCAAAATGCACAAACACGTGGATAAAGTGGCATTAAGTACATCGCAGAAATGACACCTGTTTCAGTACAACAGGTTGAGAGCCAAGACAAGAAGGCTGTGTGTCGGCTGGTTCAGCCTCAGCTAGGAACATGGACGTCAAGCAGTGCAGACGCTTTGCCACCTGCACATGTCTATATGTGGCTAGAGGCACTGAGAGTGTTGATTTGAGGCTACACATGCATTTTTAGCGAGTGGGCATAGTCACAAGTGTGGAATCTGCATGTAGCGGGGATGGCCTGCACTAACCAAACAGGACCACACTATGAAAGCAAAGAGATGGGAAGCGAGCTCAGCCAGGGAGGTCAGCAGGGGCCTCTCTGAGAAGGCGGCATGAACTCTGCAACCTGAAGGACGAGGAGCAGGCAGCAGGCGGAAGGTCTTTTCTCTAGGTCAAGTTCAGAGCACTGACCAGGCCTGGGTGGTTGCCATTACGTTCAACATAACTTTGGGGGATTTGTTTCCACTCTTTGAGTTTGCCCCATGGGTAGTCTTTTCTCTCTTTTTGTAGCTTCATTTAGATTGCTTTTGCTTCTTTTTCTTTTTTTTTTTTTTTGAGACAGAGTCTCGCTCTGTTGCCCAGGCTGGAGTGCAGTGGCACGGTCTCAGCTCACTGCAACCTCCACCTCCCGGGTTCAAGTGATTCTCTTGCCTCAGCCTCCTGAGTAGCTGGTATTACAGGTGCTTGCCACCACGCCCAGCTAATTTTTTGCACTTTTAGTAGAGACAGGGTTTCACCACGTTGACCAGGGTGGTCTCGAACTCCTGACCTGTGATCTGCCCGCCTCGGCCTCCCAAAGCGCTGGGATTACAGGTGTGAGCCACTGCGCCTGGCCCAGATTGTTTATTTTTCTTCTCATTTTATTTTCTCCTCCTCCACTACTTTGGAACTTATATATTCAATTTCTGTTCTTATGGTGGTGACCCTAGAAATTTTGGATCAACTGAATAATTTGTCTCTTAGATGAAAAATTTGTCTCTGAATATTTGTACTAAAACATACTAAGACCAAAAGTCAAAACATCATATTAGTTAACAGAAAATTGTTGTGATGTAGGCAATAAAAGGGAATTGAAAGCATTATTATTATTATTATTTGAGAGAAGGTCTTCCTCTGTTACCTGGGCCGGAGTGCAGTGGCGTGATCTCGGTTCACTGCAACCTCTGCGTCCGAGGCTCAAGGAATCCTCCTGCCTTAGCTTCCCTAGTAGCTGGCACTACAGGTGCACACCAACATGCCTGGCCAAATTTTGTATTTTTTGTAGAGATGGGGTTTTGCCATGTTGCCCAGGCTGGTGTTGAACTCCTGGGCTCAAGCGATCCACCCACCTTGGCCTCCCAAAATGCTAGGATTATAGGCATGAGACACTGTGCCCGGCAGAAAGGATTATTTTAAAATCAGTTGTGCCATATACATTTGGCCAAATATGAGGCCAACAAATTGTTACTGAGTGGTGGGCTCACTATCCAATACTATGGCACAGGCTTTTGGAAAAAAGAAAGAGCTTTATTGTGAGTCAATGGCAAGGAGACAGGAGGCAGTGTTCAAATCTGTCTCTCTGATCTGGGGTGGGTGGAGCTTTTATGGCATTTATAACTAGTCCCAGTTGATGCCCACACAGCTGGTCTGCCAGGCTGGCAGCATTAACAGGAGGTTAAAGTGTTTTCTCTTGTGCACGCCTGGGCAATTCCGGCTCTGCATCACCAGTAACAACTTACGCAATGGTTGATCAGTTTGAGCTGGTCTCACGGTTACAATATATTTTAATATCTACATTACCCAAAACCCATATTTCCCTCTCCATAGCATGGCTGCGATGACACTTGATTTTGTGGCTGAAACAGGACTCTTGATTTGCCAGTAATGACCTGGACCACCAAACTCTGTCAGATGCCATTCAAAGTAATGCTTGCATACATCACAACAGAAATTATAGATTTTGACCACACTATGAGCTGAAATTCCAGTAATAGCAGTAGGTGCTTTCTTTGTGACTTCTGTAAATCATAAGAATAGAAGGTGAAGCCATGTTTCCAGGGAAATGTTGGATTTTGTGGAAAAAGCTCCCTTTTCAGAGGCCCATGACAATTGGCAATTTCTCTGAATAGCTATCTTTGCATTGATGTTGTACCACTCACTGTAAGTACTGGCGAAGTGAGGAACATTCAGGGGCCACAGATAACAACTTACCTTGCTTGAAGAGGTCAGTGGCTGGGAGGCTTGAAGCCTTAACAATAATAGGCTGTGGTGTATCATGAAAGAAACATCTACCCATTGGAAGAGGTGAAACGAAAATGCCCTCAAAAATAAAACTGCTAAAAAATAAAATCTGAATTTGACCTTCAGGAGTTAATCATAGTTGAAGAATTTGATCTGCAGGACCTGGCAGGGACAAATTGTTAAATTGATCTGAAATTTTGACCAGGTGTGCTAAACTTGTAAAGGTCGAAGTTAATCAATATTTCATGCTTCTTCCAAATGGTACAAAATCATAGAATCATCTCCTGTCTCTCCTCTTCTGACTTATATGCAATTGTGTTATATCGTTTATGTTATGGTCTGGCTGTGTGCCTTGTAGTTCCCATAATCTCATCTTGTAGTTCCCATAATCCCCACAGGTCATGGGAGGTACCAGGTGGAGATACTTGAATCACGGGGGCGGTTTCCCCCATCTGTTCTTGATACTGAGTGAGTTCTCACAAGATGTGATGTTTTTATAAGGGGCTTCCCTCTTTTGCTCAGCACTTCTCCTTGCTGCTGCCACGTGAAGAAGGATGTGTTTGCTTCCCCTTCCCCATAACAGTAAGTTTCCTGACGCCTCTCCAGCCATGCAGAACTGTGAGTCAATGAAACCTCTTCTCTTTATAAATTACCCAGTCTCGGGTATGTCTTTATTAGCAGCGTGAGAACGGACCTAATACAGTTTACTTCTAATTTTGACTTCGACAAGCAGACCTGACTTTTCTTGTTTTATTTGGTCAGGTTTGCTTAGATTTCCCCAAATGTTCCCCATGCTCTTTGCACACAATCTTTTCTTGCACCTTACATATTCCTTCTGTGGTAATTTCTCTTTGACCTGAAATATATCCTTTGGAATTGTCTTTATTGGCATTAATTAGTGCAAACATCTTAATTTTCATTTGCCTAAAAATACATCGACCAAATTAGTCCATTGTTTTCCTTTAGGATTGGTACTTTTTATGTGTTGTTAAGATGTCCCTGCCCCCGAGGCTCTAAGATGTTACTCTGTATTGTCCTCTAAATGTTTCATAGTTCTGCCTTTGATGTTTAACTGTTAAACCCCTGAAACTGATTTTTGGGTGAGGTATGAGGTAGGAGCCTATGGTGATCATTAGTGTTCTTACCACAGTATTTGCAGCTTTAAATAGTTCAGGCACATGGTAGGATTTCCAATCTCCACCAAATTCTGTATTAGTCATCTATGCTGTATAACAAATTACACAAACTTAGTGGCTTAGAGCAATACCCACTTATTAGCTCACAGTTTTCTAGGGCAAGAAGTCCAGGTTGGCTAGGTTCTCTGCCTGGGTTCTCACAAGGCTGAAATCAAGATGGCGGCTGGGACTGTGGTCCCCAACTGGAGGCTCTGAGGAGGAATATGCTTCCAAGCTCATGGGGTTGTTGACAGAATTCAGTTGCTTTTGGTGTAGAACTGAAGTCCTTGTTTTATTGCTGGCTGTCAGCTGGAGACACTCTCAACTTCTAGAGGTTGCCCTCAGATTCTAACCTGTGGCCTCTTCTCTCACAGTATGGTAGCTCACTTTTTCAAAACCAGCAGAAGAATCTCACTCCACTTGGCTATGATGGAGTCTTATATGGTGTAACCTAATCATGGGACTGACTATCCAATCACATTTGTTAGGCTTGAACACGTGACTTGTTTTGGCCAATGGTGTGCAAGCATAGTGGGGTGTGTCACCTCCTGAGAGAAGCTTTAAGAGCTGTCTGGGACATGCCACATGTCCCTCCCTTGGCTTCTGTAATTGGGGAAGTGTTTGTAGAGATGAAGCCTCAGGTCCTCAAGAGACAGTAATGGGCAGTACTTTCTTCCTGAGTTTCCCACACTGACTTTCTAACTCGAAACCTTGGTAGAGTCTGTTCTTATTTTGAATAACTTGTTTGTAGATTATTTTGGAATTTCAACATAGATAATTGCGTTATCTGTGAATAATGACAGGATTTTGTCTTCTTTTCCAGTCTTTATGAGTTTATTTTTTTTGCCTTATTGTCCCAGTTGGGGCCTTCAGTACAATTGATGAATTTGACCACATTACAATTTAGAGTTTATGTTCATCAAAAAACATGGTAAGGGCCAGGCACGGTGGCTCACGCCTGTAATCCCAGCACTTTGGGGAGGTTAGGCGGGCGGCTCACTTGAGGTGTGGAGTTTGAGACCAGCCTGGCCAACACAGCGAAACCTCATCTCTACTAAAAATACAAAAATTAGCTGGGCATGGTGGCACATGCCTGTAATCCCAGGTACTCGGGAGGCTGAGGCAGGTGAATTGCTTGAACCTGGGAGGTGGAGGTTGCAGTGAGCCAAGATTGTGCCACTGCACTCCAGCCTGGGCGACAGAGCGAGACTGTTTCAAAAACCAACCAACCAACCAACCAACAAAAAACACCATAAGAAGCATGAAAAGACAAACTACAAACTGGGAGAAGATACTGCAATGCTTAGAACTGACAAATAATTTGTATGAAGAAAAATTTTTTTTGTTGTTGCTGTTGTTTTTTTGAGATGGAGTCTCGCTCTGTCACCAGGCTGGAGTGCAGTGCCATGATCTCAGCTCACTGCAATCTCTGCCTCCCGGGTTCAAGTGATTCTCCTGACTCAGCCTGCCAAGTGGCTGAGATTAAAGGCGTGCACCACCACGCCCAGCTAATTTTTGTATTTTTAGTAGAGACGGGGTTTCACCATGTTGGCCATGATGGTCTCGATCTCTTGACCCCGTGATCCACCCACCTTGGCCTCCCAAAGTGCTGGGATTACAGGTGTGAGCCACCACGCCCGGCTGCTATAGGTTTTATTATTATTCAGATATGATGAGGCCAACAGATCAGGAGATAACCATTATTGAAAAGATAGTTTGTTACTCACAGATCTGCAGGGGAGGGGACATGCTGCACCCCGGGGTGGATGGGGGGCACAGGGAAGCAGGGGAGTTGGTCTGGAGGGATAGGGACTAAGGGGAAAGTGTGGGCAAGAGCCTTGATTGTGGTTTCTGTAGGAAAAAACGAGTGAGGCAGGGCAAGTAGGCATAGGATGGGCTAGTTTGAATAATGTTACAGGCTCTGGGGCACAGGGACTGTCCCTGCCTGTCTGGTACCTGGCCCTGGGGTGATTATGGCAGGAGGATGGTAGCCCTGAGTATGAGAACCTGATAGAAGAGGTCGTTGCAAATGTGAGCTCTGGATTAGTTAGTTGGTTTACATTTGAAAGGTGCACTCACAGATGACTTCATTTCTAGAAATTGGCTAATCCTGGGAGGGGCCATCCCTCCAGGGTCAGCACGTTCCCAGATGTCAAAGCATCAGAATACAGGAAAAAGAAGTAATGGTTAATACAATGAAGAATGCCTACAAATTCCTAAGAAAAAGAAACAACCAAAGACTCAACTGGTACTTCACAAGAGAAGAAACCCCAAAGGCAATCAGCATAAGAAAAGTCAATATGAAAATGCAACCCCGAACTATACCGAGACACTATGTCTCACCCACCAGCTTGGCAAGCACTCAAAAGCCCGTGTTGGTGAGGATGAGAAGTGTCAACCTTAAACAGTGAGATTCAGAAACTATGATTAAATGTAGAGATTCTTTGAGCCCAAAGCATGAGGATAGCCACTTGGGCAACACTGACTCCAAACAAATGGGGTCACTGTTTCAAAGTGGAGAAGTTAAGATTTCTCTTACATAGGCAGAGACAGAGAAATTTCAGCAGGATTACAACATTTTTCATACACGATCAGTGCGTACAGTGACTTGATCGGTTACAGATTGCTGCATTCCAAGGAAAATACTTTATTACTCCATGAGGAGGGGTAGAAATTCAAGGGATTCTTATCTCTGAAGTCGTTTGGTCTTCTTAATTATTTATAGGGAAAAAAAAAGGTAGAAGTTGCAGTTGCATTCCATGTGACTCAAGTTGCATAGCCATGTTCCTCTCAAGGCTCTGAATACAGTTCCAACAGCTTTAAGTCTGAATTCTTTAATTTCACAGAAGCAACTGGAAGGAACCCCAACTAAGCTATTGTTGGAAGCGTCCATGAAGCCAGATGCATATTCCCTTCAGCTAAGCGTATATACTCGTAGGTATGTTCCCAAGAGAAACCTCTAGCATGTGTCTTTATTTAAACATTTTTGGTTGAGTATACAATTCTAGGTAGTCACTTCACTCTAGCACCTTAAAAATGTCATTCCACTGTCTTCCGCTCATCCATTGCTGTTGAGAAGTCAGCTGTGGGCCAACCTTGCCTCTCTGGCTGCTTCTAAGCTACACTCCACTGTAATAATCATTCTTGATGTCCTGTAATTTGGTATCTTGAAATCATGAGCCAAACTATAGCCAGGCTTGTTTCTATCCTTACTATCCTTGTGTTTTCATGGGTGCACAAAAATCATATCACAAACCCTCTGGCCACAACCCCCAACATCTGTGTTTTGCCTTCTGCCCCATAGGAGACACCCTCACTTAACTTTCCACCACCAAGGGGAGAGTCTTGACTACTATGGTACTTTATTACTATTATTACTATGTCAATAGTAATAGTAGTGATAGTAAAGTCTCCCCTTGTGTTCCCCTGCTCCCTCTGCCTCCTGACCAACCCTCGTCCTTCCTCATGTAGACTGCATAGCATGGCATGCCCCCTGCTCCTGGGAACTGTAAGTAATAAACTTCTTTTAAGGCAGCTGTCTCCATGTCTGTCATGTTAATGTACCTGATTAAAACAAAATCCCAGGTACATTTAAAAACACCTCTTGGTATTGTATGGTGTCACTATGATGTCCCCAGCTATGGATTGCTTATCACTCATCCTAGGTTGGATTCTTTGGGATGCCCAAATCTGGGGATTGATGTTTTTCATCTGTTCTAAAAACTTCTCAGCCATTTCCCCTTCAGATCTAGCCTTTGCCCTATTCTATTCTCTTCTACTGGAGCTCCTAGGACCATACAGTGTAGCTTTTACTCCACCCCTCATGCCTCTTGGCAGCTCCTTCTTGTCTCCCATTGTCTCTCTGTGCTGTATTCTGGGCCATAGCTCAGATCTGTCTTTCCGTTCACCAACATAATTTTCAGCCATGTCTGACCATCTGTTAGTATCACTTAATATATTTTCATCTCTGGAATTACATTTAGGTCTTTCCAAATCTGCTTGGTCATTTTATAATCTCTTGTTCTTTATGTTTTAAATATTTTCTCTTAATCCTTTAATCATGCTTATTTTATATTATATTCTGATAATTTTGACAGGTCTGGGTCTGATTCTACTTTCTGTTGTTTCTTCTGACAGCAAAAACCTTTTGATAGATTATGTTCATCTAGAGGTTATTCATGCTAACATCTCCAGCTGCACGGTGGAGCTTTATTTTTCTTCTTTTATTTTTGGTTTTCTGTTTTTCTTTCTTTCTTTTCTTTTCTTTTTTTTAAACTCTTAGCATGGTGGAGCTTTATGGCATATTCTGAGCAATGTCCTGGTTTCTATTGCCTTCAGTTGCATTGCCCAATGTGGGACAGGAAATCTCACATACACAACAGCTTCTTGTTTCAGTGCTGCATTGTACTGCAATATTTTTGAAGATTTGATTTAATTTAATTTAATTTTATTTCCCGAGACAGAGTCTTGCTGTGTCACCCAGGGTGGAATGCAGTGGCGCAGTCTCGGCTCATTGCAACCTCCACCTCCTGGGTTCAGACGATTCCCCTGCCTCAGCATCCCGAGTAGCTGAAGTTATTTAAAGTGAAAATTAGGGATTCAAACTTAGGTTATGAGTCAACCACGTGTGGGGACGCAAGGCAAACACCCGGTAGAGGTTGAATAGATTACGGTTTATGCTCAGCTGGGTTCATACAAAAGCAGGGAATGGCAACTTTATTTCTGTCTCCTCCTTTCTGCAGGATCTGAAAATGAGTTTTAATATCTACTAGAAGCTATACTTGATTTCAGAATTATCAAAGTATGAAAAATACATGCCTTAGAACTGAGGACTTATGGGATTCTAAGTGTGCTGTGCCTTGAGGGAACCCCAGTGGCCTTTGATCCCACATGGGCCATCAAATAGCGAGTAATGTCCCTACTTTGAGTGGTCATGTCCATTCTGAAAGGTCCACCAATTCTCAGTATGAGGTCCTCTGAATGTGCTGATGTCTGGTCACACACGGGGGATCAGTCAGGCTGGGCTAAGTCAGTTAGGTGACACATGACCCCATGGCGCAGTAGCTCTCAGCAGCATGGGTGGATTTCTCGGCCATGTTACGCATCCCACCTGGGTCGGCTGAGACTGCTCCATGCACTCTTCACTCCAGGCAGGGCAGCCTCCTTCCTGGAAGGAAAAGGAAGAGGGAAAAGAGAACGTTGCAAACCATGCCCTGGCTTATTTATTTATTTATTTATTTATTTATTTATTTATTTTGAGACAGAGTCTCGCTCTGTCGCCCAGGCTGGAGTGCAGTGGCGTGATCTTGGCTCACTGCTACCTTCTCCTCCCGGGTTCAAGCAATTCTTCTGCCTCAGCCTCCCAAGTAGCTGGGACTACAGGAGCATGTCACCATGCCTGACTAATGGTTTTTGTATTATTAGTTGAGACAGGGTTTCACCCTATTGGCCAGGCTGGTCTCGAACTCCTGACCTCATGATCTGCCTGCCTCAGCCTCCCAAAGTGCTGGGATTACAGGTGTGAGCCACCACACCAGGAAGCGACAGGAGTATTTCCTCCCTTATCTCACTGGCCACTCCTGAGTTCAGTAGGGTGGGGACAGGCAGTCGTCCTGCAGGGCAGGGAAGCCGGGGCATGGGGGAGGAGTGATAGAGCCACCTCCCCTGGCTCAGCATCTTTGCCTGGGGCTCTGCTCAGTGACAGGAGCCTGGGTGTGAACTTTCAAGTCAGGGATCCCAGAGGCAACAGATACGTTCCACCTCTCTGAGCCTCGCATGCTTTACAAGTGCCAGAAATGGACGTTGGATACGGAGGCACCGTGTGAGTTGTCACACCCTCTGTGACTATACAGGTTGTTGGTGTTTTCGTCTTTGTTAATCGCCCAACAGTGCTCACTGCTAAGGAAATGTAACAAAATGTAACGTGACGTTCAGTGTTCAGCGGGACTTGGAAATGTGTTGCACGTGTGTGTGCAAATAGGTTAGAGGTGGGGGCCGGCCACATGTGCTCTGCTTCTCGTCTGCCTTCTTGGAGCGCCCACAGTCATGTGTGTACCTCAGCCCTCAGCGGGTTGGTCAAGCTTGGACTTTGCCTGTGGAACCAATGCAGGGGCTGCTGAGCTCTTCTGATTCTCTCTCGGGAGCCTGGGGCTGGGAGGCCAGCAGCAAAGTGTGGGTGCTGGACTTATTTATGGGTGAGGCTGACAGTGCCTTTAGGCTCAGGCAGAGCAGAGGGAGCCAATGAGCAGAGAGAAAGAGAAGGTGGAAGAAGTCAGGCAGAGAGACCCAGTGCCTTAGAAGGAGAGGTGGCCACTGTGCTTCCTGGTGAGGTTCCAGGGGATGTGCCTGACCTAGCCCCCAGCCGGGGGATGTACCTGGGCTAGCCTCCAGCCACGGGATGGGCCCAAGCTAGCCTCCAACGGGGGTCATGCTGTGTTTGGAATTGGTTTCTTCCGGTGGATTCTTGGTCTCCCTGACTTCAAGAATGAAGCCGCAGACGCTCGCGGTGAGTGTTACAGTTCTTAAAGATAGTGTGTCTGGAGCTTGTTCCTTCAGATGTTCAGATGTGTCCGGAGTTTCTTTCTTCTGGTGGGTTTGTGGTCTTGCTGACTTCAGGAGTGAAGCCACAGATCTTCGCAGTGAGTGTTACAGTTCTTGAAGGTGGCACGTGGGAGTTGGTTGTTCCTCCCAGTGGGTTCATGGTCTCGCTGACTTCAGGAATGAAGCCACAGACCCTCGTGGTGAGTGTTACAGCTCATAAAGGCAGTGTGGACCCAAAGAGTGAGCAGCAGCAAGGTTTATCATGAAGAGCGAAAGAACAAAGCTTCCACAGCATGGAAGGGGACCCGAGTGGGTTGCCGCTGCTGGCTTTGGTGGCCAGCTTTTAGTCCCTTATTTGGCACCCCCACGTCCTGCTGATTGGTCCATTTTACAAAGCACTGATTGGTCCGTTTTTACAGAGTGCTGATTGGTGCAATTACAAACCTTAAGCTAGACACAGAGCACTGATTGGTGCGTTTTTACAGAGTGCTCATTGGTGCATTTACAAACCTTTAGCTAGACACAGAGCGCTGATTGGTGCATTTTTACAGAGTGCTGATTGGTGCATTTACAAACCTTTAGCTAGACAGAAAAGTTCTCCAAGTCCCCACTCGACCCAGGAAGTCCAGCTGGCTTCACCTCTCAATGCCTAGGCTAGCAGCTAGCCACAGGACAAGCCCCAGCTAGTCTGAAGCCAGGGGTCACGCCTGGGCTAGCCTCCAGCCAGAGGATGTGCCAGAGCTAGCCTCCAGCGGGGGTCATGGCTGGGTTAGCCTGAGCAGCCTCCTCTTCCTGGTAAGTGAACACTGTCACCCACTGACAATGGAGTCTCTGGGAGGCTCTGAACACATGTCGCTCAGGGTGGCTGTGAGACCACAGCATTTCTTTCTCTCTCTCTGTTTTTTTTTTTTTTAACTTTTATTTTAAATTCAGGGGTACATGAGCAGGTCTGTTACATAGGTAAACTTGTGTCATGGGGGTTTGTTGTACAGATTATTTCATCACCCAGGTATTAAGCCTAGTACCCATTAGTTATTTTTCCTGATCCTCTCCCTCCTTCCCTCCCATCCTCCAACTTCTAAACGGCCCTAGTGTCTGTTCCCCTCTTTGTGTTCATGTGTTCTCATCATTTAGCTCCCACTTATAAGTGAGAACATGCAGTACTGGGTTTTCTCTTCCTGCATTAGTTTGCTACGGATAATGGCCTATTGCTCCATCCATGTCCCTGCAAGGGATGTGTTGTCATTCCTTTTTATGGCTGTGTAGTATTCCATGATATATATGTGCCACAACTTCTTTCTCCATTGATGGGCATTTAGGTTGATTCCGTGTCTTTGCTATTGTGAATAGTGTTGCAATGAATGTACATGTGCAGGTATCTTTATAATAGAATGATTTATATTCCTTTGAGTATATACCTTGTAATGGGATTGCTGGGTCAAATGGTATTTCTCTCTTTGGTCTTTGAGGAATTGCCACACTGTCTTTCACGATGGTTGAGCTAATTTACACTCACACCAACAGTTTATAAGTGTTCCTTTCTCTCCAGAGCCTCACTAGTATCTGCTGGTTTTTTTTTTTTTTTTTGACTTTTTAATAATAGCCATTCTGATTGGTGTGAGATGGTATCTCATTGTGGTTTTGACTTGCATTTGTCTAATGATCAGTGACGTTCAGCTTTTATTCATATGATTGTTGGCTTCATGTATGTCTTCTTTTGAAAACTGTCTGTTCATGTCCTTTGGCCACTTTTTAATAGGGTTGTTCCTAAGCAAAAAGAAAAAAGCCGGAGGCATCACTCTACTCGGCTTTGAACTATACTACCAGGCTACAGTGACCAAAACAGTATGGTACTGGTACAAAAACAGACACATGGAGCAATGGAACAGAATAGAGAACCCAGAAATAAGACCACACACCTACAATTATCTGATCTTCGACAAAACTGACAAAAAAAGCAATGGGGAAGGATTCTTTATTCAATAAATGGTGCTGGGATAACTGGCTAGCCATATGCAGAACATTAAAACTGGACCCCTTCCTTACACCATATACAAAAATTAACTCAAGAGGGATTAAATACTTAAATGGAAAGCCCCAAACTATAAAAACCCTGGAAGACAACCTAGGCAAGCCTTTCAGGACATAGGCATGGGCAAAGATATCATGATGAAGATGCCAAAAGCAATTGCAACAAAAGCAGAAATTGACAAATGGGATCTACTTAAACTGAAGAGCTTCTGCACAGCAAAAGAAAGTATCAACAGAGTAAACAGACACCCTAGAGAATGGTAGAAAATTTTTGCAAACTATGTATCCGACCAAGGTCTAATATCCAGAATCTATATGGAACTTAAAGGAGACCACAGCCTTTCTAAGGTGACAGGAGATTTTCCTTGTGGCACATACTTGGTGACTACAGGGCACCTCCCAGTAGCTCAGTTCCACTTTCAGAGCCCTGGAGCATCATGGGGTTCTCATGCCCATTGTCCTTGGGCTGGGGTCCTGTTCCAAGGCACACTCCTGCCCACTCTCGCAAAAATCATTTTGTGTGCACATGGCAGGCCTCAAACATGTCTCCCTGTCTTTGTCCCCACTGTTTGCCTTCTTGTTTTATTTAGAAATCAAGAGAGAATCTAGGCTTGGGAAATGGCAGAGATTTCCCCAAGCTTAGCACAATTCTTTTATCTTTTTTTTTTTTAATTTAATACCATTAGGTCATCTCTTTTAAAAGAATTTCTGGGAAAATCTTTATTTTGTGTATTTCTCAAGCATCTTGACATTCCGTCTCAGAGTAATGGCCCAATCACTTCCTCCCAACTCCCCTTCAAATTCCCTGTCGGCTTTATCTCTTGCAAATGGCTCGGTGCTGCAGAGCAAACTCCCCGTCCCCGGCCCCTCCACCCCCCTCTCTGGGGACAAAGAAAGGGCCCCATACTCTCACTGAGGCCTTTGGGCAAACCAGATACATCATCACAGCCTAAGACAAGGAGGAGGCCCGGGACCCTTCAAAGATGCCTGCTCCAGAGTCCGCACACAAACCTCTGCCTATTAACTCTTTCAAAGAACGTTTGTTGGCTGCGAAAGTCGTCTGGGTTCATTGATAAAAAAAAAAAAAAAGATATTGTCTTTAGGGCTGCTGAATATATTAATGAGTTGTCACGGAGGACAGTTAGGATTTGCAAAGGGTGATAGTTACCATTCACCTACTTGTTGCCTTAAAAGATAAAATCATGTGCAAATGAAGACAGAGCTTTCAGGCACCTCCGCCAGAACACACTTCATTTGAGGCGACGGCAGGGATGCTACTAAAACCCCAAAGAGTTAAGCTGAAATGGTTAATATTCCTGTCTCTGCCCGCCTCCTCCTGTATTCTAATGTATGAACCCGCTCATTCAGATGTGAGTGGGACTTGGGGACAGCTTGCCTTCCCTACGCGATTGTGTATGGCCCCCGCTGAAATGTTCCTAAAAACACGATTTTGTAAACGCTTATGCTCCACCAGACATCCAGCGCATCTACTGGATGCCCAGCGTCTACACCAGACGCCCAGCGTCCCGAGTGGGGTTCACTTTGTCTCTTCACACCCAGGGACTCTCAGCCTGAGGTGAGGGAAAGGAAGGGGGGTTATTAAGAATTCTGACAAGGTAGGCTGAATAAATTGTGTTTTCTTTGTGAGCCTTAATCCGGTGTTGTATTGGCTTCTGGACATGGCTAATTTATTTGGAATTTCATTCTGTTCCTGACAGCGTCCTTGACTAGCTGTTTGATCACCCCGAGCAAAGTTACATACCAGCTTTCAACCGTTGGGAGGGCAGCGGCGTCCTTTTTCTCAAGTGCCTTCTCCTGGGTCGGGCTTTATGCCTGCAGCAGGGCGTTTCAAACGGCTGAGGCCATCCCTTGTTAGGGAGAGAAACCTCCCGGGCAGGGGTCTCCCTCAATGAGGAAGCCCTCCACTTCCCCCCACTCGTCCCACTGTTCGTGATTTTAATCTGCTTTTGTGGCGCAGGAAGAAAGAAAATTAATTTTCGCCCGTCTGTGTGTAGGGAGCATTTCAGTGGAAACCCGGTTTGAAATGCATGTTCTGTTGATTTCGGCAGCCTGCGCCGGCTGGGGTTTTGAGATGCAGCATTCTCAGGGGAAGAGGTGATGGGCCACAGGCCTTCGTGGGGTGGGAACTCAGGCTCCCCGTGGGCCCTGGACGGGGTCCTCATGTCCTGTGCTCCGTCTTGGCAGGAGTAAGAGTTGATGATGTTCATGCTCTCCCAACTCACCCATCTCTGCCATGGTTGCTTTTTTTTTTTTTTTTGGTTAAAGCAAGCATATTTTGCTGTTGCAAAAAGAAACAAAGAAAAAAATGATTTTCAACAGGACCCTGACATGTCTGAGAATGTCTCACTGTCAACAAGGCTGTAGGTGGTGGTTTTACAATTTTGGCGGAATCTGTTCTAAGGAAAACACGTGCTTCTTTTAATTTGGCCTCCCAGCTCCAATGCACGTGGCCGTCCTTGCTGAGAGTCTTCTGGGTGCCTGGAACTGTGCTAAGTCCTGGGGGATTCGGCGAGAGCTCGAGTTCTAGAAACACATGGAAGAGTTCAGAGGATGTTGGTGCTATGAAAATAACAAAACCAACCAACACACTGAGGCCCTGGGGGATGTGCCTGGTGGTCCCTGGGGGAGGGCGTTCAGTATTATTCCTGGGTCCTGCATTTGAGTCAGCCAAGTCCAGCTCATCTCGATGACATTTGGGCGGGGATTTCCCCTGCAAAGCACTCTTATCCCCAGCCTTGCTTGCAGAAGCTGGGAAGGGATTATCATCCCCTCACCGTTTTTTTTTTTTTTTTTTTTTTTTGAGATAAGGTGTTGCCCAGGCTGGAGTACAGTAGCTTGATCATGGCTCACTGCAACCTCTGCCTCCCAGGTTCAAGTGATCCTCCTGCCTCAGCCTCCTAGCTAGGTGGGACAACGAGTGTGCACCACCACATCCAGCTAATTTTTGTATTTTTTTTTTTTTTGTAGAGATGGGGTTTTGTCATGTTGCCCAGGTTGGCCTCGAACTCCTGAACCTTCTCACGTCGGCCTCCCAAAGTGCTAGGATTATTTTCCCCTTTTATTGAGGGGAGGAAACTGAGGCCCAGTGATGCTTCAGTGGAGACCAGCTTGCCTGGGGCTCACAGGAAGCTGTTCACAAGGTTCTTGGGGCTCTGTCCCAGGCTGTCACCTGTACTGAGGGCTGGTCCTGGGCGGGGACCAGGCTTTGGGGGCAAGAACTTGCACCTCCTTGTTACTTCCACTCCAGGCCTTCCCCACGGAGCTCACCTGTGGAGAGGTTTCCTCTGCCAAGCATTTCATCAGGAAACAGTGAGTGAGGGTGCGTCACTCACTGCTCTGTCAGCGTTGAACATTTGGGTGCAGGAAGATGCCTTGGCTCTTTGAGGTCCCGATGGCAACTTGCATCCCCAGATCCATCCTCAGAGGCCCGGGGCTGGGAGCATCCCCGGATCCATCCTCAGAGGCCCGGGGCTGGGAGCATCCCCGGATCCATCCTCAGAGGCCCGGGGCTGGGAGCCACCACCGCCCAGCTCCATGCGTTCCCATTGGCGGGGTCTGGGTCTGCGCTGATGAGGCGCTCGTCACTCTTATCCTGGATTATATTCACAGGCGGGTAACTCGGGGGGTGGTGTGATGGGGAGACACAGGAGGGAGGAGCAGGGAGGGCAAGATGAAGGGGAGCAGTCTGGGAAGGGGGCGACTCCAGGCACAGCCGCACGTCCCTGGGATTTTCAGGGGGAGCTCTGGGGGTTCAGAGTGGCCTCTAGTTTGTCCTGGTCCAAAGCAGGGAAGCTGGGCTACGTCCTGCCCAGGTCAGCCTTAGGTTAAGGGCTGCCTGGGGGAGGGAACTTCCTGGGCCTTCGGGTCTCTGTGCACTGGGGTGGCTCCTGTGGCCCAGAATGCCCTGGAGAAGGGTCCTACTGGAAGCGAAGGTGCAGGGCAGCAGGGCCTGAGGCGCAGGAGCTGGTGGAGGCTCCCAGCACAGGTCGCCGCCCCAGTCACATCACTGCTGATGGTGGGGGGACTTGGGGAGTTTCCCCCGAGAATGGGAGGTCTCACAGTCCCCGTGCTGCAATGCTGTCGGTGCACTGTGTCTGCAACGTGCTCATGGTCACTTGCTTTTTCTCTGTGGCCCCGGCCGCTTTATCCAGCAAGTAGCCCCCTCTCCTCTCCGGAGAAGCCGAGCCTGGATGCCGCTGGGAGGAGGTCACTCCCTTCCTGTCTCGAAGGGCATGCCGTCCTCGTCCTTGCTGACTCCCAGAGGCCCAGGGACGTCTGAGGGGGAGGGGCCGGGCCTCCTTGACCCCTGCGTGTGGACACCATGTGACTGGGGTGTGGTTGACTCTCTGTGTCCGATTGGGTGCTTGGCAAACACAGAGAGTTTTGTCCAAGGCCACCTTGGTCCCCACCTGTCCAGGTTGGGAGGTGCCCTGCCTGGTGTGGCCTGAGCTGAGCGCCTCTGGCCGGAGCAGACGGCCCCGGCTCCCCCAGGACATGTCACCTGGAGAGGTGGCCCTTTCAGGTAAGGGACATGCCCATTGGCAGCAGCCTCTGCCCCCTCCCTGCATACACAGCTGCTCCCATCTGGGGACCCTCACCCCACGTGCGGATGGGCTTCCCCAGGAAGTCGGCAGGACTTTCCCTGGCCTTCTGGAAGTCCCCATCAAGCAAATGCTCTATCGATGACTTACTCTATGACGGGGTCCAGAGAGCTAACTCCCCACCCACGTTCGAAGTGATCTTCAAACCGCTGCGCGTGGAAAACAAGCCCAGAGCTCAACGTTCCCTAAGTGAGTGGCCTTTGACAGCAGTGCCAGGCAGCCCAGTGGGTGCAGGGCACACCACAGATGGAGGAAGGGCCAGGCATGCTTCCCAGACAGCCTCTGCCAGTCCAGGCAGGGGCTCCAGGGTGGCTGCGGGAAGGCAGCTTAGGCGGTGCCCGGCCCAAGGTGAGTTGGCATCATGCTCCACTTCCCGTTTGAACGTGTGGTCCCGTTTGAACCTTCTGGAAAGGCTTGGCAGGGAGGACACTCATTTTGTAGACTGGGAAGGAACTGAAGAGCTGGCTTCCGGCGACCAGCGATGGGCCCCAGATCCCTGTGGCCAGGAAGGCCCCCATTGCTGTTCTCTGTAGCTCAGGCTGGACATTTGCTGGTGAGAACTGGCCGGACTCCCAGGACCCAGCCGCCAGAGACCTCTGTTCCTCACGCTCAGCCCCCTAGCTCCAACTGGGGCCCCTTTGCTTTACAGGATGTAGGCTTGGAGTTAGAGGGGGCAGTTCTGGCGGTTTATCTCTCACTCACAGAAACTCGGCTGTGAGAGGCCAGAGCTGGACTTGGGGGGCAGAGCCTGTAGAGGTCAATGTGTCCTTATTGGGTGTGCACACGTGTGAGTCTGTGTGCACACACATGTATACATGTGTATGCGTGTGTGTGTGTGTGTGTGCGCGCGTGTGGCAGTCAGAGAAGGCTGGGCAGACACTGTTATTTCAGAAAAGATGTGGAGGCCTTTCTGAAGGCATCCACTGAGAGGCAGGGGCCAGGATCTCTGTGCCCAGGCGCTGGGCGTGGCCCCTGAGAAGTGCTCTCTCCCCTAATCCTTCAAAGCAGGAGGTATTTGCTTCACTTTCTAAGGCAGGATCTGCGGCTCTGAGAGGTTGCACAACTTGCCCGAGGTCACTCAGCTAGTAGAAGGCAGGACTGGCCTCCGGTCCAGGGTGACTGTGAGGATGTCAGGGGACCCTGCAGGCCTGTGCGCCCCAGCTTAGGGCTACAGGTCCCACCTAAGGCTTCTTGATGGAGGTTGGAGGGGCGAGCTGGAGGGAGGTGCTGCTGGGGGTCCACCGGTCCCCTTCCTGGGGGATGAAGCCGGTTTCCCGCGCTGACCCCCTTGCCATCAGAGGCCCAGAGCGCGGTCCTTGTGCTGCTGAGCTGTGTTTGGGGCCGCCTGTGGGCTGTGGCCGCCTGTCCTCATCTTCTCCCCTTTTCTCCTTGGCTTTTCATCCTCAGGCTCCGTCCTTCTTCCCCGTGGTGGCCCCAGCCTCCCTGCCAAGCTTCCCGGCCCCCGCCCCATCCCGGGCCTGCTGCTGCGGAGACCGTGGGCCGGCGCTGGACGGCGCGGCCTCCAGAAGTGATAGCTAATTGGGGAGAGAAAGGGCCCAATTGTCTGGCGGGGCCGGAAGAGCCGCGTGGGCTGCTGAAAGCGTCGGGAGGAGGTGGCCGCTTCGCCCAGCAGCTGCCGCCGGGGATGTTTGCAGATTACGTCAGCGCTGGCGAGCAGGGGGCGCGGGGACAGCGAGGGGGGCGGGCTCCCGGCGGCCTCCCGCCCCCCAGGCCCCTGGACAATGCTGTCATTGTCAGCACGGAGAGTGGTTAATTCTGGATGAATGGTACACGGGCCTCTTGACCAAGGAGGCTGCTCGTCGTCCCCAGTCTGTCCTCTCACATGCCAGGGAGGCCCCGGGCTGGAGTCTGGCGGGCAGATCTGGCCTGCTTGGTGGCACCAGAGAGAACAGGGCGGTCCCTTGGGGGCGCCGGCTGCAGAGGCCCCAGGCTGGACGGAGCTTCCTGTCCTGGGTCTGCACAGCAGCCACTTGGCAGTGCCGGGCTAGGGTGGCAGGGCCCCACTGCATCTCGGTTCCAGGGCAGAGGCTGCTGCTGCCCTTTGGGGCTGACTTCAGGCATGACCTCCTGGCCAGGTGGCAGCTTTGGCCCTGACCCGCTCCTGGCCCTGCTGGTGGTGATCCTGCTAGCACGCCTCATCCTGTGGTCCTGCCTCGGGACCTACATCGACTACAGACTGGCCCAGCGGCGGCCCCAGAAACCCAAGCAGGACTAAGCCTCTGCAGGCTGCGGCCTCCACGCGCCCTGTCCCGAGACTCAGCCGGCCCTTCCAGTGGTGGTGGGAGGGAGGGGAGCAGGGCAGGCGCATGATCCCCATGTCCCACCCCTGGGGCAGGAGCTCAGAGAGGCCTGAGATGGATCGTGCCTTCCCAGACTGACCAGGGCTGTCCCGTAGAGGCAGCTGGCCATGTGGGGAGATGGAGGGGCCGGCCTTGCAGGTCCATCACCAGGTTCTGGGGTCCCCGGTTGCAGGGAGTGGTCCTGGGGGTGGGTCTTGCTTTAAGACCTTCTCTGCCTCCAATTCCTTATAAATATGCCTGCAGGAAGAGCTGGGTAAGCCAGAGGACTCAGGTGGAGGTGCCACAGAGACAAATGTGACCTCATCACAAGCTGGCCCTGTTACCAAAGGCCACGTCCTGTCTCAGCTCACCACCCTCATAACTAGTCTCCTCCTGCCTCCCAAGGGACGAGATAAGTGCCGATGGCTGTCCTGATTTCTCCAGAGCAGACCCCTGGGAAGGGTCTCAGGACGCACTTGTGAGGCTGAGTTGACAAGCCAGACGCACTTGGCTCTGGTTGACCCTCTGCACACTCTCTAACGGTCTGAACAGTTAGGGCACAATGATCCCTGCCTCCCTCCCTCAGCAGGATATCATGTAGGGGACAATTTAGGGGACAAGCCAAGGCACCCATCAATGCCCTCTGTTCATCTGTTCCTGCAAGTGTGTGGCTGGGAAGTGCCCAGGAAGGCTGACAGGGCAGGGAAGTTGATTTGAGGCCAAGCATCCAGTGCTCCTGCTCCACCTCCGTAGCACGTTAGCCGTGATGCCAGTGACTTAACCCACAGCTTGGGGAAGCTCAAAGGCTCCACATTCGAGCCTCTTGGGGGAAATTCGGCAAACACCCATGTCCAAGTTCCACACTGTATTTCCTGGGATCGTTCCAGCAGATCGTGGATTGCAGCGAGGGCTGCTGACTGCATGCGGAACTGTGAGATGGAAGGGACTGTGGGCGGCAGCTCCAGGGAGGAGCATCGAACCAGATATCGTCTCTGGGAGGCTGGGCCTGGTGATGTGGCAACGTCTTGCTCCCTGAGAGGTGATGGGTATGCTAGGGATGCTCGCTCAGGGAACGTGGGCCAAGTCCTCTGAACACGAAGCTCGCAGAGGGGGTGATTCCTGTGAATTCTGAAAGGACTTGGGGGCGTCCAGCAAGAGCAGGAGCTTAGATGGTGGTTCCAGGGCTGGTGTTGCTGACTGGGACGAGTGGACCCCCAGGGTGGGCATGGAGTGGGGCACTGGCTGGGAGCCTCTGCCTTGCTGTGTCCTGGCTGAATGAACCCAGGTGAGGACCAGAAACGCTGTTATCACTGTTTCTGCGGCACCCGATACACTCACCTATGCCAAGGAAATTTTTTTTTTTTTTTTGGTTTCTACAGGACTTGCTGTGCTCAGATCCTCCATTCAAGAGAGCTACAGACACGGGGGTGCTGGTGAGCAGGAGCCGAGACCATCTGGGGTGGG
Organism: Homo sapiens; assembly: GCF_000001405.40. Classification (NCBI taxonomy): domain Eukaryota; kingdom Metazoa; phylum Chordata; class Mammalia; order Primates; family Hominidae; genus Homo; species Homo sapiens. The sequence continues at coordinate 69,159,531 of NC_000011.10, forward strand.
ACCGACCAAGAGTTTGAGGTGTCCAGGGGGTGACGTGAAGATGACCTATTGCAGAGGGTCCCTTCTCATTCACGCTCTGAAGTCTGCACAGGGGCAGGGGCTACCGTGCTCCATTTCAGTTTGGCCTCTGTTGTATCAGCCAGAGGCCAGCAGAACTCTATGGTCACTCCCCCGTGTCACGGACAATTTGCCACCTCCACCGGCAGCCCAGGGCTCTGCCTGAATATTCTCGCCTGATCGTAGGATTGTGGGGAGGGATATTCTCATTGATCTCTAAGGAAAATATTGTTCGCTTTTTAAAAACATGATCTGGTACCATTTCATTGATCTCTTTAAGGAAGAAAAATCACATGGTTGTCATGAGCATGTACCGACAGAGCTAGGAGGGCCAGCTGTTCCGGGTTGCCCAGGGCTGTCTTGTTTTTAAAATGGAAAGTTCGATGTCCTGGAAAACCCCTCAGTCCTGGGCAAACCAGGTCACGCTGGATAGAAGGAGTTAGACATTCATATGATGTGCCGATGTCTTGCCAGTTGTAGAGTTTTGTGTAAACCTGTGTGTGGCCTGCGTGTCCACATGGGTGTGTAGGATGGCACCTACACACATACCTGAGGTCACCTCTTGGTCCAGTGAGCCAGAATCCTGGGACTTCATCATCTTTTTTTTTTTTTTTTTTGAGATGGAATCTCACTCTGTCACCCAGGCTGGAGGGCAGTGGCGCAATCTTGGCTCACTGCAACCTCCGCCTCTGGGGCTCAAGCAATTCTCCTGCCTCAGCCTCCCGAGTAGCTGGGATTATAGGCGTGTGCCACCACGCCCTGCTGATTTTTGTATTTTTTAGTAGAGATGGTGTTTCACTATATTGGCCAGGCTGGTCTTGAACTCCTGACCTCAAGTGATCTGCCTGCCTTGGCCTCCCGAAATGCTGGGGTTACAGGCATGAGCTACCATGCCCGGCCTCAGAATCCTGGGACTTCTGCTGGAGCCAGGGGTCAGAACAGACTCCTCTACTGGGACTGCCTGGCAGGGAGGACAGACGCTCAAGGCGGCCCCATGAGAACACAGCCACCTGGAAAAATGGTGGAAGGGAAGATTCTGCCAACCTCCTCCGACTCCCTATCTCAGTTACACTGGTCCATAATTTCTTTTCTTTTTCTTAAGTCTGTTTCATTGGTTTCTGTTCCTGGAAAATGGACACAATTCTGATGAATTCATGTATTCTGCATCCACGTGTCAGCATCTCCAGCCTTGTGACGCAGTGCCTGGCTCAGAACAGGCAATCAGGCCATGGCATCTGAATGAATGAGAGGGTGTGCCCTGGCCGTATCTCAGGCAGCAGATGCATTCAGCTGCAGGTAACAGACACGTAGACAAACAGTGGCTTAAAAAAGAGAGGCTTTAAAAGTATTTTGTTTTTCTTTCTTCACGTAGCAAGAAGTCTGGCATTTGGCATTCCCAGGCTGTGGCGTGACAGCTTTGTGAAGTTATCAGGGTCTCAGACCCTGACATATTTCTGCTCTGCTACCCTCAGCATGTAGATTTGATCTTCACGGCTACAAGAAACCTGCTGCTACTGCAGGCATCTTACACGAGTTCCAGGCAGGAAGAGAAAGGAAAGGGTGACAGAGACAGAAAGCAATGTCCCCAGATACCCTTAGTTTTCCATCTCATAAGCCAGAATGATGTCACGTGGCATCCCTGGATGCACAGGAGGCTGAGAGATAGTGGCGTTTGTTAGCTGGTCTCCTAGCCATCCTGAATGCCAAGTTTGTTATAAAGAAACAGAGGCAAAATGGCGATCAGGCAGGCAACTGGGTGGTCTCTGCCACGGGCCCCTTGGCCATTCTTTGTAATGATGGTCTTTGTCTTGGACCCTATTTTGGATATTTGGGCACCTTTGTGGTACCCTTATGTGCTGGTTTTGCTGTTGTCTGCCCTTCAGGAATAGCAGCTGAGTCAAGCTGTCCTTGGCTGCTCCAATCTGGAGTCAGAGGTTGGAGATTTCCATGGCTCCCCATGGCTCCTTGGGGCCTCCTAAGAAAATGTTTTAATAAGGAAGTCCAAGGCTGAGACAGACATGCTCCTTCTTAGAGACACATGGGAACATGCCTCTGCTCACAGCTGGTAGCCACAGATGTAAACCGTAGCCCATGGAACGGAGACAGTGAAGAATTGATGGATAAATGAATAATGATGATGGACAGCAGATGTATAAAAGGCATAAAAGGATAGTGTTAGGGCTGGAATGTCTTCCCCCCAATTCATATGTTGAACCTTTAATGCCTAATACTTCAGAAAGAGACTGTGTTTGAAGATATGGTCTTTACAGAGGGAATAAAGTTAAAATAAGGTCATTAGGGTGAGCCCTAATCCAAAGGATGGGTGTCCTAATCAGAGGAGGAGATTAGGACCCAGACACACACACACACACAGAGCCAGGTGAGGACACAGGGAGAAAATGGCCACGTACAAGCCAAGATGAGAGGACTCAGGAAGAACCAGCCGACTCCACCCTTCAAAACTGTGAGAACATAGATGTCTGCTGTTTGAGCCACCCTGTCTGCAAGCAGTCAGCAAGCATTCATTGAGTGCTTGCAGTATTCAAGGCACCACAGATACAATGTTGAATAAGGCAAAGCACCTGCCCTCAGGTAGCTTGCAGTCAGGGAGGTAAGGGTAGTGGGCAGAGAGACCTGGAAACAGATATTAGACCTGCACTAAGCATGTGTGGTTATTGAACAGTAAAAATGCCACCACAAATTGCGATATGATGTAAGTAAAATGCGTACTGGCTATTGAAGACTTGGCACAGAAAAATAATGTAAAATCTCATTAGTAATGGTTTTATATTGATTACGCATTGAAATAATACTATTTTGGACAGATTGGGTTAAATAAAATATTAAATTTGATTTCGCCTGTTTCTTTTATTTTCATTACTTATTGGCCATGATATTTTATTTAACTTTTAACTTTTATTTTAGATTCAGTGGTACATGTGCATGTTTGTTATACAGGTAAACTCATGGGGGTTTGGTGTACAGATTCTTTGTCACCTGAGTACTAAACTTAGTACCCAAGAATTATTTTATCTGATCCTCTCCCTCCTCCCACCTTCCACCCTCAAGTAGGCCCCAGTGTTTGTTGTTCCCCTTTATGTGACCATGTGTTCTCACAAGTGAGAACATGTGGTATTTGGTTGTCTGTTCCTGTGTTAGTTTGCTATGGACAATGGCCTCCAGCTCCACCCATGTTCCTGCAAAGGACATGATCTTATTCTTTTTTATGGCTGAATAGTATCCCATGGTGTATATGTACCACTTTTTCCTTATCCAGTCTACCATTGATGGGCATTTAGGTTGATTCACCTATTCCTTTTAATAGGTCTTAATATGGCTAGTAGGAAATTTAAAATCACATAGGTAGCTTATATTATTTTTGTTATGGACAGTGCTGTGCTGGACCTTCATAATGCAGTAAAAGGGTGGCGGGTGAATGCATGGTGTGTTACAGGAACGCAGGAGGGAGCTTCTTGGAGGAGGTTCTTAGTCCATTTATGCCTGAGGTTGCCGTTTTTTAAATTTTTGCAATCAGACCTTGGTGATGACCTTGAGCAGTAGGATATATAAATAACTCCCACATGCTCAGCATTCCAATAATGGAACACTAGGCATAAATGGGTTGAGTGATAATGTTTGGACTGCAAACCAGAACCTATGAGATGCAGCTAAAGCAATTCTTGAAGGGAAAGTTATAGCCTTAAATATTCATATTAACCAATAGAAAGAATGAAAACATATGGATTAGGCATATGGCTCAATATATTGAACATAATAGAAAAAACTAAGAAAAACAGAAGGAAGAAATAAAGATAAGAGAGGAAATATATGCATTAAGAAGCAATAGAATTAACAAATGTACCCAAGTGCCAGATTTTTCAGGGGCATAAAAAAGGATGCTGTTAGTCAATCCTATCAAGAAAAAAGAAGAAAACATAAATGAAATAAAAGTCTATGGGGAAAACAACCGCAGAGACATAAAATGGCAAATAACCACAGGAAACTGGCACTGGGATACATAAAAGATTTTGAGACTTTGAAAACATAGAAAATATAATTTATTTTAAAAAAGACTCCAAAAGAGATGTAAAGTCTAAACAAATTGATTACCATAGAAGAAATAGAAAGTTGTCAAAGTCGACTTTCCTTAAAAAAAAAAAAAAAAAGCATCAGGCCTAGAATGTTTTATAGGAGGATCCAACCACACCAAAAACGAACAGGTAATTAAACACTATTTAAACTGTTCTAAAGCATAAAAGAAGGAATATTTTTAACTTCTTTTTATGTAACAAGCATATCATTGATGCCAAGATCCATCATAGATGGCATGGAAAGAGAAAACACACACCAGTGTTGTTTGGGAACATTGATGTAAAAATATTAAGTCCCTGAATTAAGCAGCACATTAGGGGAGTAAATCATTGCAACAACTGAGCGGAATGGATTCCAGAAATGCAAGGATGGTTGGGTATTAGAAAAACAATTAGAAAAGAGGAAGAAATCAGAGGTGCAAACACTGGGAAGGAAAATCATTATTTACAGAGAGATGGATGATTTTCTTGGAAAATGGAAGAGAGTCAACCAGAAGCAATTGCAAATGCTAATACCAGAATTCAGTCAAGTGAGTGGGTCTAGATCAATACAGAGAAACCATACACACAGCAATCCACTAGATGAGAAGCATGAAAGACCCCATTTATAAGAGCAACATAAAGAGCAGAAACATGGTTGGCCACTGTGGGTGATCAAGTTAGGGCTCACAGTGATTTCCTTTAGTCTGTTTTCATGTGCAATCGCCATGGGTGCTGTAGACAAGATTTATTATGGACACGAGACCCTGACAGTGTCGAGGCTGGTGGAGAAGCCCACACAAAGCTGGTGTTTGGCCTGGGGGCCCAGGTGACCTGCAGGGGAAGCTGGTGGCTTTGCCATGTTGCTGAGACTAGGAGGCCTAGATAAGCTAGAGGAACAGCCTCGTTGGAGGGGCTGTGGCCGGGGACCACTGTGGGCTGGGGACTCCACTTGGACTGTCAGAGCACAGAAGCTGACTCTCCTTCCCCACGGCTGCCAAGTCCTGTGCTCCTGGACCTGTCACTACCGTGGAGCCAAGAAGACACAGAAAAAAGCCATCACATTTTTTGCGGGTGGCGATGGTGGGTGCCTCCATATAGGGTGAGTACTTGGGGTGGAGGGGTTCCCTGGGCCATGGGACTTTCAACACTAAAATGGGGAGGGTCGTGGCCACATTGGGATGGCTGGTCATCCTGTTTATAGGACAGGATGTAGTAAAGTGTAGTAAAGAATCTGACCCAAAGAGAAGTCTAGTCTTTGTCCTTGGTTCCTGGGAGGGGATCTCCAGGCCCTCGGGATGTCCTGCTTGAGAAGAGCATCTTTGTTTGCCTGTCATGAGGGGACATTTGGGTCACGTGGTCTCCTTTTGACCTCTGGAGGGGCAGAAAACTAAAGGTCAGTCACTTGGGCATCAGTGCATCATGCCCACGTGATCGTGATCAAGCCCCAGTAAAAACTCTGGACACCAAGGCTCCGGGGACATCTGCTTGGCAATACTCGACGCATCTCATCACGCACCATTGCTGGGAGGAATTCATGCGGTCCATAACTCCACTGGGAGAAGGAGATTGGAACTTCCTTGCACTCTGCCCCATGCATGCCTTCCCTTGGCTGATTTTAATCCTTTCACTGTAATAAACCATAACTGTAACCATTACAACTTTCAGTGGGTTGTTGAAATGGAGGATGATGAACTTGAGGACCCCTGAACTTCCAATTGCTGTCAGAAGTGAGGGTGGTCCTGGGGACTGTTTCCTAATTTCTGCATCTTCGTTCTCTGTTTCTCCTTCTCTTTCTCCTCCTCTTCCTTGAAAACTGCAGAAGGATATACCATGAGCAAGGATTCTGCCTACCCCAAGTCATCTCATCTCCCTCCATCAATGCAGCCCGAGCTGCCTGTTTCTTGTGTCTCATCCAGAGATATCCCGTGTGCTTCCAGGCAAATGCAAATGTCTTCTCCCACCAACCTCATTTTCTCCCATAATTAATAGCATGTTGCGCATACCCTATCCTTATTGCCCCATATGAATTTTTTGTGGATTTTCTAGTTTTCCTGTAATGAGCATGCATTTTTTAAAAATGAAGAAACAAGTGGGTTACACAGATTGGAAAGTATAGTGAGCAAGGCTCTAAGAAATGAGTAGTTAAGGGTAGTAGTAGTAAGCTTAGGGAGCTGTTGTTCCCTTACGTTTTGAGACAGGGTCTTGCTCTGTTGCCCAGGCTGAGTGCAGTGGTACAATCATGGCTTACTGCAACCTCTGCCTCCCAGGCTCAAATGATCCTCCTGTCTCAGCCTCCCAAGTAGCTGAGACTATAGATGTGCACCACTGTGCCTGGCCAATTGTTTTTTTTGGTAGAGATAGGGTCTTGCAATGTTGTCCAGGCTGGTCTTGAACTTCTGGGCTAAACAATACACCTGCCTTGGCCTCCCAAAGTGCTGGGATTACAGGAGTGAGCTATCACACCAAGGGGTGAGGTGGACTGAGGCCAGGCAAAGGTGAGCTGTGGGCCCTCGGTCCTGGGCACGGATCTCATCACTAGGAATTCCTCCTCCCCATTCCCCCACCAACGGGGCCACAGCCCCGGGAAAGGGGTGGCTCTTCTGGGTCCCCAGACTGCTCCCAGCTTTTCCTCTGTGGAGGCAGGTATGTGAGAAAGGATGCAGCCAGGCAGGTGCAACACACCTGGGCAGCCCGTGGCTGTGGCCATGGCCATGGCCGGTCTGCATGTGGAGGAAAAGATGGTGAGGTGAGACCCTGAGAAACAACTCTCTGATCTCATCCACCTCTCCCCTCCTAGGCGGGACGAGATGGATGCACCCTCTGCCGCAGCCACCTCTTCTGCAGGTGCCCGGCTTCTCCAGACTTGCTATTTTGGAGGGGCAGGTCAGTGGGAACGACCGACTGCCTTGCATCTCAGCCACTCATGGGCCTCAGAGTGTGGGCAGGGGCAGCTGCAGCCCTCTCGAGCCTCTCACTCCCTGCTTGGCCTCTGTAAGCCTGTCCGGGAGCAGCTCACAGAGCCCCTGTGGTGGAGATGAGTCACTTGTTCTAAAAATAAAAGAAGTGAAGTCATGAAATAGTGTATTTCCTTTTTAAGCCCGATGTGCCTGCAGGGGGATCCCCAGCAGTGTGCTGGCGGCAGGGACCCTGACAAGGTCTGGAGCCTCAGAGCGCACCTGCCCCCACTTACAAGCCCCGGCCTCGGGGATTGGGTGGAGTGTCCCCTGCCTCCAACGGCTCCCAGATGAGTGAGTAAAAGATGGCACGTAGACCAGGAGCGGGGGCTGACACCTGCAATCCCAGCACTTTGGGAGGCTGAGGTGGGAGGATCACTTGAGGCCAGGAGTTTGGGGCCACCCTGGGCAACATGGTGAAACCCTGTCTCTACTAAGAATACAAAAAAATTAACCAGCGTGGTGGCACATGCCTGTGGTCCCAGCTACTGGGGAAGCTGAGGTGGGAGGATTGCTTGAGCCTGGGAGGTCAAGGCTGTAGTGAGCTGAGATTGCACCACTGCACTCCACCTTGGGTGACAGAGTGAGACCCTGTCTCGACAAACAAACAAACAGACAAACAGACCGATGGCATGTAAATAGCACCCACATTGGGCAGACAGTCTTAGGCTGTAAGAGAGGGCAGAGTGCCCTGGAACACACACAAGGGAAGGAGCGCTGCTCTCTCTTGGGGTCTGTGGGAGGCTTTCTGGAGCAGGTGTCCCTAGAGGTAGGACTGGGGGGACTCTGCTAGGCTGGTAGGAAGGGAACAGCATTCCAGGCAGAAGGAACGGTGTGAGCAAAGGCCTGGAGGCTACAGAGCTCCCGGCAAGCTCAGGATATGATCCTCTGTAGGTCTCCCCAGACCACCTGGGGAGCTGGTGACACGTGCAGATTCCCAGGCCCGAAGACCAGCTGGACTCCAAGAGCAGGGCCCAGGAATATGACTAATAATTCCCCTGCCTGATTCCCATACCCTGCAAAATTTGAGACCCTCTGGTTCAGATGCTAGTGCATAGAGGAGGGGATGAAGAGACGTACGATGGCAAGGCAGGTTGGGTCCAAATTGTGAGGGTTTTGAGGGTTGTTTAGGAGTTTGGATTTTGGTGTACAGGCAGGAGGGGGCTATCAAGGGTGTTTAAGTAAGGGAGTGCTGCTCCTGGACCTGCTCCTGAGAATGGCTCCTGGGAGTGATGTAGGTGACTGATTGATGGGGTGGGACGAAGCTGGGCAGAGGCTTGGGTAGCTGGGACTGTAACAGTTATGTGAGAGGAAGCGGGAATCTGAGAGAGTTGCCGGGGCAAAATGTAGGCCCCCAGCCCCTGGTTCAGGGGACAGCCCAGGGATAGTCACCAGGGATCCAGCGATGTGTGTGTGTGGAGTGTGAGCAAAAGAGGGGGAATTACATGCTTGTTACCAGAAGTGGGGTCGGAGATGGGGAGAGAGAGAGCAGTTCTGGGTCCTGGAGCAGCAGGGCAGAGGGGTTCTGGAGATGCCAAGTGCTCAGGGCACAGAATGGGGCCCGGATGCTTGATGGGGGTATGGGGAAGTCCTTAGAGAAAACAGAGCCCAACAGTGGGCTTCAGGCACCCACTGAGGGTCTTGGGTGTGGTGCTGGAGGGGCCGGGAGGGAGGGAGAGGGTAGAGAGGGAGAAGGGATTCTGCACAGACTCACCTGGTAGGGAGGTTGTTTCAGGTATATGTTCAGAGCCAACGATGGCCTGGGCTTGAATCCCATGCCCTCCACCTCTACCTGGGTGGCCTGGGCACATGTGCTGAGCCCAGTCTGAAAGTATGAAATGGAAAATTTCAGAAATAAATAATTCCTCAGTTTTAAGTGGCATGCCATTCTGAGTCGTGTGATGAAATCCCATTCCATCTTGCTCAATCCCCCTTGAAGTGTGAGTGATCCCTTTGTCCAGCACCTCCACGCCTTGATGCTACCTGCCTGCAAGTTACTTGGGAGCCCTCTCAGTGTGGGATCCATTTGCTCCATACTGCAGGGCTTGTGTTTAAGGTACCCTCCTCCTCTTTTACTTAATAATGGCCCCAAAGCACAAGAGTAGTGATGCTGAGGTCGGGCGCGGTGGCTCACGCCTGTAATCCCAGCACTTTGGGAGGCCGTGGCAGGCAGATCACTTGAGGCCAGGAGTTTGAGACCAGCCTGGCCAACACAGCAAGACCCCGTCTCTACTAAAAATACAAAAATTAGCTGGGCGAGGCGGTGGGCACCTGTAGTCCCAGCTACTTGGGAGGCTGAGGCAGGAGAATTGCTTGAACCCAGGAGGTGGAGGTGGCAGTGAGCTGAGATAACACCACTGCACTACAGCCCGGGTGACAGAGGGAGACTCCGTCCCCTTACCACCCCCCCCCAAAAAAAGTAGTGATGTTGACATATTGTTACAATTGTTCTATTTTATTATTGGTTATTGTTAATCTCATTTGGTGTCTATTTTTTAGATAAAACTTTATCATGGTATGCATGTACAGGAGACATGTATATAGGTATGTATGTACATAAAAAGTGTATATGATACTATTCATGCCTTCTGGCTTCCCCTGGGGGTCTTGGAATGTGTTCCCTGTGGATAAGGGAGGACCACTGTACTCATAGAGACTGGGGTGCCAGTTACGGAGTTGTGGAGTGCTAGCCCAGAGCTTTGTGAGCCGGGAATGTGGTGGGGTGAGAGAGGGCTTGGCCAAGCTCGGCTGGGATTGCATGGGACATGGGTCTTGCTGGAAGGCAGTGACTGGTGTCTGCATCTCTCCTTTGAACTCCGGAGGTGGGAAGCTGGCTGGAGCCGTCCCCAGGGCAGAAAGAGGAGAAAGGGCATCAGTGAGCCCCTGTGCTGCCCTGTTAGGGGTGGCTAAGCGTGGCTAAGATTCTGCTTTTCCTGTAGGGAGGAGTTATTGTCTCCATTGTTAAGGATGGCAAAGGGAGAGTCCATGGATTGCAGGTGATGCAGGCAGCAGATGGAGGAGAATGAAGCTATTATCTGTTCTGAGCCTCTTTTGTTACACAGCTTCATCTAGTCCCTGACCCATGCACCCTTCTGGGAAACCTACCTCTAACCTCCTCACTCATAAGACAGACACAGGCTGCCCCACCTCCAAAAGTCTGGAAACACCGAGGACACACGGACAGCCTTTGTGTTGTCTAGAAGGCAGCTCTTTTCCCCAAATGCCTGTCCTCCCTTCCCTGGAATCCTTCTGAGGCTAGGACCCACAATGATGGCCTGGCCCAGCACCCCATCCTCCGCCTCCTCAAAAGCATTTGCTGCCTGTCGGGAACACAAATCCCTGTGACCTTTGGCTGTTCCTGTCATGTCCTCAGAAGGACAGAAATTAGCAGGGGAATCAGGCAGTGAAAAATGGCCACCCTCTCCCCCCACTCCCTCTTCTCACAGTCAACAGCAGGGCAGGACGAGGGCTTGGGCTTGGCTGCTATCAGGCATCTATATGGGGTGTCTTTATGGGTGGGAGGGGGTTTCACAATCCACCTTTTGTAAAGCCTTCTGCTCATGGGAGTTTGAGGTAAGCTGAGGTGGGCTGGAGCTGGCATGGGCAGGGGGCAGGTGATGCCATCTCCCAGGTGCCCTGAGGCCTCAGGCCTGAGTGAGCTGTCCCCAGCAGCCCAGGCCATCCCAGCAGTGATCTTAACATTGGCGGCAGCAGGTTCCTCAAGACGTCCTTCCTGATGTCTTCACCCACATCCCCAGGTCCCCCCTCACCCAGCCCCCAGTGTGATGGTTAATACCGAGTGTCAACTTGATTGGATTGAAGGATACAAAGTATTGATCCTGGGTGTATCTGTGAGGGTGTTGCCAAAGGAGATTAACATTTGAGTCAGTGGGCTGGGAAAGGCAGACCCACCCTTAAACTGGATGGGCACAATCTAATCAGCTGTGCCAGCGAGGCTAGAATATAAACAGGCAGAAAAATGTTAAAGGAGAGACTGGCCTAGCCTCCTAGCCTACATCTTTCTCCTGTGCTGGATCCGTCCTGCCCTCGAACATCGAACTCCAAGTTCTTCAGTTTGGGAACTCAGATTGGTTCTCCTTGCTCCTCAGCCTGCAGACGGCCTATTGTGGGACCCTGTGATTGTGTGAGTTAATACACTCCCATGTAGATATATTCCATCAGTTCTGTCTCTCTAGAGAACCCTGACTAATACACCTGGTATCCGGCGGGTGCTCACTGTGACAGTGTGGACAGCTGCCTGATTGCAGTCTTGAGCACCTGTCTTTCTGATGCCCTTTCTCCTCTTTCTGCCCTGGGGGCGGCTCCAGCCAGCTTCCCACCTCCAGAGTTGGAGTTCAAAAGGAGAGATGCAGCCAGCTCCTTCCCAGCCAGCAGATGGGCCAGGGGCCAGCGGAAGGGGAGGGAAAATCCTCGGACATGTGGCCTGGCATTTTGAACTCCCTGCACTTTGTGGGAAAAACAGGCAGTACAAGAGTAATATTCACCTAGAAGTAGAAAGTCAGGGCCGAGGGAAAAAAGCAGCTACGTTAGGAAGGCGAGTCCAGGGACAGATACGTTACCCACCAGGTCCTTCATGATTGCTGTAGCCAAGCTGCAAGTTCCTGGCGGCCAATGGGAGCGTGGAAAGAAGGAAAGGTTTAAGGTTCTCGTGGCCATTGGAGAAAATACTTTAGCTGCTCAGGAAGAGTAAATCTTTCCCTAGCTCTCATTTGTGAAAGAAATTTTCCTTAAGGGGCTTCACCTACAAGTCATCGGGAGTAACGGTGATTGGATTGGTCAGTGTTCTCAAGAGAAGCTGAACCCACAGGATGTGCTGATATACAGACAGAGATTTGTGATAAGGAATTGGCTTGAACCATGTTGGAACTGGCAAGTCCAAAATCCACAGGATGAGCCAACAGGCTGGAGAGTGAGGAGAACCGATGCCATGGTTCTAGTCTGAAGGCTGTCTGTGGTAGAAGCAGGTGGAGCTGACCTCACAGATGGAGCCTGAAGGCCTTCTGCAGCAGAATTCTCTCTTGCATTTGGGTTCTAATCAGGCCTTCCACTGATTGGGTAAGGCCCACCCACATTAGGGAGGGCACATTGCTTTACTGAACATCCTTCAGTTTAAATGTTCATCTCATCCAAAACACCCTCGCAGAAACACCTGGAATCATGCTTGACCAAATATCTGGGCACCCTGTGTCCCATCCAGGTTGCATTAGTCTATGTTCATGCTGCTAATAAAGACAGTACCCAAGACTGGGTAATGTATAAAGAAAAAGAGGTTTGATGGACTTACAGTTGCACGTGGCTGGAGAGGCCTCATTATCATGGCAGAAGGCAAAGGAGGAGCAAAGTCACATCTTGCATGGCGGCAGGCAAGAGGGAGCATGTGCAGGGGCATTCCCCTTTGTAAAACCATCAGATCTTGTGAGACTTATTCACTATCATGAGACCAACATGGGAAAAGCCTGCCCCCATGATTCAATTACCTCCCACCAGGTCCCTCCCATGACATATGGGGATTATCACAATTGAAGGTGAGATTAAGGTGGGGACACAGAGCCGAACCATATCACATGTTGACACATAAAATTAGCCACGACAGGGATGGGGAGTGTTGCCCCCATCTCTACAGCACACACAGCCCTGGACTGTCCAAATGGGTCCCCCAAATGCACTGGGTGCACCATGGTTCTGATTGGAGGAGAGATGAGTCTACTGCCCATCTCTGGGGCTGGCGTGCATCTCAGGGAGGTCTGAGATTCTTCAACTAGGCTGTTGACCATACAGTCACGTGGTGGCATCATTTTGTTGTGTTTTTTTTGTTTTTTTTTAATGAGATGTCAGGTTTGGAAAAGAAGAAGATGAACACATCAGATGCTTGAGTGATTTTAAGGGCAGACGCTTAGGCAAATGCCTGTTGGGAATCTTTGGCTCCCCCAGTCAGCCAATCAGCTCCTTCTCACTTATGAGCCAATGGAGCAAAGGAAGATGGAGTTGAGGAAAAAGGAGTCCCAAGGTCAGGAAGGAGAGAGAAGTCAGTTGAGGAGAAATGGAACCTTGCTTCACCTTAGAGCATTTGCATCATGGTGGTATTGTGTCCCACACCAACCTGCTGGGGCTGCCACAGGGAGCAGGGAGAGAGGGGAGAAAGTAGCTGAGATTCTGCTTCCTCCCAGCCTCCACTCTTACCCTGGAGCCTCCCATTTGCTGAACGTACCCAGAAGCCAGAGGGCAAAGGACTCTGGGAAATGTAGTTCCCTTTGGCATGTGCACAGGCAGGGCAGGGTTAGCAAACCACTTACATACCCAGATGATGGCTTACTCTTTTCCTTCAAGTGTCTGCCCAAGTGTCATCTGCTGGGAAATGCCTTCCTTGACACCAAACCACCCCCTCAACCCTGCCAACCTGGCCTGGCTCAGCACTCTCTATTCTTCTGCTAGCCTGCCTTTATTTTTCATTATAGAACTTAGTACCAGCTGATGTTGCTTTATGTATCTATTTATTGGATTGTCTGGTTCTATTTTTAATTGGATTATCTAGTTCTATTTTTTATTTATTATATTGTCTGGTTCTATTTTTTATTAATTGGATTGTCTGGTTCTGTTTTTATTTATTGTCTAGAATGCAAGCCCACAAGGGCAGGCCATCTGTCTGTCTTGCTCTCTGTCTTGCTCATTTGAGAACAGTACCTGGAACACAGTAGGTGCTCAACCACCATTTCTGGGTAGATAGAATCTTCTCCCAGGTCTTCTCTTCTTTGGGTACATATCCTTAGTTTCTTCAGCCATTCCCCAGGACATGCTTTCTGGCTGGCCCCTGCACTGGCCGGCTTCTCCTGGCCCAGCCCTCTGGGCAAGGCAGGACTGATGGTGAGGGCAGTCCCAAGGTGCCAGCACATCCTGCCTTGAATCCAGTGGCCAAGTGGCCATCAACAGACACAGGCTTAACTCAGCTTCTCTGCAGCTAGTTGAGCTCTCGGTTCTGTTCCATGTGCAGCTCATTGAGCGCTGGGCTCCAGGCCAGTTACCAGGGAGGAGAATGTGGGCATCACTCTTGAGGGGTTAACAGGTCATTGTAAGAGCCAGACACAGATGCATTCTCTACTTCTGAGGACAGTCCTGGGGCCAAGGCTTATTGAGCGATCCATATGGGCCTGGGGGCCTTTCTAAGAACATTCCATGCATCCCTTCATCTGCTCTTCACAGACATCCTTCAGGAAGGGGCTGTCATCATCCCTGGGCTTCAGAGAGGCAAAGCAACTTGCTCCCACCCTTGAGCTGGTCAATGGGCATCTGGGGTGCAGACCTGGTTGATCTGACTGGGGGGCCCTCATCCCTTCACCCCTAGGCAAGCTGTCTTCTGGGCACTGCCAGGCTGAATAGGCAGATGCCCACTACAGAGGGTCAAAGACCTGTGGGGACATAGGATGGGTGGGGAATTCTGCCCTGGTGACACTGAACTCAGCCTTGAGGCTGCAGAATGTGTTGTGGTGGTGGAAGGTGGGGGGCTTCCATCTGGGGGCAGGGCTGAGGACCTTGTGTAGGGTGGGACTGGGGAGGGTGGGTTTGGAGAGCTGGGCTGCTGGAGGAGGGGGATGCCTGGTTGCTGGATCCTGACTGCTTTCAGGAGAAATGAGCTCTTGCTTGCAAAGAAACATCTGTTTGGAGCGCTGTGTGCCTAGATGTTTTTACGCATGCCACACAGAATGCGGGAGAGCCTGACTCCACATTCTCTACGTATTTATTGCAAAATAACCTTATCCTAAGAATAACAGGAAAAATTTCACCCACATTCCCAGTACCCTGACAAATCAACTGTCTACATTTTTCCCGTTCCCCTCCGGGCCACACGCTTGTGCGGACATGACTTTGAAGCCACAGTCAAAGAGCAATTGTGTTTGTGCATTCATTTGTTCAGCAAAGACATTTCCCAAGTACCTATCTCCTCTGTATCAGGAAACTGGCTCCTAAAACGAATGGCCTATATTTTCCTTTAGAGTTTTACCACCTATGTAAATATCCTTTATTAATCAGGGTATATTAACTGTTTTAACAAGCAACCCACTAATTGTAGCACCCTAATTCAATACATGTGTATCTCTTGTTCATGACAGTGCAGGGCAGGTTGGGTTGGGCTCTGCTCCATGCAGCCATGCAGGGACCCAGGCCTTTTTTTCTGAATGGCTCTGCCATCCCCTACAGCCATGGAGTCCTCCATTTGGTGCACTGCATTGGATCGGCAGAGGAGCAAACAGAGAGAAGGAGCAGACTGGATTGTGTAGGAAGCTTTTTTCGGCAGGCCTGGAGGTAGTAAACATCACTTCCATCACATTCTACTGGATGGAACACAGACATGTACCTGTACCTACCTGCAAGGGAGGCTGGGAAATGCAGTCCAGCTGAGTGCCCAGGAATGGGGGAGGAACAGGTTTGGTGATCATCTGGCCAGCATCTACAAGCTTACAACACATTGTTTAGTTCTAAAAAATTGAAGGAAGCACAAAACAAATTGTGTAAGGAAATGGCAATGTTGTCACCAAGAGTTGAAAGCTCCCAAAAAAATATAAAACACAAAGGCCAGCTGAGTTCTGGCAAACTCAGGGCAGCAAGCCAGGCTCTGCCCCTCTCTGAGAGAATTGAAGGTCAGACTGTCAATGGGCAAAGGCATGAGTGAGCCCTGGGAAACTGAGGTCTCACGATAGCTGGGCTATCTGATGAGGCTGACCTCTGGGATCATGGCAGAAGGATGGCTAAAGAGAGCAGGTTGCTTTGCATCATCTGCTTCTAAGCTCACCGTGGCCAATTCCTGCTCTCAAGAATAGATCAAAGTTCTCAACTGGTGGAGGCAGCCCAGCAGGAGAAAGAGCAGGAACTTTGCCAGCCCCTGGTCAACATAAGCCAAGCGAAGATAAGATCCTCACCCCATACTCTGTCCTCAGGTCAAAAGGGGGCACAGTGGCAGCAGAAATCTTGTCACATGGCTGTCATCTGTAACGGCAGCGTTCTATGTGGAGTGCGTCACGGCCATCAGTGATCTTCTGGGGGACTGCCTTCACCTGCTGCTTCCTGTATGTCGAGTCTTCTCTTTCTTGGTTTACCTTCTCAGTTGGGTGTAGCACATCCTTCAGTAGCTTTCTGAGAAAGTGTGGCTCGTAGGCAAATTTGTTAGAGACCTCGCCAGCTGAAGGGATCTGTATTCCACCTTCACACTTGCTTAATAATGTGGCTGGCATAGAAGGTTGGGTTAGGAAATAATTTCCCTTCAGAAGCTCAAAAGCATTGCTCCATTGTTTTCTTGCTTCCAGTGGGGCTGCTGAGAATTCTGAAGCTGTTTTGATAACCAGCCCTGGGTATGTCATGTGATTTTTCTCTCTGGAAGTTTGTAGAATCTTCTCTTTGTCCCAAGTGTACTAAAGTTCCACAATGATGTGTCCATGGGGTAGGTCTATGTTCACCTCCTATGCTGGGTATTTTGCGGGCCTTTTTTTTAGTGCCAGGGAATTACCCTGAATTATTTCATTGATCATTTCTTCCCTGCAATTTCCTCTCTCGTATACATCTATAGCTCCTGTTATTCCTGTTATTTGGATGTTGGATCTTCTGTACTTATTTTCTAGATTTTCTCTTTTTTTATTTTTTTGAGACAGAGTCTCACCCTGTTACCTGGGCTGGGGTGCAGTGGTGCAATCTCAGCTCACTGCAACCTCCACCTCCCGGGTTCAAGTGATTCTCATGCCTCAGCCTCCCAAATAGCTGGGATTACAGGTGTGCGCCACCTCATATCTGGTTAATTTTTATATTTTTAAGTGGAGATGGGGTTTTGTCATGTTGGCCAGGCTGGTCTGGAACTTCTGACATCAAGTGATCCACCCACCTCGGCCTCCCAAAGTGTTGGGATTACAGGCGTGAGCCACCACAACCATTGTCCTTATTTCTCCTCCTCATTCTTGCCATCCATCCTCTCCTCTTTTCCTTCCTCCCTCTTGCCCCCTCTCTCTTTTCTTCTCTATCTCTTTCTAATCCCCTTTCCCTCTCTTCTTTTTTTTTTTTGGCCGGGTGCAGTGGCTCACGCCTGTAATCCCAGCACTTTGGGAGGCTGAGGCGGGTGGATCACAAGGTCAGGAGTTCAAGACCAGCCTGATCAATATGGTGAAACCCCGTCTTTACTAAAAATACAAAAATTAGCCGGTTGTGGTGGCGGGTGCCTGTAATCCCAGCTACTTGAGAGGCTGAGGCAGGAGAATCGCTTGAACCCAGGAGGCGGAGGTTGCAGTGAGCCAAGATCGCGCCACTGTACTCTAGCCTGGGTGACAGAGTAACTCTGTCTAAAAAAAAAAAGAAACAAAAAAAAAGTGTTTTTTTTTTTTTTTTTTCTGAAAAGTCTGTTTCCACCCAGTTATGTGTTTCTGTTGATGTTTTTGTCTCTGCTTTTCATGTTGGAGGCTGTTCACAGAAGTCTGGTAACCCTTGGCTGTCAGGTTATGACAGGTTTGGAGACCAAAGAGCTCACTGGAAGTTTAAGAATGGAGCTTGGCCACCATACCCTTCGTTGTAGGATGATATGGGATATTTTTTGAGGTTCCCTTGAGTTGTGGGATTTATAAGGGCAACTGCAATGAGTTCCAAGGCCCGGAATTCCAAGTTCTGGGTGCATTCAATGTCAGATGGTCACTAGGCCATGGCACTTAGGAATGCTTCTAGGTTATATCTTTTTTCTTAAAGAGAAAAAAGAAAGGCCTCTCTGCTGGGGCTCCCTCACTGACCTGTACTGTGAATTCTCTGAAGCCTCTGTCTGCACCCCAGTCCTTGCCCCCAACCCTCCCGATGTCCTGCATCCATTCCTGCTGACTCCACTTTAAAGCACCCTGGTTTGTGGCCCAGAGCTCTCCCTGGCTATAGTGGCCTCTTTTTTTTTCACTTAATAGAATTTTAAACCGGAAGTGTAATTTACATATGGTAAAAGACATAAATGCTAAAGTGTATATATCTCAACGTATATATTCATGTAACAATCAAATTAGAGACCAAGTTACAGCATTTTCTAGCATATCAGAGGTCTCTCTTAGGGACTAATTTCACTAACTTCTCTCTCCCCCAGGTACCCACTGTCCTGATTTCCATCACCATAGATGAGTTTGGCCTGTTTTTGAATTTTGTATGAGAGAAACATACAGCATGTTCCTCTTTTCATGTCTGGCTTTGTCTCTTAGCATGGCGCCCATCAGGTCCATCCATGGCTGTGTATATCCACGTCCATTCCTTTTCATGGTGAATGGGCTTCCACTGGGTGGACATGCAAGGTCTACTGTGGACAGACATCTTGGTTGTTTTTGGGTTTTGATGATTTTGAATAAAGCTGCTATGAACATTCATGTACAAGTCTTTTGATGGACACGTATGCTAAGTTTTGTGCTATGGGCTTAGGGTAGATCTGCTGGGTCCTAAGGTAAGTAGCAGCTTATCTTTATCAGAAGTTGTCTTACAGATTTCCAAAATGGCTGCACCTACATACATGCCTGCAAGCGTGCGTGAGTCCCAGTGGCTCCAGACATGGTCAGTGTTATTTATTTATTTATTTATTTTGAGATGGAGTCTCGCTCTGTTGCCCAGGCTGGAATGCAGTGGTGTGATCTCAGCTCACTGCAACCTCCATCTCCCAGGCTCAAGAGATTCTCATGCCTCAGCCTCCCAAGTAGCTGGGACTACAGGTGCATGCCACCACACTCAGCTAATTTTTGTATTTTTAGTGGAGATGGGGTTTTGCCATGATGGCCAGGCTGATCTCGAACTCCTGACCTCAGGCAATACCCCCATTTTGGCCTCCCACAGTGCTGGGATTACAGGTGTGAGCCACTGTGCTGGCTGGTCAGTCTCTTTAATGCTCACCATACTGGTCGTGGTGTGGCTACCTGCTGTGACCAGCATGTGTTTTAACCAATCCTAAAGTGCATATTCAATACCAGTCCCATAAAGAATCCCTTGCCAGGGATTAGCGACATATTATTTCTTCTGGAAGCCTTCCCTGGCCCCAGGCTGGGTTAGGTGACCTCCTTGGGGCCCCCACAGCCCTGTGCACCCGCCCCTGTCACACATCTTGTACTATCATCACCTGCTTGAGTTTTCCTCTGGTCTGTGAGCTCCCTGTGGACTGAAATGGAGTCTTATTGTTAAAATCTTGTTGTATAGCACAGATATGGTACAAAAAAGGCACCCAAATATCTATCTGTTGGAGGGAAAGAAAGAAGGAGGGCGGGGAGGGAGGCAAAGAGGAAGGAGGGAACAAAGGGAGAACAGAAGGAAGAAAGAAGAAAGAGCAGGGAAGGGAGGAGAGAGGGGAAGGGAAGGGAGGAGGGATGGAAGGAACAGAGAAAAAGGAGGTAAGAGAGGAAAGGAAGAAAGGAAAGCAGGGAGGGAGGGCTGGAAGGAGGGAATTTAAAAAAAGAGGGAAGGAGGGGAAGGAAGGAGGGAAGGTGGGCAGAAGAGAAGGAAGGAGGGTAGGTGGGGAGAAGAGAAGGAAGGAGGGAAGGAGGGCTGGATGGGCAGCACCTCGGGGCAGGCCTTGTGTGAGCCTCGGTGCAGCGCTCCTGGCCACCTGTGCACACAGACACACGATCCCATGGGAGCTGGTGCCCAGCACTGCTGTGTGTAAACAGAGCCTGGCCCCTTCTTCCAACGCTGGCCTTTGCCTCCCGGTGGAAACCCAAGCTCCAGCCTGGGACAAGGGTTGGCAGATGTCTGTGAACAGGGCTGTCTGCCTTTGCCGATAAGAGTCCTCAGACAATGGAGTGGCCTGGCTGGGAACTCCCTCCGTGCAGAGACTTTGACAGACCCAGGTCCCTACTCTCCCACCTCTTGGAGCCATCTCTGCGAGCCTGTGCCTTCTGCCTTCCCCTGAGGCCCCAGCACCAGTTCCAGTTCCCCTCCTGTCCAAGCCCATTGCTGATGGGTGATGATCAGGGCCTCCACCTTGCACAGCGTGGGCCAGGAGCTGGCCCGTGTGGTCTCTTTGTTCACGCATGGCCTCATGACAGCCTGGTGTGAGGCTTTCCTCCAAAGCACCCCTGAAAGGTGGAGACACTGAAGCCAAGGAGGTCAAAGAGCAGCCTCAGTCCCTAGTGTCTCTGCCGTGAGGGCAACCGGACCCAGATGTGGCTGCAGTTCTGAGCCCATCAGCATCCCCCTCACTGTGCATGCTCTGAAGGCAGGCGTGGGCACTTGCAGGGCACGTGGCACCTCAGAGAGAGCCCATCCCGACAACTCACTTGCACTTAGTGTCCTTGGATACTGATTCTGTGAGGACCGTCCTCTCTCCTGGAGACCGACCACAGAAGAGAATGCTAACATATTGAGTGCCCTACAGACCAACTTGTCTAATCCTTATCATCACCGTGGCCAGCATCACCTCCAGGGTGTAAGTGAAGGCATCAAGGTGGCTTTCCGAGGTCCAGGCGGCCGCAGTGTGTGGAGATGGGCCTACCTGGTGCTACCCTTCTGGTTTCCTTCCCTCCGTGTCTGGACCTGTGGGAAGTGTCTCTCCCTTGGATAGCAGGAGAGGTGGAAAAGACCCCAGGGATGTCTGTCCTGTTCTCTTCTCAGTGCGCCCGCATAATTGGTCTGCACTTTCCCTGCCAGGCCTCAAATGGGAGAATCAGATCAACAACCGAGAATCCTCTAGCTCGGGCGAGACCCCGTGGCTGCAGCCGTACACACTAGCCGTTCACAAGGCCATCACACTCTAGGTCTTGGTTCAGAGGCTACTTCTTTCAAAGGGGATGCATTCATAAGGGCCCCTTATCTGTGCCCTCCCTGGCTGTGCTCCTTCCCCTTTTCCTTCCTCTAACAGCCACTGTGAAAGCCCAACCACAGGCTCTGGAGCAGATCCACACGGGACTCAAGAAGGAAGCTTGTCTTTCTCTTGCTGGTGCAGTTTTCACCTAGCACCTTTCCCAGAACTCCCCACCCCAACTCCACACAGAGGGGCACCGAGTCTCATGACCAGCAGCATGAATGCACACAAGGCTGGAGGGAAGGCCGGGGGATCTATTTCCAGTGTTGTCACTGAGCCGGTTTTAAAAATGAGGGGGAGATGAAGAGGCTTGTTCTCACTGTGGCCGCAATAACGCTGCATAACACACCATTCTCAAGCTCAGAGGCATGCAGCAATCAGAATTTATGTCCTGTGTGGGTCTGTTTGGCTGAAGTGGCTCAGCTCCAAGGGACAGGTCTGTGGGTTGGTTGGGGTTTGGCTGATCTAGGCTGGGCTTGGTTGGGTTTGGCTCTGGGCCACGGCATGGTCCATGTGTCCCCTCTTCCTGAGACCAGCAGGCTCCCTGGGTGTGATCTTCTCACAGCACTGGTTGAAGTGCAGGGGAGCAAGCCCAGTCCCAAACCCTCTTTCTTTTTTTTCTTTTTTGTTTTTTTTTGAGATGGAGTCTTTCTCTGTCACCCAGGCTGGAGTACAGAGGGGCAATCTTGGCTTACTGCAACCTCTGCCTCCTGAATTTAAGCAATCCATCTGCCTCAGCCTCCTGAGTAACTGGGATTACAGGCACCCACCACCATGCCTGGCTAATTTTTGTATTTTTAGTAGAGTCAGCGTTTCCCCCCATGTTGGCCAGGCTGGTCTCGAGCTCCTGACCTCAAGTGATCCACTGGCCTCGGCCTCCCAAAGTGCTGGGATTACAGGCATGAGCCACCACACCCGGCCACAAAACCCTCTTTCCAACCTTATTTGCCCCTATCAGCAAACTCACCTGGTTCAAGATGAGTCCCATGGCCAAGCCATGCCTGTGGGGAAACTGTAAAGTCATGTGGCAAAGAGTATGGATAAGGGGCAGCCTATAGGATAGGCGCCATGTTGCCATCTGGGGCTTTCCAATGGCTTCGAGCTGAACTCTGCCCTGAGCTGAACTCTGCCCTGATTGAAGTGTGCTTGTTGGTGGAGAGAGGATTGGGTCTATGGATGCTGGAAATGGTGGATTTGGGTTCAAGGCCTGGTCTGGTCACTTCCAAGCTGTGGGAGCCTGGGCGAAGCTTGTCTGAGCCACAGTTTCCCTGTGTGTAAAACGAGGGGCAATGAGTCTGTACCTAAGCTCATGCTGAGAATTGAGCGAGATGGACAGCCCGAAGCAGAGTGCCTGCCCCAAGGGATTCCTGCAAATCATGGGTGCCACAGTGTCCCTAAGGAAAGTGTGTTTTTGTTGGTGAAGTTCTCAGGACATTAGTACCCAGGCAGAGTCGGGGCATCTGGCCTCAAAGTACAAGAGAAGCAAGGAGAAATCACACAGGTAAAGCAGGGCTTACTGGCTGGGCACGGTGGCTCACACCTGTAGTCTCAGCACTTTGGGAGGCCGAGGTGGGCAGATCACAAGGTTAAGAGATCGAGACCATCCTGGCCAACATGGTGAAACCCTGTCTCTACTAAAAATACAAAAATTAGCTGGGTGTGGTGGCCAGCGCCTGTAATCCTAGCTACTCAGGAGGCTGAGGGAGGAGAATCGCTTCAATCCGGTAAGTGGAGGTTGCAGTGAGCCGAGATCACACTACTGCACTTCAGCCTGGGCGATAGAGTGAGATTCCGTCTCAAAAAACAAAAAACAAAAGAAGGGTTACCTTGTGGAAGTTTCAGAACCAAGGGGCCTTTTGAGACCCCTAGTGAGAGACGTCCCAGCTGCTCCAAAACGGATGAGGACAGTCAAATGCCCCATTTCTCCACACCCACCCAGCCCCCTCAGCCCCGGTCTGGCCAAGGCACCTCCTATACAGCCTTGTCAGCATCACACCAGGCTGCCGAAGGAAAGCCTGCTGTGACGCCAGCACTTCCATGGTGTCTAACGCTGGGGTCTCAGGTGTGACTTGGAGGTGGCTGGGATAGCTGACAGGTTCACCCATATCTGTGATCCAGCGTTTCTTTGTCTTTATGGGAAGGCCCCAGTCCCCTTTTGAATCTGATGAAAGCAATTGAACTTTCATCCTCTCACAAAACATCTTTTGGGTATAACTTCAAGCAGCTCGTGTACTCCCTGAAGCCCATTTTCCGGGTGACATGAAGACCTCCCATCTAGGAATGAGTCAGGGGGTCCAGGAGGGCCCTTGCCAGCCAAGGCTGGGAATTTGAGCGTGACAATGACTAGTGTCAGTAATGAAGATAAATCAATGATCAAAGCATGATCAGTGAGTCCACCCTGACCAAGAATGAGTCGATAAATTTATAAATGGCAGGGAAAAGAAAGGCCCCCTCCTTTTATTTATTTATTTATTTATTTATTTTTTGTTGAGACATAGTCTCACTCTGTCGCCCAGGCTGGAGTGCAGTGGCGTGATCTCAGCTCATTGCAACCTCCATCTCCTGGATTCAAGCGATTCTCCTGCCTCAGTCTCCCGAGTAGCTGGGATTACATGTGTGCGCCACCACGCCCAGCTAATTTTTGTATTTATTTATTTATTTATTTATTTATTTATTTATTTATTTATTAGTAGAGATGGGGTTTCACCATGTTGGCCAGGAAGGTCTCAAACTCCTGACCTGCCTCGGCCTCCCAGAGTACTGAGATTACAGGTGTGAGCCACCATGCCCGGCCTCAGTTTTGTCTTGTTTTTCTTAAAGAGCCCCTTGTCAAGTTATTTAAGCTCCAGAAGAACCTGCAACTTTTACACCACCACAGAACTAAGAGGACCTTGACCTGTGTTTTATAACTTATGGGGCTGGTATAAAGGGCTTCTGACGGTTTTATCCTGCTTCCAACAATTTGGTGGGGGTAGAAGAGGTTTCCTCTGGGAAGTGGTTGGGAGTGGGGTACAAGTGCTGCTTCTGCCCCCAGCTCCTCTGAGCTGGCCAGAGGAATCCTTCAGCCTGAAGCTCCAGCTTCATGGCCCCCCACTGCAAGGGCCCAGGAATTCGCTCTCATGGTTGTGCGTATGTCTTTATATTTACCAATGTAAGATGTTTTATTGACAATAGGGAAAGTGTCTGTCTCTCCTTTCTAATTTCCCTCTATTGGGGGAGGGGAGGATCTGGAGGTTCCGGGTGCTGGCAGGGTCTAGGCAAGGGAAGTGGGTTTGCTGGTCATGTTTGTGGAGTTCTGGTGACTTCTGTAGAGAGCTGAGCTGCCGCTGGCCCCAGGCTGGCTTCTAGAGACACACCTGCACCCACTGGGAGGTCACCCTAGCGTGGCCACAGAGCAGTGCTGGAGGGGAAAGCGTCTCACGGCCCAGGCCCTGGGTGTGTGTGGGCAGGGCAAGTGAAGTCTGAAATGAGTGGAGCTGAAGTTAGGCGGGAGAACATTCGACCTATCACCTGATGTGCGAGGTTGTGAGTGGGTGATTCAGTTCCCACAGAAGCTCTGGTCAGAAAGAAAGGTCTTTGCTTTCAGAAATATACTCCACATTGCAGAGGATTTGATCGCAAACACACCACACTACCCTCTGTGCACTTTCCTCTTTCAATGAGAATCATGGCAAAATAAAACTTAGCAGAGTTCCTGGGTTTGCAGAGCACCTGCATAAAAGCACATCTCTCTCTGAATAAAACATGCACACACATCCTAAGGCACTTGATCCCTTTCTTTTTTCTTTTCTTTTCTTTTTTTTGAGATGGAGTCTCGCTCTGTCACCCAGGCTGGAGTGCAATGGTGCAATCTTGGCTCACTGCAACCTCCACCTCCTGGGCTCAAGTGATTCTCCTGCCTTAGCCTCCTGCGTAGCTGGGATTACAGGTGCCCACCACCAAGCCTGGCTAATTTTTGTATTTTTAGTAGATGCAGGGTTTTGCCATGTTGACCAGGCTGGCCTCAAACTCCTGATTTCAGGCAATCTGCCCACCTCAGCCTCCCAAAGTGCTGGGATTACAGGCGTGAGCCGCCGCGCCTGTCCCCGATCCCTTTTAGAGTGTGTGTTGCATCTTGTCTTGACACAATCTGGTAGCTCCAGACAACAGAAAACACAAGACTGCCCCAGTGCAGTGAAACAGTCTGGAGACACGGGGAGAACTTCTATGGTAGATCCATCAGTAACTCAAGGTATTGGGTGGGAGAGAAATTCGATTCCATAACTATGTAGCTCAATCCAGTGTAGTAACAGATGAAAAAATGCATCTGAATGCATCTGTTGCATATTCTTTTGTTTCACATCACTTCTGTGTATAAATGTGTGTGTGTGTATATATATATATATATATATATATATATATATATATATAAATTTTTTTTTAAATGGAGTCTTGCTCTGTCACCAGGCTGGAGTGCAATGGCATGATCTCAGCCCACTGCAACCTCTGCCTCCCGGGTTCAAGTGATTCTCTTGCCTCAGCCTCCTGAGTAGCTGAGATTACAGGCGCGCACCACCATGCCCAGCCTAATTTGTGTATTTTTAGTAGAGATGGGGTTTTATTCTGTTGGCCAGGATGGTCTCGATCTCTTAACCTCATGATCGACCTGCCTCGGCCTCCCAAAGTGCTGGGACTACAGGCGTGAGCCACCGTGCCCGGCTAATTCTGTATATATATGTATATATATTTTTTCAGAATGATTGACTATTCCAGAATTAAATGTGATGAGAAGTATCCTTGTAGAAGCCAAAAGAATAAGCTGAAAGGCGTAAGGCTTTAAAATATCAAAATCCCTCTTCATATATCACGATAGAAACAAAAACTCTGATAGTCAGAATCATGAACGAAACTGTTTTAATCCACCAATAATAATGAATTTCAATTACCCATGTTTTGGAGTAAAATCGAATTATCTTTCTATTCTCTTTACAGGAAAAAATTATAATTATAAAAGTATTGTCATGTTAGGAGGTGGTAAAACAGTATGTAACCCAAAACAGAGAAAAATGGTATTATAGAAATGGGTCAGGTAGTTAAGAAATAAAAACATCAGCACTTTCCTGTGTTTTGTGGTGTTTGCAATATTTGTGAGCTTTGTAACATTCGACTTGTGATTTTTTTCCTTCTCATTCTAGTAAATATTCAGGTTGGTGTCTAGTTTTGTAGTTGCAATTTTGTCTTCTTTTTCTTTTTCTTTTCTTTTCTTTTTCTTTTTCTTTCTTCTTTTTTTTTTTTTTTTGAGAGAGAGTCTCGCTCTGTTACCCAGGCTGGAGTGCAGTGGCGCGATCTCGGCTCACTGCAACCTCCGCCTCCCGGGTTCAAGTAATTCTCCTGCCTCAGTCTCCTAAGTAGCTGGGATTACAGGCGTGTGCCGCCACGTCTGGCTAATTGTTTTTGTATGTTTAGTAGGGACAGGGTTTCACCTTGTTGGTCAGGCTAGTCTCGAACTCCTGACCTCATGATCCACCTGCATCAGCCTCCCAAAGTGCTGGGATTACAGGCATGAGCCACTACACCCGGCCTTATTTTTCTTAAAGAGCCCCTGTCCAGTTGTGTAAGCTCCAGGCTCCTTGGCGCCTGGCTTCACCCCACCCTCTCAGCATCCCCTGCCCAGGGAATCCACTTTACTGGAGTTGGGGGTAGATTCCAACCAGGACGCTTTGCCTCCCTCCCATAGGGTGGGGTGGACCCTGTCCTCCTAACCTTCGTGACCATGCAGAACAGCTGCCCCCATCCTTCAAGGACTGGCACCCACTTTTCACATGCCTCCCCTCATTTAATCCCCTTAATTTCACATCGCTTCTGTATATTTTCAGAATTATTGGTTAAGCCAAAATTGGATTATTGATCATTCCAATATTTCAGAATAATGAACACCACCCAGGTTGCCATAGAGAGATTTGAGGCAGGAGAGGTGAACACACCCCAGCTTCCCAGCCAGTAAGTGGTCGTGCTGGGATGTGAACCCAGGGCTATGGCTCCCCTGCTGGCAGCCCTAGTGCCATTGTATTCTCCACTCTTGGTCACCAGCGATCACAGCAGCCTTGTCAATAGGAACAGAAACCTTTTATGTGCACCCTCCCCTGTGCCCTGTGCCTTGCGTTGGACCACATTTCAGTCTCACAGCAGTGTTTGAAGATGGCTACACTGATTATCCTGTGTTACAGATAAGCAAATTGAGGCTAAGAGTGGCTAAGCAATACATTCACGATGGCACAGCTGATATGTAGTGAGAGTTCAGTTTTGAACTCAGGTCTGAGAGCCCCATTTTCATGACCCTGGCATCCCCAGGGAAGTCATCCCTGCCACCCCTGGATTGGTGCTATCAGCCTTCCTGCGCAGAATGTTCCAGAATGTCATCCCCTGCCCGGGAAAACTGGCCCTTTGAGTGGCTGACCAGCCCCCACTCCCAACCACTCTCCTTGGCTCTATTTGTAAAGTGAATTACTGCATTATGGGAGGAACAAGAAGGTTCTTTATCTCCACTTGGGCAAATCCATTAGGATTAGAGGCCCCTCTGAAGCCCCTCTGAGGGGGTGACGTAAGCCTGTCTTTGGTGATTTGCAGAGTGACAGCATGATAAGGAGTCCGGGCCCGTTTTAGTGGTGACAGGACATCCTCCCCCTGCAGCACCCAAGAATTAGCGGGCCTATCTCTCCATTTATCAAAGCCCTTTGGGGGATGAGGCAATCGGGCGGAGGAGTATTGCAGCCTCTCTGTCTCGGAGTCTGTGGAGCTGTCGCTTCCCGCCAGCTTGCCCAGGTCATACAGCTGCCCAGGATCTGCGGGGTCTTCGTGACTTCCCACAGTGAGAACCAACAGAAGGGTCTCCAACTGCCAGGCTTCGTGGCCCAGGTCCCTCCAGTGTCTGACCTGCATGGCCTGCCACCCTCTAGACAATGCCCAGACTTTTGCCCTGAAATACCATGAGGATGGGGATGCCATTATCTAGCAAGGGGACCGCCATGTCTGGGGAAAAATTCAAGGGTTCTGCCTGGCTCAGGCTCAGTCTGAGGTGCTAGGGAAGATGGCAGGTCCCAAAGATGATGCCCCCTGTATATCTCCCATTCCACCTGCTCTTCTTACAAAGTAAGGTCGACACTCTCCCTTTGAGAGGAAGAGTGACCCTGTCCCTGAGCTTGTGCAGACCTGTACGCTGACAGAGTATATGGCAGGAGTGACGCCCTGTGGCTCCTGAGTTGAGGGCTGAAAAGGCAATATGGCTTTCATTTGACTCTCTCTTTCTTGGAATTCATCCTCCATGTTGTGAGGAAGCCCAAGCCACATGGAGAGGCCATGTGTGGTTCTGGCCAGCAGCCCTTGCCAGGCCCGCAGCTGACATCAGCCTCAACTGGCAGACATGAAGGTGAATGAGCCTTCAGGTGGTTCTGTCTCTAGCCTCTGAGCCACCCCAGCTGAGGCCCCAGATGTCACTGGGTGGAGAGAAACCATCCCCGCTGTGCCTGCTTGACCGGCAGAAGCCATGAGAGATAACAAATGATGATTGTTGTTTTGAGTGACTCCATCTTGGGGCAGTGTTATTCAAACAGAATAACCAGAACACATGCTGCTAATAAAGACGTATCTGAGACTGAGTGATTTATGAAGGAAAGAGGTTTAATTGGCTCACAGTCCCACATGGCTGGGGAGGCCTCACAATCATGGCTGAAGGTGAACAAGGAGCAAAATCACGTCTTACATGGCAGTAGGCAAGACAGCATGTGTAGGGGAACTCCCCTTTATAAAACCATCAGATCTCAGGAGACTTATTCACAGTCACGAGAACAGCATGGGAAAGACCCACCCGTATGATTCAATTACCTCCCACCAGATCCCTCCCATGATAAGTGGGAATTATGGAAGCTACAGGAATTATGGGAATTACAATTCAAGATGAGATTTGGGTGGACATACAGTCAAACCATATCACCGTTTGTGTGTGGAAGGCAGAATAGTGGCCCCCAAAAATGTCTTCATCCTAATCCCTGAAATTTGTGAACATGTTAGGTTACAGGACAAAGGGGAATTAAAGTCACAGATGGAATTAAGGCTAATAATCAGCAGGCCTCAAGATAGGGAGACCATCCTGAATCATCCAGCTTGGCCCAGTGTCATCACAGGGTCCTTAAAAGTGGAAGAGAGGGAGTAAGAGGAGAATCAGAGGGAGTTGTGATGGTGGAGGCAAGGCACAGAAAGATGCAGTGTTGCTGGCTTGGAACATGGAGAAGGGGCACGAGCCAGGAAATGCTGGTGGCCTCCAGAAGCTGGAAAAGGCAAGGAAATGATTTGCACCCGCAGGCTCCAGAAGGAACCTGGATTCAAGCCCTGTGAGACCTGTCCTGACCTCTGGGACTGTAGAGTGATAAGTGTCTGTTACTTTACGCTACCAAGTTTGTGGTGTTTTGTTGTAGCAGCAATAACAACTGACACAGCCTCTATGTGCTCTTGGGAATGAGAGAAGGAGATAATATCAAAGAAAAAGAGGGCCTAGCTGCAGGAGAAAGGTCTTGCATAGGTGAGAGGGAATGGGGGCCAGGACCCCAGTCATAGCCATTTAATAGTAATGCCATCAGCATCATTGTTATCAGCATCATCACCACCATTGTCATCATCATTGTCACCATCATTACCACCATCATCATCATCACCATCATCATCATAATCACCATCATCATCATTGTCGTCATAATCACCATTATCATCATTGTCATCATCACCATTATCATCGTCATCATCATCATCACCACCACCACCACCACCACCATCACCACCATCATCATCATTGTCATCATAATCACCATTATCATTATCATCATTACCACCACCACCACTACCATCATCATCATTATCATCATCATCACCACCACCATCATCGTCATCACTGTCATTATTATCATTGTCATTGTCACCATTGTTGTCATCTTCATTGTCATCATCATTATGAAGACTGTTCAGCAAAGACCCCAGGAGGTAGGGCCCCATCAGGAGACAGCATTTTCCCTGCAGGGATAGGTGGCCTCTAGCACTTAGTTCAACTCTTTCCTTTTCTGGGGATGGGGGTGCAGGAGGGAAAACCTAGGATCCCATCCAAACCCTCCACATTTTATCTCTTGCTTCATTTGCCTCTTTCTCTCCTGCCTTATTTGAGAGCTGATGTCCCTCCGACCTCTTTTGGAACACTGTTGACAGACAGCACAGGGCTGTAGGAACCCACTGGCCCTGGAGCCGACTGCCTGTGCTTGAATCCTGTCTCTAGCACCAATATTTGGGTAACCTTGGGTTATTTAACCTCTCTGTCCCTCAGTGTTCCCACCTCTAGAAGGAGATGAATGCTTCTGCCTCATAGGGGAGTTGTGACTTATACCTGGAATGAACTTTGGCCTATAATGGGTGTGTGACAAGTCTCCTCAGCATTGGACAGCTTCACTGCTCTGCGCCCAAGACTGCCCTCGTCAGTGCTGGATGAATGAGGCCAGGAGGCGGGGGAAAGAATGGAGGCAGGTGCCCAAGCTTGGGTTTGGGGCAACATCGAGCTAAAGAGCCAGAAGGCAGGGCTGCATGATCCCAAACTCTACCAGAGGCTTCCTCTCCCTGACTCCAAAGTCCTTTAGCCCTGGGCAGGTAGAAAGAAGGCGGGGGCCGGAGATGGAGATTCCCGGTGGACAGTAATGGTGCCTGGCCGCTACCATGGCTGAAGTTTGCCCCTCTGGCCTTGCCTGGGGACTGGCAGTCTCAAGACAGTGGAGAGAGGCTAAACTCCATCCTGCCCCTGGTAGAACCTGACACTGGACATCAGAGGCATCTTGGAAGGTGGTGTCTTCCCGGCCTGTTCCAGGGCAGGCATGTGAGACAACTTTGCCCAAGAATGCAAGCACCTTCCTGGGTCCCTACCATGAGGGCTCATGTTGTTTACCATAGTAGTTTGCAGACATAAACAAAATAATAATAAAATTGATGTATTAAAGAAACTTTTCATTGAATGGAGTTTTTAATAGAAAACTTAGTTTGAAAAAAACAGACAGGCTGAGTGTGGTGGCTCACACCTGTAATCCCAGCAATTTGGGAGGCTGAGATGGGAGGATTGCTTGAGGCCAGGAGTTCAAGACCTGCCTGGACAACATAGCAAGACTTCATCTCTACAAAAAAATTAAAAATTAACCTGGTATGGTGGCATACGCCTGTGGTCCCAGCTACTCGAGAGGCTGAGGTGGGAGGATTGCTTGAGCCTGGCAGTTCGAGGCTGCAGTGAGCTATGATCGCACTGCTGCCCTCCAGCCTGGGAGACTGAGTGAGACCCTGTCTCTAAATAAATAAGTAAATAAATAAATGGTCCTCCCAGTGGACACAGCCCTGGCTGGAAGGTGGGTTCTTGGCTGAGTTTCAACCCCGTTCAACCACGTGATGTTGGGAAGATGGTGAGATCTTTCTGAATCTCAGTGTCTCCATCTGCAGAGACAGAGGCGCAAAATGGCACCACTACACAGCACTGCTCCCTGGGCCGTCAGGGGCAGGGTTCCTGGGTGGCGCCAGCCATGTGGGCTCATGTCCCCTGGCAATCTTGTGACGTCGTCTCCCATTTCCACCTGGACATTGCCCATCGGTCCCTCCATGGGTGGAAGCTTCCCTGTGATGCTGGGGGTGCAGAGCGCTCCTCCATGGTTCTGCCTGTGCCTGTGGGTGATGCCCTTGCTCGGCTGGGCTGGAAGTGGCCACTTGGCCGTACAAAGCACTCTCCATCTGTGATAGGATGACTTCACAGCCGCAGCTGGGTCTCCTGGGCCTCTCGGACCCTTCCTCAGAAGGCTCTCAGGGCTCTGCAGCTGGGCAGAGCCTGCATGATTCGTGGCACTGTCCCTTTCTCCCTTGATTTCTCTGCACCTCAGTCTTCCCATCTGTAAAGTGGGGATGCTGACAGCCCATGCGGTAGGGTGTTAGGAAAAGCAGGCAGAGAATGCCCGGGGAAGACCTGGCTGGCGGTTGACCTGCAGTGAGTAGTGGTGAGGGGCAGTGTTGCCACTTGAGGAATAGCGCTGAGAGAGACCAGGCAGAGGTGAGGTTTTGAGACCAGGGAGATGTTCAGGGTGACTGGGGTGGTGGGTAGTGAGAAGGGGAGACTACAGCGTTGTTAGGGGCTTGGAAGTCTGAGCTAAAGAGCTTAGACTTCATGTTGTAGCATGGAAGAGCTGGTTGTAGGGCTGAAGAGACAGAAACAGAGAAGGCAAGCAACGTAGCCAATGTCACATGGCCCATTTTTTTTTTTTTTGAGATGGAGTTTAGCTCTTGTTGCCGAGACTGGAGTGCAATGGCATGATCTCGGCTAGCTGCAACCTCCGCGTCCTGGGTTCAAGCAATTCTCCTGTCTCAGCCTCCCGAGTAGCTGGGATTACAGGCATGCGCTATCACGGCTGGCTAATTTTGTATTTCTAGTAGAGACGGGGTTTCTCCATGTTGGTCAGGCTGGTCTCAAACTCCTGATCTCAAGTGATCCTCCCACCTCGGCCTCCCAAAGTGCTGGGATTACAGGCATGAGCCACCATGCCCAGCCCACACTGCACTTTAGTGGCAAACTGGGATGAGGATGGGCATCCTGTTTCTCTACCTCTCAACAGTGTCTGAGCCTTGGGTGCAGCCTTGCAGGTGAAACCCTGGGCTGAGAGTAGAGGCTGTAGCGCCCTTGACCTTGAGTGCAGGTGACATTTCCAAGCTGTCTTTAATTTGCCTTGAAATCAGGCACAAATCCTTTGCAAAACAGGAAACTCTCTCTTTGGGACTGACATGAAATAGTATTGCTATTGAATTAAAGAGTTAGAGCTGTCTCAAAGGAGTGGCATATTGAAATAGCCGGTGGGGTCAGCCCAGCCTGGCTAAGCCTTTGATAGCACAGCTGATAATAGACCCCGGCCTATAAATACCGGGAATCAATCACGGGCTGGAGCTGCTGACAGCCTGCATGTTCACATATCATGGCAGATGGGCGGGAGGCAGGGGCGGCGATTTGTCTTGCCTTTCAGATGGATTTCCTGTTTTCTAGGGAGTGGGAAAGGACCCATCTGGTAATCAGATCGTGGCCAAGATCACCTCCTCTGGGTCACTGGCCCCTGCTCCATGTGTCCCCTCGGCCACGTGGCCCCAGCATTGCGGCGGTCAGGCGGCCGGGCCTCTGAAAATGAGAGCCACACCAGGAGGCCTCTCGCCCCGTGGAAGCTTCCGGAGGCTGGGGAGGCGGGGACTCCTGCCTTTCATCTTCCTTTCTGCTTCTTTTCTTGGCACCTGGCTTTGCTCATAGGCATTTCGTTATTATTTTTTTCTTCAAAGGCTCGTCTCAACTTGCACATGTATGTGCAAACTTCCACAAACACATGCACATGTGTGTGTGCACACATGGGGTCCACAGCCTCCTTTGCAGGCCCTCCTGGGCTTCCCTGTCAACCCACAGCTCCTCCTAGATGCGTCCTGATGCCTTAGCCAGGTAGAGTTCTCTGTAATATTATTTGTTCTGATCATTGCATTTTCACTGCTCCTGACTCTCAGTTTACAACATAGCCCAAGGCCAGCTACGGCTCTGAGCCACCTTTTTGTCTTGGGCAAGGTGTCCCAGAGCTGAAGGGTCCACACTCTCCTTGGCTCCGCCAGGAGTCTCTGTCCCTCCTCCCCTCTTACTTCCCCCAATCCCCAGGCATTCACAGAGTGGGTCCTTTGTGTGAGACCTTGGGCTGGTGGACACATGGGGCTCTTTCTTCCTGAGGAGCTGGTCGGGGGATGCGTCTATCCTGATCATATCTCAGGTGTCTTCTCTCCCCTGGCTCATGAAATCTCCTGTCTCCCAAATTATGTCCAGACAGGGGTGGTAGCAGGCATCTCTCTCTTCCAGCCCAGAGGCCCACCCACCAGCCAAATGGGGCATTTAATTGGAAAGGGAGGCTGGCAGGCTGCCTGGAAATCCTGCAGAAAGGATCGGAGTGGCCTGCTTTGAAAACTTTGCCACATACCTTCCCCGCAGATTTCTGTTTCAAATATTTGAAGGGGTTCTTGGGACCATTTGAG
Organism: Homo sapiens; assembly: GCF_000001405.40. Classification (NCBI taxonomy): domain Eukaryota; kingdom Metazoa; phylum Chordata; class Mammalia; order Primates; family Hominidae; genus Homo; species Homo sapiens. The sequence continues at coordinate 69,193,496 of NC_000011.10, forward strand.
AATTACACCCGGAGCCATGCAATGACAGATCCCTCCAAACCCTGGTGGGGCCTGTGTGGTGGTGCCGCCCAATCACTTGGTATAAATGGGAAACGGAGGCAGATCAGAGGTGGAGAAAGAATTGAATTCAATTTGGTTCAGCACTCCAAATGTTGGTTGAAGGCTCTTTCTGTGAGAGACACACAAAATACTTACCTGAAAGCCCCTCCCCGCCAAATCCTGAAGTCACAGCTTCCTTAGGGACTTCAGCCAGAACTCTCCCCAATATTTCAGTCCTGCTGGATGATTCCTGAGCCTGCAGATTCCTGTTGGTGTGAGTCAGCAGGGTGGAGGGATGGGTGAAGGAAGGAGTGAGGGTCGGTGAGGGAGATTCATCCTAGAGGCCTCATGGGTTTATCTGCCAAGCAGATAAAGCCCCTCCTTTCAGAGCCAAAATCAGGGTTCATCAGGGCTGGAGTGAGGCCATGGAAGGCAGGATCAGCTGTGTGTGCAAGACAGACTGAGAGCAAGAGAAGAACTGGGGTGTGGAGGGGTGGCTGGGGGCAGCTGTCAGAAGGTCCAGGCCCTGAAGCCCCGGGTGGTCAGCTGCTCCTCTTCACAGAGACCACGGTGCTGGCATCTCATCATCAGGGGGCATGTGGCCAGTGGAAGCCATGCAACTTGGTAACCATGGGTGAGTAGCTGGACCTCCTCTAGCCCTGGTTTCTTCCTTGGCAGAGCAGGAATGACCAGAGTTGCTTTGCCAGGTACCTTGAGATGAAATGAGGTGTGAGGGCAGAGGGCCGCCCTGTGCTGCTCAGAGCTGGTCCATCAGTCCACAGGCTGTTTCCAGGGCCATATTCCAGCTCTGGCCTTTTTGAGTCATGGTGCTCTAGGAAAGTTTCTAAGCCTAGAGCCCCATGGGATACTAATGGGATAGTAACAGTCCTACCTCACAGGGCTGGGGCATGAAATTGGTTAATCCATATAGATAACCTGGAATAGTCCCTGACTGGTACACAAAGGGGGTTAAATTGAACTGGTGCTGTGATGGTGGTGGTGGTAGTGATAATGATGATGATGGTATGAGGAGAATGGTGGTGTTGATGGTGATAGTGTTGATGGTGGTGATAATGATGGTGGTAAACGTGGTGATGATGATGATGATGGTCATGATGATGATGATGATGGTGATGGTGATGGTGATGATGGTAGTGGTGGCAGTGGTGATGATGATGGTGATACTGGTGATGGTGATGGTGGTGATGGTGATGATGATGGTGGTGGCCAGTGGTGATGATGATGGTGATACTGGTGATGGTGATGGTGGTGATGGTGATGATGATTATGGTAGGCGGCAGTGGTGGTGATGACAGTGATACTGGTGATGGTGATGATGGTGATGATGATGGTGATACTGGTGATGGTGATGGTGATGGTGATGATGATGATGATGATGGTGGTGGCAGTGGTGGTGATGATGGCGATACTGCTCATGATGATGATGGTGATGATGATCCGTGATGGTGATGATGATGCTATCGGCAGTCGTGATGATGATGGTGATGGTGATGGTGGTGATGGTGATGATGGTGATGATGATGATGGTGATGGTGGTGATGGTGATGATGGTGGTGGCAGTGGTGATGATGATGGTGATGATGATGATGATGGGGTAGTGGTGGTGGTAGTGATTGTGATGACGATGGTGATGATGATGATATGGCAATAGTGGTGATGGTGATGGTGGTGATAATGATGAATAAATCGTCATCATTTAGCACTTGTTATATGCTTAGATCTGTCCCAGCCATGGGGATACCACAATGAACAAGACAAGTATGGTTCCTGCTCTCCTGAGAATCAGTACTACTGATGGCAATAGCCAGTGGGTAAGTTAACCGACCCATGAGCAAAGTAACATTTCAGAGGGAGGAGCTGGAGAGTTGTGTGAAGTGTGGGGCAGCCCAGTAGGCTCCTTGGAGGAGGTGACATGTGGATGAAGAGACGGGGGGAGCCACCATCATGAGGGGCAGAGAATTTATATTGGCTCAGATAACTAGGACATCTGGGGTTGCATCTAGCATTGGGAACAGGCGTTAAAGATGCCCTCTCGCTCCCCCTCTCTCCTCTCTGCCTCTCCTGACTACCTTTTGACTTCCATGGTACCCCGAATCAATGCCACTCTTACGGCTTCCAAGATCCGTTGTCCCGGGCTAGTTGTGTCCCCTCCCTGGAACTCAGTGGTCCCATCTGGAAAGTGTGATGGGGAACGCTAGCCAGACACCCCTGTGGTCCCTTCCATCTCTGGGGTCCCGAGTGCCTGGCCCTGTGCTGGCGCCCTTGTTGGGCCATGGAGTAACTGACAGTAAGCAGTGGGCATGAGGAGCACTTCCTGCTTCAGGGCCTGCGGGAGGGTGAACAGTTCACTTCACAGTAGGTCTCTGTGGCTTACCTGGGATGGAGCTGGCTCCAGGAGCAATTTCCCCTGGATGAAACAATCTTTGGAATCCACCGTATATCACTCGCCATGACGTCTTCTGTTTAAACAGCGGCAGCCGGCAGAGGGTGAGCGAGGAGGCCGTGCTGGGAGGAGGGCCCATGTCCCAGCCCCCAACCCCGGCCCCGGTGGAAGGCCCCGCTATGGGGGAAAGCAGGCATATGGAACCCATTTGGGAAATTCTTTCTGCATAAACCACTTTTTCCAGGTAAGACACATGCCCATATTGACTGGGAAAGATGCAATACCTCTTACACTTTGCCGGCTACATTTTTATGGACCTTAATTAAACCCACGGTCTGCCGGGTTGGGAAATTGGACACTCTTTGTGCGGCGCCTTCTTAAGAAGTACTGTTGGCCCAGGGGAGGCCAATTATAACCTCGCGTCCTCCCCACCTCCCAGGACCTCACAGACCCTCCAAGCGCTTGGAAAATGTGCGCTCGACAGAGGGCCTTTGATTCTGCTTGCCTGGACAGCGTTAGGCCTGTTTCCAGGCCTGAGGCAAGTGGTGGTCAGGGTCCCAGGCGGCCGGCGGAGGGGCCACAGAGACCGGAGTTTTCAAACTTCATTGAGCACCAGCGCTTTCCTTTCATGCCCAATCGCATGGAGACCTCGGATAGAAACCAGATGAGCCTGCTGGGGCTGAAGGGGGAGGTTGGTGGGGGGTGCACGTGGCCCCTTGCTCACCCCCAGCTCCTGTTCGCCATGAGGTGACAGCGAGGACAGCCGCCTGGGTGTTCAGTGAGTTGTTAACGCCTGGATGGTTGTGCTCGTTATCCTGTTTAACAGGCACAGGCCAAGTGAGGTAGGTGCTGTTACCATTGCCATTTCACACCTGAGGGAACCTAGGCGCAGAGCAGCAGAGGGACGGGCCCAGGGTGGCCCGGCCGGAGCAGGAGGAGTGGTGGGGTTTGGGTCCTGGAAGCCCGTGTGCGTGGCCGCCTCTCCAGAAGGCTGCTGGGGAGCTACTGATTGGGCCCAAGCCTCTCTTTTGACGGTGCTCCGGGCTCAGTGCTGTGCCTTCCACTCCCGGTGGCCCCTGCCTGTGCGTGATCTCCACAGCACAGCCCCCTTCTTGTGTCGGGTAGTGGCCTAGGCCCCTCCTATGCTTGGGTTCATGGATCCAGCAGGCCGGGGGGGTCCTCTCACCGCTGGAGGGGCTACTCTGCCAGCCTCTCTGGTTGGGTGGAACCTGCCCTTGACTAGCATACATGGTCCGGGGCACCCCAGGACTTTTCAAGGATGCCTTTGGTTGGAGGAGAAGGTGTCTTTGCTTTGGTCCTTTTTGTGCTCTGGGCTTCCACGAATATTTCATTTTTAGGGAAGAGATTCGTTAATCAAGAAAAGTGTCCCCTGGATGAGCTTTTCCTGGGATTGGCTCTTCCTGGGATGCTCAGGTCATGGCCCCAGAAACCCCAACCTAGCCAAGGGAGCATGTTAGGAAGCCAGGCCAATGGAGGGATAATTTACATGCGGTAACATCCATCCTTTCAAGGTGTATGCTTTGGTGAATTTTGACAAATGCAAGTAGTCACAGACACCCTCGTAATCAAGATACGGAAGATTTCTATCACCTCCAAAGCTCCCTCGTGCGTCCTCCCACCCCAGCCCCCCAGTGGTGGATCCGTTTTTGGTCCTCATAGCTCTGCCTTTTCTAGAATCGCATCAATAGACCCATGCAGTTGGCAGTCTCTTCAGTGTGGCTTCTTTCACTTTGTATTATGCCTTTAACATCCAGCCATAGTTACAGGGACATCGCTGGCACCTCGCAGGCTGGGTGGCCTCAGGGAAGATGGAGCTGGGCTCACCCCGGGTACCCTGGAGCAGTCGAGCTCTCTGGCAGGTAGAGCAGGGTGGGTCCAGAAGCTTCTGCTAGTCTTTGTTTCCTCATTAACTCAGGAATGTTAATCAGTGCTGACTTCTTGGGGTTGATGGGAAATGATGGGCCATTTGGATACTTGCTCAGGGACTGTGCACAGTGGCTCATGCCTGTGATCCCAAGGTTTTGGGAGGCTGAGGTGAGAGAAGCACTTGAGGCCAAGAATTTGAGACCAGCCTGGGCAACATAGTGAGACCCCATCACTAGATATGTGCTCCTGACCTCATAGCACAGAAACCCAACCAGAAAGGATTCAATAAGTCTGGATGAGGATGGCTCCAGGGCAGCTTCATCCAAGCACTCATGACATCAGTGATCTGGGTGACTCCTCAGCTGCAAGATGGTGGCAGCTTCTTCTAGCATCACGTCCCTACGGGACAACATCCAAGTGGGAAGGGGCACTTCCCTGTGGTGTTCCCCTCTGTTAGCAAGAAACCCTTTTCCGGGAGCAGCCCCCAGTTTCAGCAGTCTTCCCTGTGCCTCACTGGTCAGGGTGTGTCCCATGCGTCATGTCTACACCAATCTCCAGCAACAGACGGGAGCTGCCAGGAGAGGGTGAAGCCTGAGCAGCCTTTGCTCTGGGCTGGAGAGGGGCTGGTGAAGCACAGAGCAGATAATGCCTGGATAAGACGGGGGCTCTCCGGGCAAGGGAAGGAGGACGTGCCCAGAGGTGGGGAACTGGCCGTCTGCTAGATGCTGTGTGTGAGTCTGATTGCAAGGAGGTTCTCTGTCTACAAAAGACCAGAACAGGAGGGAGCCATTAGGGAAGAAGGCCACCAACATGGCCGGCTGACTGTGGTTGGCCTTCCTCAGGGCTGAGGCTTAGATAGGGTGAGCCTATCTTGTAGATGTTCCTCAAAGGAGAGGACACAAATGAGCAATTTGTGACCTTTGTGTGCTTGCTGTCCATACCTTCATCCTTCCATCTCTCCATCTATCCATCCGTCTCTCCATCCCTTCCTAATCCATTCATCCCTTCATCCATCCCCTTCATCCATCCATCATCCATCAATCTCTCTATCCCTCCATTCATCCATCAATCTCTTCATCCTTCCATCCACCTATTATCCATCCACTTCTCCATCCATCCATTCATCTATCCTTTATTCATTTATCCATTTATCCATCCATCCATCTCTCTATCTCTTCATCCATCCATCCACTCATCTATCCATCTCTCCACCCCTCCATACATCCATTCATCAGTTGTCCTTCCATTAATTCGTCCATGTTTCCATCCCTCCAGCAGTCTCTCCATCCCTCCATCTCTCCATTCATGTATCATCCCTCCACCCATCATCCATCCATATCTCCATCCATCCACTCATTGATCCTCCATTTATTCATCCATCCACCCACCCATCCATCCATCCATCCATCCATCCATCCATCCATCTCCTATCTCTCCATGCATCCGTCTCTCATTTCTCCATCCCTCCATCTCACCATTGCTCTATCACTGCATCCTTCTATCCCTCCATGTCTCCATCCCTTCTTCCAAGTAACAACCAAGCACTTGCTCTGGGTGGGCCCTGTGCTGGGTCCTGGAGAGAAGGGGAGAAACTGGGCTCTGTCGTTCAGGACTTTGGCAAGGGCCCCTCACGGTTGGGGTGTGGAGGCGTGGTTTCCCTTGGGGCTTTCCCCATAGTGAGCATGTGATGCTTTCAGGGGAACACTGCCTTTTAATTTTTATCCCAAGATTCAAGCAGCACAGATCCTCTCTTGCTTCACAGCCCCTGTCCAATCCTGCCTTTCATTAACTAACTTTAGTAACTTTCCTCGCTGTGTTTAATTAAGATTCATACGAGCAAGACTTGAAGGAACACAAGCATCTCAGTGCGGCTGGGCCGGCCTTTAGTCTTGGGCTTTTTACCTCTTGCCCGTGGTGGTGCTGGCTGCAGAGGACCCCCTGAGCTGGGAGTAGAAATAACTCACCTTGGTTTTTTTCTTGCTGCCAGACTTTTAGGATGGCTCTGAAACACCAGACTAAGTCTGTGTCCAAAAGCCTCAAGCATTGGCCTGGGATTATGTAGGTGGATATCATTTGAGGACTATGGAGGCCAAATTATTTCCTTGATTGTCTAATCTCCTTGTTAACAACATTTGTGAAAAAATGAAGGGTTTTTTTTTTTTTTGTTTTTTGTTTTTTTTGGCTGCAATGGAAGTTTCAAGACTTACAAGGAAACAGCTTTTGCTGTTCCCCTCTTAGGGCCTTCCAGCCTGACAAAAGAAATCAGCAGCTTGCCCGTGGGCAATCTGGAGAGGCAGGAAGGTGGGTGAGGGAAGCATGACATCATATCAGGTGGGAATAAAAAGGCGTGTCCTGCAGTGTCCCTGTTCAAACATATTTTGGTGCTTGGATGCCCGCTTTGGAAGCTGGAAGACCCTCAGCAGGAACTGCGAAGGGCTCCAGAGACCCGGACTCAAGTTTTCAAACTTTAAAAATGAGTATGGCAAGGGAGGAGTGAGGGGTGAAGGGCAGCAGCCCCCTGGTGGGGAGCAGGGGCGCCGGGAGTCAGATCTGACAGAGGGCTCCCGGCTGTGTGCTGCATGCGTGGTTCCCCTTTTTCTTGGAGAAAATGGGGAGGCAGGAGTGAGGCAGATTGCTCTGGGACAATGGGCCCCTCTCCCGTCGGGTGGGAGCGGCTCTGGGCCCAAACAATAGGCCTGGGCCGGCCCCTCTCCTGCTGCCCACCGTCTGAGACAGATGCCGGGGAGCCGCCGGGAGTGCCCCAGAGGTGACCTTCGGGGGCTGCCCTGTCACTTTGTGGAGGAGTCCTGGAGAGGGAGGGAGGCAAACAATGGTGGCCTCATGCCAGGCGCCCGGCCTCCGGCACGGGCCAGGGCTCCCCAGGGAGAGCACGGCCTGGCAGGTGCTGCTATTGTCTCAGGGCGCAGGGGCCTTCCGCGGAGGTCTCCCGGCAGGGAGGCAGGGCACCGGTCAGCACGCGGCAGGAGAGGCTTGGGCTGGAGGCCCTCTTGTTGTTCTCCAGGGAGGACGCAAGGAGCTGATTCTGCTGGCTCCATTCAGGCCTGACAGCCCCAGCCCAGTTCTGCCCTCAGCCCCTAAAAGCGTCATTCAGAAAAGCAATTAACGTCTCTGGCCTCCAATGGCACCGGGACTCTGAGTGTCAGATTTTACAGCCGGACCTGCCCTAGGAAATGCCCAAATCTGAGCTGACATCCTCGCTTGAGCTGGGGGCACAGGCGGAGTTTTCTGGAGGAAGGGCATCAGCTCAGGAGGACAAGGGGTGAGCCCTGGATTTGTCTTTTCTCTGCAAAGAGACTTGCCCTGGGAGAACCCCCACACCATAAGCTGAAAGCAGTGGATGAGCGCAGCAAGGGCTCTCTCATCCTGGGGAGGAGCAGTAGCTAATGGGTGTGCGTGTGTCCGTGTGTGTGTGTGTGCATATGTGTGTGTGCATATGTGCATGTGTGTTTTTGTAGGCATGTATATGTGCACATGTGTGTGGCTATACATGCGTGCACACACACATACACTGCAAATGTGTTCATGTTGTGTGTGCGTTTGTGTGCACACACGTGTGTCTGGGCAGGTGTACATACCTGCATGTGTACACAAGTGTATTTGTGTGTGCATGCCCATGTCTGTCCCATGTCTGTGCACATGTGTGCATACGTGTTTGGCGGGGTGCATACTTGTGCCAGGCACTTTGCTGGGGATTTTTGCAAACGTCATTCATGTGACTTATGATCTGCTGGGAACAGGCATTGCTATCTTGACCACAGATGAGGACACAGACCCCTGAAAGGCACATGACTTGACTATACCTCCTCAAACTCCTCAGACCCCAAGGTGGGTCTGCAAGACCTCACAACTTGGGCCTTTTCTACTGTCCACTCATCTGCAGGCTGTGTCCTTCCTCAGCCTGCTGGCTCTGGGATCTGGGAATGTGCCTTGGTCGGCTGGGTCTTTGAGACTGTTCTAGGCCCTAGGGGAGAAGCAGACACAGTCTCTGCCCTTGTCCTGCAAAGGGGAAGGGAACATGGAGGGCAGAAGTGGCTCCTCTAGGTGGCAGGGAAGGTGGTAGGGGAGTCCAGAGGAGGCCCATGTCCTGCTCTCAGGGGCCAGGGAATGCTTCCCGGGAGAATGATGTCCAAAGCCAGGCTGCAGGTTGAGCCAGCGTGAGGCAGGTGAGAGAGGCCTGGAGAAGTCCCTAGCTGTAGAGAAGGTGCCCGCAGCCCTGAGGGAGCCAGGGGTTACCTGGGGGGAGGTCTGAGGCTCACCAAGGTTGGGTGCTTGCTGTCACCTGCTTCATTGCGGAGCCATACATGGAGCTGCGGAGTTCAAGGTTGGCTTCTCAGACACCTAAGGCAGCCTCACAGCTGAGCCAGTCTGGGGAGGAGGACCACCTAGGGGCCTGGCAGGTGGTCCAAGTGGCTCCTCAACTGGAACTATGCCCTGCCTTGCCCTGGTTCCCTGTGCTGGGGTGACTCTGTGCTCAAGCCTATGATAATCGTCTCTCTGCCTGCCTCTGGTGTCCCTGGTCCTCCTTGTACTGCAGGAGCTTGTGCAGGGCAGGGTGAGTGGCGGGGACTTGACTCTCACAGTCCCTAGCTCTACTGGCTCTGAGATTTCAGCCAACCTCCCCTCCATGAGCTGCGCTGTCCTCATCTGTAAAGTGGGGGGATTGGCAGAAAGCCACGGACAGTTTCCCACAGTGCCCTGCCCATCAAGCAGGCCATATTCAGACAGTGCTGTCATTTCACCGAATGGAGGACTCCCTCTCACCCCCTCTGGCTGGCATTTCACCAAACCGAGGGTTCCCTCTCACCCCCTCTGGCTGGCATTTCACTGAGCAGGGGGCCCCCTCTCACCCTCAGGCAGACCTGTCATTGCACCCAGCCTTTCTCTCTCCTGATGTGCAACACCAGGCTGGGCCGGCGCTGACCACCCTGGACATGGCAGTGTGGACGGTAACAGAGCCGGTGACCCGCCCTCCGTCGGGGCGCCTTCCCTGGCGGCTCTTGCTCCTGCCGTCTTGAGTTCAACCTCCCAAGAGGGGCTCTGGTGGGTCCAGGTAGTTCTTCTCCCCGCTGTGTGTGGCTTTTGCTCCTGATGGTTTCAGGCTGTCGGTGCCCCGGGGGTTGGTGTTTTCCCCCCAGCTCCTGGTCTCTAAGCTGAACTAGGTCCAGGCTCTGTGAACACTGCCCAGTCCCTGTGGCAGCTCCATCAGGGGCCTCTGAGCGTGGCAGGCACCCATGCACTGTGGGCGTTTTCTTTGAGATGCTGCCTGCCCGTTGCGAGCTGCTGGCCTAAGCTCCTCACTGAGACTGCCTGGCATTCGGAGGACGACCACAGGGGTGTGAGCTGCCCCGGGGTGCATTCGCGTCAAAGAGGTTGAGGTGGAACCAGCTGCGACCCTCAGCAGCAGCAAGTGGCCACTTTGGGGACCCTGTGGGTTTTGAGTCAGAGGAAAACAGAGTTTAAGCCTTTTCCCATTTGTCCTGAGAGTACTCACCAGGGGCTTGCGACTGCAGTGTTTACCCCGAGATAACTCCGCCACGAAATAGCTCGATTTTATTATTATTTTTGCATCGCTCTAGTATATTGACTTTGGAAACAAAAGACGTCATATCCTACTCATAGCATTCTGTTTCTAGTAGCGGCATTTCCATTTACAAAATAGAGTCATTCTCGATCGCTGAAAATGTCACATCCTAGAAAACACAGAATTCCTACGCGTGGTTGTTCTCGGATGTTTGTTGGCCAAAGATTGATTTGACGAATCCGTTTTTTCCAAAATAGACGATTCTGATGATTCACGCGAGTCTGATGTTAGTTCTGTTTAGAAATGACTCCAAGAACAGTTTTTATGTTTTATTTTCTCATTGAAAAGCAGTCAGATTTGCTTCAGCCTCAAGAAGTGTGTTTATGTAAAATTAAATGAGTGCTGGCTTCGAGCCGCACTTTTTTTTCCCCCTAAACAAGAAAAGGGTTAAAACTGGAAGAACCTTAGAAATGACCCCTCAATGCACAGATGCTGACACAGAGGCCCAGAAAGAAGGGTGTTTTTGGGGTCCCTGGGAAGCTGGGGCTCTGCTGCCCTCAGGACATGGAGCGGGAATACTCAGCCCAGGGCACCCTGGCCTTTTCTCTCTGGGCTCCCGGGTGAGTGTTCAGGACAGCAGCCAGGTCATGACTGATGATTTTCTAGGGACCTCTACTTTGCTCATTTAGAATCACTGTGACCCTATGGGGTGGGGGGCACCGGAGATGTTTGTTCCGTTTTACAGTCAGTAAAACTGAGGCCCAGAAGGAGCCAGGATGTGCTCGAGGTTGCACCTGAGGCCAGGGCACAGCAGTGTCCAGGGTTCTTTTAGAAACGTTGCCCTTGGTCTGAGTCCTAGGCGCGTGGGTCCAAAGGGATCTCAGGTGGGAGGATGGTGCTGGGGGGTGGGGCCCACCCAGCACCTCTCAGGGAGGCCCGGACTCATGGCTGCCCGGGGCTGGGTGGAGGAGCTCTGTTCCTCTGGGTCTGTGCAGGCAGGAGCAGAGGTCATCTCCTCCCTGAGTGAACAGGCCTTGACGGTTGTGTCATGGGGCCCCGTTGGGGGGACACTGTTTAATCTGACTGGCATGAGTAGATTTCAACGGGTCCAAGTCTGACTGCTGTGGGGTGCCTGGGAGCGGGGCTGGGTGTGCACGGCGGAGGCCCCAGATACCATCCTGCCTGGAGATGCAAGGTGGGAAGGTGTGGCAGAGTCCTCATGGCCTTGGCGGGCTCGGGTGGCAGGGGGGACCTCCATCTCCACCCTGCTCTGTTTGACCTGGGCTGCTTACTGGAGGGTGGAGGGAGAGCAGCAGGGCCTTGGAGGGACTTAGTGAATGACCAGCAGAAGGAGTGGCTTCCGATGGCACAGGCGTCCAGGGCAGATGGTTCCGGCCCGCTTACGGTGGGTGAGACACGCAGAGGAAATACCCTCAGAGCTAAACCCTGGCTCCTGGGTCAGCCACGGAGTTTCTTCAAGCCCCAGCTTCTGTATCTGGAAAGGGGGTGAGGAGATGACCTTTCTTGAGTAAGTCAGTGCTGGAGAAGCTGTTCGTGTTCGCTGAGGGTCAGCTTTTGTCGGCGCAAGAATCAGACCTGGCCATGTTGCGGGGCACTCACTCAGCCAGTCTGGTTGGGAAACCTGCCTTGACCTTGGCTGGAGCGAACCCCTCTCCCAGACAGTGATTCATCGGGGGATGTGGTGTTGAGGAAGGGGTGGTGAACACGTGCTATTGAAGGGACGCTGTTTTTCTCCCCCCGCCCCCGGGGTTTCGTCACTGGCCTGGGAAAAGGCTGAATTTGGAGCCCTGTGGGCCGTGCACTTGGTGAGGACTGGTGGGTGGGGTGTGTCCCGGCTGCCAAGGGAGGAAGGCACACCGTCCTCTTTTCCTCTTTTCCTGAGGCCTCGTGGTGGTCATGACAGTAGCAGGGCCGATGACAGCTCACACGGCCAGCAGTGTGGGCTCCTCACTCAAAGCTCAAACATGAGGCACAGGCGAGCTTGGTCACCTGGCAACTTGCTCAGGGTCACATGTCTGCTCAGCCATGGCCGGGACTCCAATCTGCCTCGCGTCCTCTCCTGCTCCTTCTGGGCCACGCTGCGCAGGGAGAAGGACCCCGGCTGGGTGGAAGCCCTTGGACTCCCTGCCTCAGTTTACCCATCATGTCTTTTGACCTAACCATAGCGACCTTTGGCGCTTATGTATAAAGCTCGCTCTCTTGGCTGCGTCACCAGGCCTGGGTTCCAGAGAGCCCTCCCTCCCCATGGGCCCAAGGAAGGGCCTGGAGTGAGGTGGCCAGCCGCAGCTTGGCTGGGATGGTATGGTGGTCCATAAGGCCTCGTGGGCTGTCCAGCTCCAGCCAGCCAGCCTCGGTGAAGCCAGCCGACTTGGCGGCAGTCTCCAGCACTTTGAGACGTTTGTCCCCCTCCTGCCCCCGTCCAGCTATGACAAGTGGGCTTTCAGTAGATATGACAGCCTCTGGTGGGGGGTCCCTGGCCCCTGTCCATGTCTCTACACTTGACTTGCTCGGAGTTCACTGGCCCGAAATAATGTTCCCAATGCAAGTCGGCGGACGGAACATTCGGAGTGGACGGTTTGCTTCCCCCCCACTTTTTAATACATTAAACATGCGTTACTGGAGTTCTACCCGATTCCTCTGACAGCTGTGAAAAAATAAAGAAAATTCAGTTTGAACTTAAAAAGCTCGGGCTTAATTTATGTCCCGCACCTTTGTCTGCTGGGTCCTTTTTCCTCTTCCGATGGAAAGGCCCCAGGGAGCGGGCGACAGAGGCTCGGCCACCCCACGTGGCCCCTCAGTGCCCGGGCCTTAATAGGGGCGCCCAGTGGCCAACACGGAGGGGAGTTTTCAGATGGAAATCGGACAAAACAATGCAATCATCTGTCTCGCAATCTGTTTTGAAGGGGAAAGAAAGAGCGGGCAGAGAGGAGAGAGTCGTTTTCTACTAGGGGAGGCTTCATTCAGAGAGTTTTATAGGAGAAGACAGATGTCATGAATACTGATGTGGAGAGCCTGGGTCTGGCAGAGTTTTTTTAATTTTCTGAGTTGTAAAGACAAAGTGTTTTAATAACACAGGGAAACACATGTTGATGGGTGGGTCTTTAGCTCATTCTGATTTCTCTAACTCCCTCTCTTTCTCCTCCTTTCTTTCCGTCTTTCTGCCTGCCTGCCTGCCTGCCTGCCTGCCTGCCTGCCTTCCTTCCTTCCTTCCTTCCTTCCTTCCTTCCTTCCTTCCTTCCTTCCTTCCTTCCTTCCTTCCTCCCTCCCTCCCTCCCTCCCTCCCTCCCTTCCTTCCTTTTTTTGAGACAGGGTCTCGCTCTGTGGTCCAGGCTGGAGTGCAGGGGTGCAATCTCTGTTCACTGCAACCTCTGCCTCCTGGGTTCCAGCGATTCTCTTGCCACAGCCTCCTGAGTAGCTGGGACCACAGGCGCCCATCGTCACGCCCAGCTAATTTTTTTGTAGTTTTAGTAGAGATGGAGTTTTGCCATTTTGCCCAGGCCGGTAACAAACTCCTGGCCTCAAGTGATCCACACACCTCGGCCTCCCAAAGTGTTGAGATTACAGGTGTGAGTCACCATGCCCGGCCTCTCCTTTTTTCTTCTTCTTTCTTTCCTTTCTCCTCCTTTTCCTTTTATCACCCTGTCTCCCTCTGTCTGTCTCTTTCTCCCTGTTTCTTCTCTTGGCCTGTTATGGGGTTCGGGAGCCACACAAAACATTTCCTTCTGTGCCCTTTCACGGCCCACCTTCCTGGTTGAGAGAAGGAATCTGCTCTTCTGAAGCACTGTGCTTCCATCTGAATGGCACAGCATTTCCGAGTTTGGGGACAGAATGTATTGAGCTAAAAGAGGTGTTTGCTCATGCACTCACTCTACAATGGGGGCGGGAAAAACAGGTGAATCAAGTGTGGGGCCTGCCTGTCCGTCAGGAGCTGCTGGTCAGACAAATATGAACGTGGACACAACCTGCTGGGAGGCGTCTCTGCTTTTGGCTCTCTGGGCAGTGGGGCACGTGTGCCCATAAGGCAGGTGCTGTCCCTGGTCTTGGAACTTCTTATGAAACCAGCCTGCCCGGCACCTCCTGCCATCCCTGTGAGGTGATGGGACAGGTGCTAAGCCTGCCCTTGGACAGATAAGAAAACTGCAGCCCCAGGCACAGAGGCACAAGCTGAGAGGTGACGTCAGGACTGAACTGTGAGCCTGGGAGTCCAAATCTAGGCTCACCCAGTCTTTCTGGCTCCAGTGAGGGCCCGCCACTGTCATCCGACGGATGGCATGTGTGATTTTTGGCACACGCCTGTGCAGGTGACTCCCACAGGTGCCCCGGAGGGAGGCGCTGCTGTGATGTTCATGCTACATGCAGGAAACAGAGAGGTTGAGTGACTTGCCCACAGCCCCACAGCTCCTACCTAGTGAAGCCTGGTTTGAGGCCACACCTGCCTTACTAGTTTTATTATTTATTTATTTTTTGAGACTGAGTTTCACTCTGCTGCCCAGGCTGGAGTGCAGTGGCGCAGTCTCGGCTCACTGCAGCCTCCGCCTCCGGGGTTCAAGAGATTCTGCTGCCTCAGCCTCCAGAGTAGCTGGGACTACAGGCGCCAGCCACCACACCCAGCTAATTTTTTGTGTTTTTAATAGAGACGGGGTTTCACCATGTTGACCAGGCTGGTCTTGAACTCCTGACCTCTGGTGATCTGCCTGCCTTGGCCTCCCAAAGTGCTAAGATTACCTGTGTGGGCCATCATGACCAGCCACTATTATTTTTTAAATTGTGGTAAAATATAACATAATATTTATCATTCTAGCCAGTTGTGAGTGTACAACTCTGTGGCATTTCATCCATTCATGATGAGGTATAGCCACTGCTGCTCCCTATACCCAAACATTTCCAGAGTCCTCAGCAAAACCTGGGTACCCATTAAACAGCAACTCCTCCCAGCCCCTGGTAACCTCTGTTCTTCTTTCTGTGTCTGTGGATTTGACTTCTCTGGGCACCTCATGTGAGCGGAATTGTACGGCATGTGTGTCTTCATGTCTGGCTTATCTCACCCAGCAAATGTCGTCTAGCTTCATCTGTGTTGTAGTGTGTGTCTGAGCTTCCTTCCTTCTTAAGGCTCAATACTATTCCAATGTGTGAAGAGACCACATTTCGTTTATCTGTTCATCTGTTTGGTGACTGAGCTCCCTCCATGCTCTCCAACAATAATCATGCTCCTCCACAGACAGGTGTCTTGGCTGATGGTGTCAGAGACCCCCTGGCAAGCCGCTGCTATGGGAGGGGTCTTCTCCCTCTCATGCCACCCAAGGAGACTCTGTGGGGTCCCTGCAGACCCCGCAGCATGGTCAGGGGCTCTGACTGGAGGCTGTTCCCTCCAACAGGACTCAGCAGTCAGGGTCTCCCAGGGAACCCCTGTATGCAGACTCTGGGAAGACAGGTGGATCAGGTGTGGGGACTGTCTGTCCCTCAGGAGCTGCTGGTTGAATGAATGCGACTGTCTCCTGCTGGGACACGCCTCTGCCTCAGGCTCTGGGCAGTGGGGGACGTGTGCCCCTAAAGAAGGTACAACCCCCGGTCTTGGTGCCTGGAGTCATAAGATCCATAGACACAGGGCAAGAGGGGCTTCCTGGGCACCCGCCGTGTGCAGGCTCTGCGTGAGGCACAGGGTTCGGGACTCAGTGGTGAATAAACTGCCATCCCCTTGTGGGGAAGAAGGGCAGGTGCACCTAGCTTACGCGTTCACTTGACAAGCAAGTATTGAGTGCCTTCTGTATACAGGTCTGCAGCTGGTGCTGGGGGCCGGCCTTTGGATCTGGTGTCCACCCCCTGACCTGGGCCCAGGCCCTCCCCATCGTCCTCTGCCGTAGGAGGTATCAGAGAGCAAGTACCTTCCTTAGTCACACCCATCACGTACATAGTGGATGTGCCTCTTTTTCGGGGCAGGGGGTAATCTTAATCACCAAGCAATTACTAAATGCCGACCATGTTCTCAGGCTTGGCAGAGGTGGGTGCTTGTTACCCCAAGGGACAACCACTTCCCTCCATGCTCCCCACCCCACCCAAGACCCTTCTCCACTCCACTCCTGACTGCCGCCTCCCACCTCTGCCCTGGGTCGCTGTCTTTATTGTCTTCCTCAACATCTTCCATGGGAAAGGCCAATGGCTTGAAACAGGATTGACGAGACACCCGGGGCCTGCTCCACACCCGTGGGCTCCTGGGCGTGCACCCAAGAGCCTCCACCCCTGAATGGCTGGCATCCAGGTGGGCTTCCCATAAGGAGCCCCCTTCTGCGGGCCTGGGAGGGTGGGGAGCCTGTGGCGAGGTGGCGGGGAAGAGAAAGGGCACAGGTGCCCCCTCACTCCGAGCCTATCGGATCCCGGAGACTTGCAGGCTATAGACCTAGAGGTCCAGCCAGGAGGGCTGGCAGGGACCATGAAGCAGGAGACGTCAGGGCAGAGAGAATGCCTTTTAGAGCCAGATAAATTCTTACTTCCCCTTTCCCAGCTGCGTGACCCTGGGAAACTTCAACACTCCGTGTCTCAGTCCTCTCATCTGTAAAATGAATCTGATGAGAACTGTGTAAGAATAGAGGTGTGTGGAGAGCTCTCTGGTGCCAGGCTCATGGCAAGACTGTGGTGACACCAGCCATCGGAAGGCAGGGAGGCTCCTCTGTGGACAGCTGGATGCACAGGTGCGTAGCAGGAGCTCAGGAGGGTGTGCCCGCGGAGTCGCAGGTAAGGGAGCCACTCCAGATTGCAGAGCTTGGCTTGGAGGTGTCGCCTCAGGAGGGTCTTCCATTGCCTGGAGACCCCACATAGGCCCTCTTCTTCCTTCAAACACAGCCCCCAACCTCTCTGCAGGGAAGTCCTCCCTGACCTTCCAAACCAGGGCAGACCCTTGTCTGGGCTCCGTCGGCCTGGACATGGTGCCATTTCCCACTAGTGGGGCAGAAGCCTGTCTACTTCAGTCTCCCTTGTGTCCCCAAGCAATGGGGACTTGAGCATAAACGTTCATGAGTGACACATTTATATTGATAGGCAGGGCCACACTGTGGGAGGAGCTGGTGGCCTGAGAACCCCTGTGAACAGCAGGGTGACACGTGGCCTCTGGTGATCCCTTTTGGGAAACGTCTGAGAGTCTGAGGCTGTCAGGCCCCTGACGCTGACTCATGGCTGGGACAACCTTGAGAGAGTCACTGCTCTATTTCCCCATCTGTCAGCCAGGGGCTTGGCATGGGTGTTCTCTGTGGGTCCTTCCAGCACTGAGGTTCTGAGGTCATTGTTGCAGGGGTAGACGACTCTGGGGTGGCAGGTGGGGCTGCCGTAATCTTGGGGGAATGAGCTTTGCTTTAGGTGAGGCTGTGCAGAGGCATCTGTGTCGAAGGAGACCAAGGCCTGCTCTGCTTGCCTCCCTGCAGCTGGCTGGGCTCCTTGCTCTCCAAGGTTCCTGGACTTTCCTCCAGACCCGAGTGCAAGCTCCCTGTGGCTTCCACCCACCGCTCACAGGAGTCTCTGCAGCCACCAGACCCAGAGCCCAGACACCATCCACTGTCGGGGAGAGGCACGTGTCCACAGCTTCCTGGAATGCAAGGCTGCATGTGGCCAGGGCTGCTGCCCGCTGAGGGGCAAGTGCATGCCTGGAGACCACAGTAAGGAGCCAGTCTCATGCTCTGGGAGTTTAGATAAGGCTTCATGCCCCTTGGAGCCAAACCTCTGAATTCCATGGAGTTGTTGGGTCAAAGAGCTTGCCTAGGTCTGAGTTGTGGATACCTGTTGTCAATGAGCTCTCCACAAAGGGGTTACCATGATAGGTCCCACCACCTGTACCTCTCCTCTCCAAATTTCACCACTGTTCTTTCACACCTTTGCCAATTTGGTAAGTGCAAAATGATATTTTAGTTGTCTATGCTTACACTGATTGGAGGAATGCTTTAAGTTTGATTATTGGTAAGTGAAACATTTTGTTACCTGTATTTACTGATCCCACTTTCCTTTTATGAATGTCCCAGTTACATCTTTTGTCCATTTTTCTATTATTGTGTTTCTTGTTCTTACTGATTTGTAAGAGCTCTTTGTATATTCAGGTTATGAAGAGGGTCAAGGTTTATTCATGAATGACATTTCTCTTTTCTGAAGGGGGCAAATGGAGCATTTACTCCTTTCTCAAAGTGAGCTGATATTTGAATTTATTATTGTCTATTTTTCCATACTCTGTTTTACACTTTTCTTTGCACTTTGTAGCTGTCTGGGCACAGATGCCACCGAGAGAGCTAGAAAAAGTCACAAGGAGATCTTGGTCTCAGAGCAAAGGGCCCGCATGTAACGGCTTTGTAGGTCCCAGTGTGCAGGAGAGGATGTCTGAGTTCATGCTCTGGGTGCTTTCCCTGGCCGGCAGATGACAGGGAAGGAGCAAGCCCCAGTCCCTCCCCAACACACACAGCCCCTGCCCCCGACCAAACACGAAGTCACTTCTTTGGGGACAAGCAGATTTTTCAAACAAAGTTTGCCAAATATGCACATTTTTTTTTTTTCTCCAGGGCAGATGCAAACGGTCTTTTCAAATCAGTTTGGAGGAAAATAAATGAGCCCACGCTGAGGCTTCAATAAATCTTTGCGTAGCCACAAGGGTGAGTTTTGGGCCCGATGAAGGGCCCAGTGTGTGGCTTATGAATGATGCCCAGTGACGGCTCTGCTGCCCCCGCCTTCCCCTCTTCCCCTCCTCCGTCCCCCAACCCAATTTAAACTTGGACATTAATGTTTTAAGACAAAGGGACCTTTGGGCATTTCTCCCCCTTGTGGAGGAAGTCTCTCCGGTGAATTATTTGTCGTGGCTGTGCTCGGCGTGTGATGGGGGCTCGTGTCTCCGAGCCAGGGCCTGTCTCCAGGAGATGATCCATGTGCCGCCCTCCTGCCCTGGGGGCTCCAGGACCCCCAGCCCCAGATGCAGACAGGACTGTGGTCCCCCGAGGGGATTATTCCTCCCTGCCTGCCATCCCTGCTGGATCCTGGATCGTGCTGGCAGCAACCCAGTGTGGCTCACATAGACATCGCCTCTTGATGGGTCTCCCTGCCTTAGTCCCCATCCATTCTCCAAAGTGGGGGTGGCCGAAGGATGGCGTGAGAGGCTCTGAGCCTGCCTTTCCCCTGAATATCCCTGGATCAAGCCCAAAGCCTTAGCTTAGCATCCTGGTGACATCTCTGCTCTCATCTCCCTTCCTCTCCCTGGTGTGGACACTGCACCCACCACCAGCTCTGAGCACATGGCCCATTGGCTCTGCAGGGGCCCTCCTCTCTGTCTGCAGTGGCCACCTTGCCACCAGGCCCACCTGAAGGAACCGTGCCTCTCTTTACGGACTGACCCCAAGGTTTGCCCATGCTTGGAGGTCTGTCTGACTTTGCTTTCCTGATGCCTGGCAGTGGACCACCATGCCCACTTGTCGGTGGCTGTGTAGCTCATACTCACTCCATCTGGCAGTTTCCACCCACCGAGGACCACTCAAGTTTGCCCCACTCCATGTCTGCTGTTGGGAGGGGATGGTGCATCCCACAAGCAACAGGAGCCACGGAGCTGGGGGCTGGGGCTGTCAGCCTGGATGGGCCAGGAGGGGACCTTGCTGTGCCTAGTGGAAGAGTAGGTGGTCCCCTACTGGCTCCAGGCCGCTGGGTGGGTCACTTGCCCATCCCTGCCTGGGTGTCTATAGTGGGTGTTCCCGCCAAAATTCATGTCCCCCTGGAACCTCAGAATGTAACCTTATTTGAAAATAGGGTCTTTGCAGATATAGTTAAGTAAGGATCTTGAGATGTGGTCATCCTATATTGGGGGAGGGGACAGTAAATACAATAAATGTCCTTGGGAAAGACAAAAGAAAAGACCCAGCCACAAAGAAGAAGGCCATGTGGAGACAGAGGCAGGGATGGGGGTGATGTGGCTACAAGGCGTGGAACTCAGAGCCCCCAGAAGCTGAAGGAGGCGGGAAGTTTCCTCCCAAGAGCTGCCAGGGGTGGGGCGGGGCAGAGGTGGCATGCGGAATGCTCTGCCCACACTGGATGTATGAATCTGTTCTCATGCTGCTAGTAAAGACATACCTGAGACTGGGTAATTTATAAAGAAAAAGAGGTTTAATGGACTCACTGTCCCACGGGGCTGGAGAGGCCTTATAATCATGGTGGAAGGCAAAGGAGATGCAAAGTCGTGTCTTACGTGGCGGCAGGCAAGTGAGAGAGAGCATGTGCAGGGGAATTCCCCTGTATAAAACCATCAGGTCTCGTGAAACTTACTCACCAACACAAGAGCACAGGAAAGACCCATCCTCATGATTCAGTTACCTCCCACTAGGTCTCTCCCAGGACATGTGGGGATTATGGGAGCTACAATTCAAGATTTGGGTGGGGATACAGCCAAACTGTATCACTTGATTTCAGGATCCTGGCCTCCAGGAGTGTGAGAGGGCAAATTTCTGTTGTTTTAAGCCACCTGGTTTGTGGCAATCTCTTCCAGCAGCCCCAGGAAATGAACACAGGGTCCATTGCCAACAGTCCTAAAATCATTTTTGAAGGAAGCATTTCTCAATTTCCAGGTTTCCTTCAAGTAGAGCAGGTCCTTTCCACTGCTGCCACCCAGAGCACTCGTCTGTGAGCCCAGAGAGCTTCAGGCACCATCTCCTCTGCCCTTACAGCTGCCCTGGAAGAGAGAGGCCCATGTTGCCCCCTCTTCATGGACCAAAAAATTGAGCCCCAGAGAGATAGGCACATGATCAAGGCTTCAGAGCTTGACCACTTGGGCTGACTCCCTGTGACTTGGGCCAGGCCACAGGGGGAAGCAGCAGACAGGCTGTCTATATTCACAGAATCTGGTTTTGTGGCTCCACACACTGCTTGTACCTGGGTGGGAGCTGGTAGACTTCACTGCTACCAGAATGTTCACCCAGGAGGCAGTCAGAATGCATTGAATGAATGACTGCCTGACTATGAAGGAATGAATTGATGATGCAGCCAGTCTGGCAAACTCCAGGGATGACGATCACTTTTACCATTTGGACCAACCAACCAATCGGTTAAATTACCATTCAGCCAACCAACCAACCAACCAACTAACCAACCAACCAACCAATCAATCGGTTAAATAACCAACCAACCAACCAACCAACCAACCAACCAACCAACCAACCAACCAACCAATCAACCAACCAACCAACCAATCAACTAACCAATCAGCCAACCAATTCAATAAGCAACTAACTAAACAACCTAACAACCAACTAACTAATTAACCAATTAAATAACCAACTAACCAACCAACCAATTAAATAACCAACTAACCAATTCAATAGCCAATCAATTGATCAATTAACAAACTCATCTCTCCCTCCCTACCTTTCTGCCTTAATGGGAGTGGCTCTTGTTCCCCTTGCAGGGCTCCCAGTCCATAAGTGCCTTTGGCATACTCCATTTGGGAAGTGGACAGCTCATCTCATTTTCTAAGAACACCTCTGGATTATGCCCCTTGGTGATGTAGCCACCTTCCACTCAGTGATGGTCAACATCTGGAGGTGTAAATAGAATACAGATGAATCCAGACTTGGAGCAGGCCATGGGGTATTCTTAAAGACTCCATGTGTGTCTTGGAGTAGCCCATGTCATATTCAGAATCACAGCTGGGGCTCCAAATCCCACTGGCCTACCCATTAATCTATCACTGTAGACTAGTGGTAGAATTGGTGACCAGATATTCTAGTCTGGGATATGATCTTGGGATCTTAAGAGAACTTTCTGCACTTCAAGGTCCAGTTTCTTCACCCAGAGAAGGGGCTGCCAGGTATACCACGAGATGAGAGTTCCTCCACAGGGGGACACAATTGCAGCAGAGATGGCCAAGGGCAGGAACTCCTACTATCCTCATTTATATATGAGGCAAACAAGACTTGGAGAATTCAAGTGACTTGCTCAAGGTAATGCAGCCAGCCTCAAAGAAAGGGAGCCGAGATTAAAACCCTGGCCCACATGCTCCAGAGCTGGGAGGCTTTTCTGTAGGCCCATCAGGAGATAAGTTATGTCTCCTGGCTGAAGGCCACCTTCCACCTCCCAGCCCCCAAGCCAATTGCATCAGACATAAAGATTTGTTTCAGGGTGTCTTGTTGGTTTTCCAGCTCCAACCTGGCTCAGGATCTCCTTTTGTTTTTTGGACTCATTCCCAGTGCAGAGGTGCCTGGGCTATTAATAGCAGAGGAATCTGGGCTCCATCACCAGCCTTTCCATCCATCCATCCATCCATCCATCCATCCATCCATCCATCCATCCATCAGTCCATCTCATATCTATTTGTCTCCAACATCTGGTTTAGTATAAACATCGATAGAATGAACAAATGCACCAGTGGGCCTTGTGTTGGACACTTTCTGTGTCCTGCCTCAAATCATCTCCACCTTCCTTACTGCAGCCCTTCTGCTGACAGCTGGCTGCATGGGGGCAAAAATCTGACAACACCCACTCCTGCTGCCACAGTCTGTCCTTTCTGCTCTGGGGTTCTCTGCTGCAGTGCCTTTGGGAGCTTCTCAGCCATCTGACTCATGCTGGCGAGGTGTGCACTCTGCAGCAGCGCCAGCTGTAAGACACACCCTCAGATGGGCTTGTCCTCTTGCCCTGTTTCATGCCTCCTGGTCCCTGTTTCTGGGCCTTATCCCCAAAACGTGACACTTGAGTAAGCCCTTTTCTAAGGCTCAGGCAGATCCAAAAGCACATTTAAATATTTTCAGGATTCTGCCGATTTAGAGCAACTAGGATTCCAAAGAAGGAAAACTTACTCAATCAGTTTATTGTCAGAGGCTCCACATCATTCATTTGTTTATTCATTTTTTCGCTTATTCATTCAGTCAGGCCACAAGTTTCTTCAGGACTGGGATCATGCTTGTCCCCATTCTGTTCCTAATGGAGGCTATCCATGTAGTAGTCGCTGGCAAATAACTCTTAGTGACTTAAGTTCAGGAGGCAGAAGCATGGTGAAGGGGGCAGATACTGGGCCAGAAAGACATGCATTCCAATCCCAGCTCTACCACTTTGTAGAAGTGGGGTCTTGGGCATGTCATTTCACCTCTCTGAGCTTCAGTTTTCCCATATGCAAAATGGGCATAAAGATAGCAATTTGAGGGGTTCCTGTGGGGCTGCAATGAGACCTCATGCATCAGGCCCTTCACACAGAGCCTGGCGAGGGCTCATGGTGAGGGATGGGCTGTCACTAATGTGACTGGGAGCAAGCAGCCTTGGGCAGTTGGGCTGGATGTCTGGGGCCTGGCACCCGAACTCTTTTGGCCTGCCTCAGTACCCGAGGCTGCCCGACACATTTCTTGGCCTTAGAAACAGCCAAGAAAATCAGCAGCCCCTGGCTCATCGGTAGAAACCCAAAGAAACAAACACCTTGGTGGCCAGGAGGGGATGGGCACCTTGCCCTCCCAGCGGGACAGCTGACAGCAGGCCTGATGCAGTGATCACAGGCATCTGTGGGGGTGACTAGCCTTGCCCTGGCTGTGTGAGACATTTCCTTGGGAAAAGTCTTGCTCCTTTATGTGCATGTCAGCTGGCTGTGAAATGAGAACTTCTGAGAGGCTTAAAGAAACCCACCCAATCTTTGGAGATCTCTGCCGCCCTCTTCAAGTCTCAATAGCATTTTTCTGCCGACGGCTCGTGACTCACAGAGGCTACATTTGTGACTTTCGTACCCTCAGAATTGGATTTAAAGATAATAAAAATTTCCAATAGGAAAAAAAAATGTCTGGGTTCTGACATTATGCTAAGTCTCCACCTTTTGGGGCTGAGTGCCCAGTGGGGCAAATGCGGGTCACTTTCTTGACAGGCCCAAGGAAGGGTCTCCTTCCAGCAGGAACCTTGGATTCTCGAATCAGTATCTTTCCTGATGCCCAGTGTGAGGTGCAATTCTTGAAAGAACAGACCAGATCAGTTTTTTTTCTGTTCTTTTCTTATCATCAGTTTGTTTTAGCTGTCTTTCAGCAAAAGTTTCATGCATTTCATTTCCTTATGTAGTCCTGACATCATCTCTTAAGAGCAAGACACTGGGATCATGCCCATTTCACAGATGGAGAAAGTGAGGCTCAGGAAGAGGAAATAGCTTGTTCAAAATAGTGCAGCTGGAAAGCAGAGTGTCTGGGACCTGAACCCAGGGCAGCCACCCTGCACCAGCCATGTGTCAGAGCCTTTCTCAGCTCCCACCTGGGCAGGTCATCCCACAACCCTTCGTTTCCTGGCCCCAGCCAGTGGCATCTGAGCTGAAGACGGAGGGCTGAGGATGAGGCTGATGGCTTGTGGCTGGTTGGAGTCTCCACAGACCTGTACCCCACTGCGAGCTTCCATGAGCTGCTGGCGCCTCACAGCCCTGGGCCTGAGCCTAGGTGGGGTCACTCAGGGACATGGGCCTGCCTGCTGCTGAGGCTCTCATTCCTGGAGAGAGAGCCCAGGGAGGGAAGGTGGTGGGGGAACCTCGGGGTTGGAGGCGTGGGCCCCCAAGCATGTCCCGTCCTGCAGACACTCCCTGCTGCCCGGGCTGACCATGGGGGCATCCTGCCTGGTGCCAGCCAGCCCAGCCTTGTCTAGCCTGCCTCTGCCAAGTGGCCCATTTGACTGTCCCCATCTGTTTGCCCATGGAGTCCGGAGGGTGTGCCCTGGCCCAGAGCCCAGCTGCAGCCTGGGAAACACCAGACTCCATCCATGGCTCTTTGTTTTATACTTTATCCAATAGGCAGTAAGGACCTCAGAGAGCATCAGGTCCAGACCTCTTGCCCTGCACAAATGGAGAAACTGAGGCAGAGAGAGGGAAGGGGCAGGTCAGAGGCAGTATGGGGTTGAGTCCTGCGCTCTTTCAAGATTCTGTTGGCTAAATCCATTGTCCCCAGAAGCCCTTGTGCATGTAGTTTTCCATGCCGTGATGGGGGCTGGGGAGTCCCTTGGCATCAAATGGGTGGTTTGGATTCTGCTGAGGGGTCCACCTGCCTGGTGAGCAAGAGACCAGGAGCCAGGAGCCAGGAGAATGGGGAGGCTCAGGGCCAGCCGCCCACCTCCCTTGGGCACCTTAATATACGCAGCTTGTGTATATACATACACTTGTGCAAGGAGCTTTACGTCCTGCCTTTGTCCATTCAGGCTGCTGTAACAAAACACCATAGATGGGTGGGCGGCTCGTAAATAACAGATGTTTATTCTGGAGGCTGGAAGTCCAAGATCAAGGCGTCAGCAGATTCAGGGTCTGGTGAGGGCAGGCTGGTTCGTAAACCACACTTTCTCACAGGGTGGAAGGGGTGAGGTGTCTCTCTATGGGGTCTCTTTTATAAGGGCACTCATCCCTTTCATGAGAGCTCTGTCCCCCTAAGCTAATCACCTCCGAAAGGCCCCATTTCCTAACACCATCACCTTGGGGGTTTGCATTTTGGGGGAACATAAACAATCAGACCATAGCAGTCCTCCACTCAATACCCATGCCTGGCTAGTGGGTACCCGTGTCTGGCTAGTGGGTACCTGTGTCTGGCTGGTGATACCTGTGTTTGGCTAGTGGATACCTGTGCCTGGCTAGTGGATACCCCTGTCTGACTAGTGGGTACCCGCATCTGGCTAGTGGATATCCCTGTCTGGCTAGTGGGTACCAATGTCTGGCTAGTGATACCTCGTGTCTGGCTAGTGATACCTGTGTCTAGCCAGTGATACCTGTGCCTGGCTAGTGGATATCCATGTCTGGCTAGTGAGTACCCGCATCTGGCTAGTGATACCGGTGTCTGGCTAGTGGGTACCCATGTCTGGCTAGTGATACCTGTGCCTGGCTAGTGGATACCCGTGTCTGGCCAGTGGGTACTTGTGTCTGGCTAGTGATACCCCGTGTCTGGCTAGTGATACCTGTGTCTGGCCAGTGATACCTGTGCCTGGCTAGTGGATACCCGCATCTGGCTAGTGATACCTATGTCTGGCTGGTGGGTACCCATGTCTAGCTAGTGGCCAATACCCAGAGGCACCCAATTCACATTTTGTCTCCTTTGGCAGAAGATGACCTGTTTGCTGAAATGAAACCTCTTTTCTGGGGACACCCTCTGACCACCAGAAATCGGGCTGCTCTTATGCAGGGGGTGAGTTTTGATGAGATGGGAACAATTTCAGGATTGAGCTTCTCCTGGAGGAAACAAAGTGCCTCACGTAGGGAGAAGCAAGGGGCTTAAAAGTTGGGAGAGAGAGAGAGTGTCAAAGACAAAACTCAGGGGCAGGGTGTCGGACAGAAATCCAAGGTGAACCTCAAAGGCATGATGTCACGTTTTCTTGTAGTCACATTAAAAAAAAAAAGAACAAATAGGCAAAATGTATTTTAATAATATATTTCATTTAATTCAATCGATCCAAAATGCAATTGTCTCAGCACATAACTACTATAAAGCATTCTTTTTTGATATTTTTATTGATATAGTTGTATGCATTTGGGAGTCGTGACATTTTGATCAATGTACACAATGTGGAATAATTAAGTTAGGGTAATTGGGATATGCACCACTGCAAATATTTATCTTTTCTTTTTCCTTTCTTTCTTTTTTTTTTTTTTTTGAGACGGAGTCTCGCTCCGTCACCCAGGCTGGAGTGCAGTGGCGCGATTTCAGCTCACTGCAAGCTCCGCCTCCCGGGTTTATACCATTCTCCTGCCACGGCCTCCCGACATTTATCTTTTCTTTGTGTGGGAACATTACACGTTTTCTCTTCTAGTTAACATAAAGCATTATTAATGAGATATTTTACACCTTTTTTTTTTTTTTTTTTTTTTTTTGGAAAAAGCCTTCAGAATTCGACACCTCTCTATTTGGACCAGCCACATGTGAAGTGCCTGGAGGCTGTGACGGGGCAGTGGCTGTCATGGTGAACTGCTATGTAGTGATTCTAGAGTCAGATAGAGATGGGTTTGAGACCTGCGTGTGCCACTAACTGCCTGTGTGACTTACGGGTGCCAAGTACTATTCTAAGAGCTTTACACATATGAATTCACCCAGTCTTAGGAAGTAGGGTGCTGTTATCATCCCTCCTTTTTTTTAAGTTGAAGACATGAGGGCACAGAGAGGTTAAGTGATTTGCCCACAGCTACACAGCTATTGAGAGGTAGGGCCGAGATCTGAACCCCGAGTTTGATTTGTCAGAAGTGCTTTGTAAACTGTTTCACAAAGCCTGATCATTAATCAATCAGCGAGGCAACTCATAGAGTAGCTCCCTGGGAATGGAGCCATTGAGTGTCGCCATGCCCTGGGAATTCACCGCAGCTCAGCAGACATTTATTAGATGCTTGCTCCTTGCCAGCTATAGGGGAGCCTGGGGCAGACCTGAGTTTTTCTGCCAGGGACTGTTTTTTCCCGGCCTTCCCACGGAGCCCCTCCTGCTTGCTGGGTGTCCACCCAGAGCCCTCGTGGGCTGGGCTCCCCCACCCTGGCCTCCACCCTGCCTCAGCCTCGCCCGAGAGCTCACATGTTCAGGCCGAGACCTGCGCCAGCCTGGGCATTCCTGCAAGTGGGGGAAAGCTGGGCCCACATCCACGGACAGTCTTGTGGCCCAGCCCGCCCTGTGGCCGGGCAGGATTTTTGCCCAGGAATCTGCAGGGTGCTCCCTTGTCTCTGGGGCCTCCTGGGTCCCTGGAAACAGGTGCTGGTTTTAATAGCCGAGTCAGTTTCTGGTCTGGGTTTGATTCTCCTGACCCACGGAGCTCAGCCCCTCCCTCCTTCTCTTCCCCTGTGTCTCATTTATCCACCTAAAAGCCATTGAACACTATTTTCTACAGTTGAGTTTTAACGTATATAAGTAGCATGCACACATTTTAGGTGGACAGCCAGGGGATATTAACTTACGTTTACACCCATGCAACTACCGCCTGGCTCAAGGTAGTAAGGATTTCCAGCCCAGCAAGGTTGCCCTGTGCCCATTCCCAGCCAATAGCCCCCACTGCAGGTCACCACTCATCTGAGTTTTGTCTCTGTAGATGAGTTCTGCCTGCCCTTGAACTTCATAACAGTGGAATCCTCCAGTATGTGGTCTTTTCTATTTGTTTCTTTTGAGCAACATGAACTTTTTGAGATTCATTCATTTTGTTGTGTGTATCCATGATTTTTTATTTTATTTTTAAAAATTCCTGAGTAGTCTCTCTTTGTAGGAATTTACCATGGGTTTGTTCATTGTTTTTGGCATTGGGCTGTTTTCATTTTGTTTTGTTTTGTTTTTGTTTTTAGACAGGATCTTGCTCTGTCACCCAGGCTGGAGGGCAGTGACGTGATCTTGGCTCACTGCAGCCTGGACCTCCAAGGGCTCAAACGATCCTCCCACCTCAGCTTCCCAGGTAGCTGGGACCACAGGCACGCGCCACCACACCCAGCTAATTTTTGTATTTTTTGTAGAGATGGGGTTTTGCCATATTGCCCAGGCTGGCCTTGAACTCCTGGGCTCAAGCCATCTGCCCGCCTCAGTCTCCCAAAGTGCTGGGATTACAAGTGTGAGCCACAACGTGCCTGGCCCTTGGGCTGTCATTACTAAAACGTGTATAGCATTCCAGTACGCATCCTGGGTGGACACATACATGCACTGTTCTCTAGGACTGAAAATGCTGGCCTGAGCACTGTAGTTGTTTAACTTTAGTAGATCCCACCACTCAGTTTGCCAAAATGGCCTATTTCCTTTCCTGCTTCCAATGACAAGGCAGGAAGGTTCTGGTTGTTCCACATCCTCGCCTACATTTGGTATGGTCGTTTTTTTTTTTTAATTTTAGCCATTCTGTTGGGTGTGCTATAATTATGGTTTTAACTGCATTTCCCTGATGACTAACGATATTGAGCACCTTCTCATATTCCCAGTGGCTATCTAAACATCTTTTGTGAACTGCCTGTTCAAGCCTTTCCCTCACTTTAAAAACATTTGGGGCTGGGTGCGGTGGCTCATGCCTGTAATCCCAGCACTTTGGGAGGCCAAGGCAGGTGGATCACCTGAGGTCGGGAGTTTGAGACCAGCCTGACCAACATGGAGAAAACCCGTTTCTACTAAAAATACAAAAATTAGCCAGGCGTAGTGGCACATGCCTGTAATCCCAGCTACTTGGGAGGCTGAGGCAGAAGAACCACTTGAACCAGGGAGGCGGAGGTTGCAGTGAGCCGAGATGGCGCCATTGCACTCCAGCCTGGACGACAAGAGTGAAACTCCATCTCAAACAACAACAACAACAACAACAAAACAGCAACAACACATTCGGTTTTGTCTGTCTTTTTCTAACTCATCTTTAGCAACTGTTTGTATACTCTGATGACAAGTCTTTGGTTGGATCTATGTATCATGAATATCTTCTTTCACTCTGTGACTTGCTTTTTCACTCTGTCTTTAGACGGAGTGTCTTTTGACAGCTTTTCTCTTTTTGATTTCTTAAACTTTTTGGCTTTTTAAAAAAATTAAGCTTTTTATTTTGAGATAATTGTCAATTCACATGCAGTTGTGAGAAATAATACAAAGATATCCCGTGTACTCTTTCATCAGTCTCCCCCCAATGGTAACGTCTTTCAAAACTATAGTACAACCTCGCAACCAGGCTACTGACATTGATCCAGTGAACTAACTGAACGTTTCCATCACCTCGAGGATTCCTCATGTTGCATTTTTATACACACACCTACTCTCCTCGTGTCCCCCACCCTCCTTAACCTTTGGCAACCACTAATCTGTTCTCCATCTCCATAAATTTGTCATTCCAACAATGTTATATAAGTGGATTAATAAATTTGTTTTTTCCCTCAGCATAATTCTTTGGAGATTCATCCAGGTTGTTGTGTCTGTCAATAGGTTCTTCCTTTTATTGCCAAGTAATCTTAGTTTGTTTAATAACTCACTTGTTAAGAACATTTGGATTGCTCTCCAGTTTCTTGCTATTACAATAAGGCAGCTATAAACATTTATGTCCAAGTTTTTGTGTGAACATAAGTCTTCATTTATTTAGGAGTAACTGCCCAGGAATTCAATTGTTGGGTCACATGGTTCTTGCTATATGAAACTGCCAAACTTTTTCAGAGTGGCTGTACCATTTTACAGTCTCACCAGCAATGTAGGAGTGACCCAGTTTCTTCACATCCTCACCAGCACTTGATACCATTATTTTTTATTTTAGCCATTCTGATAGGTGTCTAGTGATACCTCATTGTAGTTTGAATGTGTAGTTGCCTAATGGTTAATGATGTCGAACATCTTTTTATGTACATATTTGCATCTAGGTATCTTCTTCAGGGAAATGTCTCTTTATATCTTCTGCTCATGTTCTAATTGGGTTGTTTGCTCTTTCACTGTTGAGTTTTAAGGGTTCTTTCTATAGCCTGGATACTTCTCTTTTGTAGGATTTGTGGATTGCAAATATTTTCTCCCAGTCTATACCTTGTCTTTCCATCCTCTTAGCAGGGTCTTTGGCAGAGCAGAATTTTTATTTGGATTAAGTCCAGTTTATCAAGTTTTCCTTTTATGGATCGGCTCTGAGAGTCAAGTCTAAGGACTCTTTGTCTACTTCTAGATGCTGAAGATTTTTTCCTCTGTTTTTTTCTAAAAGTATTATAGTTTCACATGTACATAATTCATTATGAGTTACTTTTTGTAAAAGGTGTGAAATTTAGGTTGGAGTTCATTTTATTGCAAATGGATATCCAGTTGCTTCAGCACCATTTTCTATAAATGCTATTTTTCTCCATCGAATTGATTTTATACCTTTGTTAAAAATTAGTGGGGTGTATTCTTGTGAATCTATTTCTGGGTTCTCTGTACTGTTCCATTGTTCTGTATGTTTATTTGTCTGCCAATACCATGAACTTTTGATTATTGTATTATTATTTGATTATATAAGCCTATATATTAAGCTTAAAATCAAGTAGACTAAATGCTCTCACTTTATTCTTATTTTTCAAAATTGTTTTAGCTATTCTAAAACCTTTTCTTTTCTATATACATTTTAGAATAATCTTGTGTATATCTACAAAAAAATCTTACTGAAACTTTGACAGGAATTGCTGTATATCAACCATACCTAAACACTGATTTAGGGAGGATTGTCATCTTTACTATGTTGGGTCTTCTAATCTATGAACATGGTATGTCTCTTCATTTATTTAGATTTTCTTTGATGTCTTTCATAGTGGTTGTGTAGTTTTCAGCATGCAAGTTCTGTATATCAAAAAAATTTACATCTAGTTATTTAATTTTTGAGTGATTTCAATAGCATTGTATTTTTAATTTTTATGTTCACATGTTTACTACTAATACATAGAAATACAATCAGTTTTGTATATTTATCTTGTCTGTCACCTTGCTGAACTAACTTATTAGTTTCTGGGAGGTATTGTTTATGTAGATTCATTGGGATTTTCCACAGCGATAATCATGTTATCTATTTTATTTCTCCTTTCTCATATGTATGGCTTTTGAATTCATGTTAATTATTCTGCAAAGAATTGGTACAATTGTCCAGTAAAATCATCCAGGCTTGGAGATTTCTGAAATGATGTCTTTAATTTCCTTAATAGTTATAAGGCTATGCAAATTATCTATTTCATATTGGGTGAGTTGTGGTTAAGAAGTTGATTTATCTAAGTTGTCAAATTTATGTGTGTAGAGTGGCTCATAGTATTCTATTTTATCTTTTTGATGTCTGCAGGGTCTGTAATGATATTCCCGGTTTCATTCTTCATGTTGGCAATTTGCATCTTCTCCTCCTTTTTTTCGTTATCAGTCTTGCTAGAAGTGTGTCCATTTTATTGTTCTCTTCAAAGAGACAGCTCTTTTTTCATTGATTTTATTTTTTTTCAATTTTATTCATGTCTGCTGTTCTCTATTATTTCTTTCTTCTGCTTTCTTTGGGTTGATTTTTCTCTTCTTTCTCTAGTTTCTTGAGGTGGGAACTTAGACTATGGTTTTGAGGCTTTTCCTTCTTTTTGATCATAGGTATTTTGTAGTATAATTTTTCCTCTCAGCATTGTTTTAGCTGTGTCACACAAACACTAGTGTGTTGTATTTTCATTTTCATTAAGTTCAATGTATTTTTCTGTCTTCCTTGAAACTTCCTCTTTGATCCAAAGATAATTTAGAAGTGTGTTGTTTAGTTTCCAAGTGTTCAGAGATTTTCCTGTTATCTTTCTGTTACTGATTTCTAGTTTGATTTCATTGTGTTTGGAGAACATACCCTGTATGATTTATATTTTTTAAAGTTTTTTAGATTGCTTTATGGCCCAGGATATGGTCTATCTATTTTACATGAGCACTTGAAAAGAATGCATATTTTTCTGTTATTGAGGGGAATGTGTTGTAAATATTGATTAGATCCTGGGAGTTGACAGTGTTGAGTGTTTTAGTATTCTTGTTGATTTTCTGTCTAGTTCTATCAATTGTAGAGAGAAAAGTGTTGAAATTTCTAACTCTAATTCTGTACTTGTCTATTTTTCCTTTCAGTTTTCTCAGTTTTTCTTTGGTGCTTTGAAGACTTTTTTCTGTCTTTAGTTTTCAGAAGTTTAATTAGTATGTGTCTTGGTGTGGATTTCTTTGGTTTATCCTATTTACGGTTTGTTCAGCTTCTTGAATCTGTAAGTTTGTGTCTCTTCACAAATTTAGGAAGTTTCCAGCCATTATTTCTGTAAGCATTTTTTCACTATCATGCTCTTTCTCCTTTCCTTCTGGAACTCCAGAAACTTAAATATTAGATTTTTTGTTGTGTTTCTTGACTCTTGGTTCCTTTTGTTGTGTCCCTGAGGCTCTGTTATTTTTTATTTCAGTCTCTTTTCTCTGTGTTGTTCAGATTCAGTAATTTCTGTTATTCTGTCTCCCACTTCACTCTTTCCTCTGTCCTTTCCATTCTTCTGTTCAAGGTGTCAGTGAATTTTTCATTTCTCATACTGTATTTTTCAGTTCTAAAATTTTCCATTTGGTTCTTCTTATCTTCTATTTCATTGCAAAGGCTTTCTATTTTTTATTTGCTTCAAGTGTATTCATAATTGATCCTGGAAGCATTCTGTCATGGCTACTTTAATTATTTTCAGGTAACTCTAACATCTCTGTCATCTTGGTGTTGGCACCTATTGATTGTTGTTTTTCATGCAGCTTGAGATCTTCATGATTCTTGGTATGATGTGTGATTTCCAGTTGAAACTGGGATGTTTCTGTATTATTTAGATCCTGTGGTTCATCTGGATTGTTTTTCTTTTGACATTGCTTTGGCAAGAGAAGGGGGTCTGCTGCCTCATTATTGATAGGTGGAGGTAAAATTAATTTTGGTGCATGGTATAAATTAGAGGTAGGAGTTCATTTTCCCCCATTGGCTCTCTGGTCTCCCCAGCATTATTTACTGAAAAGATCACCCTTCCTTTCCCTTGATTACAGTTGTCCTTATGTCTTAAATCAGAAGACTGTGTAGGTGAGGGTCAGCTCTAGACTCATTGCTTCATTGCTAGTGTCAACTATGGGCCAGGATCCAGGGCTTGGAACCAAGAACCTCTTTGGATTAATGCCTATTAAGATAATATTGAAAATGAAGTAAGTGCAATGGAGACTCATCATTGCATTACAGAGACAGAAGGGGCCCCCAAACTAATCTGGAGTGGTGTACAGGATCAGGGAAGTTGCCCTGAAGTTGATAAGCAGAATGTGGAAGGATGGGCAGGAGTTGTCTAAGAGAAGAGTGTGGCAATAGAAGGGCACCCTGGGCCACAGGGAACAAACCATAGCTGAAAGATGAGGAGTCAAGAAATATTCTGGCACCCATGGGGTACTATTAGCAGTTTAACTTTACAGGAGCTGAAAATTTAAGAAGGGGAATGTCAAGAGATGAGGCTGAACCTTGGCAGGGATGGATCCTTGGACCACATCATGTAGTTGACCCTGTCACATAGCTTGGACTTCACCTTGTGGGTGACAGGAGGCCACCAGGGCTGACAGTAGAGGAAGAACATGGCCATGGAATCCTTGGGAGAAGTGGTGTGGGTTCATTGAAAAGGCCAGGGCAGAGGCTGAAAGACTCATCAGGGGAATGTAGCAGTGATCCGCAGGGGTTGTTTAGGGACCAGTCATGACTGTGGCATGGGGCTGGGAAAATGGGGCCATGATGGCACCTGTTTTCACTTGTGGTATGATTGGACTTTAATGTGGTTCCTATGGTCATCCTGGTTGCAGAGCTGGAGTAGACACCAGATCATCTCACTGCAGTCCTCTCAACACACAGAGACAGAGGATGACCATGGGGGTCAGGGGCAAAGTGAGGAAAGTTCTCTAACCCCCTGGGAGAATAGCAGCACCATCAATGGGCAGATCTGTATTAGGGCTCTCCAGAGAAACAGAACCAATAAGATGTGTACATATACAGAAATATATATATATGTATGTGTGTGTGTGTGTGTGTGTGTGTGTGTGTGTGTGTATAGTATACTAGATGAGGCTGACCTACATTAGGGAGGGCAATCTGCTTTACTCAGTCTATGGATTTTAATGTTCATCTCATCCAGCAACACCCTCACAGACATACCCAGAATGTATGACCAAATATCTGGGCACCCTGTGGCCCAGTTAAGTTGACAAATAAAATTAATTATTATGAGTCCACTCTTTCCCATCCCTGTCAGAGGCAGCAGGGTGCACTAGGGACCACAGACTCTGTTCTTCTCAGCATTGACATATTCCATATTTATTTATTTGTTCTGTGTCTCCTCCCAGATGGGACGTCAGCTCTCTGAGGGCAGGGATTTTGGCTGAGATAACCGTGCAGAGACTCTGGGTTCTGAATGGGTTCAGAGGGGAAGGGAACCATGATGGGGATTATCCTCTTCAACATGGAATAATGATGATGAGGATGGAGACAGTAATGATATTATTGTATGATCACTACACAACATGTCTGGTTCAGGCACTTTATGTGTATTAAACTATGAATTCCTTCAACAACCTTATAAGGCAGATATCACTCTTAGCCCCACTTTACAGATGAGGAAACCATGGCCCAGAGAGAGCCAGTAACTTGCTGGGGAACTTGGTTTTTGAGTGGCAGAGCTGGGATTCAGACCTAGAAAGTCTGGCTCCAGAACCCATACACTGATAGAGTATATTTCTGTTCAATATTTATTAAACTCCTGCATGTGTTTGACACTCTGCTAGGCACCAGGGATTTAGGATGGAAAGGACAGTCATTTCCTTGCCTGCCCTCATGGAGCTTCTGATTTGTGGATGGAAGGCATGAACATAGGTGTGGTGGTCATGGTGCCTCCCACCCATCATGAACTTGAACCAAAACAGGAATTCTTTTGTCAGTTTTTTCTATCGGTTTTTGGGGAAGTTTTATTGGAAAAAAAACTTCTAAACAAAAGCTTAAAAAGTATGCTTTATTGTCTTTTACCCTTATTATCGAACCAGTGGAAAATCAGAAAAATACAAGTGCTTACACCAGCAATAAAAAAATATGGTTCTCATCAACACCACCCTTTGCCCCGAGCCCTAGAGTGTCTTTCTCCAAGTTGTCTAAATTTCCCTTCAGTTCCTGGGACCAGCTGAGAGGACAGGGAGCCCACACTTGGCCCCACATGAGACCTGGTTCCATTTCTCTCCTTGGGGCACTCTACAACTTCCCACTCTGCCCGGGTCATGTGTGGAGCTGACTAGATACTTAAAAACAACAACAACAACAACAACAACAACAACAACAAACAATGTTATTTTGTAAGAGCAGTTTTAAGTTCACAGCAAAAATGAGTGGAAAGTAGAGCATTCCCACAGGTCCTCTCTCCCCACGTGCGCAGCCCCGGTTATCAACACGCCCACCAGACTGGTGCATTTGTTACAACTGACGCAGCTACACTGACACGTCATTTCCAGTGAAGTCCAGAGTCTGCATTAGGGTTCCCTATTGGGGCTGCGCCATTTTTCTCACCAGCAGTGAATGAGAGTTCTGCTGCTCCACATGCTCAGCAGCCTTTGGTGCCATCAGTGTTCTGGATTGGACCATTCCCTAACGACATACGATGTGGGGCACCTTTTCAAATGCTTACTTGCATCTGTACATCTTCTCTGGCGAAGTGTCTGTTCAGGTCTTTTGCCCATTGTTTAACTGAGTTGTGCTGACCAGGTACTTTGAGGAACTCCAGACTTGTGGCTATGGCATCATCCTGGGGCCCCATAGGCCAGTTCAGGAGGGTGGCTGGTGAGCGATCCTGCTTGCTGGCCTGTGCAAAATTTGTTAATGTAGCATGCGACTGGCTGCTGGGACAGTGCTGACAGGCTGATTTTGGGTGACCCCACTCGTGTTGGGTGTGGGGTGAGCTCAGGGCTCTGAGCTTCCCATGCTCCTCTGCCCACACTCGAGTTTGAACACATGTGGCCTGTTGTGGGCCCCCACCTGTCTGTGCTGTTACTGTGAGGCCTCCTCTGGCTCCCAGCCCCCTCTCTGCTGCTGGGCTGGGCTCAGGTCTGAAGTCAGGGCAGCACTACAGGTGGCCTCTGACTCCAGCTTCATGCATCTCTGCAGCATTACCAACTGGATACACTAGGCAAAAGGCCTACCTGACATGGGGAGATGGCTGGAGCCTAAAGCTTTTGCATCTCCCAGGCCTTTCAATTCTCAAGCAAAGGAGACAGAACCCACATCAGGTCAAGTGTGAGCCTGCATGAATGGTCAGATGAGCACGGCTGGTGATGGTGGATGGTGGATTTGTGAGCAGAGTTCCCCACAGTGCTCGGGGTGGGAGAAAACAGTTTATTCAGTTTCTGACTTTCAAATATGGACCCTGAACCTTGCTTTGGCTACACACTTGCCACCTGAAAGGAGGATGTGCCACATGTGGTATTGACTTCAATGGGTATCTTTCTAGTACCCTTCTCTTAGAACTGGCCTCTCCTGGAATCTCATTCGGGTGCCCTACCAATGGTCCTGGATGTTTCTCTTCATCACCATCTCCCGCCATGACAAATGGAGCCAGGATGGACACCTGACCCCACCTGTGTTGGTTGGGTTATTTCTGAGCTGGTTTCTTGACCACGAGAATTGAAATGGCCACTTCCCAACTGCCAAGTGCTCCAAGAAGCAGAGAACACAGGAGTAAAAAGAAGCACAGAAGGGACAGAGGTTCCAGTTCTTCTTGAGGCCTGCTGTCCCATCCTTGGGTTTTGAGAGACACCTCTGTGTCCTTGCAGAGAATTCACCACTTTGTTCAAACCAGTCTGAGAAAGCTTCTTTATTGTGGTCCCCAAGTGCAGCTGCTGCAATGACCACTGTTAACTTCCCCGCCTTGGCAAAATAACTGATACTCCAAACTGCTAAGAGTCCCAGGACTGCACCAGTTAGCTATTACTGTGTAACAAATTGTCCCCCGATACAGCAGCTTCAAACAGCCATAAATATTTATTACCTCCCAGGTTCTGAGGGCCAGGCATCTGGGAGTGGCTTGGAGGGGTGTTTCTGGCTCAGGGTCTCATGAGGCTGCAGTCATACTGTCCCTGAGGCTGCATCGTCTGAAGGCTTGGCTGGGGCTGAAGGATCCACTTCCAAGCTCCCATGCATGCTTGTGGACACGTCTCAGGTTCCCACTGCTGTTGGCCAGAGGCTTCAGTGGCTTACACAGGGCATCTCCACGGGGCTGCAGTGTGCTTCCCCCAGAGTCAGAGATGAGAGAGGGAGGGAGGGAGTGGGGTTAGAGAGAGAGACGGGGTGTGGGGCAGGAGATTGAAGCTGCAATCTTTCATAACCTAAGCTTGGAAGTGCTATTCCATCACTTCTGCCACGGGCTGCTGGTCACTTGGACCATCCCTGGGGAAAGGAAACTACACAGGGTGTGAAAACCAGGAGGCGGGGCTCACTGGGGGTCTCTGAGAATCTGGCTACCAGCAAGATCTTGCAGGAAGTGATGGACAGCCCCAGGTGGACGCGTGGCATAGGGGTCTGCTGCCTCCTCCTCGTATTATCTTATCTTCTGAGAGCTGCTCCTGGGTGAACAGGTGCTCACTGCCTCTTTTTCTGGGTTCACATGGACCTGGGTTAGAAAGCTGCCTCTAACATTTACTAGCAAGTGACTTCTCTATGCCTCTATTTTCTTATCTGCAAAATCGGGAGAAAAATATTGTCCTCATCGAGTTTTTCTGAACCTTAAATGCAGAGATCTTATCAGAAAGTTCTTGGCCGTTGTCTCAGAAACTCAGAGTCTCTCCTGCTTTAGGGGCAACGAAAGTTCATTCACCTACCTGTACATCTGTCCGTCCATCTGTACGGGAGGCTGTCCATCTCACACAGGTCTACTGAGCACCCCCAATGTGTCAGGCATGGTGTCAAACACAAGCCAGCACTGGAGAGAAAATGGGCTGTGTGCTCAGAGTGTGACCAGGAGGCCCAGGCTCTGGGCTGCCCGAGCCCACGTGGCCAGGCTGGGAGGGGCTATGAAGGGAGGAGCATCAGGGAGGCTTCAGGAGCTGAGCTTTAAGGCCAGTAGGATGGGGAGAGGCCAGGTGACAGGAGGAGGATGGGAGAGAAGTCAGGGAATGGAGGCAAAGCACAGAGATGAGGGAAGACCTGCCATATTCTGCAGTGTTGCCCAGGTCCTAATGATGAGAGATGCAGCTGTCAAGGAAGGTGGGAAGCTCACGCAGGGCCAGTATCTTGCTAAGGGACTAGAGGGTGGGGACTTCTGGGGGGTGCTGGAAACTCAAAAGGTTTAAGCAGGTGAACAACAATTTCAGATAACTCCCAGGTGAGTGTGTAGACATTGGAACTGGAAACCCTGCAAGGTGGGGGCAGGGAGATACTTTTATTGTTCCCTGTTTGCAGAAGTAGAAGTTGAGGCTTGAGAGGTGAAGAAGCTTGTGGGAGGTGTCACAGGCCTAGGTGTGGAGTGCGGCTTTAAGCCTTGGCTGTTGGGCCCCTAGCACAGGCCCCCACCCAACTGCCCTGAGCACCTGCTGTAGGTTAAATCGTGTCTTTCAAAAAGATATGTTCATATCCTAACCCCTGGTACCTTTGACTGTGACCTTATCTGGAAATAGCGTCTGTGCAGATGTAATCTTGAGATGAGATCATTCTGGGTTTAGGGTGGGCTCTAAATCCAATGACTGATGTCCTTACAAGAGAAATGAAGGGAGACTTCAGGCAGACACAGAGGAGAAGGCCATGTGAAGATGGAGGCAGACATGGGTGATGCGCCTACAAGCCTGAGAATACCAGCACCAGAAGCTGGAGAGAGGCCTGGGGTGATTCTCTCAGAGCCTCCAGAAGGAACCACCCTGCTTTACACCTTCATTTCAGACTTCTGGCATCTGGAACTGCAAGAGAATGAATTATTGTTGTTCTAAGCCACCTGGTTTTTGATCATTTTTGTTAGAACAGCCCTAGGATATGAATCTAGCCTCCAAAGCCCCCTCCTGGGGATAAGCCGGCCTCCTGGCCTGCCACAACTCCCGGAGTTTCCAGCCACTCAACAAGAAAGCAGGGAAGATTCTGAGCCCCAGACCCAGGTGGGAGGATGGAGGGGCTCCTCCTCTTGCCTGCTCTCACCAGGAAAATTCCGCGATGTCACCTGCTTCTCCAGGGCATGATCTGAGCTCCTACAAACAGAGAGATAGAGAGAGGCAGACAGATAGTCACCAGGCAGAGCAGGAGGGGCACCCTGTCTGGGGACAGTGGCTCTGAAACCTTAGTGTCTAGAAGAGTCATCTGGAGCGCTTGAAATACATCCTTGAGCCCCCACCCCCAGCGGTTCTGATTCAGTCAGTGTGAGGTGGGGCCTGGGAATATGTATGTCTCCCCAGTTCCCAGCAACCTTGACACTGCTGGTTTGGGGACCACACTTTGAGTAGCACTGTTCCAGGCAGAGGGGGCTACTTGGATAGAGGCTGGGAGAAAAGAGCAGAGGCGCAGTCTGGGCAGACAGCAGCTATCACGGAGCTTGGTAATGACGTTACAAGTGGGACAGGTCATGCGGAGGAGGGCAGGTGCTCGCCAAGGCCAGGATGGTAGCACCAGGGTCTGCCTGAGGGAAGGGGAGCCATGCATGGGCCAGCGCATACGGAACATAGAACTTGGGCAACCAAGTGGCAGATGGGGGCCTTCAGTCAAGGGCCTTGAGTGAACATGAAGGTCAGCGGCTGCCGACATGGGGGTTTAGAGAGGGAACCCCATCCTCAGGCCGGCGGGCGGGGGGTTGTCAGCTCACGAACATCAGTTCCCTCAACAGTGGCCCCATTATCCAAACTGGGTGCCAAAACTTTCTTAGAAACTCCAGCCTGCAACCTGCAGTGCCCAGGCTCACAGGTGGACTTTGCTGAGAGAGGCCCAGATGCTGATACACTGAAACCGATCAAGAAGCTTGGAGGGCAAGCAGGCCCCATTCCCCCTTTGAGTTCTTCTCAAAAGAGAAGACTCCTTCCATCTGCAATGCCAGGCCCCAGCTTTGCCAATGCCGCCCACCCCCCATGGAGCCTGGCTGGGCCCAGAGTGCTTAATGCAGTACGCAGGGCCCTCCACAGACCTTTCCCAGCTGGTAAGAGCTGTTTTCTTTTCCCCTCTAAGAGGTTTGTTCCTGGTCATAAATTCTGCAGGCCCGGTCGGCCAGACTAGGATGTACACGTTGGTAAACACTGTAGTTCAAAACACGCTTCACGCTTCACGGCTGAAAAAGGCAGCCCCGACAATGGAGCCTTGTCCCCGGCAGCAACTCTAACGGCCACCTTCTTTCATTCCTTAACCTTGCTGTGGGCTTGTATGAAATTGGTCCCATTCTCTGGGGTCCATCAAACGTGCATTTAAACGACTTCATTAGCATCTTCCTCTGATCCATAACCACTGGGCAAATCCAAAAGTCATTTCGGTGAGGGCAGCCGCGGTTTTCTATCTGGTGAACATCTAAAACTCCTTGACAAAGTTCCTTTTAAAATTTACTTCTTTTGTTCCGTCTTCGTCTTCTGTTGAGATCTTTAGTGGCCAATGTACTCCGAGATGACTTGGGGACAAAAATCCCGTCTGGCCCAGACAGTAAATCTAGCCTCCATTCAGACGGCTTAAATGCATGCTTTATGCCTATTGTCCCCGGCTCTCCAAAAGCTCCTGCGCCTTCAAGGGTTTCCTACAATAAATTAAGCCCATCCAAGACGGTGGAGGGAAAGAGGGCCTGCCTGGATGCTGTCGGAAGGCCAGGCTGGGCCGGGCCCCGACACAGCCCACCCATCGCCCTGGACCTCTGGCCTCTAGGTATCTGGGATTCTCCTTTGTGAGAGGCAAAAAAAAAAAAAAAAACCCAACCAAAAAAAACCCCCAAAAAAACCCCAACTTGAAGTGGATTCAGCCACAATGTATTGGATGGTGAACACGAAGGGCAGGAGGAAGGGGGGGGGGTGGGGGTGGTAGGGAGGGGCCTGGTTCAGGCCCCACAGGCCCTAGGACGCTGGTGCCCTCTCCCCCTCTGGCCACACCCTCCAGGGCTCTGCTGACCCCTCCCCAGCTTCCCCCCTGCATTCGTACCATGGCGGGAGCAGTGCAAGCCTCACGTCTAGTAGGAAGCAGCAGGAGTCTTTCCCAGCATTCCCCAACAAGAGTCTCATTGGCTGTGGTTGGGGCACATGACAGTCCCTGACCAATCACTGAGGCCTGGGTCTGATTGGCTAGGCTTGGGTCACATGGCCCACTTTTGGCCCAGTGGGTGAAGCCACTCTTGAAATGGATCCTGGCCAGGAGGAGTCCTCCTTATAGGAAAGTTGGGTTACGGTTCCCAGAAGAGGTGGGAAGGGATGCTGGGTAGCCAGAACTGACACTGGCTGTGATCTCTAACCAAGGGCATTGCGTTTGTCCCACATTCCGAAATTCACAGTGGCAGGTGGTGGCTCAGAGGCTGGAACCTGGCCCTGAGAGACCCATTGCCTTTCTCTGTTCTGTAACCTCTTCCCATAGAGATTTTTATCCTGTAACCCTGTGGTCATCACCATGCCTCCCATTTATGTGCAGTTCCTATGGGCTCCTGATGCTTTCCTGGATTTCTCCCAGGAGAGGCTGTTGGGTGTTGGGGTGTTGGGGAAGAGAATTAGTGTTCTGCAGTCTGGAGTTCACTGGTCTGCAGACTGCTAAAAGTCTGGGGGCTGCGTCTGCCAGGGATAGTGGCTCTGGCTGGTATGGGGACCAAGGGCAAAAGGATCAGTGATTTCAGCAGATGCCTTTGAGCCCCGAGTCTCTGGCTGTGGACTAGTCCAGTAGAAAGAGTGTCTTGGAGTGTGGCAGAGTCCCAGTCCCCTGTCTTTCTTACTGTCAAAACCAAGGTTTGGGCAATCGATGATCTAGCTAAAAAAACGATGTTTTTCAGCCTGTCCTTTCTGGGCTCCTCCTGTCCCAAACACAGATGTGAAGCAATGTGCGAGAATTCCTATTCTACAATCGCTGTGTATATTTAACACTATGAAGCTTCTCTTTTTTGCCAGTCTGACGGATATGATGGGGCATCGCTTACTGCTTTCATTCCCATTTCCTTCATCATCATTGAGGTTGGTTGTAGTGTCTATTCTGGTTTCTTTCGCTATATTTTGACTCGTTGTATCCTTTGACCATGGTTTTAAAATTTGTAGACATTTTTAATATATTCTAATACAAATCCTTTGTCAATTATAAGTATTGCATATATCTTCTTCTTTGTGCCTGTTCTCTTCATTTTTCCCACAGTATCTTTGGTCATACTAAAGTTTTTTTTGTTGTGTGTTTTTTTTTTTTTACATTTGATACAGTTAAATTAAATCTTGTTTTGATTGTACTTTTTGTGTTAGTTTAATACATAATTTCTTATCTTGGTGTCAGAAAGGCATTCTATCAGAATTTATTTTCAAATTGTATAGATTTTCCGTGTACAGTTTGGTCTTTGGCTCAACTGAAATTTATTTCTTTTTGTAGGTGTAAGGAAAGGATATATTTTTATCTTGTTTTCCTTTGTAAAGCCATTTGTCCCCAATCCATGTATTGAATTCTTTTTCTTTTTTTTCTACAGATATATTCTTATATATTGTTTCCATAAAATTCCTCTCTATTTTGTCCCATCAATCTATTTATTCATGCACTAATACCACACAATTTTAATTATGATAGTTTTACTGTTAATCTTTATCTTTGGTATGACTCTTTCTCACTCGTTCCTTCCTTCCCTACCTTCTTTTCCTCGTCTTCCTTTTTCAAGACCTTCTTCCTGTTTTTAGCACCTTAATCATTCACATAAATTTTAGGATTACCTTGTTAAGTTTTATGAAATAATCTGTTGGAATTTTGGTTAGACTTGCCTTAATTCATACATTAACTGGAGTAGAATTGTCATCTTTACCATACTGAGTTCTACTCAGGAGCA
The DNA here is from genome assembly GCF_000001405.40 of Homo sapiens. Lineage (NCBI taxonomy): Eukaryota > Metazoa > Chordata > Mammalia > Primates > Hominidae > Homo > Homo sapiens. The sequence goes on from NC_000011.10 coordinate 69,236,736, forward strand.
TGACATATCTCTTAATTTATTTAATGCTTCCTTTGTGTCTTTCCATGAAGATTTAGAATTTTCTCCATAGGTCTTGCATGTCTTTTGTTAGACTTCTTCCTAGGTGCCGCTCTTTATTTAATGCTATTTTAAGTGTTATCTTTTTAAAGTTACTTTTTATGATTGTTGATGAATTAGAATGTAATTGAATCTACTTAGATTTTCTTACAAGAAAATAATTCACTGGTAAATAATGGCAAATAGACATAGTTAATTAAGTCAACAGAGAAATAGAATTTCAAAAAATATTCTATTAAGGACCAAATGGAACAAAAAAAAGGAAAGGATAAACATAGGGGAATATAAAAGAGAAGACAAATGGACCTAAATTCAACTATATATAAAATTATGCTAAAAAATTTAACATTCTGAGAGAGAGAGAGAGAGGAAGAAGACTCAACCTGCTGTCAACAAGAGACACATTTTAAGTATAAAGACACAGATAGATTGAAAGTAAATAGGTGGAAAATGATATACCATACAAACGATAAGCATAAGAAGGTTGGTTGAAGGGGTTATATTAAATCAGATAAAATAAACTTCTAGGCAAGGTGCAATAACTGGTATAAAGAGGAACATTTCATAAAAAACATAATAACACATGTAATAAATTACTTAATAGCAAAGGGACATTCATAAGGAAGATACAATAGGCTATATATATATATCTGTTAATGGATCTTCAACATGAATGAAGCAAAATTTGACAAAATTGCAGGGTGAAAAAATATCCACAAATATGATTGGAAATTTTAGTACCTATCTGTCAGCAATTGATAGAACAACTAGACAGAAACTGAGAGAAGACATGGAAAAGCTAAGCATAAGTATCCTATTAACTGCCTTTGTTGAATTGATACTTATAAAAATCAACATCCCCAAGGAGAGAATACACACTTTTTTCATATTCATTATGATGGACTATATGCTGCACCATACATGAAAATTGTTACTGTTCTTGTCTTTTTCCCTCTGTGTATAATGTGTCTTTTTCTCTGGCTGCTTTCAAGATTTTCTCTTTATCACTTGTTTGATTACAATATGCCTTGGTGTAGTTGTCTTTACCTTTTATCCTGCGTGGGATTCCTTAGGCTTCTTGGGTCTGTGGGTTTAGAGTTTACATTATATTTGGAAAATTTTCAACCATTGTTTCTTCAGATATTTTTCCTGTCCCCTTTGTATTGATCATCTTATGCTACATAAATATTTACCCCAAAACTTAGTGGCTTGAAACAATAAGCATATTATCTCACGCAGTGTTCTGTGGGTCAGAAATTTGGTAGAAGCTGAGCTGGGCACCCCTGGATCAAGGTCTCTCATAATAAGTTTACAATCAAAGTGTTGGGCTGCAGACATCTAAAAGTAATAGTTCTTTCCCAGATGGGCCTGTTTAGAGGGCTGCTTGAGTGCTCTCATGACATGATGGAGGCTTCCCCAAGAATGAATGATTCAAGAGAGAATAAGACAGAAGCCACAATGTCTTTTATCGGCTTGCTTTCCTTTCTAGGAGTTTGCTTTGGTCAAGTTGGTTGATTGTGTTAAGTTGTCTGTGTTCCTCTTAATTTTCTGTGGAGTTGTTCTGCCAGTTAGTGAGAGAGAAGTGTTAAAATCTTTGCCTAAAATTGTGGATTTTTACATTTCTTTTTTCAGTTTTGTCTGTTTTTGCTTAGTGTGTTTTGAAACACTCTTATTCATTGCGTACACATTTAGAATGGTTATATCTTGGTTAAGTGACTTTAGCATTATGAAACATCCCTCTTTATATCTTTTTCCGTCCTTTTACTTTAACCTATGTGTATATGTGTATTTAAAGTGGATTTCTTGTATACAGCACATAGCTGGGTGTTGATCTTTTATTCAGCCTGACAACATCCATGCAGAATTTTGATGGTGACTTAAACTTTCCTCTAAGTCAAAATTGCCACAATATGTTCTGTGTCACATTTTTTCAGGACTTCAGAGGATATGTCTCTCTAGAGGATGTGTCATCATTGCAAATCCGTCCTCTGCAGTCAGCAGGGATGCTTCCATTTTATAGATGAGGGTATTGAGCTTCCACGAGGGGAGGTGAAGTACTTGAGTCCACTCCCACGGCCACCAGAGGTTGAAGCACGACTCTCTGGCTCCTGGCCAGCCTTCCTTTTCCCATCACAGCTGCAGCTGTGGGGAAGGAGGATGATTCTGAACTGACCCTGTGGGTTGAGATGGAGACCTCCAGCTTCCTGGGAAGAGTTCTTCCTTCTTTGCAAAAATAAATGAATTGATATAGGCCATTTTGTATTCAAATTAGATTGGTCAGGGGCTATTTAAGCAACCACATCAGAAGGCTCATTTTCCCTTTTGACATTAAAGTGTCTTTTCCAGAAACTGTAGGAGGTGGGGTTTCCCTAGAATGAGTTGACAGCTTGTACCTATTGTTAAAAAAAGCAAAAAAAAGAAAAGCCTTGTACACCTCTTCCCACATCTTCAATGGTAACAGAATGAGCATAATCGAAAGAGGTTTGTGATGATTATTTTTTTTTTAAGAGAAAACACTCACAGCCTTCTGCCTGGTGTAAGGCTGAAATAGGGCAAAAGGGGAAACTGAGCATGAGCAGGGCATAGAATATCAAAGGCAGTAAGTCCTTTTGGCCACATCTGGACTCTTCTCCCATCCCACAGAAAACCTCCCCAGCCAGTCTGGAGGTGGGTGGATGGCGAGGGTCCCCTTTCATAGGTCACTTGATCCGCTCCTTGCCCACCCCTCCTGCCCACCCTCTGCCGGCTTAGGTTACCCCTGGAAACCACCCACATTTTTCATCTGTCCAGAGAAATCAGGAGGGGACGAACACCTCTGTTGGGTTTTCCAATCAAACACTGGGGGAACGGAGCATTTTAATCCTCAAGAATCTCCCCACCAGCGAAGTGAACCCCTGAGAGGCACTGTGGATGTGCAAAGGCAAGCCCTGTCCCCGATGGCCCAGCACTAAGTGGTAGAGATGACATGGTCATGACAACACCGAGGCTCAGGCATGAGAGGTGTGTCAGCCCCATCCTGGGACACTGCGACAGTGGGGACAAGGAAGACTGCTGGTCAGAAACAGGGTTCAGAGGCAGGCCCGACTGACATTGACAAAGCTCCTTTCATGTGCTGCTATAGGAGGCAGGTGGGCTCTGGGATCATTTGGCAGCTTGTACCTATTGTTAAAAGAGGAAAACAGGCCAGGCGCAGTGGCTTACGCCTGTAATCCCAGCACTTTGGGAGGCCCGAGGCAGGCGGATCACGAGGTCAGGAGATCGAGACCATCCTGGCCAACATGGTAAAACCCTGTCTCTACTAAAAATACAAAAATTAGCTGGGCGTGGTGACGTGTGTCTGTAATCCCAGCTACTCGGGAGGCTGAGGCAGGAGAATCGGTTGAGCCCGGGAGGTGGAGGTTGCAGTGAGCCGAGATCGCGCCACTGCACTCCAGCCTGGTGACAGAGTAGGACTCCTTCTCAAAAAAAAAAAAAAGAAAAAAAAAAAAAGGAAAACAAAATATGGTAAATATCTTGTCACCTCTTCGATGTAGGATGGCATGAGATGACATAAGCCCAGTTCTTCCAAATGTCCCCATTTTACAGCAGAGGAAACTGAGGGTCAGGATCTCTTTGGGCACGGTTGCAAAGAAAGGCCTCCTAGAGAAAGGGGCCTGTGTGCAAGCCCAGGGGGATGGGGGGTGAGGCTTAGAGCATTTCCCGTGGGTGGAAACAGTGAACAGGCCTCTGGAATCAAGCTAGCCCATAACCTGCCCGGGGCACAGCAAGTGGTATGGCGAGAACAGACCAAGTTTTGGGTGCCGAATAAGGATGAGGTAAACCAGGGGCAGAGTTTTGGAATCTCAGCCCAAAGGAGTGGCCTGAGTCCAAGGCTGGGGGAGCATGCACCTGCTGGTTGCTGACACAGGTGATCCTGGCTGTGTTTTTGTTAAGACTGGCTTTGTCGTAGCTCCATGGATCTGGGCACAATCCAGAGATGTTGTCTTCTTGCACACTCATTTTACAGATGAAGAAATCAAGGCTTGGGGTAGTAGAGAACTTTCCAGAAGTACAGGGCAAGTTTGTGTCTAAGCAAAGCTGAGCCCTCTGCCCCCTTGTGGTGATCTCCTCAGCCCCGTTCTCATCCTTCCAGGGCAATAGTCTTTCCTTGGGAGTAAAGTTCAACCTCAGTTTGGCCCAGACATTTGGCTTTTCCCAGTGGTGGCAGAATTTGTGGGATCAGTGTGTGTGTGTGGTGGGGGCAGGGCAGGGGGCTGAGTTAGGGAGCTTAGGGATGGGCAGCTTCTCCCACATCCATAAAATTGGGGCGTTTACCAATTCCCACAGCTGGTATAAATACCCTCCCTGGTGCTTAGCAAAGGCTGCTGGGAGTGGGGTTGCCCCTGCCCGACTCAGATTCTCTTAAAGACCCAGGAGAAACACTTGCATTGCAATGAGGTCTCTATGTCCTCAACCATTGGACTGAGCACCTCCGCATGGGAATGTCTGGAATTGCAGGTTTTGAAGGCCTAAATTAGGGCTGTGAATGATTTTCTTCAAAATTCAGGGGCCTGTGGGCATGGCCACAACCCTCACCTGGATGCCTGTCCTCTGTTCACCCTCTGTTCTCTTTCCAGCAGAACATTCAGCCCAGCCTTGGGTGTCAGGCATGTGCCTGCCTCTCTGACCTCATCTGGTGGCCAGGCTGTGGGAAGGGAAAACTGGAGGAGTCTTTGGGGGCTGAGCCTCTGGGCATTTGTAGGAGGCACCACCAGGGTGTCAATGAAGATAATGACGCTGAAGCTCCAGGCCCTTCATTTGCATGGGCCCATCCCACAGTTCAGCGTGGGCTTCCCTGCCCCTACGCTGAAGGATGCTCCTTGACTGTGAGTGGGACTGTGGGCTGTGGCAACCTGGTAGGTGGACCTCATGGATCACTGACTCTCTCTCTTGGCTCCAAGGAGGAAGATGAAGCAGTCGCTGCTGCGCTTCCTGCTCAGGGCCATGGTGCCCAGGCTTTATGGCCATCTCTTCCCTCCAGGACCAGAGGGAATGAGGGCCTGGCTCAGTTGGCTTGGTTGCCCAACTGTGGTCATCAGGAGGGTGAATGATGTCAAAGAACTGGTGTCTCTTACAGATACCCTGCCCAGGCAAGAAATTGTAGAGGACATTTCAGATACGGCCTTGCCAATAACAACACATGTAATTGAAAGAAATTTCCCTAAGACATCAAAAGTAAACAAACTGCTTTTAAACAAAACAAACAAACAAAAAACATGTGCTGGAGGACAGACTGAAGCATTTTTTATTCGCTCTGTGGAAAATCATATTACGAAATCATTGTCATACAAATAAGCAATCAAAGAATATGCAGCCAAAAAAAATGTAGGAAAAGGGTATTATAGAGGTGGCCGAGGCAGTTACTTACTTGTGGAATCATATGCTATTTTTCTGATTTGATACTTATGGTTTGTTCAGCTTTTTACAAATTTGTCATTTCTTTCTCATTCTAAATGATTTTTTTTTTTTTGCACTTTGTAGCTGTTAATTTGGTGTTATTTTTCTTAAATAAGCCCTCCAGATTGCATAACGTTTAGGCCCCCAAAGTCCAGACCACTCCAGTTCCCAGCCTCACCATTTGTTCAGAAATGAGCTGCTTGCTTCCTGCTTTCACTCAAGACCTTGGGTGAAAGCAGGAAGCAAGGCCGAGGCTGTGTATTATTGCACTTCCCGTAAGGGGGTCTGCTTGAAAGAATATTTCCCATCCTCCTAAAAGGAACAAAAGCTGTTGCAAGTATTGAATTCCCTAGTCACAGGGTTTGTGGGGATCTGGGGTCCACACAGAGGCCTCTGGGGAGAGGAACAGAGGGAGGCAGAGGGGTGGGGGAAGGGCTCTGTGAGAGCTGGGTCAGACCAGATGGCAGAGCAGGTGGTCAGGTGAGAAGGGCCAGGGATATCCTCCCCTCCCACTTCCCTGGGGATCTCCAGGCCTTGCCCTTTCCCAGCTCAGGACAAGATGCCAGGGGAAGCTGGCCTTGTGTGGCACTACTAGCCCCAGTGAGGCTAACATGGGGGTATGCAGGCTGCTTTATGACAGCAGTGTCCTGATGTCTGGGGCATGTGAGCATCCTTGTGGTGTGTCCCCATGTGCACACATGCATGTGTGCCCACATGTGAGAAGGAGGTGGGGGCATTGCTGCCAGGAGATGGATCATGGGGAGAGAAAGAAACTCTTTTTACCAACTCTTGGAATCAGGCCTGTTCATACATGATGGCATTGCTGGATCTGGGGATGTGTCTGTAGATGAATTTCAAGGTCTCTCTTGGCTTAAAATTTCTAAGAATCCCAAGCAATTACCTTGCAGGAGAAATATGGGAAAAGCCCTTTTTTAGTCTGTCCATTCATGCATCTTTTTATTCAATCACCTATCCGTTCACTGACTTAGGCATCCATCTACCCACTCACACATTCACCCATTCACTCATCCATCCAACCATTCATCTACTCATCCAACCATTCATCTACCCATCCATTCAGTCATCCATTCACTTGCCCATTGACCCACCCATCCATCCATCCACCCATCCATCCAACCATCCATCCACCCACCCATCCATCCATCCATCCACCCATCCATCCATCCATCCATCCATCCACCCACCCACCCATCCATCCATCCATCCATCCACCCATCCATCCATCCATCCCCCCACTCAACTGATGCTCATTGAACCACACATTGTGCTGAAACATGCTCTGGCTGCTGAGTGTTGGGGACATAGGTGAGTCAGACATGGTCTTTACTCTGAGTCTTAGTGCCATTCTGAAGAAAGATCAGGGGAGAAACAATTGCAACAGGACAGGGTCCATGGTTTGGTTGAGGCCAGTGAAATGGGAACCCCAGGGAGCTCCTAACTCATCCTGAGATAGACCCAGGAGGAATTCACAGAGCAGCAGGCCAAGGGAGACAGCTCTGCTCAGCCTCTAGGGACAGATGAAGTATGTGGCAGTCAGCTCCAAGTCCATGTTGGTCACCTGTTGGCATTCACACCCTTGTGTGGTGTCCTTCCACCTTGAGCCCAGGTTGGTCTGTATGATGGAGTCAGTGCAGCAGAGGTGACAGCATGTGTCTAGGCCATAAAAGGCATTAAGCTTCTGCTTTGGCCTCATGAATCCCTCTCTCTGAGGGAAACCAGCTGCTATGACATCAGGACACTCAAGAGGCACATTGGCGGGGAACTGAGGATTCCTACCAGCAGCCAGCACTCACTAGCCATGAGGGAGCTGCTTTGGAAGCAGATCCTCTGGCCTGGTCAAACCTCCAGAGGACTACCCCTCCAGCTGACATCTGCTTGTATCTTCATGAGAGACCCTCAGCCAGCACTGCCTAGCCCAGCCCTGTGATCCACAGAAACTGTGAGAGTAGCAAATGTCTATTGTTTAACCCTCCATGATGGGGGAATTTGTTACACAGCAATGAATAACTGATACATGGGGCATGGAGGGAAACCTGGCGATGCCCTGGTGCAGTCCCCATGGGGGTGAGGTGGAAGGGATGTAGCTTGGGAGGGCCTTCCCTGCTGAGTTGGGGACCTCACCCCTCAGCCTCTGGGCCCTGTGGAGCCATGGCAAGCTGATGCATGATAAGCTTTTGTTTAATGAAGGTCACTCTGTACAGGGGGTCGTTCACTCCAGGAAGCTATCCTTGACCACCTCCCTGTATCAGGCCGGGCTGCCTGCCTTTATAGGATCCCCAAGCCCTGAACTTGCCCTGCACTGCACCTGTTATTAGTCAATATTGTGATGGTCCAGCTGACTATATGTCCCCACTACTGGACTATGTGCTTGGGGTGAAGTGTTAGTGTAGACAGGGCAGTAAATATGTCTGTCTTGCTCACGGTGTAACCCCAGTACCATGTATAGGACCTGCTATGCAGTACGGACTTTGATATGATTTGGCTCTGTGTCCCCACCCAACTTTCATCTGGAATTATAATCCCCATGTGTCGAGGGAGGGACCAGGTGGGAGGTGATTGGATCGTGAAGGCAGTTTCCCCCATGCCGTTCTTGTGATAGTGAGTGCGTTCTCATGAGCTCTGATGGTTTTATAAGGCAGTCTTCCCTGCTCTTGCTAGCTCTCTCTTTCCTGCTGCCATGTGAAGAAGGTCTTTGCCTCCCCTTCACCTTCTGCCATGATTGTAAGTTTCCTGAGGCCTCCCCAACCATGCAGAACTATGAGTCAATTAAGCTTTTTTCTTCATAAATTACCCAGTCTCGGGAAGTTCTTTATAGTAATGTGAAAACAGACTAATACAGACTTTTTACATGTTACTGAGCAGACACAGGATGAGTTACAATCTGATGGGCCCTCTGGGCTGTAGGGCAAGAGTCTCTGGCATCCTCATTTTACAGCTGTGACCCAGGAGGGAGGATCTCCTACACTGGGCAACTGCAGCTTCCAGCCCTGCAGGCTGTGACTCCTCTTGGATCTCATCCCCAATCCCTGGACTTTCCTCCTCTGCACCACCCACCTTGACACCCATCTGGCTGCCACGAGTAGTTTCCATCAGAGCCAGAGTTTGGGTGAAAGGAGTTTCCAGAAGGTGTCCCCTACTCATTCAGTAGATATTCACTCAGGGCCCACTGTCCTGGAGAAACAAAGAAGTGAGTGCTAGGAAGAGAGATTAACTAGGATGAGGGGCTGGGGGTGTCTGGGGGTGGGTGTGGGGGCTGTCTGAGTCATGGTGTCAGGGCGTGCTGTACTGACAAGGGGCATTTGAATAGATCCCTGAGAAATGTCTGAGAGTGAGCCCTGTTGGTACCTGGGGAGGAGTGCTCCTGGCTACGGCAGCCACAGTGTGTGCAAAGGCCCTGAGGCAGGAGTTTGCTTGGTGTGTTGGAGGAGCAGCAAGGGGATCAGTGTGGCTGCAGCAGAGTGAGTGCAACCGAGAGCTGATGAGGTCAGGAGGTGGGGGCCAGGCAGGCCAGGGAGGGCCTCGTGATGTGGCTGGAGAAGGTGAAGTGCTTGTTCCTGGCCTGGGAGCTTATCTCAACGGTTCCTATGCTCCCAGCTCTCTGACATTGGCCCACGGCAGCCCCAGAATGGATGCTTTGCAACATCTAACAGTTTGGGGGCTAAAATTAGGTGCCAAGCTGGGTTAGGGCCAGCAGAATGCCACTACATATGCTTGGCATCTGCATGGCAAGGGGAAAATGTTGCTGCTGCCTCTTGTCCATGTTGCTGTACCTCAGCGACTTCCAGAGTAAAATTCAACGTCTGCGGCCTGGAGTTGGAGGCTCTTCTGTGTCTAGTCCCAGCTTGTGTTTCCAGCCTGAGCCCACCTTGCAGGCTGAACTTCCCCTCCCCTCCAAGCTGTGAGCTGAGGTCCAGGCTACTGCCTCCCTCTTCCTAAAATGCTCTTTCTGGCTACCTTGCCTGTTCTCCCCCTTGGAGTCTGAGCTCAAGGGCACCTGCTCCGTGACGCTTCCCTACACCCCAGCCCAACAGGTGGCGGGTCTTTTTTCTGCCGCGCAGCTCCCGCCGCACACTGGTTTCTTCTGGCTTGTATTGTTTCTGATGAGATGTCTTCATCATTCTTATCTTTGTCTCCCTGTAAGTAATGTGTAGTTTTTTGCTACTTTATTGAGGTATAATTTATATCCTGTCAAGTTAATGCTTTTGAGTGTATACTTCTGTGAGTTCTGACAAACACACACAGTTGTTTAATTACCTGCACAGTCAAGATACAGAATGTTTCCATCACCCCTGAGGGTGCCTCATTCCCACCCTCAACTCCTAGAAACCACTTAATATTAGTCTGTTGGGGCTGCTACAAAGAAGACCATAGACCAGGGGCTTTAAACAACAGACATTTATTTTTGCTCGTTCTGGAGGCTAAAAGTCCAAGATCAATGTGTGATTAGGGTTGGTTTCTATTTTCTCTCTCTCTCTTTTTTTTTTTTTTGAGACAGTCTTGCTCTGTCACCCAGGCTGGAGTGCCGTGGTGAGATCTTGACTCACTGCAACCTCTGCCTCCTGGGTTCAAGTGATTGTCCTGCCTCAGCCTCCTAGGTAGCTGGGATTACAGGTGCCTGCCACCATGCCTGGCTAATTTTGTGTGTGTGTGTGTATTTTTAGTAGAGATGGGGTTTTGCTATGTTGGCCAGGCTGGTCTCGAACTCCTGACATCTGAGCCTGGCCAGGGTTGGGTTCTTGTGAGTCCTCTCTTCCTGGCTTGGAGATGGGTGTCTTTCTGCTGTGTCTTCACATGGTGGGAAGAGAGAAAGAGAGAAAGAGAGAAAGAGAGAGAAAGAGATATGGTATGTCTTCTTCTTCTTCTTCTTTTTTTTTCCCGAGACGGAGTCTAGCTCTGCTGCCAGGCTGGAGTGCAGTGGTGCAATCTTGACTCACTGCAACCTCCTCCTCCTGGGTTCAAGGGATTCTCCTGCCTCAGCCTCCCGAGTAGCTGGGATTACAGGCATGCGCCACCACGCCTGGCTAATTTTTGTATTTTTAGTAGAGAAGGGGTTTCACCATGTTGGCCAGGCTGGTCTCAAACTCCTGACCTCAGGTGATCCTCTGGCCTCTCAAGTGTTGGGATTACAGGCGTGAGCCACCATGCCCGGCCAAGATTGTGTCTTAATTCAACACTGTGTACCTTTCATGTTGTGCAGTGCCAGGCATGTTGCTGTGTTTGTTTATTACTTGTAATTTACTAGATTCTTCTATTTCTTGACCTTCTGGAATTGAACACAATCAATTGCTATTAGTTATTTATTTATTTGCTTTTTTATTGTTTTCTTAAGCTTGTGAGGTCTTTAGGTGAGAGTGGGAAGGGAGTGGCTTCCAACACACGAAACATCCAAGGAAGAAGTCAGAGTTCCATGTATAAAACCTAAAGAAATGGCTTCTTTTTCTATTTTAAGCAAGGTAGTGGAGATGTTCTGTTCTGAAGGTTGCAGTCAACACTATCACAAGGTACAGGGACAGGCTGGAGAATTCCTTTCTATCAAAGTCTTAGACCAGTAGAGTTAGCACTAAGAGGAATGCAACCCATTCATTTTACTGATGAGGAGACAGAAGGTCAAGGTGGACCATGGTGGGGTTTCACTCAACATTCTGGATTCCCCATCCTGATAGTTCCTTCTGTATCACAGATCCTAGCTTACAATACAAAGTCCAATTTTTCAAAAAGGCATGTAATTAAAAAAAAGTCCCAACACTCAGGTGTCTGACCCCTGATTCCTCATTTCTTCCTGTGTGCCGAGATGCCTTTGGCAGACCTAGGGGGAGCTTCTCCCCACTCTATGGGGAAAGGAGCACCAGCTCCTTCCTCCTCTGGGTCCCCTCAAGGAGGCCAAAATGCCCATCATGACCCTGATATTTTTCTCCCCACTCCTCTGGAACCTCACTTCCTCATCCCAGGTGGTACCTGGGTTTCTAATGCCCCAAACATTCATAAATTTAACACATATTTATTGAGAACGTACTGTATACTAGCCCCTTGTTAGGTACTGTGACTACAGCAGCCAGCAAGACAGTCTGGGACCCAGGCCTGCTCATACATTCACTCTTTCCTCTTCACTAGGGTCTGGGAGAGAGCTTTGGGATCGAGACTCAGCCCAAGGTAAGTCCTGGACGGTACTCAGCCCTGATGTGGACCTTGTGGATATTTTTTAAAAAATTATTTAAATATTTTTTATTTACAGAGTGATTGAACAGATCGTACATAGAGTTCCATATACCTCCCACCCTCTCTGTTTCCCCTATTACTAACATCCTGCATTGGTGTGGTATGCTTGTTACAATCGATGAGCCAGTATTGATACATTACTGAGTCCTAATTTTTTTACTAGGATAATCACTAAAATCCATATTTAGGTTAGAGTTCACTCTTTGTGTTGTACAATCCGTGGGTTTTGAAAAATGCATAATGACATCCATCCACCATGATAGTATCAAACAGAAGACCTCCACTGCCCTAGAGACCCTTGATGCTCCTCCTGTTCCTCCCTCCCTTCTAACCCCTGGCAACCATTGCTGTCTTTACTGTCTCCACGGTTTGGCCCTTTCTAGAACATCACAGAGTGGAAACCATGCGGTGGGGAGCCTTTTCAGATTGGCTTCTTTCTCGGCTCACAGGAAGAAATGATGAATTGGGGATCAGACACCTGAGAGTTGGGATTTTTTTTTTAATTACATGCCTTTTTGAAAAACTGGACTTTGTATTTATAAGCTAGGATCTGTGATACAGAAGGAACCATCGGGATGGGGAATCCAGAATGTTGAGTCAAACCCCACCGTGGTCCACCTTGACCTTCTGTCTCCTCATCAGTAAAATGAATGGGTTGCATTCCTCTTAGTGCTAACTCTACCTAAGACTTTGATGGAGAGGAATTCTCCAACCTGTCCCTGTACCTCGTGATAGTGTTGATTTCACTTCACACTCCTCCATGTCTTGTTGCAGCTTGCCGGCTCATTTCTTCTTATTCCTGAATAACGTGGGAGTCTTCTCTACAGATCCTCCCAGGTGGTTCCACGGGGGAGCTGAGTGGAGCTTCTGTGATCTAGTGACCTAGTCCCCAGCATGGAGTGCTCGGAAGTGCCCTCCTTGAACATGTAAACATCCCACCAAGTTGCCTCCCTTCTCTTGCTATTTTGATGTAGCTTTCTTTTCAATGGTCTTATTTCTGGGTCTAGCCCCCAGACACACTTTCCACCCCATGTCCTAACCTACACTCTGCAGCACATCGCACCTGTGCAGGGTGATCGGTGATTGCAGGCCTGGGTCCACGTCTCTGCTCTGCTTCTTGCTGGCCACGAGGCTGCGTGCTCCTTACTGGCCCCTGCGTGCTCATCTGTACAGTGTGCAGGAGCAGGAGCATCTGCCGGCAGACTTCTTGTGAGATTCTAGTTCTGAGGCCTCCAGACGGCGTGGGTGCACCGCCTGAGTCCTGCTGCATTCTGTCTGCTGCAGACCCAAGCCTGGTTCCTGCGTGGGGTCCCTCACGGGTGGTGTGTGTTTCACAGGGCAGCAGGGAGCCAAGGGGCTGGGGCTGCCCGTGGGGAGTGTGTGAATCAAAGGAGCAGACCGCAGCTGGAGCCACCTCGCCTGGATTCCTGAACGCAGACTCTTGACAGACCGATTGTGTAACGGCATTCCTCCCAAGGAAACACGCCTGCCCCCTCCAAGAAGGTGCGAGAGCTTCCCAGACACAGAAAGGGCCCTGCTGGGTAAATCAGTTCTTCATTATTCCGTTCCCGAGGCTCTCCTATTGGCCAAGTGCCCGGCACCAGCAGACGTCTGCCCGCACGGGGTCGGTCCGCATGGGGTCGGTCCGCACGCAGCTGACGCTGAGGCTCAGGTAGTCTCTTTGGTCCCACTAAGCGGAGGATGCATTCAAAAGGATGCAAATTTCCATCCATTTCCTGTCCCCCCTGCCTGGGATAAGGGGCCTGTTGTGGCTGTGCAAGCTGGCTTTCTGGTATCTAAATACTTCTCTGGTGAGGACACACCTGTTCACATCTGCCTGCACACCACAGGCAAGCTGGCTTTCTGGTATCTAAATACTCCTCTGGTGAGGACACACCTGTTCATATCCTGCCTGCACACCACAGGCAAGCTGGCTTTCTGGTATCTAAATACTTCTCTGGTGAGGACACACCTGTTCACGTCCTGCCTGCACACCACAGGTGGGGTTTATTGTGTGGGGCTGGGATTTGGCCAGCCGACTTCTGGAACTCATTGTTTATCTCTCCATCACTGCAACAAATAACCCCCAGACCCGGAAATGCCACCTTCGACTAAGGCCTCAGTGTGGGGTCATCAAAAATGGCAAGCTGGCCAGCCCCGAGGTGGGTGAGGACCAGTGCAGGCCTTGTCCTCTTGGAGTCAGGTAGGGCTGCTACTGGCAGGTGGCATGAGGTCTCTACCGCCTCCGAATGACCCCGCACCCCTTCTCCTTTCCTTTCTGCCCCTCCCTTTTTCATTCAGGATGGAGGCAGAAGAGGTGCTGAGTCTGGAACCCATGGCTGCTGCGGACGAGGAGCTGGGTGATGCTTGCCTGGGCACCGTATCGCTCTCATCCTGTTTTCTCGCCTGTGAAATGGGAATGGCGCTCATGCTTCTCTGTGGGATGCTGGGAAAGGAACATGAGGGCGTCCATGGAAGTGTTTGAGGCATGCCTGCTCCAGGGGGAAGCTCCAGAAATGACACCTATGATCTCCCAGCTGTGTTCCCTTTAAGTTAACAAACACTCGTCTGGTCTGGGGCTGGGGTACAGCGATGAGGATGACCTGGTCCGAGCCCCAGGAATGTGGGCCGTAGGAAGGGCATGGGCATGAAAGACGTGCTCAGGGGACCCCTTCCAGGTGTCACCAAAGAGCCCTGGGTTGTGGTGTCGGCGGGAGCAGGGCAGGTGGGAGGCGGTGGGGGTGGGCAAGGTCTCGGACGCCAGATGCCTGGGTTCACAGCCCAGGCCTGCCTGTTACCAGCTGTGTGATTTCACCTTTCTGAACCTCAGCTTCCCCAAATGTGAAATGGAGTCGATGCTGATAGCAGCTTCTCCTGGGGTTGTTGTGAGGCTGAAACGAGTATTTGCACAATACACAAATACTTGATGCCTGGCAAAAGGTATCTAAGTGTGTTAAATATGTAGCTGTGTCTACACATCAGGGGGCCAACCTCACTGTGCTGAGAGGCAAAAATGGAGAAAAAAGGGAGGTTGCCAAGATTTTGCTCCTGGTGGCCCCAGGCTTTGGAGTTTCAGAGACGGGTGAGAGAGGGAGTCGGGGCAGTCAGGACCCTGGTGTGAGTAGCATGCTTCGTAAAAGTGACTGGGAGAAACCTTGGGACGTCCTTGTCTAAACTAGACTCCTGGCCTGCGGAGAGCCACGCCCCACCTCCCTCAGTCCCTACCATTCGCTATCTTTCTGGGCTGCCTGTACATCCTGCTGCAGCCTTCCGAGGGCCACCCGGCAGGGAAACCGGAGCTGCAGGCAGGAGGCACAGGCCGTTTCATCCACCCGGGGATGGGAGCGAGTTACAGGTGTGGCCATTGTTCCTGAGCACAGGTGGGGATAATGCATGCTGACAGCCCAAGGATGGGCCCCTGGCAGCCTCCATCGGCCTGGCCCGAGCCCCAGGGCAGCCCTCATGGGCACCCAAATTACAAAACGTCCTGTGAACTCTCCCCACGGTCCCGGCCTCTTCATGTGCTTCCAACGCCGGCGGCTTGGACACACCTGGGAGCAGCCACGGCCCATTCACGAAGCACTTTGGTGAAGGTCACCAACTGCAGGGACAGAGCGGGTATTGTCAAGGACGCCAGCCTAGCCTTTGTGCCCCGCCGTCTGCCCCGACCACAGGAATTCCTCACACTCACCCTCATTCACACCAGGAGGGTGCCCACTGCCACTGGGGGCGGCCTCCCTCCCTCCCTCCCCATGCTATTTTCAGGCAGGAGGCTGGAGCCTCGGCCAAAGGAACCTCACCCACGATTTTCCAAAACCTGATTGCCGTGGCTGTGTCTGTGATGGGCACAGACCCAGGGGCCGGGCCTGCCAAGACTCTCCCCGTGTGAATACCTGCACAGGGCACCTCCTGTGGGAACCGGGAGTCACACAGAGCCTGGCATTTGTCCCCAGCCTGTCTTGTGACATTAGGTAGATCAAAGCCCCATTGTAAAAAGTCATGTTGCCTCTGTTCATCTGCTTGGAGCCTGTGTCCTAGGACGGCCCTTCCCTCGGCTCTGGCTCGGGGAGGGAGCTGACCGCCAACACATCTGCTCCCATTTGGGTCCTAGTGTTCCTCCTGGAAGGAGCCCCACCGAAAGTGAAATTGCCTTTCATGGGTCTGAGGCTGGGGCACACCCTGAGAAAGAATGAGAAAGCATGGGGCAGCGCAGCTCCTCTCCAAAGTCTTCAGAGGAACAAGTTCCTACTTGGCTCTACTACGGAACAGCAAGAAGGCAGAGAAAAATGTCACTGATGCCAAAATCCTGGAGGCTTCCTGAATCGGCGATGAGGGGTGGGGAGTTGGCAGAGGCTGGGGTGGGGGCAGCCTCTGTCCAGCAGCCCCTTGGGGCATGGCAGGGAAGGAGGTGATGGAAGGAGGTGAGAAGACACGAGGCTTTGACAATCCTGAATTGTGAGTGGTGGGGCGAGGTCAGATCCTTCCAGAGGGACAGCTTCCCCTTGACTCCCAAGCCTGACCGTTGTGTGTCAAATGAGGGGCAGTCAAATTGCTCAACCACCTGAGTGGTAGGTAACTTGTGAGCTGGAGGGATCTTTACCCACCTTACAGTCCTTAGGTAGTCCATTGGTATGGGCTGCCTGGAGCATGTCTGAGATGGGAGGAAAATGTGCCAAGATGGATTAGTAATGTCTGGATGGCTGCCAGTCTCTTAGTGATGGTGTGTGTGTCATGTGTTTGCCATCTCTGGTATGTTAGTCAGGATAAGCTAGGTTTTGCTGCCATAACAAATAAATCTCCAAACCTCAATTGCTTATTGCTGTGAGAACTTATTTTCTCTCACTCAAATCCCAAAGTGAAGGGGGTGACTTGTTAGGACAGCTGTGCTCTACATAGTGATTCAGGGATCCAGCCTGTTTGCATCTCATGTGCTAATGGAGGGTCACATGGTGCTTCTCATGGCCTCAGCCTGGAAGTGACACACACGTCTCTTTTTACTTTTCATCATCCAGAACTGCTTCTGTGCAATCTGATCCCTGACTCCCTCAGAAGGCAGCAGGGGTCCAGGAGGGAAGAAAGTGGGATGGGTCTGTGGGGCAAAGAACATTATCTCTACCACACTCAGACCCATCCTCTTTGTTATAGAGGATTGGGTTTCTATAACTCAATAGGGATGTGGGATGTGGTTTCTAGACAAGAAAGTGACTTGAACAAAGTCAACAAGGGGTGTTGGCACCGTTGGGACCAGCCTAACTACCATGTAGGCATTTTTTTTGATGTACCATAGTGCCAAATTGTCTAAGTCATTTTTTCAATCTATCTCTCATCTTTCTTGTGAATTTTGTCATCCCCAGAGGTGATTTCTCTTACTGGAAAGTCTAGTGGAGGGACCATGTCCCTTGGCGGACTCTGCCAATGGGTGCCCTTCTTAGAAGCACCGTGTCCTCTTTGCTGGGGTAAAGCCATTCAGTACTGGATGACTTGATGAAGGTAAACCATAGCTGCCCAGGGTCCTGGACACATGAGGCCTGCTCTTGATTAATCTATATCCCTTATTCCCCAAAGAGAATGGCAAAATCCTGGAGCTATGCTCATGTTTGAGTTCTGTATTGGACAGGACCATTTTGGGTGCAATTGGCTTGTGCATTTGTGTACTTGAAAAGCTCAGGGATTTCAGCTTCAGGAATGGCTGGATTCAGAAGCTCAAATGATATCAGAACTCGATCTCACTTTCTCCATTTCCCGTTTCTGTCTTCCTCTGAGAAGGCTTTAATCCCTGGATCCACTTTGATTGGTGAGACTGGGGTCGTATGCCCAACCCTAAACCAGCTACCATGGCCAGGGGAATAAGAAACACTGATTGACCAACCTGGATCTTGCAAACCTCCTTTGCCCCTCTTGATCCTCCTGGTCTGAAAAAGGCTTGCACTGGAATGGGGCCCTGATGCACAAGACACGGTGCCCCACTTTGCTCTCACCTGTTGCTAGTGATACACGTTCCAGGGCTTCTGTGCTGGAGAGGTAGAAGATCATACTGCAGAAGTCCAGTGGGAGGAGGTGCTCACTCTGCCCAGGAAATGGATCATCAGGGAAGGCTTCCTGGAGGAGATATGTTTACCAGACAGCCAAAGGGGAATGAGGAGGGCATAGCAGCAGTGGAAACAGCAGGGGCAAAGGCAGGAGGGCAAAAAGACCACCCTAACCAGAGGACTCTGGTTGCTCAGTGTGATGGTGACTTGTTGGGGTGGAGGGGAGGGTAGCAGGGGGAGGGACATACAGGACCCAGGGCTGGTGAGGCTGTCTGGGGCCTGTTCTGACCATGCCTTGAGATTGGGTGAGCTGGGTGGGAACCCTGAGGAGCAAAAGCAAACTTAAATTCCAAGGGGAGAAGAATGGGATGTGGGCTAGTGTAGACCTCAGATGGCTGAGCAGAGAGTAGGTGATGGGCATTTCTTAATTGTGACCCTGGGGCAGAGATGGATCTGGTGCCCAAAGAGGCTGGTCAGGCCAGGAAGCTCCTTGAAAGTCGGCCAGAGGAGCTAGGGTGTATCCTCCCCAAATGAAGACCCACTGAAGGGTTTCAAGCATGTGGGACTGTTTTCTGTGTGGACATATCATTGAGGCTGCTGTGGTGTATGGTATGGGTTGGAGGAGGCAAGGCCAGCCGGAGAGAGGTAAGGGGCTAGTGCTAATGGCCGACTTCATGTTCACTAAGTGCATATTAGGCTCAGAACTAGGAGCTGGGTTTGGTAGATCTGGGAGCTGGGGCACAGCGAGGGATGAAGGGAGGGTGGAGGGTTAGAAGAGTCACTAACCCCCAGCTTTGAGAATTTCAGCCACTCCGTCCGCAGACAAGATGCATGAAGGAAGCAGACAAGGCATGAGGTTTCACAAATGCTCTGCACTAATATGCCCGCCTTACAGTCATAGCCTGGTTACTCTTTCTTTATATAAAATTATAACGGATATTCTAAACTTCTTTTCCTACTCTATAGTAAATTAGGAGCTCATACATTGGAAATGGTGTGTGTGTGTGTGTGTGTGTGTATGAGAGAGAGAGAGATTCAGGGGGTGCGAGAGAAGGGAGCAATAAAGGCAGCAGCTGAGATGGAGATAAAGTTCTCCTAAAGACATCCCATGAACTCATAAAGCTCGGCATTTTGGGCCACTGGTGTAAAGGTGATAGTTTTCTATAACTCAGTCCTACAGAAGAACATCCCATTAGAAGATGGGAACATTAGCAAGTGTTGGTAGTTGCTCCATCTGGCCACTTCAAGGCAAGCAAGTCTTCTTGGCTTTGCCCAGAGTATCCACGATGCTGGCACATCCTGGTGATTGCCAAGTGGGTGAATGGGTGAATGGATGCACGTTCCAATGACACCTGCGTTCTTTGAGCAATTGATCCTGTGGGGGAAACTGACATCCCAGAAGATCTGTCGGGCTGCTGCCTGCCCCCAACCCCAATGCAGTGCCCTCGATAAGGAAAGTGAGCTCCATGGCTTCTGTTTAGGAAGATGGGGAAGCTGCAATGCAATGAGGAAAAAAAAATCCCACCCCAAACGGGTTTGCATTTTAGGAAGTGTTTTGTTGTCCCTGCCAAGTGACAGTGTGGACTCAGGGTGGGGGAGGACTCTAGACTTGGCAAACCAGGTGTATTAGTCTGTTCTCACACTGCTATAAAGATACTACCTGAGACTGGATAATTTATGAAGAAAAGAGGTTTAATTGACTCACAGTTCCCCATGGCTGGGGAGGCCTCAGGAAACTTACAATCATGGCAGAAGGTGAAGGGGAGGCAAGGCACATCTTCACAAGGCGGCAGGAGAGAGAGCGCGAGGAAGGAAGTGCCACATTTTTAAATCATCAGATCTCATGAGAACTTACTCAATATCATGAGAACAACATGGGGGAAATTGCCCCCATAATCCAATCACCTCCTACCAGGTTCCTTCCTAACACATGGGAATTATAATTCAAGATGAGATTTGGGTGGGGACACAGCCAAACCATATCACCAGGGGACAAGGAGTGGTTCAGAGCAAAGCTGTCATCGCAGCTTGGGTGGCCGTAGGAGATGGAAATACCCCACTCTGCTTAAGCCTCTCTGATGCCAGGCACCCTGTGACTGCAGCCAACCCACTTCTTAATCCCTGGGAACTGTGAATACATGACCTTACATGGCAAAAGGGACTTTGCAGTTGTGATAAAGTGAAGGATCTTGACACGGGAGAGGACCCTGGGTTGGGAGGGTGGCCCTCCCTTATGAGAGGGAGGAAGGGGGAGTTGGAGCCAGAGGAGATGTGCAGATGGGAGCAGGGCTTGGAGAGCTGTACTTTGAAGAACGAGGGAGAGGGCCACCAGTGCAGAGGGAGGGAGGGGCCACCAGCGCAGAGGGAGGGAGAGGCCACCAGCACAGGGATTTGGGTGACCTCTAAAAGCAGAAAAGACAAGACAAGAATTCTCCTTGAGGGCCTCCAGAAGGAACATGACTCCATTGAGGACTTCTGACCTCCAGGATTCTGGGATCAATAAATGTGTGCTGTTTAGAAGCTGCTAAGTATGTGGTCATTTATTACAGCAGCAATTGGAAACAAGTATACAAGTCCCAGCTAACACACCTGCCACATTCCCAAGTGAGAGGCAGAGCCTGGTAATGGAAGGGCCCAGTGGTTTGGGTCCTGGGTCTGCCCCGGCTCAAGTGCCCTGGGTGCTGCTCACCCCTGGACATCATGCTCCTTTCATCCACCGGGAGCTCTGCTTCTCTCTTCCTTGGATACCTGCCATTCACTCACTCACGACTTTTTCATTCCCCTATTAAGGCCACCGAGTGCAGGGATGCAGGAATGGAGGAAAAGAAGAGGACCAAAACCTGCTGGTCCCAGGTCCCCTGCCTCTTCCTTCTGGTGGGAGGGCCTGGGGGTGCAAACCCAATGCTGGGCCTCCAGCTCCCCAGCACACAGCTGCATATGAGAGGCTCCTGCAGACAGGTGCCGTCATGGGCTGAATTGTGTTCCCCAAAATTTATGTGTTGCAGCTCTAACCCTCAAAACCTCTGCATATGACTGCATTTGGAGATAGGGCTTTAAAGAGGCAATTAAGTTTAAATGAGGTCGTTAGGGTGGACTCGTGTCTTTATAAGAAAAGGAGATTAGGACACACACAGAGGGATTGAGAGCAGACTGGCCCCTGTGAGGACTCTGAGGGACAGAGCCCTGTTCCTGGAGCCTCTGCATGCCCTGGGAAGTGTGGGGAGTAGGCAGGGCCCCCAGCCAAGGCTGAGGCTGTCCCTCCTAGGCTTCCTGCCTTGCAAAGCCAGAGTCACCCTGCGGGTCCTTGACTCACTCTGTAGAGCCCCTTCCTACCTTGGCCAAGCTTTGTCTGGGCTAGCATCAGTGAGAAGATACTTGGGAAGAGTTTTTACCCACTAAGGGCAGCTTAGGAGGAAGGAAAGGCAGAGGTAGAGTGAGCACTGGGGGTTTGAGTCACAGGCAGGCACAGGAGGAGGCCACCAGAGTTCCATCTTTGTGACGCAGCACCATGGAGTTCCTGTGTTGGTCTCTGAGTCTTTGCCCATGTTATTCCCTCTACCTGGAAGGCTTGCCCCTTCTCTGGGCCAGCTCGGATCCTCCTCATCAAGACAGGAAGAGAGTAGGGACTACTGTCTGCCAGATCTCTGCCCACACCATTGGCACCTTGTCCACAAAGCACTCCTGTGACCGCCCAGTGCCTTCCTCAAGCCATGCACCTGGGCTCATGGGGACCACTCATGCCCAGGGGATGGGAGTAGAGCCTTATTTTTAGACCCAGGGTTGATTTCGTGAGACTTTCTGGGAAAGTATTTATTGAAAGGGGAAGTCCTAAGAGATTAGAAATTTACCCAGTAATTGACGAATCTGATACTTAGAGAAAAACCCCCTTCCCACAAGGGGCTTGTATCTGCTGACCCTGCACACTTGTCTGTTCCTGGCATTCACTGTTTATCTGCTGTGAATTAGAAACAAAACAAAACAAAAAAGACAGCTATTAGCATGCAAACCCCAGGAGAACTGGCCCCCTGTGATTTGCATGAGAACAAAAGCTCTTTCCAATGTCCTGGGGCTCAAGTCTTCAGGATAGCCTTAACTTCCAAACCAGGCAGGGCTTCAAAGCCGGAACTGGGGAACTCCTATGTGGGCTCTCTGGACCAGCAGCATCAGCATCACTTGGGCAGTAGGTAGAAAGGCAAGATCTCAGGCCCCTCCTCAGACTTGCTGAATCAGAAACCTTGGGAGTAAATCGAGAGATAGTCCATGTTGATGGATTGGAAGACTCAATATTAAGATGCCAATTCTTCCCAATTTCATCTGTAGATCAGCACAATTCCATTCAAAGTCCCAGCAAGCTACTTTATAGTTATTATAAAACTGATTCTAGAATTTATATGGAAAGACACAGGGAACAGAGTAACCAATGCAATTCTAAAGAAGGAGCTTTAGGGGAGGATTGGCCATCTGTACTTTAACAAGCCCTCGAGCTGGGTCTGATGCACACTATAGTTTGGAAACTATTGGGTTAGTAAGGAAATTCTGGGGGAGGGGGTGGGTTGGGGAGGGAGCCATATCCAGAGGCTTCTTCATTCACTGAGCCCCTCCCTATTCCATTCCATCTCCCCCTTCAGCCTTGAAACTGGACTTCTCTTGGTGGCAGGGATCTGAGTATTTAATGCCTTGCTCTTGCCTCTCCCTTTTCATTATTCCTTTCTTTGATAGACGAGCTCTATCAAGAAGCTCTCAAGGCCTGTCACCCACCTGACTCACCCAATAAAACTGACACTTCCATTTCCCATCAAACACATGCCAAGAATTGCTTTCGGGGTGGAGAAGGAAGTAAATCTGATTAGGCAAAGATGAAGTTTTCTCTAGCATAAAGGGTTGGTGAGAAAAAAGGCAAGTTATGCCCATACATGAATACAGCTTGTTTGTCATATATATGTTAAATACCAAGGTAATCTTGGTCCCTTTTGCAAACCAACAGCTGATTAATAATTCAAACAAATGCTGCTCAGTTGCATCTCTATCACCACTGGCCACCACCTCGTTTATCCTGACACCTCCTAAAAGGACCGTGGCCACTTCTTTCCCCTGGATGCCTCCTTCCTTTACAGCTGGTGTCATCCTCCAATCTTTCCTCCACTCTGGCCATCAGAGTGGCTTTCCTAAAGCATAGTCTTGTAAGACTTTTTTAAAAGTGTTTTGTGTAGTTAATTCTTTTATTTCTGTTTCCTTAATGGCTTCTTCGTTTCCTATCTTGTTGGGAAGACTTCCTGCATGATGAAGTTATATGAATATTTTCCTTTATTATCATCCATACACTTATAATTTGGGCCTTTTGTTTATTTGTAATAGGTTATCACTCTGTCACCCAGGCTGGAGTGCAGCGTCACAATCATAGCTCGCTGCAGCCTCAAACTCCTGAGCTCAAGTGATCCTCCCACCTCAGCCTCCCTGGTAGCTGGGACCACAGGTGCACACCACCACATTGGCTAATTTTTGTATTTTTTTGTAGAGATGGGGTCTCCCTATGTTTTTCAGGTTGGTCTTGAACCCTGGGCTCAAGCAATCTGCCTGCCTCAGCCTCCTGAATTGCTGGGATTATAGGCATGAGCCACTGTGCCTGGCCTTTATAGTTTTAAAAAACAACTCTTTCAATTCATTTGGAAGTCATTTTTGTATATGGTATGAGGTAGGGATTTAACTTAAAAGTCTTCCAAATGAATAGTCATTTTCCCAACCCTCTTAAACCCAGAATTTGTCCTTTGTCATATTTTCAGTCCCTAAATATACTTGGAGAAATGACTGGGCCCTCTGTTTTGTTTCACTTATCTGTTTACCCCAGGAGTACAGGGTTTAATTACTGTAGCTTCAGCATGGGTTCAAAATCTGGTCAAGCCCCAACCCCCTTTCTCTTTCTGAAGCTATTTTGACAATTTTTGCAGGTTGATTTGTTTTTCATGTGAACACCAGATTCATACAGTCCAATTTCAAAACAATAAAGATTTTATCTAGTTTTAAAAGAAATGACACAACCCAAACTGAGAACCTTGTTGGGATTCCGAATGGAAAAGAACACACCTATTAATCCTTGAAGGCTTTGCCAACTGTGATAATAAAGTCTTCTTGAAGATCATTTCTCTTCATTCACTCAGGACTTGATTTATGTTCTTCAGGTACATTTCATCATTTTTGTCCTAGAGATCTAGTGCTTTTCTTATTAAACTTATTTCTAAGTATTTTATGGTTAGCTCACCAAGATTAGGAAATTGGAATGTGGCAGGGCTGGGGAAAGCAGAGCAAAATCAATCACACATGACAACCAAGTATCTAGAAAGCACTTACTCTAGGGGGGCAGTGGCCACACCAGTTTTCAAGCCAGAGTCACAGAAATTTCTGGAGTTGTACTCAGCTCTAAGTAAGATATTCTCCTAGATTCCCTTCTAGCTCACACTTGCTGTTATACTACACTTAGGGTATCAGGAATCATCTGGAACTTGCCAGATTGATGATGGCATTAGGGGTGATTGCTCCCCTGCCTCCTCAACTCCACTACCTTCTTACAGAAACTGGTAGCCTGTCTAGAACTCCTGTGTCTCTTTTAAGACTTAAAGTACCAAATGACAACAGCATTGGCTGGGGCAACTTGAAGAGGTATGAGGGGTATTTGAGGATGCGGCTGGCATTCCTGGACCCCTCCACTTTTGCTGATTATGTCTACAGGCCAGTCTCCTGCCCCATCTCCTGCACCCCCTACAAAGGAGGAGATTGTTCTCTGGTTTCTGGCTGACCTTGAGGGATTATTCACAAACACAGGGATCACATTCACATCTCGCCACCAGCATGGTCTCTGGGACCCAGCTGCAATGTTAAATGAGAGGGCAGCCTGGAACCTGGGAGGATGGGATCTTCGGGTCTGCTTCTGCCTGTGCCTGGAGGGCTGGGCCTCCAGGATGGGTCCTGACTCTGTATCATGGTCCACTCCTCACACCAAATGTGTTCTAGATACTGGGTGGCCCCAATCCCACCAGAAGACGGGGCAGTGGCAATTTTTCCAATGATCTCAGGGTGGAGATTTCTACCTCTGATCTTCGGGGTGGAAATCCATGAGATCACTTTTCTTTTTTTTTCCAGGCCTTCAATGCTGGGCCTCTATCCTGCCCACGTGGTTGGTGGGGCAGATTCGTGGCTCTCCTCAACACCTTCATGGATTAACAAACAGTCTCATGCTCAGTAAATGGAAAGTCCAGTCCAGTCTAAGTCAGAGCTTCAGTCTTTTTTTTTTTTTTTTTTTTTTTTTGAGACGTAGTCACGCACTGTCGCCCAGGCTGGAGTGCAGTGGCACGATCTCGGCTCACTGCAACCTCTGCCCCTCCAGGTTTAAGCAATTCTCTGCCTCAGCCTCTGGAGTAGCTGGGATTACAGGCACGTGCCACCATGCCCAGCTAATTTTTTGTATTTTTAGTAGAGATGGGGTTTCACCATCTTGGCCAGTCTGGTCTTGAACTCCTGACCTCGTGATCCACCTGCCTTAACCTCCCAAAGTGCTGGGATTACAGGCATGAGCCACAGCGCCCGGCCAGAGCTTCAGTCTCTTATCCCATGTACACCCTCTTCCCCACTCCACGGCTCCTGCTAGGGTGGGCAGCTGTCATGGGGAGGGCCTGGGCTGTGGTTTCTGCTGCATTCTTCCTTTTTCCTTCTTCCCCCATGAGGCTTGGAGTTTCTCCTCTGGCGTGTGCCTTTGATGTCTGGCTTTGGGCCTTTCCCCATTGGGAACCCCTAGCATGAGTCTCTGGCCCTGGCCAGGTGCCTTCAGCTAAGGGCCTGTGACTGCTCCCATCCTGGGCTCCTCTCTAGGGAGGGCCTCAGGTGGCTCCTGGTGGTCTCTCACCCTCATAGGAAATGTCCTTTCAAGATGACCCACTCATGGCTTCTTTTCATGGCTGTCCACCATGACTCACTTTCCCCTCCATGCCTGAAGATGGCCACCCCGAGGGCAGCTCTGGCCACCCCTCATTTAGGCAGTGCAGGCAGGGGTCAGCACCAGGCTCTGCATCCTCCAAAACTCTAAAATCTCCTGCAGACCCTCAGAGATGCTTCTGAGGACCCCCTCACCTGGCCTGAGATGCGAGTGAGAAGAACACCTCTCTCTTCACTGTCAACACAAGTAAATAACAAGTATTGGTGAGGATGTGGAGAAACCAGAACCCTTGTACACTGTTGGTGGGAAGGCAAAATGGTACAGCCACATTGGAAAACACTTTGGCAGTTTAGCAGATGGATGATCCATCCATCCATCCATCCATCCATCCATCCCTCTGTCTATCCATTGATCCATCCATCAATCCATCCCTCCATCCATCCATCCATCCACCCATTCATCCGTCTGTCCATCCATCCATCCATCCATCCATCCACCCATCCATCCTTCTGTCTGTCCATCCATCCATCCATCTGTCCATCCATTCATCTGTCCACTCATCTGTCCATCCATCCATCCATCCACCCACCCATCCTTCCACCCATCCATCCTTCCATCTATCTATCTGTCCATTCGTCTGTCCACCTGTCTGTCCATCCGTGCATCCATCCATCCATCCATCCGTCCGTCCATCCATCTGTCCATCCATTCATCTGTCCACCCATCTGTCCATCCACCCACCGTGTCTGTCCATCCATCCATCTGTCCATCCATCCATCCATCCATCCATCCATCCATCCATCCGTCCATCTATCCATCCATCCATCCATCCATCCATCCATCCATCCATCCATCCATCCAACCATCCACCCACCCATCCATCCATCCATCCATCCATCCATCCATCCTTCCATCCATCTGTCTGTCCATTCATCTGTCCATCTATCCATCCATCCATCCATCCATCCATCCATCCATCCATCCATCCATCCATCCACTCACCCATCCATCCACACTCACTGAGCACCTGCTACATCCTGCTCAGAGTCTGGTGGGAAGACAGATGTGTAAACAGACAATGACAACTCAACATCCAGGGCCATGATGGAGAATCATTTCCCACTCTAGGTTCTGAAAGCAGTAGTCCAGTACCCTTTTCCTGCTCTGGGCTGTGTCTCCGTGTAGCTGATATGACTCTGATGATGTCATCCTCTAGACCTCAGTTGCTCTTCTGGAGTTACAAGGAAGCAGAAGAAATTCATTAGGTGCCCCGAACTTGAGGGCAGGGCCCAGACCAGGGCACTCCTGGCCTGGGTAAGCCCTGGCTTCCTCCCTGACCAGCTGTGTGACCTCAAGTCTGTCACTGCCCCCACCCCCGACACCCGTCCCCACAGCCCCCACCATGAAGAGACTGGGCTGGCTGCTTTCCAAGATCACTCTGAATTCTTGTCTGGGAGCTAAGATATTTCTGTCATGTGCGGAGCAGGCTGTCCTGCTTCCCAAGCCCAGGGCATTTTGCACCTCTGTGTTTCCTCCTGCCCTACTGCACCCTCCCACCTGCACTGGGCCATAGCATGTACTCAGCCCTCCCCTAAATGTTGCACTCATGCTCTGAATCCCAGCTCAGAAGTCATCTCCTGGGTGGGTTCCCTCAGTGCCAGCAGAACCCCTGCCCTGTGTCCCAGTCATGGAATATGCCCCTGATGTAGCCCTTATTCCATCTCATGCTGGCCCTTTTGGCAATGGAGTCTGTGGGGCACCAGGACAAGCCTGAGGGGTTTGCCAGAACGTGAGGCTCCGTCCTTGCAGGTGTCCCAGGACTTTTGGCTGCTCTGTGACCCCCTGGGTCCTCAGCCCTCTTTGAGGCCGTGTGTGGCCATGTGAGGCCCCAGACCCTGTGACAGAGGCCTCCCCACACCTCCTGAGTAGAAAGAACGGAACAATAACAGGGCAGATGCGGCGCCTTTGCCCTTCAACCCTGGGGCTGTGTTTTGCAAAGGACCAGAAGGATCAGAAGGGTCTGAAGGGTCTGAAGAGAACCGAGCCCCAAATGCCCCACACCTGGCATCAAGGAGGTGACTAGGAGGCTCCTAAGGGTGCTGAATCACTAGCTTCCCTGGTTGGGCCTGGCTGAGGGAGGCAGGGGTTGTTGGCAGTAAGGAGGGAGGGAACAAGGAAGCATCTACAGGGAATGCCACCCAAGACCCAAGATTTGGCCTGCCCTGGGCCCTGGGGAGGGAGCGGCTACACCAGAGCATGGCCTTCAACCCTCCCCTGGCCGCTGCTCCCCTCCAGCGTGTATCTGCTTTGGGTGGGAGGAGCAAGGTCACTGTCTTCCTTGCTGGGGTGGCTGGGAGGGAATGTGCCCTATCTGTAGACACCAGGCAGCCAGAGAGACCCTGCTGTGTGGGAATGGTCTGGATGCCAGCATAACCTGCAGTCTCACGAGGAAGAGCTCACAGACAGAGTGTAGGTGCACACAGCCAGAAGCCAGGGGCAGATGTGCAGGATGTTTACGTGCCCTGTCTCTTGCTCTGCTGCCCATGTCCCTCACTGGCCCCATGGCTCTGAGGCCCAGAGAATGCAGTGCAGGGACTCTCAGTACTGCTGAGTGCCTACTGTATGCCTACTATATGTAACCCGGCACTGGGTGCCTTGGGGCCTCCAAAGCAAGGCCCCGTGACCCTGTTCTAGAGCTCACAGCCACGACTGAGGGCTGGGATGAGGGGCAGGCTGGTATATAATGACAGTGACCAGCCGAGGGTCTCCAGGCCCTGCAGGAGCCTCAGCTGAGGAGCTCAGAACACAGAGTAAGGGTCCCGCAGGTAACAAAGTTGGGGCTCCCCATTCTCACCCCCAATATGTGTTTATCAAGCACACCACAGTGGGGCCAGCACTGCAGTGAACAATCACACACACGTGTGACGTCACCCTCTAGAAAGGATGGAGAAGAGAGGGAGGGATCAGCCCTGGGCAGCCAGGGAAGGACCCTCTGAAGAAGTGACAGGCAAGCTGTGGGTGGTGGGGACCTGGGAGGGCAGGGAAGAGGGACAAGAGGCTAGACCACAGCTGGGGCTCAGTGACGTGGGGTTTCATGGGTCGTGCAAATGATGAGGGATCTTATCCTGGATTTTGCTAAGTGCCCAGTGCCAGGCCAGCCTCTCGGGCAAGTGACCTGTGTAGCTGCACCAGCCCCTGGGTCAGTGGGGCTCTCTCAGGGTTCAAAGCTCTGCTACCACCATCTATCTTTCTTTCTTTCTTTTCTTTTCTTTTTTTTTTTTTTTTGAGACAGAGTCTCACTCTGTTGCCCAGGCTGGAGTGCAGTGGTGCGATTTCGACTCACTGCAACCTCCACCTCCCGAGTTCAAGTGATTCTCCTGCCTCAGCCTCCCAGGTAGCTGGGATTACAGGTGTGCACCACCATGCCCGGCTAATTTGTTTTGTATTTTTAGTAGAGACAGGGTTTTGCCATGTTGACCAGGCTGGTCTTGAACTCCTGACCCCAGGTGATCCACTCGCCTTGACCTCCCAAAGTGCTGGGATTATAGGCATGAGCCACTGTGCCCGGCCCTGCCGTCACCATCTAGATGCTCTTTAATAACTTTGAACAAGGCGTCCTGCATTTTCACTTTGCACTGAGCCCCTCAGGTCCTGCCCACACAGCTGCTGCTTGCTCAGGAGCCCAAGTCTGGCCATCCCCTCGTCTTCCCGACCTCATGTGAGGGAGGAGGGAGGGGGCTGCCTTCTCCACCAGGCGGGCATGGAAGTTTGCCAGCCTCAGATTTTCAATTAATTGCCCACGCCCCTGGAAGATAATTGCCAGGACTGTTTGCCTCCATGTGGGCCTCAAGGTCAGTTGCCTGGGCAGTCTTGTTAGGGAGGAGGAGATAAAGGGGGCTCTGGCCTCTGTTTCTCGTGGAGGTGCTGCCTGGGGTGCCCATCGCAGGTGAACAGGGTGTGTGTGCCTGGGCAGGGTTGGGGCACGAACTTTTCAAGCCAGGACAATGTCAGAGCCTGGGCCACATTCTATTGAGCATGGCTTCCCTGGGACCCTGTAGCTGGTCAATGTGGACATTGGCAATGAAATGCCAGAGACCTTGAATGACAACTAGAACAGCCCTGCTGTGAACTAGTCAGAAAGTCAGATGTTCCTGCTCTGACACTCACAGCTGTGTGGCGGGGGCAATTGAAAATAACTCTAGCCCCAATTTTCCCATCTACGCAGTGGGTACAACTTCATCCATCTCCAGGGTGGTGTGCAAGAGGGCTTTGTGATCACCCTGGTGGGCTGTGTGTCAGCCCCCTGCACATTTCTTTGTTCAGTCTCTGCCTCCAGAGTTCAGTCTCTGCCTCTAGAGAGAAGCACTGTTTTTGCAAAAGGCTGCAGATGTGGGGGCCCCTGCACCTGGTGCAGAGAAAGCATTTAATCAACGTTGGTTAGACCAAGGGTCCCTAACTGGTCCGTGGCCTGTTAGGAACTGGAGATGAATGGTGGGTGAGGGAGCCAAGCTTCATCTGTATTTACAGCCACTCCCCATCACTCACATGACGGCCTGAGCTCCACCTCCTGTCAGATCAGCGGCAGCATTAGACACTCATAGGAGTGCAAACCTTACTGTGAACTGCGTATGTGAGGGATCTAGGTTGCACGCTCCTTATGAGAATCTAATGCCTGATGATCTGTCAGTGTCTCCCATCACCCTAAGATGGGACCATCTGGTTACAGGAAAATAAGCTCAGGGCTCCCACTGATTCTACATGATGGTGAGTTGTAGAATTATTTCATTATATAATGTAATAATAATGGAAATAAAGTGCATGATAAATGTAATGCACTTGAATCATCCTGAAACCATCCCCCCAACCCCTGGTCCAGGGAAGAATTGTCTTCCGTGAAACTGGTCCCTGGTGCCAAAAAGGTTGGGAACCGCTGGGTTAAATGAGGGGAGGAAGGAAAGGCTGACTGATGTGTACTCCAGGAAGGCACCCCAGACTCAAGGTTGCCTGGCTCAGGCAAGGCCATGGCCAGCCGCAGAGGGACGGAGGGAGAGAGGGAGGAAGATGGGGCAGGAATGTCAAGGGGAAGAGAAGGAGTTGGCCAGTGCTCAGGAGCAAGCGATAAGTAAGCAGGGCCGAGGATTAGGAAAACACTGAGCGGAAGGAGGCGTGGAGGGACCGTTGCAATCAGATGGGAAACCAGATTAGATGCTGAATCAATGGAAAAGATCCCCGCCGGATCAAAGGCGCTTCTGGGGAAATGTGAAAAGCTATTCAGGGTCAGGAGGCAGGCCCCAGAGGAGGGGCCCAGGCAGCCCAGCCAGCAGCCAGGGAGTCTGTGGAGCCTGGGGAATGGGGCAACAGAGAGCCAGCCTCGGTGCCCGTTACACCCACGGGCCCGAGGTAGCCACTCACAGGCTGTTTGGGGCCAGACTTCCCAGATTCTGGGACACCAGGGCATTGGAGGCTCTTGGCTGGTGGAAATGGCAGAGATCGGAGGGGGTGGGAACAGACTGGTCTTTATTCCTATTCCAGGGATAGAGCCACCTGCATGAGCTTTTTGGGTACCTCGGGAACTTCCCCTCCAGGTTGCAAGCTGTAGGCTCTGCTAGTCTGTGGGGACTGCACCCTGTCTCCAGAACCCCAGGAGGGGCTGTGTTTGGCCCTCATACATCTTTGCTGGTGGCATTGTGGGCTTTGGTGCCATATAACCCCAGAGAGGCTGTGCCCACCAGGCAAGGAAGGCACCTTTATCCGTCACTGAATGTGGGCCCAGGCCTGGTCCCTGGAGCTCTCTAAGCATCCTCCCCAGCCACATCAGTGCTGGGCCAGAGCACAGGAGCCAAGCACTTCAGGGCGGCAGAAACAGCATGGGCTGTGTTTCTCAAAAAGGATTCCAGGGAATGCTGGTCCCATAAGACAGTCCAGAAATAGAACTTAGGAGGTTAAATCAGTTTGAGAAACCCAGCTTGCTCTCTCCTCTCAGAGAGACAGAATAAAAGCCCCAGCAAGTTCTCTAAAGACTTTGCTTCATCCTGTGGTCCCCAAACTCCCTTGATCCTGTTAACATCCAGTGGAACTGGAATACACTTTGGAAAGTGACGATCAAGCTTGCCACGCTCTCTCTGCACTAAGCGGGCACCTGTGGTGAATGAGCTTGGTTTTCTGGCCCTCGAGCTCGCGAATGGGTTTTGTTTGGCAGATGGGTGTGTGACGTCCACCTCAAATGCAGCTTCCACGTTCCCCTTCTGCCACATGCCTGGGGAGCTTCACAGGGGAGGCGTGCTGAGAAATCTCCCTGCTATGAGGCATTGATGGGCATCTGTTCCCTGGGGTGGGGGCCTCTTTCTGCCTGTGTGGTGGGAAGGAAAATGGCTGGGCCTCCCAGAGTGTTGGGCTCTATCCTGGCCTTAGGCTTGGGGTCCCACCCAGCTTCCCTGAGACCGCAGAGGGAGATTCTTCAGGCTGATGGTCCTGGGAGGCTGGGGCCATGGGGGTCCCCTCGTCCTGCCTAGGAAGAGAGTAAAGGAAGGTGGCCCAGGGAGGCCCTCTGGGCCTAGCAACAGTAGCCACACCACTGCTTCTCATGTACAGAGGAGGCCAGGAAATGAGAGGCCTGGGCACAGAGTGGCCTTCTAGATGCCCAACCTCAGAGCAGGGAGTGACCGGGGGCACACCAGAGGCTGAGAGGGCCCAGGCCAGTCGGGAGCCATAGTGGCCTGGACGGGGCTCAGCACGGGGGGCCGGCAGGGGAGAGAGAGGTCCAGTGGGTCAGAGTTGGGGTGTAGGCGGCGTGCAAAGGGATGTGGGAAGGGATGGGGTCAAGGAGCTTTGGAGTTGAGCTCCGAATGTGCCTTGGAGCCCTGAAGGCTGCTCCTGGGAAGGGAACCTGATTCATCTCTGTGAGTTTCAGGCAGAACCCAGACCTATAATGAGCAAGGTTACAGTAGCCAGGGGTCCAGAGTGAGTGGTGAGCTCCCCACTCCTGGAGCTGGGCCCTGCTGGCTGCCAGCCAGTCAGAGGCAGCATGTGGTCTCGATGGCTGAGATTATGGACGTTGTAATCTTCATGCATTCATTCAGCACCTGCTGCATGCAAAGCACAGTTCTGGGTTTGAAGCCCAGCTCTTCCACTTCCTTGCTGTGTGACCTTGGGCAAGTCACTTAACCTCTCTGAGCCCTTTCCCTTTCCTTTAAAATGTCTGCACTTTTCATTTCTTGGCCAGGTGGAAAAGACTGAGTCTGAAAACTGGGGCCTCAGACAACCCTCAAGGAGTGTGGGAATTTCAGGCCCCCAAGAGGGACCACCTGTCCTGGTCACCGATAGGGCTGAGTGGAGGTGTGGGGGTGTAGGCCTTTCCTTCCAGCTCGCCTCCAGGCCCCAGCTATACTGTCTCAGCCTTCATGTGACCCCAGAAACTTCCAGAAGAGTGGCCCTTGGAGGCCCTCCCAACCTCTGGTGGGCCTGGTGCTCCCTCCCACACCCACACGAGCCTGGGAAACAGCTCTGTGGGCTCTGTGACTCGAGGTGGTGTGAGGAGCCCTGGGTGGGCTTGGTTTGCTGAGTCCGAGTGTGGAATGGGAGCACACAGGGCCTCCAGGGGAGCTGGAGCTGCAGGCCTGGGGCTGGGGGAACCCTGCGGCCTGGGCCCCTCCACAGTGGCTGTCCAGCGTGGGAATGCTCTGGCCCTGGCTTCGTGTCCTCCGGCAGATTGACAAGGTCTGGGGCCCACGCACTGACTCTCAGGGGAGCGATTGACGGCTTGTCGGTGGGGAGTAGGCGGCCCAGGCAGGCTGTGCTGGGAACGGTGAGCCCCCCAACTCCTCCAGGCCCCTCCCTCTCCTCCCAGGCCTGTCCCAGGCCTCTGAGTTAGGGTACCGGAGGGAGTCCCACAGGGACCCCATGGTGGCCCTGAGATGGCAGCAGCATTGTGAGCAGAGGTCAGCACTGGCCAAATGTCCTGCGAGCAGAGGAGTCTGGAGAAGGGGACGGGGCTCTCTCTGAAAAGACCAGAAGCCTGGAGAAGGGGATGTGGCTCTCTCTGAAGGCACCTGGGTCCCCTCAGCCTACCTGGGTCCCCTCCTCCCAGGGGCTGCCCCCTTTCCTCCCATCCCATGCTCAGTGGGAGTTGCTCCCAGGCCCCGGCTCTGGGGCTTGCTTGCCACGTCGTGGCTCCTACATCCTTTCCATGTCCTCTGCAGCCCCTCCAAGCCAGGCCCAGGATCCCCTAGACTCCTGTCCTGTAAAAATCGCCAAGTCTGGCCAGTAGTCATGGCTCGCGTCTGTAATCCCAGCACTTTGGGAGGCCGAGGCAGGCAGATCACTTGAGGTCAGGAGTTTGAGACCAGCGTGGCCAACATGGTGAAACCCTGTCTGTACTAAAACTACAAAAATTAGCCGGGCATGGTGGCAGATACCTGTAATCCCAGATACTCGGGTGGCTGAGGCAGGAGAATCGCTTGAACCCGGGAAGTGGTGGTTGCAGTGAGCCAAGATCACACCACTGTACTCCAGCCTGGGTGACAGAGTGAGACTCCAGCTCAAAAAAAATAATAATAAAATAAAAAAAATCACCAAATCCCTCACCCATGCCAGCCTCCCAGATGGGCTCCAGGTGGAGACAGAAACATGATATCCAGAGAGTGGCAGGGCTCGAGCAAGCTCACGTCCATTGGGACACCTTTAGCCAGGGAGATTCGGGCCCAGATGAACTGAGCTTATTCTCTTCGCTTCGCTGCCTTTCCCTTCCGGGCTGGGATGACTCAGTTTCTGGGGCCAGAATCTCAGTCCACTGAAGTCCGAAGGGCCTTGGGTGATGGTCCCAGCCAGTGGGGTCCAGAGATCCCTGGGGCTCTGAGTGGGGTGTGTCAGGGACTGTGACCAGGGGCTGAGGAGGCTCCATCTGGCTGCCTCAAAGTAACTCCAAGCTTCTCTGCCATGTATTTCCACTCCAGTCTGACTGCTGCTCATAGCAGAGATCAGGTACTGGCAGTGCCACCTCCCCGATCACATGGCAGGTCAGTGTCAGATCTGGGGACGTCCCCAGGCCCTTGTCTTTGCCCAGAGCTCTCCCCTGGCTTCTTTAGTGGGGTGGGAAAAGGAGCTACTGGTCTACCTGTAGCTGCCCTGACTGAGAGGGAGGAGGGAAGAATGGCAGGGGCTATGCTGGTAGCTGTGACGTAGGAGCCCTGGCTTGGCACTGAAGGAGGAGAGAAAGGAGCAGCCTCCACAGCTTGGCCAGGGTCCTGCCTGGGCCACCACCACTCCTTCCACCTGCCACAGGGCTGTTTCACAGCACCAAGGATACAGGCTCCGTGAGGTGACCTGACAGTCTTCAGGCAACGTCCACACCACAGAGCTGATATGGTTGACCCTTTAGTATGGGTGCTCTCCCTCTCAGTTTGGCCTAGGCTTTGGATGTTTGAGAGTCTCTTCTCCAACTAGAGTTAGATTGGAAGGAGAGCCACCCATCCACTCACCCACTTAACTTCTCATCCATCTCGCCATTCATCTTTCTAGCCTTCATTACAACCATCTTTGTAGCCATCCACATGTCCATCTGTTCATTGATCCATTCATTTACTTGTTTATCTATTCCTCTATCCAACTGTTAGTTATTCATTCAAAGCCCTTTCTAACCATCCATCTACATGTCCACCCACTCATTTATTCATCTTCCATCCACCGATTTACCTATTCATCCAGCCACCCATCCATCCATCCATCCATCCATCCATCCATCCAGTTACCCATCACTCCTTCAATCATCCATCCATTCTACCTATCTGTGTTTACCTTTCTAGTCCTCACGCATTCACTCATCCACCCATCCAACCATTTATCCATCATTCATCTACTCATCCACCTGTTAGTCCATGTACCAGTCTATCTGCTTATCGGTCATCATTCTAACCACCTATCCATCTATCCATCCTGCCATCTTCTCACCCCACTCATAAATGTGGCACTCTGTCCATCCATCTGCCCACCTGTCCCACTGTCCATTCACCTATCCATTCATTGATCCAGCCAAGCATCTATGGACAGATGCCACGAGGCTACCATTATTCATCGCAGAGCCCAGAGTAATGCTGTGTCTTGGATTATATGACTGCTCTTACTTGGTAGATGAAAACACTGAGATGAAATACAGGGGCAGCATACTTATTGGGAATAACTACTTAGGGTCAGAGAAACCTGAGTTCAAATCCTGACTCTATCATCCCATTAGCTCTGTGGCCTTGGATCAGTCATTTACTTCTCTGTGCCTCAGTTTCTTCCTGTGTAAAACAAGAATAGGAACATCTAGAATGTTATGGAAATTAAAGCTAAAACATGTATTATATTTCTTTACAACAAAATAAGTCTTTACTGAGTTTGGCTTTCTGGAGGAATGGTTGTTACAGGTGGGGCTGTGCCCATGGCTGGCTCCTGGAGACTCCTGGGCTCTGGCCCTGGCTGTGCAGATGGCCATTTGTCCTTCCTGTGCAGCTGACCAGTGCCAACAGCAGGGAGGTCTCTGGGGCCATCAGTGCCATCTGACGCTTGCTGCTCAGATATGGCCGTAGCCTGCAAGGCAAGTCTGGTCTCCCCCGCCCAGAGCTGGTGGCTGCAACCTGAGCCTGCAACCCAGAGGCCTTTGGCCCATGCTCCCAGGACGCAGAGTTTCCTTTGGCCCCTTCTGCCGGTGCACCCCCACCCAAGCCCAGCTCCTGGGCACAGGATGTGTGTGCACTTGGAGCAGAACAGAAATCAGAGCTGGAGGCCTCTGAGCTGCTGTCTCCCCGCCCACCAGGTAGGCCTGTCCCTTCCCCAGGGTAGGTAAATACAGGGTTCTATTTACGTGGCAACGCACGGGGCAGCCAGCGGTGGCAGGTCGGTGGCTTATGCAATGGCAGCGTGGCGCTTGGCAGCTCTGGGGTGCCGTGGGAAAGGGAGGTCTCCCTCATGATGTGACTTGTACCCTAGTCCCGCCCTTGGGGGTGACACCCCGTTTGGACCTGGTTGCCCCAGACAGCCCAGGCAGGCAAGAACACCTGGGCGCAAGGCCTCCCCTGTTGCTTGTCGGCTGGGCTCCAGCCCTTCCTGCAGGACTTTGGGGAGATACGTATTATCAGTTGCAGCATCCACAGGGACCTCCACCTCTAAGAACTCACCAGGTGCCAACACAGCTTCCACGCTTTGTCTCACTTCACCCTCCCTTTGTAGACGGGGAGACACAGAGAAGGGTCTCAGTGTGCATGGTCTCACTCTGCAACCATGCTCTAGGGCTGAAGCCACTGCTCTGGGCCAATTGTCCTCAGCCTGGCCAGGGCTCTGCCTGGGTGCGCCATGGCTTTCCCAAGTCCCCTCCTCCTGGAGGATAGTGGGGCAGCCGAATGCCAGGCAGCAAAGGACCCTCTCCCCACTTTCGCCATCCCAAGGCTCTAGCGGCTAAAAACATCCCCCACCCTGAACTGCTCTGCCAGCTTGAGGCTACCCCCTCTGGAAAGCCCTCCCTGACCTCCAAGTCCCAAGGTTGAGGCTCCCATGAGACCCTGAGCCCACCTCTCTGGACTTCAGTCTCCTCTCTGCCACAGGAGAATAATGGCTTTGAACTTGGAGCCGTCTCGCGGGTGAAAGGAGAAAATCATTGCAAAACTGCTCAGTATCCCACAGGCAGGAAGGGCTCAGCACCCGAAGTGTTCAAGCTATGTCCTGTGGCAGGTGGATGCTTCTACATCACCCGTCCTTGTCAGAAAGCCCTTCTGCAGGCAGCAGCTGCATCTTGCTTCCCTTTGGTCCCTTTCTTGATGCAGGTCCACTACTGTGGAGAGAAGGGAAAAGCCACTGGGCACCAGGTGGGTGGATGGGTGGACAATTGGAAGAATATTTGGACACGTGATCTGATGGCAGGAATTGAGGAAGGAGGGAGGGAAGGAGGACAGCAAGGCAGGGAAGGGAGAGGAGAAGAGAAAGCACCAGCCTTATAGCTCGGTCTACCCTGCAGTCCCTGGAGCCAGTCTGGGGCTATCCCAGCTCACCACACAGTTGCTGCCTGGCTACCCCTCTCTGTGTCTAGTTTTAATTTTTCATCTATCAAAGGGAACATAGCTGAACTAGCCCACTCTGTAGTGCCCTTGTGAGGATTAAACAAAGGAATCATGCAAGAGGACTGTCATGGTACA
Source organism: Homo sapiens (assembly GCF_000001405.40). Classification (NCBI taxonomy): domain Eukaryota; kingdom Metazoa; phylum Chordata; class Mammalia; order Primates; family Hominidae; genus Homo; species Homo sapiens. The sequence goes on from NC_000011.10 coordinate 69,274,583, forward strand.
AGGCTCTCAGTAAGTGACACTTGAGTGTCCTTCCTCCCCAAGCAAGCCGGCTCCAGTTCCCAGCAAGGCCAGGTAGCTGCACGGCCATTCCTGCACTGGGCGTTCCCCCTGCCCGCCTCCCACGCTAGCCCTCCCCACTTGCTTGTTAAAATCCCCTGGATCAGTGCCTCTCCCAGGTATGTCCTGGTTATGTAATCACCGCCCGAGCAGTTACACACCAACTTGAGCTCTTTGCTGGCTCCTGTTTACTCTTTGGCTCAGGGGAGAGTTCCATTCAGAAGAAATTGCTATTGCTTCTCAGCCTTCCCATGGGAAAGCAGCATTAGGGAGGGGTTCAGTGAGCCAGCAGGAGTGGGGGGAGTGGAGGCAGGGGAGGAGTGGGGGGAGCAGGCCCTCACACAGCTCAGGGCTTGCTCCATACGCACAGCTTGCCAGCTACTTTATCTCTTTAAAAACAAAAGTCTCAAATAATTTTTTCACATGACCTCATTTTCTGATATACCTGAATATGGTTAAGAGAAAGGTGGACGATGACCTCATCCCATTCCCTATTCATGACTTGTTACCGTGTTTTGTTGCCCTTGCATTCATTCATGTGTGTTTGCATGCATCTATATACACATCCATCAATCCATCTAGTCACCCATTGATCCATTCATCTATTCATCCATCTATCCATACATTTATCCATCCATCTAGCCATCCACCTACATATTTATCCATCCACCCACATCTCCATCCATCTATCCATCCATCCATCCATCCACCCACCTATACACTCATCCATCCACCCATCCATGTACACATCCATCCATCCATCCATCCATCCATCCATCCATCCATCCATCCAACCATCCATGTATCAATCCATTTATCCATCTATCTATCCATCCACCTATGCACCAACTCATCTACTCATCCATACACACACCCACCCATCTACCCATCCATACACATACCCACCCACCCCTTCCTCCCTTCCATCACATAACATTTGTTGAGTTAATAGTAAAAGAAATAGTGGACTGGGTGTCCTATGACCTGATTTCCATTCTCAGTGCAACCCTTGTGCTGAGGCCAAGTTTGGGAGGGACATCTACCCAGGTCTGAGTCTCAGATATGCCATTTTCTCTTTTGTTCTTGGCCAAACTCTTTCCCTCTTTGAACCTCAGTATCCTCATCTGCAAAACAGGGCGATAAGGATTCTTGTCTTATTATTGGAAGGACATAAAAATAATGTAGACTTGGGAGTTCCTGGAATCATGTGAGCCTCCCGTGGGGACTCTTCAGGTCCTGTGCTTTCGGTGGAGGTGCTAAGATGGTGCAAGAGGAAGCCCTTGCTTTGGAGCTTCCTGTGCAGTGGAGCAGAGGAAGAACCAGCCAGGACTGGTGGGGTCTGTGTTGGATGGAGGTGGAGAAGACTGAGGGGCCTAGGCCACAGAGGGGCACAGCCTCAGGATAGGTCTTGGTGGCCATGGTTGGAGGATTAGATTCAGGCTTTCAAGCAAGGTAGATAATGGCTGCATTGGTATTTTGGAAGGACCCCTCTGTCTGCTGTGGAAGAAAACTAGTAAAGAGACTTGCAGTTGCCTGACTAGACCATGAGACTGAAGAGTAGGGGGTGACACTAAACTTCACAGACACTTTTCCTCCTGAATGCTGAAACTGTGCAGGCACCAGAATCACTGATTTAGGTCTCAGGTGACCCAGATCACACTGGATCTCTGGTCCTTCTGTAATATGGCATTTGTGCCTTATCTTCCCAGCCTGCGTCCCTGGCAGACATTGCTAATCAATTGCAGCTCTCTTTCCCCAGAGCCTAAAACTGTGTGGTCTAGTACAGTAGACACTAGCCATCATTTAAATATGGCTCTTTAAATCTAAATCAATTAAAATTAAATAAAATTAACAATTCAGTTGCTCAATTGCCAGAGTCACATCGTTTCGGTCTTTCTTTTTTAAATTTAGAGATAGGGTCTCACCCTGTCACCCAGGCTGGATTGCAGTGGTGCAATCATTATAGCTCATTGTAACACTGAACTTCTGGGCTCAGGCGACCCTCCAGCTTCTGCCTCTCAAGTAGCCCAGACTAGAGGTGGGCATCACCAAGAACAGATAATTGTTTATTTTTTGTAGAGTTGGGGTCTCACTATGTTGCTCAGGCTGGTCTTGAACCCCTGGTCTGAAGCTATCCTCCCACCTCAGCCCCCTGAGTAGCTGGGGCCACAGATGTGAGCTACCGTGCCCAGCCTACAGCCACATTTCAAGTGCTACTATAGCTATTGGGTACCAGATGGGACGGAGCAGGTACAGAGCATTTCTATTGTCAGAAGAGTTCTGTTGGTCTGTGCTGACCTCAGCCAGGTCCCATAGCCAATTCTGGGTCAGTGAGGAGCTGGGAAGCATAATAAGCAGCCTCTGCGCCTCTCTGGGCTAAGCAGTGGTGAATTTAGCCCAACTTGATGCCCCCCATGCTCATATCTCATGGCAGTTTTTCTTTCTACCTGAATTTTGCACGTAAAATCAGACTTAAAAAAGCAAAGTCCTTCTGGGCTGACCCTTCTCAAGTTCACTTTCTTTTTTTCTCTCAAGAAAAAAATTTTTAAAAAAAGGAAGTAGGAAAAGCCCAGCTTTGCCATGGGCCATAGATGTCACTGCAAGTGTCATTTCAGTCCTGAGCTCACCTGGCCTCTCCAGCCTCCGGAGGCTGCATGCTTCTGTTTTTACGTCTATTTTTAGTGCCCCTGGGTGAATGTCATTGCCGCCAGAGGCTGACATTTCATACTGTGGGAATCTTGACCTGCTGCTGTTCCGTTGTCAGTTGAATCTGCTTTGTTATGCCCCAGAAGGAAAGAACAATGATCATTAATAATCGGCAACTTCTGGAAAATCGGAAATGGAACCTCTGTGATCCGAGGCTGCCCTTAACCCCAGCTGTGCTGCCTGCAGCGAGCACCACATGGCTGGTCTCCAGAAGGCTCCACAGTTGCCAGAAGGTTACACCCTGGGGCTGCCAGCCGGTTGATGCAGGGCAGGTGGGCAGTAGGCAGTGGGCTGGGAGAGGGCAGACCTTGACCCTCAGTCATGTGACTGGGGTGGAGGAGGCTGAGGCAGAGTGACAAGAACTTGGTGAGGAAAGTGTCCAACTGCATAGAGACTTGCGGCCCACCTCCAGAGACCAGCACAGGGGACACCCTCCGGGGGCAGGGTAGAGGACAGGTGGGAGGAGGGGAAGGTGCCCTGTTCTGGATGGGTGGGTGGGGGTCTCACCTGGGCTGGGGAGTTCGATTCAGCCAAGTGTCTGAGCCCCTGACCCTGGGTTGGGTTCCGTGCTGGGTATTGTGGGGCACAAAGGGGAATGAGAACCGGGTAAGTGGTGGGAATTAGTGGGACCCTGGAGGAGCCCTAGCCAGCTGCTGGCTCATGGGTGGGGACTCACGGCTGCAAAGCCTCACACCTGCTGGCAGGGAAGACATTGTGGGTTCCCCCAGCACAGACGACTCCTTCAACCCCTTTGGGAGTGTGGACGGAACTGGGACTGGCCTGGCCTTTAGGGAAGAGGGGCTGTGCTTGTATCTCAGGCTCAAGTCACCTTTGACAAGGGAAGCAAAGGTCCCGGGAACAATTCCTTCTTTTCACACTGGGTGACCTGGCAGGAGCTCCTGCTGGAGCTGACGGAGGTGGCAGCCCCTCCCAGGCAGCCCAAGACAAACATGCTGTAGGAAGTTCCCACGGTCCCAGGGCCTCTCGCCTGGAGCTTTTGCAGTTACCTCCCGGAGGCCGGGGCTGTGGGGGAGGGTGAGGCCTCAGGCACCCACAGGTGAGTCTGGAGTCCCAGGCCCTGGGGACACACCTGCGGGGCACCTACTCTGTGCCATGCATTTTGCAAACATCATGTTACTGAATCCTTAAAATGATCTTCCTAAATTAATATTATGATCTTCATTTAGAAATCTAAGGCTTGGAGAGGTTAAGTCAGCCAGGTCTAGGGGTAGTTCAGCTCAGGCTGGAGTGTGGGGCAGGCTTCAGCCACCAGAGCCCAAGTGAGGGTCAGAGTGGAGGGCCCTGGTGTTACCTGTGCTTGCCGGCCAGGCTCTCCCACTCTGGGGTCCTGCCAAAAAACTAGTGTGGTCTCTATAGCCCTGCCACCTCTCAGATTCTAGACTTCCAGGCAGCAAGTGCTCAGGAATCGCCTGTCCTCTCAGGTACGTATCTGACCAAGTCCTGCCCTCGCCAATCTCCCAGACCCCATGGGATAATTGCAGAGGAATGGGGAGTCAGGCCCACAGTCAGGGGCTTGATTCTTGTGTCCTGAGGATGGACTGGCCCTACCCACTCATTTATTCTACTGCCCACCTTGACCCCTAACAATCCATTGATCTGTCCTTCTAGCCAACATCTACCATCAATCTATCTATACTCACTTATCCATCCATCACCTTACCCACCAGCCACACATGCACACAGCATCCACCATCAATCCATCCACACACACCCATCCATCCATCAACTTACCCACCAGCTACCCATGCATGCAACATCCACCATCAATCTATCTACACTTATCCATACATCACCTTACCCACCAGCCACCCATGCACACAGCATCCACCATCAATCCATCCATACGCACCCATCCATGCCATCGTGTTACCCATCAGCCACCCATGCATGCAGCATCCACCATTAATCCATCCACATTCACCTATCCATGCCATCATGTTACCCACCAGCCATCCATGCATGCAACATCCACCATCAATCTATTCACACTCACTTATCCATCCATCCCCTTACCCACCAGCCACCCATGCATGCAATATCCACCATTAATCCATCAACACACACCCATCCATCCATCACTTACACACCAGCCACCCATGCATGCAGCATCCACCTTTAATCTATCCACATTCACCCACCCATCCATCACCTTACTCACCAGCCACCCATGCATGCAGCATCCACCATCAATCCATCCACACTCACCCATCCATGCCATCATGTTATCCACTAGCCATCCATGCATGCAACATCCACCATCAATCCATCCACACTCACCCATCCATGCATCACCTTACCCACCAGCCACCCATGCATGCAGCATCCACCATGGGTCCCTTCAGAGTCACTCATTCATGCCACCATGTTATCCACCAGCCATCCATGCACACAGCATCCACCATCAATCCATCCACACTCATTCATCTACCATCACATTACCCACCAGTCACCCATGCATGCAGCATCCACCATCAGTTCCTTCAGAGTCACTCATTCATGCCACCATGTTATCCACCAGCCATCCATGCACACAGCATCCACCATCAATCCATCCACACTCATTCATCTACCATCACATTACCCACCAGTCACCCATGCATGCAGCATCCACCATCAGTTCCTTCAGAGTCACTCATTCATGCCACCATGTTATCCACCAGCCATCCATGCATGCAGCATCCACCATCAACCCATCCACACTTACTCATCTACCATCACCTTACCCACCAGCCACCCATGCATGCAGTATCCACCATCAATCCATCCACACTCACCCGTCCGTTCATCACTTTACCTGCCCAACACCCATGCATGCAGCATCCATATCAATCCATCCACACTCATTCATCTACCATCACCTTACCCGCCAGGCACCCATGCATGCAGCATCCATCCTTCATCTCACCGCCAGTCTATCTGTTCACCTGCCCAGCATCATCTATTTCTTGTCTGTCCATCCACTTAATCTTCAGGAGCCCATTTTTTTGCCCCTCTACCCACCCACTGATGTACTGCGCATCCATCACTACCCCCAATTCCTAGTGTCAGACCTCAAGTTGCAGAAGGGACACAAAGCAAGGCTGGTATTGATTTTGGGTGAAGTGACAAAAGTCAAGCTGTTTAAAAATAAATCCTTTCAGTCTTGGCTTTGCAACTGTTCAGCCAGAGACACCTGTTCTTCCTTTCCTTGGAGATAGAATGGTGTTTGGGTGGGGAAGCATGAGCTTTGGAGTCAGACCTCTGCCAGACTTGAATCATGGGTCTGCGGTTTATTAGCTGCATGAGCTTGGATGAGTTAACTGGCTTTTCTATGCCTCCTAGAGTGTGAACTGTATTACCAGCACCTCTTCGCTGAGTCACTGTAACAATGAAATGCATGCAATAAATAATATGTGTTACTGATATAATTAATGATCAGTTACAGAGACTGCATTAATTATGTCTGATTGTACTGAGGGTGAGAGGTTTATTTAGCCTGTAATTAAGGAATGCCAAATTGATGAAAAACAATCTCTTTATACAATTTTTCATTTGTTCAGGCTTTCTTTTTTCTAAATAGCATATCCTCCACCCATTTTCAATCACACATTTCTTCTTTATTTGAGCAGCACTGATAACCCCTTTTAGATAAAAGGAAAACAAAACTCCCAGTGGAGATAAAGGAAGGGCCTTTTCCTTTGTCAGCTATCCTTGAGGGGAACACGCCGTGCTCCATGTTATTTTCCCATTGGAATGTGAAAAAAGAGGTGTGAAATATTTGTTCGGATCATTTCTCATTAATGGGGCATTCCAGTAACCACAAGCGGTGTTGGCCCTTTCACCCAGGCACACCCAGGAGGGAGCGACTAGTCAGTCTGACTAATCTGTGTCTGTGGGAGTGAAAGAGTCCTTCTGGCTGAACTGGGACAAGGACAGTCATGTTTCACTGGTGCAGTGTGTCTGACCATGCCAACTGCTTGCCATAGTCACGATGTGGCAGAGCATAGCCTGGTCTGAGCCATGGCTGTTTCTGCTTCTTGCTTGGGTTCAGAGCCTGAACCCAAGGCTCTGGTGTGTTCCAGGCTCCTTGATACGTGTGGCTTTATTCCCTCTCTTGTGTGGGAGAAACAATATCCCATTTCAGAGGAGGAGACTGAGGGTCAGAGTGGATGTGGGAAACTTACTCAATGTCACACCCAGTGGACACATTTCAAGTCTATCTGACACCAACATCCAGCTCTTGCTGCCACAATCAGAAGTGCTGCCATTCACCTGGTCACCCACCCCCAGGTCCCTGGTGTGTTTCTGAGCTGGCATGTGTCTGAGAAGGATGCCTCCCATGCCCGCACACCCATAATGTTTCCAAAATGTGATTATGGCTTAATGTGAGCTTCTCAGTTGAGACCCAGGCTCAGACCGGGTACCACTTCTGTCTCCTTTCAGTACAGAACTCCCGCCTGGCCTGCCCCTCTCTTCCAGAGCAACCAAATCCCAGTCTCTGGAGGCTTTTGATGCCAACAACTCTGTGTGAGTGACCTCTGGTCTTGTAGCAGAAGACAGACTCCTGGCAGGAGATTTGGATGACACTAGGTGTGGTAGCTGACTCAAAATGGCATCTACTGATCCTCACCTCTTGCTATTCACATCCTTGTGTAGCTTCCTCCCATCCTGAATAAGACTGAGCTTGTAACCGACAGGATATTGTGGAAAGGATGGAGTTTGACTCTCTAGGCCATATCATAAAAGGCCTGTGGCTTCTGTCTTTCTTTTTTCAATTATGATGTCCATCATGTTGTGAGGACCCTCAAGCAGCCCACTAGAAAAGTCCACGTAGCTAGGAACTGAGGTCTCCCACCCACAGCTGTATGAGTGTGCCATCTTGGAAGTGGATCCCTTAGCCCCAGTTGAGCCATCAGATAAAACTGCAGCCCTGGCCAACTGAGAGTTGAGACTGTGACCTCCTGAGAGACCCTGAGCCGGAATCACCCGGCTAAGCCACTCCCAGATCCCTGGCCCACAGGAACTGCAAGAGGTAATTAATGTGTATGGCTTTCAGCTGCTGAGTTTGGGGTCATTTGGGATGAGCAACAGATCACCAATGTATGAGGTGGGAATCCTGCTCTTTGTCTTAGTAGTTGAGTAGCCTGGATCAGGTGACCCCCTGGGAGCCTCAGTTTCCTTCTCTGTTGGACAGGATAGTATTAATAATAGCTCCCTGAGAGAGCTGTGCTGAGAACTAAATGGTGTGTGCATCAGGTGCCCTGCACTGAGCCTGGCTTCCTGAAGGCCACATGATTATGCTGCAATTATTTCTGTTGCAGCCACGTTTGCCTGTGTGGGCCCGGGCTTTCCTGCCTGGGCGTCCACACCCCACCAGCAGGACACTTTTTTACATGCCTCTCATGCCCTGATGTGCACACTCTCTCGCACATGCATGCCCACACACACACTCACACAATCACACACACAACCTCATGCACTCACCCAGCCCAGGGCTCAGCACAGTGCTTAAGGGAGCACAGTGGGCTTTAGGTCACTGCTGTAGAACCAGTGAATGAAGTGAACAGTTTCTTTTTTTTTTTTCAATTAACAATTTTGCTGGGTGTGGTGGCTCACACCTGTAATCCCAGCTCTTTGGGAGGCCAAGGTGGGCTGATCACTTGAGGTCAGGAGTTCGAGACCAGCCTGGCCAACATGGTGAAATCCTGTCTCTACTAAAAATACGCAAATTGCCTGGGCGTGGTGACATGCACTGTAATCCCAGCTACTTGGGAGGCTGAGGCAGGAGAATCACTTGAACCTGGGAGGCAGAGGCTGCAGTAAGCTGAGATCCTGCCACTGCACTCCAACCTGGGTGACAGAGTGAGGCTCCATCTCAAAAAAAAAAGAAATTAATCATGGTAAAATACGCATAATATAATATTCACCATTTTAATCATTTATTAGTGTATGGTTCTGTGGCATTAAAGTACATTCACCCATCAGGATGCTTGTACAATCATCATTACCATTCATCTCTAGAACTTTCTCATCTTCCAAACTAGAACTCTACCCGTTAAACGTTAACTCCTTCTTCCTCCTTCCTTAGCCCCTGGCACCTCCCATTCTGCCTTCTGTCTCCATGAATCTGACCACTCCAGGGACCTCCTGTTAGCGGGATCCTGCAGTACCTGTCCTGCCGGGACTGGCTTATTCCTCTCAGCTCAACGTCATAGCGTGTGTTGGACTCTCCTTCCTTTCGAAGGCACAACCACGTCCGTAGTGAATGGTGTGTCCCCCAGTGTTCCCTTCCCTCCCACTGTGAGATGTTTGAGGGCAGGTATGAACTCGTGTTTGTCTGTTTCCAGCCCCTGTCTTGGAACCCGGCTCTGAGTAAGCCTGATGCAAGATGTAGTTGTGGAAGAAATGATGCAAGTCCAGCCCCTGGGGTTTGTGTTCTGGTTCTGCCATTCCTTGGGTGGGGGGCCCAGGCAGGTGGCTTGTTCTCCTCCAGTCTCCGCTTCCTAGTCTATAACATCGGGATGGAGACCCATTCATGGGGCTGCCATAGGCTTCAAGCCTGGTGACCGTGCTCAGAAACAGTGGGATGCATGGGGGATGCAGAAGCTCCCTGGCTCGTCCCCTGGCTCCCTGGCTTGTCCCAAAGCAATGACACCTGTTTGTGTGACCCAAGCCTGACCCTGGTCTGCCACTCCGCAGGAGACTGGGGTGGTGGTGGTTGCCTTAGTTTCAACATGGCGGCACAGGATACTTTACCACTCATCCTCTGGGATAAGGATCCTGGGTCCCACATTCCTGGTACCTGGTAATTCCATCGATAAGCCCCTGGGGCCAAGCTGAGACGTCTTATGCCCAGGAATGCTGGGTGAAAACCACAGCCGGGGAAGATTTAGATCCAAATTCGCAAGGTGTAATTTCAGCTATGCGCTGATAACTTCTCTGGTGGCTACAGGCTCTGGAATTCCAACTATCTGCTGAGGCAAGGGCGAGGAAAGAGCACTGCAGTTGGAGTCAGGAGAGCCAGCTTTGTGCTCAGCCAAGACTGCGTGACCCCAGACAAGTCATCTGATGTGACAACATGGGCTGCAGGGGCAGAGGGCCTGGATTAAAATCTCACGTCTGCCACTGGCTACTTAGGTGGCCTTGGGGACCTTGCTGAGCTTCTCTGTGCCTCAGTTTCCCCATCTGGAAAATTGGGATAATGATGGTTTCCACCCTTTCCATGGAGCTAAGTACCCCTTGAGCTTTTGTGGCTTTATTCCTCTAATACATATAGAGATGGAGAATTTGTCTTTCCATGGTGGGGAGCTTCTTGAAAGGGTTCCTTCCAAATCTCCAGTAAGCCCAGTCCCCTGAGCTCCGGACAGCTGACCTCTACCTGCATCCTCACGTGGGTGGCTCGTGGGCACCACGCACCTGGCATTCCCCCCTTGGGCTCTTGGTTTCAGCTTCACTGCCCCTCATTCCTGTCTTTGCTTCCCCCCTCAGCAAATGGCCATTGTCTACCCAGGTGCTCAGTCCAGGACCTCCCCACCCTCCTCTCCTGCACCCACACACATGGACCCAGTTCATCACCCAAGACCAGGGGTGGATCTTCCCTCTGAGGGGTCTCTCAAATCCTTCCACCTGACTTACTCAGATGATGGCATTTTAGTTAGGCCACCACCTGAGTGAGTCTTGGGAGGGACGAGTGCTGGGACACGAATCCTGTCTGGCGCAAGGCTCAGGGGCTTCTTCCTCAAGGAGGTGGGCACGGCTCATGCTGAGCCTAGTGAGATTGCCCTGGAGGCCTGGGTGTTTCCCTGCCTCCATCCTCACCTGTTGTCGCCCATTCTGTACACGATGCCTTTTGAAGTCTTGAAATCGAGCCGCCACGGGGCCTCTCTGGACACACCTGCCCTGGCTGTCATGCACCAGCCTCGCTGCATCCCTCCTAGTGCCTCCAATGACTCAGGTCCTGCTGGCCCCAGGGCCTTTGTATGTGCTGTTCGTCCTGCTGGGAGTGGCTTTGCCTCCATCCCACACTGTGGGCTCCTTCTCAATCTCAGGGTTTCCCCAGAGAGCCTCTGCACTGCTTTTCCCGGGCAGATGAGGGGCTCTGTTCCTGCCCCTCGCTGGCCGTTCCCCTCACTGACACACTTTGTCATTGTTGATTTGCTTCCCCACCTGTTCAGAGTCTGCCTCTCCCACTAGAATAAGCTCCACGAGGGCAGGGACTGTGTCCTTTGGGGTCAGCGGTGGCTCCCATGGTGGTGCTGAATGGACGCTTGTTGGGTGAATGAGTGAATGAGTGAATGGCTAAGAATGATGACCCTGGGCTGCAGGGAACAAAGTTTCTCCAGCTGGAGTCCAGTCACTGCCTCAGCAGTCTCCACAGATGCCCGTGTCCACCCTGGACCTGAGGAAGTGGCCGCGGTGTTCACCGCTGGACCGGGATGACGGAAGGCCTGTGTCAGGGTTGGGGCCAGGGCTGCCATCTTTTCTCTTCTGGTTTCCCCACGAGGCTCTGCAGTGAGCCTGGAGGAGCTCTTTGTGGGCCTCTGCAATCATGGACACACATTCACCCCCACCTGTCCCTGCCCTGAGGCCCTGCCTCAGTCTGGCCTAGCAGGAGTCCTCCGTGCTCCTGACTGACCGCTCCGTCAGACGCCTGGGGCAACAACGTTTATTCTGGGAGCGAGACGACCCTGCAGCTGCCCCTCAGCCTGAGCCAGAGCTTCAGGGGACAGTGGATGGGGCCTCCCCAGCTCACAGGGGGTCTTGCTGGGGGTCTGCAGGGCTGTTCCTATAGGCCCATTCCTGTCAAATCTGACCATGTCACTCTCAGCCGAAAACACTCAGTGGCTCCCACAGCCCTCCTGATGAAGTCATTGCTGCTCGCCATAGCCTTCCAGAAACTTCTTGGCTCCCCCCACCCCATTCTCCAACCTCACCTCTTTGCATCCCTCCATCCCTCGCCCCTCATAGTCCAGGGATCCTGAACACCTGTGCTTCCCCAAACCTCTCCCGCTTCCAGGCCTCTGCACACGCAGCTCCCTCTGCTTCTCCAGCCCTTCAGAAATGGGCCAGTGACAGAGCTCTGTGCTTCCCACACCGTCGCCTCTTCCGGGGTTCAGAGGATTCAAGGCCCCACTTCCCAGTCTCCTCGAGACCATGGAACTCGATGCCTGTACATCGCGCCCAGCCTGCGGCGGCTGGAACCAAATGTGAGTGCTCTGCATTCCTTCCCACGGCTGGAGGCGGCCCAGATCCTCGAGCCAATGCTGAGGGGACACCCATCAAGGATGGCCTCTGTGACAGCGTGACGAGAGTGGGGATGGGCCTTTGCAGCGTGAAGGTTCTGAGATCTGCGGGCCTGTCTGTTGCCTGAGCACAGCCGAGCTCATCCAGGCTCACTCAACGTCCTGCTCTAGAGAGACCTTTCCCTGGGGAGTTTGCTGGCCCTGCCTGGGTGGCATCAGGTGCCCCCCTGGGCTTCCCCAGCTCTTGGCCTTTGCCACCATGGCCCACTTTGCTAGCATCACCCTCTCAGGGGACAACCTCCTGGCCTGGCTGGTGGAGCCCTGGGGGCGAGCCCCGTGCCCACCCTGCTTGCGCCTCCAGCTCCGGGGCCCTTCTCGAGACTGGCCCTCCTGGGGCTCATGCCCCGCCTGCTGAGCCTGCTGAGAGACTGCCCTCAGCAGGCCCCCTCCCCGATGCCCGCGTGCACATTCTTCCTTCCAGAGGAATGTCCCGGGCCCAGGTTCCCACAGAGGTGCCTGAACTGAGGGGAGTGACTCTCTGGACCCTGGCAGTTGTTCTGCTGCAGAAAAAGCCATTCTTTTGAACTCTGCTGAGTGAGCTCACAAACAGGGCATAACCGAGACGCGGGAATGCCTGGGTCGCCGCGCAGTCACCGGGCAGGGCCGCCCTCCCCTGTGGGTCAGCAAAAACGGTGTCAAGTGAAACCCATTCTAATTAAAGGGAACATTAAGCAGGGGCCTTTTAAACATGGCCATTTCCGAAAGTTCTCTCTTGATACCAATTAATTCCCAGAGGAAGGAGTGGAGGCGAGGGTGGGGGGAGGGAGCTGAAAGCCCTGGGAGAGCCTAGTCCCCCACCTCCAAATGCTCACTCTGCATTTATCTAGAAATCCATCTCAGCAGTCATTTAAAGACCCCAGGAAAACTTCTCCAGGCCCTAGCTCTTCAACCGTTTAATGAACAATGCCCCACGCCACCACCCTCCCCCGACTTCCTGGGAAAAGAGATGAAAACCAGAGGGGCCAAAAACGTTGCTGCGATGTGAACTGGCTGAGAGATGGTACCGGGGAGGATTGGTCAAGAGGTGGCTGGGTCACATAGATGTTCCTCCGACATCGGTGGAGCGACTTTTGTGTGCCAGGTACTGGCACCCACCTGGTCAGCCCACCAGGGTCTGACCCTCCTCTCTGCCCTCTTGGCTGAGATAGCTGGAAAACTGTAGTAACTACCACCATGTGCACCATGTACGTCACTGTGCTTCAGATGATAAATCATGCACCTAACCTTGCTCTGCCTCCATTTCTATGTGTGTGTGATAGACAAAGACAGAGAGAGGATGACAGCTGTCTCATCCTCCCTTTGTGCTAGTTACCACAATTTTCCAACTCTCTTGGCCAAAAGTAGCCAGAGAGCAGAAAGGAGGGTTGGACTCCGGTGGGCTTCACGTAGGCTTCATGATAAGGTGAGGTGTTCATCTAATTCAGAAGAGTGATTCAGACCCCAAACACCCTGAATCCATCAGTTGCCTGAGCATTAAAGTGAGGATTCTGCAATCAATTAGTTATGTCTGCCACGAGAACAGCATGGCACAACCAATACATAGCCTGTGTGCCGGGCCTGAGCAGGTGCTGCTCTAAAATTGAAACTGAAGTGGTGTTTGAGGAAAAATTATGAAAGCAACTGGACAAAGCCATTGAACTTTCTTATCTCAAGGGCCTGGAGTAGCTTGTGACATGTCCTGAGATAAGAACCCACACTATCCCCACCCATTGCCCGGGTCACCCGATGGCCTCAGACACCTGTGAAAGCTAAACCCAGACCTGTGAACCACACCCTCTAGCTTTATGGTGCCGCTCCCAGCCTCCAGCCTCTCCCTTGGGCCCCATGTAGCTGCCGGCTCACTGTCTATAGTGCACTTCAGTTAAGCCATCGTCTGAGTAAGTCTTGGAAGGGACCAAAGTTGGGACACGAATCTTGTCCGGAAGCAAGGTCCAGGGGCTTCTGACCCAGGGAGGTGGGCATGACTCATGCTGAGCAGCCGAAGCTCCCTGACTTGCCGTGTCTGCTCCGGCCTCTGCATCCACCTGTTGCCTCTGCCTGGGCTGCTTCCTCTTGCCTGCGCAGCCTGGAAAGCTTCTGCTAGCTCTGCAGCACTGACAGCAAAGCCCCCCGCCCTCCCTGGCCCAGCTCCTCCGAGCTCCGGCATCGTCTCGGACAGCCCCATGCTTTGCACTGAGAAAGCCCCATGCTTTGCATTGAGATGTTTACTGTGTTGTAAACCACCTGTATGCAAAGAATCTCTCTCCTTTGCTCCATTCCTGGGGCCCATCACAGAACGACTGAGTTTCACCTTTGTGCCCATCCCCTGCCAGCCATTGTCTCTGAGTCTCTCTCCCAGAATGCATGGAAACAGGGATTTGGTTCCTTTTTGTTTCTGACAGTGCTGGCACAGGGCCAGGTGTCCAGTTCACCCTCAGTCCCGACTCACAGAAGCAAGACCCTCTTGGTTTCTAAAATGCACCTTTTACAATTGTTGAAGGAATGCCTTCTTCAACCCCTCTGCAAGGCTCTGGAGGACCTTGGTAGGTGGCTCTACCAGTGTGAATGGACAGGGTCCCTCTCTGCCCCAGGAGCAGCAGGGGCCTCCAGCCAGCCTTCTGTGTTGCTCCTTGCGGGAGAAATTCCTACTTGGGGTGCCAGCCAGCAAGGCAGAGAGGCAGGTACCTATTTCAGTGCTATAGGGCTTGGCCTGGACACCCTCTGTCATGTGTGTGATAATCATAACACAATGTCGAGATCAGCATCTGATCACCACCCAGGGCTTCTTAAACACGTACTCTGTGCCAGGCACTGAGCTACGCACTTTTTAATGAATCACTTAGTTCACTCTCTCACTCACAACTTGCTGGCATCCATCTTGCTTTACTGTTGGGGAACGGGAGGCCCAGAGAGGTGGTGCAAGGCAGTGATTTGAACCAAGGCCTCCCTCTTGCTCTCCACAGCTCATGCTCTCACTGTGGCACCTGCTAATTCTGCAGCACCCAAGCAGGTCTGGGTGGAGAGGCAACCGGCTCCCCTGCCCCCATCCCAGGAGGAACCCAAGCCTCAGGAACCTCCTGAGGAAAGGCCCCACTGGCCATGACCTTCAAAGATCCCCCGGAGACCACCTGCAGGCATACCCGTATTAGTTATCTATCGGCATAACAAATCGCCACCAACTCAATAGCTTACCACAACCCCAGTTGCAAGTTCAAAGTGCTGCAGGTCAGACATCCAGGCACTGCTTTGTGGGTCTTCTGCTCGTGGTCTCACGTGGTGAAAATCAGGGTGTCAGGCAGACTGGGCTCCTTCTGGGGGATCTGGGGAGGAGTCTGCATCCACGCTTATCCGGGTTGTTGGCCGAATGCAGTTGCTTGCAGGTGCAGCTGTAGGATTGACGTCCCTGTTTCCTGCTGACTGTTGGCTGGGGCCACTCTCAGCTCCCTTGGCTGCCCACATTCCTTGCCATGTGGTCCCCTTCATTTTCCAAATCAGCAGTGGTTCTCATCGTCCAATTCCCGACTTCCACTTTGAGGACCAGATGGAGAAAACACCCTACTTGTAAAAGGCTCATGTGATGAGGTCAGGCCCATTAGGTTAGTGTCCCTTTCTCAAAATGAACAAGTCAACAGTGCCATCAAACACAATCCTATCATAGAGTGTTCATCATATTCACAGGGGCAGGGACTATGTAGGGCATGTATACCAGAGGTGTGGGTCTGGGGACCATCATAGAATTCTGCCTCCCACAATTTTAAAAATTAATTCAGCATCAGTTCTTACTTTTCCCAAGAAGATCGCACCATATTGGGCTGGGGTGGGGCATGGAGAGGGCCACTGGCTTCACATAGCCTTGGTTCAGAATCCTGGCTCTGATCTCCAACGGCTTATGGCCTTGAAGAGGCAGCATGACTGTTCTGGGCCTCAGTTTACTCATCTGTAAAATGGAGTGAGGGCCACTGGCAGGGCAGCTGGAAGGTTAAATGGGATCATGCAGGTAGAAATTTTGGTAGAACCTGACCCTTGGGGCCTGGGCAATAGATGATGCAGCTGTGCATGGTTTTTTAGAACAACCCAGGCTTCTGTTTTGTTTGAAGTAGGGTGGGACCAATGAAAAGCATGTTTTTAGGCTCAAACACATCTGAGTCCACATCAGGAATCTTTCAGAGTCCAACTGTGGCCAGCGAGGCCCTGAGTACTGGACAGGAGACATGCCTTGTGCTGACCAGTGCCCACATGCTGGTGGCTGCAACCTGGGCTGGCTGCTCACCAGTTGCTCACAGGCAGAAGGGTCAGGGCCAAGCCTGATCCCTCAGAGCAGGAGAGTTGGGCATGGAGTTGTGGCAGGTGGAACATCATATGCCCACGCCATTGGAGCTGTGGTCCCTCCTTGGCAGTGCTCTGAGGGAAACTGGCATCCCTGTGCCCCTCCCTTTAGAGTCTTTGGCTTCCTCATTGTGTCTTACTGCGAAAGAGCAGTCAGACTGATATGGATGATGGGAGGAGCTGCCCTTTGGCTCAGAGGAGGAGTGTCAGAGAAGGGGTCACAAAGACAGCTCTGTAGGCTGAGCCAAAAGCAGTATAGGGTAATGTTAGGAGCAGGTCTTGGTGCAACTGCCTGGGTGCCCCTAGGTTCCACTGCTAACTTGCTATGTGACTGAGCCACTGTACACTTTAGTTTCCTCCTCTGTAAAATGGGGATAACAGTAGTCCTAGCCATAAAGTTGTCATGAGGATTAAATGAAATAGTGTGGGAAAACTACTGACATGTGGTGCATGTTCAGTACAAGTTATCCTCACCATTATCATCATCACCACCATCATCATCATCATCACCAGCATCATCATCATTACCGTCATCACCATTACCATCATCACCATCATCATCATTACCATCATCACCATCATCACCATCACCATCACCATCATTATCACCACCATCATCACCATCACCATCATCATCACCACCATCATCACCATCATCACCAACATTATCATCAGACCACCATCATCACCATCATTACCACCACCATCATCATCATTATCATCTTCACCATCATGATCACCATCATCATAACCACCATCATCACCATCATCACCACCACCATCATCACCATTATCATCCTCACCATGTTCACCATCATCATCATCACTATCACCACCACCACCATCATCACCATTATCATCCTCACCATCATCACCACCATCATCACCACTTTCATCACCATCACCGTCATCACCATCATTATCACCACCATCATCACCATCACCGTCATCACCATCATCACCACCATCATCATCACCATTATCATCCTTACCATCATCACCATCACCATCACCACCATCATCACCATTATCATCACCATCATCAACGCCATCATTATCACCATCATCACTATCATCACCATCACCATCACCATCACCAACTCATCATGATTTAACAGGTGGGCTGGCAATCTGAATGTTGAAGACAGAGGGAGAAAATCAACCTGGGGCAGTCAGATTTCTACAGTCCTCCCCAGCAGGACCCAGGTGGGCTACTGGGAGTCCCAGAAGCAGATATCAGCCCAAAAGATGAGCTTTGATAATTAGAGTGAGGCTATGGTGAGACTGAGTGACACTGCGGGGTGCCAAAATAATCTAGGGTTGTTGGAATGCTGACAGCAGACAAAAGTAAGATAAGGTATCTCCTGACACCACCTCCTTCCATCTGCTCTCAGACGGGGCTCTTTGGAGAGGATCTGCCAGGAAGAACTGAGGTCTTATGCCACCTCCACCTCTACGTAACCTCAAACAGGCGTCATCTTGTCTCCTGGCCTCAGTTTCCTCATCTGTAAAACGGGGACACATCAGGATCTGCCCTCAGCAAGTTGCTGAGTGCCTGCCCTGAGCAGCCGGTAGGTGGCGCTGATGGGCTGGTGGTTGGGTTGGGGGAGGCTCGCATAGGGTCTCTGGAGGTCCCAGTAGGGCACTGGGGAGACCTCCCCTGATTCCCTGGAGGCAGAGCAGAGCTCTTGTCTTTGCAGGAGCTGCAGATTCTGCCTTGGGTATCTTAGAAGCTTTGTACAGGCATCTCCAGCTCAGTGGGAACCAAATGCCATCCTATCTCCCCACCTCACTGGTGTCACCATCTTCCTGGGAGCTGTCTGGATAACCCTCTCCCTGGCCCTCACCTTTAATTTGTCCCTGAGTCCCATCAGGGTCACCCTCCATCCCACTGCCATCTTCCTGGGAGCTGTCTGGATAACCCTCTCCCTGGCCCTCACCTTTAATTTGTCCCTGAGTCCTATCAATCAGGGTCACCCTCCATCCCACCACCATCTCCCACCTGAGTGAGAATGGGAACCTCCTCTCCCACTCCCTCCAATTCCCCTCCACTACAGCTGGGGGAGGCTTCTAAAATGCCAAATATAGCCCAGTTTCTGCAACTTGCAGGGTCCCCAGCCCTCGGGAGAAAGTCCAAACCCCTGACAAAGCCTGTGAAGCCCCCTGAGGCCCTGTGGGTCTGGGGCTAGCTCTGGGCTGCAGCCCTGTCTCTGGTCATAGTCCAGCATCCACCACGGTCCAGGTGCACTGAGCTGCCGGCCCTCTCTCCCCTCCGCTGGCTCCTTCCTCCTGACTGCCCGTCTTTCCCTGGCCTCTCTATGCTTCCCGCTGGCATTGACGACAGTGTCCTGGAGAGCTGGGCAGGGAGGGCTGCCTTGGGTTCCTACTGTGTGCTCCACCTAGTGCTGGTCTTGGCCCTTAGCAAGTGCTCAGTACACCCGTGTGGAATTGGGCGGTGAGGGTAAAGGGAGGAGGAGGGAAGGGCCAAGAGCTCCCTGTGCTCAATGAAGAGAGGGACTTGAGCAAGTACTCATTTTTAGTACTTCCCAAGATGTGTACAAGAGGCCTGGGGCCAGCAGAACTCCTTGCCCCTGCCCATCCCCCTCCAGTCTATGGGGTCCACCCCCAGCTGCCCAGCTGTGAGGCCTCCATGGCTCAGCTCCTCATCTATTAAGTGAGGACAGCAGTCGTCCCCCTCACAGCGAGGCCACGTGGGTTACATAACTTTTTCTTAGGGTGCCTGGCCTGCAAGAAACCCCTAAGAATGTTCTATATTCCTAGGCCCACTGTTATTCTTAATATTACCCAGGAAAGGGTGGTGAAGCGAGTAAATAAATGAATAGGTGAATGAATAAATGAATGAATGAATGGCACCCTAGCCCCACTGTCTTCTGGGTGGCTTCAGGATCCTTGAGGAGGTTGGCCGTGTAGGTTCCCCTCAGGTAGGACCTAGGTGAGCTGGGGAGTCTTAACTCACCCAGGGCAGGCCTTAAGGTTGGGCACACCCATGTGTGGGCTCTGCCCTGGCCTTAACCGAGAGAGGGAAATGTTGACGGGGAAGAAAGCCCTGCCCACCAGGCAGCCCCACCCACCTGGGCTAGCCCCACTCACAAGCAGCCCCACCCACCTGGGTTAGTCCCACCCACCAGGCAGCTCCGCCTACCTTGGCTATCCCCCTCTGAGTTCTTGCCTTGATTCTCCTGTTACTGTCCCGCGAACCCACATCCCTACAAAGCAGGAAAGTATGCTTGGGAGAGGCCAAGTGAGTGGGGAATCAGCCCAAAGCCAGGCGTCCAGGGTCTCCCTCACCTGAAGCTGACTTTTTCCCCACCTTGGACAGAGGGCGGGAGATGCCATCCCCACTGAACCCAGTGCTTTCACCAGCCATATTAGCTCCCACTCACCCCCCGTCGTGGAAGCCTCGGCCGTCACACCTGCAGGGCCGGGGCGTGCATGGCCTCAGGGATGGCCTGTTCAGCTGCTGGGTGACTCGGGTCCAGGTGCCTCACCACCTGCTGAGCTCTGTGTGATTTCTGGACACTTCTGCTCGTTGCCTTTGGGCTCAGTGAAGAGTCTGGAGTTTATCTGGAGTGAGGTGGCCGGTTCTTGGTGGGATCTGAGCAGGTAAGAAGCAGGGTCTTTCTTATGTTTTAAGGAAAGCCCTGTGGCTGCTGGGTGGGGGACCAGCTGGAGGGGCAGGAGGGCAGCAGGTGACTCATTACAAGGCTGGGGCCATCATCCTGTGAGAGCTGGGCATGACCAGTGCAGGTCAGTGGGGTTGAGGGTACAGACCAGTGGGACCCACAGACGGCTCGGGAGTGACCAAGCCTCTGCTGAGCTGCCCAGGTCCCCTCTGGTGGACACCTCCTACCCGGAGCCCCCCAAGGTGGTGCCAAAGCTAGACCACCATACAGCCAGAGGCCTCCAGGCCCTACCCACGACAGCCCAGCTGGCTTCTGCCCAGCCACCGTCACACACAGAGGGCAGCCGTCCCCATGGTCCCTAGAGGCGGTTGAGGACCACTGTGCCTGGAGTCATCTGTGGCTATAAACCAGGAGGAGAAGGCTGCCCACCCCCTGCCCCAGAGATGGGGAGGCTGGGGCCACCCGGTGGATTTGGGCAGGTCCCAGCTTCCAGGATCATGAGGTGAAAACGTGAAGGGACCCTAGAGGCCATGGGGACCCAGGCACAGAGCGGCGGCCTCTCATCCTCCCCATGGTCAAGGAGGTCAGTGCCTTCCCGGGGTGGATTACGGATGGTAGTATCTTCCTTCTCCTCAGAGTCCATTCAGGAGCAGGAAAGTTCATCTCAGACCCTAAATCCAGCCACGTCATGCCACGCTTAACACCTCTAACAACTTCCCCTGGCACTTAGGACAGCGTCTGGCTCCTTCCCTCGGCTCATGGCCCTCAGAATCTGCGTCACATACACCCCAGCTCTCCCGATAGGTCTCTGCACTCGCTGTTGCCTCTGCCTGGAACAGTCTCCCTCCTGGTGTCATTGTCTCCGTGGTGTGTCCTTCCTGACCTTCCACCTCCACCAGGTGCCGACACTTCCCTGACCCCAGTAACCTCTTCTCTTGGGTGGGTGAATGCCACCTGCTGATGTCTGATTTATTCATCGGTTTTCTTGTCTGTAGTCTGTCCCCCTTGGGGACAGGGACTCGTTGCTCATGTTCACCCGGCAGGCTGGACACTTCGTGGAGGGCTCCAAAGCCGGCAGATCCCGGGGCCGCCTCTGTCTCTCCCAGGCCCTGCGTGTTGCGGTGAGAGGAGCATTTGTGTCTCTGTGGTTTGCTGCTGGAGCTGGTGACCGGGAGAGAAACAAGGGAGACAAGGGTGCCCAGACAGGTGCGGGGCTCAGCCAGGAGGCAGAAGACGTGGACGTGTCCCGGGCCAGGAGGGTCACAGATGCACCACAAGGCACTCTGTGTGGCACTGGGAACAGGAATTCTGGGAGTCAGTCTGCAAGGGTGGTGGGCGTTGCTCACCTGGGAGAAGCCTTTAGAGTGGGCGTTGAGCAGGCCATTAGCTCGTGCCCTGAGGAGGTGCATGGGCGGCATGGGCTCTCCATGGAAATTATGTGGGCGCGAATGGATGTGGCTCTGCGCTCACCTGGGCGA
Source organism: Homo sapiens (assembly GCF_000001405.40). Classification (NCBI taxonomy): domain Eukaryota; kingdom Metazoa; phylum Chordata; class Mammalia; order Primates; family Hominidae; genus Homo; species Homo sapiens. The sequence goes on from NC_000011.10 coordinate 69,296,075, forward strand.
GGACTTCTGGCCGGTGCCGGGGCACTCTGCATGACCCTGGCAGAATCGAGCTGCCCTGACTATGAAAGGGGAAGAAGAGCATGCCTGACCCTCCACCGGCACCCCACCCCTCACTGCTCCACCTGGGGCCTGCCTCTGCGGGTGGCTGGGTCCTGGCTGACTGTTGTGACTGTTGAGGCCCTGGGGGGGTGGCGCATGGGAGTTAGGAGGACTGGCCAGGTGGGGCCCACTATGCACCCACCCCCAGTGTCAGGTGCTTCTCCTCTCCTCCTCCACCACCTCCTCCTCCTCCTCCTCATCATCATCCTCACTTGTTGAGGACGTCCTGTGTGCCAAGTGGTTTATATGCCCAGCCTCATTTAATCCTCAGAATGACTCCATGAGGTAGCTACTAAAACCCCCCACTTAACAGATGAGGAAACTGAGGCCTAGAGAAGCTCAACAAGTTGCCTAAGTTCCAAGTTTCCTCTCCCAACTCTCCTACCCTCTCCTCTTCCTTCTCCTTTCTCCCATTCTTCCCTGCCTCTTCCCTAACTAGACAATTTTTTATTGAGTGTCTCCCAGGTGCAGGCATGAGCCAGGTGCTGGGAAAATCATGATAACCCAGCTCCTTCTGGTCATTTTCTCAGCTGGTTAGAGGCTGGGAGGACACGCAAGTTCAGCTCCAGCCGACTGGGGCATTGGTGGTAGCCCCTGGAGACATTGTGCAATGGGGCTACGAGGCTGCATCTGGCTCCAGGGAAGCGTGTTGCAATCCATGAGTGATGTCTGCCATGCGTACAGGCATGGAGAGTGAGGCGCCTGTACTGTCTTTCTGTAGACCCTAGACTGGTGGGGCCTCTGAAATGCATCCAGACACTGTGCTGGGTGTGTTGCATGGCCCTCCCAACCAATTCAGTATTTTTCTCCCCATTTTCCAGGGAGAAATCTAAGGCGTCAGAATGTAAGGTTCTTATTGGAACCCAGGCTCCAGGGTCCCTGGTTTTCTGTGACATCATGCTGCAGGACCCTGTTTCTCTCTTTGCTTTGGCTGCTGGGGAGCTCAGAAGGGAGCTTTAGGCTTGCTCTCAGTCACCACATTAGCTCAGGGGTTTGGGCATTTTTGTCGCCGTCTCCTTTGGGCTCTGTCTCCTCCCTGCTGTGCTTCCTGAGGAGCAGGCCGGATGTAAGTTATCAACTATAAATAAAACCAAGACTTCCGTTCTGGCTCTCACTCTAGTTTCCTGGTGCATTTTTTTTTTTTAAAGTTCTTAATCAAGGGAGGGGATACTCCTAACTGAAGATGACATCAGCATCAGCTGGCCCCGGGGGGCAGGCCCCCAGCCCCCAGGCCCGTGTGGGCCCTGAATGCCCCCATTATGAGGGGTAACCTCATTACACAAGACACGCTGCACGGCGGAATTTCAAATGGGGTTTTGTGGTTTCTGCCCTTTGCAGCCGAGCACACACAGGCAGCTGCGGCCGCCCGGCTTCCTCTCCCGCCGCAGCCCTGGCGCCTGGCCAGCTGGTGACCACCCCTTCTACCATGAGTCAGTTTCATTCTTAACTCTCTGACTCAGGTCCCTTTAAAGGGACAGCAGAATCCATTCATTCCAAGCAAGGGAGGAGAGGTGAAGAACCTGCCTGGGAGAGGAGTCAGGGGTCAAGAGGAAGCTTAGGGGTCCCAGGCAGGCGGCTGAGTGAGCAGCCCTGCCTCACTCCCCTACCCCAGACACCAAGGATGGAGGGGCTTTCCTGCCTGTTCCAAGGGAGACGGACCTGTGACTTCCCCAAAGCAGACCATCTGCAAGGCGGGAAACCCCGGTGTTCAGCAAGCTTCCTTTCTGTCTGGGCACAAGCCCTGCCCAAGCTCTGGGCTCAGAAGGTAATGGGGGCTTTGCAAGCCACCCCCAATGCCCCACGTGCACCACTTCCTTCTCATCCTTGGCCCCCTCATTCCTTGTACTTCCGTCGCAACAACCTCTGGAGTTCCTAGAACATCCTGAGCTGCTTCCCCCGGCTGCCTCCCTGCCACCTGGCATGCACGTCACTCCGCTCTTTGTGGTGGTCCCATCTCCTCCTTCCGAGCCCAGCTGCATGCCACCTCCTCCCACGTACATACTGCCAGTCCGTCATAGCAACCTATTTATCTCCATAGTAACACAAGGAACAACCCCAAACTCTATTCAACTTGCTCCCCATGTTAACGGCCCCCAGTGTGGACTGTCAGCTCCATGAAGGCAGGGCCCTACTTATCTCGTTCACAGCACAAGGCCGGGCACACAGTAGGTGCTCACTCAACATTCCTGGGATCAATGGGAAATGACTGTCGGGGAACCCTCTGCAGCCGTCCTTGTCGAGGGCCCCAGATGGGGTGTGGGTGGCCCCTCCCCATCCAGATGGTGTTGGAGGGGCTGGGGGCCAGGCATGGCGAGCAGGCCGAGGCTGCAGGTGGACATCCCTGGGACTGGAGCTGCTGGGGGCCAGGCTGCAGTTCCAGCCCAGGTCAGGTCTCATGTGAGGCCTCCGTGAAACAAGAATTTCTCTCTCCGTTTCCTTCTCCTGTCTGACTCACACTTTCGTTTTGAAGTTCCCCCTTTCTGCCAGTGCTTTGCCTGAGGTTACGGAGTGGTCAAGCGAGGCCAGCAGGGCGTGGAGACCAGGAGGAAGCTGGGCTGCAGTTTCATTCACAAAAACACGACCCGCCCGCTTCCTGTGTCCTGCCTGGGCTGCCCGGCCCGCAGCCCTACAGCCAGTTCACAGGGTGTTTGCAAGTTTGCAGGGGCCAGTGAGGGTGCTCCTGGGGTTTAAGAGGCTTGAGTTTGTCCACCCCACGGCCTCTGTCAGGACCCCCCCTTCCCGCCACTATGCTTCTGTCTCCCACGGTGCCTCCCAGCTCACCCCCACAGGGGCCTGGCGCAGAGCCTCAAACTCAGGATTCTATAGGAGCTGAGGGTTGGGTCTGAGCACCTTGGCGCTTCCCCTGGCCCCACTGACCCATCCTTGTTTCAGCACAGAGCTGGGAGGCCCAGGGAGGATGGCCTCTGCTGACTGGTCCAGCTCCCTCTGTGGTTCCCACCTCTCAGTGTGGGGTGGATCCAAGGGGGAGGGAAGAGAAGGGGATGGGAAGAAAACGATGCCTGTTGGGGCACAGGCTCCTAAACCCAACCTCGTATCGCCTCCTGCGAGTAGCTTCCAGGTGTCCACAGGGAGCCCGGGGTCATGCTGGCATCATTCATTCTCCACGCATCAGATGATCCTGTGGCCCCTCAGTGCCAGGCCCCACTGGCCCTCTGCGCACATCAGTGACTCTGATGTTCTCCCCCACCGCATGCTGCCAATCTGATGGTGGAGACAGAACAGCAGTCCCGGATGGTAAGGACGCCCAGTGCCAACCCCCCTTAGCAGGGGAGATGCAGAGGAGGGGGGCCACCCAATCTGGGCATCACAGAAGCCTCCCTGGAAGAGGGGGCATCCGAGCAGAGCCTGAAGGATGAGATACCAGCTAGGGGAAGGGACTGGCTGGGAGGAGAGGCAGGGAGGGGTCTCCAGGCAGAGAGACAGCAAGTGCAAGGCTTGAGTGCAGGAGAGACCCTGGTGTGTCGGAGCTGGAGAGGAGTGTGTGGGGGGTCTGGGTGGTGTGGAGCGGGGATGGAGGCCAGGCCAGGGGGTCGGCCAGGCTGAGTGGCTTGGACATTTTACTGAGCACGGTGAGGAACCCCTGCAGGCTTGTGTGCTTGGCTGGCCCCGCCCGGCTGACCACAGCTTCGTGCAGCACAATGCACATGGCACTGTGTTGGGGTCTCCTATCCAGGGTCTCATTTCACCCTGGTGCTGCCCCTGTGAGGAGGCGTTGTCTCTCCTTCTGCAGTTGAGGAAACTGAGGCCTAAGAGGCAAGTTCTGTCCAAGGTCATGCAGTAGGTGCTCCCGGAGTCATCCGAATCGCAGTCCAGGGGTCTCTCGCCACCCTCCCTGACCCTCTGGCCATGGCTGCTGCGGGGATGAAACCATCACAGGGGCAAGGCACTTTGAAATGTGAAAGCTCTGTGGTGTCATGATGATAAAAACACAACAGGAAGAACGCAACCCATTTTGGTTTTATGAGGCTGAGCTGCCCCTCTGGAACTCCCTCTTATCTGGGGATCTCAAGGCACTGGGAAGGTCCACAGACCACTCCTAGAAGCACTGGGAGGCAAGCTCAGGCCAGGCAGGAAGTGGCAGGCACTGCTCATTCTCTGCCGTCCCAGTCCTCCTCCCCTCAGAATCGACCCCTCTCCCCAAGCCAGCTGGTGCGAGAATGGGGAGCTCGGGTCCTCCCCATCCCCAGCAGGTGAGGAACAAAGACCAGCAGCAGCAGGAACGGGACTAAGGACTCCACCATCCTGGAGACAGAGAGGGGTGGAGGCATTGGCAGTTCTGCCTGGTTTAGAGTTTTCTGGGTTCAGATCCTGTCTGTCCCTTGAGACTATGAGCTCCTGAAAGTCATGGACCATGCGTGTCTGAGTCACTGGGGCCTGCTGGGATGAGCACGGCTTGATGGCTGGAGAGGAGGGAGTAGGGTGTGGAAGGCTGAGGGTCAGGGGGAAGTCACAGGACTGGCTACCCTGTCAAGGCTTCCTAGGGTTTGTTTAATGAATAAGGAATTGATGGATGAATTATCCACTAACCGAAGGGTATGAATTCCAGACAGATATGTGGAAGGATAAATGGATAAATGAATGTGTGGATGGTCTAAGGGAAGATGGATGAGTGGGTGGATGGATGAAGGGATGGGTGGATGGATAAGTGATGAATGAATGCACGGATGATGGATGGATGGATGGATGGATGGAAGGGTGGAAGGATGGATGGAAGGGTGGAAGGATGGATGGAGGGATGAACAGATGGAAGGATGGATTGATCAACGATGGATGAATGTGTGGATGTGGATAGATGGATGAATGCATGGACAGATAGATAGTGGATAGATGTTATAGGGGGTTGGTAGAAAGTGAAATAAGCACCTGGGTCATCTCAGGCATATGGGCAATGTGAGATGCTTCTAGCAGAGACTATGATGAGGCTCGCTTGGGATATGGGCAACATGAGACGCTTCTAGCAGAGACCGTGATGGGGCTCGCTCGGGATATGGGCAATGTGAGACGCTTCTAGCAGAGACTGTGATGGGGCTCGCTTGGGATATGGGTAATGTGAGATGCTTCTAGCAGAGACTGTGCTGGGGCTTGCTCGGCTTCACAGATGGAAACTTGGCATGCGTGGCACAATGCCCATGTCCTCCACCAACTAGAAGACCAATGGTTTGTCTAGGACCAAGAGACTCGGGTCATTTTCTTGGTTCAGCCTTATCAGCCCCTTGACCATGGCCAGTCTTCTCCCCTCCTGGCCTTGGTTTCCCGTCTGGATTATGGGGATTTACTGGATGAGATGGGCCTCTATGGTGGAGTGTCCAGGTTTTCCTAGGAGGAGGGGCAGCACCCCCGCCTCTCTCTTCCGCTCACAGGCCTTCCCTCACTCCATTCCCAGGCTCAGCCAAGGCACCTGCCATGCACCCTCTTTCCCACCATTTTCTAAATGTCTGGGCATGAAGCCAGCAGGAGAGATGGGCCCTGGGGAAAGGGAAGCTGGCCCCTGCTGCAGGGTGGGCAGGCTGGGGACCACTGTGGCTGCAGACAGCTGCTCAGCAGGCCCTTGGCAGGCTCCAGCTGAGTCACCCTGAGTCACCACTGTCACCTCCTACCACACATTCCTTCATTCATACAGTGTCTACCCCTGAGGCCACCTCCCTGAAATCTCACTGGGCAGTTGCCAAGGGTGTGGAGGGCACTCAGGCCTGCCTGATGGGCCCCTGGCAGGGAGAGAGGGCTGGGCAAGATGACCTCCGGGAAGGTGTGGACACCCTCTGGGTCCCTTCCAGCCCGGGAGCCCTCTGACCTCACTGGGCTGGGTTCCCTGCAGATGGGAGGGCTAGGTGCCTGTCTCCTTGAGGCCCCTTAGCAGTCATTTGGAGGAACACTGGGCCCCTCAGCTCACTAAGATTCACTGGGATGAGGAGAGGAAAGTGACTCACCTGCCCCCCTTGCCTGTCTCCTCAGCAGCCACACCCAGGCTAGGCTCTCCCGCAGAGGGCCTGTGGCCCCTTTGCAGTGGACCAGGCCAGCTCCGGAGTGGGCAGCCCTGCTCTGTGTCTGTCCCAGCGCTTCCTTTCTGTAGGGTGTGGGGCAGGCCATGCACGGCTCCAGGCCTCCGTGTCCTCGTCTGTAGTCGGGCTGTCGGCAGGCACCGCCTCTGGTGACTTGTGTGGGCACCTGGTGCTCCTCTGTCCCTCCTGGGGCCAGGAGTGTCCCACAGCCCTCTGACCTGCAGGGCTCACCTCTGGCAGGTCCTGAGTCCTGGTGTCAGATGCCACCAGGAACACAATTCTGGGCCTGAGAGGTGAGCCTCTCTCCAACTGGAAGCCTGGGCTACACTAAGAGCTTAGGGACCCAGGGTGGTGAACCCTGAGTGCTGGGCTCCCAGGGGTGGGAAGAGAGAGGCCGGGGTGGTAGCCTGGCCCCCACACAGTAGGTGCCAGGTAGGGCAGCCGCTGGGAGCCTGGCACGGGGCCTGGGGCCAGGCTGGGGCTGGTGGTCTCAGGGTCCATGAGGCCCATACATCAGCCTCTGAATTTGCCATGGCAGGAACCTGGGACACAGGAAGCCGGCACCGCTGAGCACCCTGTCCTTTTCATTCATTTCCTCTCCCGCTAACCCCAGTCAAGCCTTCTGTGGCAGGCACCGCTCTGCACTGAGGATTTATGTCAATGAAATTGACTTGGGTCCCTGTCCAAGGGGGTCTGCATTCTATTGAGGGGAGACGGAAGACAGGCAGTAACCATAGTCACATGGCCTGGCCTGCTATGGAGGCAATCAGAACCTTGGGAAAGAGAAAGGAGAGTGAGGGAAGAGGGTGCTCTCTGAGAAGGGCTTTGGATGGGATCGGGGGGGCACGGTGAGCAGGGATGGGGGGTGTCTGGACAGCGCACCCCGCTGTGGAGCAGTAGGGAGGCTGGCAGAGGGGACCAAATCTGGGAAGTGGCTAGATCCTGCACAATCTCCCATCTCCCAGGGAGGCTGACATGGGACCAGTTTTCTGGGATGGCCCCACGTGCTCTAGTGTATTCTTTTTTTTTTTTTTTTTTTTCGCAGCAGCACCAGAAACATATACACTTTATTGAATGCTATTGTAGAAAAGTGTGTGAAGATAAAGGGCTGATAACAGGACTTGGCTCCGGGGGCAGGGCGAGGAATGGAAGGTGGAGTACGTGGGATACAGGTCATGGGCAGAGCTCCTGGCCTCAATGATGCCTCCTGATCTATCGATGGGCTTGGATGATCAACACTGGGATGACGATGAGCAGAATGGTCGTGAGGATGCCCAAAATCAGGGCCCAGATGTTCAGGCACTTGGCGGTGGAGGCATAGGCCTGGGCCCCAGTCAGGTCGCCAACCATCTTCCTGTCCCTAGACTACACGGAGTAGGCGAATGCCTTGAAGCCCGGGCGGCAGGGGTTCATGAAGAGGGCGTTGAACAGGGACCAGACAACATGGTCGGGCACGGAGGTCTCGCTGCGGATGTGGATCACAGTGGATGTCGGGGGAGCAGGGTTGTGGGGTGCCCCCGCACAGCCACGTCGTGTTCCTCCTTGAGCATCTCATAGTTGGGGGGGCTGGCTGCTGTTGACAGGAGAGAAGAAGGTTTGGACAGTGTGGTTCATGGTGTCCAGCGAAGACCAGTGGTGGTCGGGTTTCTGGGGTGATTCTCAGTGGGCCCTCCCTTTCCCTAGTAGTTTCGTTTTCTCCGCTCTAGTGTATTCTTATGGGGCCCCCTTCTCCTCTCAAAGGGTGAGTTTGTTGGTCCTACCCTTGCAGGACTTTTTAAGGCCTTTGGCTTTCGCTTGAATGGATTAGGGAGCAGGGGAAGGATGGGTCCGACTCAGGCTGCTGAAAGGATGCTCTGCCTGCCAGGTTGAGAAGGGACTGGGGGATGGGGTTAAGGGTAGATTTATGATCTGTGATCCTAATATCCATTTTCTGATGATGCCCCTCAGCTCTGGGGACACAGAGGTGGGGCAGACGAGGTCTTCCCCAGAGATTCCCTGATGGGGGAAGGACACACAAAGGCTGATGAGCACCTTTTGATGAGCACAGGTTACTGCCTGCCTTCTGTCTCCCCTCAATAGAATGCAGACCCCCTTGGACAGGGACCCAAGTCAATTTCATTGACATAAATCCTCAGTGCAGAGTGGTGCCTGCCACAGAAGCCTTGACTGGGGTTAGCGGGAGAGGAAATGCAGACTAAGGCCCCAGGAGCTTGAGGAGAGAGCAGCCAAGTTGGGGAGGAAATCCAGGAAGCCTTCCTGAAGGAAGGGGCATTTGAGGTGAGTCTTGAAGGCTGAGCAGCAGATTCCCCAGGCAGAGAGTCAGAAAGAGGGGAAGGTATTCCAGGTAGAATGACAGATGGCAAAGGCTCATGTGTAGGAACAAAACACCAACCCCTCCCACTTCATTCATTCATTCATCTACTCATTCATTCTCCACTTACTTCTTGTATGCACTGTTTACCTGGCACCATGCTGGCCCTAGAGAAATACTGACCCCACTCCTCACCCACTCTGTGGCACTTGTCCAAGGAGGGGGTGGCCATGGCCAGGAAGCCATCCTGGTTTAGCAGCCGGGCAAGCATCCCTCCCTCCATGAAACCCTGGATCCCAACAAGGCTACATTTGTTTTGTATTTGAAATTCCACTAATTTTTTCGTGTCTTTGCATTAATGATTCCTCTTTAAACATCAAAGGGACCCGTAGGGCATTTTGACTCCTAACCTTTTTGTACGAGAAGCAGCTGATCATTATCCCACGGCTCCAATGATAGGCTGCAGTCAGTTCAGATTCCCAAGATTACAAAAGGAAATTCAGCTAATTATAGTTTGATAGAAATTATAGTTCTGCCGATTCCTGATTGACAGGGTGGGCTGGCATGAATCACTGTGCTCTTTGATAAGATTTTATTAATCTCTCTCAAGAATCTCACAAGTGCCTCATTGCAGGAGAAATTTCCTTTATGTCTCTCTCCCATGAAGAACCTGCTCGTATTATCCCCGGAATAAATGGAGGACCTGGAGTATGTGGGTGCAAGAACAGAGGCCTGGGAGTCAGGAATCCTGGGTTTGTATACAGCCAATAGCTTGCTGTGTGACCTCCCAAGGTTCCTTTGCCCCTCTGGGCCTTCATCAGAAGGGAGGCAGTGTGGTGCCTTAATTAAGAGCACGGGTTCTGAGCTCAGGCTTTCTAGCTACATGTCCTTGGCAACCTCGCTGATCTTCAGTTTCTTCCTCTGTAGCATGGACATGACGATAATAATAATTCCCCCCCACATGGTTGTGGCAGATCACTTGAGGTCAGGAGTTCGAGACCAGCCTGGCCAACTTGGTGAAACCACGTCTCTACTAAAAATACAAAAATTAGCCGGGTGTGGTGGCGAGCACCTGTAGTCCCAGCTACTCGGGAGGCTGAGGCAGGAGAATCACTTGAACCTGGGAGGCGGAGGTTGTAGTTAGCGGTGATCACTCCACTGCACTCCAGCCTGGGCAACAGAGCAAGACTCTGTCTCAAAAAAAAAAAAAAAAAAAAGAATAAAACGAGCTAATATATGTGAGCTGATATAAATAAGCTAAGATCCTGGATAGCTGCAGAACAGTGGGTGTAGTGGGAGAGCTTGAAAGATACCGGTTATTTTATAAGGAAGCGGTCCTCTTGAAAGTCAAGGACAGCCAGGCCGCAAGCAGAAGCTGCAGAAGACTTCTGCAGTTCCACATAAAACAGAGCTCCACGACGCTCAGGGCAGAGACAGAGGCAGGATCACATCTAACAGATGGGCAGGTGGAGGCATGGGGAGGCTCTGAGGCGTGTGCATAGTCACACGTGGGTGCAGGAGAGATCTCGAATGTTCTTGTTCCCAGCACTGCCCCCGGAGACCTCCCAGTGTGGACCTTGCCCAGAAGGACACACGACCTTTTGAATTATGTTGGCTTGGCAGAAAGCTGGACTCTTGGCAGCATGCCCCCAGGGCCTTCTCAGTTCTCATAGATATTAGTCAATGTGGACACTCTCTCCTTTCTGGAATGCCCCCAATAACAGGTGTTGGAGACATCGAGGCCCTGAGTAGTAAGGGGCCTGACCCACAGGCACAGAGTTGGGTGCTGCGGGATGGCCAGGAGCTTGGGTCTCCTTCCTTCCCACCACACCAGTAGGAGCCGGATGCTGGCAGGTGGCTTGGGGATGCCCCTTCACTTTGCTGCCGGGAAGTTGGCTGCAGAGTCCAGGGCTCATAAAAGCAGCCAGTTGAGTGAGAATGCACTGGTTCAGAAGCCAGTGGGCCCCTAGCTCCTCACAGTGGGCCCCCTTGGCCAGGCCAACAGGCCATGTCTCCTAGCCAACCTTGGGTCTGGCCCCCAAAGATTCATTTCTATCCGCAAAGTGCCTGCCCTCCACCTTGTTCAGCAGCCTAAGCCCCAGTGACCATTGGCCACCCGAGATAAGGGCCATCCTTGCTCCCTCCATTCCCTAATACTCCTGAGGCCCTGTGCACCTGCCCCACGATGGGGGCTAGAGTCCCCAAGAACAATAAGAACCTAGCTCTTGTCTTGGGAAACCTGGCAGGATTTCCCAAGTCACCCGAATGCCCAAGCTATTAGAGACTATGTTTGCCCTGAAGAAGAAAGAATCAGGCTGAAAACAGAGCAGGTAGCAGTGGGGGAGTGAAGACTGAGGTCCTTCCAGGACCACCAATGCCCTCACGTCCTCCCGCTGGGGTCCAGTGTCCCCTCCCCTCCTCCTGTGCAGAAGCCACCTCCCTGGGCCTTGGTTCCATCCTTTGTGAAGTGCAGTGACCAGTGGTTGCCATGCAGGGGATGCTTGCTGAAGTGTGCCATGGTGCCCAGCACAACACAGTGGGCAGAGGGCAGCCCATCAATACCACTCGCTGCCTTTGCTGCTCACGGTGAGTCTTACCTAGGGCAGTGCAGCGCTCCCTCACATCACCCTTCCTTGGCCCCAACCTCAAAACTTAGGACTTGGTTTCCCCTTCCCACTGTCTTTGATCAGTGCCAAAGGACCAGGCAGGACCAGTGTCAGGAAAGGGGCTGGGACATGAACGGGCTGCTCATTGAAGGTCACACATTTGCAATTTGATGGAGACAACAGGGTCTTCACGTGCCAAGCAGAGTAGCTCTGTAGCAATTCTGGGCACCCCAGCAGGTGAGGGCGGGGCTTTGCTGGAAGACAGTGCCAGCTCCCACAGAACCCTAACGAGGTTGAGCAGGAGGGGTCCTCCGTGCTTAGATGTAACACAATACCCTCGTTTTCTGGATGGGGAAACTGAGGCTCAGGGAGCTCGCTTGTCTTCTCTACACCCCAGGGTGTGCTGGGGCAGCCCTGTGCCTGTGATTCTGGGGCCCAAGTTAGCCCCGCAGCCCATGTAGGTGGCAGAACAGCCCAGATGAGCACTGGGGCCAGAGCTGGGGCCAGCTCTCGGGGTTGTGGGGGGAAATGCTACAGGTCTTGTGCTAACCACTGAGAGACTCCCAGCCCACCTTTGCTGTTCCTTTCATCCCGGTCCCTTGGGGGGAGGTTCTGGGTCCTGCCCAACCAGGCCCAGGAGGGTTTGGGACTGGCCAAAGCAGGAGGCAGGATAGGAAGCTTCCTCTGTTCCTCTCATGGGGATCACATGCTCCCGAAATTGTCCAAGCCATCTTCCTTCTCCCAGCTCAGAGGCCATCTCTTCCAGGAGGTCCACACACATCATCCTGGCCAGGAAGAGGGTCTCCCACACCCTCTGTGCCTTGGCCGTCGTCCTCTTTATCATGTCTTGTGGATTCGTTATTTTAATCAGTTATTGGCCAAACAAACCCCTCTCACACCCGAGTGCACAGCTCGTGCCAACAGCACTGCAAAGCATGTGATGTCCCCACCCCTTCCACACGGCATTCAACACCTGACCACTCCCTGCCACAGCCCCAGTCCTCTCTGGTCCAAGCTGCCCTGGCTTCCTGCAGGGGCATCTCCATGGCCCTCGATCTGTTAACATCTGAGCCTCGACCCTGCCCTTCCTCTGCTCACCCTCCAAGGGTTCATCTCAGAGGAGGCAGCAAAGTCCTCTGCGGGCCTGCCCCTCCAACCTCATCTTGCCTCTCCCGACCCTGTTCCTCCACTCCAGCCGCTATGGCATCCCTGCAGCTGCTCATACTTTTGGGGCAGCTGATACCCCAGGCCTTTGCCCTGGCTGGGCCCTCTGCCTGTGACGCTCTTTCCCAGACACCCATGTGATTTGCTTCCTCCTCTTCTTCAAGTCTTTGCTCAAATGAAGGCCTGCACAATGAGCCTTCCCTGGCCCCCTATTTATAGTTGCCTCTCCCAATATTTTGGAGCACTTGGCACCATCTGACATGCTGGGCCTCTGTCCGTGAGCAGGCCAGCTTCTGGGTGGCAGGGATTTGGGCTGTGCATTCCCTGCTCTCACACCACTCCTACAACCATGCCTGGCACGTCATAGGAATGCCAACAAGCCATGTAGGGTGAAGGCGGGAGTAGCCCTGTGGGCTGGGTCATGCGGTCTCCTACATTGTATATGTGCAGAAGCTGCAGCCACGAGGCCTGCTTGAGGTTGCCTGGCTCTTGCTCCTGCGGGTCTGAACCCAGCTAGATGTGACTGTAAGTCCCAGCTTTCCAAAGGCTCCCACTGCCTTAGGTGCACAGTGTGCCACCTAGCACGGGAAGTGGAGCCCGCCAGGCAGCACCTGGGATACGGGCTGCTCCAGGGATGCCCTGGGAGGAGGGGATGGGGATGCATCCCAGGGAAGAGGTTCCTGGGCTATGACGGGGGTGCAACTCAGCTTCCCCTGGGGTCGGGGAGTGGGAAGACCATTCTGAGAGTGGGAACAGCTCTTGCAAACATGGCCGACATGCAGGTTGGGGCAGATTTGGTGATGAGTGCCTTGGGCCTGATTGGAGGTCCCGTGGGGGTGGGTGGCTGTGGGGCCCCCAGGCAGGGCCTGAAGCAGGCGGAGGGGGTGAGTGGGGGGTTCTGATGGGCCACTGGGAGTGGCCTGAAGTGCACTGGAGCAGGAGGTGGCATTGTCCGGATCCTGTTTGAAAGACCCCTTTTCTGATAGAAGGAGGGCAGATTGCCGGGTGAGTCAGGGGTGGTGGCAGCTATCTGGGCAGAGGCTAGTGTGGGGTGGGAGGCGTGAGGCAGATGTGAGAGCTCAAGGAGGGAGACTACATGCAGCTCAGTGACCTGGGTCTCAATGTGTTCCCAGGTTTGCAGCTGGGGCAACTGGAAGCAGGAGAGGGACCTGGAGAAAGGAAGGCAAAGAGGTGGGTTCCTTTTGGGGCACACTGAGGTTGAGCTGCTTAAGAGACTCCCACGGGTGAGGCAGAAGCCTTGAGCTGCTGGGTTAGCAGCTCCGGGCTCAGGGGAGATCTTGGCCAGAGAAAAATTCTGGGGGTCCTAGTATTCACATAGTGACTTCAGCATGGAGGGGGCAAGGTCCCTCCAGAAGCAGGTGTCTGGAGGAGAGAGGGCTATGGCCTCCACTCCAGGCCCAGCTGGCCCCTAACGGACCCTCCCGCCCGCAGCACCTGCCCTCAGGGCCACAGGGGGCTGCTGGCACCTGGCTCGCTGGGAATGCTCCAGAGGTCCCCTGTCTGCTGCTCATGATTTCACAGACTTGGCAACCAGGACAGGATTGCTATTATTTTTCACCAGAAAACAATGTATGGATTTTGGGCTCTTGCTGATGATTCTAGAGGAAAACAGCTGAGAGGATGCGTGTTTTCAAGGGAACATTCCTCTTTGGACTCGGTCCACTCAGTGTCCTCTTGGAAAACCACAGGGAGGGCTGGAAACAGTCTTAGACTCACATGAGGGGGAAAGGGAGACCAGATCCTTCTCCCAGCTCTGCTTGTGGCTCTCTGTGTGATCCCATGAAGAGAGGAGGAGCAGTGACTCTCACCTGAAATGCTCCCAGCCAAACATGGCCTAAACCAAACGGGATGGCCTCCCTGCCCCTATCCTGGTCCTCCATGGGCTGTCCCCATCTCATGGAATGGGGCCAAGCCTCACACATGGGTGTCACACGTCCTTCTGGGGATTCCTGTCCCTTGTATCTCTTGAATCAGGCTCTTAGATTCTTCTGCTTCATTCCATCATTGTAACCTCCTTCCACGACTCTCAAATCCGTCTCCTTCTCCATATCTCCACTGCCGTCCCTATGTTCCTCTCTGCCTTTGGCTCTGCACGGTACGAGCAGGTGGTCTCTGTCCAGCCAATGTGGGCCCTTTGCACACTGGTGTGAGTGCTTCTAAGTCTCGTTCCAGCTCTCAGTTCGGCCTCTCCCAATCTCCTTGTGTCTTCCCACAGCATGTGGGAAAAGACTAGGAGGACGGCACTGGGGCCACAAAGATAAGTCCATTGTCCCTGCACTCCAGGGATCTGAGCCCCGTGGGCCCCCGGCATGAGTATAATGTGGAAAGGAAGCCTGCGGAAAGGCTCCAAGAGGACGGTACGTTAGAACTGGGTCTCGAGACATGGGTGTCTGGGCCGTAGGGGTGCAGAAACCAGGTCCTGACTTGGCCTGGATGCAAGTGCCAGGGGCTGTTCTGTCTCTGTCAGCTCCAGGACCATTCAGGGGTGGCACAGAGCTTGGGAAGGAATGAATAACAGTCCTGGACATTATGCCAACATTCAGTGAGTGCCTACTGTGTGATCCAGTAGACCCTGGGTGATGTATTAACTTGCCAGTCCTCCCAGTAACCCAGATTAGTCCCAGTCTGCAGACGTGGAGGTGGAAGCTCAGAACAGTTCGGTCACTTGCTTGAGGCCACACAGCGAGGGGGGCAAAGCCAGGCCACCTGCTCCAGAGCCTAGGCATGGATGGGGGTGGAGGGGAGTCCTGAGCCGGGGGGTTCTTTGCTGCCTTTGGGCAGGGTGGGCACAGAGGTCCCAGTCTCGCTCTTGGCCACGCCGAGTGCTCCCTTCCGCTGACTGTGGCTGTAGTACCGACAGGTGTCTCTATTGATGCTACAGCCCCCACCTTTCATTGTCTCTGGGACAAAGGCTCCTCGGGCTCCTAGCTTTGGGACAAGACTGTGGCTGCTCCCTGCCATTGGCTAGGCCTCCCACTGGGGCCTCCTGCCCACTACCTCCCCATGCCTTGTGGCAAGCCTGTGAGTCAGCGTACCCATTTCACAGCAGGGACACAGAAAGCCCCTGAAACCAGGGACTTTCCCAGCACAAGAGTGTCCAAGACTAGAATCCAACTTTGTCTCGGTCCAGCCACCTGCAGAGTGACCCATGCGGATAGTTGTCAGCCCTTGCTGAGCCATCCTTTGTTTCCTGTTCATACTTTCCCATAAGTCACAGAATCCTCCAGGCAACCCAGTGATGTAGGCACTGTCACTATTCCTTCCTACAGACCTGGAAACTGAGTCACAAAAAGCAAGCTGCTTTCCCAGACCCCACTGCTCTGCTAGGTGGAGGCCAAGCTCGTGTGTGAACCCAGACCGCTGCTCTGAACTTCTCCACACCACACTGTGTAGAGGAAATAAGAGCTGGGAGACTTCTGCCTTCAGGGACTGTGTTTTTCCAAGAAGCCTGGAGGAAAGGATCTAACATTTATTGAGCACCTACTAAGTGCTGGCTGATCTCATAGCATTACTTTGCAAAGTGAATATTCTTCATCTTATTTTATAGATGAGGAAATGAGACTCAAGGAAGCAATATTGACTTGTTCCAGGTCGCCTAGCTAGTGAGGACGCGAGGAGAGGCAAGACTCTCCCCAGCCTGGGACCCCAGGGACCCTGCTAGTGAGGACGCCTGCTCCAAGCCTGGCCCCTCCAGGGAGGCTAGCTCTCACTAGCAGGGCAGCCTCCTTCCTTCTCCCTCCTTCCCGCCTCGGGAGAATTAAGTGGTAAATGTTTTCAAAGTCAACTGTCAAAAGAAAATGGTTAGAGGAAGGAAATGTGCAATTAGGAGCTTCAGAGTAATTTTCATCGTGTGGTTTGAGCTCGACTGTAAACACTCAGGAAGGAGAGAACGCGGCTGTTTCCCCCCCGGCTGGTTTCCTGCCAACTCTGCTGAGTCCCAGAACCGGGTGGGCTCCAGGCTGAGGCACTAGCAGGGAGGCCGGTGGGCAGCCAGCCTTGGACTGGGGAGGTGCTGGGGGCTGTGGGACACTCCCATTCCCAAGAGAAGCTTCTTCCAGCAGAATGTGCCGGCATTACAGAAAGGAAATATTAACATTATAATTATAATTCTGTTTATTTAATTAAGTTATTAAACAGGCCCAGCTTGGGGCGGGGCAGGGGGGAGAAAAAAAAAAAAACAACCCATAGTTTCATTCTAATTGTTTCTCCCAGGATGTAATTAGAGCCTTATAGAAGGAGTCAGAGCCAGAGAAGGCAGGGGCTCTGCCAGGCTGGGTCCAGGCCTGGTGCACAGCTCCGGGCAGGCTGGGCCTGGGGGAGTGGAAGGTAGAGGCTGGCTGTGGGAATGCAGCCTCTATGAGGGCTGGAACTCAGGCCTGTGTCCCCATGCCTGGCATGTACTAGGTGCTCAAGAAATAGTTGTGGAATAATTGCCTAGTGGACTTTGAGCAAGCAGAAAGGGCTGGTGGAGTGACTTTCTCAGCTGCCCTAAAGACATTCAGCAGATGATTTTTCTAGAAGGGATGCAGCAGCCTCCTCCTGGGGCTGCTCTTGGCCATTACCTCTGCTCTGACCTCCCTGGTGGCCCACCGTGGCTTGCAGGTGACCACACCGAGCAGCCTGTCTTAGATTGAGACCTTCACCTCTTCCTTCTGTGCCCTGGTCACTGTGGGCTGAGCCCTGGGGCAGAACAAACAAATGTCACCAGCTCCCAGGCTCCAGTGTGGAGGCTGCCCCTGTGCATCCCAAAGGGACGGGAGTATGAGGGCCCCAAAGGGTTCAGGAGGCTAAAACCCCTACTCCAGGTCCCCCAGTCTGAGAAGCCCTTTCTGGGACCTTGGACCAGGCCCAGCAGAGCCCCTCTTGAGGGGGCCAAGGGAGGCGCTGGCCCTGAACAGCCTCCAGATCCGGTCCTGTGCCCCTCGCGCTGACAGCTGCCCACAGGCTCCATGCAGAACCTCCCGTCAGACGGGAAGTGTCTTGTTCCAGCTGGCACGGCTTTATCGAACAGTCCTGGCTTTGTAAGTGTGGACAGCTGCGGGGAGAGGAGCTGGCTCTGGGGAGGTGTGGGGGCCGGGTCGGGGGCTAGACTGGGGAAGCTGAGGAGTGGGAGGTCAAAGCCAGCAGCATCTGCAAGTGGGTTGGGGGCCATGAAGGTTTGGTTTAGGGGGCATCCCCTGGAAAGCCGAGCCCCTAAACAGGAAGATGGGATGGGAGGCCAAATTGGGGAATGACCATGAAAGAGAGAGAGGTGTGTGGGGGGGAAGATGGGAGGGGCTGACGTGGCCTCCAGCGCTTGCTCAGCTCTGGTACAGTCAAGAAGCTGTCTTCATATGGGCCACACTGAGGCACCACAAAACCAACAACTTCAGAGAGATGGTAGGGCTTCTATATGCCACCTACCCACCCATCCACCCATTCACCCACTCATCCACCCACACATCCATCCATCCATCCATCCATCCACCCATCCACCCATCCATCCATCCATCCATCCATCCATCCATCCATCCATCCATTCATCCATCCATCCATCCATCCATCCATCCATCCATCCATCCATTCATCCATCCATTCGTCCATCCACGCATCCATTCATCCATCCATCCATCCATCCATTCATCCATCCATCCCCCCCATCCATCTAACCACTCATTCACACACACACACATATCCATCCATCCATCCATCCATCCACCCATCCATCCATCCACCCATCCATCCATCCACTCATTCGCCCATCCATCCACCCACCCATCCACCCATTGGTCCATCCATCCACCCATCCATCCATCCATCCATCCATCCACCCACCCTTCGGACTCATCCACTCATCCATCCACCCCTCCTTGTACCCATCCATCTACTAGTACATCTATCCATCCATCCATCCATCCATCCATCCATCCATCCATTCATCCATTCACCCATCCATCCACTAATTCATCCATCCATCCATCCATCCATTCATCCACTCAACCATCCATCCTTCCATCCATCCAACATTCATACAAGACTTGCACTAGGGCACATCTTCTACTGGCCTCCAAAGACCCAGAAAATAATCAAATTGTCCCTGCCCTGTTGGGCATATATAGACACTTCCAGTGTGTATATATGAGCAGTGGAGGCAGGGGAGACAGAAGACAAATAAATCCCCCTGATAGGTCAGGAAACTTCTATAACTAAGAAGATGTAAACCCACCCACTCACCCTAAGCCTCAATTTCTCATCTGAAAAGTGGGGATAAGGTAGTGCAATGGTGAACTGCTATAGTGTTAGATGAGATGATAGACACAAGGTATTTGTTACTGTGCCTGGCATGGAAGGTGCTAAGTAACTGTTATGATTATTTTTAGCATCACCATTTCCATCATTATTCTCTCTGTCTGAAGAGAATAGGAGGATGAGAGTGGGCAGTTTAGGAAAGCCTTCTCAAGTGGGGTCATTTGGACTGGGTGTTGAAGGATGAGTAGGAGTTCATTGGGTACTAGTATTGTGCTTCCCCACTAGCAGCCCACATTCATACTACACTCATCCCTGCCTTTGCATCATACTTCTCACCCTTACTCCTCCTCCCCAAGGCCCCCTTCCTTTAGGTCCACCTCTAACCCTAACTCCTCCAGGAAGACTTCTTGCCTACCCCAGGCATTATCTTGCTCCTTCCTCTTGTCTTGTGGCACAAAGATCACACCACACATCAGGCCCTCAGAACTTCATTCTGAATTTTGAAATGCTTCAGCTGACTCTTCAGGATGGGGCAGAGTCTTCTCCTCAAATCCCTTATATCTGGAGCCTCAGAGCTGGATAAATTTGTTGACTCTGCCCCAGGGGACAGCCAACAGTGACCAGGGCACAGAAGAAAGAGGTGAAGGTCTAAATCTAAGTCCCAAGAAGGTGTAGACCTATCTACAAACAGGAGCAGCCTCCTAGGACTTTGCCTGCATCTGCCTACAAGGTTAATGCAGTTCCTACCTGGAGCAGCTCACAGTATAAGGAACAGAGGGAAGAGGAGGACAAGGCTGGGAGTTTCTCTAGCATAGATTTCATGTCCTGGTTAAACTTGGGTCTTCAGCACCAAGCACAGAGTGGGGGCTAAGAATCATTGGATGGATGGGTATGTAGGTGTATGTGTATGGTTAGAAGGATGCATGGAAGGATAAGTACATGGATGGATATATGGATGGATGGATGGATAATGGTTGGATAAATGGATGATGGATAACTGAATAGGTGGGTGGATGGGTGATGGATGGACAGTTGGATGTGTGGATGATGGACAGATGATTAGATGAATAAGTGGAAAGTTAAACAATACAACTAGAATCTTTAGATTCTGATTAAACCATAGAAGCAGGAACTTTGAGACTGTATAGATCAACCCAAATTAATTTACCTGATCAGTGCTTCTGAGTGTCTCTTTTTGCCAGATATTGTATGAGGTGCTGGGGATACCACAGGGAACAAGATACAATCCATGACCTCATGGAGCTTGGCATCTAGTTGAGAAGCTAGGAAATATGCAAATAAAGCCCAAACAAAATGTTTTAAAGGTGATGACTGCCTGAAGCTTACTGGGGGGCACTTTAGTTAGGGGCATCAGGGAGAGTTGATGAGAGGATAAGATTGGAACTGAGGACTGAATGGCAAGAGTCAGCTGTATGAAGATCTGGGGAAGACATGAGAACAGTAAGTGCACTGGTCCTGAGGCAGGAGCAAAGTTGGACTTGTTCAATAATGTAAAAAGATTTGAGTACTTGGAGTGGAATAAGAGAGGGAGCTGTGGCCTGAAATAGCAATAGAGAAACAGGACAGGGCAGATCACACTGGACTTTGTAGGCCATGGCCAGAGGCATGGATTTTGTTCTGTGTAGGTTGGAAGGCACAGGAGGGTGTTAAACAGGAGGAGGAATGGTCTGAGTTCTGTAAAGGATCACTGTGGCTACTCCATGGGGCTATACAGAAAGGCACGTGAGGGGAAAGCAGGAAGGCAGTGAGAGGGCATCACCATGGACCAGGCTAGAGAGGGAGGTAGTGCAGCTGGGGAGATGGGGCAGGTTCAGGACATGTTTGAAGGCACAGACAACAGAGTTGATTTATGATTTGGCTGTTGGGGAGAAGGATGCTTCCCAGCCGTTTCACCTCAGCAACTGGACTGGCCTAACCCTAACCGTAACCCTAACCCTAGCTGCCACCCACCCCCTACTCCTCTGCTGAGACTCACTGGAGCCTTGACCTCCCAGGTTCAAATGATCCTACCACCAATTGCTATGGTGATAGAGTTGTTGTTTCTGATGATGGTGGCTGTGGTAGTGGTTTATTTCCTCCATCAGCAGGCTCTTCCACCATGACAATGAGCCATTTCCAGCCATTTTCAGGGACTCTGGAAGAAATTGGCTTGAAGAACAGCTGGACACACATCCAGTCTCAGAGCCTAGAGGTGAAGCACACGGACTCTGGAGTCAGAGAGACCTATGTTTGAATCCTGGTCCTACCACTTTCTCTCTCATCCTTATGTTAGTCACTTGACTTCTTTAGGTCTCTGTGTTGTCACCTGGAAAATGGAACTTTCCACCTCCTCGGGATGTTATGATGATAGATGTAACAAGCTCAGCACAGTGCCTGTACAGGTGAGAGCTCAGATAAAGACTCTGCTGTTAACAATTACCTCTCCTCTGATGGGGAGTTTATCACCCCATCTCAGCAGCCCTGCTCCTGTTCCTAGTTCCAACAGGCCCTGGGAACTGGGTTGCCAAGACCAGCTCCTGACAGCTGCCACCCACCCCCTACACTCCTCTGCTGAGGTTCCGGAGCCTAGGGGCATGGGGCATTGCGAAGGCCTCACTGGGTTTAGAATCGAGCAAGATTATAGAGCACATTTTGCAAGAGTGGGAGGAGGTGGAAGTAGCCCAATTCATAGTAGCTTTCCCAACCCGTGGCTCTAATTGGCAGAGAACATCCCCTAAGGCACCTCTATGCTCCATGAGGAGCTTGTAATTAATAGGTGGGGATCCTGAGGGGCAAGGTTGACAAGGCTATGCTTGGGGGATGGAGCCCTCTGAGGGACGGGATTGAAAGGGTGTTTGCAGTCACATAGCCTGTCTAGGGATCAGTGTTTGTTTGTTTGTTTGTTTGGTTGGTTGGTTGGTTTTACCTCCCCAGTGGGGCATAGGCTGAAGTAAGGATCACACCAGTGTCCACAGGCTTCCTGCATGAGTTCCTCCATCCTTACCTCTGTACTGATGACTTGCAGACCTCTCTCCCAGCCTGGCCTCCCTCCTGAATTTCAGAGTCATGTCTCCCAGTGTATGTGTTAATGTCTCTGTTTGGATACCCTACAGACATCATGGTGTGTTTCAAACTAAGGAATTCATTATCTCATTCAGTGACTTTTTCATTTCAGTTGTTATTTTCAGTTCTAGAATTTCCATTTGGTTCTTTTGATTGTAGTTTTTGTTTCTCTGCTTAGAGTCCTTATCTGCTCCCTTATGACAATCATATTTTCCATTAATTTGTCAAGCATATTTTTCTCTAACTTTTTTGGACATATTTATTATTGCTGCTTTGAATGATTTTTCTGCCAAATCTGTTATTCGGGCTATGTCAGGATTGGTTTCTACGGATGGTTTTTGGTTTTCCTTTTGCCTATGAGTCATGTTTTCCTGTTTCTTTGTGTGTTTGATAATTGTTGGATTATATTTTGGACCTTGTGGGTGATAAGTTGCAGAAACTCTGGATTCTGATATCCTGCTCTGAAAAGGGTTGATTTTTATTCCAGGAGGCATTTCAATTACTGGTGGATTACTTGAGTGTGTGTAGTCTTGGTCTTATTATTTGTTATGGCTGATCTGTGGGAAGCCTAATGTGTTTCCCAAATTTCTCTCAACTTGGTGAGCATCCAGCTCCAATATGCAAATCTTTTTGAGGCTTAGTTCTAAAGGCTTTGTTAGAGAAGATCTACAGCAGGCTTTACTCAAGGATGTGGACCTTATTACTAAGATGAGGCTTTTCTGGCCTTGCAGATAGATGCCTGCTGTGTTAATGAGTTCTCTGTACTCTGGTTAGGAAAGAACTCCAAAGTCCCCGAGCACTGCTTGACATCTGGAATCTCTGTTTCACTCTCAACGTTATAGGAGTCATTCTTCATTAAGCCTGAGGTGGTCTCACCAGCAGGCAGGGCCCCTCAGCTGGACTTCTTCCTCCTTCCCCTATGCAGCTCCCTCTTCTCCAAGGCCCTGCCTTGAAGATTCTAGGTGCTTCAGTGATACAGGTTGAATGTTTGTACCCTACTAATCTCATGCTGAAAGGTAATCCCCAGTGTTTGAGGTGGGGCCTGGTGGGAGGTGTTTGGATCATGGGGGTGGATCCTTCATGAATGACTTAGTGCCATCCCCTTAGTGATGAGTGAGTTCATGTGAGATCTTGTTTAAAAGTGTGTGGCACCTGCCCCTTCTCTCTCTTGCTTCTGCTCTTGCATGTGACATACCTGTTCCCACTTCACCTTCCACCATGACTGGAAGCTTCCTGAGGCCCTCACCAGAAGCACATGCCAGCACTACACTTCCTGTACACCCAGCAGAACAGTGAGCCAATTAAACCTCTTTTCTTTATAAATTACCCACTCTCGGGTATTCCTTTATAGTAAAGCAATGGACCAACACATTCAGCTATTCCAGACTCTAGTCTCTGTCCGCTCTGAACACAGTGTGAGGGCCATTGTATTCAATGTGGATCCCAGCTCACTGCACCCTGATTGTGAATTTGTCCCCAAGCACAGATCCAGGGAGATCATGGGGCTCATCTCATATTTTTTTCTTCTTCTTTTGGGGATTGAAAGCTTGTTCTGTCAGGGATACAATGTTGGCCTTCTGTATTCTGTCCAGTCTTCTGATTGCTTATAGCTTAAGTTACTATGCCATGACCAGACATGAGCAATGCATATCTTTACCCAAAACCTTCCTCTCTCATATTCTTCATTCACTCATTTCTCCAAAATAGAATCTTTGCCACCGCCCTCTCTATCACTCCCTATGGGCGATTCATCAGCAAAATTGGCTCCTTTGACATTTCACTGGAGCCCTTGAGTCTGTCAAACTTTCCTTCTCTCCTCCCCTTGCCCAGGTCCAGGTCACTGCCTGTCTTCACTAGGACCAACCAACTGCCTCCTCGCTGGCCGCCAGCCTCCAGTCTTGCTCTGTTCTGGTCCATTCCCCACCCAGCAGCCAGAGGCCCCCTTTAAACCTACAGATCTGATGTTGGCTGTGCCTTACATAAAGCCCTGAAGTTGTAGTCTTGGCTGGCAAAATTCTTGAAATCTGCAACCCCCACCTAGCTCTGTCCCCCTTTTATTGTCACTTCCCCACATTCCTGCCACATGGATCTATTTGCAACTCCTAGATGCCATCAGACCACCTGTTGTCTGGGAGCCCTTGCTCCAAGTGTGACTGCT
Organism: Homo sapiens; assembly: GCF_000001405.40. Lineage (NCBI taxonomy): Eukaryota > Metazoa > Chordata > Mammalia > Primates > Hominidae > Homo > Homo sapiens. The sequence goes on from NC_000011.10 coordinate 69,319,745, forward strand.
GTCCCTGGATATTCTGTCTAGCAAGGTTTCCAGTGTAGTCCATTGTCACCCACACTGGGTGGCCTTCAAGGCCGAGTGAGGCCTTTCTCTATGTGCAGGCACAGTGCCTGTGTTTCCTCCCTCAGCAGGCTCTGAGCTCCGCTAAAGCAGAAAGGGAGGTGGGTTCACCGCACTTCCCAGAGCCTGGAGGACACGCTCCCTTACTGTCTGACGAGGGAGTCAATGTCAAAGGCTACAGAGGGGCAGGAAGGCGGAGGTGTTTGTGCACCACGATGCTGGACGTGGAGCCTGGGGACTTCCCAACATGGATGCAAGCTCTGCAGAGGGAAGGGGTGCTCTACAGGCTGACCACTGGCAACGACTCTGGGCGTTCTGCTGGCACCCACAGGGACAGTGGTGGTGAGTTCTGCTCCTTGCAAGAAGGCAGTGAGCACAGCCCAGGATGAAGGGGTGCGTGTAGATGGGGCCATGTGCACGTTGGTCCCCAGAGATACTTCCAGGGCCACCTGCAACCCCCTGAGGACCCCCAGACCTGCTGGAAGACCTGAGATTGGAAGGATTTCATGCTCCCCCTGGCCGCTGCCTCCTGTCTCCCCCACTTTGGCCACCTATCACCCCATCCAGTGGTACCCTCCTTTGGTGGGTAACTCCAGCAGAGACCTCAACTTTCTATGCTTTTCAACCTCCGGCCTCAGGGCGCGTTGCAGGAGTCCCCAAACCAAGGGCGTTTCTCCTTCTCGCCACCAACTTCCCACCCCTGGGAAAGTCCACATTCCTGAGCCAGACATTCACCCGGGGGAATCATTACCCAGTGCCCTGTGTGCAGATGCCAGGGCAGCGGGTGTCCTTCCTCCCCAGGGCTGCATCCTTCCCCTGCAGACTGCACAGGGTGCCCCCAGCCTGCCTCCCCAAAAGTCTTAGGTAACTGTTGGGTCTCTCACTCTAACACCCACATAAGTTGGGTCTGGATAAACCACAATGCGGGATCCTTCAGGGGATGGAGACAGTAGCTGAGGAAAAGAAAGAGAAGTGGGACTCAGGAGAGTGGTAGGGAGACACAGGCCATGAGTGAGGCAGGGAGAGAGTGAGAGGTGTGGACGGACCCTCTGTCAATCCCAGAGGTAACGCTGACCACCCCCAGGGCAGGGCAGGAGCCAAGAGACAAGAAGAGAGGAACCCGGGGAGCGTTTCAGCCCAAGCTGAGGAGGCCCCAAGAGTCCCTGCACCCCAGGAGTTCTGTGGGTGTCCAGGGCAAGAACCCCTGTGCCGGAAATGCCTTCTTTTGCCCCTCCAGGCCTGCCCTCTGCTCTGCTCTCTGCTTCAGGGGCTAAGCCCGATGGACTCATTCCTCAGCTCCCATGCCCTCTGGCTTCCTTTTGGGAGTGCCCCAGCTGTAGGTGAAAGGGAGAGGGGAGGGTGAAGTCAGAATATTCATGTCACAGCATCGAAAGCTTTGGGGTCACTTTGGGCAGGCTGTGTCCCTAGACTGAAGGTCTTAAGCTTCTCCCAAGGCAGGCCCCTCTCCAACATTCCCTCCTTTCCAGGTTCTGGCATGGCTTATGCCTTCCCTTAAACCTTCAGCCTCAGGGTGGCCGCAGCCCTGGGGCATGGACTGTGGTGCACTGCCTGCCCCTATGGTTTCCCTGTACCCAGTAGTTTTCCCAACTTGAGTCATTCTTTCCTAGTGGAAACCTGACACTTCCCCATTCTGTGGCAGCCTAGGAGGGTGGTCTGTACCCCAGAGAGGCCTCTAGCTGTGATGTGCCACTGCCTCCCTATGCAGGAGGCTTTGATGGGGTACACTCTAAACACCCCCAGGACGACCCAGGCATCCTCCTGGAAAGCTGGGTGCAAGCCAGAGCAGGGCTCCCAGGTCCATGAGGGTGCAGCAGATGGAAGGCCAGCCCGGTGACCATGTGGTGATAGCACAGGGCAATGATGACTGGAGGCTCTAGGGTCACAGGGATTTTGGTTCAAGTTCTGCCTCTACCTGTTACTCATTGTGCACCCTTGGGGTGCCCCACATCATCTCTCTGAGGCTCAGTTCCACCTAGAGTTCTATACAGAATTCAGCAAGAAGCCGAGTGTGCAGCCCCCAGCCCCAGCTCCAGCGCACAGTGGCCCCAGCACACACTGATGGGGCACGTTTTCCCAGCTGCCCTGTTGGTTTTCCTCAGTGAATCGCTGCTGAGTCAGTTAGCAGGTCCCCAAAGTAGAAACTTTGTCAGATCCCAAAGAATGTCAGCCCCAGTGACTCACGTGTGTTTCTCCCAAAAACACAATCGCAGGCCTTTGGGATCAGCTCAGCCATCTCTGAGACATTTCAATGCTGTGAGCAGGATGCTGGGTTCCGGCCACAAAAGAGCTGGGTGCAAGCCTGGTCTCCATGAAAGGAGTTCCCACTTGGAAAATCTGATTCAATTGACTTCTCCCTTTCAGTTTAGCTTCACAGTTCCCTGGCTATGTCTACATCTAAGAACTATGGCTCCATGATGAATTGCCTGGCAGATGGTGGTTGTGATGTTTGTGTTGTTGCTATGGTGATGGAGTTGCTGTTTCTGATGGTGGTGATCCTGGCAGTGGTGGTGGGTTATTTCTAAGGGTGATAGTGGGGTGGTGATGTGGTGGTGATGGTGACAGTGTGGTAGCATTGGGTGGTGATGGTGGTGCTGATGGACACGGTGGTGAGGAGGTAGTTATGGTGATAGGATTTTGATAGTGCTGGGGGTGGAGTTGATGATGGTGATGGTAATGGTGGTGTTGTTTTCGGTGCTGATTGTGATGAGGTGATGGTGGTAATAGCAGTAGTACTGGCAATGCTGGTGGTGGTAGTGGATTGTTGGTGGCGGTGGTGGGATTGGTGCTCTTCATGGTGATAGTGGAGGTGGTCAGGATGGTGGAGGTGGAGGTGATGGTTTCAGTGATGGTACTGGTGAAGATGGAGGTGATGGTTTTAGTGATGGTGATGCTGGAGGTGGGGGTGATGGTTTTGATGATGTTAGTGGTGGAGGTGGGGGTGATATTTTTGTGAATTGTCGTGGTAGTGATGGTGGTGGTAGAGGTGGAGGTGATGATTTTGGTGGTGGTGGTGGTGATGTTGGCAGTGGAAGTGGGAGTGATGGTGGTGATGGAGGTGGCAGTGATAGTTTTGTGGATGGTGATGGTGGTGGCGGTGGTGGTAGTGGTGAAAGTGGAGGTGATGGGCTTAGTGATGGTGGTGGTGGAGGTGGGGGTGATTGTTTTGGTGATGGTGGTGATGATGATGTTGGCAGTGGAGTAGAGGTGATAGTTTTAGTGATGGTGGTGGTGGAGGTGGGAATAATGATTTTGGTGATGATAGTGGAGGTGGGGGTGATGGTTTTGGTGATGGTGGTGGTGGTGGTGATGGTGATATTGGTGGTGGAGGTGGAGGTAATGATTTTAGTGATGATGGTGATGGTGATGGTGGTGGTGGAGATGGGGATGATGGTTATAGTGATGGTGATGGTGATGTTGGAGGTGGGGGTGATAGTTTTGGTTATGGTGGTGGTGGTGGTGATGGTGATGTTGGTGGTGGAGATGGAGGTAATGATTTTAGCGATGGTGATGGTGGTGGAGATGGGGGTGCTGGTTTTAGTGATGATGATGGTGGAGGTGATGGTTTTGGTTATGGCGGTGGTGGTAGTGGAGGTAGGGGTGATGGTTTTGGTGGTCGTGGTGGTGGTGATGATGATGGTGATGTTGGTGGTGGAGGTGGAGGTAGTGATTTTAATGATGGTGATGGTGGTGGAAATTGGGGTGATAGTTTTAGTGATGATGATGGTGGGGTGATGGTTTTGGTTATGGTGGTGGTGGTGATGGTGATGTTAGTGGTGGAGGTAGAGGTGATAGTTTTAGTGATGTGATGAAGGTGATGGTTTTAGTGATGCTAGTGTTAATGATGGTGATGGTGGTGGTGGAGGTGGAAGTGATGATTTGGGTGGTGGTGGTGGTGGAGGTGGGGATGATGGTTTTGGTGGTCATGGTGGTGGTGGTGGTGATGGTGATGTTGGTGGTGGAGGTGGAGGTAATGATTTTAGTGATAGTGATGGTGATGGTGGTGGAGATGGGGGTGATGGTTTTAGTGATGATGATGGTGGGGATGATGGTTTTGGTTATGGTGGCGGTGGTAGTGGAGGTGGGGGTGATGGTTTTGGTTATGGTGGTGGTGGTGATGTGATGTTAGTGGTGGAGGTGGAGGTGACAGTTTTAGTGATGTGGTGGTGGGGTTGATGGTTTTAGTGATGCTAGTGTTAATGATGGTGATGGTGGTGGTAGAGGTGGAAGTAATGATTTTGGTGGTGGTGGAGGTGAGGGTGATGGTTTTGGTGATGGTGGTGGTGGTGGTGATGGTGATGTTGGTGGTGGAGGTGAAAGTGATGGTTTTGGTGGTGGTGGTGGAGGTAGGGGTGATGGTTTTGGTGATGGTGGTGGTGATGATGTTGGTGGTGGAGGTGGAGGTAATGATTTTAGTGATAGTGATGGTGGTGGAGATGGGGGTGATGGTTTTAGTGATGATGATGGTCGGGGTGATGGTTTTGGTTATGGTGGTAGTGGTAGTGGAGGTAGGGGTGATGGTTTTGGTGGTCGTGGTGGTGGTGGTGGTGGTGGTGATGGTGATGTTGGTGGTGGAGGTGGAGGTAGTGATTTTAGTGATGGTGATGGTGATGGTGGTGCAGATGGGGGTGACAGTTTTAGTGATGATGATGGTGGGGTGATGGTTTTGGTTATGGTGGTGGTGATGGTGATGTTAGTGGTAGAGGTGATAGTTTTAGTGATGTGGTGGTGGAAGTGATGGTTTTAGTGATGCTAGTGTTAATGATGGTGATGGTGGTGGAGGTGGAAGTGATGATTTTGGTGGTGGTGGTGGTGGAGGTGTGGGTGATAGTTTTGGTGATAGTGGTGGTGGTGGTGATGGTGATGTTGGTGGTGGAGGTGAAAGTGATGGTTTTGGTTGTGGTGGTGGAGGTAGGGGTGATGGTTTTGGTGGTGGTGGTGGTGGTGATGGTGATGTTGGTGGTGGAGGTGGATGTAGTGATTTTAGTGATGTTGATGGTGATGGTGGTGGAGATGGGGGTGATAGTTTTAGTGATGATGATGGTGGGGGTGATGGTTATGGTGGTGGTGGGGATGGTGACATTAGTGGTGGAGGTGATAATTTTAGTGATGTGGTGGTGGAGTTGATGGTTTTAGTGATGCTAGTGTTAATGATGGTGATGGTGGTGGAGGTGGAAGTGATGGTTTTGGTGGTGGTGGTGGTGGAGCTGAGAGTGATGGTTTTGGTGATGGCGGTGGTGGTGGTGATGGTGATGGTGGTAGAGGCAGAAGGGATGGTGTTCATGATGGTGGTGGTGGATGTGCGGGTGATGGTTTTGATGATGGTAGTGATGCTGGAGGTGGAGATGGTGAGGTGGTGGTAGTTGTGATGGGATGTCAATGTGGTGATGGTGGAGACAAAGGTGGTGGTGATACCTCACAACCTCAACCCAAGAGAAGCATAGCAAGAGAAGATTTGAAGTCGGAGGACCTTACTTCTGGGTCCAATTCTGCTACTTACTATCTGGAGACCTGGGGCAACTTGCCTGGACTCTCTGAAGCTCAATTTTCTCATCAGTAAAGGGAGTGATATTGCTTCCCTTTCTGGGCAGTGTGGGGATTATAGTGGCCGAGGCCTGTTGTCGCCTGTGATTAACTGTAATTCTGAGGCACTGTGGGCCTCGAGGATGGGCCAGCTCTGGCTGCTGTGCAGACAAGGCCAGGGTCTAGAGAATGCTGCTGCAGAGGACCGCGGCATCCGAGACTTTTTTCTGGGGAGCAGGAGACCCTCCTTGTTCAGTGGGCAGCTCCTCTTCCTTTTGGGGAATCTCACACAATGTATGTTTCCCTCGGTGTGGTTCGGAGGGGGCTGGCAGTCCTAGGATCCATGCTTCCCGGTCACAGGGGTGGACCTTTGATGCAGGCTGGGCCCAGTGTATCTCTCCCAGGGCCTCTTCTGCTTTGGCTCAAGAGCTACAAAGCTGCCTGAGCCTGCCAACAGTTTTCTTCCCCCTTGAAGAGTCCCCGTTTGCCATGGGAAGTCTAAGGATAACTCACTAAGAGCAGCAGAGGCAAGAAGCACTGAAAGAGGAGGATGGGGAGAAAGAGGAGGAGAAAGACAGATGGTGCCAAAGAGAAGCCCAGGGGCTTCGTTGAAGTTGCTGAATCCAGCTGTGCCTGAAGATAGCACCATCCACTCCTAGCCTCTGAGTTACACAGGTTATAGAATGACCTCAGGAGTTGGAGTTGGGCTTCTGTGTTTTGCAAACCAAAGAATCCTTCTCTACACCTCTCACCCCTTCAGTCTCCCAGAATTCCCAGAACCTTCCCAAGAAAGCAAAATTTATGACAGGGCTGACTTCCAAATGTGGGGACAAAAGACTCTGGTCTTGGCAGACCAAATCTGGCTTATTCCGGCTGTCTCTTTCCAGAGACCCTGGGACTGACCCAGCTCTAGGCCCCGATGTCCGAGGACAGAGGTCGAGATGTGCTGCCAACCCTCATGTCCCCAGGCAGCCTCTTTATAGGAAACTTTTTATACACAGCGGAACAGACTGGGTATGGTGGTTCACGCCTATAATCCCAGCACTTTGGGAGGCCGAGGCGGGCAGATCACCTGAGGCCAGGAGTTTGAGACCAGCCTGGCCAACATGGTGAAACCCTGTCTCTACGGAAAATACAAAAGTACCCGTTACGGTGACTCGCGCCTGTAATCCCAGCTACTTGGGAGGCCGAGGCAGGAGAATCGCTTGAACCCGGGAGGTGGAGGTTGCAGTGAGCCGAGATCGTGCCACTGCACTCCAGCCTGAATGACACAGTGTGACTCTGTCTCAATAAATAAATAAATAAACAAACAGTGGAACACAGTGACTGCACTCATGGATTACATAAAGTCTCATTTGAAACAATTGAAATGACACAGGAAAATGCAAGGAAAAAATTCTTTAAAAATCAGCTGATAGTCACCCCTGCCCCCAGAGATGACCCCGGGAACCCTCGCAGACACTCTCCACTTCTCCCCAGGTAGACACATGCCACTTCTTGTCAGCGGAATGGCTACGGGCTGTTCTGGAACTTGCTTTATTCAAGCATTGGCATATTCTGTAATCTTTCTGGGCAACGAGCACAGCTCCCTGACTTGTTAAAATGAAACTTCTTGGTCACCTATTACAAGAACTTATTTGTTCAATCCCCAATGATGCACATGTAGGTTGTTGCCAATTTTTTGTGACCTTGAACATCCCTGCAGTGGGCACACTTGTGTGTTCAGATTTCACACCTAGCCCATTGTTTCTGTGGGGTACATTCCTAGACGGGGAATTGCTGTGTCAGAGCATATTTAGATTTTAGAGGGATTTGACACATTCTACTCAAGTTTGCTGAGGATTGGAAAGCTGGTGAGAGAGGATGCCGGTGAACCCCAAATCTTCGACCACACTGGGTTTTATCAGAAAGAAAAATGATTTTTTTTTTTTTAAGATGGAGTCTCGCTCTGTCGGCCAGGCTGGAGTGCGGTGGTGCAATCTCGGCTCACTACAACCTCTGCCTCCCGGTTTCAAGCAATTCTCCTGCCTCAGCCTCCCGAAGAGCTATGATTATAGGCGTGTGCCAACACGCCCGTCTAATTTTTGTATTTTTAGTAGAGACAGGGTTTCACCGTGTTGGCCAGGATGGTCTCCATCTCTTGACCTCGTGATCCACCCACCTTGGCCTCCCAAAGTGCTGGGATTACAGGTGTGAGCCACCACTCCCGGCCCCCAAGAAATTATTTTTGAGGTAGGAGAGAGAAGTCGGTAAGAGGGCCCCACTTTTAGGAACCATAGCTTCCTCACTGCTCAGTACAGGCCCTGCTCGTCTTGATGGTGGAAAAACAGGTGATGGTGGTGAGGGAGGAGGAGGAGGAGGAAGTGTCGTGGAATGTGGCAGCTCTGTTAGGGTGAACAGCTGTTCCAGCTCACCTGGGATTTTCCTGCTTGGTTTTGTCACTGCAAGGTCCCCATCTTGGGAAGCTTCTCCTCTGCATGGGAGAATCAGAACTGTTGGTCACCTACTTCCAGCTTCCGGGGCCTGTTTCCCAAGGCCAGAGGCCCTGCTGGTATGCTCTGTGCCTTCCTTGGGGACAGCAGCTCCCATGTGTGCCTCCCATGCTGACTTCTGGGAAGGCACGTGCTGAGAAGCGGCAGGCCCAGTGCCCAGCAGGCTTGGCCACTGGCTACCAGGGCTGGCAGCACAGACTGGTCCCAGGTCTCCTGAATTCAGGAACCCGGGCAAAGCTGTGCCCATTCCCATGGGGGTGGCTCTGCTTCATCCACCCGGAGAGGCTGCTCACAGGTTGATAAAACTGCTGTGTCATACTGGACCCAAGGGGCTCGCCTCTCCCCTGTCCCCATCCTGCCCAGTGGAGGAAACTGAGGCATGGGAAGGGGAGTGACTTGCTCAAAGTCACATAGCTCTGAGTCTCCGAGCTTGGACCGGAATCCAGGTCTCCCTCCTCCCAGTGAGTTGCTCTACCCTGAACCCAGGGACAATGTGTATTGCTTTGGGAAAGCTGCCTGGCACAAGGCTCTTATGGCTTTGCACCCCCCTGTCCCGTGGCTACAGGGCCGGCAGCTTCTCTCTGAGCTGTTGCCTGATGGAAGTCCAACTCAACAGGCTTGAACAAAAGGGGCTGGCCTGGCACAGAACAGGCGTGGCGGGCCCAGGCTTTACAAGAGGTCAGGAACTTTCCTTCCATGGTCGCTCGCTCTCCTACCCCCATCTCTGCTGCTTGAAGATGGAAAAGTAGAATCAGCACACCCAGTGAGCCTGGAGAAAGAGGCTTGCATCTAATTTCTAGAGAAGCAATGGGTTCCTGTCTGGACTCCATATTAGCAAATGCAAGCCTCTCCTGGTCCGAATAGAATCCTGTACCCTAGTTTATCTTTCTCCCTCCATTGGACTAGCTCCTCCTAATCTATCTTTACCCATTCCATCCGTCCAATATGTTAGAAAAAGAAGGGCCATCCAAGTTATTCCTTTAATGGCCGCCTTAGGTATAACCTCCGGGCTTGGGTTGGGAGCAGGCGGATTGACCACCTCCTTAACATACTTTAAAGCTCTGTCAACAGAACTGCAAGGTTCATTAAAAGATATAGCCCAAAGCCTGATAAAAGTCCAAGACCAGGGTGGACATGGTGGCTCACGCCTGTAATCTCAGCACTTTGGGAGGCCGAGGCTGGCAGATCATTTGAGGTCAGGAGTTCGAGACCAGCCTGGCCAACATGGTGAAATCCTGTCTCTACTAAAAATACAAAAATTAGCTGGGCACATGCCTGTAATCCCAGCTACTCTGGAGGCTGAGGCAGGAGAGTTGCTCGAACCCAGGAGGCGGAGGTTGCAGTGAGCCGAGATCATGCCACTGCACTCCAGCCTGGGCGACACAGCAAGACTCGGTCTCAAACAAACAAGCAAACAAACAAACAACAAAAAAAGACAGTCCAAGACCAACTAGACTCTTTGGCTGGAGTAGTCCTCCAAAATAGATGGTGATTAGATCTTACAATGGGTGAAAAAGGGGGCCCCTGCCTCTCATTGGGTGAAGAATGTTGCTTCTATCTCAACCAATTGGGCCTAGAAAGAGATGCTGCTGAAAAACTTAGAGGGCTAAAAAGCTAAGAGAATACCCCGACAACCAACTAAATTCTTGGTTTAAAAACAAAATCCTAACATTAAGACCATACAGTCTTCTTTCCTCTTATCTTCATACCTAAAAGAAAGATATTTTTGTTCCCTTTCAATTGTTTGTTGAGGCAGAATTGACATACAATAAACTGCATGTGTTTAAAGTGTACAATTTGGTAAGTTTTGACATCTTTATACACCCATGAAAATATCACTATGATCAAGACAATAAATATGTCCACAACCCCCAAAGTTTCCCATGTTCCTCCCCACCCCCATCCCCAGGGAAACGCTTCTCTGCTAATTCTCATGATAGGTTGTTTGCATTTTCCAGAATTTTATATAAATAGGGTCATAAAGTATGCACTCTTGCTTTGCCTGGATTCTTTTGCTCAGTATAAGTATTCTGAGGTTCATCTACATTGTCACTTGTATGACTAGTTTGTTCCTTTTTATTGCGGAGTACTGTTTCACTAAGTGGATGCACTGGTTTGTTTTTATCTACTCCCCAGTTAACGGACATCAGAGTTGTTTCTAGTTTGGGGCTATTACAATAAGGCTGCTATGAACATCTGTGTATAAGCCTTTGTATGGATATAGGCTTTCATTTCTCTTGGGTACATATTGAGGAGTGAAATGGCTGGGTTATAACTACTGGTATTGAGATTGAGATTGTTTTGAATCTGTAGATCCATTTTGGGGGAATTGGCATCTTTTGACCCATGAATATGGTCTATTTCTCAATTTATTTTGGTATTCTTTAATTTCTCTCAGCAAATTTCAGTTTCACACAGGTTTTTATCAGACTTGTCTATGTGTGTATTTCCTATTTTTGTCGTGTTTCTGTAAATGTTTTTATTCCGGTTGTGTCATGTTGCTATTATACAGACACACAATGGCTTTTTGTATATGGATCTTCTATACCGCAAACTTGTTAAACTCGTTGGTGACTTCTAGTAGCTTTTTTCATAGACTCCATAAGATTTTCTCTGTAGATGGTCGAATTGTTTGTAAATAAAGCAGATTCATTTGCTCCTTTCTGATTCAAAGACACTTCCTCTCTCCCTCCCTCCCTTACTTCCCTTCTCTTTCCCTCCTCCTTCTTTTTTCTTTCTTCTTAAAATCTTACTAGACTGGCAAGAACCTTCCATGCAATATTGGTTAGAAGTGGTTAGAGAGCACATCCCTGCCTTATTCCTGATCTTAGAGGGAAAGATTTTGGTCTTTCACTATTAAGTATGATGTTAGTTGCGGGTTTTTCACAGATGCCCTTCACCAGGTTGAGGACGTTTCCTTTTATTCCTAGTTTATTGAGAGTTTTTATCAGCAATATATGTTGGATTTGGACTAATGCTTTTCCTGCATCCATTGAGACAATGTGCTTTTATATTGTAAATATAATATTTTCGCAATAATATTATGAATTACATTGTTTTCTAATGTTAAACCGAACTTGTATTCCTAAAATAAACTATACTGGATCATATGTATTATTTTTTTATGTGTTGCTGGACTTGATTTTTAAAACTTTGTTTAGAATGTTTGCATCTATTTCATGAGGGATATTAGTTTGTAGCTTTCTTTTCTTGTAATATATTTGTATGATTTTGATATTACAGTAGTGCTGGCTTCATAGAATAAGTTGGAAATACTCTTTTCTCTTAAATTTTCTGGCAAATTTTGTGTAGATTGAAATTATTTCTTTCTTAAGTGTTTTGTAAAATGCACCAGTGAGGCCTAGAGTTTTCTTTGTAGTAAAGTTTTTAACTTCTTAAAAAATATGGACTATTCAGGTTATCTATTTCTTCTTGAGTGAGCTTTATTAGTTTTTGTCTTTCAAGGAATTTGTCCATTACATCTGAATTGTCAAATTTCTTCGCATACAATTATTCATCATATTCCTTTTAATATGTGTGCAATCGGTAGTAATGCTACCTCTTTCATTTCTCATATTGGTAATTTGTCTTCTTTCTTTTCTTTCTGATGAGTAGGGTTTGATGTTTGTAAGTCGGATTGATCTTTTCAAATTACCAGTTTTGGGTTTCATTGATTCTATTTTTTTTATTTTATTGATTTCCGCTCTAATCTTTATTATTTCCTTTTTTTCTGTTTCTCTTTGGTTAGATTTGTCCTTTTTTCTCTAGTTTCTTCAGGTAAAAGCTGGGATATTTTAGTGCTATAAATTACTTAGAGTACTGGTTTAATCACATCCCACAGACTTTGTAGGTTGTGTTTTCATTTTCAAATATTTCAAAATGTTTTCCAATTTCCATTTTCTAATTATCTTTTTGATTTCTTTAAACTGTGCTTTACAGAGAAGTGTTATTTAGTTTCCAAATATTTGGGGATTTTACAGATATCATTCTATTATTTGGTGTCTAATTTTATTCTATTTTGGCCAGAAAACATGCATTGAATGATTTGTATCCTTTTAAATTTATTGAGATTTTTCACGCCCTTTTAAATTTATTGAGATGAGATTATGATATATTTTTGAAAAATGTTCTGTGTGTTTGAAGATAATTTATATTTTGCTGTCGTGAGTGAAGTGTTCTAAACATGCCAGTTGAGTCACATTGATTGCTAGATTGCTAGTGTTATTCAAGTCTTCTACATTCTTCTTCTTCTTTTTTTTTGGAGACAGAGTCTCACTTTGTCAGCCAGACTGGTGTGCAGTGGTGTGATCCTGGCTCACTGTAACCTCTACCTTCTGGGTTCAAGCAATTCTCCTGCCTCAGCCTCCGGAAGAGCTGGGACTACAGGCATGCACCACCATACCTGGCTAATTTTTGTATTTTTAGTGGAAATGACGTTTCGCCATGTTGGCCAGGCTAGTCTAGAACTCCTGACCTCAGGTGATCTGCCTGCTTCGGCCTCCCAAAGTGCTAGCATTACAGGTGTGAGCCACCATGCCCAGCCCTATATTCTTGTTGACTTCTGTACATTTGCCCTGTCAATCATAGAGCTGTTGAAACCTATTACTATAACTGGATTTGTCTATTTCTTTTGTAGTTCTATTCATTTTGCCTCATGTATTTTGAAGGTCTTATTTGGCATATAAACATCTAGAATTGTTATGTTCACTTGAGAATTGAAACCTTTTGTCATTATGAAATGACTATTCCTGGCAATATTCTTTCCTCTAAAATCTACTTTGCTATTAGTGTAGCAAAGTAGCAAATATGAACATAGCAAAGTACATTAGCATGGTAATTAGTGTGGTACATCTTTTTTTATCCTTTTGCTTTAAAATTATTATTTTTTTTATATTTAAAGTGGGCTTCTTGTAGGCAGCATGTAATTGGGTCTTGCTTGTTTTATCCAACCTATCAATCTTTGTTTCTTAATTGAGGTGTTTAGACCTTTACATTTAATGTGATTGTTGATATAATAGTATTTAATTCTGCCATCATGATTTTTGTTTTGTATTTGTATTACTTGTTCTGTGTTTCATTTTCCCTCCTTTCTACCTTCTTTGTGATTGAGTATTATTCATTCCTTCATTTTATCTTATTTGTTGGTTTATTAGCTGTAATTCTTTGCTGTATTATATTAGTGGTTGCTAAAGCGTTTATAGTATACATCTTTAACTTATCACAGTCTATCTTTGAATAATATTATCCTTCAGTGATATTATACTACCTAACATCTAGTAAAAGAAATTTATTGCAGTATACTTTCATTCCATGTCTCACCTTTGTACTATTGTTTTCATACCATTTAGGTGTCCAGTTGTGTTTGTGTCTGTATATGTGTGTGCACAGCAGTGAGAGGCAGCTATTATAGTTCCCATTTAGTTGTTGAGAAAAGTTTGGCTTTCCCACTTGTAAAAATCCTTTGCAGCTCAAATGTCCCCTCCTCCAGGCAGCCTTCCCCAGCCTCTGCCAATGACTTGAAATATTTCCCCATGTACAGGCATCCTTTGCCTGGGCCACACTCTTCTTGCAGAAGCAGGGCATGTCTTTTCTGTCTGCCCCATCAGATGGTCACCTACTTGAGGGCAGAGCTCAAAACCACAGGACTCTCCCTTGAGTCTTTCACAGCCCCTTGTCCACAGCTGGTGCTCCATATGCACTTACTGAATTGGCCTGAATGCCACGAGCCAGATTCAGCCCTGGCAGCAACCTCGTGGCTTCTCAAGGTGTGATGCTATGAAAAAAGCATGAGCTTTGAGATTGGAAAGACATGACTTAAAATTCTGAGCCCACCACTAATTGGCTGTGTGTGACTTGGGTGAGAAAGCATCACCTGAGCCTTTGTCTGTCCATTTGTATAATGGGGATCCTGTCAGGCTGGCTATAAAGACAGCTACAATGCACTAAAGCACTAGAACTTTGGCAGGTCTGTGTGGGCACTGAGGAAACACCAGCTTCTCTGATTCTCTGCCCCACACCTCCTTTCTGTTTGGCCCCCTCTCTTGCCCTGGGCCAAAGCTTAAAGTCTCACATCGTGAAGTCTTTCTGGTCCCTTTGTCCATTTGTCCATTTGCCAGTCCAATCTGCAGCCAGATGTCTATCCCCATGAGAGTCTGTCCTGCCAGAGCATTTAATAAATTTGTCATGGGACAGCTATGAGGCCACAGAGCAAGCCTTCCCAGGACACCTGATACGGGCTGGATAAACCCACCAGGCCTCTGGGATTAGTGTAGGTGGGAAGCCCAATTGGTGGTTGCTTAACTATTCACCCTATGATTCAGGAAGCTGAGATGGGGTGGGAAAGGTGATTGGCTACAGTGGGAGAGGCCCCAAGTTCCCCCATACCCTGGGGTGACCATGGGATTCAATTGTGGTTCTTTGTGTCCAGGGAACAGAAACCAACTCCAGCTGACCTAGGCAAAGGGGGCATTTGTTGGATGCATATGGGGTAGATTAGTGAATCTAAGGAAAACTACACCCCCAAGCTGGAGAGGTTGAGAGACAGCTCCAGGCATATTGGGAAGAGAGGCTGGACAGGAGAAAAGGCAACTGGTGCTCACCAGCCCCTGCTACATTCCTCGCCAACCCTGGTCTAATGCTCAAGGTCTTTGTACTGCAGCCATTGAACCTAAGACCTGGGCCCAGTCCTGGTGCCACCTTCAGTGGCTGTGTGACTTTAGGCAGGTCCCTTCCCCTCTCCAAGCTCAGTGTCTTCAGCTTGGGTTGTGAGAGTCTAATGCCATAGAGGATATGCTTGGTACAGTGAAAAGTTCTATGCCCTAGAGAGAGGTTGTCACTGCTTGGTGTGTGTATTAGCTTCCTGTGGCTACGGTCACAAATTAGCACAAATGAAGTAGCTTCTAACAATGCAAATTTATTCCCATACATTCTGGAGGTCAAATGTCTGAAATCAGTCTCCCTGGGCTAAAATCAAGGAGTCAGCAGGGCTGGTTTTTCTGGAGGCTCAGGAGGGAAATCCACTGGGGGCCCTTTCCAGCTTCTAGAGGCCACTTGTGTTCATTGGATTGTGGCCCCTTCCTTCATGTTCAAAACAACAGCATAGCTTCACCACACACCACAATCATTTCACCCATCGGCTTCTGTTGTAACAGCACTTTGCTTCTGTCTGTCCTCCCTGCCTCCTCTCTAAGGACCCTGAGATTCAATTTAGAGCCCACTTGGATAATCCAGCTCGGGATCATTTCCTTACTCACATCCGCACAGCCCTGTGTGCATATGCACAGCTCTGTTTGCGTATGCATGACCCTGTTTGCATATGCATGAATCTGTTTGCATATGCACGACCCTGATTGCATGTGCACAGTTCCGGGCATCAGTGTGTGGACACCTTTGGGAGGCTGGCAGTCAGTGCCCCACAGCGTGGCCTGTGCCCAGGGATGCCTTGATGTGGGGCAAAGAGCCTCGGTGGACACACCTGGGTTGACATTTTGACCCCCCATTCAATGCCAGTGGGGCACCCCTGGATGAGTCATTTGATCTCTCTGGAGCTCTTCATCCAGGAGATGGACATGATAGTTCCTGCTCCTCAGGGCTGCGGAAACTGAATGAGACCATACAGCTGTTTGTAAATGTGTCTTTCAGTGGCAGAGACTTCCTTTTCATCAGAATCTGGTGAGGAATCTCCTAACACACAGAGGTGATGGAAACACGGCTGCTGGGACCGGTGGACTCCCCACCTTCCCCACACAGGGCCACCCCCTTCCTGCCTGCAAGGACCCAGGGCTAGGAATGCAGTCGGAGAACCTGTGCGATAGAATGCAGCCTTGGGGTTCACAAGCAGGGGACGGGGACAGCTCCTCACTCTTCTACCTTGCTCTGTCCCACCCCATGGAGGGAGTGACACGGGAGCTACGCAGAGAAAAGAGCAAAGTGTGTCAGTGTCATGACTTGCCAAAGCTGATTGGAAGATGTGGCAGATTGTGTTTCTTTTCCCAACAATGACTGTCTCCTCCCTTAAGAGAATGGGATGTCCCCACCAACGCCATGTGGCTTGGCAGTGCCGCCTGCAGAAAGCGCCTCCATTCCTGTCCCTGTGCTGCTGGGGAGTACCACCTGCTTGCTTTGGTCAATGGAAGATGAGAGGACAACATTGACCCTTGGTCTGAGTGCAAGCGCTAAGTGCCATTGAGGTTGACGTGAGAAGAGCATGTGCCACCAGGAGCTGTGCCTTCAGCATGAGCCCTGGCACGCAAGCTGTGGGCAGACTCGTGGCTCCCATGCAAAGTGCAGGGGACATAAACCTTCACTGCTATACACCTCTGAGAGGTGCGGTGGTTTATACCACAGCAAAACTGCCAGGCAATGTAGCTTCCGAATGCTGAGTCATGCTGGGCTAATGATGGCCCTGTCTACTCGTACCTGGAATCCAGCCCTGGCCAAGCCCACTGAGGGATGTCTAGATTTGGGCACACGAACTTAGCTATATGTTACGTTATCTAGCCTGGGGCAGAGAGGGAAGGCAAGATATCAAGCCCCATGCCTAGGACTTTAAAAAAAATATCAGTTTTTACAGAGGAACAATTTACGTTCAATACATTGTACATCTTTTAAGAGTGAAGCTCAATGATCTTTCTTTGTGAGACAGGGTCTCACTCTGTCACCCAGGCTGGAGTCCAGGCGTGCGATCTCAGCTCACTGCAGCCTTGACCTCCCAGGCTCAAGCGATCCTCCCACCTCAGCCTTCCAAGTAGCTGGGACCACAGGCATGTGCCACCACACCCAGCTAATTTTTGTATTTTTTGTAGAGATGGAGTTTGACAATGCTGCCCAGGCTGGTCTCAACCTCTGGGCTCAAACAATCCTCCTGCCTTGGCCTCCCAAAGTGCTGCGATTACATGTGTGAGCCACTGTGCCCGGCCACAATGACTTATTTTTATTTTTATTTATTTATTTATTATTTTATTTTTATTTTGAGATGGAGTCTTGCTTTGTTGCCCAGGCTAGAGTGCAATGGTGTGATCTTGGCTCACTGCAACCTCTGCCTCCCAGGTTCAAGTGATTCTCCTGCCTCAGCCTCCTGAGTAGCTGGGATTATAGGCACCTGCCACCACACCCAGCTAATTTTTTGTATTTTTAGTAAAGACGGGGATTCTCTATGTTGGTCAGGCTGGTCTTGAACTCCTAACCTCAGGTGATCCACCTGCCTCGGCCTTCCAACACACTGATTTTTTAAAATCTACTTTGCGGAGGTATAATTTGTATACAATAAAATTCACTAATTTAAGCCTGCAATTCAGTGAGTTGACAAATGTACACAGTTGGGTCACTGCCACTTTTACCAAGAGATAAAACACTTTCAGAAAGTTTCTGCACGCCTCTTTGCAATCAGTCAGCCACTCCCCACTTCAGGTAACAACAGAGCTGCTTCCTGTAGCTACTGTGTGAATTTACGTGTCACAGAATGCTGTACAAACAGAGTTCTATGCAGCCCGGGCTCTTTGTCCACCTGGCTCAGCATGGCCCCAGTGACTGCATGAGGCTGTACGTATCTGCAGCCTGCCCCTTTTCATGGTGTTTATCCACTCACACAGTGATGAGCAGTGGTAAGCAGTGGGCTTATTTCCACTTCCTGCTGCTATAAATATTTGTGTATGACTCTTTTCGTGGGCAGATGCTATTTCTCTTGGGAAAGCACCTAGGAGTGGGTTGTATGGTAAAAGTATATTTAACTTTGTAAGAAACTGCCAAATTACTGCAGAATGGCTGTACACCTTTCCATGGCCACCGTCAGTGCATGACAACTCAGATGTTCTCCATCCTTGCCAGTGCCGGGGGTGGCCCATCTCATCTGATGTGCTTTAGTGGGCATGGAGTGGCATCTCACTGGGTTTAATCTGTATTTCCATGATTACCAATGCTGATGAGCACCTTTTCATGAGTTTATTAGCCAGTTAGGTATTTCCTTCTGTGAAGCATACATTCACACCCATTGTCCATATATTTACTGAGTTATCTGTGATTGTGTTATGAGAGTCCTTTAGACATCCTTTTTTTTTTTTGAGACTGTCACTTTTACCAAGAGATAAAACACTTTCAGAAAGTTTCTGCACGCCTCTTTTGCAATCAGTCAGCCACTCCCCACTGCAGGTAACACCAGAGCTTCTTCCTGTAGCTACTGTGTGAATTTATGTGTCACAGAATGCTGTACAAACAGAGTTCTATGCAGCCTGGGCTCTCCTTTGTCCTCCTGGCTCAGCACGACCCCAGTGACTGCGTGAGGCTGTGCGTAGTGTGCTCAGTGGCACGATCTCAGCTCACTGCAACCTCTGCCTCCTGGGTTCAAGCGATTCTCCTGCCTCAGCCTCCTGAGTAGCTGGGACTACAGGCGCCCACCACCATGCCCAGCTAATTTTTGTATTTTTATTAGAGACAGGGTTTTTTACCATATTGACCAGGCTGGTCTCGAACTTCTGACCCTGTGATCTGCCCGCCTTGGCCTCCCAAAGTGCTGGGATTACAGGTGTGAGCCACCGCGCCCAGCCTTTTTTTTTTTTTTTTTTTTTTTTTTTTTTGAGACAGAGTCTTACTCTGTTGCCCAGGCTGGAGTGCAATGGCGCGATCTCGGCTCACTGCAACCTCTACCTCCCGGGTTCAAGTGATTCTCCTGCCTCAGCCTCCTGATGAGTAGCTGGGACTACAGGCACCCGCCACCCTGCTGGGCTAATTTGTTTTGTATTTTTAGTAGAGACAGGGTTTTGCCATGTTGGCCAGGCTGGTCTCAAACTCCTGATCTCAGGTGATCCACCCTCCTCGACCTCCCAAAGTGCTGGGATTACAGGTGTGAGCCACCACGCCCAGCCGAGAGTCCTTTAAATATTCTGAATGCAAACTTTTGTTGGAGCTGTGCGTTGTAAATATTCTCTCACAGTCTGTGATTTTGCCGTGTTTTTTGAAGTGCAGAGGGTTTTAATTTTGATGAAGTCAATGGATCAATTTTTTAAATTTTGTGGTGAATACTCTCTGTGTCCTTGTGATTTCCTTATTGGCCCATGAATTATCTTGGGGTGTTTTTCTTGACTGCTTTCTTCTCTACTGTGGGTCACATTTTCCCATCTGTGTTTTTTCTTTTAATACCTAGGAATGTTTTTGTTGTGCACCCACCTTGTGGGTGATGTGTGGTGGAACCTCTATTCCTTTTCCCCCTCTGAGGAGCGTTGGGATTTTTCTGCTCACCCTGAACTTGCACGTACTTGGCTTTATACTTTGCCGCGTGGGTTTGTGGGAGCCCAGGGTGCTCCCCAAGCCTCTCTGACGTGGTTGGACTCCACCACCCACCCTCTTCCCCCACAGATCTCATCAGGGCTTGACATAGGTTGTGATGGGGTGAGTCTGAAGCGGGTCTTGCTCCTGAGTGTCTTTCATCCCAGCTGGATGCCCAGGTGCTGGAGACCTCTGCACACTGGGTGGCTGCAGCCCCCTTGACCCCACGCTTTACTGGAACCACAGCATCTCCTTCCCTCCCTAACTCTGCAGCAGCCACGCTGGGCACCCCTCCTGTAGCCTCATCCTCCCCAGGACTCAGCCGAGGACTCCTGGCTGGGGGACCCCTGATGGTACCTCTGCGCCTGCCTCCCCCACAGCAGAGCCTCTCTGATGCCCTGCCTCATAGCTCCCAGAAGCTTCTGGACTGTGAACTCTGGTCTCTGCCTCTTGAGCTCAGTGGGACCACTCTGCTCTGTGAGGCCTCCTGCCTGCTGAGCCATGGGGGGAGATGGTCTCCAGGGGTGGCATGGCTGGCTCCTGAGCGCCCTGCCTCTCAGCATCAAGTCATGCACTGCTTGCTGTTCACTGCCCGCCCAGAGTTGTCTCAAACATGCTGTCCAGTTCAATCATGTGTGTTTGCAGTGGGATGGCCCGTCCAGCACTAGTTACCCCAACACGGCTGAAAGTGGAAGAGACCCAGAGTGTTTTAATCAATTTACTGAACTCTACCTAGAAATACAAGCCAAAGGTGGACACCCCTATAAAATAAGCCATTCTCCATGGGGTGCAAGGATGAAGTGTAGGGCCATGGGCCAGTGTGTGACTCCACAGGGCATTAGGGAAGAGGATGGCGTATTAGTCTGCTCTCATGCTGCTAGTAAAGGCAGACCTGAGACTGGGTAATTTATAAAGGAAAGAGGTTTACTGGACTCACAGTTCCACATGGCTGGGGAGGTCTCATAATCATGGCAGAAGGCGAAGGAAGAGCAAAGGCACATTTTACATGGCGGCTGACAAGAGAGTGTCTGCAGGGGAACTCCCCTTTAAAAAACCATCAGATCTCATGTGACTTACTCATTATCACGAGAACAGCATGGGAAAAAAACCCATGAATCAGTGACCTCCCACTGGGTCCCTCCCACGACATGTGGGGATTATGACAATTCAAGGTGAGATCTGGGTGGGGACACAGAGCCAAACCATATCAGATGGGCTCCTCCAAACTGGGGGCATGTTGAACACAGTGCCTGGTACATGGGAGGAGATGACGACAGTGTCCCCTCTGTGGAAAGATGGGTCCTGCTGCATAGCTAAGCTCCCTAGAGCCTCTGCCTCCTGCCCAGAGCCTACATCTCTCATGGCTTCAAAGGAAACTTCTGGAAGCACAGATGGCCCAGCATCCTAGAAGGGCTTCCCCTGCAGGTCAGAAAGTCACCCTGAAAGCTCTCAGTTCAGGGCAGCCATCTTTGGGCTCTTCCCAGCATTGGCTGTGAGGGGATTCCAATGACAGCCTCCCCTCCATATGTAGGACACACCTGTGCATACATAACTCTTTCCTGTTTAACATGCTGTGGGCACAGAGACAATGCTCCATGAGGAAACCATGACCCAACCTTTACCCCATCCTCGGATAAGGAAATGGAGGCCCAGAGAAGGAGCCACCTGAAGCCACGCCACGAGCCAGGATGAGACCCCGGCAGCAGGTGCTCTGTTTCTAGCACACCCCAGCTGGTCTTTTCATTGAGTGCACAGATTTTTTTTGAGGCACAAATGCAGTAAAGTTTCATTTATGCATTTGCCCATTCATTTGTCTTAGGACTGAGATGGCAGAGGGCTCCCAGACTTCCCTCTGCCTCCCCCTGCAGGGGTCTGGCTTTACCCTCGGTCTCTTCTTCTTCCTCCCACCTCCTGGAGGAAGTTTCTGTCCTTGCCCCTTGGTGTTTTGGGCCTTTTGGGATGCAGATTTGGGATGGAGAAGCACGTTGGAGAAGGAGAGCAGGAAGCAGGCTAGTGAGGGCCATGCCTGTTGCTGGAGTACATTGGTATAGGCCCTGTGTGCCCATTATGGGGTTTGAGAGGTGCAAGGTAATAGCTGGAGACATTCTGAAATTAGTTTTGAGGTTCTGGAGGGGACACACCGCTGGCTGGTGAACTCGATCACATTCCCAACTCTTTTAGGCCCAGTACCTCCCATTACAGAGGACAGAAGAGCCAAGCGCTGCTGTTTGCAGCTTCTTCAACCACTGGGGGTGGCCATGTAACCCATTCTGTCCGTTTCCCACAAGTCTTTTGGGAACTTCTGGGAAAGGTTTTTTGTTTGTTTGTTTTGTTTTGTTTTTGTTTTTTCTTTCCTGATTAAAAAAGAAGATACACATACCTGAAACTGTCCTTCCTCTTCCTTCCTACCTTGAAGGTGGAGGCAATGCCCAGAGCTGTGGCAGCCACCTTGCAGCCGTGAAGCACCAGTGGGAATGACAGTCAAGAGAACCACGGAGATGCCAGCCCCTGGACCCACAGCAGCAGCACCTGCTTCCAGACTCAGAGTGTGAGAAAAAAATAAACTCCTATTTGTTTATGGCAAGGTTAGTTGGGGTATCTGTTGTTTGTTATTGAAAGCATTCCTAGCTGATGCATAGACTCTGTGTGTGTGTGTGTTTAACCACAGCACTGAGACTGGACCGCAAGGGGCATGGCTCCAACAGGGTTATGTGTCTTTTTTTTTTTTTTTTTTTGAGACAGAGTCTTGCTCTGTTGCCCAGGCTGGAGTGCAGTGGCACGATCTTGGCTCACTGCAAGCTCTGCCTCCCGGGTTCATGGCATTCTCCTGCCTCAGCCTCCCAAGTAGCTGGGACTACAGGCACCCGCCACCACGCCCGGCTAATTTTTTGTTTTTTATTAGAGACGGGGTTTCACCGTGTTAGCCAGGATGGTCTCGATCTCCTAACCTCATGATCCACCCGTCTCAGCCTCCCAAAGTGCTGGGATTACAGGCGTGAGCCACTACGCCCGGCCAAAATCTTGGTTATGTGTCTTTTGACAAATATGTGTTGAGCACCTGCTGGTGACAGGCATGGGGTCGGCGGAGGTTATAAGGCAGATGGACACTTGCCTCCGGAAGTGGGGGTGGAGCAGACAGGGAACGTATGCCCTTGAGGGATGCGAGGCCACGACAGGGGAGTGGAAGGGAGTGGTGCCTGCATCTGATCTGTTCTGGAGGCTCTGGGGAAATGACACTGGGGCTTAGGCATTGTTATAGATTGAATTATGTCTCCCTAAATTCATTTGTTGTAGTTCTAACCCCAACACCTCAGAATGTGACCTTATATGCAGATAGGGTCTTTACAGAGGTAGTTAAGTCAAAGTGAAGTCGTTTGGGTGGGCTCTAATCCAATCTGATGGGTGGCCTTGTAATGAGGGGAAATGTGGTCACAGAGAGAGGCACGGGGATAAGCCAAAGAGAGAGGCCTTGGGGGAACTGACCCTGCCCATACCTTGATCTTGGACTTCCAGCCTCTGAGACTGTGAGATGATAAACATCTGTTGTTGAGGCCATCCAGCCTGCAGTGCTTTGTTACAGTAGCCTGAGCAAAGGAATACCCACCTGGAAGATGGGCATAAATTCACAAGAAGGGAGGGGAGGTGTTTGGGGGATCAGCAGGTGCAAAGGCAGCAAGAGAGTCCTGTGCCCTGGAGAAACAAGGGGCAGGCCGTGCACGATGGGGCAAGGCCAGACACAGGCAAAGGCCAGTCCTGCAGGCCTGGGGGTCCCCGCCCAGGCAGTGGGTTCTTTCCTGGGGATGGTGGCAGGGACACAGAAGGGAACAGAGAGGACAGCCTGCTCCAATATTCCCAGGCATTGCTGTTCATATGATGGGGTCAGAGGCTAAGTCCAGGCAAAGCGAGCCAGGAAAGAGTCAGAAAGGAGCCAGAGTGGGCGTGAAAGACCTGCTGCTTTCACAGGACAGGGGCTGGGTCCCAGGCCCCCAGCCTCATGCCATCGTCTGCAAAACAGCCAGGGCCGCGTGCTTCTGTCTGAAGGGCTGAGCCTTGAGGTGGCCTGAGCCGGAGGCCCCTCAGCTCCCTGGGGACCAGAAAGTCCGCTGACAGCACCTCTGAGGAAGCAGTTGCGCATTCTGGGCTAAGCTGCCAGTGCACAAGGAGGGAACCACATACCAGCCAGCCCCATCTGACACGGCGCATTTGCACTGAACCAGAGGGAATACTTCCTTCCTAAAGGTAGAATGAATCCTAAACAGCCAAAGAATTGTAATCATCCATCGCCATACCCACGGCACACTCTTCGATCTTCCATTTTGCCACTTATCATTGTTGGGTTGATTTGCAAACTTGGAGGTGGCATGCAATTCTGCTGTGTGGAATCAACTCCCTGCTGGTCAGCTCTGAGGGACCCATTTGTTACCTGGTCATGGGATGGGGACTCCCAAGCATCTCCTGCTGACCAGCCTCCATCCCTGAGTGAGGAAGGTCCTGGTGCCAAGCTTGATGCCAGCTGTCACACACAGTCTAGGCTTCCTAGCAGCCCTGTGCCTTGGGGCCACTATCATCCCTGTGTTACAAGTAGGGAAACTGAGGCTCTAAGAGGCCAAGTACCCTGCCAGGTTAAGCAGCTCCCACCCTTGGCCCACTCCACTGCCTGTGCTGCCATCAATCCCTGGGGACTCTTCCTGGTGTGCCCCGTGTTCTTCCCATGTGAAAGGACCAAGGTACCAGCATCTCAGGAATCCAGGCCCCTCTGGCTGTGGCCTCCCTCAGCATTGCTGCTAAATGTAAAGCCAAGAAGGTGCAGACAGCAGCTTTGGGCTTCCCGAGACCCCTTTGGGCCAGAACGTGCAGCCGGCAGGCGGTGAAGCAGCGTGATTTCTGTGTCCGATCCCCGTGACCTCTGAGATGCGGAGGAGACGGAGGTGCAGCAGGGCCACAGCAACTCACTCATTCCCTGACCCATTCCTTCCTTCATTCATTCACTGTGGACTCTGCCAGCAAACCCCTGAGGCAGCAGCTGGATCTTGGTCTTCATCGAGGACTAGCAGGAGAGGACAAAGTGAGACCAGAAGTGACCGCTGCACCTCGTGTGACAAGCTGGAGGTTCTATGAGTCCTCTGACAGGGGCAGGCCTGGCCTGGGGGCCCAGAAATGCTTTGTGATGAGAGAGTCAGTGAGCTGAGAAGGGGTGGGAGAGAATGGCCAGGGAAGAGATGAGGGTGTTCTGGAAGGGATGGTGTTTACAGTTGAATTATACCCCCTCCCAAAGGTGTATGTTGGAGTCCTGACCCCCAGTACCTCAGAGTGTGACCTTATATGGAGATAGGGTCTTTATAGCGTAATCAAGTCAAAGTGACGTTATCAGGGTGGGCCTCAATCCAACATGGCTGTTGACCTGATAAAAAGGGGAGATTTGGATGCAGAGATGCGTATGGAAAGACAACCATGGGAGGACTCAGGGAGAAGATGCCATCCACAGGCCATGAAGACAGGATTTGGGGGGAACCAGCCCTGCTCACTCCTTGTCAGATTTCTAGCCTGCAGAACTGTGGGATGATAAATGTCCGTTTTCGCACTGCTATATAGAACTACCCGAGACTGGGTAATTTATGAAAAAGAGGTTTAATTGACTCACAGTTCCACATGGCTGAAGAGGCCTCAGGAAACTTACAGTCATGGCAGAAGGTGAAGGGGAAGCAAGCACCTTCTTCATAAGGTGGCAGGAGGGAGAGCAAGGAGTGGGGACGTGGCACACCTTTAACCCATCAGATCTCCTGAGAACTCACTCACTATCATGAGAACAGCCTGGGGGAAAGCACCCCATGATCCAATCGCCTCCCACCACGTCCCTCCTTTGACAAGTGGGGATTATGATTTGAGATGAGATTTGGGCGGGGGCACAGAGCCAAACCCTATCACCAGCCTGTGGAACTTGGTTAAGGAAGTCTGGAGAAACTGGTATAATGGGGCTTTGGATGCTCACATGCAGAAGTGCTGAGCTCAGAGAGGGCTCAGGGGGACAAGGATGACAGGGTCAAAGATATATTTTACATTTTTATTTACTTTTTTATTAAAGTATAAGCTACAGGAAATTTAAGTGTACAGCTTCATGAATTTTTAATTCAATTTTTCTGAGATATGATGAAAGTACAATAAACTGTGCATACTTAAAGTGTGCAATTTCACGAGTTTGATGTATGTAAACCACATGGGGCCATTGACACTGTCAAGGTTGTGAGGCCATCCCTGATCCCCCGTCACACATTTCTTTTCCCTGTGCCCCTGTAGTCCACCCCCATCTCCAGGCTTGTCCCCAGGCAACCATGGGCCTGCTTTCTTTCATGATAGATTGGTTTGCATTTTCCAGAATTCGGCACAAATAGAAACACAAAGGATGTACTCTAATTTTTTATCTGGTTTCTTTCTCTGAGCATAAGTGCTTTGAAATTCATCCGTGGTGTGGTGTGCATCAACAAATCATTGTTTCTCTTTTCTTTACCTTTTTTTTTTTTTTTTTTTTTTTTTTTGAGATAGAGTCTCACTCTGTCACCCAGGATGGAGTGCAGTGGCACAATCTCGGCTCACCATAACCTTCGCCTCCTGGGTTCAAGTGATTCTCCTGCCTCAGCTTCCTGAGTAGCTGGGACTACAGGTGCACGCCACCATGCCCAGCTAATTTTTGTATTTTTAGTAGAGACAGGGTTTCACCATGTTGGCCAGGTTGGTCTCGATCTCTTGACCTCATGATCCACCTGCCTCAGCCTCCCAAAGTGCTGGGATTACAGGCCTGAGCCACCGCGCCCAGCCAATCATTGCTTTTCATTGCGGAGTAGTCTTCCATTCCACGGAGACACTACAGTTTGAGTATTCAATCAATCACCCATTGATTGACATTTGAGTTGTTGCCAGCTTGGGGCCATTAGGAATAAAGCTGCTATGAACATTCATGTACAATTCTTGGTAGGGACATAGTTTCCATGCCTCCTGAGTAAATACCTGCGAATGGAATGGTTAGGTCAGATGATAGGTATATATTATTTAGCTTTCTAAGAAACAGTCAAACTTTTCCAAAGTGGCTGAGCCATTTCAAACTCCC
Organism: Homo sapiens; assembly: GCF_000001405.40. Lineage (NCBI taxonomy): Eukaryota > Metazoa > Chordata > Mammalia > Primates > Hominidae > Homo > Homo sapiens. The sequence goes on from NC_000011.10 coordinate 69,346,196, forward strand.
AGCAGTGTATATATGAGCTCTAGTTGTTTGCTATGCACATCTGCACATGATATGTGTTGTCTTTTTAATTTTCATCATCCTAATAAGGGCATCGTGATCTTTCATTGTCATTTCAATCCATATTTCTACAATGGCTGATGATATGGAAGATTTTTTCATGTGACCATTTGTTTATCTTCTTCAGTGGAGAATTAATGCAAATCTTTTACCCATTTTTATTGGCCTGCCTTGTCCTTCTTCAGCTGTAAGGGTTATTGATATGTTCTGGATATGAGTCCTTTATCTGATCTGTGTAATGAATGTTATCTCCCAGTCCAACACGACACTTGCCTTTTCCCCAGTCTGACACTTACCTTTTCATTTTCCTACTGGCATCTTTCAAAGAGCAAGAGTTATTAATTTGGTAAAGACCAATGTATTAACTTTTTGCATTCATGATTTGTGCTTTTTGTAGTCTATCTAGGAAATCTGGGCCAACCCTGAGGTCACACATATTTTCTTCTCTATTTTCACCTAGAAGACTTACAGTTTTCAGTGAGGATTGCTGTTCATTTGGGAATCCAATTGATTGAAACCAGTTTTTGAAAAGACTCTATGTTCCCTCCACTGAATTGCCATGGCACTTCTGCCAAAAATAAATCGACTGTATGTGTGTGAGGCAGTTTCTGGATTCTCTATTCTGTTATTCCATTGATCTGTGTGTCTGTCCTTCCACCAATGCGAGGCTGTCTCAATTCCTGTAGCTTCTCAAGTATGACTTAAAATTAGACAAATCCTCCAACTTTGTTTTCTTGTCTATAATTTTTTTCATCATTTTAAGTCTTTGCATTTCTCTATAAATTTTAGAATTAGCTTGACAATTTTTATCAGGATTGTGTTGACTCTGTAAATGTGTGAACAATTGCCACCTTAATATTGAATCTTCCAGTTTATGAACAATGATATATGTCTTAATTTATTTAGGTCTTAAATTTCTCTCAGCAATGTTTCATAATTTGTGGTGTTGAGTATTGGTTGTCTTTTGTCAGATTATTCCTAAGTTTTTTTGTGGAAGTTTATTTATTTATTTATTTTGGTGCTACCCTAAATAGAATTTTAAATTTTCTTTAATTAATTAATTCATTTGTTTGAGATGGAGTCTTGCTCTGTTGCCCAGGCTGGAGTGCGGTGGCGCAATCTTGGCTCACCGCAACCTCCACCTTCCAGGTTCAAGTGATTCTCCTGCCTCAGCCTCCTGAGTAGCTGAGACTACAGGCACGTGCCACCACGCCCAGCTAATTTTTTGCATTTTTACTAGAGACAGGGTTTCATCATGTTAGCCAGGATGGTCTTGATCTCCTGACCTCATGATCTGCCCGCCTCAGCCTCCCGAGTGCTGGGATTACAGGCGTGAGCCACTGCGCCCGGCCAATTTTCTTTATTTTTTAACTGTTTGCTGCTATTTGTATAAGAATGGGGTTAATTTTGGTACATTAACTTTGGATCTTGTGATCTTGCTAAGCTCACTTAATAGTTGTGATGGTTATTTTATGGGTTTCCTGAGACTTTCTATGTAAATTTTCATAGCAGCTGCCAATAGAAACAGTTTTATTTCTTCCTTTTCAATTTTTAGTAACTTTATAGCTTTCCTTTTCTTTTCTTTTTTTTTCCTTATTGCAATGACTAGGATTGCCAGTACAATGTTGACCAGATATAGCTACAGAAGGTGGGCACCTTTACCTTTTCCTTGACCTTAAGGGGAAAAAATGTGAGACTCAGCATCATAATAGTGCCTGTAGCTTTGTTGTAGATGACCTTCGTTCATTTGAGGATGTTCCCTACTATTACTAGTTTGCTGGAATTTTTTTTACTATGAGTGGGCATAAAATTTGATTGAATGCTTTTCTAATATGTATTTTTAAATTCATAAGGCTTATCTCCTATATTTGGTTAATATTATTAATCATATTGATTGATTTTTGAACATTTGGCAGACCTTGTATTCCTGGCTTTAACCTTACTTAGTTCTGATATTATTTTTATATATGATGAGATTTGTTTTGCTAATATTTTTAAAGAATATTTGTGTCTATATTCATGAGGAATGTTGGTCTACAATTTTCTGTTTTTGAATGTCTTTGCCAGGTTTTTATATTAGTGTTATGGAATCTGCAGGGTGTCACTTTTCTGGCCAGAAACCTCTGTATGGCTGGTGGCACGTTTATCTGAGTTTTTATCCTGCATTAAGGAGGACTGAGATACACAGATAAGCAGAGGGTGAGCAAGATGAAGAGGAGCTTTATTTAGTGTTAGGACAGCTCAGAGGAGACCCGCAGTGGGTAGCTCCTCTCTGTAGGCAGGTCATCCCCTTGAGTGTTCAGCTCTCAGCAGAGAGAGTCCCTGAACAGGGTAGCTCCCAGCTGCAGCTGGTCATCCTGTTGTCTGCTCAGCTCTGACTGAGCCTGGGGCTTTTATGGGCCTCACAGGGGAGGAAGTGCACACCGATTGGTCCATGGGCAGCCATGGGCAGCCATGGGCAGCTGAGAAAAGGCACCAGCTCCCACTCTGGTGCATGGGACAGGCAGCCTGGTCCCTAGCCTTCAGGCCCTTCCTGGCCTGAATGTGGGGGCCTCACCAGTGGACCTGTCCTCTTCTGCCCAGGAATCTGTCTGCCTCCCACTGCTGTTCATGGTGCCTGGGCTTGGCCCTGACTTTGCTCCAAGATCAGAGTAGGCACCGACAAAAGGGATAAGCCAGGTAGCAGGTGCCTGGGAAGTCAGGAAGCCAGACTTGGGTGGCTGCAGCTTCACCCAGGAGGGTGGGTCTCCTGCCTTCTCCGTGGAACTGGAGGCCTGGGTCTGCAGCCACAGTTTGGGTGGTGGCAGGAGCACTCAGGGAGCTCCTCAGCCAACTCAGAAGGGGTGGGGCTCCCGCTTGTTCCCCCAGCTCCCGGTGGCTCCATGGAAGGTGCAGCCCCTGCTGCCTTCCTGAGCAGCTGCTGCCTTCTTTAGGGTTATGCTGGCCTTATAAAATGAGTTGGGTGATGCTACCTCTTCCTTCATTTTCTGAAAAAATTCCTTAAGATTAGTTTATTTCTTCCTTGAATATTTGATCAAATTAACCAATGAAACAGTCTAGCTCTGGATTTTCCTTTTTAAAAAGTTTTTGGTAAAAAAAAACTTTAGCATAATAATGAGATTTCTTTAACAGGTGTAGTGCTATTCAGATATTCTGTTTCCTCTTGTATCAATTTAAGTTTTACTTCTCAAGAAATTTGTCCAATTAATTTAAGTTGTTGAAGTTTTGGTATAAAGATGTTTATGATAGCCCTTAAAAGTCTGTAGGATCTGTGTTAATAATAAATACCCTTTCAGTTTCTGCACTGGTAGTTTGTATTCTCTCGTTTTTACTTCAACAGTCTAGCTAAGAGTTTATTAATTTTGTTGATCTCAAATAATCAACTTTTGGCTTTTTTTCCTTCTTTTTTGTCTGTCTGTTTTCTATTTCATTTATTTCTGCTCTTACTGTTATTTTTTCCTTTCTTCCACTTAATTTGGCTTTACTTTGCTCTTCTCTTTTCTAACTCCTCAAGGTGGATCTTCAGGTAATTGATTTTAGATTGCTCTTGCTTTCTAATGTAAGTATTTAAAGTTCTGAGCTTCCCTCTAACAACTATTGTGGCTGAATCCCACAGATTTTGATAGGATGTATTTTCATTGTCTTTCAATTCAAATTATTTTCTGATTTCCCTCGTGATTTCATCTTGAATTCATGAGTCATTTGTAGACGCATGAAACATTTATAGATATTTGGGGTTTTGCTAGACATCCTACTATTACTGATTTCTAATTAGGTTCAGTTGTTGTCAGAGTACACACCCTACATGATTTCTATTCTTTTAAAATTAATGAGACTTGTTTTCTGGCCCAGCATATGGTCTTTCTTGGTGAAATGTACCACATACAGTTGCTAGGTATAGTGTGCTATAGTTATCAGTCAGATCAAGGTGATGAATAGTTATGTTTATATTAGGTTGGTGCAAAAGTAATTGCGGTTTTTGCCATTTAATTTCAATTAAATAAGTAATTAAAAATAATTACTCATATTAATATATTGAGTAATTATTAATTAATCAATAAGTGTAATTATTAACATTAGTTAACATCATATTGAGTAATTATTATTAATTATTTTACTAATTTCTTATATATTTGTTCTTTTAATTGCTGAGAAAGGGTATTAAAATCTCTCTTTGTGATAGTGGGATTTGTGTGCATTTCTTCCCTTTATTAATTTTGTTTATATATTTTGAAGCTATATTATATATTTTAGACAAATCAAAATTTACACTTTTATGCCTTTCTAATCATTCCTTTTATTATGTAAAATGTCTCTCCTTATCTCTGATATTGCTGTATTGAAAGTTATTAATATTAATATCAACATAAGTATTAATATTAATCTATATGAGTAATTAAAAATAATTGCTCATAATATAATATTAAGTAATTATTATTAATTAACTGATCAATATGCATAATTATTAACATTAGTTAACATCTTATTGAGTAATTATTATTAATAATGTCTCATATTGATTAATTAATATCATTATAGCCACCCTGACATCTTGTGTTTATTCTTTGCATCTTGTGTTTATTCTTTTCAGTTTATTTACTTTTGTCTTATTTGTGTTTTTGTATTCAAAGTAAATCTCTTGTAGGCAGCACATAATTGGGTGTTGCTTTTAAAAATCCATATTGTCAATTTCTTCCTTTTCATTGGAGTGTTTAGAACATTAACATTTAATGCTGATCTTTTCTCTTTTTTGGTTCCTTTATTCCCCTTTCTCTGCATGCTTTTGGATTATTTGAATATTTTATAGTATTCCATATTAATTTATCTGTTGGCTGTTTGGCTGCATTTCCCTGTGTGTATGTAGTTGCTCTATGCATGGTTTCTTTGATTCTATCCTGTTTGGGGTTCTCTGAGTTTCTTGAATCTGTAAACTTATGTCTTACACTAAATATATAAGATTTTCAGTCATGTCTTCAAAGATTTTTCTGCTCCCATCTCACTCTCCTCTCTTTCTGGACTAGTTATAATGTTTAAGAGCTTTGGATATGGCTTCACAGGTTCCTGATGCTCTTTGTTCCTTTCCTTCTTCAATCTTTTTTTCCTCTGTGTCCTTCTGATTGACTCATTTTATTGATCTATGGGTTTGCTGACTTTTGCCTTTCTCATTTCCATTCTGCTATTGATCCATCCAGTGATTTTTAAACATTTCAAATATTTTCTTTGTTATTTCTAAAATTCCAATATCCTCTTTTAATACTTTCTCTGCCAGGATTTCTTATTTGCTTATTCATTTCAAATGTATTTCCTTGATCTCATTGAGTAGAGTTGTAGTAGATGCTTTAAATTCTTTGTCTGATAATTTCAATGTCTGAGTCATCTTGGTGCTTTCATCTGTTAATTTTTTTATCCTTTGAGAATGGGCTGCATGTTCCTGTTTCTTTGTATGTCAAATAATTTTGGATTGTATCATAGACAATCTTAATGTCATATTATATAGACTCTACATTCTGTTAAGATCCTCTGAATTATGTAGATGTCTTTGTTTTAGCAGGCTATTGATTCATACATATGTGTGCATCCACATAACCACTGCTATAATAGTCAGGGTTTTCCAGAGAAATAGAACCAACAGGAGATGTGTGTGTGTGGTGTGTGTGCATGGATGTGTGTGTGTGCCTGTGTGTGTGGATGTGCGTGTGTGCATATGTGTGTGTGTGCGTGTGTGTGTGTGTGCGCATGTGTGTGTATTTCTTTATTTACCGTAAGTTATTGGTTCATAGGATTATGGAGGCTGAGAAGTCCCACAAGCTGCCCTCTGCAAGCTGGAGACCCAGGAAAGCCAGTGGTGTAGTTTGAAGGCCTGAGAGTCAGAGAACCAATGGTGTTGATTCCAATCTAGATCTGAAGGCCTGAGAACCATGAGTGCTGACAGAAAGAGACTGATGTCTCAGCTCAGGCCATCAGGCAGAGTTAATTCACCCTTCATCCATCTATTAGTTCTATTCAGACCCACAATAGGTTGGATGGTGTTCACCCACCCTGAGAAGGGCCATCTGCTTGACTCAGCCCATGAATTCAAATGCCAGTCTCCTCCAGACCTTCATAGACACGCCGAGAAATCACTCACTGGCTATCTGGCATCCTGTGGCCCAGCCTAGCTGGCCCACAAAATGAACAATCACAACCACTTAGATCAATAGGTGGATCATTTCTAGTCCCTCCAGAATTCCCACTCCAAGGGTGTACTCACTTCACAAGTAATCATCATTCTGACTTATTTAACCATTGGTTAGTTTTGTCCATTCCTGAATATCACATAAACAGAACCACACAATATGTGTTTTAAAACATCTGGCTTCTTTTCTTAAAACATAGTATCTGTGGGATGCCTCCATGCTGTTAAATGTAGAAATAGTTCATGACTTTTCATTACTGGGTGATACCACATTGCATGAACATACTGCAGTCTATTGATCTAGTCCCTTGCTGATGGACAGCTGGGCTGTTTCCAGTTTAGGACAACAGGCTGGGCATTTTAGGAGGCAGCACAGAGCAGAATGGCTACAGGCATGTCTCTTACAGCCACACAACCCCGACTCAAATCCTAGCTCTGCTGCAGACCAGCTGTGTGACCTTGGGCAAGTGACTCACCCTCGCTGAGCTGCAGTTTCCTCTTCTGTGAAGTGGAGATTATGGTAGCAGTACTTACTCAGAGGGTTGTCATGAGGATCAAGTAAGAAGTCACATGAAATCACAGCCTGCAGCCTACCAGAGCCAGAGCCCAGTAAATGGCAGCTGTTAAATGATTATTGTGGGAGGAGGTAGCAATTATGAATGTCAGCTCTGAAATCTGATCTGAATTCACATTTCAGGCTAAATGAAGCAATCATTAGTAAACACTCAGCATAGGGCTAGCAAATAATAAGCTCACAATTTATTATCCTTATTGATACCTGATATGTAAATACTAGTAGCCTTTACAACAAGCATTCCCATGATAGGTTTTGCCATTTGATAGAGAACAGAACTGTTTCTCAGGGATGTGCAGCATTTCTGGTCACAGAGCAAGAACAAGGTGGTGTAGGGACCCTGCTTATCCTACCCTGCCCTCCAGATGCAGGGACCCCACTCCCACCCACCCCTACAGCCTCACCTTGAGTATCAGAGAAGGTGATGGTGGAGAGCCACCTCCCAGACTGGCCTGGGCTGCTTCCTGGGCCCATTTCTGTCCCTCTCTGGGTTTCACAGCTTCCCATCCCACCCAAAGGTGCACTGGTGCTGACCCTGGGCAGTGCTGTGGGCAGTGAAGGCCGGATGAGGTCCCTGAGTGACAGCAGGCTCTGAATTGCCGCAAGTGTCACCATGGTAAAGTTTCTTTCCTGCTCTGTGCCTCAGTTTCCTCATCTGTGAAGGGGCAATGGTGATAGCATCTGCTTCACAGGGGCCCTGTGGGTGCTGAATCAGAGGGCCCAGGTGAGGTTACGCCTGGGGTCAGGGCAGGGCCACCAGGGGTGTCCGGGGGCCACGCGAGCCTTTGAGAGGTGCCGCAGGTCTTGAGTCCACATACCAACTGCCACCCACACAGGCCGACGTCCCTTCCAACGGTGCAGCGGGGCTAAGGTCACTTGCAATCGTGGAGAAGAGACAGTGACCTGGGGTTGGGGCAGGAGCCTACGTCAAGACAGAGTCACGGATGGGTGGGGCTCAGTCCCTCCCTTGGAGGGAACCCCCCAGGACTGTGGCAGACCCCCTTGCAAGGTCCTCATCGGCTCCAGGGCAGGCCCAGCCTCTGCCATGGGTGTGAGGGAGAGTTGAGGGCTCTATGACGCCCCCCTCCCCAGATAACTCAAGGCCCGGGGAGGGAGCTTTGGGTTGAGATGGTGTCGTCAGGGGCTAGTGGGCAGGTGTGCAAAGCCCCAGGCTGGGCCCAGAGAAATTCAGCAGCAGGTTTCAGGGCAGCAGGAGGTCGGCTGGGAGGGTGGATCCTTATGCATCTCTCTGTCTCATCCCCTCTGACCGCCTCAGCCAGGGGGAGAGAATGGAGCTCGGTGAGCAGCCCCAGTGGGCCTGCTATGAATTACAGGACCCCCTGCAAATTCACACACATGCTTGCCCCCTGCTGTGCTACTGACAGCAAAGGCAGAATCTGAGCTGCTGGGACTTGCCCAAGGCTGCCAGCTGCAGATGCTGGAGCCAGACAGAAGCCCAGGCCGCCTTCACAGTCTGCATAGTTCCAGTGCAACAAGGAACCTAAAGGGTTAACCAGCATTAGCACAGGGCCCAGCAAGTCACTCCCAGGTACCTGCTCAAGAGAACAGAAAACATGTCTGCACAAAAACCTGCACAGCCAAGCTCACAGCAGCACCATCCACAGCAGCCACAGTGCAACAACCCAATGTCCACAGCAACTGACGCACAGAGAAACCAACTGTGGTCTAGCCACACAAGGGAATATTATTCAGCCCTGAAAAGGAATGCACTCCTGGTCCATGCTGCAAACATGCATGAACCTCAAAAACATTAGGCCAAGTAAAAGAAGCCAGTCACAACAAAACTAAATGTCGTAGAATTCCATTTAATGAAATGCCCAGAGTTGGCAAGTCTGTAGAGGGATAGAGTAGAAGGGTGGTTACTGGGGCTGGGGAATGAATGGGGGGTGGGGAAGTTGTGGGGCATGGCTGGAAGGTGTGGAGTTTCTTTCCAGGAGAATGAAAATATCCTAACATTGATTCTGGTGTTGGATGCCCGAGTCTGAATATACTGAAGACCACTGAATTGCACATTTCACATGGGTGGACTGCTGGTTCGTGAATTCCACCTCGATGAAGCTGTGGGTGAATCACTTGAGATTAGGAGTTCGAAACCAGCCTGTACAACATAGTGAAACCCTGTCTCTACTAAAAACATAAAAAATAAAAAATAGCCAGGCATGGTGGGGGGCACCTGTAATCCCAGCTACTTGGGAGGGTGAGGCAGGAGAATCACTTGAACCCAGGAGGTGGAGGTTGCAGTGAGCCGAGATCCTGCCACTGCACTCGAGCCTGGGTGACAAAGCGAGACTCTGTCTCAAAAAAGAAAAAAAGAAAAGTAAAGAATGCTGGACCATGTGGGAAGTGCCTAGCCTTGGGTCAAACCCCTTGCAGGTGCCCAAGAGATGGATGGAGACCACACAGAGGCATGCCCAGCCCAGCACCCTTCCCAAATGCACTGGATATGCATTAGCCGCCCTCCTTATTCTGTGCCTCCCAAAGCACCCACCCAGGTCCAGGCTCTGGGACTCTCAGACTCTGCCGGTCCCCTGCCCTGGGCCAGGTCCTGGGTTGGGTATGGAGAGCTGAGAGCCCAGAGCCAACCAAACCGTGGTGCCCTGGTAGCCTGCAGCTTGTTCATTTTGCTGGCAGCGAGACCCCTTGAGATCCAACTGCCCAAATGAAACATAAAGAGGCCGAAGCGCATGGTGGTAAAAGATGTGAGTCCCCAGATCGAAGCTTGGGGCAATTCTGCATGAGTTAGTTACACCGCTGCAACAAAGACACCTAAAAACACAGGGGCTCAATCCCTGCGTCAAGATCTCACATAAAAGGGAGATAGGCAGCCCAGGGCTGATTGGTGGCCTGACAGTGCCAGGGGCCTGGCTCCTTCTATCTCTCTCCCTCGCCATCCTCAGCAAGTCACTTCCATCTTGGGTCCAAGATGGGGAGGGAGGAGGGGACACCTCTTGCCATTAAGGGCAAGGCTTAAAAGGGCTTATGGAGCTTCAGCTGGAGTGGCCTCAATCAGAACTTATTCATGGCTGGGATGTGTTGCAAGGGAGTCTGGGAAATGCAGTGTTTATCTGGGAGGCCACGTGCCCAGCGAAGCATTATTACATTATTGTACAATAGGATGGGATGGGAGAGAAAGGAAGGAAAGAGGGAGGGGGAGGATGAAGAGAAGGAAGGAGGGAGGGAGAGGAGTAGGGAGGGAAAGAAGGAGGGAGGAAAGAAGGGAGGGAGGGAGAGGAGAAGGAGGAAAGGATGGATGGAAGGAAGAAAGGAAGGAAAGAGGGAGGGAGGGAGGAGAGAAGGAAGGAAGGAGCGAGAAAGGAGGGAAAGAGGGAGGGAAGAGAGAGGGAAGGAAAGGAGGGAGGAAGGAAGGGAGGGAAGAAAGATGGATGGAGGGAGGGAGGGAAGAATAGAAGGAAAGAAGGAGAGAGGGAAGGAGGGAGGAAGGAAGGAGGGAAGGAGGGAGGAAAGAAGGAGGGAGGAAGGAAGGGAGGGAGGGAAGAGGAAACACTGGACTCTAAGCATGTACAGTAAGCATTGTGAGCCTCAGTTTCCTCGTCTGTAGAGAGGGAAGCAGTTTCAAAGGCTGCTTGGAAGACTGATTGACGAGGCACAGTGCACCCGCAGGTAAAGGGGGACTACCTCACTGTTCTCCCGCCCCCGAAGACCTCCATGCTGGGCCAGGAGGACAGAGCGGGAGGTCTGCCCACTGCCCAGGAGCACCCCAGTGGGTGGAGTGAAGACTGGGCTGGCACACTGAGACAGTGGAGTCCACCGGGAGCTCAGGGGACTCAGGGACTCTTCAGCCCCTATCTGGGAACCCACTAGGGTTGGGACCCCTGTGCCAGACCTGGCCCAGCTCGGGGAGGGCTCTGCACTACCCGCTGCCTGTGGTCTGGCCCAGCCCCTGCCAGCACCGGCCCATGGTGATGTCACTCAGCATGCCCAGTGCCTGCAGCACTTCTCTGGTCTCTGGCCCCAGACCCACTGGCCGGCCGGACGCTCGATATATTCTGTTTTGAAAGAAAACAAACTCTTTTGAAACACTGCTGCTGGGAGCACAGGCTGAAAGTCTCGCCCCCACACTCCTTTCCCCTCCCATGGGAGCTGGTGCACATCTGAGCATCGGGGAAACCTGACAGGTGGGGCCACATGTGGGGCAGATGCCCCTTCCCCACCCTCCAAGGCAGCAGACGGGTACAGAGCCCCTGCTGTGTGGCTGCCTGGGATGCAGAGACAGCATTGAGACTGAAGGCAATAGGGAGCTATTGAAGGATTGAGAGGGAGAGTGACTGGGTCAGATAAGTGTCTCAGGAAGTTGGGGCAGTGCGACCCCCATTGGAAACATGTTGCAGTTGGTGTGAGTTGAACTAGGGGCACGATGGGGTGACAAATGTGAATGACATTTAACACAAGAAGCCACGGAGTTAGTGGCCACTCAGGCCCAAAGGGGCCCCAGATCATGCCAAGGCCTCCCAAGGCCGCCTCAACCTCAGGTCTTCATGGCAGGAACTGGGGGCCCCGTTTGGGAGGCTCTGGAGCTCCAGCAGAGCAGAGGGTCTGGGGAAGGCTTGCCAAGGCAGGGCCTTTGCCACATCCATGGTGGGGTGGGATGGGGGGTGGTCCTGAAGGGTCTGGGTGGTCAGGAAGCCCAGCCTGCATGGTCTCCCTCCAAGTGTTGTCAGCGCCTCGGGGGACCTTGGAACCGGGGCTGGGAATGCTCCACCTGCCAGCCTAGAGCAGCATGATCATGCCAGCCTGGCCCCCAAGCCAGTCCAGGGCAGTGGGACAGGGTGACCACAATAGCCTCAGAGGGGCAGAGTAACAATGGTGACCTCCTTCTGAGCTGTCCCTTGCACCAGGGACTCGGCATGGGACTGCTTTCATCCTCCAGAAGCAAGCCCAGGAGGTAGAGGCTGTCGGGGTGCCCACGCTGCAGGTGGGGAAATGGGTCCCACAGAGAAGGAGGACACTTGCTGGAGGTGACAGCCAGGGAGGGCCAGAGCCGGATCTAGCCCCCTGCAAACCTTCTGCTCACAGTTCGCACCAACTGTGAGCCCATAAAGGCATGAATATAAGGGGTGCATGCGTGTGCATGTGTGTGTGCATGCGCAGGTGTGTGTGTGTGTGTGCATGTGTGTGCATGTGCGAGTGTGTGGATGTGCAGGTGCTGGTGTGTGTCTGCATGTGTTTGCATGTGTGCACGTGCGAGTGTGTGCATGTGTGTGCCTGTGTGTGCATGTGCAGGTGCAGGTGTGTGCGTGTGTGTGAGTGTGCATGTGTCTATGTATTTTAATGAAGCCACAGTTGAGAGGCAGGATCTGGCTGGTGCCCTCACTCTTCCGTCACCAGTCCTCACTGTGGGGTCGAGGACAGGCCACACATGGGGCTTCCTTTCCTGTAACCCCATGCGTGAGCCAGCCCCTATTCCCTCAAGGACCCAGTTCTTTCCTTGAAGAAAATGGGGTTCTTATGCCTACTTCTCACAGTGTTCAGGGACTGAGCAGTGAGTTGTGAGGCTGACCACCCAGTGCCAGCCTGAGAGGCCCTGGGGGTGTTGGAAGGGCTCCGTGGTGGGGGGAATGGGTGGGTTGCTCTTCTGGGGCCCCCTCCCCCTTTGCAGGCAGGTCCAGGCTAGAGCACAGCTCCAGGCTCCCTGGCAAGATGCACCTGGACAGGTCTTTGTCCTCCAGCCTTGGGGAAGGACGGGTGACTTGTCTGCCTTCTTGGAGGAGGGTGCAGAGGGTGGGCTGTGGTGGGCATGGAATGAGGGGGTGTGTATGGGTGTGTGGGCTAACCCCTCCTGCCACAGGGCCTTAGCACATGCCATCCCCTCCAGCTAGCATCTTCCCCGTCCCCCGTCACACAGGTAACTCCCACCCCTGCCTCGGATCCCAGATCACGTGTCCCTTCCGGGGAAGCTGCCTCTGACTTCCCTGGCTAAGGCCACCCCCATGTCCCCCAGGGGCCTCTTCTATAGGAGCAGCAATGCCACACAGGGCTGTCTTCTAACATCTGACTGAGGGTGAGGCCCATGCCTTCCTGCCCACCACTTCATCCCTGTGCCCAGCACAGTGGCAGATGTAGGGTGGGCACTCAGAAATGTTTGTAGAATGAATGAAGAGAGGAATGAATTTGGCCAACTCCATGGCCTATGCCCCTGGCTAAGGCAGCCCAGAACTTAAGGTACTTTCCAAAGCAGCTCTGGGGAAGAGCCTCAAATGGTGGGAGAGAAGAAGGTAGGAGCCTAGGCCTGGGTAGCCTCTGAGGCTGGAGGTCTCCAGGGTGGCAGGGTGGCATCATGATCGAGGTCATGGATTGCCTGCATGCTCCCATGGAGCTGCCTGCATGCTCTCATCATCTGGCTGAGGCACCACAGACAAGGGACTCAACTGCCCTGTGCCTCAGTTTCTCCCTCTGTAAAATGGGGATACTAACGCACCCTACAGGACTGCTGTGAAGACTCAAGAGAGTTCATGTAAAGTCCTCAGAACAGTGGCTGGCTCACTGTAAGAGCTGGGTGTTTGTCAGATTTCTTTATTTTTTCCTTATTTGCTTTGAAATCAAGTTTTTTTAAACAATATAAATGACAGATAAATGTTCAAGACATACATGCAAAAGAAACAAAAAAATCTAAAAGAACATTTAAATCCCTACAAATCTCACCTGCCAAAGAAACTACTTATATTAGTCAGGGTTAGGTTCTAGTGTGAATAATAGACACCTCCCCAAATAGCAGTGGACTAAACAACACAGAAATTGCTTTCTCTCTCAAGTGAGAGTCTAGAAATGGGATAGGAGGTGGTTGGTCCTGCTCTGCAAAGCCTTTGGAGACAGTCACCTCCTGACTATTCTCTGAGCCGTTAACCTGGAGGTATGGTTCTTGCCTTTGGGTCCAAAACAGCAGCCAGAGCTCCAGCCATCACGTCCAAGTCCCAGGCAGCAAGAAAAAAGAAGGGATGAACAAAGTGCATGTCACTTGCCTTTTAAGGAAGACTTTTGGAAGCTACAATATGTCCTTTTCTTTATCTTCTTTTCCCATGTGTAACATGGCCACACCTAGCTGCAAGAGAGTCCAGATAGATGGTCTTTACTACAGGTGGGCCATGTGTCTTTTTCACTGTAAAGGGGATCACAGGTAGCTTCCCACGCCCACAAATAAAGATTCACAGATTTTTAAAGGCTGCTTGCAATTCCATCAGGCAGAGGTTTGATGATTTCACCAGTATCAACAGACATGCAGACCATTGCCAGTTTTCTGGTATTACAGCCCCTGACACCCCTGGATGTATCATCTTTGCACCGGGTTGGAACATTCCTTCCCGTAAGTTCCCAGAAGTAGAAATGCTGAGTCAAAGAGGATACACTTTTGACATTTGGACATGAATTGAGAAATTGCCCTTCAGAAAGGTTGGCCCAGTTTGCAATCCTCCTCACCATGCTGTGGGGGCTCAGGATGGAGCTGAGAATGTCCCCAGACCTGAGGCTCAGCTGCCCCTGCTGGGTCCCTCTTGGCATTGTGGGTTTGCTCCCATATTTACTCCAAATTTAGGACTTTTTCCTCCCTTCCCCATGGTAGAGGTCGGGGAAGTGTGCCCCCAATCCTCCCAGTGGGATCCTTGGGGAAGCCCCTGCCTTGGACAACACCAATCATGAGGTCCCAACCCCTCTAGATGACAGCAAGGAGCAGGAGCCTCCCATAGTGCCTGGGGCTGTTGTTTGAGCTAAGCAGGGGCAGGTGCCTGGGGCTGTTGTTTGAGCTAAACAGGGGCAGTGGCTGCCACCCTGAATGAGGGGCTGGGGCAGGCATCCTGTGGGTGATCACCCTGGCCCCTCAATCAGATGGACAAGGAGTACAGCCACCAAGCCTTGAGATGCTGTGCTGCAAATGCCCGGAAATGTGCATCAGCCTGGCTGGGGCAGGCCTGACGGCTCCTAACCGCAGCTGGCAGCAGGGTGCCAGATTTCACTCCAAATAAAAATACAGGATGCCCAGTTAAATCTGAATTTCTGATAAACAACAAAAGTTTTAGTATAACCTAAATACTGTATGGACAAAGGATCGAAGAAAGTGCATGCTACTCGCCTGTTTAAGGAAGCTTCCTAGAAGATGTAACATGTCCTTTCTCCTTTATCTCCCATGGGTGACACAGCCCCACCCAGCCGCATCCTTTACTTTATTTGGCAGCCCTCACTGGCAGCACTGGGGCCCCTGGAAGCAGCAAGCCCAGTGGAAAAAACCTGGACTTTGACACCAGACAGCCTGGATTCAAATCTTGGCCTTTGCCTCTGGTAGCTGTGGACTTCTGGCCTAGTCACTTAACCCCTCTGTCCCTCAGTTTCCTCGTCTATACATATGGGGGCAAGAATAGCACCTACTTAATGAGGGCATAATGAATATTACAGGAAAGACGTCTGCCTTCAGCGACATGGAAGTACAGATTAGCTCTATGCCTTTCCTCTATGCAACGTTCAGAAATGTTGTATACATTTTAACTAACATCCTTTTCAGTGCATAGCTAAGGGGCACGAGAAAACAAGGGAAATCTCTGCGGTGTGGAAATAAAGACAGAATTAAAGCGAAGGGTGGGAAGTTTGTGGGGTGAGGCCGCAGAAGACCTGGGAGGGATCGCTGGTTGTGGTTCCCCGGAGGCTGCAGCCGTGCTCAACAGCCAGGAAGGGGCCAGGGATGAGGCTCCTGTCCCATGTGGGGCAGAGTCAGAGCTGAGCACCCCATGGGGAGCCAGTGTTCACAAAGTGCCTCCCTCTCAGGACACGGGTAAAGGAGGTAAGTCTGCCCACTGGCTCAGGGAAATGAAATGAAGTTGACAGGGGAAGAAAAACCTCTCTACTAGGAACCCATCATCATTGGTCTGTCTTCAGACTGCATTCAGATTGAAATGCCTCTATTTACCTTATGGCCTGGTAACTCTCAAGTCAAGAAATTACCATAGAGAGTGAGCCTGAACCAGTGACCCATGGGGCATCTAGAAGAATCAAACCCAAAACCTCACCAGAGAGACTTCAGGACCATCTGGGATTTCTATAAATAAAGTCCATCGGAAGATGAGCTCACAATAATAAATTACAAACACAAAGGAACTGATCACCAGGAGTAGAATCAGCATGCATGGGTTTAAAACCTCAAAGGCACTGATGTTTGCAGGTGAAGACGATAGAATAATACATTTTTAATGTTCAAGGAACTACAAGGAGGAGTTGAAAACACGGAAATGGCAAGTCATCATGAAGATGAAATAGATATGTTTCAAAATGAACCAAATAGAATTTCTAAAAATTAAAAGTTAAATTAAAGCTCCATGTCTTGAGACTTCTTTGTTTGGGCCATGGTCATGAAAAGGGTTGGGTTAATTCACCCATTGAAACAACTAGAAAATGAGATAAAATGGACGAAATAACGATTTTTTTAAACACAATGCCAACAGGTAGAGCAGGACTGGGGCCCCCGGGAGAGGGAAACACACAAAGTGGGTATGACAACCACTCTGGCTTCCACCTAGTGGCAAGTTTCTGGAGAAAGAAAGAAGGAGGGGCACAGGAGCAAAGCATGGTGGCCCCAGTGTTGAGGACTCATAAATTCATCTGATAGAAAAGTAAAGCAGATGACATGCCAAGGAGCCCAATTAGGCTGACAGTAAAAATAGAAACCAGAAAACAACAGAAATGATACAAAGGTTGAGAAAAAATGATGATCAAATGGTGCTTATATAGCTGATACACTATCCTTCAAGAGCAAGGGTGACATAAAGACATGTTTGGACCCAAAATATTAATAGAATTTACCACTTACTTTGACAGATGAGTGGGTTTTTAAAAATGTGGTGTATATATACGACATTTATTATATATAATGTATTATATATGTACAATATATGATATAATATATACTATATTATAATGATATGTACTATATTATATATAATATATAATAAATACATAATATATTCTAAATGCAATATACAATATAAATATATAATATATAATCTATTATATATGTATTAATATAAATTTATATGTACAATATACAATGTACAATATAATATATAATAAATTATATAATTATATAATTATATACTATCTATACTATATATTATAATATATAGTGTGTATATACTATATACATTATATATATACTATATACATTATATATACTATATATAATATAATATATAGTGTGTATATACTATATATTATAATATATAGTATAGACAATATATTATTATATAGTATATTTATATAAAATACACCATATATTTTACATGTAATATATTATGTAAATATACTATATATACCATAATATGTAGTCTTTTTTGTAAATATACTATATATACCATAATATATAGTATGTTATGTACATGAGGTAGCTAAAGTAGTCAAACTCGCAGAAGCAAAGACTAGAATGGTGAGTGCTAGGGGTGGCTGGTAAGATGGGTGCTAATCACCCAGTATCAATTTTAGTTACGCAAGATGAAGAAGTTCTAGAGATCTCTATACAGCATTATGTCTAAAGATAAGACTGAGTTGGGCATTTAAAAATCTGTCAAGGGGATAGAACTCATGGTAAATGTTTTTTACCACAATAAAATAAGATAAAATAGGATTTACCACTTACGAGATCTACACTGAAAGAAATGCATATATAAAGAAATTGGAAAGAATTTGATGAACATGTGAGTAAATCCTAACAAACATTGACAGTATAAAATACTATTATTATAATAAAATCATACTTTGAAAAATGTGAAAATAATACTGAATAAAATTAACAAGATAAAAGGAAGACAATCTTAAGACTATAAGTTCTTATATTCTTCAGCAAGTTCTTATATTCTTCACCCAATTGGGTGGAGGTAGTTAATTTATACTTACTTAAGTCAAACATGTGTGTTAAACATTGTAAATTAAAGCCCCAAAAGATTAGAAGTCTATTATATAACTTCCAGGTGAGTAGGGGGCAAAACAGGAATGAATGAAACTCAGTTAATCTAATACAAACAAGAGAATAATAATCATAAGAAATACATCAAAAATGGCAAGTCCAAAATGACACCAGTAGATATTACTCCTATAATATTATTAATTACAGTAAATGTAAATTAACTAAAAACACAATTCAAAAGAGTTTGTATGAACTGACTAGAAACAAACAAAATGTAGCTATATGCTGTTTACAAGAGACACACCTATGATGTAAAGACATAGAAACGTTAATGGATGAAAAGTATGTATTAAGCAGAAACTAACCAAGAAGAATCTGATACAGCGATATTAATGTCAAACTAAATGGCTTTTAAGATTATAAAAAAGTGTAGAGGATGATAGGTACAATTTCCCAAGGAGATATAACAATTCGCTAGAATTTATTGCATTTGTCAGTATTGCCTTAGAAGTATCTTTTTTTAATGGCATGATTACAAAGAGAAATAGATAAATTCATAATTATAGAGTGATATTTTAATGGTCTATTTCGATATTTGGTAGTACCACCCGGCCAAAAAAAGAATAGAGCAGTTTAGAATATCACAGCATAGAACGGTATTCAAGAAGACAAACTCTGGCTAAACTACGTGGTTCAAATCCCAGTTCTCTCTCACTTACTGGCTGTGTGTTTGAGCTCAGGAAAATGATTTAACCTCTCTGTGCCAATTCCTCAAAATCAATCTGTTTCCCTGGATAACCCTGACAAATATATAGTACATTTGCAAAATGAATAAACAACAATCAAGAAAAAAAGAGACAAAAAGAAAAAGGGAAGAAATCAGAATATTTAAAAGATAGTGCCTACTTAAGTAAACTATATGCTTAATAAATCTGAAAATGTAAATGAAATGAGGTACCTTTCTTAAAAAAATGGACTCGAGAAATTGAAAACTATATTAGCCCTTTAGCCTCTAAAGAAATTGAGTTGGTAAATTTTGTAAAGCCTTAGCGTGCTTATCTCTAAAATGGTGGTAATAACTGTATGGACCTCAAAGGAGTGCTACGAAGATTAAATGACTCAGTATTTATAAACCACTTGGAACAAAGTCTGGTCCATTGTTAGCAATCTCTAAGTGTTTGTTAAATAAAATAAACTATCCTGAGCTAATGGACATAAGCATATCCGGCCCCTGACAATTAAAGAATAACATTCTGTGTATTCAAGAACATATGGGATATTTATAAAAATTGGCAACGTGTCAGGCCACAGAAGTTCAACAAATTCTAATAAGTGATATAATATAGAACACATTTTCTGACTACAATGAAATTAAGTTAGAAATCCATAATAAAATAACTCAAAAACCCCTACATATTCAAAAATTTTAGAACACACTTGTAATTTGACGCTTGAACAATGTGGGGTTTGGGGTGCCAATCCCCTGTGTAGTCTAAAATCCCCGTATACTTTTGATTCCTTAAAAATGTAACTACTAATAACTTCCTGTCGACTGGAAACCTTGCGGATAACAATCAATTCACACATATTTTGTATGTTATATGTATTGTATACTATAGTCTTATAATATTATAATAAAATATGCTAGAGAAAAGAAAATGTTCTTAAATGCATAAGGAAGAGAAAATATATTCACTATTCATTAAGTGGAAGTGGATCATCATTAAGGTCTTCATCCTCACAATCTTCATGTTGAGTGGGCTGAGGAGGAGGGGTGGAGGAGGAGAAGCGGGGAGGAGGAGGAGTAGGTTGAGGAGGAGGAGGGGGTAGAGGGTGAGGAGTGGGGAGGAGGAGGAGGCGGTGGAAGAGGAGGAGGACGAGGAGGAGTTAGCTTGCTGTCTCAGGGGTGGCAGAGGTGGGAGAAAACCTGCCTATAAGTGGATGCATGCAGTTCAAACCCCTGTTGTTCAAGGGTCAACTGTAATTCAAAGAGAAAAGAAGAAATTGTGGAAATGATACGATGTTTTTAACTAAAAGATGGTAAAATGCTATGTATTGACATTTGTGGGATGCAGTGAAAGTGACATTTAAAGAAAAATTAAAGTCTAAAATGCTTATATTAGAAAAGAAGAAAAGCTAAACTTTTACAAAGCTAAGTGACCAACTCCCCCCCGGAAAAAAAAAAAAAAACATAAAAAATAGGGGAAACTAAAAAAAAGTAAAAAGAAGGAAATAATAACAATCAGAGAGGACATTAATAAGATAGAAAAAAGGAAAAAAACAGCATCAACAAAGCTAATAACTAGTGCTTCGACAACAAAGCTTTGCAAAGATTGATTAAGTTAGAGATGGAGAAACAAAAACAGAAAAGAGAAAAATGCCAAAGGGAATAGGCCAGGTGCAGTGGCTGACGCCTGTAATCCCAGCACTTTGGGAGGCCAAGGCAGGAGGATTGTTGAGTCCAGGAGTTCGAAACCACCCTGGGCAACACTGTGATACTCTGTAATAGTTTTTTGAGCTGATTCCTCTTAAAATCAATCTGTTTCTCCGTATAACCCTGATGAATATACAGCACATTTTACAAAATGAATAAATGACAATCAAAAAAAGAGCAAAGAGAAAAAGGGAACAAATCAGAATATTTAAAAGATAGTGTCTACTAAACTATATGCTTAATAAATCTGAAAATGTAAATGAATTGGTACATTTCTTACGAAACAGACTCAAGAAATTAAAAACTGTGTTAGCCCTTTAACCTTTAAACTAATTGAATTAGTAAATTTTTAAAAATCCCTTTTATTTTTATTTATTTATTTCTTTTTTAAGAGACAAGGTCTAGCTCTGTGATGCAGGCCGGAGGACAGTGGTGTGATCACAGCTCACTGCAGCCTTGAACTCCTGGGTTCCAGCAATCCTCCCACCTCAGCCTCCTTAGTAGGCGTGGCTACAGGTGTGTACCACCATGTCCAGCCCTAAATTTCATTCTTTTTAATTTCAATATTGTTATGTGTTTTCTAATGTTTTATAACTTATTGGTATGGTAGATGTACATGTATACAAATTAAAAGAAAATTTATATATATTTTACTGGGGATGCAAGCTCAAAATTTTTTTTTTTTAAGTAATGGAAGACAGCAAAAGAAGTTTGGAGATTCCTGGTTTAAAGCATTTAAAGCCTCTGTGAAAATTTGCCCAGGTATTTACCTCACAACAGGTCTATGAGTTTGGTATTATTTGTCCTTTCTTACGGATGAGGCAGTCCGGGCTTATGGATGAGGCAGTCCGGGCTTGGAGAGCGGGGCGGAGGGTGGTGGGGGGCCTGGGACACGCTCTCCCCAGTCCAGCCAACACCTGCTTCCTGTTGATGATCCTCACCAGGCCAACAACTTCACTTTCCACACTCAGTGCCACGAAGTGCAGCTCTAAGCTGGGGATTTCTGTGCAGAGATGATCCACTGAGTGCAACCCACCACCGTGCGGACACCACCCCTGCAGAATCATCTGTGAAAACAACCCCAGGCCCAGACATAGGGGCCAGCTAAGCTTCGTAGCCCTCGAAATACAGGGAGTGCCCCCTCTGGACCCTCGAGCCCACAGTCCATCCACCACAGAGGTGTCTGCTGCTCATCAGATAGTTCCTACCAAGAAAATGCTGTGTGAACCCATCTGTGTGGCAAACCGGCACGGGGAGAAAGCTGACTTCCAAGGACGTCTACCAACTGTCACTTGCAAACCAGAACTTGCCTCTTTGTAGATGAAGACTGGCAGGGCTGAAGAAATGATCTCATGTTGAAATTAATGATGAGCTTCAGGGTGAGGTGACTCAGTTCGAATGCTGTTGAATGTTGGTGTCATGGGACTTTTACAAGAAGTAAAACTGGGCTATAAAAATGATCCCCTTCCCCTCACTAGAGAAGGGAGGTTCTATTCCTCTCTCTGTCTTTCCCTCTCTCTATATATACCAAAGGTCAAATCTTTGGTATTTTGCATTGAGTCTTTAATTATTCATTCACTTTGACCTAGTAATTGCACTTCAGAAAAATAAAGGAAAAACTCGGGGCATAAGTGGTGGTTATGGGGGGCAGGGGAAGCGGGCATGTGGTTGTTTTTCTCTTTTATTTTTAAATTTTTTGCTTTTTCTGCATTTCTCAGGTTTGCCCTAATGAGATGCCTGACTTTAATAAGAGAAGAAACCATCAGTGTTTGCAAAGCCCCCTCAGTGTGCCTCACACTCCCTCTTCAGGCACAGCAGGCATCTTCTCTGAGTGCCAGGGCCCCGGTGACCACACACCCACATACACGGACCACCCACTCAACCCCTCAGGGAACACTGCCACCCCCACTTGCTACATCAACTGCCTTTTCACCTTGTTTAGAAGCAAAAGTCAACTCAGGGGCCAGGAGACCCTGGGCATGGGGCTAGGTCTGGGCAAGGTCTCGAGTCAGGGAGAGAGGGGCAAGGAGCCATGTGCCTGGAGTGAGGCTGTGTCCCTGCCCTGGGCAAGTCAGGGTGGCTGGAACCTGCCCTTCTGGAGTGGGCCCCTCGAACTTGTTAGAGTACTTATAACCTCCTGTCTGCACCCAGAAAACCCGCCCAGGAAGCATTTCATGTGGTGAAGAGAGATTCCAAACTGGAACTTGGAGGCTCGTTCCCAGCCCCTCTCTGACGCCGATTTCTTGAGTTGATTTTGCCTGTGCATTGAGCAGTTGGGGCTACATAAGGTTTACAGGATTCTAAAAAATTATCATGACATATGTCAGGCATACCAAAAGTGTAATGAGTCATAGAATAAACACCTAGGCACACCCCTACTCAGCTGAAGAAGTAAAACAGTATCAAGGTAGTGGAAATCCCTCCTGCATCCCTCTTCCCCCTCCCCAGTCTCCCACAACCCTTCCCCACCCCACTCGCAGTGGGGAGAAGCATGGCCCTCAGCTCTCTTTATGCGCTCACTTCTTATATCTCCCTAAACAATATATGAAACAATTTTCCATAAGCGTCACTTGAATACAAGCAGTCTAATATTGTATATACTTGCCTGTAACTTGCTTTTGTTTTTACTTTTCCTCTTGAAATAATGTTGAATTCACAGAAGAGTTGCACAGATGCCAAGTTCCCTGACACTCTTCACCAGCTTCCCCTAGTCTGAACATCTTATATAACCACAGTCCATTGATCAAAACTAAGACATTTACATTGGTGCATCCCCATCAACTAAGTCACACTTTGGCTCAAATTCCACCAGTGTTTCCACTCATGTCCTTTTTGTGTTCCAGGATCCTGGGACTTCAGGACACCACGTTGTATGTAGCTGTATGCCTCCTTAGTCTCAATGTCATGTTAGTGATATCTGATGTGTGTGCTCATCTTCACTGTTCCACGGTATTTTATTGTGTGAAAACAGCACAATTTATCCATCCACTCTCCTATTGATGGACATTTAGGCTGTTTTCAAATTTGCCATTAAAAATGCTGCAGTGGACTTCCTTGTGCACATCTTCTTATGAGCGCTTAGGGCTGGGGTTAGGAGCGGAATTGCAGGCTCACAGGGAAGGGCCAGAGTCGGCTTCACTAGGAAGCAAAGTTGCTTTCCAAAGTCCCTTGGCCAATTTACTCTGGCAAAGTCTGAGTTCCCATTTCTCTATGTTCCTGCAGCACTTGCTAATGTCAGACTTCCAAATTTCTGTAAATCTTGGGGGAGCAGGATGTGAAATGACATGACTTGTTTGAATTTGCATTTCCCTGTTAGGTTGAACAGTTTCTCAATGGTTATTTGTCATCCAAGCTTTGTCTCTAAATTTCCTCTTCTGTTAAGGTTTCCCCCCATTTTTCTATAGGATGATTTTTTTTCACAATTTAAGTGTTTGTGTGTGTATGTGATACTAATAATTCATTATCACTGTAGACATGAAGATGTGCCTCTGACATTTCCCTTAAGGAAAGGACTTGCTAATTGAGTTAAGGAGCTTGAGAGGAAGGGATCATCCTGGATTATCTGGGTAGGCCCCAAATCCAATGATGGTGTCCTTATTAACAGAGGGGCAGAGGGAGGTTTGAGACAGACATGCAGAGTAGAGAGGTGGACAGAACAGAATAGGCAGAGAGGAGAAGGTCAAGTGAGGCGGAAGTAGACATCAATGGCCTGTCTCCTCCCTGGCCAAAGCTGACTGGGCAAGAGAAGGACCCATGAGCTGAGCCAACCCCTGTGGCTGACCAGTGGCCTGGCAGGCATTGCCCATTGAGGAAAGGTGCTTTCACAGGAAGGCTGCAGTACATTGGGGTGGGGTGCCCATGCTGGGCCATGTGTGGGACAAGGAGAAACAGAAGAATCTAGTCTTGGAGAAATGGTGGCCGTGGTGATGTGGAGAGAGAAGCAGGGATGAAGGAGACCTGGGAAGCCCTGGCATTTCCAGATGCCCTGAAATTGAATTGGTAAGTTTTTAAAAATCCCTTCTATTTATTTATTTATTTATTTATTTATTTATTTATGAGAAAGGGTCTAGCTCTGTGACCCAGGCCGGAGGACAGTGGCATGATCATAGCTCACTGCAGCCTCGAACTGAGCACCAGCTGCTTTCAGCTCCTGTCCACAGTGAGCTGTTGCAAGAGTTTCCTGGGGCTGCTGGAGCAAAGTACCCCAAACTGGGTGGCTTCGAGAAGACAGACTTATTCTCCCAGTTCTAGAGGCTGAAAGTCTGGGACGAGGTGTTTGCAGGGCAATGCTATCCCCAGACGCTCTGGGGAAGCATGCTTCCTCACTTCTCCCTGGCTCCTGACAGTTTCCTGTGGGTCTTTGAGGTTCCCTGGCTGGTCGAGGTCTCACTCCTGCCCCGGTTTTCATGTGGCCACCTTCCCTCCATGCTTGTCTGTCCCTGTGTCTGAATTTCCCCTTTGTGTGACACCAGGCTTCTTGGGTTAGGACCCAGACTCATGACTTCATTTCAACTCCATTCCCTCTATAAATACCCTGTCTCTAAATGAGGCCACATCTACGGTACTAGGGGTCAGGCATGAACGTATCTTTTTAGGAAAAATCAATTCATTCCCAATACCTGAGAACTCGTCTTTTGCATCCTTGTAATAGTATTCCCCTTTTATTTGAGGAGTGAGAGTGGGTTTCCTTGCTTGTAACCGGTGGGTCTCCACCACAGTGGTTTGTGGGTGCTCACTTCCATGTGAGTGAGGAGCCGGGGGGCCCTGGGGTGTGCTCCCACGGGCTGTGTCTGTCCGCACCGCACAACAGGTGACGGCCAAAGCTGTGGGCAGAAAGTAGAGAACTGGATGCAAGTGTTTGCCAGGTTGGCCTCGGAATGTTAGATCAGCCTCTGGCCCCCCAAACCTCCAGGAAAAGAAGCAGTGGTGGGGTTCAGCCTGAACCCTAAACAACCTCCATGACTGGTCCCGTTCTTATTCCATTTTGTGGGTAGAGACTGGACTGGTGTTTGAAGGTTTCTCACATTATTTTCCGTGTCTATGCCTCCACAGTTTCCTGCGGCTGTCTGCACACCCAGACCAGAGCAGTTCCTGCCTTTGCGCTTTGCACCATTTTCCTTGGTGAACTTCTATTCATCCTTCAAAGCCCAGCAGTAATCATCCTTTAGAAAGTCTTCTTTCAGAGGGAACCAAAAAGGTAATCGCTGGAGACAGACAGATGCTGCCTGAATGCCTGTTGTGTTGTGTGGTTGTGGGAATGTTACTTCACCTCTCCGTGCCTCAGTTTCCTCAGCTGTAATGGGGATGGTAACAGTGTCTAGGGGTACTGCTTGGAATGCACATAGGGAGATGAGTGAAGGCCCAGCACTAGAAGAGTGCAGGCACTAGCAGAGTGCAGGCGCAATTGCTGCTGGGACCAGCAGGTAACTCGCATCCAAGTTACAGTGCCCAGCCCCAGCAGCAGCCTCAGCACCAGGCAGAGTGTGCTCAGCACTGTGGGGGGCCAAGAGGACTTGAGGGCCGCTGGTCTGTGATTCTCTCATCTCTTTTGAGGTTCAGGACTTGGCGTCTCTCCTAGAAGCTCTGGGGAACCTGACAAATCCTCCAGGAGGACACAGAACGCAGGAAGGGCTGGCTCGGGGTGCACCAAGATGGCTGCCCCGAGACACCGTATCTGAGGGCTTGGGTGGAACTGAGGAGAGGGCGGCTGGGAAGGCCATCCGGGAGGAAAGGGCAGACGGCTACGGCAGCGTCAGGTGGTACAGTTTGCCCCGGAAGTGAGGTAAAGAAGAGAGCGGGAGGAGAGAGGGCCACATGCCTCTCAGCCATGGCCCTGAATGCTGGCTTGGCTGAGCCTCAT
This sequence comes from Homo sapiens, assembly GCF_000001405.40. Lineage (NCBI taxonomy): Eukaryota > Metazoa > Chordata > Mammalia > Primates > Hominidae > Homo > Homo sapiens. Next base: position 69,372,211 of record NC_000011.10, read on the forward strand.
CTTTGCTGTTTGCAGAATGGGGAGAATTGTGCCTGCCCAGCCTCCTCCTTGGGGACTCCAGGGGCCCAAAGAACCAAGAGCTGCAAATGTCCTGGTGGCCTTGGAAGTTTATGGATGGTACAGATCTGGGGTGGAGGGCATGGCCAGGACAGGGAGGGCTGTCAGAGAGAGGGTCTGTGGGTTTGTGGAGTGTGGGGATCAGTCGCTGACTCATTAGATGAACCAGGAGCCTGCATGCTACAGCCCACCTGCCAAATCTTGCCCCCACCTGCTTTTTAAAATAAAGTTTTATTGGAACATGGCCATGCCCATTCTTGTACATGTTGTCTATGCTGCTTTGCTTTCCAATGCCAGAGTCGGGGAGCTCTGGCAGAGACTTCAGGACCGCGAAACCAAAAACATTGACCATCTGCCACTTACAGAAATGTTTGCCGACGCTTGAGCAAAAAATAATAACTTGTCAGATGCACTCAAGCACTGAGCACCAGGCCCTGTTTTAGGTGCTGGGCACACAGCCATGATGAAACTGGAATTTTCTACCCTCGTGGAGACAACATTCTGGTGGAGGGAGAAAGAACAAGCAAAATAAAGAAGGAAATTGTCTGGGCTGCAGGGGATACATGTTAGAGAGAGAGTCAGAGCAGGAAGCAAATCAGAGGGTGGGGAGGGCGACTGAAAGAAGGGTGTCAGGTGGCCTCACTTATGACCTGGAGAAAGAGAGGGGAAGAGCTCTGTGGGTGTCCCAGGTAGTGGGAACTATGGCTATGCAAAGGCCCTGAGGCAGGAGTGAGGAGTCCGGGCGGCTGGAGCAGGGGAGAGGGTGGGCAGTGGGAGACGTGGACAGCAGGTCACAGCCACCCCCGGTATGGCCTTCCAGGCTGTTGTGGGGACCTGGGCATTTACTCTGATGGGAACAAGCAACCACGGTAAGTTCTGAGTAGAGGAGGGCTGTAGTCTGACGTAGGCTAGGCAGGATCCCTGGGCGCTATGAGCATAAGGACAGCAGCTGGGGCAGGATAGAGATGCAAGTGGACCAGGGTGGTGGCCGTGTGTAGAGGCGGGCAGGTTCCAGAAGGTTCTGGAAGCAGGGCTTACTAGATTCCTGCATCAGATGGAGGAGGCAAGAGAAGAAGGGGCCCAGCATGACTCTAAACCTCAAGATTGTGTTTGCCTGTCTCATCCATCTTTCCTTTCTGCCTCCCAGTCTGTGAGCCCCTTGAGGTTGGGGTCACCCCTGGCCATCTTATCCCTCATGGCCACCACTGTCCACAGCTCTGCAGGGCACCCACCCAGTATCTGTGGGGTAAGTGAATGCATGAGTGAACCAATGGTGGTCTTCTACTTCCTTGGGGAGTGTTATGGGCTGAGTTACATTCTCCTCAAAATTCCTAAGTTGAAGCCCTAACCCTCTGTGCCCCAGAATGTGACTGTATTTGGCAACAGAATCTTTAAAAAGGTAATTAAGTTAAGGCCAGGCGTGGTGGCTCCCGCCTGTAATCCCAGCACTTTGGGAAGCTGTGGCAGGTGGATCACCTGAGGTCAGGAGTTCAAGACCAGCCTGGCCAATGTGGTGAAACCCCATCTCTACTAAATATACAAAAAAGTAGCTGGGCATGGTGGTGGGTGCCTGTAGTCCCAGCTATTTGAGAGGTTGAGGCAGGAGAATCTCTTGAACCTGGGAGGCAGAGGTTGCAGTGAGCCGAGATCACGCCACTGCACTCCAGCCTGGGTGACAGAGCAAGACTCCGTCTCAAAAAAAAAAAAAAAGTAGTTAAATTAAAATGAGGCCATTAGAATGGGCCCTACTGCTGTCCTTATAAGAAGAGGAGATTGAGACACAGACATGCACAGAGGGACAACCGTGTGAGGACACAGGGGGAAGGCGACACCCGCGAGCCAGAGAGAGAGGCCTCAGGAGGACCCAGGCCTGCGACACCTTAACCTTGGACTTCCAGCCTGTAGAATGTGGGAGAACACATGTCTGCCCTGGAAGCCCCAGCCTGCGGTGCTGCACTATGGTGCCTGCAGGAACTGTAGCACAGGGTGAGGCAGATGGTGGGCGTGGAGCAGGGCACACCGCCATGGGCGAAGAAACAGATTCTTCGTAGAGTGCGGCACCCAGTCAGGCACCTGGGAGTTGGTGGCTGAGCTGGGGCAGGACTTGACCTCCTGGACTCACCTCCATCTGGGGGAGGCGGGGCCGGGTGGCAGGCAGCGTGCACATGGCCCCTGGAGTGGCTGCGAGATGCTGCCCCCAGGAGCATGGGAACACCAGCTGTCAGCACTTGCTCAGCTGCGACCCACACCTGGCGTGTTACAGCTGCAGAGGAAAACAGGCCTGATGGGTGTGGCCTCCTCTCCAGCGGCCTCCTGTGCCCAGGACAGGGCACCTCAGGCCTCGGAGGCTCCTCCCCAGCCCACCCCTTGGGAGCCTGTTGTGCCCGGGGTGGGTGGGGCAGATCTTGCTCGCAGCCAGGCGGCAGCTTATCCCACCAGACACTTCCTCTGCATGGGTCTGCTTCCTGCAGATCCTGCAGCTCAGCCAGGACCCTCTCCACTGCCGTCCACTGCTCCATGTGGGGGTGGGCCGGAGTCTGGGGCCAAGATGAACCAGACCTGCGGCCAGGGAGGGCCCTGCTCATTCCCCAGGTTTCCCCGGATGGCACTGGGGTGGGGGGACCCCAGGGGTAGCTGCCTCTTCACCTTGCTCCCCCATGCATGGGGCTGCAAGAGCAGGAAGCCCATTCCCAGCACAGTCTACTGCCTGGGGCTGAGCGGCCCATGAGGGACGAGGTCACATTCTACAGAGGCCACATGGAAAGGACAGGGCTCGCCCTGGGCCTGAGGGGTCACCAGGCTGGCCTTTTCCCAGAGACCCTTGGTAGAGGAGATGGTTCAGGGTGACTCTAGATATGGAGTCTGAGCCCAGATGTGGGGTCTGGTGCCCTGTTTGTCACTGTCAGGGTTCGAAGTGTGACCTTGGGCAGACAGGACCCCACTTGACCCACTTCCTCCAACTGTGCTGAGAGGGAGAATGGGCCTGGGACTCCCTGGGGTCCCTAGGTGGCACTGGAGAGGCCACACTTCATGCTGGCAGGGGCCCCCTGCAGACTCTTACTCCAGAAGAGGATGGGTTTAGCCCTGAGCAGGGCTGGGGAGAGGCCTTGGTGCAGTGAGAAGGAAAGCTCCCTGTCCTCACACTGTCTCAGCAGGGACAGGTGCCAGCAAAGTTGTGAGTCCCTCAGCCCATAGGTGAGAGTGGCGGCCGGCGTGGGCCCCAGGTTTCTGTGTGTGTCCCGGGCTGTGCAGTGTGGCCAGCAGGTCAGCCCCGCTGTGCAGAGCTGTTCTCAGGGGTGGCCTCCTCCTCCTTGTCCTGTTTGTCCTCACAACAGCAGCTACTTCCCTGGGCCTGGGGCCACACAGACCGGCTCCTCGGTCACCCAGGGATAGTCCAGTCACGTCTGCAGAGTCTTTTGGCCAGGTAAGGTCGCACATTCACCATGTGAATTGTGATTAGAATGTGGACGTCTGGGGGCCATGATTCAGCCAACTGCACACAGGAAGGAGACATAGGGGTAAAGACATCAGGAGAGGATCCCCCAGGGAGGAGTGGGTGTGGTGGTCCCAGGGACAGCACAGAGTGGGGTGTCAGCACGTCTGGGTGATTTGGGAAGATGAGACATGCTGGGGAGCACCAGAGAGTTAGCTGGGCCCAGAGCACGCAGCTCCCTCTCCAGGCCCCGGCTTTAAAGGGCCCCCATCTGGCCCTCCCCAGGCGAAGAGCAAGGGGTTCTCAGGCCAGGGACACATGGGCACCGAGGGCCCAGGCTCCGAGGACCCAGGAAGCGGGCTCCTGGCCTGTGGCCCACGCCTGCCTGCAGTTCCTGCGTCATCCGCGGCTCCCCAACAACCCGCTTGTTTGTCTGCCCTTCACAGCCAACTCCCCACCCCACCCACTAGATGTCAGTTTGGGGCCCGGAAGCGTGTCCTTTCCAGCTCAAGGTCCTCACACCATGCCCAGGGCATCTGACTTATGGTGGGCGCGTCTCCATCATTATCTACAGAATGAATGAATGTGTGAATGAATGAATGGGTCTTGGAGCTGCCTATGAGGAAGGTAATTCCTATCATCACCCCAGCGTACACATGAGGCGACTGGGGTCAGCCCACAACACACAGCTGCAGAGCGGTGAGTCGGGGACACCTGGGTCTAATCTCGGCTTCACAATGACCCTCGGCTGAAAGCTCTCCGGCCCTTCCTCCAGGGTTGCTGGCTCTGTGCTGAGCCCAGCCCCTTCTCTGAGCAGCTTTGAGCCCAGAAGCCTCTGCAGGCCCTATCTGGGGTGGCCTCGAGGATCTTGGGGTGGTGTTGGGGGTGGTCTCAAATGGGCCTCAGGCTGGTGCCTGCGGGGCCGTGGGGAGCATTTGAACATTTCCTCTTCCCTTCCTGGGAAGGGGGTGCCAGGGGTCTGGGGGTCCAGCCAAGGCCCATGCCTTCAGCCCAAAATGGGGCCAGATGGGGTTGCCAGGCCTCCAGGAGGCCCTTCTTCCCATTGTCTGGGAGGGATAAGACAGTAACGAACCCATCAGACCCTTGCCTTCACCCTCTCGCCTTCACCCTCTCGCCTTCACCCTCTCGCCTTCACCCTGGGGAACTGACAGGCGGGAGAGGGTGAGATGGGGGCTGGTGGCCCAGAGGGGTGAGAGCAGGGTCAGAAACTGGCTCTGTGGCAGGGCAGGTCCCTGGGTAGGAGAAGGCAGGGCTTGGAGGCACACACCCGCACACACCAACACACCCAGCACACACAAGAACACACCCCGAGTGCTCCTGCACACACCCACCTGGGAACGCCCACGCCCACTGGGGAACGCACACGCCCACCTGGGAACGCACACGCCCACCCAGGAATGCCGACGCCCACCCAGGAATGCCCATGCCCACCTGTGAACGCACACGCCCACCCGTGAATGCAGTCGCCCACCCAGGAATGCCCACGCCCACCTGTGAACGCACACACCCACCCGTGAACACATACGCCCACCCAGGAACATACACGCCCACCCAGGAACGCACACACCCATCTGTGAACGTACACGCCCATCCAGGAACGCACACGCCCAGTTAGGAATGCAACCGCACACCCGTGAATGCAGACGCCCACCCGTGAATGCACACGCCCACCCGTGAACGCAGACGCCCGCCCAGGAATGCACACGCCCACCCGTGAACGCAGACGCCCACCCAGGAACGCACACGCCCACCCGTGAACGCACATGGCCACCCCAGGGGGCGACGTGCCCAGCTCTGTTTGGCATGGCATGCAGCTTCTCATCTAGAGTCAGTCGGAGCTGAAAATGGACCTCTCTGGGAAAAAATCTACTTGATTTAAAAACAGAGAGAACTCAAACGCCAATGCTGTGGGGGGCAGGGGGCTTGGAGCAGGGGTGAAGAGCCCTGCACCCTGCAGCAGATACCAAGGGCGGCGTCGCACAAACTGTGGGATTAGGTGGCAGAGGCTGTTCCGAGGCTGCTCCGATGTGTGGGAACTGAGGGGGTTCCCAGGATGTGAGACTTTCAGTGCTGAAACTGGGAAAGTCCTGGGCGAGCCGGGACAAGTCGCTCACCCTACTAGAGACAGTTGGGCGAAGGAGACACATTGGGATCAGTCTCCCATGGCCTTCAAGTGTCAGGGCAGGGGCTGGGGACCTCCCATATAACGAGCAGCCTCAGGAGACTCCAGGCAGGCAGGAGCGTCGGGGGCTGCGACTCCAGAATGGCCAAGGCTTCTACCGTCCAGCCCCTTTGTAACACAGAGCACCCAACGGGCGCAGCCGCCCCCATGCCTCACACCTAACCCAGCAGGGGCCACTGTGGACCCCGACTTCCCAGGGCTGGGACCTGCCTGGGGCTACTGACTCAGGTGCCTGATGTCCCATGTCACGGTGGCTGCCTCCCTCCCAAACGCCCTGCCCATGGGCTTCTCCCTGGAGATGCCAGGGGGTTTGCTTCCCTCGATCACAGGCTCCTGCTCCCCTTCCAGGCTCCCAGGGAGAAGACCTGCGCTCGGCAGATCTCTAGAAAAGGTCCCATAGAGGTCTGGGCTCAGGGGTCCTTTCAGGGTGGGGCACCTCCTTCTGTCACCCACACGGCTGGCCGGGTGTCCCGTGCTGGACACACACGAAGGACATGAGCAGCCACGGGTCCACGAAAGAGCCATTTCTACCACAAGCCGGACTGGGCTTCGCGGAGGTGCCCCGGGGAAACCCATGGGGAGGCACAGCCTGGACTGGACAGGGAGGCAGCCCCCATTCATCAGCTCCTTCCCTGGCACGCATTAGTTGGTACCTACTGAGTGCAGAGCCCTGGGCCAGGCGGTTCTGGAGGCTGGGATGGTCACGCCCCTGCTCTCTTGAACACTGGAGCTGCTGCTGTCTCTCCCTGTTTGCTCTCCCTGAGCCGGGACCCCACGCAGCCTGAATTGGGATTGCCCTACTCTGAGCCCTCCCGTTCCTGAGGCCTGAGATTTGGGGCGTCGTGAAGCCTTGAAGATCCGCTGAGCCCTCCAGAGCTCACACTGCATCTGCTGGCACCCGAGCTATCAGGACCACTGGCCTGGCGAGGGCTATGCTCTCCCTGCAAGAGCTGGTGGCACAGGGCTTCTGTGTCCTTCCATCCCAACAGGGCCCCTGCCCTCTGCACACAGGCACCGGGTGAGCCCTGGACACAGGGTGCGGGGTGCACACCCCTGTGGAGCTCAGAACCAGGTTAGGATCATCAGCACCTGGTGTGACAAGGACCACAGTGCCCCTGGGGTTTGGCTTTCACGCCTGTCCGTTTCAAAGCTCAGTACCGCCACACCTGCCGAGGCTGGTCACTGTGGGACAGGGCATGGCTAAGGACCCTCCTTCCCCGCAGAGGTGGAGACAGCGGATAGCCACCCCCTTACTCAGCATCCTCCCTGCCCTTCCCTTTTCATCTTCCCTCAACATTTTAAAGTCAGACACACGAGGTGAACCATTTCTAGCCTCTTTTTTCTCATCTGTAAAAGCTGAACAAAAATCCCTCTCCACCGGGCACAGTGGCTCACGCCTGTAATCCCAGCACTTTGGGAGGCCGAGATGGGCAGATTCCCTTAAGTCCAGGAGTTCGAGACCAGCCTGGCCAACATGGCAAAACCCCGTCTCTACTAAAAATACAAAACTTAACCAGTAGTTCCAGCTACTCAGGAGGATGAGACGGGAGGATCACCTAAGCCTGGGAGACAGAGGGTGCAGTGAGCCAAGATCACACCACTGCACTCCAGCCTGGGCGACAAAGACAGACTTTGTCTTAAAAAAAAAGAAAAAGAAAAAGAAAAAGAAAAAAAACAAAGTCCTGCCTGACAGCATTGCTGAGAAGATGAAGTAGGACCAGGCTCAGAAAGCACATGGCTCCCATCCCGCACACAGTAGGGCCCCAGGAAGTACAGACTGTGTGGACTGTGAGGCCACAGCCGCTGAGGTGGCAGGAGTCAGGAGGAGGAGAATCTTTGCCCAAGAGCCAGTAGGTGCTTGATGAATGGGTTCCCTTCTAACTTTATGAAAAGCTCTCTTTCCTTCATCTTATTTTTACTTAATTTTTTATTTTTATTTTTTGAGACGGAGTCTCACTCGGCTGCCCAGGCTGAAGTGCAGTGGCATGATCTTGGCTCACCGCCACCTCTGCCTCTGGGGCTCAAGCGATTCTCCTGCCTCAGCCTCCTGAGTAGCTGGGACTACAGGCACATGCCACCATGCTCGGCTAATTTTTTGTATTTTAGTAGAGACGGGGTTTCATAATGTTGCCCAGGGTGGTCTCGAACTCCTGAGCTCAGGCGATCTGGCTACCTTGGCCTCCCAAAGTGCTGGGATCAGAGGCGTGAGCCACCGCGCCTGGTCTTTCCTTCCTCTTAAAACATGACTCAGAAAAAATGAAACTCCTTGGCTGGCACTATCCCTGGAGGGGCTCAGCAAGAGCACTGCAGAGGCAGAGTACTGGGGCCAGAGATTGAATTTCTCTGGCACTGTCATGGAGCTCCCCTGGGTCTCAGTTTCCCTATCCCCAAAGTGAGAATCATCACCGGATGTTGCATTGTGGGTTGTTGAGGAGTCCAAGAGATGATAGAGCAGGGACAGCCCTGAGAACAGTGGCTGACATGCAGGTGTTCATATCAGGTACTGATAAAATATTAGCACTTAACTAATAAGGGTCCAGACCGAGAGGACAGATTCTAACTAGAACCGGCCCCCGTCGCCTTCCCTGTGCCAGGGAGGCCTGTGTGGGGTGCCTTGGCCTTTCCTCTGCTGTCACAACGATCCATGGCTGCTGGTACCATGAGGAACCCGACTCCAGGAGGGCCCGGGCACGCAGCGGGCCTCATGGCAGGCCAATCCCCCACCTCCTGGCGCTCCTCTCCCTGCCTGCATGGCCGGCCCAGGAGCCTCTGCCGGGCGGGTGGCCGGGTGGGCTCCAGCGGAGGCCTCTGCTCCCTGTGTGCCCCATTGAGCACAGACGCCATCTGTCTCTGCCAGCTTCCCGGCGGCTGCAGGGCGTCTGGTCAGCTCCCTGCACACAGGCTGTGGCTTGTTTGCTGCTGAAGCGGCTCCCTTTGGGGTCTCTCTATGTCCTGGCCCAGGCTGTCTGAACTGGGAGAGTCAGAGATGTTTCCACCGGTTGGAGCTGTTTGTTTGTCTTTTCAGAGCCCACAAAGGGGCCCTGGGTGGCTCTGCTTGGAACTTGGGACTATGTGGGGACCAACCTCGGTCAGCTGGGAAGCCAGACCACACTCAGGTCTGCAGACAGGGCCATGGGGTTTGGTCTCTGCCCTGCCCTGGGGCCGGCCTGGAGTGGCCACTCACTGGCAGTGAGGCGTAGGAAGGCTGGACAGCCAGTGGGCACATTCCTGGGGCAACTTCCCAGCCTCGTGACCTCCTTGGCTCTCAAAGCAACCTTCTCAGAGCCAGGGCAACCAGAATGCTCCCTCCAGCAGGATCGGGGCCCCCTGGGAGGAGCAGGGAGGCTTTGCACAGCCAAGCTCACCCCAGTGGCTGGTCGGGCCAGAAGCAGAAGGGCCAGTCAGGATGCCCAATGGTTCTGGCCACTAGTGTGCTCTGGCCTGATGGCATCAAGCTTCAGACCCCAAGGAGAGCCACCCAGCGAGGATCAACTGGTGCCAGGGCCGCAGACACCTGGCTGCCATCTTGGAATCTGGAGCTCGCAAACAACTTCAGGACTTAGTGGCCCCAGCAGCCACAAATGAGAGCCACTGCCCTAGGGGGCAAAAGGGGCTTTGGATTCCTGGCTCGGGACTGCTGTAAATGATCCCCATCCAAAACCACCACCAGACTCACTTGTACCAGGAAGTGTACACAAATGCTGCAGGCCCCTGTGGGTGGTTACACAGACAGCGTGGAGGACCAGGCATGGAACTTTCATTCCAAGTTCCTATAGCCCCAAAGAGTCCAGAACTGGGCTTGGGTCGGGGGGAGCACAGAGCAGACACAACCGTGAGTGGCGCAAAAGGAAGAGTCCATGGGGAGGGGCGGGGCAGGCCGCTGGGCTTGTGGTGACCACAGCAGCCAGAGAATCCTGTCTGGGAGGCAGAGACCCACGTGCCCAGGGCACACAGGAGACGTTCTCAGGGCAGCTCCTTGCTGCCTGCCGAGGGCCAAGGTCACTGTCCGCAGGACGAGGCCTTAGTTGCCGGGCACCTCAAACAGGCCCACCTGCCTGACGGCCCAGGAATCTCAGAGGAGAGCTGCCGTGCTGGGGCCTGAGCACGCTGCAAAGGAGACCACAACAGGAGGATGGAGAGCAGACACGGAGGAGGACAGGCAGGAGACGCCAAAGATGCGTGGCTGGGAATCACACAGGGTCAGGGTTTGTGGTCACATTGCAAGAGGATGAAGGACCACCCAGCACAGGCGTTGTATGTGGCCTGTGTCAAAGCCCCAAGGCTCTGTTTTCAAGCAAGCAGATACTCAGGCCACGCCCGAATCACTGGCTCAGCAGGCCTGACTCCAGCCGTGTTCATCAGTCAGGATAGAGGAAGTCGTGCTGCAGGAACAGAGGATGCCAAATTTCGGCAGCTCCAGACAGCAAAGGCTGATTCCTCACACACACAACGTGTACCCCACACACCTGCAGGGGCCTCCCAGATATGCAGAGGGCAGGGGAGCACGGGGAAATCTTGCAATAAGATACTCTGCTTGGGAAATAACGCGACTCCTCCCCTTGCAACTCATTGGCCAGCTCCAGTCACATGACTCTCCCGCCAGCAGAGGGACCGGAAGTGCGCCTGCCCCAGGCTCGGAGATGAGAGCCAGGCGTCCACGGTGAACAGCACCAGAAAGCACCACGGTTTAAGGGCCTGGCCTTTGGGGCAAGTGGACCTGGGCTTGAATCGCAACCCTGGCACTGATAGCTGGATGACCCTGACAAGCTGTATCTCCCTTGAACTTCGCGTTCCTTCGCTGGGGTATGAAGACACAGCTTGTCAAGATCATCCAGCTATCAGAGCCAGGGTTGGGATTCAAGCCCAGGTCCACTCGCCCCAAAGGCCGCCCGTGAGTTGCTGTGAGGACTGAACAGGAAATGGGCGGAAATGGTTCAGCACAGTGAGTGCTCAGTGATGCGGTTGTCATTGATAATCCATCTGGAAGGGATTGCTTGTCAGTTTCAGGAGACTCAGAGACCACTCCCTCCTCCAGGAAGTCTTCCAGGCTTTAAGTCTTGGGTGGGAACTCAAACTGTGGGTGAGTTGAATTGGATTTTCCTTTCCACAAGGTGTCTGTCCCCCTGTGACTCTCACTGCCTGTCTCTCATCATGGGCAGGGACTAGGCTGAATTCCTCTCTGCATCCTAGGACTCTGCTCAGACCCTGTCACAAAGTCGGTTTTGGGAGCTGTTAGATAAATGAATGAATGAATGTTTTGAGGACTCAGCACTGAGCATTCCTGGACACGATACCATTGTTCTGAGAGCCAGAGGTTGTCTTGGGCTCCCCTTCCTGGGGGCCAGTGCTTCATTCACCACCCAAATCCTTGCCACAGTCCCTCCCTCTCCTAGGACTGGGGAGCATGTGGCCACAGCCACCCATCGTTAGCTGGGTTCTATCAGCTCCACCACATCATAAGTTGGATGTGCCTGGCAAGACTGCATCATAAGAGAGGATGGCCACCTGAGATGGAACACCAGGAGGACTAGCAGGCATGAGCAGGTGTCCTTGAACCCTGCCTCATTCACCATTGCGGCTCCAGTGTCCCTCAGCTCACATCTAGGGACACATGTAAACTCGGTAGGGCCAGACGCCAGAGAAGAAAAAGCTGGAGCATGGCTTATGGATGGTGAGCACAACCTGAGGTGGATAGCTGCTGAACCACAGCTTCGCTCAGTGATGACCTTGAAAGAAACACAAATACTTCTGATGGGCAGAGCTTCAGGCAATGCACCTGGCCCTCCGCTGTGTGTGGGAAGAGGAGCAGCCTGAGGTCAAAACACCGGGGCTGAGAGGCAGCAGTGAATGGCTTGGCCAGCTCATCAGGGGCCCGGAAGGAGAAAGATGAGGGACAAGAGGCCTGGAGCAGAGGTTGATGGATGGGCGTACAGGAGTGGGAATTAAAGAGGAAGGTCTTTGCGCTCCTTCCAGGAAGCATCTGCCACCAAACAGGCACTGAACAATCAGGTAGGCAAGGTGGTCCAACCAGCTGTCATCAGTCAGTCTCACTGGCCATGCCAGGGCCGGCACCATGGATCACTGGAGAGGGTAGCCGAGATGGCAAGGATGGGCCCTCACTTACTAAGGCTGACCTAGCTACTGTCTGCTGAATGTCCCCTGTAAAGCCCCTCCCTTGAGGCCAGCTGGCTGCTTGGCCAGTTGGCTATATTCAACTCTTGAAAGATCGGAGATTCATCTGGACTAAAGTGGACACAAACTTCAGGTCAGAGTTTGTCTTTTCTGTCCCAGCCCCCCAGCGGCACCATCCTTTTGGCTTACTGAGTGTGTGATCCACCAGCCTGGGAGCCCGCAGAGCCTCAAGTCAGGCTAAGGGACCCACTTCGCAGCAAGGAGGTGTGGGAGTGGGCCGTGACCACGGGGATCTGCTGCACATATCACAAACTGTGTGCCTCTCACTGCTGGCTTGGAGGGGCTAGAGACTGGCCTGCCAAACGCACAGCTGTCAGCTGCAGAGGGTCCCCTTGCCTGAGGCCCCATGCTTTCCTGGGAAGCCTATATCCAATGACAGTAAAAGCAAAAGTTAAAAAAAGAAAACACAAAGTATGCTGTCCTCTGCCACCTAGGGCACCTTTGGCATCCGTGGTCACCCCACCTTGGGCATCTGCAGTCGTCTCACCTTGTGCATCCGTGGTCGTCCCTCGTCCCGCCTTGCACATCTGCGGTCGTCTCACCTTGCACATCCGCTGTCGTCCCAACTTGCGCAGCCGCGGTTGTCCCACCTTGCGCAGCCGCGGTCGTCCCACCTTGTGCATCCGCGGTCGTCTCACCTTGAGGTTGAGGAGGAGGAGATGGAGAGGCCAGATGAGAGCCCTTGACCTAGCTGGGAGCTGTCAGCACCTCTGCCAAAACGCAGGCCTCCTCAAAGAGGACAGTGGTTGCTGTTCAGGGGATGGAGCCTGGTGTGGTGGCCCCAGCTTTCAGCACACCCAGGAAAAGCTATCGCCTTCCGCTGCCCTAGGTGGCCTGCCCTCTGGGAGGTCTAAGTGACTAGAGGCCTGTGGATTCTAATTGGAAAAAGGTTGCATTGGGAAAAACAACTTGGGGGCCGCTGCTCCTGGGCTGCTCTCAATCCCGTGCCCAGGGCCCCCTCACAGCCCACCTAAGGGCCAGGCTGTGGGGAAGGAGTGACTGAGAGATGGCAAGAAGGGGATGGAGAGACGGGGTCTCCAACTGTTATCAATGGGGCCACCAGGCATCCTCCTCCTCCTCCTGCTATAAGAAACCCTGGAGGAGCCTGGGCTCTTTGCCCACAGGTCCTGGGGCCCTTGGTCCTCCTGCATGGATTCGTGAGGGAGATTCCTGCTCATCTGGGCCACTCAACAGTGGTCCCTGTTGGGCCAGGGAGTCACTTTGGTGTCTGAAAGTCCCTGTGGGGACAGTTTATGCTGAGCCCAGTTGAAGCTTCAGGTTTATTTTCTGCAGAGCACCCCAGTGGGGGCTTTCCTGAAGAGCTGTGGTGCTGACACTCAGATAACAAGCCATCATTTATGGCACACTCACCTAAACTGGGCACCGTGGAAGGGGCTTCCCATACTTCCTCCCAACAATCCCATGAACACAACACCAACCCAGACAGGTGGGCTCTCTGGAGAGTCCAGCTTGCAGAGGGGAAACTGAGGCCCAAGCCGGCTCAGGTTCTCCCAGTGCTTCCCAGCCAGAAGCAGCATTGCCAGGGCTCGAGGTTCTGAACCGGGCACTCCAGCTGCCCCTTCCCCATGCCGGAGGGCAGCAGCCTGGCTCCAAGCACCCCTGTGCACTGTTCCTGGGAAGTGGGTTCCAGGGGTAGCCCCCCACTGTGACATGCCCAGCCTTAATCTTCCTCTGCATTTGCAATGGTGTGTAGATGCCCTGATGTTGAAGCTAAAATGAGCCCCTGTTTTCACCAGGAAAAGTTTGAATGTTTCCTTTTTTCCTGTCCTTTCTTCATGCACTTCCTGACGTGTAATCCGAGCAATTGTGCCCTGGAATGGACAAGAGCCTTCAAGGGAAAGGAGACGCTGTGTTGCTCTGGCAGAGGGAGGTGGCCGAGTCAGGACCAGCCAGGTAACATGTGGGGCCCGGGCACAGTGAAAGGCAGCGCCTGTTCCAAGATGAGGAGGAATTTCAAGAGTGTAGAGCAGTCCAGGGGCCTTCTGAGCCTCGGAGTCCTGTGCACCTGTACACGATGCTTCCTGCTGGCAAGTCGCCTGCCCAGAGACCTGGGAACTGTGTGAACTGGGACCCCAGGCAAGCCCTTTTCTCTCTGGCCTCTGTTCCGTGGCTGTGAATAGGAGCGTGGTGGCTGAGGGTGGGGCAGGGGCTGCCCCCCGGGTTTGCCGACCCCAGCATTAGCCTCACTCCAGGCTTGTCTGGACATGGCAGCTAAATTGGGGGACCTGGCTCCCAGGAACACCCAGGCCTGGCTTGGCATCTCCTTGTTAGCGAGAATGAGAAAGGCATCCATTGGCTACAGTCATGTGGCACAGGGAGGACAAAGGATGGCTGATCTGATCTCAAAACTCCCCCATGTGGGTGGCACAGGGGGTCCTAGCCATGTGGCCATGGATGCTCCATTCTCTCTCTGAGCCTCCATTTCCCTGGGGCTATTGAGGGGAACAGGTGAAATAACAGCCAATATTTAGGAAGTGAGCATGGCTCAATGCTTGCAAACAGAGGGTCTCATCCATTCATTCATTCATTGAGCACACTGTGTGCAAAAGCCTATGCTGAGGCCCAGAGCCTCAGGCCGAGGTGTCTGGGGCATCACTGACCCCAAACCCGTAGCCAGCTAAGAGGCTTTCCCCACCGCCACTCCATGCTGCCTGGGCTTCATGGCCTAGGTGACCACAGCAGCTGGCTCACTCTGTGACCCAGCCACCCTCATGTCCTCTAAGGCTGGCCTTCAGGTGTCTGGGCCATCTTCTTCTGCCTCCTTGCCCCCACTCCTAGCTCTTCTCTGATCCCTGCATCCCTGTCCCTGCTCCTGGATCTGGCCCTCCTCTTCTGTCTATGTCCTGCTGACCATGCCTCCAGGCCTCCCTTCAACCCCTCCTCCGCCATAAGTTGCAGGCCACCGTCAATGCCAGTAGGACAGGACTGGTCCCCTCCTGAACAAGGAAAGCTCGCCTGCTTGTTTCCAGCCTCATGTTCCTCCCTAGGGCCTCCATGAACCCTTGGCATGTATTAGCCCCTGACATCCTTGGGACAGAGCCCAGCTCCTCACCCTGGATCAGACCTTCCACCACCCACTGTCCCTTCCTCCCTCTGCTCGGTCAGAAGGACTCACTTGTGGTCCCCAGATGCACCAGGTGTTTTCATGCCCCTGGGCCTTTGCACATGCCATTCTTTCAGTCTGGCATGTCCCCCTTTTCTCCTTCCTTCAAACTTCTATCTATCCTGTGGGCAGCCTGGGCAGATGCAGGAGGTTAGGGATGCGGATGATGACAGCTACATCCCCAGCACCTAGCACAGTGCCTGGCACATGGTAGGTGCTAGGTTAATGTTTGTGGAATGATGAATGAATGAGTGAATGAGCTTTAACCTCAGATGGGCCTGGGTGCACATTCACTCAGCACTTACTCTGTGATCTTGGATCAGTGATTTTTTTTCCTCCAGGCCTCAAATTACTCATCAGTAGAACATGGATGGGTGCAGGGCCTCCCTCTCAGGTGGTTGCCTGGTGCTAATCCACTCAGCTCAGGGTTCCCAGGGCCTAGAACAAAGGAGGTGTTAAATGCATGGAAAAATGACCGAATGAAGCAATTTCCTCTTCCTGGAATCCGCTTTGCTTCACCCCCATATTTTCCTGTCAAAGTCCCTCTTGTTGGACATTAACAAGCAGATTTCAAAAATTCACGGGAAATTGCAAAGGGCCAAGAATAGTCAAGCAATCATGAAGAAGAACAAAAGCAGAGGGCTGACAGCAGGTCTCAAAAGTGATGACAGGGCAACAGTAAATCAGATGGTGAAGCATTGACAGGCAGCCAAACCATCAATGGAACAGAGACCCACAGACATAGGGTCCACATGTTGTGGCAGAGGTGTCCCTGCAGGGGGTGGGTTTGAATCAACAAGGTATCCCTAAGGAAAAATTGTGTCTTAACCCTTGCCCTATAGCATGCACAAAATGCAATAGCTGATGGATTACAGATTGAAATGTGAGGGTTTTGGGAGAAACGTAAGGGAACATCATGACACATGAGCAGATGATGATTTCTTAAACAGGATACAAGAGGCACCCACCATAAAGAGAAATGCTTATAAGTTAAACAGTACTAAGGTTATTAAGAAAATCTGTTCATTAAGTGACAACAGAAAGTGAAAATTAAACCCACAGAGTAGAAGAAATTATCTGCAGTACAGTGTCTGAGTATGTAGCATTTAAAAAGAACTCATTTACAGCAATAATTTTTGAAAAACAGCTGCACTGACATCAAAATGGGCAACAAGCTTGAACAGACACTTGACAAAAGAGGATATTCTAATTGCCAATAAGCATACAAAAAAGTGCTCACTTGTGTCAGTTGTCAGGGAAATTCAAATTAAAACCACAATGAAATACCATGTATGGTCACCAGAATAGTTAAAAAGAAGAAAAAAGATAGACAATAGCAAGTGTTGGAGGTGAGATGGGGCACCCAGGGCAGCCATGCAGTGCCTGCAGGTGGAACCACTTTGGACACTGTTTTGCAGAGTCTGCTAAAGCTGAACACATGATAACCCAAGACACAACAATTCCACTCCTATGTATATGCCCTACATAAATGTTTACGTAAAGAGACACATGAGATTGTTCATAGCAACACTGACGTATAGTAATCCCAAACTGGAAACAACACAAATGTCCACCAACAATAGAATGAGTGAATAAGCTGTGAAATATTTGAATAGTTGAATACCAGGCAGCCATGAGAATGAATGATTAACAGCTACCTGCAGCAATGTAATGGATCCTACCTACATAATATTGAGCAAAGGAAGCCTGACACAAAAGAATGTATGCTATATATCAAAAACAGGTGACATTTCCCATGGGGTCCAGTCAGGAAGGCACTTCCACTGTGGGAGAGAGAGGGACTGGAAGCAAGCAGATGGGTGTGTCTGAGCAGTGGCAATGTTTTGCTGCTTGGTCTGTGATTTAGCTGGTGAGAATTCATTGATCTGTGCACTTAAGACTGGCTAGTTTTTTGAGGCATGAGTTAAGAATTCTCCCTGGCTATCCATTATGATTTTCAACCAGTTCTGCCAGGGAGCCCTCCCCAAAGCCCAGACCCAATTTATAAACAATAATAAAATACACAATGCTCTCTATTGTAAATTCCACACTGCCAATTGATTCTCAGTGAATGTTTGTGTTGATTTTGCTGAATTCTGTATCTGTAGCCAACGTATGGATCAACTTATGAACAAGTGTGGTTCTGTTGGTTGACATTTTCATTCCACAAATAACACCTACATAAAATAACAAAGGCATAATATCAGAACTTTACCTCATTTGTCAAGAATGGGAGATACTTCTTTGCTGAACTGGGTAATGATTTTTTTTTTTTTTTTTTTTTTTTTTTAGACAGGGTCTCACACTGTCGCCCAGGCTTGAGAGGAATGGTGTGACCTTGGCTCACTGCAACCTCTGCATCCTGGGTTAAAATGATTCTCCTACCTCAGCCTTCCGAGTAGCTGGGGTTACAGGCATGCACCACCATGCCTGGCCACTTTTTGTATTTTCAGTAGAGACAGGGTTTCACCATGGTCAGGGTGGTCTCAAACTCCTGACATCAGGTGATCCACCCGCCTCGGCTTCCCAAAGTGCTGGGATTACAGGTGTGAGCCACCATGCCTGGCCATGATTCTTGAATACCGGAAGAATATTTCCTCTCTTTTTCTATGCTATTCATGGTGTAACAGCTACAGAATGATGTACTTTCATGTTTAATCTGCATTATTAACATTAATAACATTTTCTCCAGCACTTTCTGAAGTCTAGACAGTCAACAAAACAATCAATCAGTGTTTGCCAATTTCCATGGTGTAAACAATCCCACAGTGGCCAATTGCAAGCCTCCTGCCACCTCCAGGTCTCTATTATTCAATTAAATGCAACGATTCCATGCTCTGCTACCTCTCCTATCCAGTCTTCTGGGACAGAGGATAGGCAATGCCATGCCCACCGACTTCCACCAGCGAATGAGTGCATGGCATGGGGGATGTGCCAGCTCACTTTCCTAATGAGGAAACTGAGGCCAAAAGGAAAGCATTTGCCAGCGCCACACAGAGAGCCATGGCAGAGCTGGGGCTGGCCTCTCAGGCTCAGGGTTTCAAGGCCTGTGAGCCCTGGCCACCAGCATCTCCCTCCATCACGGATAAATGGAATCACTCAGGTGACTTGGCTTCCGCTCTGGGCTGTCCTGCAGCCCTGGGCCCTGGGAAACTTTGCTTCTTTCTGTTCCTCTTCAGTGTGGGCAACGGACGCTTCCCTGCTGAGTCTAGGGGTAGCTGGGAAGAGGGCTCATGTTGAGCCCCTTCACCTCCACATCCCCCTCAGCACATAGGGACCAGAGGGCAAAGCAGCCTGGAGGGGAAGACTGGCATGAAGGTGAAGGGTCAGACAGTGACAGGAGGGGAGGGAGAGGAGGAGGAGGAGGGAGAGGTAAGAAGGGATGGGGAACGCGGGTATGGGAGGGTGCTGAGGAGGGGTAGGATGGGGCGCGACAGGGGAGTGGTGCTTGCAGCAGATAAGCAAACAAAACCAAGACCTTGGACAGAGAGGGGAGGGTGGCCCCATCCAAGGTGCACTGAGAAGTGTTCTGGCCCAGGACTCAGGGGGCCTCCTGGGTTCTCACCGCAGAGCTAAATCCCCAGAGGGGATGGAATGTGGATTTGTGAAGACCTTTGGGGAAGGAAGAAGGAGCCAGCGGCCCGGGCATTGGGTTGTGGCCATGTGTGGGCAGAGATTATTCTAGTAACTCAACAGCACGATCCTACCTCAAAGACCCAGATCCTGTCTGGAGAGCTGCCTAGGCACCACCAGACCCCAGGGTTGCCCCTTCCCTTTCTGCCCGTCCGCCTCCTTCTGTGTTAGGGCGGCAGGGGGATCCTGCTGCAAAGGCAGACAGGAGTGGAAGGTGGAGTGCGTGATGGAAACAAACAGGGAACTGATCGTTGGACAGCAGCTGCCCTGGGTTTCGGGGTCAGGGGTATCCTGCTGCAAAGGCAGACAGGAGTGGAAGGTGGAGTGCGTGATGGAAACAAACAGGGAACCGATCGTTGGACGGCAGCTGCCTTGGGTTTCGGAGGCAGGGGAGGTTCGCAGAGAAAACGAGGAGTTTGGGGGACAAGGTCAAAGTTTGACGGGGCTGGCGAGGTCCAGACATGTGGGAGGCAGAGAGTGATATGAGGGATGGAGCAGGTTAGAACAGCAAAGGATGCTGGGAATATCCCAAACTGCCCCTGGATGATGGAGGCTCAGAGAGGGTGCATGGCTGCCCATGTCTCCCAGCACACCCGGGCGAGCTGAGGAAAAGGCTCAGGGGCTGACAGATACAGGGACTGAGCGCGGCTAGGATAGCCCTACTGAGGGAGCCAGAGGGGCCCTGGGGAGATGCCTGGCGGGCCCGTCTCCTAGCGACTGACGTCCCGCCACCCCACGGGCCCCTTGTGCTGGGCACTGCCCACCCCTGACACTGGCTGCGAGCACTTTTCACTGCTGTTCTGCATGAATAAGCGCCAGGCCTCTTGCCAATTGTCCCCCTCTTAAAAGGCAGCCCCGGCGAAAGGCCTTTTCAAGTGGGATCGCACAGTGCCACCCAGGCCGGGCGGGCATTGTTTTGGGGAGCCAGGGTCCTGCTTGGCCGCCGGGGTCGGGGGGCCCACAAAGCATGGTGATGGCGGCTCCACGCACTCAGCGCAGCAGCCCTGCTTATTAATCTGCAAAACTCACACCGATGCCTTTGGAGGGGAGATTGAGTGAAAACGATGTCCTTAGGGGAGTGGCCTTTGCAGGCGCCTCCTGGGTTCCTCACTACACTGATTTTAAAGGGCTGCAAACACCCATGGGCAGCCAGGTGTATCCAGAAGCCCCAGGGCTGGAGTAGAAGCTGGGATTTGGGATATGCCCAGGCTGGTGGGGAGGCTGGGGAGGAATCCAGCTGGGGCAGAGGGGGGTGAGTCTTTTGGGGAGCTTGGGACAGTGGCCAGCCTCAACTGTGCATTGGACACACACACCCACGTTCCCCCGCACGGCGGGGCCCCAGTGGATTGCCTGGAAACTGGCTTTCCTAGACCAGCAGGTGAGAAAACTGGCAAGGGTGGAGGAGCAGGACCCAGGATCCGGGCAGGGATCCCAAGGCAGGTCCAGACCTCCTGGACCACAGGGGAGGAGGCAGAGGGGGGGGAGCTCTGCATCCCAGCCCGTCTGGCCCCATATCCAGTCCCCCCAGAACACTGGCCCCCTCTTGGGATGTTCCAGGGTGGACGGGTACCTCCACTGATCCCCCAACTCAAGGAAGACAGTGGCCAAGGCTGGTGTCTGTGGGGTGTAGGAAGTATTGGGGGCTCCTCTGGGCTGAGGGGCTCCACCAGCCACCCCTGGAGGCAGCCTGTCCCCAAAGGCTCGTTCTGTGGAAGTCAGTCCTGTCATACGTATTGAAATTTGCAGACAAAACGCCTCCAGGGATTGGAGTTGGTTTCCACAGTTCACTCCACTCTCCTCCTTTCGTAAATGTTTGCAATTTTCCATAGTAATTGTTAAAGGGCATTCGAATCATAGTTTCTTATAAAGCTAAGCCTTTGTCAATCCTATGGCCCAGCAAGCCCACTCCAGGGTATCTGCACAGGAGAAATGAGTACAGACGTCCTTCCACACGGAAGCTCCGTGCACATGGGGGTTCACAGCGTCTATATTCCTCAAATTGGACTCACCCACACGCCCACCAGTAGGCAACAGCGGTAGATCCACACAGCAGAACATCACTCAGCAGGGAAAAAGGACAAACCACAGATGCGACATTGGTGAGTCCCGAAAACACTGCGCTGAGCAAAAGAAGCCAGACAGAGAACGCACCATGTGAGTCTATTCATACAAAGTTCAAAACGGGCAAAACTCGTCTATGGCAATGAGACGTATTGAGTATGCTGGCGACTGAGAGAACTTGTAGGGTGGATGAAGTAGTTCCGTTTCTTGAGCTGGGAGTGTGGGTGATGTAGGTGTAGACAAGTGGAAGAGGTCATTGAGTGGTCACGTAAGATCTGGCTGTTTTACTATATGAACATTGTACTGAATTTTTTAAAAAATCAGTTGATTCTGGTGGGAACATGGAGAGGAAGGAAGGTGGCCGGTGGAACACCAGCATGTGGTGTGGGTGACACTGGCTCGTGGGACCAGGAGAAACCAGGGTCACACAGCACAGTCCCCGTCATGTGCTGTGCAGCCCTGGGCAGGTTGCTCCCCCTCTCTGTGCCTCTCTTCCTGCACTGGGCATGGTAAGGTGAGATGAGGCCTGGGAAGCACTGGCCTGGTTAGCCCATCACTGCCTGGCTGGTGTTTCCACCGTTTGTGATGGCTGTTCTGGTGTCACCGGGCCTCCTGTGTGTCCCGGCAGCGAGCGCCTCACCCTGGCTCTGTGCCTAGTAGGTTCCAGAGGCCCGCTCCATGCTGTCGGGACCCAGCTATGGGAGACAGATGGACACGTGCCCCTCAGTAGGGATCCCAACACAGCCCAGCTCTACCATGCCCTGGCAAGGGCCTGTGGTGCAGCAGTGCAGTGGGAGACGTCGTCGTCCACGCCAGACACTAATCCCTTCAAGGCTAATATGTCCCCAGACTCCAGACACCCCTGGAGGTGACAGGGACCCTGTGTCCACAGCAGGGTGGGCAGCTGGCCCCAGGCTGCTGATCAAATCCACAGTGGAGTCATGGCTGGTGTTGGGGCCCCAAGTACTAACCTGCAGTAAGGTGACTCCCAGGAGGGCAGGGGTACAGGCAAGGACAAGGTATCCCAGGGTGGGAAAGCTCTGTGGAAGGGCAGAATCGGACTCCCATCTTCTGCACCGATCCCCAGTGGGCCTCAAGGGTGCCTCCCCCATCATCACTGAGCACCCCTGGGGCCAATGCTAGGTGGGGCAGCTGTCGTCCTTATCTCCCTCGGAAGCCGGCTGCTGGGAGGGCTGGAGGTGGCTTCATGATGGCAGGAGGTAACGTTACAACCTGCTCTGAAGAGGGGTGGGCCGGCAGGCGAGGCTGTGGTCTGATCCAAGGCAGGGAGTGGCCTGAAGGGAAGGATGGGAGGCAAAAGCGGGAGGCAGATGAGAGTCCTGCCTGGTGCCAAAAAAACCCATGCAAAGGCCCTGGGGTAGCCCGGAGCATGGCCCACTAGAAGATCTGAAAGAGGGGAAGGAGCTGGTGGGGCCGGAGCGTCTGGACCATGAAGGAAGCTGGACTTGGGGGTGGCAGTGGGAGCTACGGGGATTTGCCAACCTGGGTGACCTGGCCGATTCTCCAGGGCTGCTGCTCCCGGCTCATCCTCCCGCACTGACCCCAGCCATCGGGAAGGAGAGGCTGGCAGGCCATCCACACTGCAGGGCCCGCCCACGGCCTCTGCCCTTCCTTGGGCCTGGGAAAGACAGAGGCTTCTGCTCCCATCCCCCAGAGGGCCGGGGAGGGCAGCGGGGATGGGGAGGAACACTGTGGGAAACAGCACAGTCCCCCAGGGCTCTGCCTGGGTCCTGTGGCTTCTTGCACCAGATAAAGACTTTGCGCCTCCACAGAGCAGCGGACCCTGGGAGCTGGCGTGGAAGCAGAATCCTGCTAATTCCCTCCCAGGTCCCCCCGCCGTGGGGACAGGAGCAGAGCAGTGTGGGTCTCGGGCCTCTGCCAAGTAAGAGACACAAGGAACAGAAACCTGCCATGATCACAGGGCCACGCAGGGACAGGGCTGGATTTAGGTCCAGGTCGCTGGACCCCTAAGAGGGATGTTTTCTGCGGGCAGCCTGGAAAAGCCAGTGGTGGGCGTGGGCGGTGGTTTAATTCATCATCACACATCTGCTTTGTCGGTGCCCTGGTTCCTGGCTGCCTGGCTCCCCCTCTAGACTAGAAACACCACGGGGAAGAAATCTTTGTCTTTTTTCTTTCTTCCTATTTTGAGTGGAGGCTTTGCTCTGTCACCCAGGCTGGTGTGCAGTGGTGCAATCACAGCTCACTGCAGCCTTGAGCCCAGGCTCAAGCGATCCTCACCCCTCAGCCTCCCAAGTAGCTGAGTCCCCAGGCATGTACCACCATGCCTGGCTAATTTTTTTATTTTCTGCAGAGGTGGGGTCTCGCTGTGTTGCTCAGGCTGGTCTTGAACTCCTGGGCTCAGGCAATGGATCCTCTCCTCTTGGTCTCCCAAAGTGCTGGGATCACAGGCGTGAGCCACCGCGCCTTGCCTTGGATCTTTGTCTTCTTGACAGAGAGGAACAAAGGCGAGGTGCTGCTGGCAGAGATGGGCTGGAGTAAAGGAACCAGAGAATGCAGTGGCTGGTGGCAGCTGGCTGAGTCGGGAGAGGGCAGTCGGCCAGAGTTCGTGTGTGGGCAGGGGAGAAGGGTGGGAGTCCTTGAGCTACCTCTTCTAGCCTCTACCACTGACAGCAAGAGGGTCCCAGGCCCCTCCCTCTTGCTGCAGACAGCAGGGCTCCAGGTGATGAGAACCCTGCCCTCAGTGACAGAACCATCCAGATCGGGGCCAGGTCCTGGGATGAAGCCCAGGAAGGAGGCAGCCAGAGACCCCACAGATGGGATCCAGGATTCCTGGGGAGTTTTCCCGCACTTGTCCAGCATCCCCTGGCTGGGCCTGCTGGCTCCTAAAGCTTCTGTGATATTGCTCAGGGACCCCCGGTCCTTCCTCCAAGCTCGAGGCCCTGCAGTCCACCACCCTTCCCCAACCAAGCAGAGCCCCCTTAGCCCTAAGTCTCGAGGCACAGGCTTCATGAGTGGGCACCTCTATCCTCCAGGGAAGCCCAGAAGGAAAAGCCCAGAAAACTCATTCTTGAAAGCCAAGAGATGACCAGAGGCACAGCCGTAACTCCCCTGAAGAAACCGGCTGGAACCAGCATTCCCCTTGCAGAAACCCCAGACACACATGGACACGCCTGCCTCCACCTCAGACCCGTGGCCCTGTGGCCCCTCACAGTGTCCAGTTAACAGTACAAGGTACTGAGGCTAGATTAGAGGGTCTCAGCAGGGGGTGATGGTGCCCCCAGGGGCCACGTGGCAGTGCCTGGAGACATTTTTGGCTGTAACAACTCTGGAGAGGGGAGGAGTGCTATGAGCATCCTGCAGGCAGAGGCCGGGGCTGCGGCTACACATCCTACAGGGCCGAGGACAGCCCCACCCCAAGAATGGCCCAGCCCCAAATGTCAGAAATGCAGAGGCCCAGAAACTCTGGCCTGCCCCCAGGGAGCTTGGGCCAATGGAGGACAAGAGAGCTACCGGCTGATCTCGACATCTTGTTCTGAGGATTTTCTTTTAAACAGACGCCCTCAGGTGAAAGATGACCACAGAGCCAGTCTAGAGAAGGAGGCAGCTGCCCTTCTGTTTTCCAGGCCAACTGACCCACCCTAGTGCAAGCAGCACAGGCCCTTTATCCATTTGTGGGCCCCCCCTGTTCACCAGCCTCCAAGGGCACACCCAGTCCTCCCAGGTTTGTGAATGACAGCTGTCCCACCAGAAGTCACTGACGGAATGGGCTGGCTGAAGCCGTTTCTGTTTTCTGTCCTTGCCGCCATCCACCTCTGTTTTTATGTCCAAAGAACCCTGCCCAGGGCAATGACCACCCTTGGCTTTTAGAAGCTGGGCACACGAGTGGTGACCTCTGCCCAGGCCATGCCTAGTGCTGGTGGCTTCAGGGCCAAAAAGGGATTCATTCAGGTGCTGTGATCCAAAGACAACAGTGGACACTGGGTGGTGGAAACCGGTGCCTACTGTAGGCAGGATGCCAGACAAATGTGGCCCATCCCTTCCTGTAGCCACCAGGACTGGATCCACCCAGAGAATCCCACCCCCAAGAAGCCATCCCCCAACCCCTCTGGAAACCCCATGCTGTAGGCCTTTGTTAAAGGGTCCAACAATTCATGCTGTGACATCCATTCATCCCCCTGGCTGGACCATGGGCCTTAGGAGGGCAGGGCAGAAGCGTGGTTGCCTCCACAGCCCAGCACAGAGCAGCAGAGCAGCACAGCACTGGCCAGGGCACAGCCTTCTTCCTCCCAGTGGTCAGCAGATGAGTGAGACACAATGCCTGCTCCTGCAGCTCCCACTCTCGGGGGATCAAACACTACCAGCTGAGTTAGAGTGTCCTGGGCCACCAGTGAGCTTGGACAGAGTGCTTGAGGGGTTGAACGAAGGAGGCTGGGGTCAGAGAAGATATTGGAACAAGAATGAGGTGGCATCTAGAGCCCTTGCTCACTCACATGGAACATTTGGGTGAATTTTTAAAAGCTGCCTGTGATGGGCTGAATTGTATCCCTCTGAAATTCACACATTGAGCTCTTAACCCCCAGTATCTCAGCATTTGGAGCTAGGGTCTTTAAAGAGGTAATCAAGTTAAAGTGAAGTCATTAGGGTGGGCCCTAATCCCATATGACTGTGTCCTTTTAATAAAAGGAGATGAGGACACAGACACACACAGAGGGATGACCATGTGAAGACACAGGGAGAAGGCAGTGTCTACAAGCCACGGAGAGAGGCCTCAGGAGGAACCAGCCCTGTGAAACCTTGATGATGGCCTTCCAGCCTCCAGGACTGTGAGAACATAAATGCCTGCTATTTAGGCACTCGTGTGTGGTGCTTTGTCACAGCAGCCTGAGCTAGAACAGCGCCCACCTGTCTGCATGGACACAGCCCCATGCCCCCAGTCAGGAGGAGGAGGGAATTCACAGACTGCCTGTGCAAAGGCCCTGTGGTCAGAAAGAATGTGGTTCATTCCATAAACTGCCAGAAGGACCAGTATTAGTGGGGAGAGATGAGTGTGACCAAGCAGGAAAATGTAGACATTGGTGATGAGCTGTGTCCTAAAGTCCAGACAATGGGGAGATCTTGCAGGGTATTAAATTGATACAGTCACATTTAGTGGCTTAGACATCCCTCTGACCACAGTCTGACCTGTCATCTGGGGGTAAGAATGGCCGTAAAACCCTCACTCCCCAGTCATTGTGATGTGGTTGCCTTGGAATCCCTCCTCAGAATTCCCTCCTCAAGATCCCTCTCAAGATCCCTCCTCAGGATCCCTCCTCAGGATCCCTTCTCAGGATTCCCTCCTTAGGATCCCTCCTTAAGGTCCCTCCTCAGAATCTCCTCCTCAAGATTCCTCCTCAGGATCCCTCCTCAGAATCCCCTCCTCAAGATTTCGCCTCAGGATCCCTCCTCAGAATCCCCTCTTCAAGATTCCTCCTCAGGATCCCCACTCAGGATCCCTCTTCAAGATTCCTCAGGATTCCCTCCTCGGGATCCCTCTTCAGGATCCCTCCTCAGAATCTCTCCTAATGATTCCCTCCTCAGGATCCCTCCTCAGGATTCCTCCTCAGGACCCCCTCCCTCAGGATTCCCCCCTAGGATCTCTCCTCAGGGCTCCCTCTCAGGAAGCCAGCATGTCCAGTTGGTTTCATCTGGAAACCAACCCCATTGCTAGGCCTGACTTAGAAGGACATGCAAGTGACAGAAACAGCAAACTCATTATGAAAGGGATGGGGGAGGAGGAAGAGGAGGAAGCGACGAGGACAGGAGGAAGGAGGCAGCGCCCTGAGGACAGCCGAGGCTGAGGGCCCTGTGGAGTCTGGGAAGCCTAGAGAGCGGAGCAGCTGGGGCGCTGTCCTCAGCCCAGCTGTGGGTGCAAGACCACCGGGGGCCTGCAGAGCCCCCAGAAGCATGCTTGTGTGGGGGTGGCCAGAGAAGGGACATGAAGAGCGAGGGGGTCCACATCGGGGGGGCTCAGTAGGGCGTAGGGTGTGGGGTGGGTGTGGTGAGCAAGACAGAGGCCACAGTGGGGACCAGGAAGGGGGCTCTGGGCAGCAGGATGTGGGGGGGCCCGGGGCAAATGCTGACTCCGGGATCCCTGGGCACCAGCAGCCACGCCAGCCACCCCACCCCTCACGTGCCCACAGCAGGCTGGGCACGGGCAGCACCGAGCTGTGCTGTGTACCACACTGAGATGTTTAAATGACGGGGTAAATGCACTCTCCCCCTCCCTCCTGCTGCCAGCATTCCTGAGGCCGGGCCTGGGTTTTGGTTACCAGGCAGCCGAGGAGCCAGAGGGCACCCCCGCAAGGCAGCCTGAGCCAGAAACTGCTGACGGCTCTTTTTCTGCAGCAGCAATTTAGCAAGTCCCAACTGGTGACCTCGGTTAGCAACAAGGAACGTGGAAAATACTCACCATCGTGGATGACTGTGGGCCGACGTGCATGTGCATGCGTGTGCATGTGTGCATGTGTGTGTAGGGGTATTGCGTGTCTGTGAGTCAGCCTGTGTGCTGTGTGAGTTGGTCAAGGGCACCCATGTGAGTTGATGAGCATGCACACCCACATGGGAGCACACACGTCTTTGCCCGTGTGCACTGGGGCATGGGCCTGTGTTTGCAGGGCGTGTGCCTCGTGTGGCCTGCAGCTACAGTTTGGTGTGCACCTGAGCTAACATGCCCAGGCACCTGTCAGGGCACAGGTCTCTCTGTGGATATCTGGGAACATACATGTGTGCACGTGTGTACTTGCACAGACACTCTGTGTGTGGGTGTGGGTGCCTGGGCGAGTCTGTGTGCTTTTGTGTCTGGGCATGTGAGAATATCTGTGTGTGCTTTCACATGAGTGGTGCGTGTGTTTGAGGAAACGCCCTGCTCTCACCAGAGTCCCCATGTGGGGCACAGGACCCAGCATACGGAGGGGACACGGGAGGCACTAGAATGTGGAGGGACATTAGTCAGGGTTTTCCAGAGAAACAGAATCAATAGGGTGTGTGTATATAGAGGAGAATTATATTGAAGAACTGGCTCACACAGTGATGGAGGCCAGTGAGTTCCAGGCTCTGCCATCAGGAAGCTGGAGGCCCAGGAGGGCCTGTGGTGTGGTTCCAGTCCAGAGGCTGGTGGGCTCTAAACCCAGGAGGAGCCCACGGTTTAGTTTGAATCTGAAGGCAGGAAAAGACCAGTGGCCCAGCTCAGGGAGGCAGGAGAATCCCCACTGGCCTGGGGGAGGGTGGGCCCCTGTGTTCTCTACAGGCCCTGGATGGATGGGGTGAGGCCCATCCCTGGGAGTGGGGGTAGGGGGGCACACTGCTTATTCCATCTACACATCGTTGTGCTAATCACATCCAGAAACACCCTCACAGACACACCCAGAATCATTTGACCCAATATCTGGGCACCCTGTGGCCCAATCAAGTTGACACATACAGTTAACCATCATAGGTAGGAAGATGGCTGGATGGGTGAGTGGGTGGATAAACGGGTGGATGGGTGGGTGAGTTGGAGGCAGTTCCAGGGAGGTCTGTACCCACTGGGCTCCCTGAGGCAGAGAAGGGATGGTAGGAAGAACAGGTCCATCTGGGGAGTACAAGAGGAATTTGCCTTATTATCATTCTGAGAGAAACCCCCAAACTGGAGAAAATTCTAGATCTGTGTAACATGGTCAGTAGCTCACCCCATGTAGCAAGAAAAGGACCAGAAATGCCACTGTCTTCTCTGAGACAGGAGCATGCATGATGCAGCTGCCCACACCCCACCCCACCCCAGAGCCCTGCCTAGTGGGTCCTCAAACTGCACTATGCTTCCTTCAGTTCCCCAGGAGCCAAAACCCTCTTCGCCTCCAGATCTTTGCCTCTTTCCCCCACCCTGACCCTTCCCTTCCTGTGGCTGCTTCCCCGTGATCCTTTGGGTTATAGCGGGAACAACTCCCTCTCCTCCTGCCCACCCCCACCGGTTCTCAGGCTGGGTGGGTGCCCTCCCTGGGGGCCGCCCCTGCCCTCTCCTGGCACTGCAGGATGGTGAGGGGTCCAGGGCCCGACAGTGTGCTCAGGTTCCAGGCCTGCCCCATCCTGAGCCAGCAGCACCCCATGCCGCCGTTTCCTTGTTTGTGACAAGTCACTCGCAGTGTTGCCTGGAAGATCCCCTGAGTCACACGTGAAATGTGTTCAGCACAGGGCCTAGGAGAAAGCAAAGTCGTGGAAAATGCCGGCAATTCCCACGGTCATGACTGCGGTCCTTCCCATGCTGCATTTCCACACAAGGTGAGGTGCTGTGTCCTCCAGGCCTGGCACTCTACGTGGCTCCTTTGAGGGTAGAGTCCCCTCAGAGGCGGCAGGGACTGAGTGAAGCGACCTGTCTTGCCTCTGTCCTGGCCTTGCTTGCACCCCATTTTCCTGGAGGCTGCCAAGCAGAAGCTGCAGGTGTTCCCTGCTGGCACAGGCGCCTGGGAGGCTGTTGGCCCTCGGAGCAGGTGCCAGGCCCTGTGGTTGGGATCAGGGATGAGCTCCGTGTCAGGGTAACATGAACTTCCTAGGAGCCTTCATCCAGAGGAGGGAGCCTCAGCAGGCAGCGGGCACCTCAGACCTGCCAAGTCAGAGAAAAGAGAGATTCAGAGAGAGACCGAGAGTGAGACAGAAACAGAGACAGGATGCGAGAAGGAGAGATGACACTGGAAACACAAAAACCAAGTAAGTCAGAGCCCGGAATGCGGAGAGGCAGGGCTGGAGGGGAAGGGACAAGGGAGGGGGAGGAGCAGGTGACACACATGCCCACAGCCAAAGGGGCATGGCCTGTCCACTGGGAATCCCACCCGATTCCCACCTGCCAAGAGAATGCCAGTGAGGGCTCTAAGAGGGACAGCAAAAATCCACTCTTGAGGCCTTTTGCAGTAGATAAAGTAGGTCCACTTCCAGGACCTCCTGTTGTGAGACAGAAAGTGAGATAGCAGGAGGTGTTGGCAGGAGGATAGAAAAACCCAAAAAGCTGAAACAGGAACTAGGCGAAGAAACCACAAGATAACAGAAAACCCAAAATAAGGGAGAGAAAACGGCCTGAGCCACAGCGGTCAGGGTGATATATCCAGGACTCTTCCAGGCAAACCCAAATTAGAGAGAAAGAGGGCAGTAACCAGGGGGCGTCCCTGAAATCCCCTCTTTTTCCAGAACACCTGATGATTCCACCCTTTAATTAAAGAAACGTCCACAAAATTAGAAACTCAAACTTCTCATGAGTACACTGTGCTTCCCTCTTGAGTGTGTACTTTGGATTTGCAATAAAAGCTCCTTGCCTTTCGCTTCACCTGACTTGTCTCTAAATTCTTTCTTGTGATGGTGTCAATAACCTGGAAACTGGCTGGGGCTGGGGTTTCACCAGCATCCAGAGACCCTGATAAGTCTCCCAGCAACAGTCTGGGCAGGTGAATTTATCACCTTGACTGGAAAGGCAGAGACCCAAGCCTAGAAGGCAGAGGGCCTTGCCTGAGGTCTCCCTGTGGCAGCAGAAGCTGAACGCTGAGCCCCATCTTCTCACACAGAGTGGATGCCGTCCAGGCCATGGGGACTGCAGAGCTACCTGGCTGTGAGGTCCCTAGGCTCTGGGACTTGAACTGCCATGACTCCAAGAACCCTCCACATGAGAACAGTGGGGAAGAGGAAGCCAGGCATGGCGGAGGATGGCTCTGACCTTAGAGTTTCAGTCAACAGTAAGCTCAAAATGAACCAACAATGTCACGTGTCTGCCAAAGAGGTGGTGTGGAATGGGAGATTACAGTAACAGAAGATGAGACACCAGGTTAAAGACTTGAGAGCCCTCCCATAGCTCTGTGCTGAGAGGAGCAAAGATAGCTGGGTCTTGTTGTGGGGCTAGCATAGCAAGGACATTCAGAAACCCCATGCTACTTCCACCAGAAGGACTATACTGACAAAGGCCAACTAAACCAAGTGTTGGAGACAATATGGAGCAACTGGAATGCTCACATTCAGCTGGCGAGAGTAAGTGGCGCTCCCACAGTAGAGAAAGGTTTGGTGGTCTCTACAAAGCTGCAACATGCCTAATGATGTGGTTTGGCTGTGTCCCTACCTAAATCTCATCTTCAGTTGTAGCTCCCACAATTCCCACATGTTGTGAGAAGGACCCAATGGGAGGTAATTGAAT
Organism: Homo sapiens; assembly: GCF_000001405.40. NCBI lineage: Eukaryota > Metazoa > Chordata > Mammalia > Primates > Hominidae > Homo > Homo sapiens. Next base: position 69,403,079 of record NC_000011.10, read on the forward strand.
CATGGGGATGGGTCTTTCCTGTGCTATGCTCATGATAGTAAATAAGTCTCACCAGATTTGATGGTTTTATAAAGGGGAGTTTCCCTACACAAGTTCTCTTCTCTTGTCTGCTGCCATGTGAGATGTGCCTTTCATCTTCCACCATGATTGTGAGGCTTCCCCAGCCAGGTAGAACTGTGAGTCCATTAAACCTCTTTCTTTTGTAAATTGCCCAGTCTCAGGTATATCTTTATCAGCAGCGTGAAAACAGACTAATTCACCTACCCTATGTCTCAGCTACTTCACCCCTCGGTAAACACGCAAGAAACACACATATATGTGTCCCAAAAGACATATATGAGAATGTTCTTAACATAAAAAGCCCATCAGTAGTGGAATGGATAAATGGTGGTATCTTCATATGATGATGAATCTGATCAATGATGATGAATGGACTATGTTACACATAACGTCATAGATGAATCTCACTGATACCATGTTCAGTGAAAGAAGCTAGGCACAAAAGAGCACATTCTGCATGATCACATTAAGTCGAGTTCAAAACAGGCAAAACTCATCTGTGGCGACAGAAGCCAGGCTGGTGGCTCCCTTGCAGGGTGCGATGACTGGAAAGGATGCTGGGCTTCTGGGGAGGATTCTGGTCAACCTCTGTCTCAAGCTGTAAACTTCGATTTGTGTACTTTTCTGTCTGTGAGTCATGCCCTTCAATAAAGCATGTGCTATAAAAATAGCAGAACAGGAGCTATGAGGAAGATTTGGAGGAATTCGGGGTGGATGGTCTGGGGACGAGGCCTCTTGGGGGATGTCATACTGTCTTTGAGCATCTGGAGGTGAGTCCCATGAAAGGACATTCACTTTTGTCTTCACAACTCCATGGAGGAGAACAGGCCCCACAGTTGGAGCTGGTGGGGTCAGGGAGATGCAGGGAGACTGACTTGGGGAAGTAGGAGAAGAACTTTCTGGTATGCAGAACTTTCCAAAGAGAAGCCATCCGTGGCTCCCTGTCAAGCTTCAGCTGTGTGCTCCCCTGTAGGGGCTGTGAACATCCGAGGCCCCCCCACAAGCCCAGGTGCAATGACCTCCACTTAGTCTGTGCTTCCTGCTAAGAGGTCCTTGTCACATAGTGAGGACCCTAAATTTCCCAGCCAGGGCAGCAGAGCTCAGGGGTCCAGATGGCCCTGCGTCCAACCCTGCCCAGCTTCTCTGCTAATAACCATTATTATCACAAGGAGAGCACCAGCACAGGTGGTACATTTCATGTCTTGTGCTGAGACATTGCTTCAAACCCACCAGTTTATAACCTTTGGCTGTTGCAGGCACATGCTTGAAGCAGAAGGCGGGAGGGAGGAGCTTGAACCAACAGCCTCCTTTCATTATTATTATTATTTTGGGGGAACAATCCATTCCTGTAACAGATTTACTTCTACTTTTTATTGTGGTAAAATACACATAAAATCATATTTATTATTTTAATCATTTGTGAGTGTACAATTCAGTGTCATTAAATACATTCACAGTGTTGTATGATCATTACCATCATCAATCTTCAGAAAGTTTTCATCTTCCCAAAAGGAAACTCTGTACCCATAAAACAATAATCTTCCTCTCCCCCTCCTCCAGCCCTAGTAACCTGTATTCTACTTTCTGTTTATGAATTTGCCTATCACAGGCACCTCATATTTGTGGAGTCATATGGTATTTGTCCTTCTGTATTTGGCTTATTTCACTTGATATATATATATATATATATATATATATATATATATATATATATAATTTTTATTTTTTTTAAGAAGGAGTCTCACTCTGTTGCCCAGGCTGGAGTGCAGTGGCGTGATCTCGGCTCATGACAACTTCTGCTTCCTGGGTTCAAGTGATCCTCCTACCTCAGCCTCCCGAGTAGCTGGGACTACAGGTGTGCTCCACCAAGCCTGGCTAATTTTTGTATTTTTAGTAGAAACGGGGTTTTACGGTGTTGGCCGGGCTGGTCTCAAACCCCTGACCTCAGGTGATTCACCCGCCTTAGCCTCCCAAAGACTGTTGCCATAATGTTTTTCAGGTCCATTCATGTTGCAGCATGTATCAAAATTTCATGTATTTTCATAGTTTTCATAGTTGAATAATATTCCATTGTCTGGATGTATTATACTTTGTTTATCCATTCATCTGTTGATGAACACTTAGGTCGATCCCACCTTTTGGCTCTGAATAATGTTACTGTGAACACTGGTGTGCTTTCAGTTCTTTTGAGTACGTATCTAGGCATGAAATTGCTGGGTCATATTTAGTTCTATGTCTAAGTTTTTGAGGAACCACCAAACTGCACAAAGCTTCCAGTTTCTCCACACCCTCACCAACATTTGCTATTTTCCTTTTTTTTTCCTTCAAGTAATAGCCACCCTAGTAAGCATGAGGTGGTATCTCATTGTGGTTTTGATTTGAATTTCCCTAATGACTTTTCCTATGCCTGTTGGCTATTTGTATATCTTCTTTTTTTTTTTTTTTTTTTTTTTTGAGATGGAGTCTCGCTCTGTCGCCCAGCCTAGAATGCAGTGGCGCCATCTCGGTTCACTGCAAGCTCCGCCTCCCGGGTTCACGCCATTCTCCTGCCTCAGCTTCCTGAGTAGCTGGGACTACAGGCGCCCACCACTACGCCCAGCTAATTTTTTGTATTTTTAGTGGAGACAGGGTTTCACCGTGTTAGCCAGGATGGTCTTGATCTCCTGGCCTTGTGATCTGCCCATCTCAGCCTCCCAAAGTGCTGGGATTACAGGCTTGAGCCACCGCGCCCGGCCATCTTCTTTAAAGAAATGTCTCTTTGTGTCCTTTGCCCATTTTGAATTGCATTGTTGGTTTTTATTGTTGTTGAGTTGTAGGGGTTGTTTATGTATTCTGGATATTAATCTCTTCTCAGATATACAATTTGCAAACATTTTCTTCCATTCTGTAGATTGTCTTTTCACAGTGTGTGTCATTTTTTTGCTTCATTTTGTTTTTAGAGATAGCATCTCTCTCTGTCACCCAGGCTGCAGTGCAGTGGTGTGATCATAGCTCACTGCAGCCTCAAACCTCTGGGTTCAAGCAATCCTCCTACCTCAGGCTCCTGAGTAGCTGGGACTACCAGTGCACTCCACCACACCTGGCTAATTTGCTAATTTTTTTTGTAGAGTTAGGGTCTCACTACATTGCCCAGGCTGTTCTCAAACTCCTGGCATCAAGCAATCCTCCTGCTTCAGCCTCTCAAAGTATTGGAGTTACAGATGTGAGCCCTACACCGAGCCTTTTTCACGTTTTAAATAATGTCCTTTGATGCAAAAAAAAATCTTAATTTTGATGAATTCCAATTTATCTATCTCATTTCTTTCGTTGTTTGTGCTTTTGATGTCATACCTATGAAGTTGTTATAAAATCCAGTGTTAAAAAGATTTTTCCAGTGTTTTCTAACTAAGAGTTGTATGGTTTTAGCTCTTCAGTTTAGGTCTTTGATCCTAGTTAACTTTTGTATATAGTGCAAGGTAAAAGTCCAATTTCATTCTTCTGTATGTGAATAGCCAGTTTTCCCAACACCATTTATTGAAAAACCTATTCTTTCCCCATTTGAGTGGTCTTGGTACTCTTGTCAAAAATCAATTGATCATATATGTGAGGGTTCATTTCTGAGCTATCTATTCTATTTCATCAGTCTATATGTCTGTTCTTATGCTAGTACCATACTCTTAATTAATGTAACTTTCTAGTAATTTTTTTGAAGTTGGGAAATGTGTGTTCTCCAACTTTATTCTTTTTCAAAGTAATTTTGACAGTTTGGGGCACCTTGCAATTTATACACATTTCAAGATTGGATTTTCCATTTCTGTGAAAAAGGCTCTTGGAATTTTGATAGGAATTATGTTGTATCTATAGAACATTTTGGATAGTATTGACATCTTAACAATGTTAAATCTTTCTATCTGTGAACATGGGATGTCTTTTCATTTATTTAGATATCCTTTCATTCTGTTCAGCAGTGTTTTGTAGTTTTTAGCATGAAAGTCTTTCATTTCTTTGGCTAGGTATTTTCCTAAGTATTTAATTATTTTAAATGCTATTATATATGGAATTGCTTTCTTAATTTTCTTTTCAGATTATTCATTGCTGGTGTATAGAAACGCAACAGACTTTTGTGTGCTGATGTTTTGCCATGCAGCTTTGATGAATTCATTTATTAGCCTAGTCACTTTCTTGTGTATTCTTTGGAATTTTCTTTATAAAAGATTATGAGGCCAGGTGCAGTGTCTCACAGCTATAATCCCAATACTTTGGGAGGCCAAGGCAGGAGGATTGCTTGAGCCTAGGAGTTTGAGACCACCCTGGTCAACATAGTGAGACCTTAGCTCTATACTTTTTTTTTAAATAACCAAGTATTGTGGAACACACCTTTAGTCCCAGCTGCTTGGAAGGCTGAGGTGGGAGGATCGCTTCAGCCCAGGACTTTGAGGCTCCAATGAGATATGATTGTGCCACAACACTCCAGCCTGGGTAACAGAGCAAGACCCTGTCTCTATAATTAATGAAGGAAGCAAAGGGGAGGTGAGGGGAGGGGAGGGGATGTCATCTGTGAATATGGATAGTTTTACCTCTTCCTTCCCAATTTGGATGCCTGTTATTACTTTTTCTTGCTGAATGGCTCTGGCTAGAACTGCCAGTACAATGTTAAATAGAAATGGCAAAGGGGATATCTTTAGCTTGTTCCTGATCTCAGTGGGAAAGCTTTCACCCCTTCACCATTGAATATGATGTTAGCTATAGATTTTCCATAAATACCCTTTATCACGTTGAGAAGTTTTCCCTTTATTCCTAGTTCACTTAGATTTTTATCATAAAAGGTGCTGAGTGTTTTCAAATGCCTCTTCCACATCAACTGTGATGATCATGTGGGGTTTTTATTTTCCCTTCATTCTATTATTTTTTTATTTATTGGACTTAGGATCTCACTCTGTCATCCAGGCTGGAGTGCGGTGGCACAATCAGAGCTCACTGCAGTCTCAAACTCTTAAGCCCGAGTGATCCCCTCATCTCAGCTTCCCAAGTTGTTGGGATTACAGGCACACACCACCAAGCCTGGCTAATTAAAAAGAAAACAAAACTGTAGAGATGAGGTCTCGCTATTTTTTCCAGACCGGTCTTGAAATCCTGGCTTCAAGCAATCCTCTCATCTTGGCCTTCCAAAGTGTTGGGATTACAGGTGTGAGCCACTGTGCTCAGCCCCTTCATTCTCCTAATGATCAATTATACTGGTTGATTTTCTTGTGCTGAATCACCTTGCTTTCTTGAGATAACTCCCACTTGGCCATGGTGAATAATCTTTTTAATACGTTATAGAATTTGGTTAGTTAATATTTTGTTGAGGATTTTTGCATTTGTATTCCTGAGTGGTATTGGTCTGTAGTTTTCTTTTCTTATGATGTCCTTGTCCGGCTTTGGCGTGAGAGTAACGCTGACCTCATGGAACGAGTTAAGAAATGTTCTGTCTTCTGCACTTTCCTGGAAGAGTTTGAGAAGAATTGGTATTAATTCTTCTTTAAATGTTTGGTAGAATTCACTCCTGAAGCCATCAGGTCCAGGGCTTTCTTTGTTGGGAGGCTTTTGATTAATGATTCATGCTTCTTACTAATTGTAGGCCTATTAGATTGCTATTTCTTCTTGAGTCAGGTTAGGTAACTTGTGTGTTTCTAGGAATTTGTCCATTTCTTCTAGGTTATCTAATTTGTTGGTGCTCAGTTGTCCATAGTATTTATTATCTTATCATCCTTTCATCCCTGTAAGGTTGGTAGTATTGTCTCCACTTTCTAATTTTAGCTATTTGTGTCCTACCCTTATTCTGGAGATAAATAACTTGGTCATTACCCACTAACTATACTGAAAACACAGTTCTCCCCTGAACTGAGCCAGGTGAAAGTTATTCCCATCCCACGCCTGCCCAGGGCTTCCATGAGCAGTTTCCATTTCTGTCCTCCCGCCAGCTCCAGGCATCTCTGCTAGTACTTGTTGATGACCTTGGGTTGAACCTGCCTCATCTGGACCCCTATCTGCCCCAATGAGGGGGTTGGGGGGCCCTGGCCTTCCTCACACCTGTGTTCTATTTCCAAGATGGAGAGTGGGGCCCCATTCCTGGGGATACCCACCTTGTGGAGGGGCAGGAGAGGGACTCTCTTCCTGAGGAAGCCCTGCTTAGAGCTCCACAGGATTCTCTGCCACCCCCAGCACATCCTTCTGCAATGCCCCTTTACAAAGCGTCATAGTCATGTGGGGTGAGAAGGGCTTATTCAGGCAGGAATCCACTGTCTCTCCACTGTCCCAAGGAGGACAGACCTGTGAATCTTTGGGATGGTGGGGGAAGTAAAATGCTTGTTCTTCTCAGGAGTTACTACATAATCGTTCAAACCACTCCAAATGCAAGAACTGGGCATTACAGTATCATTGGCTTTCTTGGTGGGGCCAAAAGCCATGTATTTCCAGACATTTAACTTGTAAGATGGGGAACTCTGGAGTCCAAAGACCCCTCCTCACATAACCCTGAGCCCCTCCCTGCCTCTCCTTGGCTATCACTCCCTCCCACCATAGCACCTTAGGTGGGGACTCACAGGGACCTGACAAAATGCCCGCAACGGCACCTGCTATGCACACACTAATTTAGCGTGTTGCGAAGGTGGCATTTTAATCCTTAGGGAAGATGGGACGGTCTAATTAGGGGTCCGGGATCCGTTAAAGCGAAGTCCCAGTCTCATCACTGATTCCAGAATGAATTCCTGGGGCCTCTGCCCACAGAGCACCTCCCTGCCCCTCGCCTGGAACACTGATCCGCAACCACTGTGTGCTTCAACCAGACCCTCCTCAAGTGTCTCAAGTGTCTCTGCTTGAACGAGACTTCCCCTCCCCACTCTCCTTCCCACGTCTAAAATGTCCCACATCCTGCCCCACCCAGCTCTGTCCCCTGCCTGGCTTCATGCCCTCCCCGCTGCTGAGCTTATCTCATCCTCCCATGGTTGGTTGATTCTTCTTTCACTATCAAGCTCATCCACTGCTGAATCCTCAGTCTTGGCACTGGGAATGAATGAATGAATGAATGAATGAATGAATGAATGAGCAAACCCAGGGACACATGAGTAGTTGGAAAATATAGAACCATATAAAAGCTAGGACAAATGTGTGTCCTCATGTAAAAGCTAGGACAAATGGGGGGACCCATTTACAGATAGGAATGAGACCACAGGAGCATGCACACCTAAGGTATACTGTCCCGTCACCCTCCCACCCCATCACACCCGCCATCAGCCCTCCCACCCCCGCCAAAGGCTCCAGTCCTGGGCGTCTCCTGCCAGTGCAGAAAGGGGGCTGTCTGACTCTACAGCTGCAGCCTCCTGTCTGGGTGACGCCACACCTGTGGGATCAGAGGAGGAAGGGTCTGGACATTGCCAAGGCTGTGGCCTTCTCTGTCTAGGTGGTGGTCCAGGGTCCTCTGAACTACTGGGCTGTGACATCCACACAGTGTCTGCTGAGCTGGGCCACCTTCTGCAGAGAGAGAGCAGAGCACCCCCTTTCTGTAGGCTTTGCTGAACATTCTAGGGTGGGATCACCCTACAGGCCATTTCTGTCCCCCAGATACCCCCTCACCGAAGCCTCCCCCAGTGAAGCAGGTACAAGCCTGAGGGCCGCAGGTTCACCACTTCTCCCTGCAACGAAAAACGCCACATTCCAGCTGAGGTGCTGCTGGGCCCCAGCTGCAGAAACAGAAATGCACAGTTAACCAAGCTCTAGTTAAGAAAGATCTTTCTGAACTTAAAAAAGAACAAAATAAGATCAAGACCATCCTGGCCAACATGGTGAAGCCCTGTCTCTACTCAAAATACAAAAATTAGCCAGGTGTGGTCGTGGGCACCTGTAGTCCCAGCTACTCAGGAGGCTGAGGCAGGAGAATCCCTTGAACCTGGGAGGCAGAGGTTGCAGTGAGCCGAGATCACGTCACTGTACTCCAGCCTGGCGACAGAGCAAGACTGTCAAAAAAAAAAGAACAAAATAATAGTGACCAAAAAGAAGTTCAAGACATTTGATCATGAAATAAAAGTCTCTATATTAAGAAAAAAACCAAACTGATTACTCAAAAGACACTGCTAAAATACCACAACGCAGAAAACAAAAGATTAATATATTGTTATATATAAAAAGCGCTTAAAAATCAACAAGACCAATGACCACTAGATGACTGACTAAAAGCTACATAGGAATTTCATGAGCAAAATACAAATGGTTGATAATCCTATTTTTAAAAAGGTGTTTGTTCTCACTAGTAAGCAAAGAAATGTGATTTGCAGCCATTATAGACAAAATATCCTTACTCAGCAGTGTTGATGGCCGTATTCTCTTACAACGTTGGTGGGAATATAATTGCTACCAGCTTTCTGGAGGACAGTTTGGCACTATGCAGCTAGACTTCATATCTAACTTCTAAGAATGACTCTAAAAAACCCTTCTGCATGTGTGCAAAGACCTGTGTGCAAGTAGGAACATCACAGCACTTCCTGTAATGCGTAAAAGCTGGAAACAGCAAAAACAGGTCATTGATGAAACATCTGCTCTATAAAACATTATTCAGCCATTAAAAATCATGTTTCAAAAATGACTTAACACTATGGGGAAATAATCACGGTCTGTTAAGTGAAATGCAGGAGACAAAACTGGTACCGCAATATGATACTGATTACATAAAATGAAACGTCTGCATACGCATAACAAATATACCACAGTGAAGCATACCAGCCTGTAAACACAGACACTGAGCAGTTTCCAATGCTCCAAATTTTTCAAGTTTTCTACAATAAGCATGAGCTATGGTGAACTTTTTCTTTTTGTTTGTTTGTTTCTTTCTTTTGAGACAGATTCTTGCTCTGTCACCCAGGCTGAGTGCAGTGGCACTCAAAGCTCGCTGCAGCCTCCACCTTCTGAGCCAAGCGATCCTCCAACCTCAGCCTCCCATGTAGCTGGGACTACAGGAGCGCACCACCACACTCAGCTAATTTATTTTTATTTTTTGTAGAGATGGGGACTTGCTGTGTTGCCCAGACTGGTCTTGAACTCCTGGACTCAAGTAGTCCTCCTGCCTCGGCCTCCCAAAGTGCTGGGATTAAAGGCGTGAGACACTGCACCCGGCCAAAGGTCTTGTTATTATTATCTTTTTGAAGGCTATTTAACAACACAGGGCTGGGCTTATGATAAGACATTTAACGAACCAAATATCATACGAGATAGACAGATAGATTAATAGGTTACCTCTGTGTGGAGTAACAGGCCATTTCAATTTTTAAATGATCCTCTGGCTGGCAGCAGAGCTGGGGAGCGCAAGGCGGTGCTCATTAATAGCAGTTGGGGCCGGGCGCGGTGGCTCACGCCTGTAATCCCAGCACTTTGGGAGGCTGAGGTGGGCGGATCACGAGGTCAGGAGATTGAGACCATCCTGGCTAACACGGTGAAACCCCGTCTCTACTAAAATACAAAAAATTAGCTGGGCGTGGTGGCAGGCGCCTGTAGTCCCAGCTACTCTACTCGGGAGGCTGAGGCAGGAGAATGGCATGAACCCAGGAGGTGGAGCTTGCAGTGAGCCGAGATCTCGCCACTGCACTCCAGCCTGGGTGACAGAGCAAGACTCCATCTCAAAAAAAAAAAAAAAAAAAAAATAGTTGGCTGACTGAATGAATGACTGAATGAATGAACGAGTACTTTGCTGTACTTCCTGGATTTCCTACACTGAAGTGTAGTAAAGAAAAAAGATTTTTAATATAAAGAAGAAGGCACTCCCCGAACTCATCAATAACCCTGTGTGCAATGTTAAGGGCCCATCCTCTTGCTTTCCTCAGAAACACAGAGGCACCTCCCATAGGAATCAACGTGTAAAATTTGCAAACCCTTTAATCCAGAAATCCTCCCTCCAGGAACTTAGCCCACAGCGCTATTCGCATGCGTGTTAAAGGACACGTGTCCAAGGTGGCTCCGTACAGAGTCGCTGATAAGAGGAGAACTGGGAACAGCACTCACGTCCATCAACATGAGAATGGTCCCTAAAATGATGATGCAACCATGCAGGGGATGCTGCCAGGCAATGGAGATTATGCCCTGCTTTCTGTTTTTATTGACATGCAAAGATGACCTCGCTGTACCAATCTGTGAGCAAAACAGGTTTCAGGAAAGCAGGTCTAGAACAATCCCATTTTTTAAGCAGCCAATGTATATCTCCATGTGTCTCTAGGCATGGGCAGCTGCCCACGGGGTCACCTCTAGCCCTCCAAGTAGTGTTGGGTGGTGATGGCCGTGTTCTCCCCTGCACACATGGCATGGGTTGCCAGCTTGGTCGTACCCATTGCACCACTCTACTGGCCTCACCCCTGCCCAGTAGAGACCAGCAGCTCCTTCCACAGAGACAGCATGAGGCCCAGAGAGGGAGTGTGTGACTCCAAGTCAGATTTCCCAATACCTGCATGCTCTTACCTCGGCCCTAAGGCAGGCCCAGAGGTGATGTGAGGATTCACAACCAGACACTGGAACACTGAGATATTTTTTAAAAATGTGTTTGGGCCGGGCGTGGCAGCTCAAACCTGTAATTCCAGCACTTTGGGAGGCCGAGGCAGGTAGATCACCTGAGGTCAAGAGTTCAAGACCAGCCTGGCCAACCTGGCAAAACCCCGTCTCTACTAAAAAATACAAAAATTAGCTGGGCATGGTGGTGGGCATCTGTAATCCCAGCTACTAAGGAGGCTGAGGCAGGAGAATCGCTTGAACCTAGGAGGCGGAGGCTGCAGTGAGCCGAGATGTCACCACTGTACTCCAGCCTGGGTGACAGAAAGACTCCATCTCAAAAAAAAAAAAAAAAAAATGTGTTTGGTATGGTTTCATTTGGCTGTGTCCCTACCCAAATCTCATCTTGAATTGTAGCTCCCATAATTCCCATGTGTCATGGGAGGTACCTGGTGGGAGGCAATCGAATCATGGAGGCAGGTCTTTCCTGTGCTGTTTTTGTGATAGTGAGTAAATCTCACAAGATCCAATGATTTTATAAAGGGGAGTGGGAGTTTCCCTGCACGCACTCTCTTGTCTGCTGCCATGTAAGATGTGCTTTTGCTCCTCCTTGCCTTCCACCATGATGGTGAGGCCTCTGCAGCCACGTGCAACTGTGAGTCCATTAAACCTCCTTCCTTTATAAATTACCCAGTATCAGGTATTGTCTTTATTAGCAGCGTGAGAACAGACTAATACAGTACACTACAATTTAGACTTCTAGTGACTATACCTGGAGCCCCCTGTTCTCCACCTCTCTCTCACAGGTACACACACAACCATCCACTTATTGAAGAGGATGAGCAAGGGCACAGCCTCAAGCCCACTGCCTGTGTTTGAATTCTGAGTGGTTTGCTAACTATGTAGATTTGGGCAAATCACTTAAAACTCGTTTTCTTGTCTGAAAAATTGATAGTAAAGGTGCTTACCTTGCGGGCTATTGCAAAGGACAAAATAAAGTCTAGTATGTGTATTTGTTCGTCACTGCATTTCCAGAGCCTAGAACAGGGCCTGGTGTGCAGTAGGTGCACAATGCGTGTCCGTGGAACCAGCAGCAGGCCCTCTACCTGCCTGCCAGTGCAGGCACTGGTCAGTCACCATGACAAAGCTGATCTGCCTGCCCCTCACACACTTGCTCCCCAATCCCTTCACTTGGTGACAGCCTTCCCCGACACCCTTGGGCGCCCGGCCCCTGGGACGCCTGTGGAGCTGTTGGGGAGAAGGAAATCTGAGGCCCCCACATCCTGACCCAGGACCAGCTGGCCTTGCGGATTCCAGAACTTTCTGAAGCAGCCAGCCGGCCACCAGCCAGGAAGCGGAAGGTGCAGAAATAGAAACGCACAGAGAGGCAATTGCTCCTTTTGCCCTGCAAGGAAGGGAAGCCGGGGGAGAGGGGCCAGGAGAGGAAGCTGAGGGGCAGAGGAGAGGATGGGGAGGCCAAGGACGGCGGGATGGGGTTCCAGAGCTTGCCGGACCTCGGCCCCCGCCTGCTCCCATGTCCAGTGCCCTGGGTCAGGGCTGTGGGGAGCAGCTTTCAACACCTTCATTTTCCTGACAAGATCCCAAAATGAGGAGCTCTGATTTGCTCTGAATGCGACTTGAAGCCAGGCCCCGGGGAAAGTATTTGTGGCAACTTTCAAGGGTTGATGCTGTGGCTGGCAGCAGAGGTGGGGGGCAGGAGGGGGGTGCTCACAATGGTCGTTGGCTGACTGACTGACTGAATGAATGAATGAATGAGTGAGTGAGTTGTGGCCAGCCCTATACCCCAGCAGAGCCACTGGGCTTGAGGACAGGACCCTGCCTGCTGGCCACGTACCTAGACAGCCACAGACAGAAAACACGCTTAGCAGGCTGCACTGAGGCGGAGAAATGAGATCTGGCCCCAGCTCAGCTCTGCTGCATCCCAGGTCATCCGAGGATGTCACTGGCCTTCTCAGCCTCACACCCCTTCCTCCCAGTCTGGGGTGAGACCCTCACACTCCACAGAGCGTCAATGGGAGCCCAGGGCGAGCCTGGCTGGTACTGGCCTACTGAGACCTGGGCTTTTCCTGTATTCTCCCACGCAGAGTATAGCAGGAGGCCCCCCAAAAGTGTCCTCTAGTCCAGACTCCCCCACTGCAGCCAGCCTACATTCTAGAGCTGACATGGGCCAAGACCAGGAAGGAAGGGCCACCTTCCCTGAAGGACACTGACTCCTCAACCCCTGTGCTCAGCCGACCTTGCGAAGTTGGAAACACACTGCCCTCCTAGGCTGAGCTGAGCCCTTCCCAGCTCGCAGCCCAGCGGGTCCCTGAGGTCCCATAGAGGGGGCTGGCAGTGGCTTCTTCCAGGCAGGGCCCCAATGCCCACCACCCACCTTGGAAGGTCTGGCTGGAGGGGTCTCTGAGGACAGGGACCATGACAAGGTTCCCCTTGCCTCCCCCATGCTATGGCCCTGGCCCTCCTGCAGAGCCCACGGTCCTGGCAGGGGCCACACAGGATCCCTGCACCCGTGGCCCAACCACAGGCTCGGCCACCATGCACACGGCACAAGCATCTGCTCCCTGGCCTTCCTGACAGGCAGCGGGCGCCCTGGCACTGGCGGGCGGGCAGGCGGCGTGTGCAGGTTGGGGCCGCCCAGGGGCAGGAGTGCAGGCCTGCAGTTGACAAGGCCTGGTTTCCTGCTCTCACTCTGGGGAGGAAGAGGAAGATGACAAGCAAACCAGTGCTTGTCAAGGAGTCATCTAAACACGCACTCAGAGGCCACTTCCAAAGACCGCCCTGAGGCAGTCCAGGGTCCATCGCCGACCACCCTCCCCAAAAAAGAATGACATCAGCCAGGTGACAGCAGCAGGCAGGTACAGATGGGGTCCTCTAGGGATGGCAGATTGCCAGGGAGCCTGGTCACCCTTCCCTAAGGGTCAACTCAGTTTCTCAGCCATGGACCAAGGTGCCCCTTTGTCCTGTGAACTTTGAGAAGCAGAGGGCCCTTCTCTTTGGAGTCTGAGAGAAGCCCAGGAGAAGAAGGAATGAAACCCTGCACATCTCATCTTCTTAAAATGCAGATTCAGGCCTGTTTTTCCAAGTCCATCACCAAACACAAGGTCTTTCCAAATTAGGTGCTGAGCTGAGCTCATATTCCCAAAATGCACACTCCCCTCCTTTTTTTTTTTTTTTTGCTTGGGAATGCTAAAAAATAAAAAGTTATATGACGTGTCTTTTTAAATAGCACACACTTTTCCGCTAATCAAGAAAAATCGAGCCTGTGTTTTGCTGAAGTGATGTGATTTTTTTCCCCCTCATTTTATTGTGCAAAGGAATTCGAGTCAGGCGGCCACATCCAGAGGCAGGAAGGGTGTATAGAAAGTTCAAAATTAGCAATTCCCTGGACTCCCTTTCAGATGCAAGGGCGAAAACGGACTTGGTCTGAGAGCTACGTTTTCCTCCTTGGAATCTAGGAGGTTTCATTAGTAGGAGTTCCTTTTTTATGGCCTTGTTTTCCTGCAAGTTAAAAGAAGAGGGTTTGATTTCACCTCGGCAGGTCGCTGAGGGTCTGAGCCTCCAGTGAGCCTTCTCACGTGTCCACTGCCCTGATCAATGTATTGGCTTCAGAAAGAACAAACAAGCCAAGCCCGTCACAGGTGATTTATAGCATCTGCGCCTGATGGGTGGTCATGATTCATGGCACTTCATTAAACCTGAGCGCAGCCGCTTCCTCTGCACCCGCCACTGGGGACAGGCCACCCTCCCTCCTGGTTACTGGCCCCCTCTGAGCCCCAGACAAAAGGGCCTCTCACTTGCTTACATATTTTCCCACATGTGAGCCAGCAATTGGAAACTTCCTCCCGATAACTGCAAACCTCGGAGCTGGAATTTATGAGAAGGGGCTTCGGGTGACGTCGGCGGCCTGGGCACACCCAGGCGCACAAGGCAGGCCTTTCATGAGGAGCTGCCCGGGCGGCGTGGCTGAGCTGATGAGAAGTGTCCCCAAGACCCACCTGCAGATCCAGCGGGCCAGCTGCCACTTGGGCAGGAAGGGGCTCTGGGCAGCCCTGGGCCACAGGACAATAGTCAGGTGGCAGGAACGACAGTCAGTGTGGTTTCTGTCCCTGTGTAAGCTGCCCACTGTGTGGATTTGAGAGGGGCAGGGGGCACGGTGTTACAGACACACCCTGCTGCTGGGGCAGCCTGCTAAAATTCTCCCAGGGATACGCCTGTCCATACCTGGTTACCTGGGTCACTCTGTCTTCTGCCTGGGAGAGGCGGGGAGGACGTGGGAACCCGCTGGCTGAGACATCAAGCTGGAATTGTCCCACCTGTGTGCTGCAGGACTGGGGATGCTATAGGATTCTGTCTCCCAGAACAGCAGCCACCAGTCATCCGTGGCCTCCAAGCACTTGCAACGTGGCTGGTCTGCTTCAAGATGCCCTGGAAGAACAAAATACACCCCAGATTTTGAAGACTTAGTAGGAAAAAGGGGATGTGAAAGACTTCACTAATAATCACAACGGCGAATGCATGTTGTCATCATATGTTGGATATATTGGGTTAAATAAAACATATTATTAAAATGTATTTCACCTGTCCTGTTCACTTTTTAAAATGTGGCCACCACTTGCTATGTACCCACAGAAATTAAAAATTGAATTTTTTTTTTTTGAAACAGAGTCTCGCTTTGTTGCCCAGGCTGGAGTGCAATGGCGTGATCTCAGCTCACTGCAACCTCCGCCTCCCGGGTTCCAGCAATTCTCCTGCCTCAGCCTCCTGAGTAGCTGGAATTACAGGCGTGCGCCACCACACCCAGTTAATTTTTGTATTTTCAGTAGAGAGAGGGGTTTCGTCATGTTGGCCAGGCTGGTCTCAAACTCCTAACCTCAGGTGATCCATCTGCCTCGGCCTCCTAAAGGGCTGGGATTATAGGCGTGAGCCACCACACCCAGCCAATTTTTTTTGTTTAATGTGACCATTAGAAAGTTAAAAATTATAGGTGAGGCTGACATAGTCTTCCTATTGCACAGTGCTGGCCGAAGGGGAGCCAGTCCCGGGCTGAGGTCCTCATCTGTTTCCTACCCTGACTCCCAGGGCAGGTCCGGCTCTGCTGGGGGGCCTGTCTGCCACAGGACTTGATGAGGAGGGGAAAGACTGGCACCCACCAAGCACTTTCGACATGTCAGGCACTGGGCTAGGCGCTTGGCCTCGATATTCTTATTTAAGTTGCATAACAACCCGGTAAGACAAGGACTACTACTGCGCCATTTTACAGACAAGGAAATTGAGGCTGGTTGAGGTGAATCAACTTGTGCAAAGTCCCAGAATCTCCACCCGGGCAGTATTGCCTGAGCTCTTGCTCAGCCAACAAGCCCCACTACCCCCACACACCCATGGGCCTCTTGCAACAACACCTTCCCCACATAGGGTCATGGGGAGCCTGAAGTGTGCGGGGGCAGTGGAGGGCATCTTTCTGAGGGCATCCTGCCCCTGAAGCCCAAGGAGGAATCACCCTCACGGCTCACCGAGAAGGATTGGCAACCCTCAGTCTTGTGGACTGAAGACTCATTTCGGAGCCACTCCAGGGTTGAGGCAGAGTGTGCTCCCAAGGGGTGGTTGTGCCCTGGCTCACGGCCCTGAACACAGTAGGTCTTCAACTAATACAGCAGGAAGAAATGGTGCCAGGACAGCTCTCCACGTTGGAAGTTCTTCCTTGTTAGCCCAAGCCAGGCTCCTTTGAGGATATCATTCAGATTATTACTTTGCTTGGGGCAGGGTCCCAGGCACAGCTCCGGGCATGGGTGCAGGGATCACACTGGACACACCAGATTCAGACCCTTCCAGAGCCCCTTCCCTGCTGCAGGGGGCAGAAAAGAACAGATAAGCGATGGTGCATAGTGGGGCAGCAGCTACCCCCAGACTTAAGAAGAGGACCAGGACATTTTTCGGGTTTCTGGTCAATTAAATGGAACGCCAAGCAGAGTCATGTTCTCAGCATCTATGTTTAACAAATCTATACTTCAAATGCACACCCTCTCTGCTGAAAGAACACAGTCCCATCGAAGTATTTTTGCCTGATGGGAGGGATTAGAATTTCCGTGGCAACATTACATCACTTTAGACCAAAGCGACAGTGTCTGGGAAGACAGAGCTGGTTCTGCACGTACCTCCGCTCCACAGTCACGGACACTGAGGTGCTCAGGGGTCGGCGCTCAGGATCACTGGGCAGCCGTACGTGTCCCAGGCAGCGGGAGCCCCGGCAGTGCCAGCTCCCACACCATCCGGCTGTGACAACCTCAGGTCCTTGATGACAGGGAGCCTCTGCCAAGACGGTCCGAAAATTGGGAAGGGGACCCGCTCATCTTTGTGGGGTCCCCAAGAGCTTCAGATAAGTTTGCTGAGCACCGGCTTCCTGATCACATTTCACATTTGACCAAACGATGTTCCTCTGCAGCCTCCCTCCCTTGGTCCCCAAATTGGCAGCACTTTCTAGAAGCTAGATGCAGAGGATGTCCTTTGTCAAGGGAAAAAGAAGTGTTTCCTTTGGGATAAAAGGACACACACACGAGTGTTTATGCACATGCAGATACGTCTGCCTCTCTCTATGGACATGTATAGAGATTTGGTTGTTTATGCATAAAATATCCCTGCATGGATACCCAGGAAACTGGTAATGTCAGTTGCCTTTAGGGAGGAAAACTAGGGGTCTGGGAGTCTTAAGTAGGAGAATTTTTTAACCATATTTTATATTTTTTTAAATTGTTCTACTCTGAGAAAATTTGAAAGTGTATAAAAAGCAAGCTCTGAGCCCCTTGTCTTCAACCCCGGGGCCTCTCTTGCCTGAAGTCCTGCCATGAAGATGAATCTCTGCCTGTACCCAGTTCCGTCAGGGTCCTGCTAAGGGGTGAGCAGAGGACACCACACCGAGGGGCCACCCATTGTCTCCCAACCTCGGTTCCCAGGACTCCCGTCCCCACGGGCCCTCTAGACTCTGTGAGGCTGTGATTCTGGGCAGGGTGAAGCCGGACATGCCGCAGGGCCGATGCCGGCCGTTGTGGAACCAGCCCTGGAATCTCAAAAATGTCCTGTGGTCAGGCCTGAGCTTTGTTAGTGACTCAGCAGAAAGCACCCAGCCCTGGCCCCGTGGCAGGTAGGCCAGCCCCAACCTGGGGTGCAGCCTCAGGCCTCCAGCGTCCAGAGCCCAGGCCTGTGGGGATGTGGGCCCAGTGGGTGAGTGGCCACTGTCCAGACCCTCTGTCTCAGCGAGGCATCAAAGGCTGGCAGAGTTGGCTGCTGGGGGAGCCCCTGGATGGGGCCAGAGCCCCGGCTCTGGGCTGAACTGTGTCCTGACCTGCTGACTGACTTCCAAGGCCTCAGTTTCCCCATTCACAGGAGAAGACCAACTGCATGTAAGCAGAAGCCTGACATTAGAAATGCAGCTGTTCTGTGATGCAGGTGGCGTGCTTGTCAAAGGAGGTTGACAAGCCTCCCAGGCTGCGTGGCCACAGGCAGCCTCCATGCCCTGGAGCCCCAGTTTCTCCTCCATGAAATGAGGCTAATAAGACTTCCTCCAGGCCGGGAACCGTGGCTCATGCCTGTAATCCCAGCACTTTGGGAGGCCGAGGCAGGCATATCACTTGAGGTCAGGAGTTCGAGACCAGCCTGGCCAACATGGTGAAACCCCATCTCTACTAAAAATACAAAAATCAGCCAGACATGGTGGGACGCACCTGTAATCCCAGCTACTCGGGAGGCTGAGGCAGGAGAATCGCTTGAACCCAGGAGGCAGAGGTTGCGGTGAGCCGAGATTGTGGCAGTGCACTCCAGCCTGGGTGACATAGTGAGACTCTGTCTCAAAAAAAAAAAAGACTCCCTCCAGTATCCGTGCTTGGGATGATTAAATGAGACAGTGCAGTCTTTAAGACATCAGCTGCCGCCAGCACCTTGAGGCTGCTGAATACCACCTGTCCCATCACTGACACGATGCTTCCACTCTGCTTATTTTCTTAAATAAATGTACTTTTACTGGCTACTTGATAGCACTGCCATATGTGGTGGATCAACGTCACTTGCCATAAATAGATTACACATTAAAAGTCACCCTTCACAATAGGGCTAAAACCCAGCCATCTGTGTCCCACCCCAAATCAGCTCACACAGCCCCAGATTTGGGGACACAGTGAGATGAAGACATAAGTAACAAGCTTCGTATGCAATGATGGTAGAAAGGCAGGCAGAGGCGACACGATTTGCTCATTTAATTCTGCAAGCTTGGTGTTAGGGTTCACTTATGGCTGCCTTTCTTTTCTTTCTTTTCTTTCTTTCTTTCTTTCTTTCTTTCTTTCTTTCTTTCTTTCTTTCTTTCTCTCTCTTTCTTTCTTCTTTCTTTCTCTCTCTCTCTCTTTCTTTCTTTCTCTCTCTTTCTTCCTTCCTTTCTTTTCTTTTTTTTTTTTTGACAGAGTCTTGCTCTGTCACCCAGGCTGGAGTGCAGTGGCGTGATCTCGGCTGACCCCAAACTCCGCCTCCCAGGTTCAAGCGATTCTCCTGCCTCAGCCTCTGGAGTAGCTGGGACTTCAGGCGTGCGCCACCACGCCCACTTAATTTTTTGCATTTTTAGTAGAGATGGGGTTTCACTATGTTGTCCAGGCTGGTCTCAAACTCCTAAGCTCAGGCGATCTGCTTGTCTCAGCCTCCCAAAGTGCTAGGATTACAGGCGTGAGCCACCACGCCTGGCCTGCCTTTCTTATTAGGGGATTTTTAAAATTCCAGTTAAAATCAGCAAAGTCCAGAGAGAGGTGTTCTACACCTTCATGTTAACAAAATTATTTTAAAATGAGAAAAGCAGGTGCTGGGGAGGATGTGATGAAGCCAACGCTCACGCAGGCATCAGCAGGTTCACACGTGTGAAGCACGCATGTGCTCAGGAAGGGTTGGTTAGCATGATTATCATATCCTGTCGGTGGTAACTATAAACTGGATCAGGACCGAGGGAAAACAGTACAGAAATAACAACTACTGAGCCAGGGCCATGAAAATGTACGCAGCCCCAAAGCTAATGATTCTAGGCCTAAACACTGATCCCAAGGAAATAGTCTCCCCGCCCCATGTAACGAGGCCCCTGCTGAGACAGACCTGCTGATCGTCGTCGTCCACGTCCTGTTATTTCAATGCTCGTCGCTCACCCTGCCCCAGCCCACCGAAACTCCCGCATTTCCCCACCAGTCAAGCTCTCGTGTTGGGGGCTTTGCGCTTTCTTGAAGCAACTTCCCCAACCCTGGCATCCAGGTTTTCCCTCCGGCACCCCTCCACCCCTGCTCAGACCGCCCCCCTCAGGAAGGTCAGAGCTGGCCCTGGTATCCACAGAGGCACCTGCCCAATCCCCCCGCACTCCTTTGCCTGTGTGTTTTTCTCCAGAGCACTTATGCCCACCCAACATGGTCCATCTCATGGTTACTTACTGTTTATTTGGTTTATTGTTCATCTCCCTGAACTACAGAATGTCAGCTCCTGAGGATGGTGACTTGTTCACCGCTGCACCCTCAGCACCCAAAGGAGAATCTGGCGGTCAGGAAATGCTCGGTGGATGTTTGTTGAATGAATAAATGATGCTGACAATGGAGACCGTCCAAACGTCTAAGCCAGTTAGCGTGCAGACACTCAACCCACCATGTGGAAACATGGGAACCCACTGAGAGGGAAAGGCAGAGGTGGACGTGCACCTGCGGCGATTAATTAAATCCACGTGAATGTGTTCACAACCTTTGCAAGGAGCACAGACACAGGGCGTGAGAGGACAGAGGACACATTCTCCCTTTCTGTCGCCGAGATCTGAGCAGCCCAGGGTGAAACTATCCACTCAGCAAGACCTTACAAGAAAATCAAACAGCCCATGCACTGCTTTGATCTGCGTCCTTGCTGGCAGGAGGGCTGGGACTGGCCAGGCCTGGCTCTGGTCAGCCACCCCATTGGCAGGACCCTGCCAGTGGCCTGCCGTGTGTCTCTGTGTCCTGGGTCTCTCAGTGGTGTGGCAGTCCTCGGCTGGATGGCATCCAAAGTCCTTTCCATTTCCAACCAGGTTGAACAGCGTAGGTGGCTTCCTTTGAGTTGAGTCGCCTGGCCAGGGTAAGACAGCGGTGAGGGCCCAGCCAGGTCCCATCTGTAAGTCGGAAGCAGGTGGGAGGGTGAAATTCCTGGCCCAGCCCTGGGGTGAGTCTCCTTACGGATGCACCAAATGGAACAAGCCATGAGAACTGCCATGCAATGGTTGGGGTCCTTCGGGGAGAACTGCCGTAAACACCTGCTTGGGATCTAAAGCAGACTGTGGGTCTCGGGTGAACAGAAGGCATGCCTCTCACTCTGCCTCGAGCATGTGCAAGCTTCAGGATCTTCACAGTGACACTAGGGACGGGGACCTTTGGAATAGTATTATGAGACCTGAAAAAAATAACATGTGGGTGTCAGACCCATGCCAGGGCTGAGTGGATCATTAGATAATCATTATCATCATTTTTGTCATTGTTATCTCCATCCTGGCAACTCCAACTGGATGCTCTTATTATTAATATTATTTTGCATTGAGTATTAATTATTAATATTATTAACTGACTAATATTAATTATGTAAACATTATTATGCATTGTTAATATTATTAATATTCATATTTATTATTAATATTATTTTGCAAGGACAAATGATAATTGTATATTAATATTATTTTGCATTGACAAATGGTGATTGTATGTTAATATTATTTTGCATTGACAAGTAGTAATTGTATATTAACATTATTTTGCACTGACAAATGGTAATTGTATATTTATGTGATGCGTTGATACCTGTGAGCAAGGAGATGGATATGTTAATAGCTTGATTGAATCATTCCCTATTGTATGTGTTTATCAAAACATTACACTGCACCCCACTGGACCCTTGAATCTCATCATCTGATGGTGGGCTTCGTTCAGGCCAACAGAGAAGAGTGGGGTGGCTGCTTCTGGAAGCCTTTCTTCTGATGATTGTAGGGGGAATTCTCCTAGCAGCCCTCTTTCTCATTCTTAGAATATGTCTGAGTTCTGAAAGCAATGTGGCAAGGCTGAGGAGAATCCTTTGAGGGCCCAACTGTCCTGACTTCAAGGTCCTAACACCTCCTTAGAGTTGACTTAAGTACACACAAAGATCTGTGCACAGATGTGTGTAGAGTCTGTATTCTTAAATACCCCAGACTAGAAACAACCCAAATGTCTTTCAGCTGAGGAATGATGAACAAACTGTGGTACATCCATTCAGTGGAATACTACTGAGCCATGAAAAAGAACAAGCCAAATGGATGGTCCAAAATGCATCGTGCTAAGAAGCCGACTCAAAGTCTGCACACTGTATGATTCCATTTATGTGATGTTCTGGAAAAGGCAAGACTGTAGGGGCAGGAAACGGGTTCTGTGTTTCCCAGGAGCAGGAGGAGGGGGAGCAGAGTGAGAAGTTTTTTGTGCTGATGAGGCTGTCCTGGATCTCAGTTGTGGCAAAGGGATCAAACACAGCTGTGTTTGTCAAACTCACATAACTGTACACTTTAAAAGGGTGAATTTTATTGCATGCAAATCTTACCCTAATAAAAATGTTTAAAATAATAACATCATATGAATTTGTTGACAAAAAAAAAGGTGCATGTAAAAAACATTTGTCTTTATCTTAGGGGTTTTGGTTGCAAGTAACAGAAGCCCTAACCCTTCTGCAAAACTGGGAACATGCTGGCTTATGTAACAAGAGAACCCAGCTGTAAACCTTAGGCACCACACGACTGAGAAGGTGACAATGATGGCATGACAACACCATCTCTGTGCATCTGCTGTCTCTATGCTGACTTCACTTTCAGGCCAACGCGAGGGACTTTTGTGATTCTGATGGGAAGAAAGAGTCTATGTTCAGACCCACTCTGGCCGAAATCCCAGGTAGAACTCTCATTGGTCTAGCTTGGGTCATGTGGCCATCCCTGGGCCAATCAGAGGGAAGAATATTTTTTCCTGTTAGAAAGGGATGAGCTCGCAAGTCATGGGAAGACTCACAGGAAGCTGAAATGCATATTGCTAGATAGAAGAACCAATCCGAAAAGGCTACTTTCTCTATGATTCCAACTACGTGACTTTCTGGAAAAGGCAAAACTATGGAGATGGTAAAAAGGTCAGTGGTTGCCAGGGGTTAGCGGGGAGGGAGGGATGGACAGGAGGAGCACAGGATGCTTAGGGCAGTGAAACTCTTCTGTAGGATACTGGCGCGGTGGGCACATGTCCCCATAACATTTGTCAAATTTCATGGAACGTACTGCACCAAGTGTGAGCCCTCATGTAAACTAGGAGCCTTAGTCTCATAATAAAGTAATCCCAGGCGCTCCTCAGTTGTGACAAAGGAGCCGATCAGCGTGGCCAGAAGGACGCCTGGTGCCTGACACCCGGCACCAAAGTGAGATGTTAGTAATAGGGGGAACTGCGGGTAGGGGGCGGATGTGGAAACTCTCTGCACTTTCTTCTCAATTTTTCTGTAAACCTGAAACTGCCAGAAAAAAATAAAATTAACTTTAAAAACGAGACGAAGAAGTGGGAGAGATATTGGACAGGCAAGGGACAAAGGTTCAACACAAGTGTGCATGGGTGTGTGGGTGCGCGTGGATGCATGTGGGTGCGCGTGGGTGCATGTGGGTGCGCGTGGGAAGGCAGTACTGACCACATGTGCGCTTCATACCCATGAACCTGCTGATACATGTGTGAGTGCCAGCTTTGCCACATCCTCCCCAGAAACCACTTTTCTCTTTTTAAAACCCATTTTGTTAACGTTAAGGTGTATAACAACTCCTTGCCTTCGATGAATTTTTTTTTTTTCTGAGACAGAGTCTCACTCCATCGCCCAGGCTGGATTGCAGTGGTGCCATCTTGGCTCACTGCAACCTCCGCCTCCTGGGTTCAAGCGATTCTCCTGCCTCAGCCTCCCGAGTAGCTGGGACTACAGGCATGCGCTACCATGCCCGACTAATTTTTGCATTTTTAGTAGAGACGGGATTTCGCTAAGTTGGCCAGGCTGGTCTTGAACTCTTGACCTCAGGTGATCCGCCCGCCTCAGCCTCCTGAAGTGCTGGGATTATAGGCGTGAGCCACCGCACCTTGCCACCTTTGCTAATTTTAACTGGAATTTAAAAAAAATTATCTAATAAGAAAGGCAGCTGTCTAACCCTAACACCAAGTTTGCAGGATTGAATTAGTGCGTAACTACACTCGTGTAAATGCACACACAGCCATGCACACGTGTGTCGGAAGAAGAATGGAAGGGTACATGCTAATCCTTGTGAGGGTTATTAGTGGCTGAGAGGTTGCAGGTGATATTTTTCCATCTCTTCTTTCCAAGGTGTGCATACTGAACATGTATTGCTTGTATAACTCAAATAAATAAATAGATAGATAGATAGTAAGCCATATGCGAGGGAAGGGGTGAGGTCGAGTGTTTCCTTTTGTTCTGGACGTCTGGAATCAGCCCGAACCCAGGATTGCCCCTAATGATTGAGGGGAGATTGGGGACGTGTCGAGGTAAAAGACGATGCGTTATTTTTGTAATAAGTGTAAACAAAATGTTTTTAACGTGCCTTTTTTCTTACCCCTGCTAAGGTAAAATGAGTGCCTCAGTTTGGGGTCAGCAGAGGGGAGAAGAAGCCAGAGATGCTGAGAAGGAACTTTCTTTTCCCTTTTCAGAGAAAAGGATTTCTGCTTTCAAATCCGCTGTTTCCTGAGGCTGGGTGCTGAGTTCAGCTGCCCCTGGAGGAGCAGCAGCTCTGGGCCGCTGGCAGGGCCGCATCCTCTTCAGTCTGGACAAATTCCCTGCAGCCAGGGGAAGTGGCCCATGCCTGCTGTCCTGGTATGCAACATCGGACCTGCATGCTGGAATTTGACCCTTTTCCTGCCTGACACCCAGCAAAATAAACCCCAGGGAAGGGATCAATGCCTGCAACCGGAATCCAGAAGAAAGAGGAGTGACAGATAAGCCCTGGGTCAGAGGCCAGTGAGGTCAGGACCTCCCAGGGACGGACACACAGCCCAAGGTTTGGGTGTGAGATTTCAGAGCCCCAGGTAATAAAAATAAAAGAGTTAAGGTGCCTAGCAGCTCAGTCCCTCACAGTGCTACCTGGGGCAAGGATGGAAATTCACCTCAGTTTGCTGTGGTTGCTATTGGCTGAATCATGTCCTCCCAAAATTCATATGTTGGAGTGTACCTCGGGATGTGGTATCTCAGGATACCTCAGTACCTCGGGATGTGGCGTTGTTTGGAGAAAGGGTCGCTAGAGAGGTAATTAAGTTAAAATGAGGCCATGAGGGTGGGCCCAAATCCAATTTAATTGGCATCCTTCTAAAAAGGGGAAATTTGGACACAGAGAGAGACACAAACAGGGAGGGCGCCCTGGGAACAGGAAGGCGGCCACCTCCAAGCCAAGGAGGTCCTGGAGCAGATCCTCGTCTCAGAGCTCCAGCGGGAACCACCCCTGCCCAACCTTCATTTTGAACTTCTGGCCTCCAGAGCTGTGAGACGATACACTTCTGTGGTTTAAGCCGTGTAGCCTGTGGCACTTGGTTATAGCAGCCCCAGGAAGCCCAACACAGTGGCCAAAACAGAGAGGACAGCTGGCTTGCTAACGTCACACAGCACACTGACGAGCAGGGTCTTCAACTCACTACTCAGGAACCCAGTAGTCAGGGGTGAGGGGGAATGCCCTTCCAATATGGCTAGAGCCAGACTGTCTGGGCCCAATCCCCAGCTTTGTATGTATTACCTAACCTCTCTGTGCCTCAGTTTACCAAGCTATAAAATGGGCATAATGACAGCACCTGCCTGGTGATGCTCTTGGAGGGATGAAAGGAGGCAACGGTGTGGGCATCTGGACGGCACCAGGCATTGCCCTGAGAGCTGGCCATGCGGGGAATGCTCCATCCTTACGCCAGCCAGGTGTTGCCACCCCTCTCTTGCTGATGGAGACCAGGAGGGTCGGGACAGAAGGCCTTGCCCAAGGTCTCACAGCCAGGAGCCTGCCTCCACTGGTCCCTGTGTGGCCAGTGCTGCCCTGGGGGCTGCTGCTGTGCACTGGAGGGTCAGCTGCATGGAGGAGCCAGAGGAGATGGTGCCGAGGACAGAGCTTGCGGCCCTGTACCTGGCTCCCAGAGGAATGGGTCTTGGAGCTGCTCTGCACAGACACTGACCTTGAGGAGAGACAGGGGCGCCACTCCCTCCTCCACTCGCTCAGGTGAGCATTCAAAGCGTCATAGGTAACCAGGAGCACTAGTTGGCATGGCGATTTCAGAGGTGAGTCCAATGTGGACCCTGGCCCTGGGAAGGTCACAGTTTGATGGAAGATGCCAGACTCACACATTCACTCACTCACTCATTCCCTCGTGTATTCATTCCGCAAAGCTTCACTCATTACCTACCTGGGGCCAGGACTCAGTCTCAGAGCCAAGGAGAGCGTGGTTGGGAGGAGACTCAGACGCTTTCCAGCATCCCTGCCCCCAGGTGTCTACACACCTGTGTACTCCCCAACTTGGAGTGTGGCAGGGCTGCAAAGAGGGTGGATGTGCTCCCGTGGTGAGGTTACTTTATATCGCAAAGGTGCCGGACTTCTGCAGGTGTAATTAAGGTCCTAACCAGCTGACCTTGAGTTAATCAAAATGGAGATGATCCTGGGTGGGCCCAAGCTAATCAGGTGAGCCCTTTCAAAATGGCCTTGAAGTCAGAGACTCTCCTGCAGGATTTGGAGATCCAGCCCCATGAGGAACAGGGGCAAGGAAATGCAATCTTCCACAACCGAGAGAGCTTGGAAGAGGGTCCCAAACCTCAGAGGAGACCCCAGCTCCGGTTGGCACCTTGACTGCAGCCCCATGAGACAGAAGACCCAGCTATGCCATGTCCTGGCTCCTGACCTGCCCAAACTTTAAGACAATAGATAAATGCCATTTTAAGCTTTTCAATTGGTGACCATTTGTTACGCAGCAATAGAAAACCCACACGAAGGGTACATTTCCTGAGCCAGGCACAGATTCTGTGGTTGAGAAGCTGGGGAGGGGAGGGGGAGAGAGATGCTTCATTTGTTCATTCACACCCATCTCACCGTTCCGCCGGCACATGGGCTGAGCTTCCCCTGTGTGCTGGGCATTGGACCTGCCCTGTGGGAGCTCAGCGTGTGGGTGGCCAGAGTCCTAAGGACCGACACGGGGGCCACTGGAGCTGGCACGCAGTGGCATGGGGAGAGGGGTTTCCAGAAACACCAGGTGTGCCCTGCTTTGGCTGCATACCCTCAGCTAGGGCTGGGACAGTCACTCTGAACTGGCTACCAGGGTGCTGGGCACGGGATAGCTGTGGCCTAGCCAACCGCCTCTGGTCCACTCGAGTGTGTGTGCCGGGCATCCACTCTCCCACCCAGGCTCCTTCCCAGGCTTTCGGCGCACCCCTCAAACCATCCTAAGTCCCAGCCCCCCACCATGGGTTGGATCTGCCTGCCTGTTCCCTCAGGCGGCCCCAACGTGACTGGTCAGGTGAGTGCCCAGGGCCTTGCTGTGCTGTCCCGAGACCATCCAAGGGGCCGCCTGCCCACGCCACTTGGATAGCATGCGGCCTGGAGGTACTGCCCTGGGCTCCCCCGCGTTTAAACATGACCCCTGACCCTGCCCGCTGCATGGAACACACGGAGCCCTTCAGGGAACGGGGCCACAGCCCAGGCCCTGCCGCCTCCTATGGCCCCACTACCTGCCCCGACGCCTCGTGCTGCATGGGGTTCCCAGAGCTGAGGCAGCCAAGGGTCAGCCTGAGCACTGCCAGCGTCGGGGGCTGCTTGGAGCCTGACATCTTCCACCCCTCCATGCCGGGCCCTTCACACTCGGCTGCGAGCTTCCCCAGTGATGCCACGCTGATCCTGCCCACCACCTCAAATCAGGCCCACTCACTAGACCCACTTCACAGGAAAGGAAACCAAGGCTCAGCTTGAAGATGCCACTTGCCCTAGGGCGCTTGGAGAGACAGAAGGAGAGGCCAACAGCTGAACCAACGGTGACCCCAGGCCTCTGCTTACCCAAGCACCTGCTGATGGGCATTTGGGTGGTTTCCAGCTTGGGGCTGTTACAAATAAAGCCGCTGGGAACCTTTGTGTACGAGATTTGGGGAGGCTGTGCACTTTAATCTCCCTTTGGAGAATACCCAGGAGTGGAATGGCTGAGTCACACATAGATGGATATTTAGCTTTGGAAGAATCTGCAGAAGAGGTTTCCAAAGAGCTGGTACCCGTGGTGTGGGAGGGGTCCAGTGGCCCCATGTCCTCGCTGGCACTGAGTCGGTCAGTCATTTTTATTTCAGCGTCCTACTAGGCGGATACTGGGTCACGCTCACTGGGGTTCATTGGGGACTCCAGTTACCTATGCTAGGCTACTTGATGTCCCAGAACTCACTGCTGTTCTGTTCTTCCTTGTCTTTTTTTTAAGTCTTTTTTCTCCTTGTATTCCATTTTGGAGAATTTCTATGACTGTGTTTTTAAGTTCATTATTATTATTTTTTTTTACACTGTCTCATCTGCTGTTAATTCCTTGTATCGTATTGTTTTTAATCTTGGTCAGTGTGGGTTTCCTTCTCATCTCCCAGCCTTTCTCACCTGGGCAGGTGCAGTGCTGGCCTCTGGCCTGGCCATCTGCCTCCACTCACACCCCCTCCACTCCGTGCTCCCCACAGTCCCATGGCTGTGTGCTTTTTTCTAGCCATGTGGAAATTCCTCTGTTGGCTCCCTTTGCATTTTGAATAAAACTCAAATTCCTCTCATGGTCTACAGGGTTTTCACAGCTTGGCCTCCACGTGCTCCTTCCTCCCGAAACCCCTCAATGCCCCACGCCCTGACCCCTGGCACACTGGGCCTCTTTTCCTCCCTAAAGCACATCCCACTGAGTCCACCCACCTCTGAGCTATGTTCATACCTCTGTTGGGAATTACATTCACATTCACACATGCACACACACTCACACACATGTATGCAGGCACAGAAACATCCATGAAACCTGCCTGCACACAGACACACTCAGATAGACACGTGCACATGCACATCTGTGCACACACAGATACACAGGTACAGTCATGCTCAAAGCACACACAGACATGCATGCACACATGTGTACATGGATGAACATGCATGTGAATATATGCATACGTGTGTGTGCAGGCCCCACATAGCCAGCTCCTTCTCTTCCAGGAGACTCTTGACAACTTTTGTAGTTGTATTATTTGCTTGTCTGATGAACCTGGATATTTTTTCTTTCCTCCCCACCAGAATCCAAACTTCTTGAGAGCAGGGCCCAGCACATAGCAGGTGCTCAGCGAATGAATGAATGAATGAATGAATGAATTAATGTGCAGATGGATGGAGGGAGAGGCGGGTAAATAGGCTACACCTGTTCTGTTCAAAGGGGTATGGCTTTGAACCCTGGCCCTTCTGCCCCCACACCATGGCCACCAGCACGTCATTTAACCTCCTGGCCCCCTGCTTCTGGATGGTAGGATAACTGGATCTGACATGGCCCATGGTGGACGGTTGAGCTGATTCCCTGTCTTTCCCACTGGGCTGCGCGTCCCCTGTCCTGTAGGTCTTGCCCAGACGCCATCACCTCACAGTGTCTAGCCCACCATAGCTGCCCAGCAAAGATTTTGCTGAAAGGATGCCCGTCCTGGGGCTGAGGTCCCAGCAACAGCGGCCCTGCCCATCCAGCTATCTCTCTCCCTCTCCCCAGCACCTTCTCCCTCATCACTGCAGCTTCCATTTTGCCCTTACTCTCTGCAAAACAGCTGCAAGCCTGGGTCTCTTGTGCCTGGGGCCCAGAGCCCAGGGGAATGGCTGCTCCATGTGCCCTGAGAAGCCAGAATGTGGGTGGCCAGGTCTAGGGTGTGGCCTGGAGGAATCCGAGCTGCTGGAGGCTGCCACGTGCTCACTGCTAGTGACTGGGAAATGTGTGTGAGCAGGGGCCCTTTCTTTATGGTAACGTGTCCTCGGTGTGATGGTGGTCCCTGGAGAACTCCACTGTGCTTCTCAGCGGGCCCCCAGGAGGGACAGGGCCCTGTGCTCTCCTTCCAGAGTGAGGCTTGTCCACTTACCTTATGGTGCTAGGAACTGCCTGGAACGGGGGCTGTAGGGTCAGGAAGGGGGCTGTGGGGAGGGAGTGTGAGGCCCTGAACAGGACTGCTCTGCTGTGCTGCTCACATCCTGGTAACTCCATGCCTCCGTTTTCTCTCCTGTCAAATGGGTGGCAAAGCCACACCCTTTTGAATAGAATACCTGCCCGGTCTTCACCTGGTGTGGAACCCAGCAGGTGTAGCCCTTTCCCAGAAGAATAAAGCAAGAACAGTTTTACTCTTAGCTGATCACAGTCACCAAGTCCAAAGGCTGGGATCCACGTACTGGGATGTCTCCTGTCACGCCCACCCAAAAGGGAGCCTCTTGTACTGCAGTGTAGAGGGGTCTTGATGCTCTCACTCTCTCTACCCATCAGTCTTTTCCACCCTCTGCCTCCCTGGGGACACAAGGCTCTGGGGCTCAGAGGGTAACCAGGGGCTCCACCCTGAGGCTGGGGGAAGCGGTTTCTCCCTGCGTGTCCCTGGATGGGCCCTGGATCTCCACTTCTCCCTGGCGGAGTAGCTTCAACCTAAACCCTGACTCTCATGACTAGAGACACCATTCATGTCCTCTCTCTGAAGTACCATCTGTGTCACCAGGTCTCTCTCTATGGACCGGGGTGCTGATGGGGGTGAGGCTGTGGATCTGCAGAGACAGGATGCACAGGTCTGTGGATGGATTCCTGATCGTGGATATGGACAGGGAGAAGCAAGGAGATTGTAGAGGTTTCTGGATGGAGCTAGTGGAGGGGTGGCAGTGGGATTTACTGAGATGGGGAAGATGGGAGTTGAGTTGCCTGGGAAAGGATTGGACACCAGCTTGGACACGATCTGCTTGACATGTCTGGGAGACCCCAAAGGGAGATGTCAAGTGGATGGCCGGATATATGGGTCCAGAGTTTGGAGGAGAGGTCATGGCTGAAGAGACAAATTTGGAAGTCATTGGCATAAGGATATTTCAATCCATGGGAACTGATGAGGTCACCCAGGGAGAAGAAGGGTTGAAAGAGAAAAAAACCAAGGAACCCTCAAATCCCATGGGACCAGAAGCCCCAGGCGATCAGGGATCATAATGTTTCACGCATCGCTGCACTCCAGCCCCAGAGGAGCGGCCCCCTCAACAGGCACCCACCAAATCCTTGCTGACTGCAGGAGCGATGATGTCTGGGGGACTCCAGGGGACCAGCAAGTGGGGCAGCAGGAAAAGCGGGCAGTGGAGAACTGGAGATGCTGGGAGAAGAGAGTACTAGGAGGACGGAGTGGCCTCCTGCAGGGGAGGGGAGCATGGGACTTAGGATGAGGGCTGGGGTGGCTGGGGGGGACAGTCTCTGATGGAACCACCTGCATAGGTTTGTGGGCTAAGGCCAAGAAGTCCTTGGGGAGTGGGGAGGGGCAGGGTATGATCACAAGGGGGAAGCAGCAGAATGAGACCTGAGACGGGGCAGATATTTGACACACTGGGAGACTGAGGCCTGGGGAGGGGACATGGCTGCCCAGGCCACACCGCCAGTGACAGTAGCTGAGACTGGTACCTGGGCAGCTGAGGCCAAAGTGCAGAGGCTCAACCTCCGCAGGACATCTGCAGAGCCGTGAGGATCTGCCGCGACTTTCAGGAGTTTTCTTTCTTTTTCTCTATTTGTGGAATTAAAATTAAATGCTCAAATCAGCTAGGGAAGCTGGAGCGCTGGTCCCAACCCCGACAGGACCCACGCCTCCCCATGCCCAGCCCCACCCCGGCCCAGGCAGGCCACTCTGGATTTCCAGGGCCCGACCCTTCCCTGCTCTGGCTGGCTCCGACTTCCAGGCCCCAGGCCCTGGGGAGGGAGGGCTCCAGACTGAATTCCTAAGGCCGGATGGTGCAGGGTGGGAAGACCCACCTCCTGGGAGGTTGCTGGTTCATGAATTCGAAGGATCCTCCTTTGAATTTTCAAGAGGTGACACCTGAGACCTGCGAGAAAAAGAGCAAAGCTGCCACTGCCTGGGAAACCCAAGGCCAGACAAAGGCAAAGGCAGGAGGCTGGTCAGGGCCCAGGAGTGGGGCGAAGCTGGGGGGCTTCAGGAAGAGTGGGCAGGCCAGGCCCACGTGCTCTCAGCTATCCTGGAGGCCCAAACTCATGGGCCCCCAGGGCCCAAATGCACCCTTCACAGCACTCCCTAGAGAAAGGGGCAGGAAGGAAGGGGCAGGCCCTACTCCAAAAGTCGGGACCTAGAGCCTGCTGGTTCCCTCCAGGTTCAGTGCAGGGCTCCCAGCATTGAACTGAGGAGGGGACCACACCTCATCCAGGGGAACAGATGAGGTCACCCAGGGAGAAGAAGGGTAGAGAGAAAAGAGAAGAAACCAAGGAACCCCCAAATCCCAAGGACCGGTGCTGGGAGCCCCACATTGAACTTGCTGGGGAGGCTTACAAGTAGGTGCCATAGAAGACCAGAGACCTACCCAGGCAGGGGTCTGCATCCTGTGACCATGCCCTCACCTGGGACCTCAAGGGGGATGTGGGCATCGGACTGCCCCAGGCACTTGGACTGCTGCTGTGTGACCATGGGAGGCTCACAGCCCTCTCTGAGCCTGGGCATCCAGGAGCAAAGTCCCTTGGAGTGAGTGATCAGCACCTAGCGAGGACACGCTTCCTTAAAGAGTTGCCCATATCCTTACCCTGGGCCAGATGTTAGGAATTTGAGCTGCCGGCACAGGTCAGGGGCCAGCTCGGGGCAGGCACGGGGTGGGAGGGTCCACCCAGGAGCAAACTGCATTCTTGTAGGTTTTTTTTTTTTTTAACGGTCTGCCCTCTTGTCCTTCCCCTTTTGTGTTTGTCCCTTTCTTCTTCTGCCACCCTCTTCTGAGGCTTTTGGTATCTTCAAATTAGTTGAATGCTGGGACGACAACGGGTTTGGAAACACACAAGTCAACTCTAATTTGATCCTCCACATTTGGAGGAAGAGACAAGACTTTTGTCCCCCCGGGGCAGTGCCTCCGCCACCGCAGTGACGTTTCAGAAGTCTTCCAACAGCTCAGATTCTCTGGCAGTCCCTCTTTGCATAATCCACCGGAATCTGCCAGACAAAAGCCACTTGGGAGTGAATTTGGGATATAGGCAACATGGAGGAAGGTGTTCTGTTGAGACAGATGTTCTCAGGATATCCACAGCCTCAGATCACACCAAGAAGAGCAGGAGCTCATGTTTGGGCTCTGAACCCAAACCAGCAGCGACTTGAACCAGAACGTGGGGCTGGGATTCCCCCAGGTGTGGGCTTGTGTGGGCTTCTGGGCAGCCCCATCTCAACAGAGTGTTGGGAAACCGAGCTAGGTCCGTCTTGCCTGTGGGATGGCAGGGGTGCCTCTGCTCCAGCAAGGTGTGGCGGCCGCTGACCACTCGGCCAGGAGTTCTGGCTGCCCATGGTGCAGAGTGTCCAAGCATGACCCAAGGGGTCTTCCCAGCCTGGGGCCACTGACGGGCAGGTGACGCAGATACCTTGCCTGGCTTGGTGCACCTACAAATTGTATCCTGGATTTGTTAGCCATTCAGCAATGGTCTGCTAAATGATGAGAACAAGCCGGCACCCCAGGAATTGCAGGTGTAACAGCAAATGGGATAAAGACGCCGCCCTCACAGGGCTTACCGTGGAAGAGATGGGAAATCCAGACCCACAGCTAAGGGCAGGGCCAGAGGGTGCTGAGTGCTGGACGAAGTGAGACGAGGGAAGCGGGTGTGGACTGAATTGCAACCCCCCTCCAACAAGATGTTTGTGTTGAAGTCTTAACCCCCAGGACCCCGGAACATTTCCTGATTTGGAGATAGGGCCTTTACAGTGGTCACCAAGTTCTGAGGAGGCCATTAGGGTGGGCCCTAATCCAATATGACCGCAGTCCTACTAAAAGAGGAAGTTCAGGCACAGAGGCCGCATGGGAGGGAAGCTGATGTGGAGAGGCATGGGCCACCTGCAAGCCAAGGAGAGAAACCTGGGCCAGTTCCTTCCCCGCAGCCTCAGAAGGAGCCTGCCCTGCTGACACCTTGATCTTGGACTTTCATTTCTATCAGTTAAGCTGCCTGGTCTGCGGATCTTTTGGCCTAGCGTATGGGGCTTGTACTCCACACGTCTCCCAGGGCTCTGCAGGCCAGCACCGGGGACCCCACCCATGTTATGCTCCACTTTCCAGGGAGGGAAACTGAGGCTCACAGAGGTGAAGTCACCCTGACAAGCCCCACAGACCATGGCCCAGGCTTGCTAGACTCTAGGGACAGAGCCCTTCTTCCCCTCAATGAGGCCACTGACCTCTCCAGGTGAACGTTGTTGGTGCAGCAGGGCATGAACCAGCTCACGTGCCTGGCCCACTGGCCAGACCACAGCATGGCTCTAGCTGCCCTGTCCCTGGCTGCATTGCTCACAGCCGACAGGGGCAGACAGGTGTAGACACAGCCGCCCAGCCCTGCAGCCCGGCATCCCAGGAATGTGGTCAGCCACCCACACCACTGCCCCCACCCCAGCCAGGCGTGCTGTGTCAGCCCTGGGCCCTCCTGCCCTTCCCTCCAAGCCCCGCAGGTCGCCCAACTCCCAGGGCGGCTGCATTCACTGTTCATCCCCCAGGGGAAGAAAGGCCGGGACCAGGGGCTGGCCCTGGGCCTGCACCAACCAGGGATCCTGCTCTAAGGACCTGACAGCTGCTGCTTTGCCCTTAGAGGAAAGGAGACCTTTAGAGAGACAGGAGGAAAGAGAGAGCAAGAGAGAGTGAGAGAGAGAGAGAGAGAGAGAGACAGGGAGAGAGGGAGAGAGAGAGAGAGACAGAGAGAAAGGGAGAGAGAGAGACAGAGAGGCAGAGACGGAGAACACTCCAACCCAAATATCCTGTCCCAGTTTTGAGCACAGCTTGGAGGTGTCCCCCTGCTAGGGGAGGGGTTCCAGACTCCAATGTGTCTCTTTAGTGAAGAATGCCCTGAAAGCCTTCTAGAGAATTGTGGGTGCTTCTCCCACCCACCCCATCTTGTTGGGAGCCTTGCTGATTGAATACCTGGCTCCCCTGAATATGTCTCGGGACACTGCAAGTCAGAGGGCGGGCACAAGTGCCGGCACCAGGCTTCACCGCCACAGTGACCCTCAGGGTGGGTCTGGGGGGCAGAAAGGTCACGCCCTTCCTTTGAAGACAAGGGGCCAACGGGGGTGGGGAGGGGTCTTCCCTCTGAACACCTCCTCCTCCCCTCTCTTGCTGCACTGGGGCCCCAGCGGCTGCCTTTCCTCATACAAACCAGGTTGTACAGCCTGATCCACTAGGGAGAGCCTGGCGTGGGGGCAGGCGAGTCCTGACTGCAGGGGAGACGTGCAAGTGAGGAAGGGTGGTCCTGAGGAAGGGTGGTCCGCAGGGAGACTTCAGCCTCCAGAG
Organism: Homo sapiens; assembly: GCF_000001405.40. NCBI lineage: Eukaryota > Metazoa > Chordata > Mammalia > Primates > Hominidae > Homo > Homo sapiens. The sequence continues at coordinate 69,438,171 of NC_000011.10, forward strand.
ACAGGTGGCCGCAGCTCCCCTAAGTCGCATCCCATCCCCTAGTCCAAAGCGCAGTGTCTGGTCACAGTGAGGCCCCAGAAAGGCTGGGCCTGTGTGGACACACTTCTCGCTTATTGCTTCCACTAACCCCACAAAGAAGACAGCTCCATTTCACAGATGAGGAACCTGAGTCGTGAGAGGTTAAAAGACTAGGGTGAGGGCACGGGATTGCAGTGGGCAAAGCCAGGCTCCTTGCACGGTGCGCCCTGGCACTCACTCAGAGGAGGCTCTGAATACAAAACCAGGATTGCACTGAGATAGCCCTGCTGTTTCCGCGCGGACGTGGAATGAAGTCAGCCCTGGCGATGCCAGAGAGAGACAGGCGGAGAGACGATCAGAGCCTCCCGGCTCCTAGTGGCTCAGGTGTGGCCCGGTGTGAAAACCTCAACCGTCCCAGAATTGAGGTGTTGAAGGCTCCTCTTGTTCCCTGATCAGCCAGACATTGGCTCCGGGACCAAGGCGGGGCCCACGTAGGGTCTGGTTGGTGGGGTGGGCCTGCCCATGGCCCTGACAGCCCCCGTTGTCCTAGGCAGGGAGTGGGGGACAGGTATTCAGGGCCTGGAGAGGTATTCCCAGGACAGGCGGGCTGTGGGGTGTGTGGGCGCTCCCGGGAGGTCCTGGCAGCCGCTGAGTGCAGACCAGGCCTGCAGACAAAGGAGAGAGTACAGACACAGTCAGCCCCCAGACCCACCGCCAGCGCCCGGGTGCACTGGGCCCTGCGTCTAAGGAAGCCCCTTACCCCTTGGGTTTGCCTCTTTTCTTTGGAAACACAGCAAGACAGACCAGCCTGATTTCCTGCTGCACTCTGTACAGACGTCCCCACACGCCCCCAGGGTCCTCCCAGGGACCACCCCAAGGCTCCATCTCCCCCTCCACCCCTTGCAAGACACATATTTACACCCCCTCCCAGGACCACCTCTGCATCCCTGAACCTAGTGGGAATCCATTAGCCCACCTTTGTCCTGCAGGGAACTCTCTCACTCCCAGCCCTAGAGCCCCTGCTGGCTCCTGCTGTCTGCAGAACAAAGCCCTGAGACCTCCCACACCTGGCCCTCCCAGCCTCATCCTGAGGCACTCAGCCCTCCACCCCCAAGGCCTCCAGCACACTTGTCATCTTTCCCCTGGAGGCCCCACACCCTGCCAAGGTCCTGCACCTCCCTGCATCTGAGCTTCCCACGTGGACTCCCCTTTCTCGCAGCAATGACTCCCCTTAAGACCCAAATTAGCACCCCCTCCTCCAGGAAGTCTTCCAGTTGTCCTGGTGGTGGCTTCTGCCTGTCCCTCCTACTTAGAGCCCTGGAGTGGCTGAATGCTGCACCCATTCGCCCCCGCAACACCAAAGAGTACGGCCAGGGAAACCCGTGAGTGTGACCTTATTTGCAAAAGGAATCGTTGTGCATGCAGGGAAGGCAAAAGATCTTGAGATGAGATCATCCTGGACTAGGGTGGGCCCTAAATCCAATAACAAGTGTCCTTATAAGAAGAAGAAAGGACAAAGAGAGACCGGGGAGAGGGTCTGCTGCGTCAAGCTGGCTTTGAGGCCGAGCAAGGAGCCAATGACCTTGGGTGGACCTTGGCCACACCTTGGCTGTTGACCCCGGCCCAGGCCCACTGCTCCCACCTCTTGCTTTCCTCAGAGAGGCCCATGAAGAGCAAGGCCACATGATGATGGAGGCAGAGGGTGAAGCGATGAGGCCACAAACCAGGGAACGCCAAGGGCGGCTGAAGCTACCAGAAGAGCCAGGAGAGGAACCAGGGATGGGTTCTTTGCCTTACAGCCCTCAGAGGCGCCAACCCCGCTGACACCTGGATCTCCATTCCTAGCCTCCAGAACTGTGCAAGAGTACGTTTCTGCCTCTTTCTGTAGGAAACCACCCAGGGTGTGGTGATTTGTATGGCAGCCCCCGACACTCTGGCAAGCTCCATCCCAGCGTCCCCTCCTCCCATCAGCTGTGACCTCATGTTCCTCTCCTGGACTCTGTTGGACTCATGGCAAGAATATCTCAATAAACGCATGTTAAAGGAATGATCTGTCAGGGGTGCTTCACCACCTCATGCTTCCATCTGAAGACTCAGCTCCTCCCAAGGGCTTATCTGGATGGTTCATCCAACTTCTTGCAAGCATAATAAGAGCAGGAAGCCAGGTGTGTAAGAATGATGTACTGATCAGGATTCTGGTTAGGCTATTATAGCAAAGACTGCAAAATACAGTAGCAGAAGCCTGGCTGTTGATTTCTTTTTCCCACAGGAGCCCACATAGTCAATCCAGGACAAATATGGCAGCATGGGCTGGGCATGGTGGCTCACGCCTGTAATCCCGGCACTTTGGGCGGCTGAGGCAGGTGAATTACCTGAGGTCAGGAGTTCCAGGCCAGCCTGCCAACATGGCGAAACCTTATCTCTACTAAAAATACAAAAAATTAGCCGAGCGTGGGGGCAGGCACCTGTAATCCCAGCTACTTGGGAGGCTGAGGCAGGAGAATCGCTTGAACCTGGGAGGCGGAGGTTGCAGTGAGCCGAGTTCGCGCCATTGCACTCTAGCCTGGGCAACAAGAGCGAAACTCCATCTCCAAAACAACAACAACAAAAACCAAACAAACAAAAAACAAAAAACAAATATGGCAGCATGATACTGGTCACCCAGGCTCTGTCACACCTGAGGGTTGCCCTGTCTACGAGGGCCAAATTGACCCATGCCTCATTTATACCCCAGCCTGTGGAAGGCGGAGAAGAAGGGAAAAGCTCATTGGTCAGAGGCAGGATGTGGCCACTGCAATGACTCCTTCACTCACAGATCTATCATGTTGCCCAGCACCATGGAGGATGGCTCACAGTCCATTCAGCCAGGGTATGGCATGGCCGGACCTAGCCACAAGAAGGCTGGGAAATGAAGCTTTCGCCAGGCACCCGCCGCCCAGCTCAATCTGCTCTCTGTAGAGCAGTTCTCAAAGTGTGGTTTCAGGAGGTCTGAGAGGTTGCAGTTAATTTCATGAAGACACTGAGGCATGAATTGTCTTTTTTCCTTTCATTCTCTCTTCATTCTCTCATGACTGTGCAGTGGAGTTTCCCAGAGGCCATAGGACCCATGATGACACTGTCACTCTGAGAGCTAACAGAATGTATGCTTGCAGAATCATGCATTTTACAAATTTCTATGTTTTCATTTCTAACTCAGTAAATATCAGTAGATAAAACCCATATCAACAAAATCTCTCTGGGGTCCTCGATAACTTTTAAGAGGCAAATGGGTCCCAAGACCAGAAATTTTACAAACTGCTGAACTAGAAGGTTAAAAACAGATACTGGGCATTAGGCTGGCAGAAATAGATGCTACAGGCCAGGCAAGGTGGCTCATGCCTGTAATCCCAGAACTCCAGGAGGCCGAGGTGGGTGGATCAACTGAGGTCAGGAGTTTGAGACCAGCCTGGCCAACATGTTGAAACCCCGTCTCTACTAAAAATACAAAAATTAGCTGGGTGTGGTGGCGCATGCCTGTAATCCCAGATACTCAGGAGGCTGAGGTAGAAGAATCGCTTGAACCCAGGAGGTGGAGGTTGCAGTGAATGGAGATCACACCACTGCACTCCAGCCTGGGCGACAGAGTGAGACTCCATCTCAAGGCAGGCGGATCACCTGAGGTTAGGAGTTTGAGACCAGCCTGACCAACATGGAGAAACCCCGTCTCTACTAAAAATACGAAATTAGCCAGATGTGATGGCGCAAGCCTGCAATCCCAGCTACTTGGGAGGCTGAGGCAGGAGAATCACTTGAGCCTGGGAGGCGGAGGTTGCGGTGAGCTGAGATCACACCACTGCACTCCAGCCTGGGTAACAAGAGCGAAACTCCATCTCAAAAAAAAAGAAAAAAAAAATAGATGCTACAACTGGAAATCTACATGAATTTGTCAGGCCGCCCCCTGCTGCATACTCATGGCCTCACGAATCTACCTGGGAGACCAGAGTCTGGCTCATAGAAATTTGGGAGCAGGTACATTTCTCACCAGTTCTGATCCTAACCACTGCAGCAATGAGTCAGTGCCTGCCCCAGTGTTTAGTGATCTGCCCGCATTTTTTTGCTGAAGCCTCCTCACACCAGTCCCTGTGGGCGTGCAGCACCTGGGTGTGCCTTTCCCCTATGGCATCAGGCAGAGATAGGGTCCAGTCCTGGTCTCGCCACTCCCAAATTGTGGGACCCTTTGCAGATTACTCTGAACCTCAGTTTTCTCATCTTTAAAATGGGGCTCATCAAGGGGTCACAGGAAGCTGTTTGCACAGTTCTAATTTGGAAGTTCCATAAAAGGTCACCCCAGCCATGCTCAGGGTAGGTGTGTTGGCAGAGAAGTCCCTGCCGGGGAAGAGTCAAGCTTCTGAAACACTCCGGAATCTCACTCTGCATCTCACCAGCCTTCCATGACTCCCCAGGGCTTGGGACACCTCCTCACTTTGGCATTCGAGGCCTTCCTCATCCTGGCCTCAACCCACCTTGCAAAAGCACTTTCTAGACAGCTTTGAATTCTGGCTTCTGCTGAGTCTAATTTTCCCGAGTAGGGGGTCTTCCCCTGAAGAGCAGGCCCATTCTGTCAGCCACACAATCACTTCATCTGGGGAGGTGAGGCCGGAAGCTGGCCCATTAACCACGCTCTCCCCAATGAGCATTTGTAAACACATGCCTTCTTTATAACATCAGCAAACAGAACATGTTTTCCTACTTAACAGGAAATGCAGCGGAATGGCTGGGTTCCCCGACAGGGGCCCCAGCCGCTTCATGCACGTGGCATATGAAGCTAGGACAAGGCCAGTGACCAAGAGGGGTGGCCAAAGCCCTCTGGTTTGCAGGCGAAGTTCCCAGCAGTTTGCACGTGTCCGCCCCCCCCAGCACTGGCCAGGAAGGGGCCCCACCTCCTCCCACGGCCCTGTCTTTGTCCCCAGCAGGGCTGCCTGCTTACACGGAAAGGCTGCCGTTCTTTCCCTGGAACTGGAATCAGCCCGGGCTATAGGCAAAGAAATTCATTTCTAACTATGCAAGCCCTTTCACTGTCACAAGACCTTGAATGTCAACCTTGGAAGCCCAAGGGCTATTGTCAGGAGCTCCAGCCAAGCCTCAGATTGACACAATTGCACCAGAACCCTGAACAGTCTGGGGGAAAGAAAAAATCCCCTGCTCCTCCTCCCTCGGGGGGAGGCGGCCCCCGCAAGGTAGGCGGTGGCTGCAGGCAGCTGAGGCTGCGCCATTCATGGCTGCAGGACCGAGGCCCCACGCGGAGCGGAGACCAGGCGGCCACAGCCGCTGATTGGGCGTCGCGGCCGGGGGTTCAGCCAATCGGCTGTTTGGGAAGCGGGGCCATTCATGAAAGCGCAGCGGAGAGGAAGCGCGGGGGCGGGGAGCCCGGGTTATCACCGCGCCCCGCCAGCCCCATCACGGCCGCCGTGCCTTCTGCCGGGCCATGCTGCGGCTCGAGCGGCGCTGGCTCCTCGCAGGGAAGACCCCGGCCAGAGGCTGCGGAAGAGGCCAGGCTTTCTGGAAGCGCCTCCCAGGCAGGGCCTGGCAGCCGAACGCCGCTTGCTTCGGTCAACTGTGGCCATGAAGTCATTTTTTTCCCCTGCTGATTGAAATCATCTGTTTTCAGTTCCCTGACAAATTCATTGAGTTCCCTCTGAGGCTGGGGCCCCTCGGCTGCTGAGTCTCAGTCTGTAGCTGCGGCCCAGACCCACACAATTTCATCTTCTTGGATTTACATGGTCTCCGGTTTCCAGAGCCCCAGTGAAAGACGCATTTGTGTGGGAGATGTGGGGTTGGGTTTAGCAGCCCTGGTCCTGGGGAGAATGCTTCTAAGATGGCTATCTGCTGGGCTCTGGGCCCCAAACCCTGGCCCTCGGGTCTGTAAGGTTCCTGGGGCCCCAGATGACGGCATGGCCAAGAACGGCGCAGAATCCTCCACATCAGCTCTCTGAAAAGGGAAATGGCCCAGTGGAATGCTGGCCTCTCCCTGCAGGATGAGCACTCATTTCCTCTTGGGATCTAGCAAGTAGCTTAAAAATACACTCATGCAAAGGGCCCACATAGAGCTATACCTGTGGGGAGGGGAGGGGTCTGCTTTTGCATGTACCTCAGGGAGGTGTGGGGTGGCAGCCTGCTGACAAGGGCCCCGACCCCACCGCCTTGCCTGTGTCCTCCTCTATAAAATGGGCGTAGGAGCACCTAGCCCTTGGTCATGCACGCGCCCAGGAAAATCACAAACGCAGGGGCCCAGCATAGTGCCTGATACGCGGCGAGAGTTTAGTCACCGACGTCGGTTGTTGGTGGTGACGTGAGCAGTGACATAGAGGACAAAAGCGATGCTCAATTCCATTTCCGGGCGCGACACAGCTCCGGCAGGGGGCGCTGGGCTCTGGAGCCCTGGGGACCCCTGCTTCTCACACCACCGTCACCCCCAGCCACATACCTGAGCCACTGGGAGCATGAGCACCAGGGAACTTTTTCTCAATGGAAAGATTTCTTCACAGCAAGTGTTTCGCAAGCCTCTCTGAGGCTGTCAGTAATGAGTCCTTACTTCTTGACTTCCAAGTGTGTTACATAAGCCTAAGAGGTTGGTCAAAACACAACACACACACACACACACACACACACACACAAATGTGGCTGGAGAGAGTGGACGGGCAGGCTCTGCAGCTGTTCAAACTTTCTCGGCCACCTTCCCAGGCCATGAGGACTCCCCACTCATGGGCCTGTCGGAACCGTGCTGGGGAATGTGAGGTATGAGATCCGGGAGAGGAGAGCCCAGTAAGCCAGGGCTGCGGGGGAGACGGAGGGCGGGGCCCGGACACGGGCTTTTCCCAGCGGCCAGCACCCCTCCCGCAGGACCTCGGGTTCCACCCCAGCAGCCTCTGTTTGGTGGGGGGCAGAGAAGGGTGCCCCTGCCTGTGGGCCCCTCACGTTGGCTCTGCAGCACCCACGCAGGAAGAGGGTGCACACAGAGGGACGCGGACACCAAGGCCTGGGGTTGGACAAAATTGTTGCCCGCCACAGCTGGTCCCTCCACAGGCCACATAAGCCAGGGAGTTGGGGGCTGCCCGGCACAAATAGAGGAAGCAGACAGAGGAGCTGGGCGGCCTGGGGCAGCCGGATCCTACCACTCCTCATTTCTGCTCTGGGCTGGACCGGCTTCCCTTTTCTTCTGTTGTTTTAAACGGTTGGTGTTGGGATAGAAAGGCCCATGGGTCTCCTTCTGCCTCTGCGTCCTGGCTTCCACAATGCAGACAAAACTTAAAAATTCTCAGGGGCTTCTCATTTTAGCGTGGGTGGCAGAGGCCTGGAGAAGCCCGAGGTCACTTCAGACCGGCCACCTCCTTGGACCTTCCCTTCCTGACATAAAATGATGACTGTAATGGAGGCTCTGCACTCAGCCCGTGGAGACAGGCCAGAAGCGCTTTGCTACAGTACTAATATAGCGCACGTTTTGCTCATGAGACGGCACTCAGAAGTTCTCGGCATGATTAGAAAGTGTATCGGTCAGAATGCGCTAGGCCATGCTATGGCAACAAACAGGCCCCCAGATCTCAATGGCTGCCAGCAGGATCAGCAAATGGTTTCTGTAAAGAGTGACGTGTACTTTTGTTGTTGCTATTGTTTTTGGAGACACAGTCTCACTCTGTTGCCCAGGCTGGAGTGCAGTGGCGCGATCTCGGTTCACTGCAACATCCACCTCCCAGGTTCAAGCAATTCTCCTGCCTCAGCCTCCCGAGTAGCTGGGATTACAGGTGCCCACCGCCATATCCAGCTAATTTTTGTATTTTTAGTAGAGACAGGGTTTTGCCACGTTGGCCAGGCTGGTCTCCAACTCCTGACCTCAAGTGATCCACCCGCCTCAGCCTCCCAAAGTGCTGACATTACAGTTGTGAGCCACCGTGCCCGGCTACTTTTAATATATATTTTAGGCTTTGCAGGCCATTCAGTCTCTGTCGCAACTCCTCAACTCTGCTATTGTAACACAAAAGCGTGGCAGACAGCACACCAATGAGTGGGCTGCATTCCTATAAAATGATATTGAGAAATTGCCCACAGGCTGGCGTCTGCTGACCGCCAGCTTCAGATAACCAACGTTTGTCTTCTTCTTGTGCCACACATGCAAGGAGTGAGGGCCCGCTCCAGACGTGCTCCAGGGACCCAGGCTGATGGAGGATCGAGTCCCACCCAGACCTCCATCATCATGGAGGCCAGATGCACGAGCTGGTTCTTAAAACTTCTGCTCACAAGTGACTGAGACCTCTTCCACTCACATTTCACTGGTCAATCAAGTCATGCCACCACACCTGATTTCAACGGGGATGAGAAGAACAATTCTATTTGCTCAGAAAGCAGAGATCTGGAAATTTTCGTAAACAGTCTTTAGTCTTCAACCATCCAAGCTAGAAGACCTGGTTTCTGGGCCCCTCCTTTGCCACCAACTAACTTCGTGTCCCCCCGGCAGGCCTCCTCCCTTCTCTGGCCTGTAGATCCCCACCTGCAAAAAGGTGTGGAGCATGTTCCTCAGGTTTTTCTGGGCCTGAGAACAGCACCACTATCATGGCCTCTGCTTTTCCTAATGGGGGACAATGAATTTATTTCCACTGCTCTTCCACGGAGCAAGGACAGGATGACATTCAGGCCAGAGCATGACTCAGCCTTTGGGGAGTCTCCCAAATATCCCAAGTTTTGAACCTCCACATTCTTTTTTTTTTTTCTGAGATGGAGTCTCTCTCTGTCACCCAGGCTAGAGTGCAGTGGCGTGATCTTGGCTTACTGCACCTCCACCTCACAGATTCAACAATTCTCCTGTCTCAGCCTCCCTAGTAGCTGGGATTACAGGTGTGCACCACCACGCTCAGCTAATTTTTGTATTTTTAGTAAAGACAGGGTTTCACCATGTTAGCCAGGCTGGTCTCGAACTCCTGACCTTAGGTGATCCAACCACCTCGGCCTCCCAAAGTGTTGGGATTACAGGCGTGAGCCACGCCGCCTGGCCTGAAGCTCCACATTCAACTGTTACTCTGGGAATGGTGTGTGGGCACAGCTGCTGCTCCTGCCAGCCAGGCATGAGTTTCCAAAGCTGGACCCAGGCTTGGTTCTGGTTGGGGCTGGGTGGAACTCCCGGGAGGGGAGGAGAGAAGGGAAGTTGGTTAATGATGAGGGATAAAGTGGGCAGGAGAAAATGGGCTGATGGTACAGCTCATCCAGCTACTTGTCCAGGCCCCGTCAGACCATCAGAAGGGGGTCGACGAGGGAGTTCCAGTGGCCTTGGAGTCCTGTCCTCCTTGCTGTTCTTGGAATTGCTTGGATATTTCACAGCCTCAGGGCCTTTGCAGGGTCTGTGGCTTCCCTGAGGTGTCCATGTGCCCCTCTGCCTCACCTCCTTCAAATCTCAATCAACTTTCAAGGCCTTCCCCAACCACTCTCTCTAAAACAGCAATCCCTTCCCTCAGCTCTGGGGCCTCCCTGTGTCCCCACTGCCTGGGATTGTCTCCACAGCTGTGATCTCCTTCTAAATGACTTTGGAGTTTTATTCATTTTGACTATGAGGTTTCCACTCTCCAGAAGCTGAGCTGCGTCAGGACAGGAGCTTTCGCCTATTTTGTTCTCTGCATCACCCCTGCACCTGGATGAGAGCCTGGTGGGTAGTAGGACCTCTGTGCATGGTTGCCAATTGAATGAATTTATATCGCTGAGGCCAGGGAGCCACAAGCTACCTCTGAGTCAGCTGTTAAGGAGGAAATATAAACAAACTCCAGGCCCAGCCATGCCAGCCATGCCAGCCGTGCCTGACAAGCACTGTGGCTGCACGGAGCCTGCTCAGGTGTGCAAAGGCTCACATGACAGTGCAAAGCCTCCTTGCAGCTCACCTGGCCATCTGGGGCACAGCAACACTCAGGCAACAGAAGGCACCTCAGCTGATGGCTGAATGCGGTGGCTCATGCCTGTAATCCCAGCACTTTCGGAGGCAGGAGGATCACTTGAGACCAGGAGTTTAAGACCAGCCTGGGCAACATAATGAGACCCCCACCATCTCTATTATTTTTAAAAACAGAAGGCACCCCAGCTTAGGTCTAGAGAGGCTCCCCCTCCTTAGCCTCCCACAGAGCATCATCTGCAGTTTTGCAAAACCGTCCTGTGTTCTCTGTGCCCTGCGGAAATGGCCAAACAGCTCCTCAGTGCCCCAAGAGATAGAATCATGAAAAAAGCAGCTCGTAGTTCAAAATGGAAGAACATGATAAAAGCAAGGCCCCTCCATGGGTGTGAAGAGATTTCTCTTTTACAGAGGAAATTTGGGTGGGGGAGGCAGGACTTCTGCTGGATCCACAGAGGATCTTCCATTAGCAAAAGGACAATCATTGTGAGTGAAAAGTGAAAATTCTAAACTTAGAACCAGAAGGTGGGGAAGTGAAGAAAGTTCTTCCTTATCTTCCCCCAACCCTTGTGGTTTTCACCCCCATCTCAGCCCATGTCTTTTGCCCCTGACTTCCCAGGTGTGGGAGTAGACTGAAGATGTGGAACGTGTGGGAGGCTAGAGAGTAGGGAGAATGTGGGTCTGCGTCTTTTTTGGAAGGATTGCAGCCAAAAATGCAGCGTTATACAGCAGCCAGAATGCACTCAGGTGTGGGGGCCAATGCCGGCCACACCTTTCCAGAAGGTTCTGTTGGGCCCCTAGGGGACCAGGCAGCATGGGGACTGCAGCGGAGCCCGGGAGGACAAGGGCTGGGCAAGCTCTGTTACCCATTTGTTGGGCTCTGAGAGGCTTGGGCCACACCTCTGAGCCCCGTGTCACTATAGACATTGAGAAGTGGACTCTCGCTAGCCCAAACTCAACTTTGTGGCTCTTGGAAAGGACAGGGCCTGTCACGTGATACTCCTGGCCCAGCACAAAGCTCCCAATACAATGGACCATGCTGTGTATCCACGGGTGGCAGCGAAGGCAGTGTGCTGAAGTCTGGGCAAATGCATGGCCGATCCCAGGTTATTACCATATTGGATCGTGTGGTCTCTGCTCCAGGCTGGCTCGGTTCAGGGTTGGATGAGTTTCTGCATCCCCCCAACCCCGGCCCAACTACCCCCAACCCTGCATGCTAATGGAGGCGGAATTAGGCAGAATTCTGCACGCCTCCAAGTCAGGCGTTTCCGATGACTCTTCCTGTGGGAGTCAGAGGGCAGGATGGGATGGGGTCAGCTGAGCCCTACATCTGAAGCCTTGCCTCTAAAAATAGCCCTTTCTTCCTGTGTCCAGGGCTCTGCCACGGGCCCTGCAGGAAAACGTCTGTTTCCAAGGCGGACGGAGCATCTGGAAGCTCCGAGCAGCCACGCGCTTATGCTCAGGCCTCAGCCAAGTGTCACCGGGGCCCTGGGGGCACCATCTGGCTTTCACTTCCTCGAGGCTCCTGTCCCCTTCACTGAATAAATCCTGCATGTTTAGAGCCTGGGTCACAGCAGATCCAGCGGGTGTGTTGGGTGCAGCAGGTGTGCATCCCAGGGGGCGCTGAGGCGAACCTACCAGAACCTTCTCTTCCTGCTGCCCTGGGAGGCTGTGTCTGCCCAAGCCAGCCACCGGGCCGGGTCCACTGCCTGGGGATGGCTGTCCCCTGAGCTGCTGCTCTGTCCCCACCACGGAGGCTCGTCCAGCTGCCCGGGCATGAGTCATGGGCCAGCCCTGGGCGCTGCTGCGGATTCAGAAGCTCGAGCCGTTTCCTGCAGATAAGCGACAAGCGCCAGGGAAACCTGGCGGGGGTGGCCGCCCTGTGAGATAGCGCTTCCTTCAAAGCCCCCCAAGCACTAATTAGCCATTCCAAGCATAGTTTCAACAGCATTTAGGGATTTCCTCATCAAAATAAACTTCCTCCCATGTTATCTTCATTTTTGGCATCTGATGGGATCCTTTTTTTGTCTTATTTATTTATTTATTTTCTTTCTCTCCAAGATTCAGGGCGGACACACTTAGTCCTGCTGTGGTTGGATGGGCAGGTGAGGACACTGGGATGCTGGCAGCTGGCCCATCCACCTCTTGTCCGTGGAAAGTGGCAAGTCCCCACCCCATCTCTGCTCTCAGAGGAGCTTCCGAGGGGCCTGGTTCTGTGGTGAGGACCAGGACGGGTGGTCCACAGTGGCCTGCCCCACCTCTCCTTAGCTCCCCAGACCGAGGGGCCGGCTAGCCCTGCAGGCGATTTCAAGCCTTGGGGCTTCCAGGGTCAGCCTCCGCTGGAATGGTTGGGATGCCATCAAGGCAAATTAGTGCTGGGGGCTCCCCCAGCCCTGTGGGCCTCCTGGCATGCTGGGAGTCAGATGGTGGACTTCCCCTTGGGCCCCAACAGGATTGCTGTGGAAGTCAGGGCTTGAGATGAAAACTCAAGATGGAAAAGCTACTCATTTGCAACTTCCTCCTGGAAAGAAACCCCTCGCCGGTGCCTGTGGGTTGAGCCTCCTCAGCCCGGCAGGGCAAAGGCCTGCTTTGTGTACCGAGTCTCCAGGCATCCTGGCTGTTGCTTCCTGCGGCTCCGCACACGCCTTGGAGTGCGAATTTTAGCCACAATAGGTGATTTCCTGAAAGATCTGCTGATGCCTGGAGTTGACAGGCTGCTCCGAGATGGAACTAGATAAGACGAGTTTTGTTTGGGGCTGGACAATTTGTCAGGAAATGAGGTAGTGGTTGGTATGGAACTAGTGTCACTGTGGATTATTTTGGGGGAAAGTGTCCCTGGGAGGCCTCCATCAGCCTTCCAAACACAGCCAGGTGGGGCCATGCACACAACCTTGCTTCTGGGGGAATAGGACACCGGCTCCGGGAGATCCTCCTGATGCCAGCAACGGAATAGGTGGGGCCTACTCTCCAAAGAACAGCTGCCAGGCCAGGCCCAGCTCATGACAGGGTACGGAGCCTTCACGTAACACCAAGGGCGTTTCTGCTATGGAGCAGGGTGCTTGTGTTCTCAACCAAAGGCTGGCTGCATACAGCCCAGGGTTGCAGTGCTCACAGCCCAGCAAAGAGCTGGGTTGTCAGGAACCAAATGAAAAAAGGAGGGAAGAAAAGGGCAGATGGAAGGATGGAAGGAGCAATGGATGGATGGATGGATGGATGCATGGATGCATGGATGCATGGATGCATGGATGGATGCATGGATGCATGGATGGATGGATGAATGGATGGATGAGTGGATGGAAGGAAGAAGAAATGGGTGGTTGGATGGATGGAAGAAAAGATGGATGGATGGTGATGGATGGGCAGATAGATGGAAGGATGAAAGGAGCAATGGATGGATGGATGGATGCATGGATGGATGGATGCACAGATGAATGGATGAATGGATGGAAGGAAGAAGAAATGGGTGGATGGATGGATGGATGGAGAGACAGATGGATAGTGATGGATGGATAGATAGAAGGAGGGAAGAAGAGAAAGATGAATGGATGGATGATTAGAAGGAGGGATTGATGGATGGATGATGGATGGATGAAAGGAAGAAAAGAGGGAAGATGGAAGGGAAAAAGGGAGGGAGGTTGAATGGAAGGAAAGAAGGAAGGAGAGATTAAGTTGGTTTTGTAGGACACTTCTTATCTTTTTTTTTTAGAAGAAAGAAAGAAACACGTTAAATAAAAGTCAGTTCTATAACCTTCTTGACTGTGGCAGCTCAGCCAGGAGTATGGAGAGCCTATTTCCCAGGCATACAAGATGGGGGGCAGCTTTACAGATAATAACCCTCTGGTGGCCCTGGGAGGAAGTCCACACACCTGCTCTCTGCCTCCACCACCCAGATGGTCTCCCCCAACCATAGTGCAGCCTCCCAGGCCCCATCTCTGCCCACCACAGGTCTGCCCAACAAAGTGCTGACCAGCCACGTCTGCAAGCCCCATCCCAGCCAGCCTGTCCCCTTGCAATGACCCCAACCATGACAATAGTTACAACCACCGCATGTGTGGCGTACTCCCCATGTACCAGACCCTGAACCCTCACACACGGGGTCTCATTTCCTCCTCTGAGGATCATTGTCCAGATGAGGCCAGTGAGGGCCAGTGAAGCCTTCGTGTGACCAGTGGATGCAGAACCAGGACTGGAACAGGTCAGTTTGGGTCCAGAGTCTCTGGACTCAAGAGGACGATGCAGAGGTGGGAAAGGAAAGAAGAAGGAAGAAGCAGGGAACCAAGGCAGGAAGTGGAGGCTGCGGCTCTGGGGAGCAGTGAGGGAGAGTGTGGGAGGGAGCAGCTTCCAGGGAAAGGGAACCATTTAAAAGGAGGTTTTGAAGATATTTTCTGCATCGTGGTCAGTATCACTCCTTCTTACCTAGTAAAATCTACATGAGAAACTGAGGCAGACATTACTAATTGCCTTCCCAAGGTTCCTTTCTCTACCAACAGAACACAGCCACTGTTCAGGGTGGCATTGTGACCAGCTAGAACATTCTATTTCCTAACCTCCCTTGCAGTAAGGGTTGGCCATCAGGCTCAGCTTTGGCCAGTAGAATACAGAAGTCGTGGGGCTTACAGGGAAAGGGTTGACAGCCCTCATCTAGTGCTGCTCCTTATTCCTTCCACGTTTTCCTTCCTGCAATGAAAGCTGAAGCAATGCCTGGAGCACAGCAGCCATTTTGCAACCATGAGGACTAAAGTCACATGCCAAGGATGGTAGAGTGGAGAGGTAGAAGGAACCTGGGCCAGTGATGGCATGGTGGAGCTGCCACACCAGCCCTGAACTGCCAGCTGTGGGTAGACAACAGCTACTGTGTTGTCACCACTGTGGCATGGCTTCCTGCTCCCTGCATCCAGATGTGGCCCCATGTGACACAGCCATAAGTAAAAAAACAGAGGCACACATTAAAATTCCTCTCAATAAACCAGGGTAAAGCCATTCCAAAGTCACAGAGGCCTTGATTTGTGGGGCGGGGTGGAGGGGGTGGTTCCTTCTCACCAGCAGCTGCCCTGACCGAAGGCTCCACAGGTAAGGCCAGAGGCAGGGATGCCTGCTGGGAATCCATGGACCAAATCCCTTTGCATTTATGTGGTTTCAGCCTTCCTCTCTGCCCCTAGACTTCACTTGCCACTAGACTCAGCAAGAATGCCTCTTTGGTTGGCCTTGGGCCAGGTTTGTATCCCCCGCTCTGGTCCATGTGCCCACAGGGTACTCTGTCCCTCTCAGCCTGGGACCCAGGAGCCAGCTCCACAGTCAGCCCTTGACTGGGTCCACGGGAGAGTGACCTCAGCAATGCCAGTGGGGTTGGCTGCCCCGGGAGACCCTGCAGGGAACTGCATATTAGTCAGGGTTCTCCAGAGAAACAGAACCCAGAGGGTGCGTGTGCGTGTGTGTGTGTGTGTGTGTGTGTGTGTGTGCGCGTGCGTGCGCACAGAGAGAGAGAGATTCAAGATAGCCAGGGAAGGCCCAGGGAAGAGCTGATGCCACAGCTTGAGGCTGAAGGCCATCTTTGGCAGAATTCTTTCCTAGCTGAGGGACCTCAGTCTATTTCTCTTAAGGCCTTCGGCTGTTTAGATGAGGCCCACTTACGCTATGGAGGGTCATCTACTTCACTCAAAATCGACTGATTCACATGTCAATCTCATCTGAAAAATACCTTCACAGCAGCTTGTAGAATAATGTTTGACCAAACACTGGGTACCGAGGACTAAGAAAGTTGACACATACAAGTAACCAACACAAGGCCTCCCAAGCTGTGTCTGCACCCAAGAGCCCTCCTGTGTTACCCACAGTCACAGAATTAGAGTCTAAGTTTCATATGACCCAGGAGGACCTCTAGTGCAGCCACCCACTTGAGGCACAAATGTCCTCTCCCTGGAATCTCCTAACCAGATGTGGGGACCTTCTCAGCTCTCCTTCCTGACTTTCCCAACAACGTTTCAGAAGCTACGCCTTCGGATGTACACACACACACACACACACACACAATGCACAAGCACACACATGCACACACATGAATGCACACAGGCACATGCACACATACACTTTCACATATGTGCACACACCTCTCTCAGACAACTCAGTCCTACCAGGGACAAAGGTCTCTGCAACCAGGATGAAGCAAGGGCTAATCCGCAGCAGCGAGAGCCACCTCTGCCCCAGGGACATTACTTATATGCAAATAATGCTGCCATTCCTGCACATTGGAGAGGTGGCAGGTGGTCCTGAGGTTCCTCCCCTAGCAGTGCGGGGGGACAAGACAGACCCATCCATGTATCTTCTCGGGCGAGGAAGCCAGCCTACACAGACCTCGTGAGCTGATGAGTCTCACCATCTTATTATTTATTCTTTATTATTAACAAAGCCAGACATGCACGCAGGACTCCCCGTGACCATTCCCGGGGAAGAAAGGACGAGCTGAGGTTCGGGACATATCTAGCCCCATATCCTCGATGATCAAGCCCGTAGGTTCCATGCAGGGAGAGAATCCCTCAGGCCCACCCCCACCTCTCCTTTGAGACAGCAGAGTTGAGAGAAAAGCAGGGATGCAGGCGTTCAATCCATCCACGCAGAGGCTGGGGCCAAAACCAATACTGGTCCTCTACTGCTGACCTCAGGCCCGTGTTACATGAACGGGGTGTTTGCACCGATGACCATGCCAGATGCTTGGGAATGCTGCTTGTCCTTTTGCGTTTCTCTGGCAGACTTGCAATGAAGCCAGGTCAGTCCCAAGACCTGCGTTCCAGTTCCAGCCCCCTTACCAGCCTTGGAAGCCAGCATGTATGGGGGTGGGGGGGGGAAGCACTCTGTGACTCAGTTTCCTATTCTGTAATATGGGAACAATAGTACCACCCACCATCCAGACTATGACACAGAACCATCCTAGGCCAGAATAAGTGATGTCTCTACATCCCCAAAGCTTGGAGTTCCCCAAACTTGTCTGATCATAAGAGTCTCCCAAGATGCTTGTGATAGATAGAGGTTCTCTCACCCCATCACGTGTGCATTTTTACAGAGCACCCTTCCCACAGTGATTTTTTTTTTTTTTGAGACAGAGTCTTGCTCTGTCACCCAGGCTGGAGTGCAGTGGCGTGATCTTGGCTCACTGCAATCTCCACCTCCCAGGTTCAAGCAGTTCTCACCCCAGCCTCCCAAGTAGCTGGGATTACAAGCATGCCCCACCACGCCCGGCTAATTTTTGTATTTTTAGTAGAGACAGGGTTGCATCGTGTTGGCCAGGCTGGTCTTGAACTCCTGACCTCAAGTGATCCACCCACCTCGGCCTCCCAAAGTGCTGGGATTACAGGCCTGAGCCACAGCGCCTGGCCTCCCCGCAGTGATTTATATGAGAAAGGAATTCTGGGAAATGCTTTTCTTACTTGACAATCTGGCAGAAGGAGACACAGCCTGACTTCCCAGCAAGCTTGGACCCAGTGCACGAGGAATCAATGTGTGAGGAATTTGAGAGGCAAGTAGTCTCGTGTGGGTTTAAGTTGTCGCCAGGGCTCCTCCGGTATAGGAAGCAGGTATCCTGGGTCCCATTCCCAGTAGACCCAGCAGAGTGTGGCTTGGTCCTTGGATCATCCTCTCTAACGTGGATAGAGTAGGACGTGTCAGCTCTGGGCCATTCCAAGGCTGTGGCTTGGGAGTCAGGCAGGCCTTTGATTACAGCCTAATTCTGTGACTTGGGGTGGGGTGGTCTTGGGCACATCCTGACCCTCTTACTGATCAAGGCGAGGCCCCCGGGCTAGCAGCATCCACATCACCAGGAGCTTGCTAGACACGCAGGCCCCCAGGCCCTACCCCAGACCTGCTGAGTCAGAATCCACATTTCAGCAAGATCTGAAGGGGATTCTTATGCACTCAGAAGCTTGAGAGCAGTGTGCTTACCTCTTTGAGTCTGATCTCTTCAGCTGCAAAGTGAGGAAAGACTATATCAATAACTATCCCTGCAGCTCCAAGTAACACCAAGCCTGTTTCAAACTAGCCTGAACAATCAGGAAACGTGCTGACTGCTGTAAGTGGCACTCTGGGGCCAGACAGGCATCAGGGTCAGTGTGGTTCAGAGTACTACGTCTGCAGCAGAAGCGTCCTGCCTCTGCCCTGCTGCACTGTGGCTGCAGCTCACCATGCTCACACCTGCGCAGGGCAATGTCCAGAGGGAAGATCCTCTAGGATCCTGTCTCTTGCATCCCACTGGCCTGCACCAATCCATGGTCAGTCATTGAACTGACTTAGGCCTGCATTCCTACACCAGGTGCTGGCTAAGGGACAGGATCACACTCAGGTCCAGCCATCAACTAAGAATATAGCTGCGTGCCACAGCATCTCATATCAATGGCATGACCCCAAATCAGGACAGTAGAGTAGAGGAGGGAAGCAGATGCTGGGTAGATGCCTGATGCTGGTCATTACAGGATGGCCCTATCTCATGGGGTGGTTTCCCACTTAATACAATCCCTGGAACACAGGAAATACTCAAATACCCAATCTCAATCGTTAAACAGCTCTGGCAAATTGGATTTTCCAAACATGAACACAGCTATATTTCTGTTCCCACGTGCTCTTCCACTCCTCATTAAGAGGTAGAGTCTATTTTCCCCTCCCTTGACACTGGGTGGGATTTTGTGACAGCTTGACAAATTCAATGTGCAGATGAGATGCTGCCTAACTTCCAAGGCTAGGTCGCAAACAGTGATGCAGCTTCCTCCTGGTTTTATCTGTCAGAAGCTTCACCTGTGGCACCCAGCTGCCATATTGTAAGGAAGCCCAGGCCACATGGGGAGGCTGTGTGCAGGCGTTCCAGCCAATGGCCCCAGCTGAATCTCAGCCAAAAGCCCACATCAACTGCCAGACGCATAAGTGAGTGCACTCGCTCAGCTGAAATCAGCTGATGTCAGCCCCCAGCCAAGGTCCCAGATATCATGGTCTAAGGCTGAGCAGCCCCCACTGTGCCCTGTCAGAATTCCTAACCCACAGAATCAATGAACATTAGAAAAAAAATGATTAATTTATGCCACTGTGGTAAGCAGATTAATGATCCTCCAATGTACCCATGTCTGTGTATATGTGACCTCCTATGGCAAAAAGGACTTTGCAGATGTGATTAAGCCAAGAATCTTGAGATGGGAAGATTATCCTGGATTAACCAAGTATGCATAATGTAATCGAAAGGGCCTTCATAAGAGGAAGGCAGCGGGAATACAGTTAGTAGTAGGAGATATGAGGACAGAAGCAGGTAGTCAGAGTGGTGGGAGGAAGGGGCCCCAGGCTAAGGAATGTAGGTGGCCTCTAAAAGCTGAAAAAGATATTTTTCCCTGAAGTCTTCAGAAGGAATGTGTAGCCCTGCCAACTCCTTGATTTTAAACTTCTGATGCCCAGAAGTGTAAGAGAATAAATGTGTGTTGTTTTAAGCCACCATGTTGGTGGTAATTTGTTACAAACTAATGTAGAAGGTTTTTGATAATGGATTCAATTTTTAAAAATAGATATAGAGCTCTTCGGATTTTCTGTTTTTTCTTGTGTCTGTTTTGGTAAGTTAAATTTTTTGAGGAATTTTTTTATTCTATCATTGTCACACATTTTTTGACATAATGTCATTCATAATATCATTATATTGCCTTTTCCTTTTTAATATCTGTAGGATCTGTAATAATGGCCCCTCTTTTCATTCTTGCCATTTGTGATTTGTGTTCTCTCTCTTTTTTCTTCTCTTTTTCTCTTGATCAATTTTGTTGATCTTTTCAAAGAACCAGCTTTTAGCTTTGTCAATTTTCTCCATTGTCTCTCTGCTTTGAATTTCATTGATGTCTTCTCTTACCTTTATTATTTCCTTTCCTTTGCTTACCTTGGGCTTATTTTGCTCTTCCTTTTTTAGCTTTGGATGGTGGGATCTTGGGTCATTGATTTTAGATCTTTCTTATTTTCAAATATAAGTATTTAAAGGTATGTTTCTCTTTAAGCAATACTTTAGCTACATCCTATATACTTTGGTATGTTCTTGTTATCATTCAGGATTTCAATACTTTTAAATTTATTGATATTTGCTTTATAAACCAGCATCCGACCTAACTTGATGGGTGAACCATGTGTACTTCAAAAGAATCTTTATTTCATAATATCCAAAAGCAGTTTCTATAAATATCAAGTCATATGCTGAGATGGTTATTATTATTTTTCAAATCCTTTATGTATTTACAGACTTTTTAATCTAGTTGTTCTATCAATTGATGAGAGAGGGAGAGTTGAATACTCCACTGTGATTGTAAAGTTATTTGTTTCTCCGTTTAATACTTTTCATCTTTGCTCATGCATTTGTGAGGTTCTACTAAAATTGCTGTGACTTCCTGATGAATTGTCTTTTTCATTATTATAAAATGTGATTTTTTATCTCAAAGATTACACTTTATCTCAAAGTTTATTTTCTCTATTATTAATACAGCCAGTTTGACTTTATTATGCTTATTACTTGCATGGCATAACTTTTTTTTTTTTTTTTTTTTTGAGACAGAGTCTTGCTCTGTCACCCAGGCTGGAGTGCAGTGGCACAATCTTGGCTCAGTGCAACCTCTGCCTCCTGGGTTCAGGTGATTCTCCCGCCTCAGCCTCCCAAGTAGCTGGGATTACAGATGTGTGCCACTATGCCTGGCTAATTTTTATATTTTTAGTAGAAACGGGGTTTCTCCATGTTGTCAAGGCTGGTCTCAAACTCCTGCCCTCAAATGATCCACCTGCCTTGGCCTCCCAAAGTGCTGAGATTACAGGCATGAGCCACTGTGCCCAGCCACATGGTATAACTTTTTCCATCCAGTTACTTTCAACCTGTATTTTTATATTTAAAGTGCATCTCTTTTGGCATCTGGTTGAGTCTTTTAATCAGATAACCACTTCCTTTCAATTAAAATATTCATGTTGTTAGTATTTAGTGTAATTATTGATATGGTTGGGTTTAGGTCTACCATGTTATAATTTTTCTTCAATTTGTCCCCTGTAGTTGTTATTCTTCCATTTCCCCCTTCCTGTCTTCTTTTGAATATTTGAATTTCTTTTTTTTAGTATTTCATATTGCAGTTAAAATTATTTCTTTTGGGTTATTTTTATATTTCTTATTTTTCTGCTGAGACATAATTTTTTTCATTCATTGTCAGTGTATTTTTCTTCACCTCATTGAGCAAAATTATAGTAGTTCTTGTAAACTCCTTGTCTGATAATTCCAACATATGGGTCATTAGAGGTTGGCATTTATTGTTAATGGGTCACATTTTATTGGCTCTTTGTATGTCAAGTAATTCTGAGCTACACCCTAGACGTTGTAAATATATATTGTGTTGCCAGTGGGCTTTGGCACTTTTTAGTGGAAGCACTCTTTCACTGGAGAGTGTTTGACCATTTTGTTTCAGCAGCGGTTCACCTGGTTAGACTTACACTGTAAGCTCTGCCTTACCATCTGTGTATGGTGTTGAATTTTTAGTTCAATTATTTAAGCCTTTTCAGCAGTGCTGTTGAGACTGTCCTATACATGCATGGTTCTGGGCCAGCCTGAGACGTGTGTGGTGGGCGTATGCAGAATTAGGAGACCCCTCATCTGTCTCCCTTCTGAGCCCTCCCCTTCACTCTCCAGTGACAGCTGTGGCTGCCTGGGCTAATTTCCCTGGTTCCTCCAGCCAGAAAGATGGTGGGGTTTCTCTTAGCATCTTTGCCCCTTGTCCCTTGCCACATTGCTCTGAGACTGCATCCCACTCCAGAGGCAAAGTCGTAAGCAATGAAGAACTCACTTCCAGACCATCAGCACACCAAGTTCTGACTCCCTTCAACAACTTTCCTGCTTTTGTTTACTTTTCAGAATCCTTGGGTAGTTTTTAAGTTTTGTCCAAAGTTCACACTTGTTATCAGTGGGAGAGCTGGTCTATAGAGGAGTCCATCTATTGTACCAGAAGCCAACACCCTAGGCAAAGGGTTGGCAGTGCTGGCTGACATCTTGCTGCTTGTGATGAAAGTAAGGGACAGAGACAAGCCAAAGAAGGAACACTCAATGTCAAGAAGCCAAGACTTGCTGGGTTTGAAAATCAAACTGTTTCTTATTCCTAACTTCTTCAAAATTCAGATTAAGAAAAGGCTTCACAGCAAAGATATTCACACTGAAATTATAAGAGCCTTTGTTAAGCTCTCAGAAAGACCTAAATTGGTGCCACAGTGTACTGTCTAGCCAACAGAAGTCCCTCTAAGGACCTGAAGTGCATGCCTCACAGGTCCTCTCCATGAAATAAAAGCCTCTTCATAAATCTTAAGAGCAATTTCCCACAGCATTCTCACAGGAAGCCCAAAGTAGAGAAGAATTTATCTTGAAGAGATGTGTGGCTCAAGCTCTTGTCTAGCAGAATGGATTATAAATTGATGCCTTAAAAACCACAAAGTTGTGTTTTTAAAGAAGTGTATCAGCTTGGACTAAAAGAGACACAGACAGCACAAAATACAAAGAGATCTTTGGATCCCCAAAACTTCTACGTCAGGAAGCAGGCTGAGAAATGACTCAATTGCAAACACAGGCTATGTTTTAGGGAAAAGGGAGGCTGATTCAGAGGGTGGAGCAAGAGCCTGGAAGACAGAGCCAAAAGCCACAGTGACTCACTCTCAGGTAGTAGGACTGAGCCCCAAACAGGGAACTGGCAACACATGCCCAGCTGGATTTCAGAATTGCTATGGACCAATTACATCTGTGTGCTCATTATATTTACACATTCTGAATTGGAGTGTCTATGGTGGCTCTCCTCTACCTGGCTCACCACTGTATTTGGGTGAGATGGGCAAGAAACCACAACTTAAGACCATCATTCACCTGGAGCTGATGGAGAGGATGCTTTCCTGGACTTTGAGCCTGATGCTGTGATGGGATGAGAGATTGGGGAAGTGCAATGTAGATAAAAGGAAAAGTCTATTTTGCATGCAGTAAGAATGTAAATGATGGAGTCCAGAGGGAAGCCTGTATTGTATTTTCCAAAAATGGCCAGAACAATATATCCAGGCCCATGTGCTCTTCCAGAACCCTGCCACTCCCCATCAACAGGCAGGGTCTATTTCCTCTCTCCATGAACCTGGGCAGGATTTTGTGACTGTCTTGAATAGGCTGTGGCAGAAGTGGAGCTATGACTTTCAAGTCATCAAAAATGATGCAGCTTCCATCTCAATCTGTCTCCCTCTCCCACTCTCACGCCCCACGCCCATCTCTTAATTCTCACCCTTCAAATCTAGCCACCATGTTGTGAGGAAGCCCAACCCACATGAAAAGGCCACATGTAGGTTTTCTAGCCAACAGCTCCAGCTGAGGTCTCAGCCAAGAGCCAGCATCAACTGCCAGGCATGTGAGGGAGCCTCCCCTGGTGTGCTCCCATTTCTTGAGCCACAGAATCTGTGAGCATAACAAAGGGTGGTTTATGCCACTAAGTTTGGGGTGTTTTGTTATGCAACCAGAGTAAATGGAACAATGTATTTGCAGCAGATTGCCAGAGTCCCAGAGGTGCACACACCCCCCAGGTCACGATTCCCCCACTGGAAAAGGGAATGGGTCCTCAGGGTAAGAAGCCTGGATAGCCACAGGAGAAGGCTGATTCCAGCCCGGAGTGGGAGATGGAAACCTCGCCCTGAGCCGGCCCAGCCCTCCCCAGGCCATCCAAAGGGAGTGACTGTTTTCAGGGGAACAAACCTCACCCACTGTTCTTCTCCCTTGTAGCAACTGGAGTCTGGAAGTACAGAGAAGGAGAAAAGCCCAGCGCATTTCTGAAAAGGGGAAGGAGCATGGCCCTGCAGCTTTCTCTAGATCCTGGTTCTTCAGCATGGATGGAAAAACATCTCATCCAATCAAAATGCAAGCCTTGGCTCCATTCTATGGTGTCTGGCATTTTTCTTCTTCCATTCTCTTCACCCCTGTTTCATTATTTCAGTGTTGTCTGAACCCTTGCTGTTCCCAGTGTGGTTCTCCAACCAGCAACAGTGGCATTGCCTGGGGAGCTGGTTTGAGAGGTAGGATCTGAGGCTAGCTCCAAGTCTGCAGAGTATGAATCTGCAGGATTCCCGGGCACAGAGCTTGAGAAAAGCAGCTCTATGCAGACTCACTGGTGAGTCCAGCTGGCTGGGAGGGCAGAGGGACGCTCAGCCCAGGGGAGGCCAGAGCATGGATAACCCGCACAGTGACAGCATGGCTGCTGTCGATGGGAACGGCACCAGCTCTACACCCACTGGAGGCTGGGGACCATCTGCAGACACTGATGCTGAGGGGCAGCACCTGGCCCAGGGATAGCAGAGAAGGGTCTGTCTCATGTGCAAACCTGGTTGCCGGGTGTTGGCCAGGGTTGCTGGGCTGAGGATGATTTGGGAGGGAGAGTCTAGACGCTGGAGGAAAGAACTCTGTCATCAATTAGCTGTGTCTGCCGGCGCATGAGAGGGGAGTGGCGCCTTGTGGGTGTTATTTGCTCTCCTTGCCTAGAATGTGCAGAATTGCTTTTGTGCCATTTAAACTTTCTTTCCTCCCCTCCTTCCTGCTAGAAGATTTTCCAAGAGACGTTGCCATTTGTGAGCCCATCACTGCACGTGCCAGTCACCCATCAACCTTCCCTGGGTTCATGTGGACAGGACGAACGTGGGACCCGTAGTGTCTGGCCTGGACCCGGCCCCAGACATCCATGGCCACACCAGTTGCTCAAGAGCCAAAGAATCTTCCAAGCCAGCAGTGTGGGGCCCCAGCCCGTGCGATTCACTGCTGTGCTCATTCCTGACAGCATGCTTTCCGCAGCCTCTGCTGTATGGTCCAGCAGCAAGGTACCCAGGTCTCGATATGTCTGGTTCCAGTTTCTTTTCTGAAAACCAAAACAGCTGTGTGTCTTGGATCTGAGGACACTGCACAATTCCTCTTATCCCCAAATACCTGCTTCCCCATGGGACATCCCAGTCCCTCAGAAGGGGCTGCTGAATAGCTTGCAGAACCCCTTAGCTCAGACCTTCTCCCCCACCCGAAAGCCGGGCAAGGAAAGCTGTTCCCATTTACAGATGAGGAAATTGAGGTTCTGAGAGGCGAGGGGAGCTGTAGATCACATGAGCACCCAGAGGCAAAGCTGGGATGGACGAGTGGGGGAAGCCATGGCCCCGTGTCCTGCACATGGGCTGAGTGCCCCATGGGGCACCTCTCTGAGTTCACCCGCACCGAATGCCAGCCGGTGGGGCTGGGCACAGGCACCGTGGCTGGTGGGAAACCTCCCCAGTTCCTTCTAAGGAGCATGCTGGACCCACACCCTCCCACAGAAGCTTTTCTGGAAACAAGCCTGATGACCTCAGCACATTTTTTCCAAACACACCCTTCCTCCCTCTCCCAAAATCTCAGTGACTTTGGACCATTTCCCTAAGGATTGGCTAAGGCAGGGCTGAGGGCCTTCTCAGGGGACTCCCTCCTTGAGCAGCCCTGCAGCCCCCATCCCACCCCAGCCACCGTCCTGGCCTGCTTAGCTGGGATCTTCAACAGAAAAACCACAAATAATTGAGCTGTTTAGGAGAACATCAGTCTGGGTTTCCATGGCAACAACCTCTGGAGCCAGCTGCCCCGACAGCTAACAGCTCAGGGCCAGGCCAGCCTGCCTCCAGTTCAGTGGCGGACCCGGGTCCACGCTGGCTTCTGGGGTTCCAGACTAGGAGCCTGGTCCTCCACAACAGAGGTCAGGCTGGGCACCAGGAGGGGAAGCCTAGAGGGCTGAAGCCAGAAACCCCCAGAGCCATCCCCCCGCCCCAAATCATCACACACAGGCCAGCTGCTGGGGGCCGGCACAGCTTCAAGGCTTCACTTCTTCCCTTCTGGCCTCAGCCTCACCCTCCTGCAGGGCCAGTCCCACTCCCCCCAGCAGGGCAGGTGGGGAAACAGAGGCCCCGCAGGGATCTGTGGCTGGCCCCGGCACACAGCAGGCGCCTGGTTCCCGAGACCATTCTGCAATTTGTCTCAGCCTGTGGCTATTCCCACTCCTGGAGTACAGACAACCCCAGGGGCCTCTGCCTGCCCAGCCTCTAAGGAGCAGAGAGTCTTCTGCCCCTGCAGAATCCTAAGGGTAGCAGAGGCTGCGCTGGTTCCCTGGGCTTTATCTGCCCTTTCTTGTTCTCTCCCCATAAAAAGCCTACTCTCTTTACCCATTTTGTTTATGAGAAAAGGAAGGCACGGAGAGGGCAAGGAAGTCACCCGGAGTCACACAGCTCCTAAGCAGCAGGGCCCGGGTGGAGCCAGGACAGTTCATAACCTGTGCCATCTGGGAGCATCATCAATCCCACCACACCTGGGGTTGCCAGGCTGCCCACAGTCCCCCACCCAGCATAGAACCGACTTTTGAGGGACACAGCCTCTTGGAGACTCTGAAGCCGCTCAGCAGACAACTCCCTGGTGCCCCACAGGGCTCATGCCCTGTGCCTGGGACCCCACCCGGGGGGTACAGAGAGAAATAAGAGTGGGCTGCTACCAACCTGAACCTTGCCATTGGGTGGAAGGGAGAGTTTTGTGGACCAACTGCCACTAAGCCATGAAACAACATAGGTGTGGCTCTACCTGGCAGCAAGTCTCACCAGGAAAGGTTTCCGAAAGAGGGAGGACTGGGGAGAGGGCAGGGTGAAGTCCTCCATGTGATGGGACCAGGAGCCCACAGACCACCGGGAGGCCCAGCCAGGGGCTGTGGGAGATGGAGCTGTGCTGGAGCCACTGCTGAGTGGGTGATGGGTGGGGCCGGAGCAGCGCCGTATGCAAAGAGAGAGGAGCTAACAACTCTGCAACCAAAGAGCAACTAGAGAAAAGAAGCCTGTCTTTTATTTGTGGATTTGTGACTTTACGTACCTACTTTGTCACAAAAAGAAGATTCTAGGAGGCTTACAAAATTACAAAAATGCACACAATACAATGTGATTTTTAGTAGGTGAGGAAAACATAAGATGAAGCAGAAGTCAAAATATATGCCCTAAGTCCTCAATGTGTACTGTGTGATGTAGTAGTAAAATTGACTCTGAGTTCCCCGGCAGCCAATGTGAAAAGGAAAACACACCCTGCCTTTGAATTTACAAGGAGCATGGGATAAAACTAACAAGCTGCTGGGAGACACTGGGCTACAGCTACTTCTGAAAAAGAAGAGGAACTTCTTATCAGGATCATGTTGACAGTGTCAGCATGAATAGCAACTGGACAGTGTCCCAGCACACACACAGGGATGCCTCTGGCCCATTTTAATCATAGCATCCCTGGGGACAAGAGGTTGGCTCAGGCCCCCTGCAAGGGATAAGCTGAGGTAGAGGGGCCTGCAGCTGTCTGGTGGCTGCGCCTGAAGAGGCTTGAGCACAGCTTCGAGGGTGAGGCATAGTGGAATCCAAACCTTGCAACTCCCATGGGGATGGGGACTTTGCAGAATCCCACAAGATTCTGCAAAGTCCCCGTCCCCCGCTCCTGCCCTCCTTCCAGTTGGAACTAAGTTACAGAAGCACCCACTTGGAGCCTGGTGCTCAGACTTGGCTGCAAGCTGCAATCACCTGGGAGTTTACAAAGTTACTGGGCGCTGGGTTCCACCCCCAGTTCTGACCTAATCTGTCCGGGGTGCGGTCTGGGCATGAAAAGTTTTTCAGGCTCTCCAGGTGATTCTCGTGTGCAGCCAAGTTAGAGAACACTGACTCCCGGGGAGGTGGATTACCTGTCCTCCCGGCAAAGCGCAGGACTCGCAGTTTGGCAAGCTTCCAGCAGCAGCGAGTTCGGGTGGCTCCGTGGGGAGCCTTACCCCAAGGCGACAGCTGGGTGGAGGGTGCCCCCCAACAAGCCGTGGGGCTGAAGGGAAGCCACCCACCTCAGAGCAGGGGTTCACCATCAGCCATGGGGGTCCTCAAAAAATAATGTGGGTGGGCTCTTCTTCTAAGCGCCAGTTATATAAGTGATCTGGACCTGTAATTTTATTCCTTAGATAAGCTTTTCCCCAAGATTGTGTTCTGCATGGCGCTCATTTCATGATGGTGTGAGTCAGTGGCACGCCAGAAGATATGCCATGGCAAAGAGGCTGTGGAGCCCGTGGCAGCCAACATTAAGCAGAGATTTTTCACAGCCAAAGATGCTGACTCAGCTCTCGTGCCCGGTTCCCCAAACTCTGGGCCATGAAACCCTATTTTCCAGATCTAGTGTTTTTCAGGAGCTGGTTTCATGGCACTGTGTTCTACAGCCTATTCATTGAGAAAGGCTGCTGTAATAATTTCAGCCAAACCTGATTATTAAAAAAAAAAAAATCATTAATTAAGGAGCTCTAGGGGCCAACAGAAGCAGAACACCAAGCTTTGGATACAGAGGCTTCCTGAAGGAACCTTGGAGATAAAGTAGCTGAAACATGTACCCGCAGGTAACCCAATGAGTCGAATCAGACTTGTTAGCGCTGTGTTGGCTAAATGTTGAAAGAGGTTTACTAAAAATGACAATTCACGTTTTGGAACAATTGAATCTATGCCATTCTTTCTGGCAGTAGTCCAATCCTAGGTCCAATCACCTGTTTAAGGAGATTTTCAGCTGGTGACAAAATAATTCCATTAATAAGACTTAATATTTTTAATATAAGGAAAAAAATACTATAAATCAACAGAAAAGGACAAAGGACAAGAAAAAAAAACAATGGAAAAACTAAGAAATGCAGGCAGCCAGCAGAGGCCTGGTGAATAGGCTGGGTTATGCCACAGTAAAAAGCATCCTCCCCAAAGCTGAGTGACTTAAACCACAATGTCTGTTTTTTGCTCACGCTCCGTGGCAAGTGAGAGTCCCAGGCCTTTCTTCCCATCAGTCTAGAGCAGAGGCTTTCGGAGGCTCAATCTCAGCCTGGGCTCTAAGATCTCAGGAGGACCAGGGACAGTGGAAGGAGTGAACATTTACTGGCTCTTAAAGTTCCATCCAGAAGATACACACACTGCTTTCACTTGCACCCCCTTGGTCAAAAAAGTCCCGTGACCACACCCACTCTCAGAGCTGGTGAGGAGTGCAATCTTACCTGAGCCCTGGAGGAGAAACCAAATTCAGTGGGAACAAAGACGACATCAGAACAACCAGGAGACACTGTGCAATTGTTTGCCAAAGTTGACAAAAGCTAAAGCAAAAGTGAATGGAACCTTGCCTTTAGGCAGTTTATCTTTTTAGCCTTTTGGTGGAGAGAAGGGAAGAGAGAGGGCTGGGGACCTGGGGAGGAGTGGGGACATCCAGCTCAGTGCCAGGGAAAGTGATGTCAGGCACAGGTTAGGGAAGGGCAGGGCAGAACACCTCTCGCTGGCTCTGCTGGAAGGTCACTCATGCACAGTGGTTCTCATTAGGATTAGGATGCAAGCACCTTAGAAGCACCCTTTGCCTTGCGGATGCCTGTGGCTAATCCTCACGCAGAGAGAAAGGCCGAGGGAAGGTCAGGACAAACAGCATATCCTCATCTTCCCCCTGGGGTTTTCCAGGACCGGATGATAGGACAATAGTCAATAACAGGAGACCAAGAAGCAAAGACCACCTATGCCACGGAAGAAACTTGCAATGTATGAATAAGGAAAGTGGCCATTGCAGGAATTATCCAGCCCAGGCGTCAAGGTGTCTAGGAAGACATGAGACCTACGTGAGTAGGCGGTGCGGTGGGGTTAGGGAGTGTGGCTGTGGTTTATGAAAATGAGCTTCTGATCAGAGGGGCCTTATCTAGAGAGTCAGCAAAGCAAGGTGAGTTAGAGGCCAGGGTCAGAGCCGCCCTTCAGGGAGGCCCCGAGGAGTCTCAGAGGCTGGGCCCTGGAGCCCAGGTGGGCACATTGCCAGGACCCAGGCGGACAGACACTGGGATGTGTACATTTCAGGGGAGCTGGTCTCAGCTTCTAGACCTGAAGAAAGCCGTCAGCCCTGACCTCACCACCCAGATTCTCATTCTGCCCTGGTACTAGAACATTGACCCAAACACAGACAGAAGAGAGGAGAGAGGGCACTGGGAAGAAGCAGCTAGAGGTGGGAAGGATGGGGGGAAGGTGCTGCCAAGAAAATGAGGCGTTTCTGGAAGGTGGTGGTCTTCATGTCAAAGCCAGCAGAGCCAAGTACAAATTGGGCAAAAGACCCACCTGGGTGTCCTCTGCAAGACAGGGCTCCGGGAGTAGCCAGGACAAAGGGCACAGAATTCCTTACAGCAAGAGCAGTTTCACTGATTTACTAATAGGTCATATTTAGCGAGCATTGGCCCGCACTGGTCATAGGCCGTGCACTGAGCTAGGTATTGGGGAAGTGGTTTGTCCACTCGTTCATTCATTTATTCATTCATTCCATGGGTTTCTTGCGCATCCACTGTGGGCCAGGCGCTGTGCTAGGTGCTTGGAATGAGGCGGTGAACTGAGTAGATACAGTGTCTGCCGCAGACTCCATTCTCATAGAGGAGACAGACAGGAAGTGCGTAAACCTGTAATAGGATAGAAAAATGGGGTACAAGGTGACAGGGTGGTCACGGAGTCATAGCGGTTAGTGTTTCCTAAGCACAAACTCAGTACCTTGAATGTGTCAAAGCCATTTTCATCCTCACCGCAGGAGAAAGTTCTGTTATTTCCCCCATTCCACAGAGGAGGAAGCTAAGTCACAGAGAGCCAAGGTGACCTGCCCAGGGTCCCACAGCTCATAAGGGGTAGCCTGGGAAGTTGAAGCCAGGCAGACCAGCTGCAGAAAACCCACAGGAACCTCAGTGCAAGGTGGTTTTATTGGGGCTGAGGCCTCAAGCAGGGGAATGTGGCCTCCTGAGACACTCTGGGCGGCCAGGGCCTGCCTGAGGTGGGACCAAGCATGGTGGAGTGGCTGGAGCCCGGTGGGGAAGGGAAGGAGGGAGAAGGCCTTGGCAGGAGCAGACATGAAAAGCAGGTTGATTTTATTCTACTTGAAACGGGATGCCATTGATGCCGCCTCGCTGTGGTGGAAGCGGACACGGGGCGGCCGGAGCCAGGCGTTCTGGGGTCAAGGCCACAGTGTATTTTAAATGGTCGGAGATGGGTGTACAGAGCAGGTTTCTGGGCCCACTTCCAGAGATTCTATCGTTGCAGGTCTGGGCAGGGGCTCCGGGGCCGCCTTTGAAACTCTCTCCAATGCACACACACCCACTGTGAGCCTCTGGACGCACTCCTGCCCCCAGGAAACTGAAACTCCCTGTGGATACCAGGGCCCTCCTCCCAGAGGAAGAACAGTTGAGCTGCTCCCTGATGGAAGAAAGACAGTTCCAGAACACGTGACGGTGAGGACAAGAATTTCAAGCCAGGGGGAAGACATGAAGGAAGGACCGGACACCTGGAGGTGGAAATCGCAGACAAGGGCTGAGCTGGAGGGGGCTTTGGGGTGACTGGATCACAGAGGGTAGAAAGGGGTGAAGCAAGCCTGGGTCATAAGTTGGGGCTCCTTCAAAGCAGCCACAGACCCAGGGGGAGAGGCTGTGGGCACAGCTAAGCCCCTCGTTTGGTTGGTGAACTCTGACCCTCCTGAGGCAATCCTAGTAATCATAGCAGCAATACGCATTGCATTTTCGGGGTGGGCCAGGCCGGGCACTACCCACATTCCTAGCAGTGATTGTATTTGATCTGTTTGGTTTTGTCTGAGACAAGGTCTTGTGCTGTCGCCCAGGTTGGAGTGCAGTGGCACAATCACGACTCTCTGAACCTCAACCTCCCAAGCCCAAGCAATCTTCTAGCCTCAGCTTTCCAAGTGACTGGGACCCCAGGTGTGTGCCACCATGCCCAGCTCATTTCTTTATTTTTTTGTAGAGATGAGGTTTCACTGTGTTCTCCAGGCTGGTTTCAAATTCCTGGGCTCAAGTGATCCTCCTGCCTCAGCCTCCCGAAGTGCTGGGATTATGGGTGTGAGCCACCGTGCTGGGCCTCATTTGATCCTTTTAACAGCTCTGTAAGCAGATGCAATGATCACCTCCAATCTATTGGTGGAATAACTGGGGCTCGAGTCAGACCACATGAGCCATCATTAGCAGAGGCTAGGTCTCTTTGGGGACCAAGCCTTCAGATAATAAAAATAGCCGTACGGACAGTAACACAAACCCACCTCACTTATCCAAATTCTGAAATCCAAAAACCTCTGAATCCCAGAATTTTCTCATAACTTACTTGGCATCAAAACCTGACCTGGAATTTTTGGCAACAGAAAAAGTTCCACCAGAACAAATCTTCACTTGTGTTCTTTAGGGTGAACAGCCATCTGTTTCGTGGATTCGAATACGGGACACAGCCCAGCCGCACTGGGAGGGTTGCAATAATAGATGATATTCTCACCCAATTCCCTTTCTAAAATCCACAAAAAGGCCCAGTCTTTTGGCAGAAGGGTGGCCTTTGGCCCTTCTGCAAAGATCCTGCTGTCAGTTGGAAGGAGGTCAGGAGTCCACATTTCTAGTTCCCGTCCTGCCACTCCTGGTTTCTCTCTGTGGCAGAATGGAAGCGGCTCCTGAGTGAGGCTGCCGGGCAGGTGAATAAGAAGCTCCCTGAATGAAGCCCCCTGCACGAAGGGAAGCTGTCGGCCACCCTGTTTCTGGGACTGATGGCCCTTGAGGAAGGGTTGGTCTTATTGCCCCGTGGGAAAGAGATTTGGGTCCAGGAGACCTGGGTCCTCGTGGTGGAGCTCCCTTCTATAGGTGGAATAATTGGGGCTCATCGTGGCCTCATTTTTCTCTTTGCAAAGCATGAGGACTGGGAGCAGAGATCAGCAGTCCCCACGACTGGGGCCGCCTGGGACGCGCTAAGCCGGACACAAGGCATTTTCTCAGACCCAGCCCCCCCAGACCCCCCAGGCCCCCAGGTCCTAGGACGAGCTCTGCACACCCCGTGCTTTCATTGACGGGTGGTCAGGCCCAGCGTCCTCGCTTTCCATGACTAGTCCTGCTTTTCGGGGTGGAGAGCAGGGGCCTTCCCGGAGCCTCGATTCCCACGGGTGGGGGCCTGGGAGGGGGCCGTGGTGGGCGCTGAGCAGGCCCAGGGAGGCCGCGCACCCCCGGCCCCCTCGCCGCCCGTCGTCCAGGCGGCCCCGGAGCCGGCTGCGGGCAGCAAGGGCCGCGGGGCCCCGCGCTCAATGTCTGCCCCACTCAAACCCCAGGGTAGGGAAGGATTTCCATGGGGCTTACGGTGATTTATAATGGGAAACCTCCGCTTTCCTCACACATTGTTCTCCCTGACAGAGGAAAGAAAGAGGGCACTAAATCTCCTCTCATCATAGTAATGATGAAGCCCGCGGCGTCCCGGCCCCATCCCAATGCCCTCGACGACAACAAAGTGCTCTATTGTGATCTATCACATTTTTCTCAAAAAACCTTCAACCGCGCACAAGGCCAGCGCCATATCCTGCACTGGCCCTCCCTCATTGTCCTCGCCGAGGGAAACGGAATGTGTCAGTCTGAGTAATGCGCCTTCAATGCTTCTCAGGAGCCGCTGGCTCGGCCGGGATAAAGCAGCCCCCACGCTTTCTCAGGCCCCGGCCCGGGATGAAAGCTGCCCGCGCCGCCGGGCAGCCACCGCGCCACCTGGTCCACGGGCCGGGGCCAGTTCGGCCGGCAGGGCTGGTGGCCGGCCCCTTCCCTGCTCTCACCCCCAATCGTAGGCCCGGGAGGGTGAGAATGGGGGCAGGGGGGACTAGGAGAGGGGAAGCAGAGGGTTACAGGGGCAACAGGGAGCCGGCCTTCAGGAGCTGGAGGGGAAAATGAGGGACTCAAGAGCTGGGAGGAAGCAGGTATGGGGGAATGAGCCTGGCCACAATCCTGGGGCGACACTGCCTTGCTCTGCCCTGCCCCACACAGCCCCAGCCCCAGCCCCAGCCCCTGCCCTGCGGGTGACCAAGAGGCTGCAACTCCCACCACAGTCTGAATTACAAAGCCCTAAACACACCCTTCCCATGGCTTCCATGTGCATGGCTATCAAAATCAAACCCGGCTACCTACATGGTGTCATTCATTCATTCACTCACATGCATTCATTCTCACTCTGATGGGTGCTTTAATGAGTGGGGAATGGGCAGGTGCAGGTGGGGGGCAGGGGTGAAGGTGGTTCTGCCTGCCCCTTGGGTCCCACCTGATGCCGTGATCCCCAGCAGGACCTGCTGCATCTGCTGCAGGACCCTGTGCCAAGTGAGAATGCAGACTCCTGTGTTTCCCAAAACTGCTGCAGGCTGTTCAGCGGGGACAGCATAGCATTGAACCAAACGCTGACACCTACTGAGGCTGGCCTTGTGTGACCGCACCATCGCCAGCCGTCTGGCCCTGCTCTTCATAACTCTCCATTCCCTCCGCGTGCTGGGACTCGGCCCATGCAAGGGCGTTGACTCCAGGGTGGGGGAGTTGTCAGCCTGTGACTGAGTCTGGCCTCCCTCTTGCTGACCGGGTGAGGCTGAGCCTACACATACTTGACAACTCTGGAAAATCGGGGGTTCAACCAGACAAACTCAAAGCCCCCTACAGCCCAGCTCCACACCCCAGCTCCACACACAATGCAGTGTTCACCCCATGACTGCTGTGGACCCCTGCTCTGCAATCGCTCGCCGGCGATTGAGGGTTTGCAGTGGTAAGGACCTTGAAGGTCACCTCGTCCAACTGCTTTATTGATTAGATGGGGAAACTGAGGCCCAGAGTCCATCTCCAGCCCCCACGTGGCCGCCTGCCTGCCCTTATGAGCCTCCCCTCCAAGGAGCAGCAGGCTGTGAAAGGCAGGCCCCAGTCTCCCCTCCAGCTGGTCTTCAGCAGCTGGACCAGAGCAGAGCTGACCAGGAGCAAGCCTGGACCACAGAGTTGCATGTGGTCCCCAGACCTCTGCGGCTGTCACTCACTGTGCCCAGAGGAAGAACAAGGCCAGTCTTCCAGATAGCTGGGCCCTGGAGGGACCCAAGAAGAGCCTGTCTCCAAGGGCCTGTGCTGCTCCGGCATCCTTTTCCTGGGGAAATCAAGACGCCACCTCAGGGCCTCTTGGCCAGTGTGGAGCCTCTGCCTGGGCACCAGGACCCAATATTCTCACAGGCCTTCATGCCTGCCCCCATAAGCCTGAGTATAGACAAACTGGCAAGATGGGCTCTGAGGCTGTGTGCCAGCTGGAGATGCAAGGTGAGAGGGCAGAGACACTGTGGCAGGTAGGAGCTCGCCCCAAGCTGGTACCTTCTCATGGAAGAATTGAGGGAGCGGACTGAGAACAAACACCCTACCCAGCCATGCCGTTTGCAAAGAGACTCTACAGTGTCTCCCGTGGAGAATGGGGTTATGTCTCCCCACCCTGAACCTGGACTTGCTGTATGACTCACTTTGACCAACAGAATATGGTGGAAGTGGCAGAGTGCTGATTCTAGCCCAGGCCTCCAGGGACCTTGCGTGCTGCCCTGTGGTCTCACACCTCCACACAGCCCTGGCAGCCTGCAAGAGAATGACAAATTTGTGGGGCCAAGCCAAGCTGGTCCAGATGTTCCAGCCAAAGCCCAGAGATAAGAGAGAACCCAGGCAATATCAGTGATGCTGCCTACCTGACTTGCTGCTGATGCTGGACACACCAGTGAGCCCAGCCCAAAGCAGAAAACCACCAAGCTGAGCCCAGCCTTATCTGCCAAGCTAAAGATTCAGACATTGTTTTAAGCCCTGTGTTTTGGGATAGTTTGTAATGCAGAAATTAATTGCATCTACAGTGCCAGGCGGCTAAAAAAGCCACTGTTCACACAGTTGCTGTCTTTCTCTCTTTTCTTCAGTATCAATTCTTTCCCTACCCTAGAAGCTCAGCTCAAGTACCCCCTGCCCTGAAGCCTGTTCTGACCATGCCAGCCTGTAGTGTGGAGACAGCAAAGTGTAGCAGAAAGAGCTCTGCAAAAGGGAGTGGAAAGCCCCACTTCACAGCATCATTCACTCATTCCCTGAGATTTGTGCAGAGGAGACCCAGAAAGCAGGGCAGGGAGCCAGCCTTCCCATAGCTTCCAGTCGAATGGCAGAGACAGGCTAGGAGACAGACAAGGACCACATGGCCTCTTCCCTGCTCTAGTCAGGTAAGCCCATGGGAATGCAAAAACTTTCCCAGGAAAACATGGTGTCCAGACCTGAGCCCACGTCCCTGGCTACCTCACTGGCCCACCTCTGACAATTTCCTGTGTCCTGTGGACTCTGGCCCCACTGGATTGGAAGGGCCAGGAAGGCAGACAAGGAGGCACTTCCTCTACATCTCACAGTGCAGACAGGACCCAGGCTAGCGTGCCACCCTCAGAGGTACTTGGAAAACCTTTGCTCAGTTGGACTGGATGAGACTGGGTTGCACTGAATTGAATTAACTGAGTTCAGTGGAAATGAACTAAATCAAATCAATAACACCCTTGTCTGGCAGTAACACAGTCTCATCTCCAACAATGTCTCTAGGGTGGGAACCATGTTTCACCCACTCTGGTCTCCCCCTCCAGATGAGCACAGGGCTGGGAAGTAGGCCAGGGCTCGAGGCTGTTTGGCTGACACAGGTTGACCATATTTGTAAAGATTGCCTCTCCTCTGGATCCAAAAACTCCAGAATAGGAATTGTCTACCCATCTCCTTCATCTGTGTTTATGCCGCGATTTTTGGAGGGTAGGGGGCTCCAACCGTGGGCCAGAGGCTTTGCTGGGTCTTGGGGATGTTAGGGTAAATTCCCTTATTTAAGTGATCTTGTTTATGATTTATTATTATTTAATTTGCTTACTTTGCTGCCTCCAGGGCCCAGCAGAATTTGCTGAGCCCCAAAGCTCATGACCCGGCAGGTGAGGTGAGCACAAAGAAGCCTCAGAGGTGGGGGTGGAGGGAAAGCTACGCAGGAGCTCTGCGGAAGGCCCAAGGGGTGTTCGGGGCACACGAGGGGTGTTCTGCCCCAACAGTGGGGTCCGGGAAGGCTTCACAGATGAGGGAACCCGGGCAAAAATCACACACAGGACTTGGCAGGATGGGCACAGCAGAGTAGCAGTTCTGGAGGAGACAGAAGCCTGAACCTGCGTGTCGGGTTGGCACAGCCAGAGGTGGCCAGGGAGGGGTAGGTCAAGGAGGCCTTCCTTGCCTCCTTGAGGAGTTCAGGGTTGTCCCAAAAGCAAGTGAGGAAACCTGGAGGATGGCGTGATTGATGGTGCCACGGTTCCCAGGCCTTCCCCACTCCCAGATCCATGCCCTCTGCTGCGTGACTTTGCTGTTCCTCACCTGGACATGCGCACCTCCTGCCCCACAGAGGCTGGGCTCCAGCCAACGGGCCATGGGCAGCAGTGGTGGGAACAGAGGTTTGAATTGTCCCTGCACAGAGCCAATGCTGAGAGCAGGTGCCCAGCAGCTGCCGACCCCAGGAAGCAGAGAGGCCTTGTGCAGACCCAGAGCCTGAGCCCAGCCGAGCCCCCTGGAACCAGCCTCATCCCCTCCCATTGCTTCCCGGGGTCGCTTCCCAAATCAGATGCTGTCTCCGTCAGTTCAGACTGCCAACACAACACCACAGACTGTGCGGTTTAAATCGCAAACATTTATTTCTCACAGTTCTGGAGGCTGGAACTCCACGACCAAGTCACTGGCAGATTCAATGGCTGTTTGCAGGTGGCCGTCTTCTTGTGGGGTCCTCGTGCGACAGAGAGCAGAGACAGAGCCGGTTCTCTGGGCCTCTTCTTATCAGGCCACTAATTTCATCACGGGGCCGCACCCTCAGGACTCAACTACATTCCACAGGTCCCCTCTCCTAATGCCATCACATTGGGAGTTAAGGCTTCAACATATGTATTTAGGGAGGACGCACACATTTGGTCCGTAGCGAGAATTCAGACTCAAGCCCTTGCCTCAGGCTCTAATGCACCCAAACCCAGCAGCCACGCACCGCACACCCTGGAGAGCGTGCAGGGGACCCCTGGGTGGGTGAGGACAGGTTTTGGGACTCAGGAGCTAGTCCCTGGGTTTGTCTCGTCAGCCTTCGCCCACCCCTTGACCTCGAATGGGCCTCCTGACCCAGAACATGGGGATCGGGGCCTGGGAAGGTTGAGGGAAGCATTAAATGAGGTGGCCCTTTGTCATGTATCTGGCACCCCATAGGCGCTCAAATGGTGCAACGAGGATGCCACGGCCCTAACCTGCAAACACGTTTCCACGACTTCACGCCGGAGGCAGCCAAAACGCTTCCCGGCTCCCCTTCCCTGGGGCCCTCCTGGCAGTCCCTGGAGCCAGCCCCTTGGCTCCTGCCTGGCCCCTCCTAGGCAGCCGGCCTGTCCCAGAGTCCCCACCCAGCCCTGGCACCGGCAGGCAACAGACGCTTGCTGGTGGGTGGTCGGGAGCACGTGCCTGGGGAGAGCTGCCTCCACACCATTCACTGATCTAATCAATATCCTGCTCCTCCCGAGAACCCGATCACAGGCCCATCCAAGTGGGGGTCTGGCTGTGACCCCTTCTTCACCCCGAACTTCCCCCATGGCCACCACCTCCCCCTTCCCTCTCCCCAGCCCGCTGGGGTGGGCCGCTGGGAGGAAGCCCATCTCTGACGTGGACCCCGCATACAGGGGGTCGTGGGCCTGTCAGATTGGGTCACCCGAATCAAGGGTGATGATAAAACCTGTCCCTCCAAATTAGGCCAGAGCCCCCGGAGCCCCGCTGATTACAGCCTGTGCACCGAGGACAAAGGGTCCCTCTAGGGTCATTAATATGGATTGAGGCCCATTGTTTTCTCAAATTAGGCCACAGGGAGCGCTTCTTGGGGAAGCACATAGCGGGTGAGGGTTCCTGGGGTCCCGCCCAGGGTCCTGCGAGGCCAGGCTGGAGAGCCAGCAAGGAAGAGGCCAGACCATTCCCAGGCTGAAGGCTCGGGCTCGGGGGTGAGGCCAGGGCCAGTGGGCTTCCCCAGCTCACCTGCAGAATGTTCTGGAGAAATAAAAGGATCCCTCTGAGTACCTGCTGGGACTGAGTGAGCATTCTTAACTTACACAGAGGGTCTTGCTGTCTGCAAAGCGTTTTAGATTCTCAATGCCTTTCAACCTCCAGCACCTTGGGAATTCCACTCCAATTCTTAGTGTGGGAAAGTGAGGCTCCGAAAGGTCCAAAGGCTGTCTCGCTGGTTCGCAAGCCTGAATGCAGGTGCCCCTCCTTCAGCTCGTGACATGCCACATCACCGTGGGACTCACTGCCCGCGTTCAAGAACAAGGATGGCCCAGATACATCGCATGCACACGTCACCGTGACGACAGCCATGGGCTGAGCACATGAAGGCCTCAGATCCTACAGGAGGTTGCCCTCTGCCTCTTCTCATCTGACGCCTAGCCCAGTAGCCTGGGGCTTCGCTGGGTCCTGGACGCTTGTTCACATGCTCACCACACTTTACAGTTTATCGTGTAACATTGCTCCATTATTTCCTGTGAGCTTTGCAACAGATCATTTTTTCGGGTTGAGTTCAATGGCAGCACGGTGTCATCTCTATTCCAGGAGAGAGAAGGCTCCGGGAGCCAAGAGGTCCTCACAGGCTGTCACAACCTGGCTGCCTGTGGGGAGGAGCAGAGGTCAAGGTTGAAGGGATGAAGACCCTCACCCTGTCCTCACCTGGCTGAGGTGCGGTGGGGCAGAAGGACTCATAGCCAGCACCCTGCACCCTGCAGGGCGAAACTGGGCTCAGGAAAAGAATGAGCCCCAAGCTGCCACAGCCTGGGATAGGAGGGTTCCTGCCCAGGACTTTTTAAGGGGCAGGATGTGGGAACAGCAGGGCAGCTACGAGATTCGTGGAGCCCTGTGCAAGACGAAAATGCAAGATGAAAATGCAAGACCCTCCTTCCAGGACGATCAGAGCATCCAACCATGTGCAGGGCCCTTCTGAGCCCGTGGCCCCTGTGGTGGGGATGGGGCGAGGAACAGTTCATTCAATACCTGTCTGACAAGCACCTGTCTGCTTCGTGCCAGGCACTGCCCTGGACAAAATGGGTGCAAGTTCTTTCTCCGTGGGTCCGAGAGGGGCTGCTAACAAATGAATAACAAAATGGCTGCAGGTCATGCCGCTGCTCCATAGAAAACAGACCGGGGGTGAGGCAGGATATTGCTGGGGGACCCCTTAGTGGATAGAATGATCAGAAAAATGGAGGCTCCCAGAGGACGAGGGTAAGCCGTGTGGGGCAGTAAGACAGGAGTAGGGAACAGCCCAACAACGGAGTGGAGGCTGGAAAGTTGCTGCTTGGTCCTCCGTCCTGCTGACTCCCTGCACAGGTACCGAGAGGGATCGGAGTCCCCACCCCTGGGGAGGACTTGCACCCCCGCCTCCACCCCTGTGCTGAGCCCAAGCCTCTGCAAGTCCCTGGGGACCTGCCTCCTGCACCCTGACCGCCTGCTCCTGTCTTTCCTCACTCACACCTCTGCTCAGGGCTGGGCTGGCGTCTTCTCTCCCCAGATGGATGTGTTTTAATATTTCACAAAGGAATATGTTCCTAAAAAATAGCAATTAGGCTGGGCGAGGTGGCTCATGCCTGTAATCCCAGCACTTTGGGAGGCTGAGGTGGGGAGGATCACCCTGGGGTCAGGAGTTTAAGACCAACCTGGTCAACATGTTTCTACCAAAAAACACAAAAATTAGCCTGGTGTGGTGGTGAGCACCTGTAATTCCAGCTACTCAGCAGGTTGAGGCAGGAGAATGGCTTAAACCCAGGAGTCGAGGCAGGAGAATCACTTGAACCCAGGAGTTGGAGGCTGCAGCGAGCCGAGATTGTGCCACTGCACTCTAGCCTGGGTGACAGAGCGAGACTCTGTCTCAAAAAAAGAAACCAGCAATCAGATGGCAAGATATCATAATAAGTTTTTACATGAAAATATAAAGTTACAAAACAACACTCTGATGTGACTTAGAAAAAACAAGTGTGGGCCAGGTGCGGTGGCTCACGCCTGTAATCCCAGCACTTTGGGAGGCTGAAGCCGGTGTATAACTTGAGGTCAGGAGTTCGAGACTAGCCTGGCCAATGTGATGAAACCCTGTCTCTACTAAAAATACAAAAAATTGACGGGCATAATGGCGGGCACCTGCAATCCCAGCTACTCGGGAGGCTGAGGCAGGAGAATCCCTTGAACCCAGGAGGCGGAGGTTGCAGTGAGCCAAGATCGCGCCACTGCCCTCCAGCCTGGGTGACAAAGTGAGACTCTGTCTCAAAAAAAAAAAAAAAAAAAAAAAGAGAGAGAGAGAGAGGAGAGAGAGAGAAAAGAAAAAA
Source organism: Homo sapiens (assembly GCF_000001405.40). Taxonomy (NCBI): domain Eukaryota; kingdom Metazoa; phylum Chordata; class Mammalia; order Primates; family Hominidae; genus Homo; species Homo sapiens. The sequence continues at coordinate 69,479,315 of NC_000011.10, forward strand.
CAAGTGGGTGGTATATATGTGGAAGAACATAAAAAAGACCAGAAGGAACCACATCTCAGTGTCAGCATGTGAGCTCTGATGGTCTCTGCTGAGGTTGCCTGCGGTGCCCTAACTCTTCTCTGTTTTCTGATTGCTTTTGCAATCAACAGGTATTATTCTCATGAGCAGAAAAACGCCCTGTTGTGCACATTTGGGATGAGAGAAGGGTGCTGCAGGTGAGGAGAAGACAAAGGGGTGGAGTGGGCCAGCTTCTCTAGTGTGGCATCTTCTCCTCTCCTCCTTGCCTGGCTGCCTGGAGCCTGAGGGTCACAGCCTCCAGCCTCTTGGCTTGCACTCTCGGCCTCTGCACGCAGCCTTATCTTCCCCAGAACGCACACTCACCTTCCGCTTCCCTCAGGACCTGCCACCTCCAAACCTCTGCCCATGCTGGGTCCTCCACTGGGCCACCCTCTCCTGCCCAGCTCGGCAGGTGCACATCTTCCTAGCCTGGGGGGCCTGCTCAGAAGGCAGCTCTTTCAGGAAGCCCCTGGCTGGAGAGACCCCACCTTCCTGCCGCCTCCTCTGGCCTCTCTGGTGAGCTGCCCACTCTCTTCCTTGAGTCAGAGTTCAAGGTGTGGCTGTCTTGCCTGTGAGGGCAAAGTCTGCAGCCGACTCGTCTCCCTGGCTGTCAGCTCCACAAGGCGGGCGGGTGCTCAGTAAACATTACTAAACTCATCAGCCCCCTTTGGGCAAACGGGACAGTGGGGCGAGGCCTGGCGTGGCTGGAAAAGCAGTCTGGATGCCCCAGTTGCGGCTGGCTCAACGGCTTTATCTGACAGCCCTGGGCACCAAGACAAAGAGGCGTTCCCTGGCTGCCTTGGCCTCCTCTCTCCCAGGGGAAGGCAGGGTGACATGGCGAGCCTGGGCCACACAGTGAGCCCAGGCCGGAGCCAGCAGCCGGTTCCCAACACTGGCTAGGGCCCTTCTGCAGGCCTGACCCTGAGCACATCCCAGGACCCCGTCAGCTTCCCAGGGAGAGTTCCCAGGAGTCTGTGCTGGCGTGGAGAGGAGCTGGGGGCCCCTGGGTGTGCGGCTGCAGACGTCACGGGCACCCAGAACCCTGACCAGAGTCAATGTTGTCGTCCCCTTGGCATGCTGGAAAAAAAATTGCTCAGACAGGGCTGGAGGGCTCTCAGACCCTTTGTATCCTCTTCTCTGAGTCTTGGGAAATTGAGAAGTCCTCTGAGAGCTTCCCTTCACCTGATAGTCCCACCCTCAGGATGGAGCTGAGGCAGAGTCTGCACTCCTCAACCCTCTTCTCTGTGAAACAGTTAGGAAATGTCTGCAGACATCATCATCCGGACTCAACTCCTCTTCCCTGCTATGAATCGTGAAACAAAGTGTTCAGGTCACCACAGTGAGGACTCTGGCACTGAGCCGGCACTGGGCGGGATCAGTAGCTTGGATGGAATGCCGGCAGGGTCCCTGCTGACCTCATCATGTGGAAGAGTTTCGGAGAGGTCAGGAGTTGCCAAGGGCCTGCAGACAACGCCGTGTGAGGAGGACAGTGTGAGGTAGCACAGGCCTCTTCGATTCCCAAGGTTCCCTGGAATCCTCAGGATTCCCAAGGAACCCTTGGATCACCCCAGCACCACCTAGCCCAGGGACAGAGCCAGGCCTGAGTGCACAGCCCGCTAGCAACTGTGTAACAGGTGCCAGGCACCTACAGTGTGCTGGGCATGGGGCTGAGGTGGGGCTGTGCTGGCAATGCTGCAGACAGCATGTTTACACCAAGCACAGCTACAAGCCCAGGACCAGCTTCCCTCCTTCCGTCAGAGCAGCCACTGGGGCAGCCAGTGTTACTAGATCCCCACTTGACACATGAGGAGGCACCAGGAGGCTGTGCCACTCAGCCGATCTAGCGGTCCACACATCAGAGTCCATACTCTGCCACCATTAGAATGGGGCTTGTGATGGCTGCCCTCACTCAGTTCAGGGGTCCCCACCAGAATCTCTCAGGCCACACCCTGGGACCTCAGATACACTCTGGGCAAGTGGCAGGGGCCCTGAAAGGTCCAGAGTCCAGCCAACTTCAGGTCTCCCAGGCAAAAGGAGCCAGACCTCCCACTCACCCCCTCGAACCCAGCAGTCACTCCAACAGGGCTTCTCTGACAGTCCAGGCTGATGCAGCTCACTGTGGCAAAAGACCTTCCCTGAATCAGGTCCTCACATAGAGGCCCATGCAGCCCTCTGGGAATGCGGAGGCTGGGGGCAGCCATAGACACTGGAGCTCCTTCCCTGTGACAAGTGCCATCCCATGGGGAGGAGCCAAGCCCAACGAACACCCCAAGGCAAGAGGGAAGAGCTCTGTGGGGCAGAGGGCAGCCTGAGCATCTGCAAACAGAGTGGCTCACAGAGAGGACACCTGCCCTGAGGACACCTGCAGGAGATCCCTACAGAGGAAGGGCTAGACCAGGCTCCATCCAGCAAGTAAGGTCTCTAACAGCTTTGAGATCGTAAGCCCTTTAAATAGGGAGGGAGGTGGGTGAATGGATGGATGGATGGATGGATGAGTAGATGGACGGGTGGATGATTGAATGGGTGGATGGATGGATGAGTGGATGGTTGGATGAGTGGATGGATGGATAGATGAGTAGATGGATGGATGGATGATTGAATGGGTGGATGGATGGATGAGTGGATGGACGGACAGATGGATGGATGGATGGATGGATGAGTGAGTGGTGTATTAGTCTATTCTCATGCTGCTAACAAAGACATACCTGAGACTGCATAATTTATGAAGGAAAGAGGTTTAATGGACTCACAGTTCCACATGGCTGGGGAGGCCTCACAATCATGGCAGAAGGCAAAAGAGAAGCAAAGGCACATCTTACATGGAGGCAGGCAAGAGAGCATGTGCAGGGGAACTCCCATTTATAAAACCATCAGATCTCATGAGACTCATTCACTACCATGAGAACAGTATGGGGTAAACCGCCCCCATGATTCAATTATCTCCATCTGGCCCTGCCCTGGACACATGGGGATTATTACAATTTAAGGTGAGATGTGAGTGGGGACACAACCAAACAATATCAAGTAGATGGATGGATGAATGGATGGATGGATGAGTGGATGGATGGACGAGTGGATGGATGAATGGATGGATGGATGCATGCATGGATAGATGGATGAGTGCATGAATGGATGAGTGGATGGACGGATGGATGAATGGATGGATGATGAGTGGATGGATGAGTAGGTGGATGGATGAGTAGGTGGATGGATGAGTAGGTGGATGAATGGATGAGTGGATGGATGGGTAAATGGATGGATGGATGGATAGATGGATGGATGAATGGATGGAAGAAAGGAAGAGAGAGAAGAAAGTTACATTGATTGATTTATATAGTTTGTCATACCAGAAAGTTCTGCAGACTGGACTGCTTACAAACAGATGTTTCTTCTTTCACCGTCCTGGAGGCTAGACGTCTGAGATCAAGGTGTGGCAGGGCTGGTTCTTCTGCAGTCTCTTTCCTTGGCTCGTAGACAGCATCTTCTCCTCACATTTTCACAGGGTTGTTCCTCTATGTGGGTCCGTATCCTAATCTTATGAGGATGCCAGTCATATTGAATGAGGACCCACCCTGGTGACCTCCTTTTAATTTGATTACATCTGTAAAGATCCTGTATCCAAATAATGTTACATTCCGGGGTCCTGGGAGTTAAGACTTCAACATACGAATTGTGGGGGGATGTGATTCAGCCCATAACAGTTAAGCTATCACAGATACTTCTGAGGTCCGTGGAAGGAGAGAGTGTGGGTACTCATGACTTCCCAGAGTCCCAGCAATGCTACCCAGAGCAGGTCTGTGCAAGGGAGGGCAGCCATCTGCTTTTCCACGGTCTGGAGTCCCCTTCTTTCTTTCATCAGGACTCCGAGTCCTCTGCCCCATGGACCCCTCTTCCCAAACTTCTCTCTGGTCAGGACTTACACTCTGGAGCCTACAGGTGGAGCCTGGGGTGGAATTCCACTTCCTCCACTTATCAGCTGTGTGTCTTTGGGCCTCTTATTTAACCTCTCTGGACTTCAGGTTCCTTCTCTATAAAGTAGGATCATGATATGCCCTACCTCATAGGTTTTTATGAGGATAAAATGAGGGACATTCATGGGATATTGGAACAGTGCTGACCCCTAGCAAGCACTAGGTCAGTGTTTGCTAAATAAATGAAGAAACCATCTCCATGGGTAGGCTGAAGGTAGAACAGCGTCGGGACTTGTCTGTGACCCGGGCTCAGAGGGCTGTGGGCTCAGAGGAGGGGAAGAGGCTGCTGTGGTCAGGCCCACGTCCAGAGGGGGCTTTTGCTTAGCAGAGGCTGCTGGCCAGGCAGCCCCAGCCGCACCCCATTTTATGCATATGAGAGAGAAATGCAGGCGTGATGGTCTGCAATTGTCCCTTTTGTTTACAGCATTTGTTGGAGCATATTTCTGGCAAGGAAGCTGACAATAAACCAAGGCCCGGGCCGGCCCGGCTGGCGGGCAGCAAATGAAGACAGCTGCCGAGGCGGGTGCCTCCCGGTGGGCTGGGGCCGGAAACCAGGGGCTCTGTCTCAGGCGCTTCAAAGAAGAGCCTTTGTCTAAGGCAGCCGAGCCAAGGGCCCCGCAGGGGCAGGCGGGCTGGGGCTCTGGGTGATGCCCGACTCACTCCACGACCTCACACGGGCAGCTCCCGCTCTCCAGGCCTCAGGTTCCCAGCTGCGAAGTAAAGGGGAACTAGGGCCCTAGGTACCTGCTGTGAGCCCTGTGTCAGCTCCAGGGAAGGGAGGGTGCTCTTGGGGTGCCCCCTCACTCCTTAGAACCTGCGTTCTGCAGCTTCGAGATAGAGAGCGACCTCAGAACACTCAGCCAAGAAACAGACAGGCCAGGGCATGGCCTCCAGACAGGAGGTCATGGGAGAAGGAGAGTCAGCGCTGCCCGGTGAGAGGACACAGAGGCTCTGTGGGAGAAGGGAGGGACAGTCCCGGCATGAGTACACACAGAACCTGGCAGGAGGGTCTTCTAATGGCCACTGGGCCTGCACCCCTGCTGTGGGCCCAGAGCCCCATGCACCTGCTTCTTGTCCACCTCCAGAAGGGTGTTGCCTTCTGCACATCCTTGTTGAATGATGTCCCAAGGGAGCCCTGAGATGTCACAACTTCAGGTGACTCCCCTGCCTCCCAAGGACACTTACAGAGGTGTTTTCACAAAGGACACCTCACAAAGGCACAGCTTTTAAGGACCTCTAGTGTGAAACGGGAATGTTTCAGGCACTAGAAAAGGCCCAGCAGTTTCTGGAAGGAGAAGAGGACACCCCTCTGACTCTGCCAAGTGGGCCGGCCCTGTGTCGCGCTGGCCCACGCAGCTGCTGAGCCCTGCTGTTGGGCAGCAATCAGCGATGGGTGGCCGTGGGCAGGTTCCCTGCACTCCTGGGGCCTCGTCTTCAGTCTGTGCTTTGCATTGTCCTCCTCCTGCTGGGTCAAACCCTGGGCTCAGGACCGTCTGCAGGTCACCTCCTCCCTGAAGCCGTCCACAGCACCAGAGTCTTCACTGGCTCCTTTGTTTTCTCTGAAGGCAGAGAATCTTCTAGTGCATGTGATTTACAATGGTTTGTGTCCTGGTCTTATCTGCTACTGCTGACCAGTAGTTTGACACAAGTGGGCTGTGCTAAAATCTCTGAACCACCCAACCCCCCGCCACCACCACTCACCCCACACCTTGTCCTGAGCTCAGCATGTCACTGCGTATGGGAAGTGGGGGGCGGGGTGGAGTTCATGGCCAGATCCTCCAGGTCAGGTGCTTTGCAGGCTAAATCTTACTTGACCTCCTAGCAATTGGGTGATGTAGTGCCCAGGCCACAGATGAGGATCCAGAGAGTAGGAGAGGCAAAGGGTTTTCCCCCAGGAACATGATGGAGCCAGGAGTTGGACCCAGACCCTTAAGGTTCCAAGGTCTTCTCATCCCCTCTCAGTCGAGGTCAGCTGGAGGGGAGAATAAATGTGCTGGGGGCTCAGGAGTTCTTGGAGTCAGGGTTGATGATGCCACTGACCTCACTGGACTTAACATTCATTCAACAAATATTTGTCCCAGACACCAGAAGAACCAGGGGAAGCTCCACCCCTAGCCCCAGGTGCCTGCCTAGGCGCAGGCAACACTGCGGATGAGGTGGGACCCTCTCTTGGGGGCGTGAGCTAGAAGAGCAGGCATTGGCCATAGGCTCTGGCTTGCTGCAGAGGTGCCTTTTGTCTGGCAAGGGGAGCACAGGTGGGGGATGGGGCTGGCCCCAGCCAGGACATTGTCTGTGTCACTCAGCAGCAGACTGACTGGCGCCTGCTGCCTGGCCAGCAATGCTGACCCCTCTGCCTGCCCTAGCCAATATTTGAGGTCAGGAGGCAAGTACAGCATCTGTGGGCAGACGACAGGGCCAATGGGGTTCTCCTCCAGGCCTTCTGCTGCCACTCTGCTTCCTGAAGCCAGGAGGCCCAGTTCAGGTGCTCCGCCAGGGCTCCCGTGGTCCTGCCTGCAGGGGCGAGGTAGCAGGACCCCCTTGTTTAGCCTCTGCTGCATCCTTAGCTGCAGCAGGGAGCCTGCCAGGCAGGTGTGCGGTGAGTACCTCTCGCCGAGGCCCCCTAGGCACTCTTGTGTCAGGGTGGTGCTGTCTGAGATCCTGGAGGCATCTCAAATGGGGACCCTTTCTTAACCACAGACAGGCAGGACAGCGATGTCTTCCTGCATGACAGAAGGGGAAACTGAGGCCCAGAGTGATGCAGCCCGGGACCTCCCAGGACAAGGTCCAAGCTCTTACCTCAGGTATGGAGTTTCCATGATAACTGTGGGTCACTGCAGCCCCACTGCCGGGCCTGGGGTCTGCACTGTCACTAGCATCCCCAGGGACTTGAGGGATGGCACAGCTTTGGGAAGAAATCCTGCCCGTGGAGGGGTCTGTGCCCTGCCCCACTCGGACCATCTCAGCCCTAGATATTAGCTAGCTGTGGGCCATCTGGGGGAGCATCTGAGAACCGGGCCTCGAAACTTGGCTAGAGTTTGGTCAGCACCACGAGGTCCACCTGCCCACTGGGGCCTCCAGGTTCATCTCCCCAGGTGTTGCCTGAGCTTGGCTTGTGATTCCAAAACCAGGTGAAGGCGCAAAAGCCGTGTCTCTGCCGCAAGGGGCCCGTGGGCCCAGGAACGCTCAGAACTGAGCTTGCTCCAGAGAAGACACGCAGGGCCAGGGAAGCTGGAGGAGCAGTCGCCCTCCCCTCGCTGTCCTGGGGGGTCTTCCTGAGGGAGGTGCCTTCTGCTCAGAGACTGAGGATGAGGAGAGAGGGGACAGCCTATGGGGACAGGGGAGGAGCCTCTCCCAGTCCCAGGGGTCATCTTCCAGGAAGGCCCAGCCCATCTGAGGAGCTCCATAAGCCCCCGCGATGGGTGGCAGGGCTGGGGCTCTGTGGCAGGGCTTTGAACTCCCAGCCAGCCCCAGGACGGCTGCCTGGCTGTGTTGCTGGCCCTGCTCCTGGCCCTGCCCCACTGTCCCCGAACTGGATCCAGGCAGACAGGGAAATGTGGATGTCAGCTCTGAACCACCACATTCCTGAGGTCCCCTCCGGGCCCAGAGCTGCACGGCCTCCTCTTTCGCGTTAACCCGAAAAGCCGTGCTGGGGGGTCCTGGCCCCTCCTACTCTGCCGCCTCTGCATTCCCTGCCCCTGCCAGCGCGGCCCAGCCAAGGCTTGCAAGCGCATTCCCAGGTGGCCTGGGGCGGCTGCCGCCTCCCGCAGGCGGAGTATTTTGGGGGTGTCCCCTAAATGAAAACAGGGCAGGAATGCTGGAGGCCACACTGTGTCCCCAAGGCTTGGGTGCGGTGCTTGGAGCTGGCACAGAAGAGAGTAGCGGGAGGGAGGAGGAGAGCGGAGGATGGGAGGAGAGAGGGGCCTGGAAAGCCCAGGAGAGCCAGCTGGACAGGGTGGGACGGCATGGGAAGGAGAGGGAGCCCCGTGAGGGCTGCAGGCCACCAGGGCCCTCGAAAAATCACTCGCGGGAACAAGGGTGGAAATCCTGTCTGCCATGACGCTCACCCTCTCTGTGGCCCATTTTCTCATCTGTGAGTTGGGGGATGATGTTCTGAGGTCCTCACAAGGCAGGGCCTGAGTAAGGACTGACGGGGAGCTAGGTTTGGCCTCCGCCCTGTCCTCAGGAAGGGGCCGTGTGGTGTCCACGTGTGCTGGCCCTGGTGGTCCCCTTGGGGTCCTGTTCCCCGTCGGTCATGGCGCTGGGCCTCCCTGTGGCTGATTTCTTGTGGGTCGTGGAATTTCTAGTTTTAAGGGGACCAGTGTGGCACAGCAGGGTGCTCCCCAGGCAGGTGTGGGTGGGTGTCTCTTGTGGAGGCCCCCGAGACACTCCTGAGTCCAGGTGGTGCTGTCTGAGGTCCTGGAGGCAGGTCCTGGCTCAGGCAGAAATCTTGTCCAAAGGGAATCTTGTCAGATGCCTCCTACCCTGACATCCCCATCTGCTTCCCCACAGTGATAGCCTGGTAACCGGCTGTGCCTCTTTGTCCCTTGTCCTCCCAGGTCCCTACACGGGTCAAGATGGGAGCCGCCTTAGAGATCTCTATTCTGCAGAGGAGGAAACTGAGGCACAGACATGGATGGAGGGAATTTGGCCAAGGCCCTTTGGCCTTCTGGGCCAGGACTCCAGCCCCAGCCCAGTGGCAGGAAGAGGGTCTCATGCCACCCCTCAACCCTGATAATCCTGCATGCACGGCACAGGCCTCGAACCTCCTCTCCCCTGGCCTGGTCCCACCCTAGTGGGCCCGGCAGTGGGGCCTTCCATCCTGCCTCTGTCACTGCCACAAAAGAACATCATGATGCATCCCAGGCCTCTGTCCTTCAGGCCATGGGGGGCTTCCCTGAGCACAGCCACTCACCACATGCCTGAGTCTGGATCTCATGCGAGAACTGGCCTGGACCCCTGGACCAGGGTAAGAGGGAGACACAGCAAGGCCCAGACAGGTTGACCGACTGCCCAGGGTTTCTGGCCAACGAGCAACGGAGCCGTTTTGACGCCCAGGTCTGGCCTTTTCGGTCTGCAGCAGGCAGCATTGGGAAGCAGGCTTGGGCCCCCTCCCGCCACCCCAGCTGCTCCTCTGAGCCCCCGAGGTGGGCACCAGACCCAGGCCTCTCCCACGGCAACAGGAGGGTACAGAAAAGGCGCCTTTGTCAAACCCTGGAGAAGGCCCTGCTGGGCAGGGGCAGTTAATGGACCGGCCCGGGGTGGGCCCCACACAATGGAACGTTGTGCCGCCTGTCGGGGGCGATCACCATGCTTGCCCATCAGAGCCCCGTCGCAGGGACACACAGCTCATGGGTGCAGACACACAGTGGCTGCCCAGGAGCCAGGCCTTCCAGTCTGAGAACACAATGGCCATCAGTCACCAGCATGGCACGGGGCCCTGGGCATGGGGAACCGGCAGCAAAGGGCCGATTTGAGTGCCGGGGGCACCACCAAGACGCCCAGGCTTGGGAGGGTGAGGCCAGCCTGGCCCAGCCCTGCACAGCCGTAGCCTTGACACGCGTCTCTCCTTCCTGAGCCTTGGTTTTGCATTCCCACAGTGGGGCCAAAGCCACCTCTGCCACACCTGCCAAACTGTGGGAGAGATGATGGGAAATCAAGGAAGAAAAGGCTCATGGGAAAGAAAGTGTGTAGATAAGGCTTCAGAAAGGTAATGGGAAGCTATGCCTTGGTCTAAGAAGCCCATTCAGAACCTGCACACCACGGCTGTGGCCCCCAAACGCCCCTCGGATTGGGGGGAGCTGGACCAGGCATCACATGTCAGGGAGCAGTCCAGGGGTCTCCCCACCGCAGACCACACCGAGACCCCAGACGCCCTCTGGTCTCTCCACCGCAGACCACACTGTGACCCCGGGCACCTGCTCCCCACTTGGAGCTGGTTTCTCCGAAACTGAAATGAGGGAGCTCAAGACTCCCAGGTCTTTCCTTCTGCCTCCCTGGACACCAGAGGCTGCTGCCGTTGGGCTCTGAGGACCCCTGACACAGAGGAGCCCCAACATGGGCTGAGAGGGGGCCTGGGCAGTGCAGGCCGCAGTGTCCTCCCTGCCCTGGCAGCATGCAGGGACCCCAAACCTCCAGCGCGAAATCACTAAAATAGCCAGCAGCAGCTTTCCCACAGGCCTCCCATGTGGTATTTTTAGCCCTGGAGCCGGAGGCTTGGCTTGTTAAGAATAGCCTGGGGCAGTGGGAACGTGCTCCTGCTGCAGGCGGGCTGCGGACTCCCATGCACCGGTAGCGGGTGCTCCAAGGGCCGAGAGGCGTCCATAGGCCGTAGGCTCCCCCGCAGGGACAGGGGCAGGTCTCATTTGCAAAATCAAAAAGGCACAATCCAATGCATCAGGCTTCTGTGACCACAGTCAAGAAAGAGGGTGGCTGTCCTCACAGAGAACCCCCGTGGCCGAGCCTCCCAGGGGCTGGCAGGCTGGATTTGGCCTTCCACCTTGCCCTCTGTAGCCCCATCCCGACACTCTCAGCGGGTGAGGAGGGTAAGCTTCCAGGGTCAGGCTGGGTGAGTGGTTCCAGCCCCAGGGGTGGGGGTGCCAATCCCAGGTCCCAGCCAGGACCTCATGCACCTGAGTCAGCTCCTGCACCCTGGAGTGTCTGACAATTCTTCCCCAAGGAGATGCTCCACCACAGCATAGGTCAGAAAGGGGCCTGGAGTTTTGTTGGAGGAGCCCTTGGTCCCTCAACACCCCAGCCAAGGAGAAGTGCCCCAGCCCCTCACACATGCTCCTTGGAGATTTGGTCCAGGCCCCAGGGTTGGAGTGAAGCTGTCCCACCATCATCCCAGGCACATCTGGGGCAAGAGGCCCATCCCTAGTCAGCCCTGTTCCGCCGAATGGGCTTTTGTCCGAAGCTGCAGTCTCTGTAGGGTAGAGCGGTAAGGCTGGCAGGACTGCGGAGGCGTGGGATCTGGGGCGTACACAGCCAACAGTCAGTGCTGTGAAGACAAAGAACCTGAAAAGTCAATGGCTTCCAAGAGTGACAGGGACCGCCTTTCATCCAGTTCTTCTTGACTCTGAAACCTCCTATGGCTCCCCAGTGCCTGCAGCAGCTAGAAATACAATTCACCGATGAATCCTTGTTTTCTTCCAGATACAAACTCATCTGGAAGCATTAAAACAATGGAAGCAGGTGAGAGCAGAGAGATCCCGAGCGCAGGTGAGGTGGGGTCCCTGAGGCGGGCTCAAAAGCTGCTTCCCAAGGCAGGGGGGCCCCTATGTGCCCTCTGAGAGCACAGCCTGCAGACAGAGTCCAGACGTCTCAGGCAGGCCTTTGAGGCCTTCGTGTCAAAGCCCAGTTCTACCACATCCTAGGGTTATACTTTCGGCCTGGTGGGAGTCGCTGGTCCCCAGTTGACAGTGTCATTGGGAAAGTCCAGTGGTAGACCCCGGCACAGCAGGCGCTCAGCAGTGCAGCAGTATCATTGCTTAGCCCCACCTCCCTTTCCAGACTCTGCACCCCTCCTCAGGCTCAGAGCAAGGGCCTGCCCCTGCCCCTCCACCGCCCCCTCCTCACTTACCCCTGCGACTCTGCCCAAGCAAGACCTCCCCCTGGAATTCATTCATTTATCAACTCATTATGCAGCCAGCCAGCCATCGTTTCTTTTTTATCCACTTTTTCTGAGGGCCTGCTGTGCGCCAGCTGCTGGAGACATGAAGACATCGAAGACCCCAGGCCTTGACCTCCAAGAGCCCCCAGTTTGGTGGAAGAAACAAACAAGGAGACTGCAAAACACACCCTGTGATGGGGAGGGTTGAGGTGGCCAGTGGGAGAGGCGAGCTGGCAGGGCTCAGTGGTGAGGTGAAGGTGTGGGAGCAGGGACACAGCATGAAGGAGTAGATGGCCAGGTTGAGCTTTGCAGGCTCCAGGGGGAGGATAAAGAGCTGACACCTGGAACGTGCTTGGAACAGCAGGTGCTCGGTCAGTGCAGCCACGACCATCCCGTCCTGCATCCCCACCATGAACTTGGACCTTCTGGAAGGACCTTGCTTATCCCAGCATCCACACATCCTTGACCAGACCTGGTCAACATTTGCTTAGTAAGTGAATCAATGAATAGTTTGCTCCAAAAGGCTGTTTGGTAATGGAGTTAGCCTATGGGAAGCTGTGGGGTGAGGGAGGAGAGAGACGATTCTGACCTCCCGAGGAGCTGGGCTGTGGTCTCCTGCTCTGCCTGAACCAGCCCTGGGCCCTTGGTATGAAGACCCGGTGGATATGCTAGCCCTGTGTTCTGTATCTTCCTCCTCCATTGAAGCCTCTGCCAGCCTCCTCTCACCCATTCCTGCATGTGCCGCACCAATCTGTGTGGAGCGCCCACTCCAGCCAGGCCCTGCTCTATCAGCAAACTCAGCAGGCAGAACCCCTGCCCCATGGCGCTGCTTCAGCGTGGTGAGACAGGCAAGGAGATCGGGAGCAAGAGGGCGTTGGGGTCTGCTAGAAGTCGCAAGTGATGCAGAGTAGAGCGGGGACATTTGGAGCACAGTGGACAGGGATTACGGAGGTACAGGGCAAGGCAGCCCAGGAGGCGGGAGCGGCCAGTGCAAAGGCCCCGAGGCAGGAGGGCACAGAGGCCCGTGGGGTGGAGCAGAGGGAACTGGGAGGATGGGCAGATGGGTTTGGACCTCATCGGCCACTGGAAGGATTTTGATTTTCCTTGAAGACAGGAACTAATGGGAGGCTTGGTCTCACATTTTCCCAGGAACCGCCTGGCTGCTGGGATGAGAAGAGACTGGAGAGAGACCACGATGGAAGCCAGGAGGCCAACGAGGAGTTGGGGTAGTCCTCCAGGGAGACATGATGTGGCTTCAGCCCCAGTGGTGATGGCGGGGTAGAGCCAGCAGGGTTCTGAACTGAGTGGATGTGAAATGAGGGAAAGAGGGATGCTGCGGTCGGCAGAATCGTGCCTCCCGCAAAGATGCCCCATCCTAACCCGTCACCCTTGACAGTGAGACCTCCACCACAAAGGGGACTTTGCAGGCATGAAGGTTAAGGACCCTGAGAGGAGGAGATGGCCCTGGACTGTCTGGCGGGCCCAGCATCATCACAAGGGTGCTTATAAGTGGAGGAGGAGGCAGGGGGAGCCGAGCAGATGTGAGGATAGAAGCAGAGGTCGGAGGGACGTGCTGTTGGCTTGAGATGGAGGAGGACCTATGAGCCAAGGAGCATGGGCGGCCTCTGGAAGCCAGAAAGGGCAAGGCCTCTTCCCGGAGCCTCCAGCAGAACCCAGCCCCGCTGCCACCTCGACTGCAGAACGGTGACACCGTGTCCGATTCCCGACCTCCAGAACCGTGAGATAACACGTGTGCTGTTTTAAGCCACTGCAATTGTGGTATTTGTCACAGCAGCCATAGGAAACTGTACGGGGGTTAAAGAGGACCTGCTGACCTCTGAGCTCACACTGAAGCCTCCTGGAATGCTGTGGGTTGTGAGCTGGGATGAGAACGCAGCATGGAGATGAAAGACGCATCCACCCAGGAAGGCCCACTGGCATCGCAATCTCAGGGAAGATTCCCAGGCTGAAAAAAGAGAAAGTGGCTGGGGTGGCACTGAATGCCCCACGTCAAAGAAATGGCACCCAAGCCGTCCGTCAGTCCCTCACCTGCCACACAGACAGCACCTTGGACCCAGCAAGATGTCACTCACCACATTGATGCTGTCCACAGGCATCGCCTTGCTTTTGCAGCTCTGTGTGAGATTTGTCAGCTTGGTTTGGGTCTGGGGCTGTATTAGAGCTGTCAGCCTAGGAGCCTACCCTAGTTTTGTGTCTGCACTATTTCCAAAGCACTGGAATAAAAGGCATTTTAACCAACACCAGGAACCCACGGGAATCTTTTCAAAGGATCTGCATCAGATCAGCCTAAGGAACACTGCTGTCGGTGATGAAATCTGTTGAGGATTCGAAGCTGGCGTGTGGTGCACGCAAATTCCTTTTTTCTTTTTTAATCAATGATTAGATGATTCCTTAGAGCAGTTTTAGGTTCACTGCAAAACTGAACAGAAAGTGCAGAATTCCCATATCCCACCTTCCCAAACACACACACAGTTTCCTCTGTGACTAACATCTTGCATCTTGTGGTACATTTGTTACAATTGAGGAACCAATATTGACCCATTATTATAAAGTCAGTAGGTGACATAAGCAGTCACTGTTGGTGTGGTGATTCTGTGGCTTTGGATAAATGTATAATGACATATATCCGCCATTACAGTATCACGCAGAATAGCTTCACTGCCCCCAATGTCCTCCGTCCTCCATCCACTCACTCCTTACCTCCCCCAGCCCCTGGCAACCACTGATCCTTTCCTGTCTCCACAGTTTTGCCTTTTCCGTATGTCACAGGGTTGGAGTCATACAGCTTGTAGCCTTTTCAGATCGGCTTCTTTCACTGAGTAATGTGTAGTTACTCTTCCTGTCTTTCAGCGACTTAAGAGCTCATTTCTCCTTAGCACTGAATAATAATATTCCGCTATCTGGACGTACCGCAGTTTATTTATCATCCGCTTTGTGAAGGGCACCTGGGTTGCTTCCAAGTTTGGGCAGTTATGAAGAAAGCGACGAAAACATGCCGAAAACCTGGCTCACGCACTGTGTTCATGGCGTGTGGAGGGGGCGCTTCGACCATCAAAGGAAGTTTGGAAGGAGGCAGAGTTCGGTGGCCTTGGGGCCCCTGGGGCGGCATGACTCCAGGGGGTGGGAGAGCTTTCTGGAAGGTGAGCTGTCCAGCAGCGTGGGGACTAGGGCGGCTAGGACATCTCAAGAAATCCTTCCCTGACACATCGCCTCCCCCGCCAGGTCTAAGCAGAGGCCAGGAAGACCTGACAGGGATGTGTTCTGCTCTGCGAGAAGACTGGGCACTGCTACATCCTGGGACTCTAGGCCTGGGCAGCTCTTCCCTTGGCAGAGGGCACTGCTCTCCTGCTGCTGCCGTCACCTGCTTGCCATCACCACGAGGGGCAGCCCGAGGGCAGGGCGTGAGAACCTTTCATCTCTATCCCTGCTCCCCATCTCAGGACCTCCAGGTGCCCCCAGCCACACCTGAGCCATGAAGGCTTTGCCATCTGACCCCTGCTCTGCACAGGAAGAAGCAGGAGATGGCACAGATGGGCATAGAGCCAGAGCCACCCCAGCCCTGCTGCAGGACCAGCCCTCAGCCGCGTTATCAGTGCCCATCTGAGTCAACTGTGCACAAAAACAGGAAGACTGGGACAAGATCTTTCACCTTCCTTCGATTGTCATCATCCAATTGTTCTTCCCGCGGTGACGCCATCCGGCAGCTTCACCGATATTCCTCTCTGGCATGACAGGGCCAGGCCCACCCCCCACAGAGGAGACAAGGAGGCGGAGAAGCCAGCCTTTCTGCAGGGCATAGGCACAGGGCTATGTGGTTGCCAGATGCACAGAAAGACCCTCAACCACAACCTGGGCTTTCAGGGCAAACCCAAGGGGCTTTTCGTGACTATGCCGGGGGCGTGGAAATGACTCCTCAAAATGCAGCACTTGCGGCAACAGGGGAGCAGCCCTGCCAGAGAGGCCCAAATCCTGGACTCAAGTGCCTGCTGCATGGCAGGTGGTCCCGGACAGTGAGGGCCCTCTCAGAGGAAAACATGGTGAGACCTGGGATCTGGGCTTTGACAACTGGCCAGTAAGATTGAGGCTGGCAGGCTTGTGGGCACAATTGGCCACAGCAGCCGCTGCACTCCTGGAAGAGCTGCATGAGGAGTAGGTGGCTTCCCCAGAGTCCCCACCTCCAGCAGGAAAGCATGGACAGGAACCAGAGGGGCTGGAACCTCTGGAGACCTGGTAGGGAAAGGCCACCCAACCCCCCGGTGCTTCTAGGAAGATTTTTCAATGTATGATTCTGACCAGTGGGAAGTTGCCACAAAGCCCTGGGGCTGGAAGAAGCCATGCACCAGGATAGCAGGTCTTAAGTGAGGAGGGCAAGGACAAAGATGAATCAGGACACCCACCCAGAGCCCGGAAGGTGGAAGAAGCTGCCCTCACCTCACCAGCCCCTGCTAGATACTCACACACTCACACACATGGGTGTGCAGGTGCACACACGCATGCACACACACACACACACACACACAGGGGCTGCTGGGAAGTGAGTGGGTCCCTGCTCCCTGTGGAATATGTGAAGCCACTTGGGGCCAGCTGGGCTTTGCCACATCATTCCCGCCTGTGAAAGAGGCCTCTGAGGTTCTGGTGCCACCTGGATAATTCAAAGCCCATCCAGCCTGGGGTTGTCCCCCTACCAGGATCTTCCCCAGGGCTTTGGAGGCCTCACCCTTCCTGGCCTCCAGGGGCTCCATTCATGTCCAGCATAAACACATGGCCGGGAGGGGAGGCTGGCTTTGCTGATCCCAGGGCCCAGACGTTCACAACTGGGAACTTGAAGGGTGTGGGGCCGAGTCCCAGCTCCTACACCTCTGTCCTCACCTCTGCACCAGGCCTGAGATCCCTGGTCCTAAGTACCTCCTGGGGATGATGTGAGCTCCGGGAAGAAAAGAGGAGGCAGGGCTTGATGACAGGAGCTCCTGGGGCAGGTGGGGCAGCTGGGATGACCGTGCTGGTGGCAGACTTTGAGGGGCACGGGATGCCTTGCTCTCCTCCACCCGCAGGGCTTTAACAATATGCAGCAAGCTCAGCTGGGTTTGGGAGGCCATGACAGCCCAAGCCCCCTGCAGCAACAGTGAATGTTTCTCCTGACCAAGATTGGCTGGGAAGAGACAGCAGCGTGCCATCGGGTGAAGAAGGTGGGTTGTGCAGAAAATTTCAGCTACAAGCGACAGAACACCAATTTAAACTGGTTACAGCCAAAAGGAGAGGGTTAATTGATGTAGAAGAGCTTCAGGCATAGCTGGTTCCAGGAGTCTGTCATCGGAACTTGGGGTCTCCATCCCTCCTTCTCTAGCTCTGCTTTCCCGTGTTGGTATCACTCACAGGCAGACTCGTCCTTCTGTCTTTTCCTTCTAGTCCAAGACGGGCATGGCGCCAGAGCCATCCTTGTCCCGGGTGGCCACCTCGCCAGCTGCAGAACCAACTTCCGGCAGCATTATCCGTGCTTTCCTGAGTTGACGAGCACCATGCACTCAGGGGAGCTCTACCTTGCTTTGAGGGTGGTTTGGATGTTCTCTCTTCCCTCTCTTTTCTTTCTGCCCCCAACAGAGAGACAGTTGTGGGGACAACTGAAGGGGCTTGGTACTGGCATCTGGAGGGCAGAGGCCAGAGATGCTGCTAAATACCCTACAGGGCCCAGGACAGTCCCCACAGCAGAGAATTATCCGGCCGCATTGCAGGATAGAGAAATCCTGGGACAAGTGGCTGTGGACGTCCAGGTGTGGTCATTCCTCCAGCCACAGCAGGCTTTCAGAAGTTGTCCTGAGACTGCAATGCAGGGGGGCACTGTACTCAGGAGCAGGGTGGTCCCCACCTGGGCTGAGGACAGATCTTTGGGAGGCAGCAGTGGCCTGAGCCCTGGACCAGGATGCAGGGGTCCCGGCTCTCGTTCTCCCTCATTCCCCCACTGCTCAAATGTGTCACTCCTGCCTTGCCACCCCCATTTACTTGTCTGAGGCAGGAGCTGATCTAGGAGCTGGGGAACCACTCACAGGTCTTGGGCAAAGGTCAGTGCCTGCATAGACTTGGCCAGCACAGTGTGCTTGAGCCCACCATCTCAGCCTCCTCACCACGGGGATTGTGCGGCCAGGGAAGTGCTGGCTTGCTTCCAGGTTGGTTTGGGTGTTTTCTATTTCCTCTCTTCTCGTGGCGCCCACCCGCCCCCCCGCCCCGCCCTGCCCCAGGTTCCCATTGAAATGCCGGCCAAAAGGACAGCTACACAGGCAGTTCCAGACCGCAGCCTTCCAGGGCCCTGCTCTGAGCAGCTGCCTGAGAGTCCCAGGCCGGGCGTACATTGTTCCATTTTTGGAATTCTTCGGGAGTGAGAGCAGCCTCGGCTGTCAACAGTGCTCTGTTCACAGAGGCCGGCCCGGCAAAGGAGAGAGGGCGAGCTATTGTCCAGGGCTGGGCTGCGGGCTGCAGGAATGTGCTGGAATGCCGGCCCGCATGGCACAGTCCCAGAGCGGGGCCTTTGTGTGCAAACACCACCGGGCAGCAGGGCCATCACATAAATAACGATGACCTCACCCCCAGATATCAGGCTCTGTGGTGGGATGGGGTGGGGGCGGGGGCCGGCCCCCAGAAAGGAGACCACAGGGGAGGCGCACCCTTCCCCACACACAGGGCACTGCAGCAGCCTCTGTGCAGGAACGCCAGCCAGAGTGGGGTTGGGGTGGATGTCTGCCCCTGGAAGCAGGCTGCATTTACTGTCTGGGGCCAATTGATACCCCTCAGTGCCTGAGACCTGGGCATCAGGACTCAGAGCCTCAACTCCAAAGGGTCCTGATGAAAATGCTGGTATAGGTATAGGCAGTTCAGGTCCAGGTGCAGAGGTGCAGGTATGGGCATGTGCAAGTTGCAGGTATAGGCGGAGGGGTGCAGGTATAGGCAGAGGGGTGCAGGTATAGGTGGAGGGGTGGAGGTATAGGTGGAGGACTGCAGGTATAGGTGGAGGGGTGTGGGTATAGGTGGAGGGGTGCAAGTGTAGGTGGAGGGGTGCAGGTATAGGCGGAGGGGTGCATGTGTAGGTGGAGGGGTGCAGGTATAGGTGAAGGGGTGCAGGTATAGGTGAAGGGGTGCAGGTATAGGTGGAGGGGTGCAGGTATAGGTGGAGGGGTGCAGGTATAGGTGGAGGGGTGCATGTATAGGTGGAGGGGTGCAGGTATAGGTGAAGGGGTGCAGGTACAGGTGGAGGGGTGCAGGTATAGGCGGAGGGGTGTAGGTATAGGTGGAGGACTGCAGGTATAGGCGGAGGGGTGTGGGTATAGGTGGAGGGGTGCAAGTGTAGGTGGAGAGGTGCAGGTATAGGCGGAGGGGTGCATGTGTAGGTGGAAGGGTGCAGGTATAGGTGAAGGGTTGCAGGTATAGGTGAAGGGGTGCAGGTATAGGCAGAGGGGTGCAGGTATAGGTGGAGGGGTGCAGGTATAGGTGGAGGACTGCAGGTATAGGCGGATGGGTGTGGGTATAGGTGGAGGGGTGCAAGTGTAGGTGGAGAGGTGCAGGTATAGGTGGAGGGGTGCATGTGTAGGTGGAGGGGTGCAGGTGTAGGTGGAGGGGTGCAGGTATAAGTGAAGGGGTGCAGGTACAGGTGGAGGGGTGCAGGTATAGGCGGAGGGGTGTAGGTATAGGTGGAGGACTGCAGGTATAGGTGGAGGGGTGCGGGTGTAGGTGGAGGGGTGCAGGTGAAGGTATGTGCAAGTGTGGGTAGGTGGAGGGATGGAGGTATAGGTATGTACAAATGTGAGTATAGGTGGAGGGGTGCAGGTACAGGTGAAGGGGTGCAGGTACAGGTAGAAGGGTGCAGGTTCAGGTGGAGGGGTGCAGGTATAGGTGGAGGGGTGCAGATATAGGTGGAGAGGTGCAGGTACAGGTGGAGAGGTGCAGGTACAGGTGGAGAGGTGCAGGTATAGGTGGACGGGTGCAGGTACAGGTATATGCGGGTGCAGGTACAGGTATATGCAAGTGCAGGTATAGGCAGGGGGATAGCGAGCCCTAGATACATCCCTGGGTGATGAGGCCCACTCCGCCTCCTCCAGGCTTGTCACCTCTGTGAGCTGCTGTACCTCCTTCCTCAGTAGAAAGGGGACCACAGAGATAAGTCATGCCTTCAGCACCTGCCAGCGGCAGGTGTGATGAGAAGGGTGTTTTCCCTCTGGGGTCTTCCTTCCCAAACCCCATAACCCAGTCCAACTATGAGATCAACTAAAGGGCATTCTGTGAAATCCTCAAAACCAGTCCTCAAAACTGGTGAGGATGTCACAAGCAAGCAAAGAGAGAAGCTGCCGCAGCCCAGGGAGTCTCAGGAAATGGGGTGACCCAGTGTCACGTGGGGCCCTGGATGGGGCTCTGGGACAGAAAAGGGTATTGTGGGAAAGCCAAACAAACTACAGACCTTAATTAACAAGAATGCATTGACATGAGTTCGTTAACTCTGACAAGCACACCCTACTAATATTAGATGTTCACAGTAGGGGAAGCTGGGTGTGGGGCACGCGGGAGCTCTTGCTGTGTCCGTAACTTCTCCGTGAAGCTGCAACTGTTCTAAAGTGGAAGGTGTGTAAAGCCGAATGGTTAAGAATCCAGCTCACCCTGGGACACGCAGCAGGTGCCCAGCCAGCGGCAGCCCTGACCATGAGACCAGCCCACCCCTTTCACTCTGTCTACTCAGAGAAGCCTCTTTGCTGTAACCCACACAGTGGTTGGAACTGTACAGACTTCATCATGAGGAGTAAGTGCAAGCAGGAGGTAGGAGTGCATTGGCGGGAACCTGCAGAGACTGGGCGAGTCCCTGTTCTGTCCCTTCCTGACTCCAGGGCTTGAGTGAGCGACACCACCTGCTTCTTGGGGCTGCTGTGGGGCAATGAGAAGACCCAGTGGGATTTGCAATGTAGGGCACACCTGCTCCACACTGCGACCAGAGCCCTTTCAACTCAGACCGAATCTGGAGGCGTCTCTGAGCCTGCTTTGCTGGCCCCAGCTCTCCTCTCTCCTGCCCCTTCCTGGCCAACCTCAAAGGAGGGCCCTCGAGGCCTAGCAGAGACGCTCCCACCAGGCAGCGTGTTACAACACACCATGTTGCCTTCCCGCGCCTCCGGCAGCACTGTGATGGAAGCTCAAGGGAACAATTTGCAGTGTCCAGGGCTGAAGCCTGCTTAGGGTCCAGCTGCTGCCACCAGCATGCAGGCTCTCACACAGCAGGGGCTGCTGCCCCACTTGGCAGGGCAGGGCGCTGAGGACCAGAGGGGCAAACCATTTGCCCAAGGTCATTGCCAGGACTTAAACCTGCAAGCTGGAACCTGTGCTTTCAATCATAGTGTCCAGTGGGCCAAAACAGGTCCCCTAAGAGGGAAGGGGCTGCCCCGAGGCCACACAGCTCACAGGCACTGAGTCCTTGCACCAGTACAGGGACCTGTCCTCCCTGCAGTCTAGGAGGCTCCATCTGTGCAGCCCCAGAAGACAAATCCTCCAGCCTGGCAGGCAGGGAACTGCTTGGAGCCAGGAAGTTCAGGCAGGCACCTGGCGCCCCAGAGCGCTGCATTCTCGCTTCCACTCTGCACCTGCCCCAGACCCTGAGCAGCCCCACACAGAGCCTGAGCAGTGCATGCATTTGTGCAAACTGGCCAGACAGCAGGTGCAGGGGGCACGGTGTCTTTGTGGGCCAGGCCCCTACTTCCTGCACACGTGTGTGTCAAGGCACCTGCACCTCCTTATCTCTCCTAGGTGTGTCCAGCCTCACAGCCCACCCTCCTGGCCCTGCCTCTGACCTTTGCTCCAACCAGTCCACCCATGCACCCCTCTTGCTTCCCACCCATGGTTCAACCTGTTTGCTCTGCTGGAGATGGGTCACACTTCCACTCCCGGCCGCCCACCGGCTCCTGCTCATCCCCTTCCCTCGGAGTGGGGTGTTCCTCCTCACCCAAACCTGGGCCAGGCACCCCTCCTCTGGGCTCCATGTCACCCAGGCAGGCATCACCCTGCAGGGAAAGTCCACATTGCCTCGTCTGTCTGTCCAAGTAGACTGTGGGCAAATCGAGGCCAAGGCTGGGTCTGAATCATCTCAGCACCCCAGGGTCTGACACCGCCTGGTGCTCAGCCAGCACCTGCTGGATGGAAAGAAAGGAGGGAGGGGGAGGAAGGAGGGAGGGAGAGCAGATGCATGGAGGGAAATAAGGAAGGAGAGAAAGATAGACGAGTGAAAAAATAGTTAGGAAATGTGTCCAGAAATGGAGAGATGGAAAGGAGAGAGGGGGGAAGTAAGGCATGAAGAAGGAAGAAAGGAAGGAAGAGAGGGAGGGAGGGAGGTTAGATATGCATGAAAGGATGGAAGGAAGGATGGAAAGATAGAAAAATGGGTAGTTGAGGAAGGGCTGGAGGATTGGTGAATGAAGGGAGAGATGGATAGAAGAGAGAGGGAGGAAGGGAGGGAGGGAGAGAGGAAAAGGAGTGGGGAGGGCTGAAAGGAGGAAGATGGAAGGAAGAATGGGTGGATGGAGGAAAGGAGGGCTGGAGGAGTAGATGTGGGTAGACGGATGGGTTTGTTGGGTTTGGGAGGGTGGGGTTGGGCGGAAACTCTTTACACTCTACTCAGGCTGTGTCCTCCCTTTGATGAACAAGGGGATCTCCAGTGACCTGCCAAGCCCAGGTCATTGGTAATGGGGCGGAGTGGGGATGGTGAAGATGTCATAAGAACCCACTGGCCCCCAAGTGATGTTGGCAGCATGGGCACCTGGGGTCGCCAAAACAAGACAGGTGCGTGCCCAGGCATGCCAAAATCCCCTGCAAATGTGGAAAGCACCAGAATCCTGGGGATTTTTCTAGCATGGATTTTATTTTGCCAATGAAAAATAATCACAATCACATACAAGTGGCCATAGAAGGAAGCCCAGCGCTGAGGTGACCTGCTGAATAGAGAGCTCCTTCCAACCCCTCGGGCCGGCCGTGGACGTGACCGCCCAACTTGGCTGTCCAGCCCCACCACCCAGCAGAGGCTCCTTCCCTGACATGAGGCCGGCTTTGCCACCCAGAGGCACACTCGGCACCAGAATGGCCCTCACCAGGAGGCTTCAGCGTCCCCCCATGGCCTGCCTGTCCATGGACCTCCGACGCGGCCACCTGGGGCATGCTGCCTCTGGTGCTCAATCACACGGGACCTGAGAGAGTGCAGCGAGGCCACGGCCTGACCCCTCATCTCCATCCCTGTCTTCACCTCTGTGCGCCACTCCACAGGCCTTCTTTTCTCGGCTCAGGCCCCAGAGTCTGGGGTGAGAGATGCGAGCTTTGTGCTCCTCCTCCACCACATTGAAACAGGACTATCAGGAGGTGTGTATGCTGTTAAGTGGGGACGAGGGGCTGCTAGATCACGTGTGTAATAGAATGCCGATTTTGCAAATCTACAGCCACACGCAGAGAAACAGACTGAAAGACCACAGATAGCAGGACTCCTAACCAGCCCCACCTGGCTGGCCTCCACCAAGCTGCCTCTAAGCCAACCGGCCCCATTAACCCACACAGGCCGCCTAACCAGACCCACCTAGCTGGCCTCCACCAAGCTGACCTCTAAGTAGCCAACCAGCCACATTAACTCACACACCCCACTCTGGCTGCAGAGCTCCACTGATGCCCACATGGAACTGGCAGCCCCAGCTGGCACCTGCTTCCTGGCACCCTGCCCACCTACTCCCAGCTGCATCTGCCCACTGAGGTCAGTGGGTTCACGCATCTGCTAATACCTCTGTACTTCTAATCACAACTACGGTCATCCCTTGGAACCCAAGGAGGATTGATTCCAGGATCCCCAAGGAGACCAAAATCCACAAATGCTCCACTCCCTTATATACAATGCTGTAGTGTTTGCATAGAACCCAGGCACATCCTCCTGCATACTTTAAATCTAGATTACTTATAATACCTAACAAAATGTGGTGTAATATTATGGGGGAGGCGGTCTTGTTGTCTCAGGGTTGGCAGAGTTGGAAGAAAATCCACATGTAAGTGGACCCTTGTGGTAAAATATAATATGCCACATTTTATTAGGCATTATAAGTAATCCAGATTTAAAGTAATTGTAATACTAAGCAAACAGTTGTTATTCTGTATTTTTTGTTTCATTGTTGTGTTATTTTTATTGTTGTATTTTTAACTGAATTTTTTCCTTAAATCATTTTGATCCAAGATTGGGTGAATATGTTGATGCAGAACCAGTGGATACGGGAGGCTGACCATGCATCACTTAATTTATTTTGTTAACTAGTACATAAACCTACCTATGAAATCCGAGTGCAAAAATATGGTTACTAATCTACGAAAATGAAGCTTTACGCTTTAGAAAATGATACTGATAAGTTGCTTTAAAAAAAAAAAAAAAAAGCTTCCGCCTAGTAAAGGGTGAGGCAGCTGGAAACAATTGTGATGCCCGTTCATATCATTCTAGAAAAATCCTGAATTCAGACTGTGTCACATGTCTGTAAGCTTCCACTTCACCTTAAAGAAATTGAAACTGAGAATGAGCGTGGTCTGTGCTTAGGAGAAGACGTGGAACTCCAGTGGGCAGTTTCATCAAATCAATGTACAGCTGACCCTCAAACAGCCCGGGTTTGAACTGGAGGGTCTTTCCACTTCTCCCTGGGTTTTCTTCTGCCTCTGTCACCCAGGAGATGGCAAGACCAACCCCCCACCCCTCCTCTTCCTCCTCCTCTTCCTCAGCCTACACAACATGAAGACCACAAAGATGGAGACCTTTACCATGATCCACTTCCACTTAATAGTAAATACATTTCTCTTCCTTATGATTTTCTTAGTAACATGTTCTTTTCTCTAGCTTGCTTTATGGCATGAATAGTCTATACCATACAAAATATGTGTTAATTGACTTTGTATGTTATAGACAAGGCTTCCACTCAACAGTAGGCTATTAGTAGTTAAGTTTCGGGGGAGTTGAAAGTTGTAGGTGGATTTTTCATCTGCAGGGGCTTGGTCTCCTACTCTCCATGTTGTTTAAGGGTCCACTGCACAGTTATGCTGTTTGAGATTAAAATACAACATGAAGCATGAGCATGTATCATGTTGCTGCTCTCCCCCCTGCTTTAAATGATTTTTACTTTCTTCTTTGGATTTTTCTGTGTTCTTCAAATTTTTTTCCAACAAGCATGCATCACTTTTATCACCCAAAAGAATAATGGCTATGTCTTTAGCCAGTGTCAGCGCACTGGGAGAATTGCTGTGCTCGGATGCCTTCTGCCAGGGTCTGTGCCTCGTCCCTCCCTGGGGTAGGATGAGGGTTTCTCAGCCAGGGTCTGGCCTCATCCCTCCCTGGGACAGGATCGAGGTGTCTCAGCCACAGTGTCATGGGCCCGTTGGGCCAAGTCATCCTTTGTTGAGGGGAGGAGCGGAGGCTGTTCTGTGTTCCTCATCCCCGGCCTCCACCTACAAGAGGCCGGAAGGGTCCCCTCCAGTTGTGACAAGGGAGTGTCTCCAGATCCCATCAAACGCCTGTGGGGACAAAATCACTGCAGGCTGAGAAACTGATACAGATTTTTAAAACCCCACTTGGGGACCCCAGCCTCCACCCTGCTTCTGACCGTGTCCTCATCACACTGAACATTAGTTGGGTGAAACTTAAAATGCTCTCAACTATCTGGCTGTGCCGGCTTCACAGAGCCAAACCCTGCACCACTGGAAAATAGTGCATGTCTAAACTCCATCTTTGGATGTTCACCACTGCTTCTGCAGGGCGAGGGCCCGGCTCTGTCACTCCTGAGAAGGCTATTCCCAAAGTGGATGGAGCCCTGGGCAGGTCCCCTTCCCCTGCAAGGCACCAAGAAACCAACAGGCAGTCCGCTCCTCGGAGGCAGCTCTCTTTTCAAGCATTCTTTCTGGTTTTCCGTTCCTAAAAGGACGCTGCCTTTCTCTGAGCCTGTAAGAGCCCTCAAAGGGTCCAGCAGAGGCCAGAAGGCTGAGCAGGGGCCTCCCTGGATGAAGTGGGGAGTGGGGGTGGGGTAGATGCTGCAGGCATGCCCTGCACCCACCCACCTCCCAGCCATGTGCCCTGGGTGAGGCCTTCGCAGGAACTCTGACCCCTCTGCTTCCCATAAAGTGTTAGGTGTTGGTCTCGGGGAGCCTGGCTGGTGGATTAGTTCCTTCTCAAGCTGCTATAAAGAAACACCTGAGGCTGGGTAATTAATAAAGAACAAAGGTTTAACTGGCTCACAGTTCCACAGGCTGTGCAGGAAGCATAGTGGCTTCTGGGGAGGCCTCAGGAAGCTGATGATCATGGTGGAAGGTGAAGGAGAAGCAGGCACCTCTTACATAACCTGAGGAGGAGCAAGAGAGAGAGGGCGGGGAGGTGTCACATACTTTTAAAAACAACCAGATCTCGTGAGAACTCATTCACTATCACAAGAACCGCACCAAAGGGGGAAATCTGTGCCCAGGATCCAATCACCTCCCACCAGTACCCACCTCCAACACTGGGGAGTATAATTCCACATGAGATTTGGGTGGGGACACAGATCCAAACCATATCTGTTGGTTTAGCCACAAGTGAGCCCCTCCTGCCATATGCTGGGCAGCCAGGGAAGCTACCCAGGATGCCTCTGCCATCAGGGTCCGTCACTGTGAGCCCAGGGGAGGCCATTGATGAAGGTGGGTGGGTGAGGCTTAAGGTAAATGAAGGTGGGGCACAAGGTGGGAAGGTTCTGGAACATCTGGGCATACTTCCCCATGGGGTGTACACCAGGAGGCACAGAGGGCAGCCCACATCACCAAGGGCCTCCAGTGGCCGGCTGACTTTAGGCTGAGTCGGCAGACCACACGCCCAAGAGTGACAAGGCCAGTCACTGGAAGCGGAAGAAACGCTAGACATTTATCCTTATTTTCTCAGACCTTTTTAGAAATAACAGCGTTATTGACCAAGAATACCATACAATTCATCCATTTCCAGTGTAAATTCGGTGGTTTCGAGTATATTCACAGAGTTGTGCAACCATCACCACTCCTAATTTTAGAACATTTTTATCACCCCCGAGAAACCCCACACCATTAGCAGCCACCCCACATCCGCCGCTCCACTTCAGTCCCAGCAACCACTAATCCACGTTCTGGCTCGGTGGATTGACTGCTTCTGGACATTTCATACAAATGGAACATACACTGCGTGTGGCTTTGGTGACTGGCTGCTTTCAGGGTTCATCCGTGTTGTAGTGTGTGTCAATGCAAACCTTCTTTTATGGTTGAATAGCACCCCATGGTTTGGGCACAGTACAGGCTATTTATCCATCCTTCAGTTGATGAGCTTTTGAGTTGTTTCGTTTTTTGGCTGGTATTACACTGCTGGGAATGTTCACGTCCAAGTGCTACCATTTCTCTTGGGAAGATATCTAGGAGTGGAGTTGCTGGGTCACACAGTAACTCTACGTTTAACATTTCGAGGAATCGCCAGGTTGTATCATTTTACATTCCCACCACAACGAATGAGGTTCCAGTTTCTCCACATCCTCACCAATACCTAACACCATCTGCCTTTTTAATTTTAGCTATCCTAGTGGCTGTGGAGTGCCATCCTAGTCTTCTCTGGATTTGTGATTCCCTAATGACTAATAATGTTGAGCATCTTTTCATGGACTTATTGGCCATTTGCATGTTTTCTTTGGAGAAACGTCTATTCAAGCCCTTTGCCCATTTCTATTTGGTTTGTCTTTTTACTGTTGAATTGTAAGAGTCCTCTATATATTCTGGATACTAGACCTTTATCAGATATGACATTCGCAAATATTTTCTCCCATTCTGTGGGTTGTCTTTTCACTTTCTTGATTGTCTCCCTTGAAATACACGAGTTTTTAATTTTTGTTTTTTTGAGACAGAATCTCACTCTGTCCCCCAGGTTGGAGTGCAGTGGCTCAATCTCAGCTCATTGCAACCTCTGCCTCCTGGGTTCAAGTGATTCTCCTCCCTCGGCCTCCCAAGTAGCTGGTATTGTAGGTGTCCGCCATCATTCCCAGCTAATTTTTGTATTTTTAGTAGAGACAGGGTTTCACCATGTTGGCAAGGCTGGTCTTCAACTCCTGACATCAGGTGATCCACCCACCTTGGCCTCCCAAAGTGCTGGAGTTACAGACGTGAGCCACCATAGCAGCCAAGTTTTTAATTTTGATGAAATTAATCTATGATTTTTTGAATTGGATGAAAACCAACTCATCTAATTTTGATGAAATCTAATTCATCTATTTTCATATATTTATGAATTGGATGAATAAATCTAATTCATCTATTCTAGATCTTTTCTTTTTGTTTGGTTACTTGTTTTTTGATTTTTTTTCTTGGTGTCATATTAAGAATGCAAGGTCATAAAGACTTAAACCCACACTTTCTTCTACAAGTTTTATAGTTTTCTTCCATTTAGGTCTTTGATCTATTTTGAGTTAATTTTTGTATTCAGTATGGGGTAGAGGTCCGATTGCATCTTTTACACGTGGATACCCAGTTGTTCCAGCACCATTTGTTGAAAAGACATTCCTTGTTAAATGGCCTTGACACTTTTTGCAAAATTCAGTTGACTATAAATACATGAGTTTATATTTGATTTGTTCATTGCTAGTGTATAGAAATAAAAGGAATTTTTATATATTGATCTTATATCCTGCAACCATACCTAACTCATCTATTAACTCCAATAGTTTTTTATTTAATTTCTTAGGATTTTCTACATGTAAGATCATCTGCAAATAGAAATAGCTTTACTTTTTCCTTTCCATCTTGATGCCTTTTATTTCTTTTTCTTGCCTAATTACCCCCTCTAGAACCTCCAGAACAGCGTAGAAGTGATAAGAATGGACATCTTACCATGTCCCTTATCTTAGGGGAAAGTCTAGTCTCTCAGTATTAAGTAGAATATTAGATACAGGGTTGTTTGGTTTGGTTTCAATGTCCTTTATCAGGTACAGGAAGTACCTGTCTTCATATCTTTTTACTGAGGTATAATTCTCATAGAGTGAAGTTGACAAATCATAAGTGTATAAACAAATCTTAAGCTTGATGAATTTTTATGTGTGTGTGTGTGTGTGTGTACACCCATGAAACCACCACCAAGATCTGGCTATAGGACATTTCATTTCACACACCCAGAGAGTCCCGTTATGGGATTCCCCATTAGGTTTGCAAAATGCAGCAAAAAAACAAAAAACAAACAAAAAAAAAACCCAAATAGGATGCCCAGTAAGGCTTACAATGAGGGATGAACAAATAAAATTTTAGTATAAGTATGTCTTATGAAATATTTGGGACATATCCTGGGACATATTTACACACACGAAAAAAACTATTGATCATTTATCTGAAACACAAATTTTAACTGGGTATTTTGCATTTGACCACACTGCCATGAATGAGTTTTCCCCATCCTTGAACCTCATACAGCTGAAATCATAGTGCATGAACCTTGTTTCTTGTCCTAATGTTTCTGAGATCCATCCATGTTATTGCCTCTATCAGAACCACTCTTCTTCACTCCTGAGAAGTGTTCCATTGCCCAAGGTCTATGTTTGTTTTCCTGTTGACGCCTGAGCTGTTTCCACTTTGAGGCTCTTCTAGATGGAGCTGCCATGTGTGCTCTGGTGGGTGTCTTGCTATACACACATGCACTTATTTCTTTTGGGTAAATACTTAGAAGCGGAATTGCTGGGTCCCAGGTGGGCATATATTAGCTCTGTTAGAAACTAATTTCTTTTCTGCATACGTGTAAAAAATACATTAGTTCCTCACCCCCCTAAACACACACACACACACACAAACACAATAGTAACTATGTGAAGTGATGGGTGTGTTAATTAATTTGATTGTGATAATCATTTCACAGTCTATATGTATATCAGATTCTCATGGTGTACACCTTGACTATAAGCAATTTTAATTTGTTGATTATTCCTCAGTAATGCTGGGGAGAAAAGAGTAAAACAAAATCAAGACCACTCCATGCTTAGAGTAAAATCAATAAGATAACACTCTAAAAAAATAATAAAGATGTGAGTACAATAGTATGTGGGGTGTATGATAGGAGGATCTTGATTGATGGTGGTTGTGATCTAAAGAGTTGAGGAGTTCCGCAGATTGGGGACACTGATGGTTTGGGGGCAGGAAGGGGAGGTGATCAGAGGCACGCTTTAGGGAGGAAGTCTGACTCATGTTTGTGCCGGGTGCCGAGCCCATAGGGATGGTGCTTCCAGAAAGTCCACAGGACTCCAGATAAACAGCAAACCACTTGTTGGTATAAGTATGTATCAATGTATGTCCCCAAGAACGCACAGGGCATATTGACAAAATAGTATTCCTTATTTATCTGAAAATGAAATGAATGTACATGAAATCTCAATTTAATTGACTGTCCTCTATTTCTATGTGCTAAATCCAGCAGGTCCACACAGGCGTGCCCACAGAGCATGGGGAGGCACGGTCGCCATGGCACAAGTGAGGAAGGACTCGCTCTGGGCAGCCACCTCCTCACCACTGGGCACCTGACACCTGGGTCCAGGCTGGCTGGGCAGGGGCAGATGTGGTGCCTGCTGAGCCCCTCAGACCACAGCTCAGACCAACTGACACAGCCAGGCCCCTGGCCAGCACCTGCAGGCACTAGAGCCCAGGCCTGGCTCTCTCTGCAGGGCTCTGGAGTTCAGGCTCCCCACAGAGACCAGCTGGTACTGCCTGCCCACCCCTTCACCGACCACCACCACCACCAGGCATCCCGACTGAGAGACGAAGGCCTTGAGAGCAAAGGGGACTCTTCAGCAGGGTGTGCCCTGGGGGCAGCAAAGATGACTGCTGCTCTTCCCTCCTAAGGATTTGGTACCCTACCCATGCCCAGGGATAACAGTGCCCAGTTCAGCCCAGACTGAGGTCCAGGCCTCCTGGCAGGGGGATGCAGGAAGTGGAGCAGTTTCTGCACAAAAACATCAAGGATTCGAGCAGAGCCCGCGGCCAGCTCAACAAGCCTGGCACTGGCACATCCATTCATTTGTTCAGTACTTATGTGTTCAGCACTTGTGTATTCACAGCCGGCCACGTGCCAGGCTCTGGACACCCAGGGGGGCACAGTGCTTCTATGTGCTAAATCCAGCATGTAGAAACTGGGAGAAGTCTGGGTGGGGCTCTGCCAGCATCCTGAGTCCTGGTGGAGATGGTCGGCATGGTCAGCCCTGGCCACTCATGTCAGCTCCCTCCCACGGCCCCATGCTGCCCACACTTACAGGGAACCCAAATAGCCTGACAGGCCCGCCTCTCCAGGTAGCCCACACGTAACGTATCATGCCACTCAGAATACCCAAATGAGAGATTCCAGTTTTCAACTTGCTTCTCAAAGTTCTGCCTTCCTCATCTGAGCATGTCCAGCGGCCTGTCCTTGCCCGACTGCAGTGGCTGGTCCCGAGCTAAGACCCCGGGGACCTTCTTCAGGAGCGTATTTACCATCTGGGAATGGGGTATCTGGCAAGCCCCCAGGAGAGAGCCAACAATCTCATTTTGCAGATGGGAAGACCGAGATTGGGAGACGAGAAGAGTAGTCTGGAGGCCAGGTCTGCAGACTGAGCCTAGAGCTGCTCCCACAGCCCCTGCTGGGTCTGGCACGCTCATGTCCAGTGCTCGAGCCCCTCCCTGTAGATCACACCCACTTCTGACTCAGGCCCCAACAAGCCCTTGCTAGCCCAGCTTCCCCCTCCCCCGCCCAGGCAATACAGGCTTCTGCAACCCCTGACTCTGGGATGTGAGGCAGAATCCAGAGACCCAGGCCTGGGGGCTGTTTCAGCAGGTGTGAGCATCTACCTGCAGGAAAGTAGGTGCTTCCAGCAACCTGTGATCACCTTGACCTGCACACCTGTACACCAACAAGCCCCAGAGGGAGGTAGGAGCCACCCGACCTGGTCAGCATCCCACTGGGACAGACTGCACGTGAATCCAAAGATCCTGGACCGAAGCTCAGGTCTGTCTGGGTCACTGAGTTCCTTAAGACCCCACCCTCTGGGGGACTCTATGAAGCCTGACTGTGACCACTGCGTGGGTCAGATCAGGATAGATGGGGTGACTAGAGGCTCCATCTCACACACATCTCCAGCCCGGCTTCTTGGAAGGTCTGGGCATGACAACTTCTCTTCTCTGAAGATGCATCTCTGTCTGCTGGCGGGCCTGGCATCTTCTGGGGGTGCTTCTGGCATCTTCTAACAGGTCTGTGCTTCTCAGTGAGGCAGCTTGGCCACTTGGAAATGGCCACGCTGGGTCAGTAAGGACAAAGGAAGCCTTGGGGTCCAAACGGTGACTGGGTTCAGCTCACAAGAAAGCGGGGATCCCTTGAACTTCAAAAATTAGCAGTTCTGTCCACAGGGAGGGGTGGCCGAGGCAGAAGATCTGAAACTCATCAACTCTGGGCCTGGACGGGGCAGCATCTCAGCAAACCTTTCAGAGGTGCAGATCTGTAGGGAGCTACACAGGGCAGTGGCTCATGCCCACAGCCCCGGGCTCCAGCTTGGTTTTCCGGCCTCCTAGCAAGACACTACACCAACAGTGCAGGACGCTATGCCGAGGGTGGGGTCCATCTCCTTTCACAGAGGAAATAAATCAAAGCCTTCAAGTCCGAGTTTGATGGAAATATTTCAATCCTTCATGGGTAATGCCCATCATTCTAAATGTTTTGTGGTAACATACAGTGGAAATGACTGCAACATGACGTTGTTATTCCGTATTCTGAGCCAAACTCCTGAGGTCGGTCTTGTTTGCATCACATGTGGCCGGGGAATCGTCCCTTGAGGGCTTCTGTCTGCTTCTTGCCAAGCGGCTGAATGGATCGATGACGGAGGCATCTCCTAATTGCCACAGGGCTGCTCGTCCCTGCTCAGTGCACCAACCAGAAAGCCCAGTGAGGGAGGGGGATGCATCTGTTTGGAAACAGCGCATCATTGCCATCCTGTTGTGGGGTGTGCCATGAACCTAGTAGTCACACCGGGGGTTCTGAATGCGGTCCAAGCAACCGGTGGATGCCGGAGGAAGCATTTGCTTTCCTCTAATCCTTCCTACAGCCCCACCAGAGGCCCGCACTATGATTGTTGCGCTGTCACTAATTTTCCAAGGGTCATTTTCCCCCATCCAGAGGAAAGTGATGTTTAGAATTCCAAGTCGCTCACCCCTTCCATTGGAAGTGGAAAGTGAGGATGCCTGCCCACCCGTCCAGGGTCGATCCTCGGCCCTCGGCTGTCAGTGCACAGTGGAGAGATGGAGCCCAAGGGCCAGAAGGCGGAGGTCTAGGGGCCAGCAGAAGGGATGCCGTCAGCTTGGCTGCTGCTGCAAGCCCACTCATCTCTGCACCTGGAGGGTGACATTCATTCGGCCAGGGTGGGGCAAGGGGATCTTGCCTTCTCAGCCCAGGGCCTGGTCTCATGAGTGGGAGTATTTGGGGTCCATGCAGAAAGAGCAGGGGAGATGGGGGTGGCCTCCAAAGTTGCTGTCAGCATGCCCTTGGCTCAGGCTTTGAAGTATGTTTCCTGGTGGGGCTCCAGGTGCACAGGTGCACGCACCTAGCCAGCCACTGAAAGGAGCGAGACCCCAGGGCCATGGTCGGTGCTGATAGGTGCACCTCTGAGTGGCTGTGGCTTCTGTTTTGACTGGATGGTCAAAACTGGGGTGTCTTTAATCTGCCTGGCAGCCTCCCAGGTACCCTGAGGGTTCCAGAAGTTGGTGGGGCCCACCATGTGGGCAGGGCTGCGAGAGCCCCCGAGATCACCCTGAAGTGCAGGGACAGATCCGGGCACCTGGGGAAGTGGAGACAGGTGGAGACTTTGCGGTGACTTGCTCCCAAGTGGGACACTTTCTCCAGCATCTGGGCTTGCAAGCTGCCAGTGATGGTGTCCTGTCCTCGGGCCGGGGCCCCTTTGCCTTCAGGATGAAACTCCTCTCCCCGACACAACCCAAGATAGAAAGCGTCGTTCAGCTGCCAAGTTGTTCTGAACACTGTGATGCTCGGAACCAGAAACAACCCAAGACATTGACCCGCTTGTGGGACGCAGCAGGAGGCCCCTCCGTGCCCACCAGTCCTTCCTGAGAGTGCAAGTATGTCAGAGCTCGGCTTTGGCCTTCACCCGCCAACCTCTCTGGGGTCAGCGGAGGGGCCGCCCTCTCACTGTTGCTCTCTCGCTCCCTGGCCAGGTCACAGTGGAGGTCTCTCCCTCCTCCCTGACCCCTGAGCTCCTGAAGACTCCCAGCCTGCAGGATGACCTTCCTGAGTTTCCACACCCTCCCCTCCATGGGGTCTGGGCCTTGTTGCTGCGGTGTCTGTCTGTGTCC
This sequence comes from Homo sapiens, assembly GCF_000001405.40. Lineage (NCBI taxonomy): Eukaryota > Metazoa > Chordata > Mammalia > Primates > Hominidae > Homo > Homo sapiens. Next base: position 69,513,332 of record NC_000011.10, read on the forward strand.
TGCACGCGGATGGCGTCCAGGGCCGGGAAGAGGGGCTCACCTCCTTCTCCTCCTATCTGGCCTGGGTAATTGGGGACAGTGGGGAGACAACTGAGGTGACCTCTGCAAGACCCGCCCCCCACCACCTGGTGACAGCGGGTGTACGGCACTTCCTGCCGCACAGAAGTCAGCTTCCATCAGCCTCCACGAAGAGAGAATGTTAGGGTCTTGCTCGTGGGGGCCAGATTCCCCCTTCTCTCCCTCCCTTCTCTTCTCCCTCCCTGCTTCCCATCTTCCCTTTTTCCTTTCCTTCCTTCTCACCTTCCTCTCTTCCTCCGTCTCCTTCTTTCCTTCGCTCCCTCTCATCCTCCTCCCTTTTTCCCTCCCCATGGGGAGAGCTGTGATGACTCTCTCCTTACATAGAAGGGGGTGAGCCAGGCACAAGGAGGAGACACGAAGGCCAGGGAAGGAGCCTCTGCTTGAATAGCCCTGGGGACGGGGAGTTCACTCCCTCTGCAGACTGTGTCCACCCCATCTGGAGATCTTGCCTCAAGCTGAAAGCTCAGTGCTGGTGTCCCCGGCCCGGGTCCCCTTCCCGTCCATGGGAAGCGAGGGAGATTTGCAGGCCCAGAGCCTCTTCCTTGGCTTTTTCCTCCAGCCCCACCTCTTGGCTTCTCTGCAACTCCGCATTACATCTCTTTAGGCCCCAAACAGCCACCCAGGCCCCAAGAAGCCTGTCAAACCCCAGATGTTTGCCGACACCGTGAGAGGCCCCGGGTGTTCTAGAACACTTGGAGGCCTGGAAGCACTGTGTGGAAGGAACACCTGGCGGACAGGCTGCTGAATGGCTTTCTGTAGATGCTGGACAATGGACAGAACAGCCTCCTTCAGGTGACAGAGCCACAGGGGCCTCAGAAGGAGGGGTGACTCTCTCCACCTCTGTCCCACTCTTCCCCAGGCACCCAGGCTCTGCCTCCTGGTGTCACAAAGTCCCACCAAGACTCATGCATTGGGCCAGGCGCGGTGGCTCATGCCTGTAATCCCAGCACTTTGGGAGGCTGAGGCAGGTGGATCACTTGAAGCCAGGAGTTCAAGACCAGCCTGGCCAACATGATGAAATCCCGTCTCTACTAAAAACACAAAAATTAGCTGGGCATGATTGCATGTGCCTGTAATCCCAGCTACTTGGGAGGCGGAGGCAAGAAAATTGTTTGAACCCGGGAGGCAGAGCTTGCAGTGAGCCGAGATCGTGCCACTGCACTCCAACCTGCGTGACAGAGTGAGATTCCATCTCAAAAAAAAAAAAAAAAAGACTCATGCATTGAGGAATGTCCCAGTAGAAAGGATCTCAGGCAAAAAAATAAATAAATAAAAAATAAGAACCAAAAAAGAGGTAAAGGGACAAATGTCTGCCACAACTTGGTTCTGTCCTCACAACACACTCTGTGTAGGAGGATGCGGGTGTTCACAGCTGGCGTTGAAAGTGCAGTGTGACTGGGGCTTTGGTGGCTGCGAGAGTCAAAGGAGGGGCATCTCCACTCCACAGATCAATTCCAGGAGCCCAGTGAGGAAGGCAGAGGCCCTGATGCTTCTTGCTTCACAGAGGAGCAAACTGGTGCTCAGAGAGGTTGTGCTACTTGCCTAGGAACACACAGCCCAGCAGCAGAAGAGCCAGGACTAGACACTGAGTCTCACAACCCCACAGCATGGCTCTAGCATTGAATGTGCCCAAGAGAGCTGGACCTGCCGTGGCCCCACATGGAGACAGGGAAACGTCCACACAGGACAACGTCTTCCATGATGAAGATGTTTGGATGGTTCAGATCTCACCCAAACCTCCTGTTGAACTGAAATCCCCAGTGTTGGAGGTGGGGCCTGGTGGGAGGTGATTGGATCACGGGGGTGGAGATCTTGTGAATGGTTTGGCACCATCCCCCCTTGGTCCTGTATAGTGAGTGAGTTCTCCCCAAAGCTGTTTTTTTTAAAAGTATGTGGCACCTCCCGCTCCCCACATGGTGACTTCAGGCAGCTCCACCGAGCACTCCATACAGGAGACCTGCACAGGTGCCCTGAGCTGGCATGACTCCGCCCATGCCCTCTGGGATCCTGTTTACCTAAAATCCACAGTAACCAGAGCTCTCAGTCATCCTGACCTTGGGCCTGCAGATCCATCTCTGCAAATCAGGTCAAATAAACCAGTTGTTTAATTTAGGGGAAACAAGAGGCATACCTGAGCTTCCAGGTGTCTCCACCCCAGGAGTGATCCTCTAGCAGACGGCCCTGTGGCTGCTGCCTGCCCAAAGGCTTCTGGCTGGGCTTGCTCTTCCTGGACACTTGGTGCTGTGGTCTGCGTGTTTCTCACCTCCGAAACTCGTGTTGAAATGTAATTCTCAACGTAGCAGGATGGAGGGGTAGGGCCTTTAAGCGGTGATTGGGTCGTGACACCTCTGCCCTCATGAATGGATTAAGACATTCATAGATGAGTGAATTAATAGTTTAATGGATTGATGAGGTTGTCATGGGAGTGGAACTGAAGGCTTTATAAAAAGAGGAAGAGAGATCTGAGCCAGCACACCCAGCCCCGGTCATGTGTATTCAGCAGTTTCACATCAATATAAAGACATTCTTAAGGCTGCGAAATGTTTAAAGGAAAGAGGTTTAATTGGCTCACAGTTCTGCAGGCTGTGCAGGAAGCATGGTGCCCACATCTGCTTGGCTTCTGGTGAGGCCTCAGGGAGCTTTTACTCATGATGAAAGGCCAAGTGGGAGCAGGCATCACATGGTTAAAGTGGAAGCAAGAGAGAGAAGGGGGAGGGCCACACACTTTTAAGCAACCAGATATCAAGAGAACTTACTCACTATCTTGAGGACAGCACCAAGCCATTCATGAGGAGTCCACCCCATGATCAAAACTCTTTCCACCAGGCCCCACCTCCAACATTGGGGATTATGTTTCAATGTGAGATTTGGAGAGGACAAACATCCAAACCATATCACCATGTGATTTCTTGCACTGCCTTGAGACTTGGCAGAGAGTCCCCAGCAGCAAGAAGGCCCTCGCCAGATGCAACCCCTCGATCTGGACTTCTCAGCCTACAGAACTGTAAGATACAAATTTCTTTTCTTTATAGATGATTACCTAGTTTCAGGTATTCTGTTATAAGCAATAGAAAATGGGCAGAGACATCTAGCTCCTCTTGGTTTAGTCACAGCCGACAGCAGAGACATAGATGAGGGATCCTGGCTTCTAACCAGGTGGAGGAGGAGGAGAGGGTGCCAGAAGCTTCCTCTAAACTGCAGCAGTTGTGCCAGGTCCTGAGGGCAGGAGTGAGCTGCTCCCGTGCTGGGAAGAGCTTGGCTCAGGTCCATGGGAACATGGCGGCATTGAGGCCATCTTTCTGGAAGACCACTTGTGTGAGTCACCCACCTTCTTAAAACTCTTCAGCAGCTGAAGGTGATAAAAAGTCATGATTAAACATGATGCTGAGTCAAAGAAGGGTCAGGAAGGACCACATGTTGTGTGATTCCACTCCCATGAAGGTCTAGAGCAGGGAAATCCTCACCGGAAACCCACAGTCAACCCAGCACCTCCTGCCCTCACTTCCACACTCCCTCTGTCCACTGGCACTGTCCACTTCACCTCCTGCACCACCTCTGAGCTGCCCCCTCCTGCCACCTGCATTGCCATTGCCTTAGCCCAAGCATCTCTTCCCTGGATGGCTCCATCAGCCTTCCCTGGTCTCCATTTGCAGCCCTCCAGCCCATTCTCTAGTTCTGCCAAGCCCTGTAGGAATTCCCCCTCTTCCCCTCCAGCCTTTCCCACTGGCCCTGGCCCTGTCAGCTGCTCTCCACTGACCTAGGCTCCTGGGCTCTGTCCACCCTGTGCTTCTTCCTACAGCAGGGCCTTGACATATCTAATCCATTCCCATCCATCCCCAGAGCTCAGCTAAACCATCCGTTTCTCTGGGAAGACTGAGACCCTGACCTCCTTGGATGGTCAACTCCGCCCATGTGTGCCTCCTTAGCAGAACTCACCAAAATTGTAATTTTATATTTTTCCCTCTCTTCCATGAGGACATGAATTCCATGACAACAGAAATTGCATCTGTTTTTTTGTTTTGTTTTGTTTTGTTTTGTTTTGCCACTGCACCCTAGGCCACCCAGCATAGAGATGAATACTCACTGAATTTTAGGAAGAAACTTCGTTTGCACCTCAACCCCCAACCCCACTGCTTCCCCAGTCATGGCACTGCCTGATTAGCTTAAGGCGGGGTGGGCTGCTCCTCGGTGCAGCTTCATCTTCCCCGTGGTGAAATGCAGCATTTCCACCAGGCAGTCTCTAAGACCTCTGCACAATCTTAAATTCTGCAGCCATTTCCCTGATGTCTTCTTGCACCTGGTATGGCTGAGAGGTTCATGCCCATCAGATTCTCATTTCCTTGAATGTGACCTGTTTTCACCCTTGGAAGCTTTTAGGAGTTTCTATCTATACTACCCTGAAATTTCACCCAACTAAATATTTATTGTGTGTGGATGGGGCAGGGCGGGGTGTATGGGAGATGTATATCAAAGGATACCAAGTTGCAATTACATAAGATGAATAAATCCAGAGATCCAGAGACCTACAGTACAGCATGAGAACTCTAGCTAATAATATTGCATTTTACAATGAAAAGTTTTCTAAGAGTGGATTTTAGGTGCTCTTACCACACATGAAAAGGTAACTATGTTAGATGAAGGATATGTTAAATTGCTTACCTGTAGTAATCATTTCACTGTATGTGTATGTATATTAAAACATCACACTGTACACTCAAAATTTATACAGTAAATTTTAAAAAATCTTTAATGTGAATCATCTTTCAGATTTTTTTAAGAATCTTTTCCCCTTTCACAACTGTTCTGCCTTATATGGAGTAGATCCCAGCAACCTAAGACTCATATCCTGCCCCAACTGGGGAAAACATCTACCATGATGATATGGTTTGGGTCTCACCCAAACCTCATGTTGAAATGCAATCCCCAGTGTTGGAGGTGGGGCCTGGTGGGAGGTGACTGGATCATGGGGGCAGAGTTCTCATGAATGTTTTAACGCCAACCCTTCTTGGTACTGTATAGTGAGTGAGTTTTCACAAGATCTGGTTTGTTTAAAAGTGCAAGACACCTCCCATTCTCTCTTCCTCCTGCTCCTGCCTGTAAGATGCCTGCTCCTCCTTTGCCTTCTGCCATGATCCTGAGGCCTCCCCAGAAGCAGATGCTGCCACGCTTCCTGTACAGCCTGAAGAACCGTGAGCCAAAATAAACCTCTTTTCTTTATAAATTACCCAGGCTTGGGTATTTCTTTATAGCAGTGTGAGAACAGACTAATACACATGACTTCTTCCATCATTACTTCATCTTTGTTTGCACTTTTAATTCTTTCTGGAAATTCCATCCGCGGATGTGGGAACATCTGGATCTTCCTCTTGGTTCATTCCTTCTGGGTACTGGGAGAATTCTTCAGCTTGGAATTCCAGCTCATGAATTTGTTCTTCAGCTGTGTCCATTATGGTATTTATCCCATCAATTGATTTTTATTTTCTTTTTGACAATCAAATATGTAATTCCCAAGCTCTGCAACTGCTTCTATTTTGGACATCCTCAGCATTCCCTGAAGATGGTAATGTTTATGAGTGTGTATATTTTAAATCTCTTCCCTTTGCTGTTTAATTTTATTTCTGCAGCATTTGTTTTTCTGTTGTTGGGTCTGGTCTTCTTTTTACTCAAAGTCCTGGGGATCCCCGGTTGCCAGATCAGTGCTGTAGCCAGAACTACTCGTTCCTCTGCCCCCTGGTCTGAAGCCATCCCTGACAATGGTGTGGGGGCAAGGAGGGAGCCAAGCTCTTGTTCTTCCAGGGCCTGCCCCCTGGGCACAGCACTTACTCTCACAGATGGTGAGGGAGCAAATGTCTCTGCTGCCCATGGCCTGAGGAAAACCACCATGCTGGGGTCAGGGACCCCAACCTGTACCCTACCTGCCCACTTTTCAGCCACCTAGCTCCGAAGTTGGCTCCCCTGCTCTCTAGGCAGCCTTCTACAAATGCTTCAGAGCTGTGGCTGTTTTTCTATAGCTATTCCTGTCTGCTTCCCACCTTCCAAGAATCCCAGATGTTTTTAAGTCACTAAAGATGATGTTTCTTATGACACATTCACAGCACCTCTTTGGACATCTCATGTGATTTTTCAAGGATGTAGCCTTGTGTGTGCTGACTGCCACCTTGATTGGATCTTTCCAAGGGAATTAGTGAGAACCCACGAGACACAATCCCCACCCCACAGAGGGCACTTCAGACTACTTGATGGTGGCCAGGGACAGAAAGTTCTCCCTCGGCTGGTGGGTCCCTTCAGTGGAAAGGTGTGAGGAGCACAGTTGACTTGCTTACCCTTTACAGCAGGACTTACTAACATTCAGTATTCCCGTTGCCACATGTATCAGGCTCTTCTTGATACAGAGAAATACCAGCTGGGCACAGTGGCTCATGCCTGTAATCCCAGCACTTTGGAAGGCCAAGCTGGGAGGATCACTTGAGTCCAGGAGTTGGAGACCAGCCTGGGCAACATGGTGAAAGCTCATCTGTACAAAAATTACAAAAAAATATATATATATATATAGCTGGGCATGGTAGCATGTGCCACCAGTAGTCCTAGCTACTTGGGAGACTGAGATGGGAGGATCACCTGAACCCGGGAGGTTGATGCTTCAGTGAGCCATAATTGCACCACTGGACTCCAGCCTGGGTGACAGAGTAAGACACTGTCTTTTTTTTAAAAAAAAAAAAAAAAAAAAGAAAGAAAGAAAGAAAGAAAGAAAGAAAGAAAGAAAGAAAGAAAGAAAGAAAGAAAGAAAAGAAAAGAAAAGAAAAAGGAATATGCGAGGTTGGGTAATTTATAATGAAAAGTGGTTTAATTGGCTCATGGTTCTGTGGGCTTTACAGGAAGCATGGTGCTGGCATCTCCTCAGCTTCTGGTGAAGACCAAGGAAGCTTTCAATTGTGGCAGAAGGCTAAGGGAGAGCAGGCATTTCACATGGCAAAAGCAGGAAGAAGAGAGAGAGAGAGAGAGTGGGAGTTGCCACATACTTTGAAATGACCAGATCTCAGGAGAACTCACTTTCACAAAGAAAGCACTAAGCAATGAGGGATCCACCCCCATGACCCAAACACCTCCCCCCAGGCCCCACTTCCAGCATTGTGGACTACAATTCAACACAAGATTTGGGTGGGGACAAAGGTCCAAACTATATCATTCCACCCCTGGCTCTTCCCAAATCTCTTTCCACTCTATCTCTTCCTCCTGTTCCTGCCATGTAAGCAGGAGCATCATGAGGGGAAGAGATGTCATTCTTACATTGCAAAATACAATCATGCCTTCTCAAGAGTCCCCTAAAGTCTTGACTCATTCCAGCATTAACTCAAAAGTCCAAAGTCTCATCTGAGACAAGGCAAATCCCTTTCACTTATGAGCCTGTAAAATCAAAAACAAGTTAGTTACCCCCAAGATTCAATGGGGGTATAGGCATTGGATAAACATCTCCATTCCAAAAGGGAGAAACTGGCTAAAAGAAAGGGGTTATAGCCCCCATGCAAGTTCAAAACCCAGCAGGGCAGTCATTAAATCCTGCAGTTCCAAAATAATCTCCTTTGACTTCATATCCTGCATCCAGGGCACACTGATGCAAGGGGCAGCTTCCAAGGCCTTGGGGAGCTCTGCCTCTGTGGATTCACAGGGTTCAGCCCCCACAGCTGCTTTCATGGGCTGGTGTTAGTGCCTATAACTCTTGCAGGTGCATGGTGCAAGCTGCCAAAAAATCTACCATTCTTGAGTCTGGAGGATGGTGGCCCCCTTCTCACAGCTGCACTAGTCAGTTCCCCAGTAGATACTCTGTGTGGGAGCTCCAACCCCACATTTTCTCCCCACACTGCCCTAGTCGAGGTTCTCTGTGAAGGCTCCACCCCTGCAGCAGGCTCGTGCCTGGATAACCAACCTTTTCCATGCATCTTCGGAAATCTAGGCAGAAACTGCCAAACCTCTTTCACTGTTGCACTATTCTGTGCACCTCAGGCTTAACACCATGGGGAAGCCACAAAGGTTTACAGCTTGCATTCTCCAAAGTAGCAGCTTGGGCTATACCTGGACACCTTTGAGCCCCAGCTAGAGCTGGAGCAGCCTGGATGCAGGAAGCAATGTCCTGAGGCTGCACAGGGCAGGAAGGCCCTGGACTTGGGCCCTGAAACCAATCTTCCCTTCTAGGTCTCGGGGCCTGTGATGGGAGGGGCTGCCGTGAAGGTCTCTGAAATGCCTTTGAGGTCTTTTCCCATTGTCTTGGATAGTAGCACTTGGCTTCCTTTTAGTTATGCAAATATCTCTAGCAAATTAAGCTCAAGCTTCCACAGACCCCTAGGGCATGACCACGATGCAACCGAATTCTTTACTAAGGCTTAACACATGTGATCTTTGTTCCAGTTCCCAATAAGTTTCTCATTTCCACCTGAGACTTTGGCAGCCTAGACTTCACTGTCCATATCACTATCAGCATTTTGGTCACAATCATTTAACCATTCTCTAAGAGGTTCCAAACTGTCTCTCATCTTCATGTCTTCTTCTGAGCTCTCCAAACTCTTCTAACCTCTGCTCCTTACCCAGTTCCAAAGCTGCTTCCACATTTTCAGGTATCCTCATATTAATACCTCCATACCCCACTCTTAGTACCAATTTTCTACATTAGGCCATTGTTGTATTGCTATAAAGAAATACCCAAGACTGAGTAATTTGTTTATTTATTTATTTTTTTATTTTTATTTTTATTTTTATTTTTGAGATGGAGTCTCACTCTGTCACCCAGGCTGGAGTGCAGTGGCGCGATCTCGGCTCACTGCAAGTTCTGCTTCCTGGGTTCATGCCATTCTTCTGCCTCAGCCTCCTGAGTAGCTGGTACTACAGGCACCTGTCACCACGCCCGGCTAATTTTATGTATTTTTAGTAGAGACAGGGTTTCACCATGTTAGCCAGGATGGTCTCGATCTCCTGACCTCGTGATCCGCCCACCTTGGCCTCCCAAAGTGCTGGGATTACAGGCGTGAGCCACCGCGCCCAGCTGAGTCTGAGTAATTTATAAAGAAAAAGATTTAATTGGCTCACAGTTCTGCGGGCTTTACACAAATCATGGAGCTGGCATCTTCTTGGCTTCTGGGGAGACCTAGGGAAGCTTACGATCATGGCAGAAGGTGAAGCAGGAGCAAGAGAGAGAGAGAGTGAAGCCGGTGCCAGATAAACAACCAGATCTCACAAGAACTCACTATCACAAAGACAGCACCAAGCCATGAGGGATCTGCCTCCAGGACCCCGACACCTCCCAGCAGGCCTGACCTCCAGCATTGAGGATTACAGTTCAACACGAGATGTGGGCAAGGACAAATATCTGAACTATGTCACCACAGAACTCAGGAAGTTCAGGTAAGTCTCCTGGTCATAAGTGGTAGCTGCAGGACCCTAATCCAAGTATTCTCTTTCCAAAACCTCAGCTTATCTGGGATGCTCACAATCTATAAGGACCCCATTATCAGCATAACCTACCATCCCCTGATTCTAGAATATTTCTATTCCAATCCCTCCCTCCACAATTCACAGCCTCCTTGGAGTCAAAGCTAATCAGGTCTGCTGACAGGCCACTGGAGTCTGGAAGAACCCTCTCTGCAGCTCACTTGCTGAGGACAGTGAAGAGACTACCTCGTTTCACTGTGCCCATATCCTGACCTGCACAAGGGCATTATGGCTGTTGTGAGGACAGGTGAGGTGGCACAGGCAAAAGAGGTTAGTGCACAGTAGAAGAGAATAAACGTGCATTTCCCTGCTCTGTTTTTCTCAAAGCTGTGCTTGTAGAAGGGCACTGCCACTTTGGAGCCACATTCAGAGCCCAGATTCCAGGTCATCCCAGAAGGTTGAATGGATGGCCCCAGCCCAGAGACTGGATGGCTTAGAGTCTGATGGCAGGAGCTGATCCCATAGTAGGTTTAGATCTCCCCAGACTGCCCATGTGTGACAGCTAGGTGGTTTCTGCAGAGTCCACCCCACTCCAAATTGCAGAGTGGCGTCTGTTTGGTCTAAGATAATCACGATCATCTTAACCCCCTTGCCAGAGTGACTCCTTTAGGGATCAAAAACAACTCAGCTGATCAGCAAGCACACAGCACTTCCCTGGCCACAGTGATTAACTCAGGTTGGTCTAACCAGAACAAGGCTCAAGACTTCTGTTAGATTAAGACCTCTCTCTCGCTCTGACCAGTAAGGGGTGCAGATACAAAGCCTGGAGCTACTGCAGCTACTTTGTTGCCATGAGGTAACCTAGCCCAATAACAGCACCAACAAGAAGCAGACACAGCAAGAGAACTGCTGAACTCTGAAGCCAGAGCCCTGGTTAAACTGCACCGGAAGCCTACCTGCCACCACCCTTCCCAACTGGGTGGGCCACTTTGGGGTGGGTTTTCTGCTTCCTGTCACAAAACAGCCCAAACTGACAGAGAAGCCAAGGATAGGTTGCTACCAGTTCCACTAGCAATTCAAGAGCTGAGCCTGATAATGTGGAATGAGATTCCTCTACTAAGCATCCCAAGGTTTGGTCTGGGAAACCTTTTCTCTTCTGTGTCTTCCATATGGTCTGAACCAGTCAATAATGGCTCCTGGGTGGTTTTCCACCTAGGAACCAGGACACCAGAGCCAGAAGGAGGCACAAACTTGTCTAATGTCACCCAGCTAGTGAATGCCAAATCCAGGGCTCGAACCCAGGCCTTCTGAACTCCAGGCTATATGCCATTCCTGAATAGAAACTCAACCAGCTGGCCTGCCCCGCCTGGCCAATTGAACTAGTTGCTAAATTGATACTTTGCAAAACATGCATGTTTCCAATTGCAGAGCGTTGCTGTGACTTTGAAGCAGCGTGTAGCCTTCCCCTGATGTGGTGAAGGACGGAGGTGGCTGGCCTGGTATGGAGAGGGATCTTAGGAAACTCTCCGCAGAAGCCCCAGGGCACCCACTCACTGGAAAGAGATCAGAAAGCAGCCTCTCTCCCGAGGCCGCAGGCAGCCAGCTCCCCACTTAAAAAGGACCTGGTATCAATTTCACTTTTTTTGTCCTTATTGGTGCCTCCCTAATGAGATGATGTTAGAGTTGGAAATAAAGAGATGAGTTGCTGGGTAAATAGATAAATAGATAAATAAAGCCTGGGCTTCTTCCAGGAATGCAGCCCTCTCCCTCCCGGCGGCTGGAGGAGGCGTGGGTGTCGCCTGACAGCGGCCCAACTTCTTGCCAAGGCGCTGGGGAGTGGGGGCCCTGAGGACACAGCTATCGGCCACCACTTCCTGCACACCTACCAGATGCTGGCCTCTGCTTTGCTTGCCGTCCCTCCTTTAGTCTTTGCAATGACTCATGAAATAGGCAGGCGTCACCCCTCAAGTTCAGACAAAACAGTGGAGACCGAGAAAGGAAAGTGACCGGAACCAAGTCATGGCTTGCAAGTGATGGGGCAGAGATTTCAGGTCAGGTCTGTCTGTGTCCAAAGACAAATATCGCTGCTGTCATGGAAGCCCCAAGGAGCTCACGGTCCCCTTGGGGGCAAATGGCTCCCTCGGGAAATGACAGCAAAACACCCAAGATGGAGAATTTTCATCACCCTGCGCGGTGTGATGAGGGGCTGGGGGGAACTGGGGCTGGAGTTGCCAGGGGGCCTGAAAGGAGAGGCTGCACAGGTAGAGAGGCACCCTGGAGGGCCACCGCGGGACCTGCTCCCTGGGCCTGCCCCCATGTCTGCCTGCCCCGTCCCCACACTTGCCCCCTCTGCCCTCATCCCTGCCCGCCCCGTCCCCATGCTTGCCTCCACGGGCCTCTCCTCGCACAGGAGGAGGGGCTGTTCCTGCCGCACACCTGCGGTGGCCATCCTCTCACTCAGCATGACAGCTGCTGGTCCGTGGTGCTCAGGGGTGGCTGCGCAGGCTATTAGAATGTGTCCCTACATCCACAGTGGTTATTATGCACTGCTTTCCGAGGAGCCGCCAGACTTCCCCATAATCTGGCAACTAAAGGGTTGGCACTTGGCACGGGAAGTGGGGACTCCAGAACCTGCTTCAGGGTCTGGTTGTGGTGCCCCACCTGGTAAACATTTCGGAACTTACCCTCGATTAGGATAGAACTCAGGGTCCCTGCTGGAGCCCACCACATCCTCAGAGCCAGCCTCCTAGAGCCTCTCCCCTGCCCCACTCCAGCCAGGGCCTCGTTGCTGTTTCTCAGGAACGCCAAGCAAAAGTGCACCCAGGATGCCTGCACCTGCAGATCCTGCTGCGGGAACTCGCTGTCCCCGACTCCCCTCAGCCTCTGTGCGGCATCACCTTGCTGGGGGGTCCCCACCGCCCTGTACCAAAGAGCAGCACCAGCAACCCCCAGCACTCCCTTCTCCTCCACCCCATTTTACCTCTTCCCAGATTCTCTGTCCTCAGACTCATATTACTATGGATTGAGTTACCCTTGTCGAATCCTCTTGCCAACTAGGAGAGCCCATGCAGGCCACGCCTTGTTCCCTGTCACACCCGTGCCTGGAACAGTGCCTGGCACAGGCAAGGCACACTGGGGTGCTGAGCTGAGTGATTGAATGAACAAATAAATAGATGTTTCCACTCGCCTTTCCTGAGCCCTACTGTGTGCATGACTCTGCACTCCAGGCTATGGGGCAGCCAGGCAGGGGTGCCGAGCTGTGCACACAGTAGGGCTGCTGATTTCCAGAACTCCTGGGAATGAGTGGGGTTAAAGCGGGAGGGGCACAGGGGAAGAGCTGAGGGGTCAGCATGAGCCCAGGAGAGTGGAGGGAGACAGTGTCCTAAGCACATGCCCTGTGGGAAGGAAGAGGCCCAGAGCACACGCCGGGACCAGAGCAGGGCCCCAGTTTTGGAGCGAGTCAGGCCTCTGTGTCCTGACCTCCAGCAAAGGAGAGGAGACTCCGAGTGTCCCAGGCCCCCCAGGAGGGTTGCTCAAGGGAGCCCTGGGCATCAGTCCTTAGAAATGGGCCCCTGCACATGTGTGTGCTGTCGGGAGCCCAGATTTTCTTGAAAGGAAGACTCAGCCACTGTGCCCCTTTCTTAATTTAAAACACTCCCTTGGCAGGGTGTGGGGGCTTACGCCTATTAACCCAGCACTTTGGAAGGCCAAGGTGGGTGGATCGCTGCACCTGGGAGTTTGAGACGAGCCTGGGCAACACGATGAAACCTCGCCTCCACAAAAAATACCAAAATGAGCCAGGTATGGTGGCGTACACCTGTAGTCGCAGCTGAGGCGAGAAGATGGTTTGAGCCCAGAAGTTCGAGGCTGCAGGGAGCCATGATCGTGCCACTGCACTCCAGTCTGGGCGAGAGAGTAAAACCCTGTCTCGACAAAAAAATAAAAATGAACATAAAATAAAATAAAAACACCCCCAGATAGTTCTGTTGTGGGTGATGTTTATTTCTTTTTGAAAGTTTTTAGTATTTTCCAAGTTGTCCAGAAAATTGTAACCAGAAAAAATAAGCCATAATTGCTGTTAAATGTTTTTGTTTTTGTTTTTTTTGAGAGGGAGTCTCGCTCTGTCGCCCAGGCTGGAGTGCAGTGGCGCAATCTCAGTTCACTGCAACCTCCACCTCTCAGGTTCAAATGATTCTTCTGCCTTAGCCTCCCGAATAGCTGGGACTACAGGCGTGTGCCACCATGCCAGGCTAATTTTTTGTATTTTTAGTACAGATGAGGTTTCACCATGTTAGCCAGGATGGTCTCGATCTCCTGACCTCGTTATCTGCCTGCCTCGGCCTCCCAAAGTGCTGAGATTACAGGCATGAGCCGTGCCGTCCTGTTAAATGTTTTTATTATTTTAAAAACACTACAGAAAGGAACAATCACTTGTGTTAATAAATTCATATAATGGAATTTTACAGAATCTTTAAAATATTTATGAATTGATTTTAATGCCATGAAAAATAGATAGTGGGAAAAAATCCAGATACTGAATTGTTGGCTCTGAGCAACATAAACTTGTATGTACATAGTAGGCTGGGTGTGGTGGCTCACGCCCGTAATCCCAGCACTTTGGGAGGCTGAGGCTTCAACACTAGCCTGACCAACATGGTGAAACTCCATCTCTACAAAAATACAAAAATTACCCAGGCATGATGGCAGGTACATGTAATCCCAGCTACTCAAGAGGCTGAGGCATGAGAATGGTTTGAACTCGTTAGGTGGAGTTTGGAGTGAGCAGAGATTGAGCCACTGCACTCCAGCCTGGGCAACAGAGAGAGACTCCACCTCAAAAAAAAAAAGCATGTTTACATATATTTATATGCATGGGCATGTGTGTGTACACATGCATATATAGACATACAGAGTGTGCATACACAGGCATGTGTACACACATGCACACACAAGCAGGCACACACACCCAAACCAACATCTGGAAGGGAAAATGCCAGCAAGTAGTGGTGATGTCTGGGTGGTGGCATTCTGGATTTATTTGCCTTTTTAATCATTTTCTGTACTTTCCACATTTCTCTCAACTATTTTAAATGTTATCATCAAGGCTGGGCAGCATAGCACGACCCTGTCTCTACAAAAAATTTAAAAATTAGCCATGCATGGTGGTGCACACCTGTGGTCCCTGCTGCTCAGGAGACTGAGGTGGGAGGGATCACTTGAGCCTGAAAGGTGGAGGTTGCAGTGAGCCATGATTGCACCACTGCACTCCAGCCTGAGTGACAGAGTGAGACCCTGTCTCAAACATAATTAATTCACTGAATGTTATTATTGGAAAGCATTTTTGTTTCAAATAAGGGTTGAAGCATAGACATCAGAGAGAAAAGCAACCACCTCTCTTGTTTATTTTTCCAACCAACATTACAGCCCTTGAACAGGACACGCAGGTGCCCAAGGAGACCCGTGCCACACTGTTTGACCTCATAATCCCATGCCTAAGAAGCCGTAAGAAAATAATTCCACAGAAAATAACAACTATACAATCTGCTAATGTGTGGATCGCAGAGCTATGTATAAAGGGGTGGGGTGGGGGAGGGGCGGGGAGTGAAACTGACCTAGTACCAGCCAAATACTGTTTGGAGAGATGACGGCTTTGGAGAAGTCAGGGGGCATTTGGGAGGTGGCTACAAACTCGGCTGTCACGAAGCACGGTGAGATCTCAAAACATGAAAAATATTTTGTGTTGGCTGGGTACGGTGGCTCACGCCTGTAATCCTAGCACTTTGGGAGGCCAAGGTGGGAGAATCACCTGAAGTCAAAAGTTCGAGACCATCCTGGCCAACATGGTGAAACCCTATCTCTACTAAAAATACAAAAATTAGCCGGGTGTGGTGGTGCATGCCTGTAGTCCCAGCTACTCAGGAGGTGGAGGCAGGAGAATCACTTGAACCTGGGAGGTGGAGGTTGCAGTGAACCGAGATCATGCCACTGCACTCCAGCCTGGGTGACGGAGTGAGACTCCATCTCTCTCTCTCTCTCTCTCTCTCTCTCTCTCTCTCTTTCTCTCTCTCTCCATATATATATATATATATATATGGTGTTAATGGTGAAGTTAATATAGTGAAAAGGTGTAGGTGGGCCCTGACACCCAAGCTCTGTCAGGGTGTGGACCAGGACCCAAGCGCCAAATCCACTCACTGAGCATCCAGCAACCCTGTGACTTGGCTCCAACACGTCTGACTGTGCCCAGTGATGCTCCAGGCAGAGAAGACAGCAGTGAGCAGAACAGACGGGCCCGGCTCTCATGGAGTTGATCTTCTGCGGGGGTCGGGAGGCTTGACAGACGCTCCATCAATACCTAATCAGTCCCATGGCACAGGCACCGGGGGAAAGCTAAGGCAGGTGGGGCCATGTGCCACCCGTCTCCTGGGGGTGCCGCCGGCCCCCGTCTCCCTGCTTTCTGCAGTCACCTGTAGCCAACAGAAGAGAAGTGCAGTGATCCACCTCCTGTCCAGGCCCGGCCCATGGAGACCTCCCCTGTGCAATTCTTTCTCTCTTCTGCTGACTGCTGTCCAATGTAGGGAAACCAGGAGAGGACTCCAGGACCTTGGGGAAATGGAGCCACAGATGGAAGATGCCTGGGTCCTTGAGTTGCTGCTCAGAGGCGAGCTGCTCACTGGTCAAGGTCACCCATGTGGGCTGGATAAGGAACAAATGTGTATTGTGTTGAGTTAACGTATGTTTGGGGAGGGTCTTTGGTGCAGCAGCTCACCTGCCTAATGGAGGGGCTAGGAAATGTTTGCATGGGGTGAGAAGGAGGCTTTGCCCTTGAGAGAGAATGGTCAGGAAGGAAGGTCCTGCGGCCCAAGAGGACGTCAGAACTGAGATTGGGAGGAAATGGAGAGCAAGCCACGGGGCTACCTGAAGGGAACCCACCCCAAGCAGAGGGCATGAGTGTGCCCGGAAGGGTCCATGAAGGAGGAGGAGGCCTCGGGGGAGGGGGTGGGGGCAGGGCAACAGAGCGAGGGGTGGAAAGAGATGAGGTTACACAGGCCTGGGAACCAGAGACACAGAGCCTGGCAGGTGTGTTCAGAGCTCAGCACCGACTCTGGGTGAGACAGAAGCCACAGCCAAGGAGTTCATGACCCAATCAACTTTCTAAAGAATCTGAAGGCATCGCTCTGTGTTATTGAGGACGCACTGCAGGAGGCGCTGCACAGAGCTTGCAGGAGACCCGAGGGTGGAACACAACGAGCAGAAAGAAGCACCCAGGATGCCCCAGGCTGGAGCCTAAGTCAGTGGGGAGAGGGCTGCCACAGGGTCAGCTGGGGAGATGGAGAGATGAGCTGTCCTGTGTGGCTTTGAACCCAGGACGCTGCCAGGAGGTCTCCTAGATGGTTGGGTCTCTGAGTCTGGAGTCCAGGAGGGAGGTCAGGCTGGAATTACAAAGCGGGGACTTCAGGGTATAGCAGGTGATGGAAATGAAGAGAGACGCTGACCTGGGGAGGAGGGAAAGAAGGGCCGAGGGTGGGGGCCCCCTGCGGCTCACGGGTCTGGAGCCTCCGAAGGTGGGTCAGGGAGATGAAGGGAGTGAGGAGGCCACAGTGACCCACTGGCCAGGCCAAATCAGCCCTGAGGGCTGACCCTTAGGTCCGGCGACAAGAGAGCCATGGGGGAGGGGCCTGGGGTGAGGTGCAGCTTCTCCCAAGAGGCAGGAGAGAGGGCAGCCAGGGGTGCCCACATGGTCAGAAGTGCTGTTGGAAAGAGGAACAGAGTAGGGTAGTGGCCGGAAGGAGAAGCAGTGTCTAGGGAGGTTTGACTTATTTTTAAGGTGAAGGCGTGTTTATCAGCTGATGGAATCACCCAGCCAAGAGACAAGGCTGGGGCTGGTGAGGGTCTGGGCCCAGCATGGAGGGGGCTCCTGAGCCAGGAGAGGGGGCACAGCACATACGGGCAGCAGGTAGAGTCCTGGAGGCTGGCAGAGGGCAGAGAAGGTGGGAAATCCAAGTCGGGGAGAGGGGACCTCGGACGCCAAGGTCAGTTGGCCGGTCGGTGGTGGGAATTTCAGGTGACAGTTCTGTGCCCAGGTGCAGCAGCGTGAAGACAGAGGCCACAGAAGGACGTGAGAAGGGAAATCCCAGTGCAGAGGTGAGGGGTGCGGGGCAGTGACCGTGTGGATGAGAGGGACAGGAGAGGTGGGATCTGGGGGTTGAGGTGCTGGGGGTGGTGCTTGAAGTTGAGATGGGGAGATGGTAACGAGAAGGGAGGGGAGGAGAGAAGAGGAGGAGGTGAAGGCTCTGGGAGGCCGGGACCACCCACAGGGATGTTCAAGAACTGGGCAGGAGTGATGTGGGGAAGCGACCGTGAATCCGGGGTTAAAATCTTCCAGGAGTGAGGGACGACCTGGGATTCGTAGATGACTCCAGAGTAAAAGGCAGAGTCTGAAGGTCCCAGCTCAAAGCCTGGGTAGGAGGGAAGTAGAACATTCTGGAAAGAAAGTGAGGAGTGAGAGGACACCTCCCCCCTCCCCAGCACCAGGGGAAACAGAACCTCTGGGTGAGTTGCAGTGCAGGAAGCTTCAGGCAGAGCAAGAAGGTGAGGGGACCCTTGCGGGAGATGAGAGGAGGCAGCACCAGCGCCAGGGCGTCCCCTCTGCCTGTCTGCACCTGCCTGGGGCAGCTGCCTTCTCTGCTCCTCTGCCTAGGGTTTCTCCAGCCCAGACCCCTAGAGTTGTTCTATTCAGCACCTGAGAGGAGACCCTCAGCAGCCAGGAGAGGAAGCCGTCGGGGAGAACCCCATGTCCCAGCCTCTCCACCTTCTGGAGGACCAAGGGTCTCCAGTGGAATGGACCCTGGGTTCCCATTGAGGTTACCTGCTCATCAAAAGACACACTTTGGGCTTTTCTCTCTGTCTCACCTGAGCTTCCTGGGACCACCTCCCCTGTCCCTACATCTTTAGCTCAGGGTCAGCCTTGGGAGGAACGCTAACCAAGCCCAGGGACTCTCTGGACGCTGGATATTAGCTGCAAAGGCCACCGTGGGAACGCTGTGGGTGAGGATTAGGATAGAGGAGCCAAAAAGGAAAGATCTCACCTAGTGGGAGGCAGGTGAACACCCAGTGCCCCAGGTTCCCTTGTGGGCAGGGTCGGGGGGATGTGACGGGGAGAGGGGGCTTAGAGGGCTTTGTCCTACCATCCAGCTGTCAGGAGGGGCTTCCCCTCGTTCACGCCAATGGCAGCGCCAGGTGTTCAGGGAGCTCTTGCGTTCAAACCACGAAGAAGACGCAGTTTAATCTCATCCCACGCAGATAAAGAGTAAGTTATTTTTTTCTGTTTCAGAATGTCATATTCATTTTTTACATCTAACAAAACCACTTTTTAGAAAGCTAATCACAGTCTAACCGAATATGCAGTGCAGCAATTATGCTCCTCGCCTTTATCCAAAGGAGTTGAGACGTCCACGCAAAAACCTGCACACCGATGTGTACAGCAGCCTTATTCATAATGACCAAAACTTGGAAGCAACCCACAAGTCCTTCAGTAGGTGAAGGGTTGAGCCGCGGTGCATCCAGACAGTGCAATATTATTCAGCGCTAAAAAGACACGAGCTATCAAGGCCTGAAAAGACATGGAGGAAACTTCCACGATATTAGTAGGTGAGAGAAGCCCATCTGAAAAGGCTACACACCGTATGAGTCCAACTCTTTGACATTCTAGAAAGGACAAAACTACAGAGAAAGTAAAATAATCAGTGGTTGCCAGGAATTTGGAGAGAGGGGTGAACAGGTGGAGACAGATTTTTAGGGCAGTGAAACTCTTTGTATGATGTTAAAATGGGGATACAGGGCATTAGACATTTGGTAAAACCCAGAGAATTTACAATAGAAGGCCAGGTGTGGTGGCTCATGCCTGTAATCCCAACACTTTGGGAGGCAGAGGCAGTGGATCACCTGAGGTCAGGAGTTTGAGACCAGTCTGGCCAACATGGTGAAACCCCATCTACACTAAAAATACAAAAAGTAGCCAGACATGGTGGTGGGCACCTGTAATCCCAGCTACTTGGGAGGCCGAGGCAGGAGAATCGCTTGAACCCGGCAGGTTGCAGTGAGCCAAGATCGTGCCACTGCACTCCAACCTGGGTGACAGAGTGAGATTTTTGTCTCAAAAAAAAAATAAAAAAGAGAGAGAGAGAATTTACAATAGAAAATTAGAGTGAACCCCGATGTAAACTACGGCCTTTAGTTAATAATAATGTATCAACACTGCTCATCAATTGTAAAAATGTGCCACATTAATGCATGATGTTAATACCAGGGGGAATTGTGCTGGGGGGGAGAGGGTGATATGATTTGGATCTGTGTCCCCCACAAATCTCATATTGAATTGTAATTCCCAAATTTTTTTTTTTTGAGACAGAGCCTTGCCCTGTTGCCCAGGCTGGAGTGCAGTGGTGCCATCACAGCTCACTGCAACCTCCACCCCCCAGGCTCAAGTGATCCTCCCACCCCAGCCACCTGAGTAGCTGGGACTACAGGCGTGCACCACCATGCCCAGCTAATTTTTTTGTATTTTTGGTAGAGAGAGGGTTTCTCGATGTTGCCCCCAGGCTGCTCTTGAACTCCTGGGCTCAGGTGATCTGCCCACCTCGGCCTCTGCAAGTGCTGGGATTACAGGTGTGAGCCACGGTGCCTGGCCAGGCCGTGTGAGAATGAACGAGTACAGGGGGGTATATGGGAATTCTCTGGACTTTCTGCTCAATATTATTGTAAACCTAAAACTTCTCTAAGAAATAAAGGCTATCAAGTCGAAACAAAAACAAAAACAAGAAAAGCTCTAAACCCGGATTTCACAGGAGCCACGCTTGCTGGCGACCACAGCTGGTAGGGAACCCTGTTTCTCTGAGGCTGACGTACCTCTCCTTGGTCAGAACCCCGCCCTCGTCCTACCCACCCCCACTCAGCCCCTTCCGGCTGCTCCGGAGGCTGGGAGACCAAAGCAGCGAGAGCTGGGACCCCTCACCGCCTTCCCCACACCCTTGTCAGGGCCGGGCAGCAGTCAGGGCGGTGGTGGCAGGCGCCAGCCGATGTCTGGTCCAGGAGTCCCTGGCCAACCCCAGAGATGAGGCTGTGGCCCTGCCAAGCTTCCTGGGCTGCACCTCCTGAAGGGGGACCCCATCCCATTGTCTATGTCTGAGCCACACCTGGACAAACATGTTCTGTCTCTGAGCCCTAAAGCTCCGTTTCCTCTGGTGCGAGAATAAGATCAGGAAGTCCTTATACACAGTGTCCCTGTCCTGGCCACCCTGGAATGGGAACAAAGCCTCTCCTTTCATGGGGTCTTTCTGAGACTCAGTGACATTCCCATGAGACCCATGGCTATGGCCCGGGCTCCCTGTTCAAACACAAGTCGTCAGTGACCTGACCCAAGGGACATGCCGGTCTGATACCAGCCAGCAGCCGGTGTGCCGGAGGCTTATCAGAGCTGCTCGGGTTACCCCGGGGAGTGCCGCCCTGGCCCCGGCCCCATCAGTGCACCTGGCCGTGCCCAGCCTCTAATCCAGCCGGACTGTGGGCTGCTTTCTGGAGACCTGGGGTTCTGTGAATGTGACCAGCAACTACCTGCAGGAGTGGGGTCGCTGCGTGGGAGGGACTCAGGCCCCCGAGTCCCTTTATAACTGTTCCTTTAGGACAGCCTGTAGGGCTTTTTGGAAAAATGACACTGGCTACAACACAGATGGACCCTGAGGATATTGTGGTGAGCAAAATAAGCCCGTCATAAAAGAAGGAATGCTCTGGGGTCCCACTTCCATGAGCTCCCTAGAGCCGTCACACCCACAGAGATGTGGCCAGGCGCAGTGGCTCACACCTGGAATCCCAGCACGTTGGGAGGCCAAGGCAGTAGGATCACCTGAGGTCAGGAGTTTGAGACCAGCCTTGCCAACATGGAGAAACCCCATCTCTACTAAAAATACCAAAAATTAGCCAGGCATGGTGGCGTGTGCCTGTAATCCCAACTACTCAGGAGGCTGAGACAGGAGAATCACTTGAACCCGGGAGGTGGAAGTTGCAGTGACCGAGATTATGCCATTGCACTCCAGCCTGGGTAACAAGAGCGAAATTCCATCTCAAACAAACAAACAAACAAGCAACAAAAAAATCCACAGAGATGTAAAGGGAGAGTGGTGGGGTCAGGAGCTGGGGGATGGGAGGGGGAGTGAGTGTTCAATGAGGGCAGAGTTTAAGTCTGGGAAGACAAGAATGTTCTAGAGATGATGGTGGTAATGATTGTATAACCATGTGAATGTATGGTTGAAATGGTGAACTGTTACTACAAACATAAAATAAAACACAAATGCTGCTCACCCCAAACTCTAGAATAGGAAATAATTGTTTTTCCTTCAAAATGTAGATGAGAGAGGTGCTGCCAAAAATTCTGTAAGACCTCTTCTTCTAAGCTTTGCACAAGAAACTTGCACAATAATTAATCAAAGTACTTGAAATATAAAAAATGAAAATGTTTGGGCCGGGTGCGGTGGTTCTTGCCTGTAATCCCAGTGCTTTGGGAGGCTGAGGCAGGAGGATCGGTTGAGGCCAGGAGTTCAAGACTAGCCTGGGCAAAATAGCGAAAACTTGTCCGTACAAAACATTAAATTAAAAAGAAATGAAAAAGAAAAAACGACTCTACTAATAAAATATTATGATTATTATCAGAGACAGGGTCTCACACTGTCACCCAGGCTGGAGCAGTGGCATGATCATAGTTCACTACAGCCTGGAGTTCCTGGGCTCCAGTGATCCTCCCATCACAGCCTCCCAAGTAGCTGTGACTACAGGCACGTGCCACCACACCCAGCTAATTTTTTTGTATTTTTTAGAGAACGAGTCTCGCTATGTATGATGCCCAGGCTGTTCTTGGAACTTCTCTGGGGCTAAGTGATTCTCCCGTATCAGCCTCCCAAAGTGCTGGGGATTACAGACAGGAGCCACCATGCCTGGCATAAAATATATTTTTTAAGAGTATGAAAATCACTTCTGTTTCACCCTCTACAACAATGCAAGAATGTTCCAGAGTGTGAAGGAGCTGCTTGTGGCATCCCACAGTCCCTTGTCACCCATAAGAAAAGTCCATGCCCTTCCACAGCATCCGGCCCTCCTGCTGCTCAGCCCCGCTGCTCTACAGAGCCCCCCCACACTCGCCCCAGGGTTCCCGCCTGCCCAGACCACTTCTTGCCTGGCCCAGCTAGCATCCCCCTCCTCGGCCCAGGCCCCTCCCTCCCCTCATGCCCATCATGCCCCATCCATCCCCAGCACCCTAGTCCTCTTTCCAGAAGCTCCTGCCTGCAGGCTCTGCCATAGCCGCATCCTGTCTGCTCACTGAGCTCATTCCCCACCAGCAGCACCAGTCTTGTGAGAAGCTCCTCGGGCCCTGCCCCCTGTCTCCTTGAACTGGGATGGACTGAACTATGTCTCCTGGAATAGACTGAACTGTGTCTTTCCCATGCTCCTATGAGGACATCCTCATCCCCAGAGTGAAGGTATTTGGAGACAGGGTCTTTGGGAGATGACTATGGTTAGGGAAGGTCTGAGAGTGGGGCCCTATGATGGAATTAGTGCCCTTATGAGAAGCAACACCAGAAAGAGAGTCCTTGCGAGCTGTCTCTCCACCCCCACCATGTGAACACAGAGCGGACGCAGCCTTGCACACCGGCAAGGCAGGGAGCCCTCACCAGGAACTGAATCAGCCATCACCTTGTTCCTGGACCTCCAGCCTCCAGGTGGGTCAGGTGCACTGAGTCAGTGAATGAATGAAGGGCTGGTTCCTGTGCCCATGTCTGCACGTGTCCTCCCTCTGCCCGGGCATCTCCTGGAGCCCGGTATAGGCAGACTCCAGCAGGACCTGTGCTGCACGCCTCAACTCCCCAGGCCCCTCCCTTCACTTGTTTAGAAATGCACTGGAAATACTGTGGGCGCCATTTTCACCAATCGAGTGTGCGGAAGCTTTTAGTAAACACGGGTTACTTTGATGCTAATTATATTTAAATAACATGTGTGTCTACAATTATATAATTATACATATATGTAAATACAGAAAAAAATACCAAAAAATAATGAACTATTCCCAGGCAGGGGTCTTCTGAAGGTTATGGGATCATTTTGACTTGCTCTTCTTTATACCCTTGAGTATTCTCCAACTTGCTTACAATGAGCGCGGATTCTTTTTTTAATAAGCAGAAAAAAATGTTGCTTTTAACATTTAGGAAGCTGTCCTGAGTATCTGGCACATTAAAGGGAGCTTGCTGGGCACTGTGGGATTCATCGATAGGTAAGAAGGAGAGGCAGAGTCCCTGAACTCCATCAGCCTCCAGTCTGGACAAGACCAGACACCCACACGCAAAGTGGAGCCAGGTGGTGCCCTGTGGGAAGCCAGCATGTGCCAGGCACCTGGAGAAGGAGCCAGAACTGGGTCTGGGCTGACGGAGGGGAGACCCACAGGCTACGTGGAGAGAAGAAGCATGTCTGGCAACGGAGGGCACGCGGCTGGAGGGGCTGAGGGGATGCATGAGAAAATGAGTTTGGCTTCAAATATGGATGTCACCAAATGCCAGCACAGGGCCTCAGACTGGACACACGGCCCGTGGGTCACCTGGTGCCTGTAAAGGGGCACCGTGTTTCTTCTGAAATATCTCTGGCCACTGGGGAAACGCCGTGTGTGTGCTGGAGTCACATTGCATCCCTTGCCTGGACACAAGAGCAGGCCCCACCTTGCTCTATCTTCAAAACGCTACAGCACGGAGCCCCCAGAAGCAGGGGTACCCCTTGGGTGGCCGCCTAAGTCAAGAGGCCTTGATAACCGGAAAGTCACACTTTTTTCTTTCTGAATGGTGCAAATCAATAGGAAAAATCGAGATTGTCTGAGGAAGCTTTCTTCAAACATTACAGAACATTGTCCACACTGAATGTTTTGTTCATGTTTGAGGGCTGTGTAGAGGGGATTGATGGAGATGGTGGGGCTGCTAAGGCCCCCATATGTTCCAGAGCTTGAGGCACAGGCCCAGCACCCAGTGGGTGCCCGGTGTGATTGCAGAGCCTTCTGAACGGTGCTGTGTGGGTCATGGGAGCACTTGACCCATCCCAACCAGAGGATGGCCATGTTGGGGGATGTGGCTCCAGAACCCCCAGTGCCCAGCCCCTACCAGTCTTCTTCCCGAGCTGATTTCCGAGGGCATAAATCTGCTTCCCTCCTGCCCCTCACTCCTCTAAAGAAAGGCCTCCTGCATCCCTGGATCCCCGATTTCATCTTTGAGGCCACCAAAAAGTCACTTCCTCCTTCCTTGGTCTAGATGGTCCTGACCCCAGCAGAGCAGGGACTCGGCAGGGCCACTGCTTAGGGAGCATTGAGAGCAAAGGGGCTGCTTTCAGCCGGTGGTTCTCAAAGTCAAGGCTTGATGAAGACACGTGCAGAAAGGAGATGGGCTGGAACTGGGGGGCCTCAACTCTGCAGCTGGGGAACCTGACCCAAGTTGACCAAAGCTGGGGGACGCAGGCAGAGTCTGGCTCTGGCACCTCCAGCTGAGCCACCACAGAGGGTCCTCAGCTGTAAAGCAGGGACCCAGGGACCAGCAGCCACAAGGCAGGGTTGCTGGGAGGGGCCATGAGCTGAGCAGCTCCGAGGCTACACCCCAACTGTGTCTGATTAAGTCCTTTCTGTTACTCTTTAGGACTCGCCCCCAACGCCAACCCTCCTGACCTTGTCCCAAGTCTCCCCTGGCTGGTTTCTCACATTGTCCTGGGTCTTGATCACTGACAGTTGACATAGCTGTCCCCCACCCCCAATCATCCTCCCCCAGGACAAGTGACATGTCATAGTCAATGCTGTCTCTCTCCGGCACCCACTCAGTGGAGCCACTCAGGGCCAGTTAATTCAAGGAAGGAAGGAAGGAAGGAAGGGAGGGAGGGAGGGAGGGACGGAGGGAGGAAGGAAGCAATGCCTCTGTTGGAAAGGTACCCAGGCTGCCTTTTCCTCCTGGAGATCAGGGCCTGCAGCAGGGCTGGAGTGGGCAGGAGGAAGCCCTGGCAGGACATGCCCAGCCCCTCTCATGTGGATGGCAGCCATCCAGCAAGAGAATGTGGGCAGAGGAGGTGGATTGGTCAGGGCTCTGCTTCAAGCCAGACTCCTGCCTGTGGGCCAGGCTAGGGGACTGAGGCCTTGGGTGAGGACCTGAGGCTCTGAGCTATGGTGGACCCAAAACCCAGACCTCTGCTTTCGCCAGTAAGCGGAATAGCATCAGGGATGATGGGCCCTGGCTCACAGGCCACCCGCTGCTGAGAACGTGGCGGGGGACCGAGCCAGGGGCTTCAGGCCAGCTGCAGTGAAAGGACGGGAGGGGCAGCCTCCGACTTGCCTGGTGCCAGCACCTGCAGCCCACAGTGCACCGAGCCTTCCCAACCAGGCCCCACCATCAGATCCAGCAGCAGGCCCCTGGATTCCCTGATTTCATCTTTGAGGCCTCCAAAAAGTCACTTTCTCTTTCCTGTCAGGCACCCACTCAACAAAGCCACTCACAGCCAGTTAGTCAGAAGGAAGGAAGGAAAGAGGGAAGGGAAGGGAAGGGAAGGGAAGGAAGAGGGAAGGGAAGGGAGAGGGAAAGAGATGGGAAGGAAAGGAGACTTCTCAGGCCCCAGAATTCTGGAAGGCTCCAAAAACCTGGTTAGACAGTGGCATGAGGAAGCAGCGTGCCCAAGAGTGAGGCAGCATTTGCCACAGCGGGATATAGAAGGGAGAGGTAAGACGGCGTGTGCCGGTGCCCACAGCCTCTCAGCCGCAGGGGACCGAGGGAGCTGTGGCTTCCCTTCATTGCCTACTTTTAGGTTTTGTAACCACGTGAATGCCTCATCCACTGAAAAAATTAAACTTACAAACTTGCCAGAATTTGCCCCTGAGGGCCCGAAGCCCCCCTGGGCGAGGACGCTGCAGCAGTGCATGTGAGTAAGACCCTGTATCTGCAGGGCCACCCCTCTACCACCCATCTCGGCACCCACACCCCCTCAGCACCCCAGGCTCCTCTGCAGAACTGAGGCCCCTCCCCTCCACGGAGGCACTTCCCTGTCTCAGAAGGGAGGAAGTCTCTGCTTGAGTGCCACCTGACTGGAATCTCACAGGAGGAATTGAAAATCAGCGTCACAGGCCCCACTCCTGGCCTCCACCCCAGCCTGGCTTAAAGCAGAAAATCAACACATAGAAGGAGATGGCTATTTTGAGTGCTGGGAGCCAGTTTCTCTCCCTTTTCTCCCTCGTCTTCCTCCCCCTTTCCAAGGGCCTGGCCCCTCCTGGGAAGGCAGGGAAAGGACAAAGACCCTGGGAGAGGGACGCGCCTGCCACTGCCCAGCCTGGGCGGCAGAATGACACAGGCGCTGGAACTCACCCTGGCATTGGCCTGGCAGGAAGGCCCAGCTGCCCGCTGGCCCGGCTCCTCCTGGGCAGCTCCGTGGGAATTCCCTGGGGGCAGAGCGCATTACAGGAAGCGGCCGCTGGGTGCAGGGCGGGCTTCTCTGGTTCCCATAGACCATCCCCTCCCCATGAACTGGAGCAGGCTTCCCGTGCAAGCCCATTTGGCCTGGAAGTAGGAAAAATACCGCTCCTATGGTTCTGTGTTCTGCTGGAGAAAAGTCTCCGGGGCCGGGCCCCACCCCGATCCCCGCTTCTTACCCACCCCACCTACCCTGGCCGTCCCTCCACTTTCTCCTTACTTCCCCCAACTCAACCACACTCCACAGGGTCATGGCTGCTTTCTCTGAGCTGACAATGCTGGTGCCACTGCACACAGGACCACCTTCTGCACCCCTAAAGGGACAATGGCCGGTTGCTGGGCTTGGTGATGGTTCAGGGTCTTGAAAACCTTTTCTCTGCCCGCCCCTGCCCCCACCAACCCACCACAGACTGAGACAGCAATCCCAGGGCCTCCGTGGGAGAGGAGAAGAGCGTCCCAGGACACCACCCACCAGAGCAGCTCAAGCCCCCAAGCCAATCCCTGCCCTGGTTCCACACCCCAGCCCCCACTGAAACCCCGGAGGCAAAGCGTCGCTCTAGCTCTTATTCTTAGCATCGAACTTGCTCCCACTACGGTGGGAATAAGGTACCTGGCGCCGGTGCATGTAACAATGGGCCGGGGGCTCAGGCGGCAGGTTCATTCTGAGAACCCTCCACCTCCTTAAGACATTTCTTGAGGACTTGGGTTTATGATGAGTGAGTCATGGAGCCACATAATTAGAGATAGGAAAGGCAGCTTTGCCAGGGCCTCGACTTGGACCAGAACGTTCTACTTTTAGATTCATGGAACAATCACATCTCACTGGACCTGAGACAAGTGAGGAAACTGAGCCCCAGAGAGGCAACCGGGACTCTCGGTGGAGTACATGGGGAGCAGGGACAAGATGAATGGGGGTCCCACATCTCCAGAGGTCTGGTGATCTGGCTAATACATGGCATCAGAAGTACCAACAGCTGTAGGAAGGGAGGCTGCATCTCCAGCCCCCCAGGAAGGCATGGGACCAGTCCAGTCTGAAGAAGGAGCTGGGGGCAACCCTGAGGGTCAGCTCAGGCCTCAGAGCAGAGGACAGCTGGGATCATGATTGGTTTTTTTCAATCTCAGCCTCAGAGCAATGCTCCAAGAACAGGAACCTAAAGGAAGCCAGGCTACGAGATCTGGCACTTGCATCTGCTCCTGGAAGCCAGCCTGGCCTCTGGAGGCCTGAGAACCTGGTGCCACTGTGAGGACCTCATGCCACTGTGAGGACCTGGTGCCAGTGTGAGGACCTGGTGCCACTGGGCTCTCGCTCTGGGCTTTTCCTTTCAGTTATCAGTCTGCAGTGGAGACTGGTTTCCACTGCCAGGGTGAGGATGTTTGGACACCATGAGAACCCTCTCGAAATTCCAGGGTTTTGAATTTCAAGCTGAGCTGGGTCCCGGTAGTATTCAGGTTCACAGGAAGTTGGCACAAATCAGCCTCCTGCTTATGATGGGCAGTGGGGAGGGGGTCAAGGAAAGCCTCTTAGGAGGTCACAATGACATCTCAGACACCAGCGAGTGCTTGTGACACATACTGCTGAATGAAGTCTGGGTGAATCAGAAACACGAGGCTGCATTTCCCTTGGAATACACTCGGGGTTAATAATTACATGAGAAATCACTTGGCAAATCCATGTGGGGTGTTGCTGAACCCAAAACATTCAAGAAGATGTTTGACTAATCCCATCCCTGGGCATGGCCCATTCTTTCCAAGAGGGCAGGGGATGGCTTTAAACAACTATGGGCCACATGCTTGCAACCCACAAGGCCTGGCTGCTTTCCAAGAGTGTTTCTCTGCCCTTGAACATCTAGGAATCGAGTTCACCTGGGGAGAGGGGATTTTTTTCCCAAGTGATTCTATGGGAATTGATTACCTGATTCTCTGGTTCTAAAACTTCAACAGCATCTACTGGGAAAATGAGGTGGGGGGAACACGGGGCGGGGGACGGGGGGAGGTGAGGTGGGCGATGGCTCCTGGGGGACTTGTTAAGAAATATTTTGGATGATTCAATGACTCTCCGGACTAGAAGCCTTTTGATTTTGATTAACCACGAAAAAAACTCCACCGGCAACAGTGAGATCATTGCGTGAGTGGGGCTGCTTCGTATTGTCATGAGAGTTCCATGAAGGCCCCGAGGGCACTCCGAAATATCACAGTGGCTTCCAGGAAATTCTCTGCCAGCATCTGCAGGCGGGAGACAAAGTGTTGCCTTGGTCCCATTTCTGGGGCAAAGGCGACGCTCCGCACCCTGCACTTGGCGCTCTGCGCTCCGCACTCCGCAGGCCATAGTCTGCACTCCGCAGTCCCCAGCCCGCACCCCACACTCTGCTCTGCACTCCGCACTCCGCACCCTACTGTCCGCACTCCTCACTCCACAGTCCATACCCCACACTCTGCAGTCCGCACTCCGCAGTCTGCACTCTGCATTCCACACTCCGCAGTCCTCACTGCCGCAGTCCACACTCTGCAGTCTGCACTCCTCGGGCTGCTGGCAGGGCCCTGCGTATCTTTGCTCAGAACTTTCCTTCCCAGAGCCTCAGCTTTTCCGGCTGCCTGGGTGGCCTCAGAGGGTCTAAACAGCTTTCCATGCTCCTTCGCACCATACCTCTGGGCTCGGGGCACAACTTCTGCCACATTCTGTGCCACGTGGTCACTAGCACTGCGCGGCCAGATTTCCACAGGCGTCCATGCCGCAGTTGTGTGCTAAGGGTCTACTGTGTGGCAGAGACGCCCAGACAAAGAAGACACAGCTCACGGGCTTGCGTGACTTACGGGTAGGGGGACCCACCCACCTGGTCATGGCAAACCCCTGAGAGAAGTAGAATGCGCTGCCTTGTCCATCCCCCGCCACCCATCCATCGGTTCATTCATTCCATGAATATGTGTTGGGACATGTAAGACTTGCTTTCATCCCCTGTAGTTGCTATGACAAAGTCCCACAAACTGGGTGTCTTAAAACAATAGACATTTACTCCCTCAGAGTTTCAGAGGCCAGCCATCCAGAATCAAAATGTCAGCAGGGACAATGCAGTATGGCTTAACTGTGTCCCCCAAAAGTTCATGTGTTGGAAACATGGTTCCCAGTGCAGCCGTCTTGAGAGGTGGGACCTTCAGGAAGTTGCTGGGCCATGAGGATCCTGCCCTCGTGAGTGGATTAATCCATTCAGGGGATAATGGATTCATGGCTTATGGAGGGAATGGGGTAGTTATCACGAGAGTGGGTCTATGATGAAACTCACTTCAGCCATATCTCATGAGCCCCCGGGCATCTGAGGCCCTGTGCCCCTCGGGACTCTGCAGAGAGTCCCTGCCAGCAAGAAGCCCCACATCAGAGGCACCCCTCAACCTGGGACCTCCCAGCCTCCAGAACTATGAGAAATAAATATCTTTTCTTCATAAATCACGCAGGTAATTACTTATAACAACAGAAAATGGACTAACACAGCCACACTGTCTCTGAAGGCTCCAGGGAGGATCCTACCTTGCCTTGTCTGGCTTCTGGTGGTTGGTGGCACCCTTGGCATTGCTTGGCTCATGGCCCAATAGTCTCACCTTCAATAGTCACGTGGCCTCCTCCTGTCTGCGTCCCTGTAATCAAATGTCCTTCTTCTTCAAAGGACCCATTGGATTTAGGGCCCACCCCACTCCATTCTGACCTCGTGCTAGCTTATTACATCTTCTTCTGTCTGCACCCACCCTATTTCCATGGGAGAACCCTGAGGTCCTAAAAGGCCATGGACTCTGTGGGGTCACCTTCCAGCCCAGCACAAGCATGTTGCAGGAGCAGGCACTGTTCTAGTCTCTGCCATCACGTACCTTGCATTTCCGGTAAGGGAGATGGATTTGAAAGCCATAGTCCGCAGGTAACAGAACGCCCGGTGGAGCACAGCTCTATGGAGAGAATGAAGCAGGGGCAAAGGCTCCAGGGTGATGGGGACACCGTTGTCTGCAGGGCAGCCCAGGAAGGCCGCTGTGAGGAGCTTACAACTGCAGGGAGGTAGTGGGACTCCCCAGGGGAGGACTGCTCCGGGTACAGAAAGCAGTCAGTGCCATGGGCTTGAATGAGAAGTGTGCCCGATTTCCCAAGGCCTAGCAAGGAGGCAGAGTGGTGGCTGGGCAGGGACTGAAGGAGGAGGAGAAGCAGGCAGGGCGGCCACTGCCAAGTCCCAGAGCAGGGCATCTTTCCCGAGCATGCTAAGGACGTGGGAGTTGAACTGTGGGCTTGGGGGAGCCTTAAAAGAGAAGTGGCCTGGACAGAGTCTGTGCCAGGCCTGCCCTGGCCAAGATGGGGAGAGCCAGGTGAGGGGCAAGCGGGGAGGAGGAAGAGCAGCCACGGAGAGGCCAGCAGCACCACAGAGCGAGGCTGAAGCGGGGGCGATGCGGGGTTCTGGACGTAGGTCTCAGTCATGCTGACGGACATCGCTGAGCTGCAGGATGGGACCAAAAGAGCAACACCATGGACAACTACGAGGTTTGGGGTCTGAGCACCTGCCAGGTGGCCGTGCTGTTGCTGTTGGCTGATGGGAGAGTAATCAAGCGGAAGATAAAATGCTCTGTGGTCGGCTGGGCACAGTGGCTCACGCCTGTAATCCCAGCACTTTGGGAGGCGGAGGCAGGCGGATCATGAGGTCAGGAGATTGAGACCATCCTGGCTAACACGGTGAAACCCCGTCTGTACTAAAAATACAAAAACAAAACTAGCCGGGCATGGTGGTGGGCGCCTGTATTCCCAGCTACTTGGGAGGCTGAGGCGGGAGAATGGCATGAACCTGGGAGGTGGAGCTTGCAGTGAGCCAAGATCGTGCCATTGCACTCCAGCCTGGGCGACAGAGCAAGACTCCGTCTCAAAAAAAAAAAAAAAATGCTCTGTGGTCACAGCAGAAACTGAGAGGAAACCTGCCTAGATTCAACATTCAGGGAAGGGGACTTCTGAGCTGGGTTTTGAAGGATGACTAGGAGTACCCCACTGTGCCCAAAGTGAGCAGGTCCTTCAGGGGAGGGGTCAGTATGCCCTTGTGTCAAAGCCTCTGATGAAGGCAGTTTCTGTCTCCTCTCCTAAGCCTCCAGCCCCTCCTCTCCTGAGCCTCCAGCCCTCGAGGCAGGTCCTGCGTCACCGTCACCGGGAGCAGCAGTGGGCAGGAAGAAAGGGGCAACTGTGATGTTTGCAGCCCGGCACCCACTCTTAGCTGGCAGCATTCCCTTGGGCCTTGTATGAGGTTGGATTGTGTCCCCATAAAAAGTTACGTCCACATCCTAACCCCCGAGCCTGTGAATGCACCCTTCTTTGGACATAAGGTCTTGACAGATGTAATCAAGTGAAGATGAGGTCGTTCTGGGTTCGGGTGGGCCCCAGGTAAAAGGCCTAGCATTGTTCCAAGGAGAGGGAGATTCGGGGGCACATGGACACACCGAGGGAAGAAGGCCAGTGAAGACAGAGGAGGAGATTGGGGGGATGAACACTGAAGACTGCCCACAGCCTCCCGTAGCCCCTCAGAGAGCCTCCAGGAGGAACCAACCTGGCCGACACCTTGATTTTGGACTTCTGGCTTCCACAACTGTGAGAGAAGGAAACTCTGTTGCTTTCAGCCCTGCTGTGTGTGGAACCTTGTTTCAGCAGCCCAGGACACTCACACAAGCCCCAATGCCATCCTCTGGAAGACAGGCACAGTGCCCGCCACTCAGCCTCGGGCACTGTTCCACGGGGCAGTGTCCTGTGCTCCACCAGCACAGCTGACACTTGTCTTAGTCAGGGGCCTCTGGAGCTGGGCCACTCAAAACGTGGTCAAGCGACCAGCCACATTGACGTCACGTGGAAGCTTGTTAGACTGGCCCACTTGGACCCAGTAAGCCAGAATGTGCATTGTGATAAGATCCCCTGATCTCCCCTGCACCGCATGCTTTGAGAAGCTCTGCTCTAGGACGCGGAGCCTGAGGCCAGGACGTTGGTGCCGACCCTGGCTGAGGGAGGGGTCAGCCAAGGCGGGGGAGTGAGGAAGAGGGCCATGAAGAAGGCACAGGCACGACGACACGAGGGAACCAGAGGGGTCCTGGGCAGAAGCACCCCAGCTGTCCCAGCAGGAGCCGCACCTCCAAGTGGCCCACAGAGAGTAAGGAGGAGGGGGTTTGTCAGCCTGGCTGCCTGTCACTCCTCTCCCACTGTTAAAAGTTTACCCCATGGTAGAGGGTGGCAGAGGATGAGGAGCAACTCCTCAATGGCTCCAGGGCGTTTGGGGTGAGGACAATGTTTTAGATCTTGAGGGAGGTGGTGGTTGCACAACTCATTAATGTACTAAATACCACCGAGTTGTTCACTTGAAAATGATTAATCGATGTTAAACGAATCTCACCGACGTTTTTTAAAAGTGTATCTGTGAGATGCTAACCTCTCCTGCACTCCCGGGTGCTTCTCAGAACACCAGGTCTTGCACGCTGAGTCATGGCATCTGGGTACCATCGAGGAGGGAGAGGTGGAGTGCAAGAAGACGATGGCAGAGTCGTGTGTGGTGACTACTTTCTCATTATTGTCACCATCCTCTCCAAAAGTTGACTCAGTTTCATAGCGCATCTGGCAAGGCTCAGGCGCACCCGGGAGCATCCTCACCAGCCTACAACCAAGAATGGAGCCACCCTGAGAAAGAAGCATGGAAGAAAAGACTGTGCAACTGAGAGAACGGTGCTGCACACAGTGGGGCTTCCAGGAGCACCAGGGTGTGATTTATTGCATTTATCATTCAACTCCAGGTGATCTGTGTGCCACAGGATTGCAGCTCAGGCGTGCGCCACGCCACCCTGAGTCAAAGTGAAGCTTGGGCAAGTCACTCAGCCTTTCTGAGTTTCAGTTTTCTTATCTGTAAAATGGAAGTGATATCCACCTACTCAGAGCTGTTGGGAGCAACGAAAGTAGATGCCACTTCAAACCTAGCCCCGAAAACTTCCTATAGATAGAGCTTTATGGAAAATTAGTAGCTCACAGACAAAAATTGCAACACATTAGAATAAATCTAGCAGAAGTAAGAGACAGCAAAATCAAACCCACAAAGAGTTCAAAATTGAAATTATCAAACATAAAAAATAATATAAATATGTTTAATATGTTTAAAGAAATAAAAGTGAAACTTAAAACATGATCGAGGGATCCATAAAAAATGACCAACAAGTTTTGAAAAAAGGCAGAATTTCTAGAAATGAAAAATGTAATTACTAAAATTAAAAACTCGCTGTGTGTTGAGTAGCTACATTAATTTCAGACAAAGTCAACTTTGGAGCAAAGAAAAGCTCCAGCATAAAAAGGGGCATTACATTCTGCTAAAAAGGATCAGGCCAGGCGTGGTGGTTCATGCCTATAATCCCAGCACTTTGGGAGGCCGAGGCAGGTGGATCATGAGGTCAAGAGATTGAGACCAGCCTGACCAACATGGTAAAACCCCGTCTCTAGTAAAAATACAAAAATTAGCCAGGCATGGTCATGCCCACCTGTAATCCCAGCTACTCAGGAGGCTGAGGAGGAGAATCGCTTGAACCCGGAAGGCAGAGGTTGCAGTGAGCCGAGATGGCGCCACTGCACTCCAGCCTGGGCGACAGAGCGAGACTCCATCTCAAAAAAAAAAAAAAAGAAAAAAAGAATCAATTCACTACGGACACTACAAAAACCCCAAATGTGTATCACCTAAGAGCAGAGCTTCCAAAGACATAAAGCTTACAGACTGACAGAACTGAAAAAAGAAATAGATAAATCCATAGTTAATAGTTGGAAACTTCAACACTCCTCCCTCAATAACAGAACTAATAGAAAATCATCAAGGATAGAGAAGAACCTAACAATACTATTATCATCTGGATCTATGAGACATTTAGAACATTCTGCCAACCAGGGGTGGTGGCTCTTGCCTGCAATCCCAGCACTTTGGGGGGCTGAGGAGGGTGGATCTCTTGAGCCCAAGAGTTTGAGGCTGCAGTGAGCTATGATCACATAACTTCAACAGAGTGAGACCCTGCCTCAAAAAAAAAAAAAAAGAGCATTCTACCCAAAAAAGCATAAAACATATTTTTCAAGTGCACATGGAGTATTCAGCAAGACAGACTATATTATGTCATAAAACAAACATTAACAAAGTTAAGGGAATTTAAATTATACAAAATATGTCCTATAATGCAATTAAACTACAAATTAATAACAGAAAAATCAGAGAAAAATATTCAAGCGCTTGGAAGTTAAACACCACACTTTGAAATAATGTATGACTCAAAGTCTCAAGAGAAACTTCAAAACATTTTGAACTAAACATAAATGAAAATACAACATGTCAAAATGTATGAAAAGCAGCTACAGCAGGGCTTAGAGGGAAATTTATAGTATTAAATGCTATTATAAAGAAGAAACGTCTCAAATCAATAAGCTAAGCTTTTATTCTTAAGAAACTAGAAAAGGAAGAGCAAAATAAATCCAAAGTAAACAGAAGGAAGGAAATAATAAAGACAAGAACAGAAATCAATGACATTGAAATCAGAAAAACCAAAGAGAAAAATCAATAAAACCAAAATATGGCTCTTTAAAAAGATCGATAAAATTGATGAAGCTTTAGCAAACTAACAAAGAGAAAAGAATACCTCACAGGTGTCAATAATGATTGAAAGGAATACTATGAACAATTCTGTGCACCTAAATTCTACATCTTAGACAAAATGAATGAATTTCTTGGACACAAACTACCAAAATTCATCCAAGATTAAATAAATAACTTGAATACTCCTATAACTATTAAACACGTTTAATGCATAGTTTTCTATTTGTTTTCAAAAAATAAATATCCAGTCCCACATGGTTTCACTGGCTAATTCTACCAAACATTGAAAGAAGAAATAACATTGATTGTTACCCAGAAAATAAAAGATTAAAGACTACTTCATGACACATTATATGAGCATTGCCTCAAAACTAGAAAAAGACTGTACCAAAAAGGAAAACTACAGACCAGATTCCTACATAAACACAAACACAGAAGTCCTCAGCAAAATATCCGTAAATAAAGTCCAGCATTATATGAAATACACCACCACCCAGTGGGGTTTATTCTCAGAAGGCAAGGATGGTTCAGTACTCAAATATCCATCAGTGGAATCCACCTTATCAATAACCTAAAGAAAAAACATATGATCATTTCAACAGACACAGAAAAAGCATTTAACAAAATGAAGCATCCATTCATGATAAAGTTCTCAGCAAAATACCGATAGAAGGGAACTTCTTCCATCTGATAAAGGACATCAACAAAAATCCTATATCTAGCATCATGCTTAATAAGTAAAGACTTTCCCCCAAAGATTGGGAACAAGGCAAGCATAGACACTCTCACCATTCTATTCAATATCATAGTAGAAATCTTAGCCAATAAAATAAGACAAGAAAAAAGAAATGAAAGCCTTGCAGATTGGAAAGAAATAAAACTGTCCCTGTCCTCAGGCAACATAACCACACTGAAAATCCCAAGAAGCCTATATTTTTTTAAAAAAAGACTCCTGGAACTAACAAGCAGGTTTTCAAGGTCCTAAGATAGAAGATCACCACACAAAAATTAATCTTATTTCTATACACTAACAATGCACAACTGGAGTGATTTTTTTTTTTTTAATTTCGAGATGGAGTCTCGCTCTATTGACCAGGCTGGAGTGCAATGGCACAATCTCAGCTCACTGCAACCTCCACTTTCTGGGTTCAAGCAATTCTCTTGCCTCAGTCTCCTGAGTAGCTGGAATTACAGGCACCTGCCACCATACCCAGCTAATTTTTGTATTTTTAGTAGAGATGGGGTTTCACCATGTTGGTCAGGCTGGTCTCGAACTCCTGACCTCATTATCCACCTCGGCCTCCCAGAGTGCTGGGATTACAGGTATGAGCCACTGCACCTGGCCTCTTTTTGTTTGTTTGTTTGTTTGTTTTTAGAGACAGAATCTCACTCTGTCACCCAGGCTGGAGTTCAGTGACATGATCTTAGCTCGCTGCAACCTTTGCCTCCTAGGTTTAAGCGATTCTCCTACCTCAGCCTCCTGAGTAGCTGGGATTACAGGCGAGTGCCACCACGCCTGGCTAATTTTTGTATTTTTAGTAGAGACGGGGTTTCATCATGTTGGCCAGGCTGGTCTTGAACTCCTGGCCTCAGGCAACCCACCCACCTCAGCCTCCCAAAGTGCTGGGGTTACAGGCATAATCCAGCCAAATGGAGTGATTTTTTAAAAAGATTCCATATCACAAATTATCAGATGCAACACACACAATACTTATAAGGAAATGTAGAGTTCTAAATGATGAGTAATAAATCACATACAAGTCAGGTTTATCCCAGGAATACAAGCCTGATTTATACAAATATGTTAATTAGATTTAAATCTATTAATTAGATATAAAAATCTAATTAATGTAATTTACCACAATAACAGATTAAAAAAGCAAATTATATCTTAGTAAATGAAAAAGAAAGCATTCAATAAATGTCCATATCCAATCATGGTTTGAAAATTTTAGCAAAATAGGAATAGAAGGGAATTTCCTTCATCTGATAAAGAGTCTCTCCCAAAAATACCTACAATAACCATCATGCTTGGAGAAAAGCTAAAAGCATTCCTGTTAAGACCACAAAAGAGCCTCTCCCAAAAATACCTGCAATAACCATCATGCTTGGAGAAAAATTAAAAGCATTCCTGCTAAGACCACGTCCCAGACTCTTCTGTATAACACCAAACTGGAGTTGCTAACCTGTGCAGTAAGACATGAAAAGAAAATATAAAGGAAGAAAGACACAGAAAACTCTTCTTAGTTACAAATGAAAATACTGTCTACATAGAAACCTGAAAAGAACCTATGGAAAATTATCAATAAGACATTTAAATAAAGTGGGTGGGTACAAAACCAGCATATAAACCTCAATTGCATTTCTATAAAGCAGCAACAACTAGCAAACACAAGTCTTAAAAAGATGCCACTTACAACAGCAACATCAACAAACACAGGTATATGATGCATACATATATGTAAATAAACTGGGAATAAATCTAACAAAGATGTATCCAAATGGCGCTTTTTTTTTTTTTGACGGAGTCTCACTTTGTTGCCAAGCTGGAGTGCAGAGGCACAATCTTGGCTCACTGCAACCTCCGCCTCCTGGGTTCAAGTGATTCTCCTGGCTCAGCCTCCTGAGTAATTGGGATTACAGGAGTGCACCACCACGCCTGGCTAATTTTTGTGTTTTTAGTAGAGATGGGATTTCACCATGTTGGCCAGGATGATCTCAATCTCTTGACCTCATGATCCCCCCGTCTCAGCTTCCCAAAGTGCTGGGATTATAGGCATGAGCCACCACGCCCGGATGAGCATTTTTTTGATAAAAGACTCAGTATCTTAGAGGTATGGTTCTCCCCCAAATTGTATACAGATTCAGCACAGTTCCAGTACAAAAAGAAATCCTTCCACTCTTTGATGTATTTCAGTGCAGTTCCATCATTTTCACCATAGAGGGATTATCACTCACTTGCCCTGTGATCTTGGACAAGGTCTTGAGTTTTCTCAGCTGAGAAAATAAAAGGATGGGAACAGAAGATCCCTAACCCCCCTCCTGTGCTGAAAGCCTAAGATCCTTCAGGAGGAAGAGGCAGGTGAGGTACATCTGACACTTCGGCGTGGCTCCTGCTGAGGGCAATGAAATGATAAACCAGGCTGGGGTGGGTCTGAGACTCCACCCTATGACCTTGGCATCTAACAGGAGGTAAAATGGAAAGCAAATCATGACACGTCCCAAACATTATGTAATCATTGTAAATAGCTTTTAAAGGATTACATAGACATGGAAAATATTCACGACATGTTAAGTGGGAAAAAAATCACACACATCCTATAATTACAATTCTAAAGGCAAAGACAAGATCCAGGAGGCAAGGCCGCTCAAACTCTTAAGTTTCACTGTTTGATACTGTTGAGAAGCACAATAATGACCAATGAGCAGAAAGAGCATCAGTAAACGCTCCCACTTTCTAAGTCCTCTGGCAGGAAGTCTTTATTTGCTTCCCGGAGTTAGGACTGCGGCATCAGGGGTTTCAGGCCTAGGATTTGGGGTATGGGGTGTGTCAGGCCTAGGATTTGGGGCATCGTGGGTTTCAGGCCTAGGATTTAGGGCATCGGGGATTTCAGGCCTAGGATTTGGGGCATCGGGGATTTCAGGCCTAGGATTTGGGGCATCGGGGATTTCAGGCCTAGGATTTGGGGCATCGGGGATTTCAGGCCTAGGATTTGGGGTATCGGGGGTTTCAGGCCTAGGATTTGGGGTATCGGGTGTTTCAGGCCTAGGATTTGGGGCATCAGGGATTTCAGGCCTAGGATTTGGGGCATTGGGGATTTCAGGCCTAGGATTTGGGGTATCGGGGATTTCAGACCTAGGATTTGGGGTATCGGGTGTTTCAGGCCTAGGATTTGGGGCATCAGGGATTTCAGGCCTAGGATTCGGGGTATCAGGGGTTTCAGACCTAGGATTTGGGGCATCAGGGATTTCAGGCCTAGGATTTGGGGTATCGGGTGTTTCAGGCCTAGGATTTGGGGTATCGGGTGTTTCAGGCCTAGGATTTGCTTCCTGTCAAGGTACATGTGTCTGGGAGCTGGGGATGCTTCACCTTCGTGCCTGGCTCCTGGGAACATCACCAGATCCTGGTCTGTCTGTCTGGGACAGTGCACACTTTCCCAGCCCACAGGCGAAGTTGATGCTCCTGGGAGCACTTCCACTCCCCGACAAGTCTCTTCCTGTGTCGTGGTTGCTTACTTATCGTTGTCTCACCCTAGAAGGCAAGCGCCCAAGGCCAGGGCTGAGTTTTTCTTGTTCAGAGCTGTGTCCCCAGCATTCCTGTCCACAGATGTTTGTTGAATGACTGAATGAATGTATAGGAATCAGAAGCATTGGGAGGGAGCAAAGGCCAGAGTTTTGCTAGAAAGTCTGAGGGTGCTGGCCCTAGAAATCCCCAAGGTCCCTCCCTCATGTCCTACGTCGTGGCTACCCTTAAGTCTGACATGCCCTGGGCCATGGCTTCCAATGTCAGGAAGAGGCCAGCCAGGTCCCAGCCATGTCTCCGGCCTTGACCTTGGGCTAGTCCTCTGTATGCCAGGTCCAGACCCTCTGCTTAAGTCCAAGTAGGTGAAGGTGAAGTCAGTCTTTCCGCTACCTGGCTCCAGCCCTTGGCCAGGCCCAGCCCCAGGTAGACCTTCCCCAGACACCTCTTCCTCTGTCAAAGCTCTGGAGAAACTTGCTGGGGCTCTGCCACCAGGCCCCTCCCCACCACCAGGCCCTGCCCTCCCAGGGTCCACCCCCTGGGTCTTACTTTGAGGCCTCCCTGTTTCAGATGGTCCCCTGCTGTGAAGTCCTGTCTTGGCCAAAAAGGGTGCATGTGGCAGGGTGATTAAGCCGTGGGGCCTGGTTATGGATGTGGAGTGGGGGTGCCTGTGCTGGGGCCGGAACACAGCAGCCACGTTCCTCCACACACGCACACAGCAGTAGCTGAGGTTGGCCCCATGCTGTCACGGGTGTTCTCACCTGTGCCTCTCCATAGTCGGGAAGCAGGAAAGTGAGGGTCATCCCGCAGTTCTAGATGAGGAGCCCAATGTGATGGGACTGCAAGTGGAGGAGCGGGACCTAGAGCCCAGGCTCCCGTTTCCCTGCCCAGGGCCCTCCCAGGGGCGCAACCTCTATGCACTGCTGTGTTGCTACCACCTCACTGCAGGAGCCAGAGGAGTGAGGACAGCCCCTTTGTGCCAACACTATGAATGAATGTATGGGAATCATAAGAAGATGACCAGGCCGTGTTGGAGCCAGGGGCCACATTGCCCCGCTTGAGTGTCCATCCACTGGCCCCTGACTCCTTTCCCCACCATGCCCCCAGCTGTTGCCAGCCCCACTCCCACCTGGGAAAGCAAGATTTGTGCAGGCCCCTCATTCCCCCGGCTCCTGCCTGGCCAGAGCCCACCACTGCACCACAGGATAAACATACATGCTGCGAAGGGAGACTTTGTGTGTGTCTCATGAGGCTCAACAACGGTGATGACCCCCGAGAAGATGCAATAAAAAGGACAACCTAGCCGGGTGCGGTGGCCCACGCCTGTAATCCCAGCACTTTGGGAGGCCGAGGTGGGCGGATCAAGAGGTCAGGAGATCGAGACCATCCTGGCTAACACGGTGAAACCCTGTCTCTACTAAAAATACAAAAAATTAGCTGGGTGTGGTGGTGGGCGCCTGTAGTCCCAGCTACTTGGGAGGCTGGGGCAGGAGAATGGCGTGAACCCGGGAGGTGGAGGTTGCAGTGAGCAGAGATAGCACCACTGCAGTCCGCCCTGGGCGAAAGAGCAAGACTCCGTCTCTCAAAAAAAAAAAAAAAAAAAAAAAAAAAAGACAACCTAATTTTGAAATTGGCAGAGGAATTGAACAGACATTTCTCCAAAGGAGCTATACAAATGGCCAAAGAGCCCATGAAAAGATGGCCAACAATGCTCCGTGCATCTTACAAACAAACCTTTTTAAAACCCAGCTAGGAAGTTCAGGGTCAAATCTGGAATTTCACACTGGCAACATTAGCTCAGGGAAGTGGTGGGGCAGCCCTCAGGCAGCTGAGCCATGCAGGAATGAGTATCCCGTGAAACATCAGCTGTCAAAGGCCCAGCCGACCCAGGAGGGTCACACTGCTTCCGCCTCAGTGCCGCCCTACCCTGGGCAGCTTCAGGATTCCAGAGGGGTCATGTGCTCTGAGGAGTGACCCTAAATGTGGCAGAGGGATCTAGTGACCGCCCAAAGCAAGCAGGACAGATCCCTGGAGTGCCAGCCCCTTTCCATGGGTGAAAGGTGATTCTGGTCTGCTGTTCTGGGTCCGAGGAAGGGCTGAAAAATGGGAGCAGAGGACCGTTCGAGCCCCTTCCCTGTCCCCAGATCCTCCTTCAGGGCTGCCAGTTGTTCTGTGCTCGTTCCATACATGCCTGCGGGGTCTGTCTCTGAATTTCCTGCATGACACGGTCAATCCAGGGGATAGTAAAAGGAAGGCAGAAGGTTTGCCCTGAATACTGGAAAAGAGTTCAAAAGTGTGTTAGTCTAGCATTTCTCTGGGGATATTTTGTAGATAGCCCACTTTTTTTTTTTTTTTTTTTTTGAGACAGAGTCTCGCTCTGTTGCTCAGGCTGGAGTGCAGTGGCGCGATCTCGGTTCACCACAACCTCCGCCTCCCAGGTTCAAGCAATTCTCCTGTCTCAGCCTCCGGAGTAACTGGGATTACAGGCGCCCGCCACCACGCTCAGCTAATTTTTGTATTTTAGTAGAGACAGGGTTTCACCATGTTGGCCAGGCTGGCCTGGAACTCCTGACCTCAAGCGATCCGCCCTCCTCGGCCTCCCAAAGTGCTGGGATTACAGGTGTGAGCCACTGCGCCCGGCCGATATCCCACTTTGCTGAAGGCTTTTGTGATCTAATATATTTGGAAAATACTAATGCCATTTTTTTTAAAGAAGGCTTTTTGTTGTTGTTGTTTCAAGTCTACACAGATCCCTGAATATGCAAAACTGCCCTGGATTTTTCCAAGAGAAAAATTTGCACCGTTTCACAAACTCACTTTTTGGAGGGACTTTGTCTCAGTGAACCATGAGGTATCAGTGTTCCATGAAATATACATGAGGGAATCCCAATCTAGCCCTGTTCCTTCATCTTGCAGACGGGGAGACCAAGGCAAGAGGGAGTGGTAGACAGCTGATTAAGGCCACACAGAGAACCAGGATGAGGGCCCTGGTCCCCAGGTGGCTGTCTCTCAGTTCCTTCCCCTGTTCTTACATCATTTGCTGGGCTAGTGCAAAATGAAAATGCAAGATCCCTTGTTCAAACCCTAGTAAGAATTTCAAGATGGTGATCGCAGGGCATTGCAGCAGGTGCAGGCCCGTCTAGGCACGCTGGGCTCGCCTGTGCAGCCGGCTCTGCTCCCTCAGCAGCCCAGAAGGGCCCTAGAGGACACTCCCCTGAGCACAAACCCAAACACCCCAGCTCTGCTCCTCACTAGCCCAGCCACCTGGGATACAGCACTCAGTCTCTCTGAGCCTCAGTTTCCACTTCCTGAAAGTGGGGTTGTAATGTCACCTGTTTCACTGCTGTGGAGGAGTGGTTGCACAACATTGCAAACAGAAATCAGGGCCGGGAATGGTGGCTCACACCTGGAATCCCAGCACTTTCGGAGGCTGAGGCGGGTGGATCACCTGAGGTCAGGAGTTCGAGACCAGCCTGGCCCACATGGCAAAACCAGTCTGTACTAAAAGTACAAAAAATAGCTGGGCATGGTGGTGCATGCCTGTAATTCCAGCTACTCAGGAGGCTGAGACAAGAGAATTTCTTGAACCCAGGAGGCGGAAGTTGCAGCGAGCTGAGATCACTGCGCTCCAGCCTGGGCGACAGAACAAGACTCTATCTCAAAAAAAAAAAAAAAAAAAGAGAGAGAAATCATTTCCAGTCTTATTCAAAATTTAAAAAGATCCAAGCCTGTGCCTAGAGGGGGCTAGGCCTGCCCACTTCTTGGACCCTAGAGCCTCGAAATCCCCTCCGCCTTTGGCCTGGGGTCTTTGTTCAGTTGTATTGCTATAAAGGAATACTTGAGGCTGGGTAATTGCTAAGAAAAGAGGTTCATTTGGCTCATGGTTCTGCAGGCTGTACAGGAATCATGGTGCTGGCATCTGCTTCTGGTGAGGCCTCAGGAAGCTTCCACTCACCTTGGCAGAAGGCAATGGGAAGCTGGCGAGAGAGGAAGGAAGAGAGAGCAGAGGGCCCAGATCTTCAACCATCAGTTCTCACACAAACTAATAGTGAGAACTCACTCATTACCAGGAGAACGCACCAAGTCATTCATGAAGGATTCGCCTCCATGACCCAAACAACTCCCACCAGGACCCTCCTCCAAGCTTGGGGGTCTAATTCCAACATGGGATTTGGAGAAGACATGGGAACTGTACCCAAAACATGGCAGCTGGATGCTTCTGAACACACTGACGGTGGCTGCTACCAAGAGGGAGAGCGAAGTCACAACAATACCGGCCTGCAGGTTCACCTCCCCATACCAGGCACTTTACAGCACCATTTCCAATTCCCGGGAAACAGGGCCACAAACATAGGAGGCAAGACTCCATTCCAGGTCCGTCTGCTCTGAGGCCTCCATTCCCTCCTCTATATGGGGGGTTTAGTTTCCCACCTTACTTAAAGCCTGTCTGCACTAAGTAAACTCAGTGAGAAAGGCAGGGTGCCCAGTGCCTGGGTACAGCAAAGGCTAAATG
This sequence comes from Homo sapiens, assembly GCF_000001405.40. NCBI lineage: Eukaryota > Metazoa > Chordata > Mammalia > Primates > Hominidae > Homo > Homo sapiens. The sequence goes on from NC_000011.10 coordinate 69,557,708, forward strand.
CATTTGGCAGTTATTGCTAGTATCATTTTTTGTTTTGTTTTGCTTTTTATGAGATAGACTCTTGTTCTGTCACCCAGGCTGGCGTTCAGTGGCACGATCTTGGCTCAGTGCAACCTCTGCCTCCTGGGCTCAAGCTGTTCTCCTGCCTCAGCCTCCCGAATAGCTGGGATTACAGGCGCATGCCACCACACCTGGCTAATTTTTGTATTTTTAGTAGAAATGGGGTTTCTCCATGTTGGCCAGGCTGGTCTAGAACTCCTGACCTCAAGTGATCCACCTGCCGCGGCCTCCCAAAGTTCTGGGATTATAGGCGTCAGCCACCACGCCCAATCTGTATCATTATTCGGTGATTATTTTGGGTGCGGTTTGGGACTTGCAGCATAATATAATTTTTCTCATTGATTTTTACATGTATCACAGCACCACTGCTTTCCCACCATAACCTTGGGCAAGTCCCCTCACCCCTCTCTGCCTCAGTTTCCCGTCTGTGAAATGTCCCTAATGCAAGCCCCCATCCCAGAGGGCTGCTGAGCTGATTAAATCAGCTACTACATGGAAAACTCCCAGGAGAGCGTTCGGCAGAAAGAAGATGTTTTGATAAATGTTGGCTATTCTTAGTATCTACACCATGTAAAGTAAGCTTACGAGTCTAACTGGGCAGCGGTCTTAGCTTGTTCATTCACTCTGTGCCAGTGTAACTCATTCCCTAGGCCTCCTTAAGGACAAACCAGGCACGCTTGGATGCGTTAGTCTGAGATCCTTTGGCCACCTGTCTCCTGTGGGGTCCAGGAAAGGGCCCCATATGAACCAGCTGCATCTGGTGGATAGAGGCACCCCAAACACTGCTTTCACCACTGTCATCGAGCGCTTTCTTGTTTGGTCTCGTAGGTTCAGTGGAAATCTCTGACTTTTTCCTCCCACATTCTGCTCCTTGCCTATGTCTTAGAAATAACAACCCATTCTCAAACTAGAAAGAAGCTAAGGCCACGTGGGCCTTTTCTTGTTGTTTCACGTGGGTGAAACAACACCCCGAACCCAACAAAGCGCTCTCTTTTCTTTCTCTGATTTTCCTTCCGCTCCCACAGCCTCTCCCACCACCACATCTGTCGGTTATCTGTCACATCACATCCTGTAAGTATGAGGATGCTTTTTGATCTACCGGTTACATGATAAGAATAAAGACTTTCCTAAAGCGACTTTATGTGGTGCCGTTAAAAGAACACAAACCTAGGCTCACACATAATGCCACATCTGGGAAATGACGGCTCTGGGGTTTCTCTGCCTCCCGGGTCCCTCTCAGATCAGCCCTGGATGCTGAGCGTCAGGGGTTGTGGGGGCGAGGGGAAGGGATGGGGAATGTGCCTATTTCTATGAAAAATTGAGTAAAAGAAGACTCAGTTCTCCAGTGCTGCAATGAAGTGTGCAAATGCCAGCCTCGGCCAGCAGACCTCCATCCGTGTACCTAAAGGCTTATTTTAAGTAGCTGTGTCTGGTCAAAAAGGGTTCACCTGGTCAGGAAGTGGTCACAGGCTTTTTAGGAGGGCCAAGCCAACACATAAAGGGAAGATAGAGGCACACATAGCAGCCTCAGAGCCCCGGCTCTTTGTCATTCCTGGGTCCAAGGCGAGGACCCTTCACTGGAGAAAGAGCCCTGGGGCTGAAGGGGCCTTGGAATCTGCAGCTGAGATGGGCCAGACAGATAGCCCTGGGTTCCCACAAAGGAAGTTCCTGCTCAATAAGGCTCTCCCAGCGACTCATATGCTGTTCTCAGAGGTCCTGCCCCACACTCCCCTAAAATGGGCAAAAAGAGGCCATGCACCCATAAAGAGATCCTGCGTTTTCCTGTTTTCTCTTCAAATGCTCTTGCTCTGCGTTTTTTCTCTCTTTTATTCAGATGATAATCACATATGACATAAAATTTACCATTTTAAAGTGAAAAATTACTGTCTAGTCCCAAACCATTTTATCACCCTCTCCAGAAACATCCATTCATTAGCAATCACACACCCTACCCCCAGCCTGGAGGCCACCAATCTACTCTCCGTCTCCATAGATTGGCCTGGTCTGGACATTTCAGAGAAATAGGATTGTACAATATGTGGTCTTTTGTGTCTAACTTTTCTTTCTTTATTTATTTTTTGAGACATGTCATGCTCTGTTGCCCAGGCTGGAGTGCAGTGTCGTGATCTCTGCTCACTGCAGCCTCTGCCTCCCAAGTTCAAGCAATTCTCCTGCCTCGGCCTCCCTAGTAGCTGGGATTACAGGTGTGTGCCACCACACCCAGCTAAGTTTTGTATTTTTTGTAGAGATGGGGTTTCACCATGTTGCCCAGGCTGGTATCGAACTCCTGAGCTCAAGTGATTTGCCTACCTTAGCCTCCCAAAGTGCTAGGATTACAGGCATGAGCCACCATGCCTGGCCTAAAAAATGTATATCTTAATTTTAAAATATTGCCAAAAAGTGCTAACAATCACCTGAACGCTCAGCGGGTTGTCATCTTTTTGCTGGTGGAAGGTCTTGCCTCGATGTTGATGGCTGCTGGCTGATCAGGGTGGTGGTTGCTGAAGGCTGGGGTGGCTGTGGCAATTTGTAAAAATAAGATAACAATGAAGTTGGCTACCTTGATGATTGACTCTTCCTTTCAGGAAAGATTTTTCTGTAGAATGCAATGCTGTTAGACAGCATTTTAGCCACAGTGGAAATTCTTTCAAAATTGGAGTCTGCTCCAATTTTATCCACTCAATTTATCCACTCAATTTATGGAATATTCTAAATCCTGTGTTGTCATTTCAACAGTGGGCATAGACTTTTCACTAGGAGTAAATTCCATCTCGATAAATCACTTTCTCTGCTCACCCACAAGAAGCAACTCCTCACTCATTCAAATTTTCTCATAAGATTGCAGGAACCCAGTCCCTTCTTCAGGCTCCACCTCTAATTCTAATTCTCACTATATCCACCACATCTGCAGTGACTTCCTCCACTGAAGCCTTGAAATCCTCAAAGTCAACAATGAGGGTTGGAATCAAACTTCTAAACTCCTGCTAGTATTGATGTTTTCACCTTCTCTCATGAATCATGAGTGTTCTTAATGGCATCTGGAATGATGAATCCTTTCCAGAAGGTTTTTAATTTACTTTGCCCAGATCCATCAGAGGAATCGCTATCTAAGGCAGCAATAGTCCTGTGAGACACATTAGATGTTTCTTAAATAATAAGATTTGAAAGTTGAAATGACTCCTTTATCTGTGGGCTACAGGATGGATGTTATGCTTTCCGGTATGATTACATTAATGTCAACATTATCTCCTTGCACGTCTCTACCAGAGCACATGATTCAATGACCAGGTGCATTGTCAATGAACAGTAATATTTTGAATGGAATATTTTTTCTGAGCAGTAAGTTCTCAACAGTAGCCTTAAAATATTCAGCAAACCATGTTGTAAACAGATATGCTGTCATCCAGGCTTTGTTATTCCATTTATAGAGCATAGGCAGAGTAGATTTAGCATAATTGTTACGGGTCCTAGAATTTTTAGAATGGCAAGTGAGTGTAGGATTCAATTTAAAGTCATCAGCTGCATTAGCCTCTAACAAGAGTGTAAGCCTGTCCTTTGAAGCTTTGACTTCTCCTTCTCTAGCTGTGAAAGTCCTCGATGCCATCTTCTACTAGAAAGCTGTTTTGTCTACATTGAAAACCTGATCTTTAGTGTAGCCACCTTCATCAATGGTCTCAGCTAGATCATCTGGATAACTTGCTGCAGCTTCTCCGTCAGCACTTGCTGCTTCACCTTGCACTTCTATTTTATGGAAATGGCTTCTTTCCTTAACCTCATGTACAACCTCCGCTAGTTTCCTTCTTTTTTTCTGCAGCTTCCTCACATCTCTCAGCCTTCATAGAATTGAAAGCTGGGTGTGGTGGCTCGCGCCTGTAATCCCAGCACTTTGGGAGGCCAAGGTGGGTGGATTGCTTGAACTCAGGAGTTCAAGACCAGCATGGGCAACATGGTGAAACATCATCTCTACAAAAAACACAAAAATTAGCCAAGTGTGGTGGCACAAGGCTGCCACCACTCCTGGGAGGCTGAGGTGGGAGGATCACTTGAGTCTGGGAGGCAGAGGTTGCAGTGAGTCAAGATCAAGCCACTGTGTTGCCACTGTTACTCCAGCCTGGGTAACAGAGCCAGACTCTATCTCAAAAAATAATGATAATAAATTAAAATAAATTAAATTTAAAAAAAGAAGAATTGAAGAGAGTTAGGGTCTTGCCTTGGGTTAGGCTTTGGCTTAAGGGAATGTTGTGCCTGGTTTGATCTATCCAGAACACTCAAACATTCTCCAGATCAGCAATAAGGCTGGTCCACTTTCTTATCATTCATGTGTCCACTGCAGAAGCACTTTTAATTTCCTTCAAGAACTTCTCCTTTGCATTCACAACTTGGCTAACTGGTGTAAGAGGCCTCGTTTTCTGCCTAGCTCAGCTTTCAACCTGCCTTCCCCTCCAAGTTTTATCATTTCTAAACTTTGATTTAAAGTGAGAGGTACACAACTCTTCCTTTCGCCTGAACACTTACAGGCCATGATAAGTTTCAAATATCACGATAATTTCCAAAATGTGACACGGATATACAAAGTGAGCACATGCTGTTGGGAAAATTGCACCAATAGACTTGCTGTACTCAGAGTGGCAAACCTTCAATTTATACGAAACACAACATCTGTGAAGCACAATAAAGTGAAGTACAATAAAATGAGGTATGCTTGTATCAGTGTCTCATTTCTTTTTCATGGCTGAATAATATTCCATCCTATGGACAGAACACATTTTGTTGATCTGCTCATCCACTGGTGGACGTTTGTGCTGTTCCCACCTTTTGGCTGCTGTAAACAGTGCTGCTGTGGACATTTGTGTACATGTGTTATTTCAACACCAGTTTTAAGCTCTTTCAGGCATATACCTAGGAGTGGAACTGCTGGTCACATGGTCATTCCATGTTTTGCTCTGCTATGTTTTTGTTTTTTCCTCTTTTGGCTCCATTTTCCCAAAACCTCAAGATGTTTCTTCCTCAGTGAGGTATCTTGACATGCACTCATTGGGGTCTAGTTGCATTATTTAGACCTCTTTGGGGATCCACCTATACCCTGAGGATGCTGGAGCTACTATTCCTAAAAAGGAAACCCCAGTTCCCCTCCCGGGTCAAGGGCAGGGCTGTGGCCGGTGGGGGGGCCCTTTGTACCTTTCAGTGCTGTTGCCTCTTGGATTCTGTGCCTTTGCTGTCAGGGGTCAGGTCGGGGCTGGGGAGGGTCTCCCTTCTCGCAGGACCCACTGCCTTCATGGATCATGACCCAGGACAGTCACCAGTGCCACCCATTCAGGGTCTGTTGCTGTGGTCCCTCTGAGTCAAGAGCCTCTGGAGTCACTGGGAACCTCCCAGCCAAATCAAGACTGCCCCTGCATCCTCTGGGGGCCTTGTCCACATGCTGACTTTGTTACCCAGGACATGAAGAGAACTCGGAACATCCAAAGACCTAGAGTCCATGGGCCTAACCATACTTTTTCTCCAAAGAATGGGACCTGTGCTGACAAAGGAGCCCAGTTACAAAGGGAAAGAAATGGGGGGCCAGGCGTGACCCCTGAAAGGCCTCTGTGTCATCATGGCAGCTCCCAGGATTGCAGAGGAGGGAAGCAAATGAAACTTCATCCTCAATGTCTATCTCCTGACACACCAGCCATGGCCCTGGGATTTGAAATGCAAAGGAGGTTCCGGAGTAGTGAGGCTGGGATCTGGGTGTTTGGAGCAGGGACCTGGCTGGGAGTTTGGGCAAAGGCCCGCCCCATATTGCAATGGCCAGAGGGACCAACAAGAGGGGAGCAGCAATTGATAAATAAGTTAGCAAATGCAAAAAGCCCAACAGTCACCTTCATCTGTAGCAAATATTTACGACCCTTTGCTCTGTGCAAGATGCTGTGCTAAGAACTCCACCTACATTGTATGGTTGAATTCCCTCAACAGCCCAGGAGGCACATATATTATTATCCCTATTCTAGAGATGGAGAAACTGAGACTCGAAGAGGTCAAAGTTCTTGCCCAAGGCCACATGGAGCCCAAATGCTTATCCACCAGGCCATGCCGCAGCCCATGGTCCAAAGTGCCCATAAGAACTCTGCCATCATTCACTGTTTGATGATCATTCAACCACTGGACAAACCCAGCTCGGTCTTTTGAAGGGCTGATCGGTATCACAGACTATGGCAAAAATAGAAATAAGTAGAATATAAAAAGAATAGATTTCTCAGCGTTCCTTAAATTGTCATTAAAGATTAGAGGGCTCCTAGGAAATGGGGCACATGAAGATGGTGTCCTGAGGCCACCCTTTCCGGAAGTCTGTGGTGGGGCCCTTGTGGCAGGGAGAGACGAGCACCCACGTTATTTGTCAAGTACCCAGAGCCTGGAGTGCGAGGTCCACCCTCACCTCTCAGGGAGTGCAGCCTGAGAAGTCCCTCATCCTGTCTAAGCCAGTGCTTCCTTCTCTGTAAAAAGGAGGTAGTACTCATCATAAGTTGCACTGTGGCCCCTAAAAGCTATGTCCACATCCTGACCCCTGGTACCTGCAATGTGACCTTATTTGGAAAAAAGACCTTTGCAGTGAAGTGAAGGCTCTTAAGAGATGAGATCATCCAGGCTTAACAGGGTGGGCCCTAAATCCCCCGACAAGTGTCCTAGGAAGAGGAAAAACGAGGGGGAGGCCATGTGAAGAGGAGGCAGAAGTGAGAGTCATGAGTCCACAAGCCACAGAATGCCAGGAATTGTCGCCAGCCACAAGAAGTCAGGAGAGAGGCCTGGAGGAGATTCCTTCCTGGAGCTTCCAGTAGGAACCCTCCCTGCAGACACCTTAATTTCAGGTTTCTGGGCAGCAGAACTGTGAAAGAAGAAATTCCTGCAGCTTTAAGCCTGCAGGCTTGTGGTCATCTGTTAGGACAGCCCCAGGACACTCACAGCCACCCAGGACTCAAATGTGCACCTCATACAGTGCAGACTCACGTCGGAGCAGGTGTAGACTCATGTTGGAGCATGTGGTCCACCTGCCCTGGTAGGCTATTGACTGTCTCTACCCAAAACCTTCCAAATGTGCAGGTCTTCCCTTTGATTTAGAACTTCCCCCTCTAGGAATTTATCCTAAGGAAATGAGCAGACGGATGTGCAAAGATGCATGTACAAGATCACATGGTGGGATTATTTAAAATAGAAAAAAGGGGAAAATGGCTCCAATACACTGGTTAAATATGTTTGGATATATCTATTTCGGGGAAAACTATGAATCCATGTAAAGTGATCAAGTAGATGGATTTTTTTGACATGCAGAGATGTTCATTTTACATATATATATATATATATATATATATATATATATATATATATATATATATTTGTTGTTGTTGAGACGGAGTTTCATTCTTGTTGCCCAGGCCGGAGTGCAATGATGCAATCTTGGCTCACTGCAACCTCCACTTCCCAGGTTCTAGTGACTCTCCTGCCTCAGCCTCCTGAGTAGATGGGATTACAGACACTCGCCACCATGCCCAGCTATTTCTTTTATTTTTTGTATTTTTAGTAGAGATAGGGTTTCACCATGTTGGTCAGGCTGGTCTTGAACTCCTGACCTCAGGAGATCCACCTGCCTCAGCCTCCCAAAATGCTGGGATTACAGGGCATGAGCCACTACGCCCAGCCCATTGTATATTATTAAGTAAATACATGATTCCAATTATTTGACTTTTGGGAAAATGCAAAACCACAGAGACAATTACTAGATCACTGGCTGCCAGAGACTGGGGGTTAGAAGGGATGATGAGGTGGACGGAGCACAGGGGATTTTTAGGGCAGTGAACCAATTCTGTGTGATACTATAAAGGTGGATACAGCACATTATGCTCCAAACCCATAGAATGCACAGCACCAGCACCAGGAATAAAACTTAATGTGAACTATGGACTTTAGTTAATAATAATCTATCAATACCGGTTCACTAATTGAAACAAATGTACCGCACCAATACATGATGTTAATAATGGGGGGAACTGTGTGCTTCAGAGGGAGTTATATAGGAGCACTCTGTACTATCTGTTTAGCTTTTTTTGTGTGTGAATCTAAAAATGTTCTAGACCCCTGAAACACAAGCAACAAAAGCAAAAATAAAAAAATAAATAAACAAAGGACCTAGACGGACACTTCTCAAAAAAATGACATACAAATGGCCAACAGATATATAGAAAAATGATCATCATTACTGATAACCAGGGAAACGCACATTAAAATCACAATGAGATACCACCCTACACCTGTTAGAACCGCAATTATCAGAAAGACGAAAGATAACAAGTGCTGGTGAGGAGGTGAAGAAAAGGGAAGCCTTATGCACAGTGCTAATGTAAATTAGCACAGTCAGTTTAGAAAGCTGTATGGCAGTTCCTCAAACAACTGAAAACAGAACAAGCATGTGATCCACAATCCCACTTCTGGGTAGATACTCATGGGAACTGAAATCAGTATGTTGAAGAGGTGTTTGCACTGCCATGTTCATTGCAGCACTATTCACAACAGCTAAGATACAGCAGCAACCTAGATGTTCATCATCAGATGAACAGATAAAGACACTGTGATACACATACACCATGGAATACTACACATCCTTTTAAAAGGAAGGAAATCCTGACATTTGTGACAACGTGGATGAACCAGGAGGACGTTATGCTGAGTGAAATAAGCCAGGCACACAAAGACAAGTACAAATACAACATGACCTCACTTATATGTGGAATCTAAAAAAGTTGAACTCAGCCGGGAGTGGTGGCTCACGCCTGTAATCCCAGCACTTTGGGAGGTTGGGAGGCTGAGGCTGGCGGATCATGAGGTCAGGAGTTTGAGACCTGCCTGGTCAACATCTTGAAACTCTGTCTCTACTAAAACTACAAAAATTTGCCGGATGTGGTGGTGGGCACCTGTAATCCCAACTACTTGGGAGGCTGAGGCAGGAGAATCGCTTGAACCCAGGAGGCAGAGGTTGCAGTGAGCTGAGATTGCGCCGCTGCGCTTCAGCCTGGGTGACAGAGCAAGACTCCATCTTGAGGGGAAAAAAAAAACAAAGTTGAACTCATAGAAGCAGAAGGTAGAATGATGAGTACCAGAGGCTGGGGGCCGATGGGGCATAGATGAGGCAAAAAGGTGTTGATCAAAGGCCATACAGTTTTCGTTAGACAGGAGGAGTAAGCTTTAGGGATCAATTACGTAGACTGGGGACTATAATAACTAATCATGCACTGGATATTCCAAAACTACCAAAAGAGTTGATTTTAAATGTTTTCATCACAAAGAAAAGTAGTAAGTATATGAGGTTATGAATTTGTTAATTAGCCTGATTTAATCATTCCACCCTGTAAACATATCAAAACATCACATTGTACCCCATAAATATATCTGCAATGATTATGTCAATTAAAAATAAAATTTTAAGAAATAAAATGTTCTAAAATAAAGACTATTAATTTTTAAAAAATAATACATCTTACAAAAAAATGCATATTGAATTATCTCACTTTTTAAAGGAAATATGTATCTTTCTGCATAGAACCTGGACTCCAAGCCCCCATGTAAAGGCAGCCCATCTCTGTGTGCTGTGATTCCAGTTGGCTGTCCTTCTGCTCACTTTATTTTCTGATCTTTTGAGACAAACAAGGGCTACTTGGGTAGTAATTTTGTGTTGATTGACTTTGTAAAATGTTTGAATTTTTTTTTTTTTTTGAGACAGAGTTTTGCTCTTGTTGCCCAGGCTGGAGCGCAGTGGCGCAATCCTGGCTCACTGCAACCTCCACCTCCCAGGTTCAAGTGATTCTCCTGCCTCAGCCTCCCAAGTAGCTGAGATTACAGGCATGCACCACCACACCTGGCTAATTTTGTATTGTTTTAGTAGACACAGGGTTTCACCATGTTGGTTAGACTGGTCTTGAACTCCTGACCCCAAGTGATCCGCCTGCCTTGGCCTCCCAAAGTGCTGGGATTACAGGTGTGAGCCATTGCGCCTGGCCAAATGTTTGAAGTTTTATAAGTTTATCCAATGCATGCATGCATAAAATTTGAAGAATCAAATATTCTGACTGGTGAAAGTTCTTGAGAGCAGGAAGGACAGCGGCCACACACCTGGCCCTTAGGGTAGGACTTGCACCCTGGAGACTGGAGACCCCAGACCCGGTGTTGTGGTCCCAGACTGAGCTGTTTCCAGCTGCAGCGCCCCTATCCGTGGCCCCAGGCTGCCCAAGGGTTTGTGCAGCTCTTGGAAATGTCAGGAATGTCCACCCGTACTTGCAACCTGTGGGTCATGCAGCTGGTATTTCCTCAGCCCTTCCTCGAGGGCCCCTCCATGCCCTCCGATTGCAACCCCAGCCCTGGAGGTGGCTGGCATGTCCTCCTGGCAGACTTTGCCCATCACATAACCACCCTCGCTTGGCCATCATGGGCTACACCTGGTCACGTCACGAAATACTCCACACAAAGAGGTCTCAGTGCAGGGAACAGGCCCCACTTGTTCAGACAGACAAACTCAGTGAGGACAGTGGGGTCAACAGTTTCAGCGGCTGAAACTGTTTCCGGCTGGGTCTTCTAGTGCCCAACATCAAAGGTGCCTGCAGAGCAACTCACATTGGCTAAGAGCAAACAAAGAACTCAGACTCGAGAAAGGGGGATTTCATCCAAGCACTATAGACTGGTGTGTGTGTGCACTGTGTATGGAAACCTGTGTTTGTGTGTGTGTGCACTGCATGTGGAAACCTGTGTGTGTGTGTACACTGCGTATGGAAATCCGTGTGCGTGTACTGCATACGGAAACCTGTGTTTGTGTGTGCACTGCATATGGAAACCTGTGTTTGTGTGTGTGTGCACCGCATATGGAAACCTGTGTTTGTGTGTGTGTGCACCGCATATGGAAACCTGTGTTTGTGTGTGTGTGCACTGCATGTGGAAACCTGTGTTTGTGTGTGTGTGCACTGCATATGGAAACCTGTGTGTGTGTGCCCTGAGTATGGAAACCTGTGTGTGTGTGTGCACTGCATATAGAAACCTGTTTTGTGTGTGTGTGCACTGCATGTGGCAACCTGTGTGTGTGTGCACTGCGTATGGAAACCTGTGTGTGCACTGCATGTGGAAACCTGTCTGTGTGTGTGCACTGTGTATGGAAACCTGTGTGTGTGTGTTCACTGCGTATGGAAATCTCTGTGTGTGTGTGTGTGTGTGCACTGCGTATGGAAATCTGTGTGTGTGTGTGTGTGTGCACTGCGTGTGGAAACCTGTGTGTGTGTGCACTGTGTATGGAAACCTCTGTGTGTGTGTGCACACTTCATATGGAAACCTGTGTGTGTGTGTGCACTGCATGTGGAAAACTGTGTGTGTGTGTCTGTGTGTGTGTAATTGCTTTATTTTGAAAACTATTTCTGGGATATTTTTCATGCTCCATGGTGTGGCTATCCCCACTTCTCCCCGCTGCAGAGAGGACAAAACAAAGATGGACGCATGGAAGAACACCTCATAAACTATTGTAGTCACATAAAACTTAATACACCATTCCCTCTGATTCTTCAAAGCAGTGGTTCTAACTGGGGGGTGGTTTCGCCCTCCAGGGGATCTTCAGCTGTATCTGGAGATGTTTTTGGTTGTCCCAATCTTGTGGTTAGGTTGACACTGGCATCCAGCGGTGGGGAAGCCAGGAGGCTGCAGAGCCCCCCAGCCCCGCCAGGCACTGGACCGTCCCCTCTACCAAGAATCATCAGCCCCAAATGCCAGCAGTGTGCATGCTGAAAAACCCGTTTCTGAGACTTCGTGATCCCAGCTTCTGTGGTCCTAGGGTTAGCGTTTATTTTTGCTGTTAGTTTTCAATAAGGCCCTGAGCGCCACACACACAGGCTCCCTGTGGGCGCAAATGTGCACCTTCCCCACTCTCCTGTGGCCTTGGGAGCCAGTTCTGGGCAAAGCCAAGGAAGTAGCCACCCTTCGGTGGGGCTCCCAGGAAAAGGAAGGCACCACTGGCTTAGCCTGTAACCCCTGTCTCTGTCCCCTTCTTCTTGCCTGGGCAGGGACGGGTTATGGGCATTGTCTTGGAACCCTGAGGACACGCTGATGTGGAAATGGCTTTGAACACCATCCACAGGCCAACAGCTCTCACCTCGCACCTCCCTCCTAGCCCTCCCTTCCCACATGCCAGTTGGCGTCTCCCCATATACGATCCACGGACAGGCCTCCCGATCCTCCCCTGCAAATCTGCTTCGCCCACACCCTCCTCTGACCCATCTGGCGGCAGCTTCTGCACATGCACCAGGATTGTTGAATTCACGGTCTACTGGTCTACTCCTCCCCTTGAGTAGGGCTCAGGGCCCCCAGTGGAGGCAGGCTGGAAGATACGGCCCCTCTGTAATGCCCTTGCTGTGACAACCTGCTCCAATGTCCCAGAGAGTCTTTTCCAGCCCTTCTTGGGGGCCCTGGGCTTTGGGCTTGCCTCCTGCCTTTTGGAGGGATGTGAGAGAGCAGGGGCTGCCAGGAAGTCACGTCTTACATTCCTGCTGTGGGTTAGGGGATGCTGTAGGACAGGACGGAGGGCCAGGTCCAGGCCTAGGCAGGACCGTGGCCATCTATCCATCTATCTCCTGCTCTCAGAGGGGATGCCTGGGGCAGGATCCTGGTCAACCTATCAGTACAGAGATAGCCAGAGAATTCTGACTCTCCTCGCCTGCCTCATCTCCCCTTGCCAGACTCTAAGGACAGTTGCCCAGGACTCCAGAGCTGAGTAGCTGGAGATAAGCACGTGGTCCTGCCAGCTCCTAGTTTAAAGTGCTGCTTCTCTTTAATTCAGGGGCATCTGCACCTCAGGAAACCCACCTGTGTGCATTCTCTCATTCCTGGGGGGATCCCATCCTCACTTCCCACCAACCGCCCACTCAAAAAACACCTTTTCAGCCTTTTTTCCAGTTACTGCTAATGCCCAAGGGGCACTCCCAGTGGGCACCCCCAGAGGCTGTGTGTTTTCCATTTCCTCCACTGGGCTCTCAACGATCCCATTTCACATGTGCCTGTGGGAAGTGGGAGTTTCTGTGGCAATATCGTGATGACTAGACCCCAGTTCCCTATGAGAATCAGTCCACTGTCACGGAGTTCGGTGGCCTTGAAGCCAAAGAATTGGTCAAAACCCAACAGAGTATCTACTCTCATGTCCCGAGGCCCTGTGACTAGTGGACCAGGAGAATTTGCAACCTTTAAACCAGCTCAGCTGAGATCCCGGTGAAGGTGCAAATTACTTACAAAAGCAATGCTCTTGGGGATTCCTGGGTTTGGTCATCGGGATCCACAGGTTCATGGGGCTGCAACTTAGACAGTTGGGTTTCCCAGACCCCTCCTGATCCTCAGTGCAAAATGTGCTCCTTGGATAGCAAATGTGCTTTTTCAATCTGACTTAGCAAGCTTAAGGATTATTCTGTAGTCAGCCTCCAACAGCCACAGCCAGGCTTATTTTGCAAAGTTGGGCCAAAGGCTTCTGCCACATGGGAACCCCATTCCTATACTGAACATAAGGACTTTCAGGGCAGCAATGAAAATGCAAGTTCCTGGGCTGCCCCAGCAGTTCTGATTCATTGAGTCTGAGCAGGGGTCATGAATTTGTGTTTTTAACCAGCTTTTCATATGATGTTGACCCAAGAGGTCTGAGGAACTCTGCTCTAAGAAAAAAGGTCTAGTGATTTTTTGAGGATGATCATCTTTAAACAAACCACGTTCCCAAAAGACCTGCCTTTACGGATGGTGAGTACAACTTCTTGCTTGTGTTGAGAGTTTTGGCTGTGGGTCTGAGCCAAAGAAACAACAAATAATGAGGACCTTTCATGTTGTGTGATCAACTTCCAAAATTTCATAACGCTTTTGCAAACCAGATATTTGATGCCAAGGACTTTACCTGCCTCTTACCGAAGAAAACAAAAATATAGGGATGTTGGTGGTCTTGTACAAAGACTCACACCCAGAAAATCCTTCATCCAGGAATAAGAACCATTATGGGAGTGGAAATAACTTGATTGGGGTGTATGTTATATATCATATAATTCACTGGTTTTGAGTGTGCCAGTGAATGATGTCTTTGTAAATTTACCAAGCGGTGCGATCATCAACATATAGCTGCAGGGCCATTCATCACCCCAAGAAGGTTCCTCCTGCTCCTCACTGGTAATTCCCACTGTACCCACTCCACCTCCCACCCCTGCCTAGCCAACCACTGAGCTCCTTTTTGCCCCTATAGATTTACCTTTTCTGGACATTTCATCTGAATGGAATCACGCAACGTGTGGTCTCTTGTGGTGGGCTTTTCTCTCTTGGGCAAAATGTTTTCTATCCATCCTGCTGTGGCATGCAGCCTTAGTTTGTTCCCCTCAATTGCTGAACAGCATTCCTCTATGTGGATGGACGGCACTGTGTTTATCCATTCACTTGATGATGGACATTTAGGTTGCTTTTAATTTTTGAAAACACCCCTTTTGAAATACCACAATCTGGCTGCTTCTCGGAAGAGATGTCACACTTGGACGTCCTGTCCAGGTGGATAGATGGGTGGGGGGTGGGGCGCTGTTGGAAGTGCTGCAGTGGGTCACATCTTCCGGGCTCTCCTGTCTACCCAAGGGGCAGCCATCAGCACGTGGGGACGTCAGACCTGGCACAAGGCACATGTGGCCTGGGTGAGACCAGGCTCTCTGGACACCAAGCCCAAAGTAGAGTTGTGGAGTGCGGGCTCCTGGGGAAGCTGCTGGGAGGGATCAGCAGGGTGAGGCAAGAGGAGGAACTGGGCCTGGCTCTGGCCTCAGCAAAAGGCTGCCCCTAGCCCAATGCTCAGGGCAGCTCAGGGGCATGAGTCCCACTGCACCACTGGCGCCGAGGCTGGGCCAGCCTTTGATCCACCTCCAGCAGTCACCGGTGTGGGCTGCCCCTTGAGGTGGGGTGTTCCATAACTGCCTGGGCAGCAAGATCGGGGGCTCCCAAGAGCACCCACCAGGTGCCATTGACAGCCAAGACCCTCAGCAACTGGGAGGTGGATGCCCTCACTCAAAAAGGGGATCTGGGCAGGCACCAATGGTGTTTGTTACATACTCACACAAGCTCTGGTCCCCATGAACCCAGCAGCAACATCAGCTCGCTCCTGCCAGCTCTCCAACCTCCTGCTGCCTGGGCTGGGACCCCCAAGACAATGAGCTTGTCCCCACCTCAGGGCCCCCACACATGCTGCTGTCTCTTCTCCCATTGCACGCTTTGCCACCTGGTCCTCCCAAATATACACAGCACACGTGTGTGTGCATGCAGGTCTCCAGGGTGGGGGGCTCAGGAAAAGGTGGGACCACCCTGCCAGCGGCCTCCAAGTAGCTCTGACTTCAAGATCTGTCTCACAAACGGTTTAGGAAAGGTCAACCATGCCCAAGGTGCCTGCTCATGCTGTACTGAAATCCAGTCCTGTGTGCAAACACAGAAGTGAAGGCAATCGCAGGTCAGGGAGGGAAGAGATATTGGGAAGACACACTGGAGTGCCGTAGCCACACTGAGGCAGGCCTGGACCACACCTTCCATGGATATTAGAGGGCTTCCTGGAGGAGGTGTCAGTTGAGGAGACCCTAGGAAGGTAGGACTCAGTCCAGTGATGAAGAGGAGCCATGAAATCCAAGGGGGAGAAATTGGCACCCAAGGTGAGGCAGCAGAAGAGGTCTTGCTCAGTTAGGTGCCCACAACTGGCTGGAGTTCAGGCTGAGGGCGGGGGACTAAGGGTGAGGCTAAAAATGGGGTCAGGAAGGGCCTTCTGTGTTTGAGTTTTAGCTCAAGGCCCTTGAAAAGCAAAGAAAGACTTGACCACATTGGTTATGATCTGCTCACCAGCCTTATTTTTCCTATGGAATTTGACACTTATCATCCATGTGGCTTTCACTGGGTGACTCTGAGGGTCCTGGGAGGACTCCAACCATCAGAACTCTACTTGTACTCTATGTCGCTTCTTTGAGTCTTCCAGTCTTAAGCTGGGCACACCCCTGAGATGCTTATGGATGCGACCATCTTGTTAATTAAGACTTTAACTTCTGAAGAATGCAGAAAAGGGTAGCTACACATTAAAATTGTTCTCTGCAGTATCCAACGAAGGAATACTGGAAGGAATGCAATATGTTTTTACTGTTTTAGGCTGCCAAGCTCTTGCATGCAAAGGCTCTGGCATCCAACAGCGATTCACAGTCTTTTCTCCTTCAAATACTCTGTGTTTGCCAGGTAATAAGCCAGCTCTTTGGTACTAGGGCCAGGCAGCAAAGTCCTGGGTCCTAAGCGGGCTGGTATCTGCACTTGGGAGGAAGGGAAAAAATAATCCATGCATTTCCCATTGGCTTAGGAGAGCAGCACCACCTGCCTGGATCAGGGGTCCCTTGGTAGCTGAGTTCACTGAGACAGAAGCCACCACCAGCCCTGGAAAGGCGACTGATAAGAAGCTTTCAGAGCACCATGGGGAGAATGCAGGGGCCGGGAACGAGGCCCACGGCTCTGCCGCGCTTGGAAAGAGTAAAGATGTTATGGAAATTCAACTATAAGGTCTAGAAAAACCCACTGGAGAGCTTTAGGTGGTTTTGACTGAAATTTCAACCGTGTGTGCCTCCCTCTGTTAATGTGAGTCTGGGGGCTTCCTGGCTGAGCAGCTCAAGGGTGGATTCCCCAGCCAAGCCCAGCCAAGCCTAGCCCAGCCCAGCCCAGAGACAGGGAGGTGGCAGGTCCACAAAGCCAACGGGCCATGCTCCGGCCCAGCTCTGTTCCCAGGGCCCTACTCCTGGCTGTACCTGTTGCTGAGGCCTGGGAGTCTGGCTTTTCCCCATCACCCCAGGCCTCATCAAGTCTGCCCCAGCACCGAGGTGGCAGAAGTGCAGTGCATTCAGATGCTGAGAACCACGTGGCTGGAGGGAGGCCTTGCCCCCACCCTCCCTCCCACCATCCACTCAGGGTCCGGCTGTCCTGTGTCACCCCCAGGTGTCCCCGACTCCCTGCAACTCTCCCTTCACCCGGCTTGAGCCTACGGCTTCCTGCCCCCACTATCCCATCACCTGCTTTTGCTCCCGTCTGCACCTACCTTGTCCCCCAAGCCAACAGCCTCATGTCTCATCATCAAGACCACCGAGGCCCAGGGAAGTCAGAGGTAGGCCAGGGTCGCAGAGCGAGGGCGAGAACTCAGGGCCTCCTTCACCAGCCTGGGCGCCCTGCCTCTTCCCACCAAGCTGCGGGTCCAGGCCATTTCTACAGGGAGAGACGCTCATTGCTCTGTGTGTCCCCCCTGGACCTTGGTCAGACCAAAGCCACTTGAAGTTGGGGACAGCCTTGGAGGTGTTTATATTCCTCAGGGGTGTGAGGCAGTGGGTGCGGCTAGGACATTGGGGGCACCCTATCAAGACTGACAGCCTGGTGGGGGCTGGGTCTCCGTGGTTTCTTTACTCAAGTCCTGAAGAGTTGATGCTTTCAATCACCTGTCTCTCCCTCTCCATCTCTCTCTGTGTCTCTCTGTTGTTGTCTCTCTCTGTCTCTGTCTCCCTGTCTCTCTCTACTGCTATCCCAATGTGTCTCTTGCTGTCTCCCCCTCTGTCTCTCTCTGTCTCCCCGTGTCCCACGTCTCTCTCTCTGTGTCTTTCTCTTGTGTCTCTTTGTCCTTGTTTCTCTCTCTGTTTCTTTCTGCCTCTCCCTCTCTGACTCCATCTTCCCCTCTCTGTCTCTCTCTGCCCTTCTGTCTCCCTCTCTCTGTGTGTCTCTCTCTGTGTCTCCCTCCTGTGTCTCTTTGCCCTTGTCTCTGTCTCCTTCTGTCTCTCTCTGTCTCCCTCTTTCTGTCTGTCTCCATCTCCCTCTTTCTGTCTCTCTCTACTGTCTCCCTCTCCCTATGTCTCTCTCCCTTTCTCTCTCCCCACACTGACTGAGCTTTGAGACCTTCCTCCAGCCTGTCCCTCTTCCAGGACGGCTGCCCAAAGGTCTCTGAGATATGTGGGATGGACCCACACCCCCCGGAGGGTTCCCAGGCCCAGGAGAAGTGGTGGTGGTGGAGGTGGAAGGAATTTAGAACGCCCAAGGCGTTAAGCGGCGGGAGATACTGACTCTTGTGGGCTTTAGTGTCTTTGTCCGCCTGGTTTTCAGGTATTCCAGAGGTAGAAAGGTCACTTGTATGAGCACACAGAATCGCTTCGGCTGAGCGGGCAGTGTCTGGCCAGCTGTGGGGCTGTCCTGGGAAGGCAGTGGGCTCGTGGTCTGCCCAGGCCAAGCTCTCCTGGATGCGTGACCCTGGGTCAGTCACCGCACACTTCCAGCCTGTTTCCTCCAGGGAC
Source organism: Homo sapiens (assembly GCF_000001405.40). Taxonomy (NCBI): domain Eukaryota; kingdom Metazoa; phylum Chordata; class Mammalia; order Primates; family Hominidae; genus Homo; species Homo sapiens. The sequence continues at coordinate 69,576,109 of NC_000011.10, forward strand.
CCTTCCAGCTCCTCTGTGCTTCTTATCAGTGCCAGGCTGGTTGCGGGGGGTGGGGAGGCCCAAGCACATTCCTTCCCCTTTTCAGACTGGAGCAGGGCAGGTTGCACATCTGTGAGCTCCAGAGCAGAGGACCCAGCCCTACCTGTGAACCTTTCAAGATGCACACCTGACCCGGTGACTTTGGGCAGAGCCTGGCTGGCCAAGGTACCCTGACTCTGACCTTAGCCAGGACAGGGCTGCCCTCCCAGCCCGGCCATCTCCGGGTATTTGCAGTTGGCCCCAAGAGGAACTGGAGAGAGACTGATTGCAGAACAGCCTAAATCCATTCACTGCTTGCAAAGCAAACCCAAGCTCTTTCCTTCCTGCTGGTGGGACAGTGGCAGAATCTTAGAAGAATGGGGCCACCGAGTGTGGGGTTCAGGGCACAGTAATGAGACTGGCCTGGGTCCAACACATGAGAGCTCACTCTGCAAAGAAGTCCGATTAGAGATCCCGATGCCAAGCCTGGCTCAGAGCAATTTGGGCACTGCTCATGGGATACTTAGCCATGCTAGGAAATTCTTCCCGTGACTTTATTATCACACATCAAAAGTGGCTCCCCCACCCAGCCGCATAACCTTCTCTGCACAGAGCTGCATACCTCCTGCTGATCAGTCCTAAAAGCAGTGACCACCTCTGAAGAGTGTGCTCAGGACGTACACCCTGTATAAGGCTGCCTCGTTGTCCCAGAATCTACCCTCGGAAAAGAGAGACCCCCCTTATAAAGGAGTCCTTACCAGATCGCTCATGTTATAGGTCTCCCTCTCGATATTTTGTTTTATATTTAATAGACAATTTTTTAGCCGTTTTAGGTTTACAGAAAAATTGAGCAGAAAGTACAGAGAATTCCCGTCTACTCCCTCATCCCTCCTCCAGCTTTCCCTATCACTAACATCTTGCATTGATTTGGTACATTTGCTGCAAGTGATGAACCAACCGCAGTACATTATTATTTGCTAGAGTCCACAGTTTACAGTAGGGTTCACTCTTGGGGTCATGCATTCTGTGGGTTTTTTTTTTAATTTTTGATTTTATTTTTTTTGAGATGGAGTCTTGCTCTGTCTCCCAGACTGGGTTGCGTGGCACGATCTTGGCTCACTGCAACCTCTGCCTCTTGGGTTCAAGTGATTCTCCTGCCTCAGCCTCCTGAGTACCTGGGATTACAGGCACCTGCCACCATGCCCAGCTAATGTTTGTATTTTTAGTAGAGATGGGTTTTCACCATGTTGGTCAGGCTGGTCTCAAACTCCTGACCTCAGGTGATCCACTTGCCTTGGCCTCCCAAATTGCCAGGATTACAGGTGTAAGGCACTGTGCCTGGCCGGTTTTGTGAGTTATGACGGTAGTACAATGACATGTATCCATCTTTACTGTGTCATATGCAATACGGTCAGCCCTCTGTATCCGCAGGTTCTTCATCCACCAATTCAACCAAGCACAGATTGGAAATAAGAACTTGTGTTCTCTAAGTCCCCTGCGCTCCACCTATTCATTCCTTCCTCCCCCGAGCCCCTGGCAACCACACGTCATCTTACTGTCTCCATAGTTTTGCCTTTCCTGGAGTTACAGAGTTGCAATCACACAGTGTGCAGTCTTTTCAGATTGTCTTCTTTCACCTGGTAAGATACATTTACAGTTCTACTGCATCTTTCACGGCTTGACAGCTCATTGCTATTTTTTTTTTTTTTTGAGACGAAGTTTCACTCTGGTTGCCCAGGCTGTAGTACAATGGCACAATTTTGGCTCACTGCAACCTCCACCTCACGGGTTCAAGTGATTCTCCTGCCTCAGCCTCCTGAGTAGCTGGGATTACAGGCATGTGCCATCACACTCAGCTAATTTTGTTTTTTCAGTAGAGATGGGGTTTCTCCATGTTGGTCGGGCTGGTCTCGAACCCCCGACCTCAGGTGATCCGCCTGCCTCGGCCTCCCAAAGCGCTGGGATTACAGGTGTGAGCCATTGAGCCAACAGTTCATTTGTCTCTTCACCTACTGAAAGACATCTGGGTTGCTTCCGAGTGTTGGCAATCATGCATAGGCGACTTTAAACATCTGTGTGCAGGTTTTGTGTAGACATAAGTTTTCAACTCCTTTGGGTAAATACCAAAGAGCATGATAGCTGGATCACATGAAAAGAGTGTGTTTAGTTTCATAAGAAACCACCAAACTGGTTTCCAAAGTGGCTGCACCATTTTGCATTCTCAGCAGCAGTGATGAGAGTTCCTGTTGCTCCACATCCTTGCCAGCATTTGGTGTTTTCGATTTCGGCCACCCTATTAGGTATCTAGTGGTGTCTCATTGCTGTTTTAATTTTCAGTTCCCTAATGACGTATGATATTGAGCATCTTTTCATATGCTTATTTGGCATCTATGTATCTTTTTTTTTTTTGAGATGGTGTCTCGCTCTGTCACCCAGGCTGGAGTGCAGTGGCACAATCTCTGCTCACTGTAAGCTCCGCCTCACAGGTTCAAGCAATTCTCCTGCCTCAGCCTCCCAAGTAGCTGGGATTACAGGCACCCATCACCACACCCAGCCAATTGCCATCTGTATATCTTCTTTGATGAAGTCAATTTTTTTTTAAAAAAAGAAACATGGTTGGAAGATGTTGGGTAAAGATACTAGTTACCTGCCTGGTGTTTGTCCTTTCCTAATTCTTGAGTAAGAGAAATTCAATTTTATTTGGGGCAGCAACATACCCTGCTAAAAGACTGTGGACTTCAGCAAATAATAATGTGCCACGGTTGGTTCATCACTCGTAGCAAACGTACCTACTGACTTCTGAACCTCTCAGGAGTGGGGCCCTTCAGCAAGAGTAGACCTGGCCCCTCTTAGCCTCCCTGGGGTTCCTATCCCAAGATGTTAAGGACGCAGGACCCATTTCTCCCTTAAATCACTCTGGGAAGCCACGAATCATGGAGTCATAAAGTCTCAGGCTACTGGAGATTTTATTTTCCCAGACTCTCTTTTGGCCAGATGTGGCCACATAGTAGGTCCAGGCCAATGACCCATAAGCAGAAGTGCTGGGTGGGGTTCCAGGGACTCTCTCTCAAGGCAGCTAACTCAGATGGGAGCTGTGCTCCTTTCTTCCTTCTGCTGCCTGGAACTCAGATGTGATGGCTGAACTCCAGCAGTCAGGTTAGACCATGAGCTGTTCTCGGGAGGGGAAATGGCACACTAGGATGGTAGAGTTGAAAGACTGAAGAAGGAGCAAGGTCCCTGGTGCCTGTGAAGACCCCATACAACCTCAGACTACTCACCTCCAGACTTCTTTTATGAGAAAGACAAAGAAACTTCTATGCTCTATAAGACACACTTACTTTGGACTTTCTATTACAAGCAATCGAATGTACTCCTAGCTGAAAGAGATGCAGTAGCAGAAGCAACCTCAGTCTCTGGAGACTCTCAATGCCTATGAAAGGTGCCATCGAGAAGTGAGGACATCTAGCATAGCCTTAGAATTCTCCCTTGGATCATGACTTCATAACTGTAAATGTCCAGTATAAGAGGTCCAAGTACTTTTTGTTTTTTATAGATGGGGTCTCACTATGTTGCCCAGGCTGGATTCAAACTCTTGGGCTCAAGGGATTCTCCCACCCGCAACCTCCCAAGTAGCTGGGACGACAGCTGCATGTCACCATGCCCAGCCCGAGTCTTTTAAAGACCACTTGTTGTGGGGTCTCCACTACAGACCTATAAAAGAAATGAGAGAGCACTTGCCCCACCTTTGCGGGAGTAGCTCCCTGAATGAGTGGACAGGTGCCAGCTAGCCCAGACAGGAGAAGAGCTGCACTCTGCAAAGTGTTGCCATAAAACCATGTCATAATATGTGAGATGGGAAAAGCAATATGTCTACATCAAAGCATTTCATGTGATATGTACTTGTAAATGTGTGTATGTGCAACTAGATCAGTGAGTTGGACTAGGTAAGTAGATGTCTCACAATTTCATATATGTCCCTGAAAGTTCATGTGTTCAGGCTCATTGCTCATTACTCAAACTCCTTTTGAAGCTTCTTTTTGGGAAAATAGGCACCCACCACCATCTATTCAGGATCACCAGGTGTATTCGGCAAGCCTGGGCAATGGCTGTCTTGTAGAATAGGTGTGTATCCCCCTTGGATGACTGCAAAGACTTGTTTTGTTAAAGAATATATTTGTTTAAAAAAGGAATCACATTATTTTATCATTAGTAGCATTTGATAAATCCTAATCATGTGGATAATTCTAATAATATATTCTAATCACATGGATTCTTATGATAGCCTAATGATAGTGATGATGACGTTCTAGTGATGAACCTAACAATCTATTCTAATTGTGCAGGTGTCCTGTTGTTATGAGATGCCCTGTGAAAGCATCCTCGATCACCCTTCTCACCTTGGGTTTTAACTTGACACCTGTCCCTAATGGGTCATTCATGGGTCTTTTATAAAATGGCCACTGATCACCTCCTGAAGTGGCTCTGACTAGGGTCAGATAACTCAGGCCCAATTTTCCCAGCATCTCAAGCCACGTGCTTTCACAAGCACGGTTTTGATAACATGTGCTGTAGGCATTGTCTGAACCCTGACATGATGGCCACACCAACTTCTGGACCTCTCGGGAGTGGGGTCCTTCAGCAAGAGTAGATCTGGCCCCAGTCAGCCTCCCTGAGGTTCCTACCCCATGACGTGAAGGACATGGGACCCATTTCTCCCTTAAATTGCTCTCTGAAGCCATGAGTGTTCCTCTTCACAGAGTCATAAAATCTCAGGCTACTGGAGATCTTATGAGACCATTTCTTTCATTGAAGGTCCTCCAAAAGAATGCTGCAGCTTCAGACACAGCCTATGCTCTGTCCATGCAATACAACCAAACTTACCAGGTGTGGAAAAAGTAAGCAAATAAGTGATCTGCTGCTTAGATGGTGCTGCAGGTTGAACTGTGTCCCCCAAAAAGATATGTTGACGTTCTCATCTCTGGTACCCGTGAATAGGAACTTATTTGGAAACAGGCCCTTTGCATATGTAATTAGTTAAATTAAGATGAGGTCATGCTGGAGTAAGGTGGGCCCTAATCCAATAACTGGTGTCCTTATAAGAAGATGAAACACAGACACAGAGGAGAAGCCCATGTGAAGAAGAGGCAGAGACTGGAGCAATGCGGCCACAGTCGAGGAATGCCAGGAGCCCCCAGAAGTTGGAAGAGGTAGGAAGGATCCTCCCTGAGAACCTTCAGAAAGAGGCAATTGACACTTTGATTTTGAACTTCCAGTCTCCAGATCCACTAGAGAATAATTTTTTTGTTGTTTCATGCCACCAAGTAACTCTTAGTCCAAGGCCATAGCCCTGAGAACCTGGCACTGGCAGCGGGGGGTGGTGGGGGGGCACAGGTGTAAATCTTGGGTGTGAAGGTCCAAGTATTAACAGCAGGAGCTCTGATGTCAGAGGGAGGAGAAGAAGTGTGTCCCAGTTCCAAGAGAAAGAAGGAATTCACCTTTCCTCTGTCTTTTTGTTCTACCCAGGCCCTCAATGGATTGGATGGTGCCCACTCACACTGCGTGACGGTCAATCTTCTTTACACAATCCACTGATTCCAACGCCAATGTCTTCTGGAAACACCTTCACAGACACACCCAGGAATAATGCTTTACTACTGTCTGAGTATCCCTTAACCTGGTCAAGTGGACGCTTAAAAGTACCCACTACATTGTTTAATTTATTACTAGGGATTTTATAATTTGGGTTGCTATTGTGAATGTCTTTATTTTGTATTATATTTCCTACGTGGCTCTGGTTGGTGTATAAGGAAGTTATTGATTTTTGTATAATTACTTTCTAACCAGCCACCTTCTGAATTATCCTGCAATACAGCCTAGTAAGTTTTCCGTGAGTGCTCTAGGATTTATACATAGATAAAATAATTATATTTTGTCTCCTCCTTACTAAAACTACATCTCTGTAGGAACTTGTAGCAATAACAGCGAGGCATTCTGCCCTGTCTCTGACTCTAGTGGAAATGTGTTTAGTGGTCGGTCACTGAGTACAAAGGTGGTTGCTAGTTTCAAATGGATATTTTCATCATGGCAAGGAAGTATCCTGCTGGTCTTCACTTACTAAGAATTTCCTTTTCTTTTCAAATCAGAAATAAATATTGAATTTTATAAAATGTCTCTTTGGAAATTATTCAAATGATAGCAGGGATTTTTCCTCCTTTTGGCCCATTAATGAGAGGAATTATTAGTAGATTGTCTAATACTGAGCCCTGCTCCCTTTCTTTGAATAAAACCTGACTGTTTATGCTCTATGCCTTCAAATATTCTGTTGGACTTTGCATTATTTTATTTGAAATCTTATGTTGTGAATTTATGAATCTATGTTTACAAATTAGGTATGTCTGCAGTTTTCTGTGGTGTGAATAGTGAAACTCTTCATCCTGTTTTTCAGTAAGAGTGGTCTACATCGTATAGGGATGACTGATAACTTGAGGGCTTGATGGAATTCAGCCTTCTTGGAGGACAATTCTTTGATAACTTTTCAATTTCTCCTATGGATGTTTGTCTTTTCAGGTTTTCAACCCCTCCTTAATTCAGAAATTTTGCCAGTTGTATTTTTCTAGGCAATAGTAGCCACATCATAGGCACCCAGTAAACATGAAGCCATTTATCAGCCGTGGGTCTTCCACAGCTTCTTTGTAATTGTGTAAATTCTCCACCTCTGTGGCAGAGTCCCTGTTCTCGTTCTTATTTGTTCTCCTTTTTTATTCCTTAATAATGAAAGCATTTAATATGTCTCTAAATTCAACCTTGACCACATCCCATAAATTTGGATGTCTGTAATTTCAGTTTTTACTTCTGCTTTGACCTAATTTAGAAGAGTGCTTTTTAAAACCACATGGTTGGGTTGTAAATTTCTGATTTTATTGCTTTGGTATCATAGAGTGTGATTTATATAAACATAAAACTGTTACAATAAGAGCCAGAAAATGTGCATTCTCAATTGGTAAGGTAATAAACACACACACATAAAGGCGTTTATTAATTATAATTTTACCTATTTTAGTTACGACTATGTTGTATACTCTATTTTTTGCCTATTGCATAGGCCAAAGACTGAGAGAAGTATGTTCAAGATATCTTTAGCACAGGCCCACAAGCGCTTACCCTATCCACTGGAGCAGGCTATAAATCAAAACTCAGAGTGTTCTAGTTTTTAGAAAAGTAATATAGGGCATTCTATGTAAAGCCCCCAGACAGATCAGAGGCAGGACCCCATAATCAAATCCAGTGATGTTTCTTCAGTGAAATACACAAATATCCACACTGAGTGAGATAAGACTATAAATAGCCTCCTAACAGTTCAAGTCCAGTTTCACTCCCTAGCTAAGGTCAGGCTTAAGAAAAGGTTTTGCCTTTCATAGTTTTTTGAAAATCAAATGATGAAAAGAAGATTTGGGGCCTCGATGGATTTCTCTCCATTTCTCCCTATATTTCTAACCATGTTTACATTATATATATTTAGGGCATAATTATCTATCACCAAGAAACTTAAGTCAGTATATCTTTATTTTGAATTTTATCATCCATAAACATAGCCAATAATAAGCACCTATAGTCCTAGCTACTTGGGAGACTGAGGCAGGAGGAGCACTCGAGCCCAGGAGTTCAAGTCGAGCCTGGGCAAGACCTGTCTCAAAATAAATAAATAAATAAATAAAAGTAAAAATAAAATTACCTTCTTTGTTCTGCTTCTGTTTTTTTCTATTGAATTTTACTTGGGCCAATGTTAATATTGTGACTTTTTTTTTTTTATGAGGCATAGTCTCACTCTGTCACCCAGGCTGGAGTAGAGTGGCATGTTCTTGGCTCACTGCAAGCTCTGCCTCCTAGGTTCAAGCAATTCTCGTGCCTCAGCCTCCCAATCAGTTGGGACCATAGGCATGTGCTACCATGCCCAGGTAATTTTTTGTATTTTTAGTAAAGACAGGGTTTTGCCATGTTGGCTGGACTGGCCTCAAACTCCTGGCCTCAAGTGAGCCGCCTGCCTCGGCCTCCCAAAGTGCTGAGATTACAGGTGTGGAGCCACCATGCTCGGCCCCTTCTTTCTTTGTATTTGCATTTATTTAGTATGTATTTACCTACATATTTTTTCACCTTTTGAGCAACTATGTTTTAGGGGTATCACCTGGAAATGGCACATAATTGAATTTTAGAGTCTTTTTAATAAAAGAGTATATCCCATTTACATTTATTATTATAACCCAGATATTCAGCCCTATTTTGTCTCTTTAGTCAATGATTGTGTGTACATTTCTTTTTGTTTATTTTGTTTTCTGTCTTTGATATGTTGTATTAGCCTGTTTTCACACTGCTATAAAAAAACTACCTGACAGTGGGTGATTTATAAAGAAAAGAGGTTTAATTGATTCACAGTCATGCATGGCTGGGAGGCCTCAGGAAACTTACAATTATGGCAGAAGGTGAAGGCAAGGCATGTCTTACTTGGTGGCAGGAAAGAGACTGTGCAAGGGAGGAACCGCCACACACTTTTAAACCATCAGATCTCAAGAGAAACTCACTATCACCAGAACAACATGGGGAAAACACCCCGATGATCCAATCACCTTCCACCAGGTCCCTCCCTTGACATGTGGGGATTACAATTTGAGATGAGATTTGGGTGGGGACACAGAGCCAAACTATATCTTATGTTGAATATACATTAAGTTGAACCCTATGAAATTGCCTATATTGAGCTGTTTTAGACTTATAAAAATAGCAATTTCATAGGATTTAACCCAATCAGTCTCTTGATCTTTATTTGGGTGTGGGGGATTCTGCAATAGAACATTTTCAGACTGTGATCCTCATCTTTTAGATACTGTTCTGTTTCTCCTGTTTTGCCCCTTATTGGTGGTTTTTTGTTTGTTTATTTGTTTGTTGTTTGTTTTCTGGACGTTTGTTTGTTGGTTGGTTGGTTTACTGGTTTGCTTCCTTTTTAAAATCCCTGAACAAAGCAAGATCTGTAAAGGCATCATGTTTTTAAATGATCAGGCAAATAATTGTATTCGGTGGATTTCCTTTCTCAGCTCCCAAACAGGGAAGCAAATGAGGTGATCAATTCCCAGTCTAATTCCCAGTTTCTTTGGCAGACCTTACCTAGTGCACTGCTCTCTGTGGGTTTAAATTTTTGTCTGTTCTTCTCTGATGTTGACATGAAGCTGTCTCTCAGTGCCATCTCTGGTATCATATACTTTATGGTTCAGTGTCTGTGGGGACATTTCATTGGAACTTGGAGAATTGTCTGTGGTTGGTGGTCTGTACCAGTTAGCCAATTCATATCCCACCAGCCTATGTCATCATGTCCCATTTAAAGTTTTGTTCTTAGGCTAGGCACGGTGGCTCATGCCTGTGATCGCAACACTTAGGGAGGCTGAGGAGGGAGGACTGCTTAAAGCTAGAAGTTCAAGACCAGCCTGGGCAACATAGCAAGACCCCATCTCCACAAAAAATCAGCCAGGTACAGTGGCATGCACCTATAGTTCCAGCTATTCAAGAGGCTGAGGTGGGAGGATCTGCTTAAACCCAGAAGTCCAAGGCCGCAGTAAGCTATGATGGCATCACTGCACTCAGCTTGGGCAACAAAGCAAGACACTGACTCAATAACAATAATAATAATAATAATAAAGTGTGGTTCTTTGGCGTCATCTTGAAATTTTAACATATGCACATAAACATGAAATGCTGAAAGTAAAGGAGGCAGAAAGAAGCCCTTAACAAAAGCCGAAGGCAGATGGCTTCCTCCAGACACATAAAATAGAATTTAATCTCTCAGTCTCACAATGAGGAAACTTCCCTTGCAACAAGTCAGGGTGATATTCCTAGCAAATACTCTGAAAAATTGTGACATCTGGTTTTAGCCTTAAAAATAATGTTCATATATCAAAAGCTCAATGTCGTTAGATGAGAAGTCTGACATGGAAGAGGCTTGGCCACATTCTCTGTTAAGAGAAGCAGGATTCCTGCCCCTAAGCTCCCCAGTAGCCTGCATTTGTTATTGCTGAACATCGGGCCCATGTCGCCGTGTTCAGCCTGCACGTTGACATCCGTTGCAACAACTCTTCCTCCAAGTATCACACACTCAGCACCCACTCCACTGGGATTCGCTGGGATGTGAACCATGACAATGAACCAATGACTGTACTTCGCCTAGGCTTTTCCAAATGGGGCCCAGATGGTGAGTTATGAAGGACATAGTGTGGCCCTCAGTTCTCCCCCCTGGCTGCTGTCACAATGGGCTCTTAAAACCGTGAATCTGGGACAGGAGCGGTGGCTCACGCCTGTAATCACAACACTTTGGGAGGCCAAGGCAGGCGGATCATGAGGTCAAGAGATAGAGATCATCCTGGCCAACATGGTGAAACCCTGTCTCTACTCAAAATACAAAAATTAGCTGGGCGTGGTGGCGTGCGCCTGTAGTCCCAAGCTATGGGGGAGGCTGAGGCACGAGACTCGCTTGAACCTGGGAGGCAGAGGTTGCAGTGAGCCAAGATCGTGCCACTGCACTCCAGCCTGGCAACAGAACAAGACTCTGTCTCAAAAACAGACAAACAAACAACAACAAAAATAAAAATAAAAAACGTGAATCTGACCAAGCCACTCTCTGCTTAAGAAACTGCAGTGTTTCCCACTGCTGGGGCACTGTGGCCAGACTCCTTAGTGGAGCCCTAAGGGACCCTCCTGAATGGCCCACCAGCCCCTACAGCTCTTCTAACTCTTCTCTGAGGAAGAGTTACAGCTATTTTATTTTATTTTATTTATTTTATTTGAGATGGAGTCTCACTCTGCCGCCCAGGCTGGAGTGCAATGGGGTGAACTCGGCTCACCACAACCTCTGCCTCCCAGGTTCCAGTGATTCTCCTGCCTCAACCTCCTGAGTAGCTGGGACTACAGGTGCGTGCCATCATGCCAACTAATTTTTGTATTTTTTTAGTACAAACAGAGTTTTGCCATGTTGGCGAGGCTGGTCTCGAACTCCTGACCTCTGGTGATCCACCCGTCTCGGCCTCCCAAAGTGCTGGGATTACAGGCATGAGCCACCATGCCCGATCCAGTTACAGCCATTTTAACCCCAGCCCTCCCCACTGTCCCTGGCTGTCGCTTTTCATGGGCTCCATTGCTTCCAGAAGCCTGGCCAATCCACCGGAAGGCCATCCTCCCACCTAGCCTCCTCCCTGTTTTCCTGCTAAAACCCAAAGCATCCCTGGGCACCTGCCCCTGTGTCTGGTGAAGCCCTCCCTGACATCCCAGGCAGTCTTCTGGATCCCCTCAGCATCTGTTTCCCCATACAGCAGGTGCCACATGGTACTCCAAGCCATGGCTTCATGCCTTCAACAGCATCATCACCCTGAGCTTCCAAGGACGTACCCATGCACCTGTTGTCTTGAGGAGGCAACGTGGCACAGAGCACGGATTTGGGCTCAGACTTCCCAGACACACACCCTTGGGCAAGTTACTTCACCTCCCCAAGTCTACTTTCCCCATCTACAGGTTGAGGTCTCAATAGCACCTGCCTCATTCTGCAGACCCAATGGGCGTGTGTTTGTGACATGCCTCCCAGTAGCGCCTGTGACAGAGAATGAGCATGTGTTTTGGTTGTTGCCATGATTGTACTGTTATTCTCAACACCTTTGTCAGCCCAAAGTCAAAAACAGTGCCTGACACAGGTCAGAGGAATGTCTGTGCTCTGGACAGTGGAGCCACATTCTCTCCCCTTGTTTTATCTGATGTTTCATTCATCCTTTTGACTCATCCTCACATCCTGTCTTGCCAGGACACATGGGCAAGGGCTGGGTCTGGGCTAAGAGATGCAGCTTCCAAAAAGATGGGTCTGAAACTATTGTGGCCTGATGGCTTGCTTGATTTTTAAAGCTGTTTGCAAAGCTACAGCAAACTACATATGGGCAACATACACCCTCTCCCTCCCTGCTGTGGTTATCAGCCGGGAACTGCCACCTCCCTGCCGTTCTTGGTCTCCCAAAACTTCCTTTGCATCCCGATCACATATTTTTGTTTTCCTCCAGAAATCAACAAAGCACCAAAAAACACAACTCGACAGAAAACCCGGCCGAATTTTGATTTTTAAAAATTGCAAATAGCTCCTTTCCCTTCTATTCCCTCAAATAACTAACCAGGGACAGGCCATGCTTCCTCTGATCCTATTCAGGAAATGAATTTTGATGACCAGACTTACGTGGATGTGTGGTATGTTTCCCCATCTGTGGGAGTTCTCTAGCCATGGACACTTTTTCCAGTCCTATAAAGAGCTTGCTGGAACTGGACACAGGATAGTTGAGTCAAGTTCCTCAAGTCAGTTCTGGATCTTCGATTGACGAGTTCAAGTTCTCTGCATGACCCAAGGCTGAATCATCTGCAGTTCGGCCTCTGCCCAGTAGAGTGAACTTAGGTACTGTAGAGCAGCTACATAATTTTTATAATAAAGTCCATCCACCAGGACAACGCATGGCTGGCCTAGGATTATGGACCCAGTGGAATGTTTGTGGATCCCTACTATATAAAAAGCTCTTGAAAAGCAATGAAGAAAAGGAGAGAAACCTGTTGGAAAACTATGGGAAAGACATGAGCAGGCAATTCAAAGAGAAGGAAATTCAGTTACCAGTAAAAATATAAAAAAGCGCCCAACCTCATAACTGGTTTAAAAACTGTGCATTTTTTAAACCAATAATATAATAATTTTGAGTTTTGTTTTTGCTTTGTCTGTCAGATTGGCGAAGACAAAAAAGGTTGAAAATACCCAATGTCACTATTGGAGAGAGCACAAATTGATTCAGCCTCCATGGGAGGGATAGGGACTATAAGGACCTATTGATCACATTTTAAATTGTGGCTGATCTTTGATAGCAACTATGCATCTATGAATTAGCTTAACTGAAAAACCCGTGTAAGTGTACAAGCATAGATAGGAAGGATATTCATTATGGCATTGTTTTTAATGGCAAATTTTAGGACCTTCAACCCCAAAAAGGAACCAGGCCCAGGAGGTTCACAGGGAATAGCTCCTAAACCTTTCATCCCAATGCTGTTTAAAACTTGAGCATACAACAAGGAAGAAAATTTTTTTAATTATTTTTATAAAGCAAGTATAACATTGATACCAAAACTTGATGGGAGCTTTGGATAAAATTTCTTATAAATATCAAGGGGAAAATCCAAAGTAAAATATAAACAAATAGAATTCAGAAGCACATGAAAAGAAGACTACATTCACACTGGGAAATATGTTAATAAAATTGATTGTATTAATTGACTTCAGGGGAGGTAATCAAATGATTGTTTCCATAGTTGAAAAACATTTGAAAAATTCCTGGTTAAACACTCAATAAAAAAGAATAGATGGAACTATCTTTAATCTAACAAAATATTTCCATCTCAGCCAGCTTCCTCTTAATACAAGAAACATGAAAGGTATTGCCACTAAGACAGCAACAATCATTATCAACACTGTTATTTAATTGTTGCAGAATTACTAGCAAATACAACCAGAAAAGGCAAATAAATTCAAAGTATAAAAATGGAAAAGAAGAAAAAGTCTTAGTATTTGCAGGTGATATCCTTATATTCCTGGAAAACCCCCCAAAATACATTGAAAGGCTATTATAAGCAATCAAATGCATCACTAAGGGAGCAGACTATATTAAAAAATCAGTAGCTTTCACACACACACACGTGCACACACACACACCACACACAATCCAGAATCTGCTTCTCAGTTAATTTTTTTAAAAGATAAAATGATAGGAATAAGCATAAAAGGAATTTTTAAGATCTCTATCTTTTAAAACTCTTAAGAACTATTGAAGAACACAAAGGAAAATAAACAATTGGAAAAACAACCCAAATTCTAGAAGCCAATTCTCACTGTTAATTTTCAAAGTCAACTTGACCCCATTGAAAATACAAATAGCTTCTTTTTCTCTAACCAGACAAAGCAATGGTAAAATTCATGTGGAAAAATAAATAAGATAGCCAGGAAAACCCTGAAAAAGAAGAGGAGAAAAGAGTATGATAATCTTGGCAGATATTTAAACATATTATAAAGCATCAGTCCATCAATGATAGACTGGATTAAGAAAATGTGGCACATATACACCATGGAATACTATGCAGCCATAAAAAAGGATGAGTTCATGTCCTTTGTAGTGACATGGATGAAGCTGGAAACCATCATTCTGAGCAAACTATCTCAAGGACAGAAAACCAAACACCACATGTTCTCACTCATAGCTGGGAATTGAACAATGAGAACACTTGGACCCAGGGTTGGGAACATCACACTCCGGGGCCTGTCGTGGGGTGGGGGAAGAGGGGAGGGATAGCATTAGGAGATACACTTAATATAAATGACGAGTTAATGGGTGTAGCACATCAACATGGCACCTGTATACATATGTAACAAACCTGCACGTTGTGCACATGTACCCTAGAACTTAAAGTATAATTTTAAAAAAAAAGAAAAAAAAAGCATCAGTCATTAAAACAGTATGATACCAGAAATAAACAGACCACTGACAAGGTATAAAAAGTTCAGATAGACTCAGAATACACATGACACTTCAGTACGTGGAAAAGAGGGCATCTTAACCAATGGGGAAGAGATGGCCACAAATGGTGTTAGGACAATCAGGGACCTCGTCACATAGCTCAGATGAATTCCACATCGATCAAAGGTTCAAATGAGAAAAGTAAAGGAAAAAAATTATAAAAGTGCTACAAGAAAACATGAAAGAATTATTTTACAGCTAGACAATGGGGAAGGCCTTTAAATTATGACTAAAAATATAAAAGGGATAAAAAAGTTTAAATTACATGAAAACAAAAATCTCTCACATGTTAAAAAAAAAAAGCACCATAAGAAAAACCAAAAAGCAAGACTAATTGAAATCTTTAGGGTAGGCCCTAATCCAATAAAACTGGTGTCCTCACAAGAAGAGAAGATTAAGATGCAATTTCAATTTATGAAGCCTACACTGTGGTTATCCAACTGTCTATAAATGTTGTCAATTTTGATGGTGTAAAGTTAAAAGTACACTTAGGAAGGGGAAAAGAAAATGACCCTAATCCAATATAACTGGTATCCTTATAAGAGGAGATTCAGACACAGTTTCAATTTCTGAAGCCTGAACTGTGGTTAGCCAACTATTTATAAATGTCCATTTTGATGGTGTAAAGTTTAAAGTACAGTCAGGAAGGGGGAAGAGAAAATGAGGAGATGTATGTTATAGACTGAATGTTTGTGTCCCTCCAGGATTCATATGTTAAAGCCTGACAGTATGGCTGTATTTGGAGATGGGGCCTCTAAGTAAGTGACTAGGGTTAAATGAGGTCAGAAAGGTGGGGCCCTGATCTATTAAGATTGTTGTTCTTATAAGAAGAGACACCAGAGAGCTCCCTCTCTCTCTCTCCATCTTCCCCCTCTGCCAGCCACATGAGGACACAGCAAGAAGGCTGCAGTCTGCAAGCCAGGAAGAGAGCCCTCACCAGCAACCAACCCTGCCACCTTGATTTGGAACTTCCAGCCTCCAGGACTGTGAAACAATAAATTCTTGTTCTTTAGGCCAACCAGTCTGTGATATTTTGTTAGGGCAGCCATAAGCATCTCACAGAATGGTGAATGGAAAGACGCCACCAGACCTTGCTGTGTCCTGTTCACGTATCATCGTGTATATAGATGTGGATATAATTCACTTACAATATCCCACCATCTCCTCCTGAAACAGTGAGATCAGATTTCATTTCCTCTGTGAGGCTCATTTTTGATTCAGTGATATCACTGTCATAAGATTGAAACAGGCTCTTAGGATTTTAGAACTATAAGAAATGTTCACCATTATCCCAGGCAACCTATCAAATCATGCTGACGGGGAGGATCTTGCTGATGGGGAGTGTTAGGGTTCAGTCATGCTCCCCCAAAATGAACATGTTGAAGTCCTAACCCCCAGAGCCTCAGAACTGACCCCAATTGCCCAGTGACTGCAGTTGGACATGAGGTCTTCACAGAGGTGATTAAGGTAAAATGAGGTCAGATGGGGGAGTCCTAATCCAATCTGACTTGTGTCCTTATAAGAAAAGGAGATGAGGCCACAGATATGCACAGAGGATGATCACGTGAGGACACAGGGAGAATGCGTGTCTACAAGCCGGAGAGAGACCTCAGGAGAAACCAGACCTTGACAGCCCAGCCCTCCCCAAACAACCCCATGTCTACATTAAAGTCCACCTCCCAGCCTTCCCACCCACCCCCACCCATACAGAGTGTCCCCCACCCAGCACCTGATGGTGAGCAGATTCCAGGAATGAGATTCAAGGTACAATAAGAACGGGCACAGAGCAAGACAAGCCAAGGAGATAAGGCCAGAGAGGGCAGGGGGCTCCCCAGACAGAGGGGCTAAGGCTGTCCATGAAGGAGGGTGCCGTGTACATCTGTGAAGAGAAGGAAAGAAATGGAAAATCCTTTCTCAGAAGGAAAACGAAAGGAGACCCGTTCTCTGGGAGCTTTACTCAGCTACGTCTTTCCCGTCGAAAAAGTCTCGGAAAGCTGTCAGATTCTTCACAGTCCTGTTCTCTGCACCATCTTGGATTCTCAAGTATTGTGAGAAAAATTTAATCCTTATGTTCCAGATTCATTTATACTAAAATCATCAAAATGCTTTCGTCTGTCTAAGGGGACTTTGGTGTTCTTTTTATAGACCTATTCAAGCCCATTTTCGCTTTGAATCACGTTCTGAAAATTGTAAGTGAATGCAATCTCCTGCTCCCTGAATTCCGTTCTGTTTCATGGTTGGAACTCTCTAGAGCGGGGACGACACTCTGTGTGGCTGAATGAACTCACCTCTCTTCCTATTGAGCTGGACTGTGCTGCACGCAGAGGGCCAGAGGAGGCCACGTCTGCTCCGAGGGCCCACGGGGGCTTAGCGGGCCGCACGCGTTGCTTCCTGATCACCCGGTGCCCGCACCGGCCCCGGTATAGACAATGAGCTCTCAACACCAGGGCCTCTGCCCAGCGGCTCTGGCAGCTCCCCGGGGCAGTGAGGCCTTCCCTCTGAGTGCTCACCATGACAGGCGGCAAACACTCTTGTCTCCGGGTCCTGGTCTAAGAACCTCCTCCCAACGTCTGTCTGGCTCAGTGCTTCCCAAAAGCGGCTGCATTTCAGAATCGCCTGGAAGCTTTAAACAAACCCAGATGGATTCCGCCAAAGTGGCAGTGGGTGGCCTTCGTCTTCTTGCAAAACTGTCCCAGGTGAGTCTTCTGTGTGGCCAGGTGAGAACCACCGGTCCGGCCCAGTTCCATGCACAGTAAGTGACTGTTGAATACGAAAATGGGAAACACCTCCATGTAGGTGTCCAAAGGTACCTTCCTCCAAAACCTCCCCGACGCCCCCTGCTCAGTCCCCATTGGCCGTGCGTAGGCCAGTCATCGGGGTGACAGGAGGACAGCCAGGGAGCCACCTTCTTGCTGCTGGGGTCCCCTTTCTGGGCCAGCCCTCCTTCCACAGCCCATGGGGGAGCAGATTGGCACCTCATTTAAGCTTTTTCTCTGTGGCCGAACTTTTAACTCTTTGTTTCCTGTGTCGTTGCTTTGTCTCCCCAGCCAGGTGTAAACCGCTGAAGGCAGAGGCCGCATCTCCAAGCTGTTGCCCTCCCCAGGGCCTGATTGGAGGCTGCACCAAGAGGCTGCACAGGGAGGATGAGGTTTTGGCCTTGAAGGCCAGCTCTGCCAGCTCCAGGGACCTTGGAGAACAGATCCTAAGTTGGGTACATTCAGTCTCGGTGTGGGCAGAGACAGGCTCAGCCAGCCATAGTTCCTTTTCTCCTTCCTGCAGACACAGTGATTGGCTCAGGGTGGTCATGTGACCCAAGCAGAGCAAATCAGAGTCCTCCCTGGGATTGCTCTGTGGGTGGTGGCGCAGATGAGTGTTCTTTCCACTAGGGTCGGAGAACAACATAAGCCTGGAGCGCACCATCTTCTCTGGCCACGTGACAGATGCCCGTGTGAACTGGCAAAGAGAAAGGAGAGAAAGAACATTCAGAGGAAATCAGAGCCAAGACAGAAAACAAAGCCTAATGACATCACCTGAGTGCCTAGATCCAGCCATCCCTGAAACCACTTGACTTCTCCAGTCACAAGAGCCAACTGGGATCCTTTTGGCTCATGCTGGTTTTTGTAGGATTCTACCCCCTGCCACCAGGCATTTAACAGAGCACACTAAGGACTGTGCAGAGGACGCCACCAGAGAGGTAAAGTGGCTGACACAGTGAGCCTGAAGGAATGGGGTGCTTAGCCCAAAAAGAAGGGCGCTGTGCTGGTTGACTCCTGGTATTCAAAGGGCAGGTGAGAGAAGAATTTGCTCAAATGAGCAGCCTCACAGTGCCAGAGGTCGGGGTGGGTGTGTGGGACTCTGCTGTGAGGGAAGGCTGCCCCACACAGCTTCACCCTCTCCTTGGTCAACTCAGAGTTCGGTGGTGCAGACGTGCACAGCTCAAGCTTCCCCATTCCACAGCCTATTTCGGGGACACAGATGACTCAGCCAGCATCTTACCCACCCACCCACGCCCAGCACCTTCCCAGCAGAGGTGGTTGACATCCCAAAAAGCCCGCAACTGCTAGACATACGATGGGCTCCCCCAGGAACCCACTCCACGGGCCCCACTCTTACTGTAGCTCGCCCCAGCCCATCGCAGCTGACATGGCCCTAGCCAGATGCTGACAGTTCCCCTGCTTGCAGGGCGTGAGTGAGTCCGGGGTCACTTGAGGCCTTTGAGGCAGTAGGGTCTGTGTAATAAGAAGCCTGGCATCAAGTGTGGAAGGGGTCTTCTCCTGGGAGTGGAGACCTGGGTGAGAGGCAGTCCTGCCACAAAGAACTGGGGACCTAAAGCCGTGTCTCCTGTCCTCCTTGGGCCTCTGATTCCTCAGGTCTGAATACCAACAAGCCTTTGGAGCTTATGCGGTCACAAGAGCTAGGACCACTGCACCAACTTCCCTTGGAGCCCACCCCATGTGTGACGGGCCCAATTGTGTCCCCAGAATTCATATGTAGAGGTCCTAACCCCGGTGCCTCAGAATGTGACTGCTTTAGAGATAGGGCTTTTAGGAGTAATTAAGTTAAAATGAGGTCCCCAGCATGGGCCCTAATCCCATATGACTGTGTCCCTATAAGAAGAGTAGATGAGGACACAGACACACACAGATGGTCAACCCTGTGAGGACACAGGGAGAAGATACCATCTACAAGCCAAGAAAGAGGCCTCAGGGAAAACCAACCCTGCCAACACTTTGATCTTGGACTTCCAACCTCCAGAACTGTGAGAAGACAAATGCCTGTAGTTTAAGCCATCCGCCTGTTTTGGCAGCGGGACCAACAACTGCACCAGGTCATGCCTCAGCGCCGTTTCTCCTGCTGGGCCCTTGACCTGGGGTGCCCACCCTCTCCCACTGGCCAGACTGCCTTCCTCTTCCGCCTTCAAGGCATAAGTTGGTGTTGGTGTCACTTATTCTAGGAAGGCCCTCTGGTACACACACGCTCACACACGCTCGCATCCACACACACGCTTTCTCACACACACACTCTCGCATGCTCACACACATGCACACATATGCTCACACACATGCTCACATGCACACACATACTCACACACATACTCACACACACTGACATACACACACATGCCCTCACACACGCTCACAATACACACATACACACATGCTGTCATGCACACACATGCTTATGCGCACACATGCTTATACCCACACGCTCTCACACACATGCTGACACACACATGCACACTTATGCTTTCACACACACATGCTCACATAACACATCCTCACACACGCTCACACACACTCACATACACACACGCACTCATGTACACAGGCCCACACACACAAACATGCTCACACACACGCTCACATACACACACTCACACACATGGTCATGCACAGGCTCACACACACATACACACAGGCTCACACACTCACATACACACGTGCTCACACAGGCTCACACACGCGCTCACACATGCTCACACACACACATGCTCACACACACACAGAGTTGCTTCCTTCTGTTAGATGATGGGCTCTGGCAGCAGCAAATGCCACCTTGGTGTCTCACCTTGGCCATCCCATTACCATCTTCCTGTCCCTAGAGTCCCCAGGTGGACACCGCCCACCTGCGCTCAGAAGCCCAGCATCCCCTTCTACCTCACTGGGAGCACCTGCAGGACCACGAGGGTCCCTCTAGTCCTTGGACTCAGCATCCAGCACCATGCGAGCGCCTTGGCTTTCAGGACTTGTCAGGTGAAGGAGTGACAGGCACATCCCAGCCACCATCACCACAGACCCGTGGCTGGGCACACGGTGGCCCCTTCCCAACTGCTTTCTTTCCCCAGAACTCCCAGGACCTCATGCCTCGTCCTCACACTCTCCTTGCCAGACACAGGGACATGGCTACACGCAGACATTTTGGCCACTCCTGGACCTCTAGGGACTGTGTTGACTCAAGTCTTAATGGGGCTTATTAGAGATCTTTTTCTTCTTCTTCAACAGCAACAAAACGGACCCTACTGTGTGCCTGTCCTGGAAACAACAGACACTTTGTTGGGCAGGCTGGGCAGTGGAGACACAGAGCCGACCCCACCCAGTGACCCCTCCAGCCAGGAGCCACCATGCGAGAGTCACCCTCCCAGCATTCTGTCCCCTGAGAGGCGAAGTGTGGGTGCTGGCTTTGTCAGGTGGCTGAGCTCTTGGCTACCTTCCTAGGGGGTCCCTGCAGGAAGAAGCTGAGGGGCTCTGAGAACCTGTCCAGGCTGTGCCCAGTTGGCCCTGCCAGTGATGATGTGAAGAGGGTGGTGACATCGGGCCTGCCCCTGGTCACCCCTGATTTCTGCTGCTGCCTCAGAGGGGGGTGTAGGCTGCTCAGCCCAACCACAGGCTCCAGCAAAGCCACCTCCAGTTCGAATTTCCCTCACCTGCAAACCAAAGGCGCATGGAGTACCTGCCATGGGAGGGGGCAAGCAAGCATCCTTCCCGTAGCCCTGGCAGTGCGACGGGGTGGGAACCCCAGGAGCACCGGGGTTTCTCTCTATGGACAGGCTAGCATCCCATCCTCTGTCCCCAGGGGACGCCTCTCTCCAAAGGGCAGCTCCAACCTGCAGGTTTACCAGCCCCCACAAGTAGGAGGGGAATGACTGGCCCACAGGATGCAGTCCCCTGCTCAGGATGTCATAACAAGGCCCACAGACCGAGTGGCCTAACAATCGAAATGTATCCACTCACAGTTCCGGAGGCCCCAGGTCCATACTGAAGGTGCCAGGAGGGTTGGTTCTGTCTGAGGGAAACCCGTGCCACGCCTCTCCTTCGCTGCTGGGGGCCCCACGCACTCCTTGGCTTGTCAATGGCCTCCTCTCCCTGCGTCTCCCCTTGGTTGCCCCTCTGTGTGATTTCCCCTTTTCATGAGGGCCACAGTCATGTTGGATTAGTGCCCGTCCTAATGACCTCATCTTAATCATCTGCAGAGACCCTATTTCCAAACAAGGTCACATTCCCGTTCATGGGTACCAGGGCTCAGGACTCCAGCATCACTTAAGGGGGCCAATCCCACAGGATAGGGGAGGCCAGTGCTTCGTGTCCCTTCCCACCAGGCCAGGAGGTGCATTGGCCCGTGGGACTCCAGGCACAGAGTGTAGAACATTCAGGAGAAAGTCCTCTCTCTAGTCCAGCAAAATCTCCAGGCCTCTGTGCACTGGGAGCTGAGGAAATGGCGTAGAATTTGTCTCATCTTATGGTGATTCCAAGTAGACACAGTGTTGGTGCCAGACACAAGACACTGGCAATACCAGGCCAGCCTTTTAAAATTTTATTATTATCATTATAATCATTGTCACTGTTACAATTGATGCAGCCTGAGATTTACTTAGAAAAAAGGAATGGCCATGAGCTTTTGTGAGAACTGGGGACTGACGTCAGGACAGGTGTCCCCATGGTGTGAGCACCTGGGGTAGGAAGGACTTGCTTATGTGCTCACAGCCCCTGAGTCCTTGTGCTGTCAAGAGGAAGCAGAGTTCCCCGGAAATATGGCCAGAGGGATGTAACCACTTCCTTATGCATGGCACATGGGTTCCGGGTCCCCATAGTTGGTGCTGACAGCCACCCGGTGGGCAGGAGTAGCATGGCTCTGCCTACTCTTGCGTCAGGCTCAGGGTCCACTCAGCAGCCCCAGCCTCTAGCCTGGAAGGGTCTGGACAGGTGGTTGGTCATCCCTGGAGGGCCACTGATCAAGTGTGGCCCTGGTCAAATTAGGGTGTAGCTCTAGTCTGATAGGACTGTGGCCCTATAGGAAGAGCAAGAGACACCAGACAGCCTACTCCCTCTCTTCCTCCACCATGCAAAGACACAGCAAGAAGGCGGCAGTCTGGCAGCCAGGAAGGGAGCCCTCACCAGGAGCTAAACCCAACAGGAACCTTGGTCTTGGACGTCTGGCTTCCAGAATTGTGAGAAAATTCTGTTGTTTAAGCCACCCAGTCTGTGGTATTTTGTTATAACACCCTAAGCAGATGGAGGCAGCTCTCCTTGCTTTGCTAATAATAATCATTTACCTAGGTACATGAATTCAGGTGTTCAGAAAGCTTTCCTGGCCAGGTATGGTGGTTCACACCTGTAATCTCAGCACTTGGGGAGGCAGCAGTGGGAGGATTGCTTGAGCCCAAGAGTTCAAGACCAGCCAGGGCAACATGGTGAAACCCCATCTCTACTGAAAATAGAAAAATTAGCCAGGCATGGTGGCACTCCTGCAGTCCCAGCTACTTGAGAGGCTGAGAGGTAGGAGGATCGCTTGAGCCCAAGAGTTCGAGGCTGTAGTGAGCCATGACAGCAACACTCCACTCCAGCACAGTGACTCACTCCTTTAATCCCAGCACTTTGGGAGGCCAAGGTGGGAGAATTGCTGGAGCCCAGGAGTTCAAGACCAGAAAGCTTTCCTACCCTTACCTCTCAATCTTAACACTCCATGGTGCAAATGCTTTGGGGGTGGTGGGGCCAGGCCAGAGCCCAGGGCTCAGCCCCCTGGCTCAGTACTACGTCCCATACTCCAAAGTTAGATTTCAGAGCTGTTTGTGATCAGTCTACTTGGGCACTTGAGAATGAAACCCATTTCTCAGATTGAAAACAGAGGCCAGAGGAGTTAAACAAAGGCCTAGAAGTCCGAGGAGCCTGGCTGTACATATTCATTTATAGCATAAACAAACTGACCAATTGTAATAAAATGGGTTAAAGAGGCTGGAGAGGCAAAGAGAGTTTCTGAGTTCCTGCCCACCAGGCACACCCTGCAGGTTTCTCCAGAGATGTTCCTGTTCTCTTCGCAGCCAGGGATCTCCCCCTTGGAGTTCCCAGCCGTGCACCTAATCCTGCCTCATGAAACTGGATCCCACCAGACAGCTAAGCCTTCGGATGCCTGTAATTCCTTGGCTAATGCTAGGCTTAATTAAGACATCGACTTTAATAGCATTCTCACCGATTAAGAAATGGCAGGTCTGAAAGATGATATTTCCTGGTGTGCAAAGATATCATGATGAAATCTCCAAGTCATCGTTTCAACACAGGAAGTTATCGGCTACCTGGGGCAGTGCCCGTCCTGCTGCACAATTGGCCCGCTGTTAGCAGCGTTATTTAAGAGGCTGAGGCATCCATGTTTCCCAGGAGCCGGTCAGTGGGGAAAAAAAGGATCAATTGAGTATTTTAGCTCTGCATATAGGTCTTCTCGATGTTTGGTTTGCTTTGATGCGGAGTAAAAGTAAGCGTTATACGTTTGAACTTGTTGCTTTATCTTTTCCAGACTTCTGTCATGTCTCAAAGTCAGCTAAAAAAAAAAAAAAAAGTCAGCTTGAGTTAAATTAGCATTTCTGCCTCTCTTCCTTTGCCTGTCAGTTTTAAAAATAAGTATCGTAGTTTTATAAAAATCGAGTACCAGAATCTTTACAGTTCCACATGGCATAGCTGCCACCCAAGTCGAACGTGAAGCTGAGCTCCCGTTAGATCTGCAGACACTCCCCATCAATGTCCATCTGGTGCATCAGGGTTGCGGGGTACACTGGAGAGGAAACACAATTTCTATAAGGAATGGAGTACAGTTTATAAAACAAGCTATTTGTTTCCACCATGAGGTGGTCTATCTCTAGCAGGGTGTTGCCCTTTTTATAACATGGGTCTCTGTTTTTGAAAGAAATTGTCTGTTATGTGCAAATTATTATTTTTGGAAGGAGGAAACCAAAATGTCAGTGCATTCCTAAGCCACCCTAGGGGTAGGGGTGAGGAGACTTTCCTGGGATCCTCCTCCATCGTCCAAGCAGAATCAAAGCTGGGGCAAGATTTCACTTGAGTCAGCACCACCCTCCACCCCCATGTCTCCATCCCTGGAGCTTAGATGGATTCAGTAGAGTGATGAGTTAATACTAGTTTCCTTCCTTAGCCAACTGGCCACTTAGGGTCCAGAGAAGAGACCTTCCGTGGGCACTGACCAAGGCCAGCACCCACAGCAGGAAGAACTGCTGGCAACGGGCAGCTCCAGACCCCATATCTGCGCCTCTTGGGAGGGACAGTGGCCTGCGGAGCGGCACCCACATGGGAGCGTGTGCGTCCCAACAGAACTCTCCCTGTGTAAACCCCTTCTCGCCTGGGACCCAGTGCCACATTCAGACCTCGGAAATTCATGTGTACTCAGGAAATTCAAACACATTATCATTTTCCAACATGCGGTGATGACGGTAATGACACTGGGAGGCCTTCACTCAAAGCAACCGTGGATGGAGCTGACAGGGCAAGTGTTAATAGGACCACCACTGATGAACAGGGAAGGAAGCAAAGCCAACCATATTTCCACTCCTCCTTGGCTCTCGATAACCCCTGGGCTCCATACCCCCACCAGGCCCCAGGACTGTGGCCAGTCCTCGCCTGCCTTTGTTCTTTGGCAGGCCCGCTGGCCTCTCCACCAGGCAGCCACATCCTCTGCAGAGATGCACATATTCGTTTATTTATTCAATTCATTTTGACTTATTCATCAGATTTAAATGGACTCTTTTTCATAAAAGCCCAAAGAGTAGAAGGGAGGTGGCTCTCCAGATGCAGGCGCTGGGCCCCATGAGTTTCCTGTTAAACCCTTGATGAGGTCCCTACATGTGCAAGACCACGGTGGCAGAGAGGAGGCCGAGAGCAGAGGCCATGGGAGACAACAGCTGCTTCACGCCCAGCTTTGAGGGCCAGCCTGGCCAGGAGAAACCTGAAGGTGGGAACCTGCAGCTTCCTGGGCCCAGCTGAGCCTGGGGTGAATCCACATGTTTACAAGAGGGTGCAGTATGCAGGACCGGCCGCACAGCTCAGATGGAAACTCCCCTCCTACAGTCAAAGTCCAGATTCCTGGCTTGGCCTTCAAGTCTCTCCAGACCGACTACTTTTCCAGCATCCACTTCAGAGCCCTGTGGTCAACACAGCAGAGCAGCCGCTTTCTCATCCCCAAGCTCACCATCCAGGTCCCCTGTGTTGGCCTGGCTTCTGGGAGCATCCCCTAGTCTCTGATGAAAGCTGCTGAGGACTGACAGCCATGTCCTGAGCCAAGAATTGACATTGACTGCATGAAAGCCACCTGGCCTGGAACATCCCACCAGAACCACCCTGCCTGGTAGGGCCATAGTCAGTGACTGACTGACTGACCCTGGGGGTCTAAGGGCCCCCATGCCTCACTGTGGGACTGACTCTGTGATGCAGGTCACACTCCAGAGCCCCCTGTGGGGCTGAAACCACCACTGTGCTGAGCCTCCCCTGCCCCATCTAGCCTCTCTCACTTTCTTTCTCTTGAAAGCCCTCTGTCAATCAATCCCATGGACCCAAACCCTTGTCTCAGGCTCTGCATCTGAGAAGCCTGGCCAGAGACCCTGCCCTTTCATATCCTTCTGGCTTTGCTGACTCTGTCCCCTCCATGGAAAGGCCTCTTTCTCCCTTAGCACGGGTTGAATTATGTCCCTCAAATATTTATGTGTTGATGTCCTAACCCCCCATATCTCAGGATGTGACACTGTTTTTGGGAACAGGGACTTCGAAGAGGTAATTTAAGTCCAGTGAGATCACATGGGTGGGCCTTAATCCCATCTGATCGATGTCCCTGTAAGAGGAGAGGAGGACACAGACACGCACAGAAAGACCACCCTGGAGGACACAGGGAGAAAGCAGTCAACTATAAACCATAGAGAGAAGACTCAGGAGCAACCAGCCCTGTGACACCTTAATCTGGGACTTCCAGCCCCAGGATGGTGAGAGGATCAATTTCTGTTGTTTAAGCCTCCCCATCTGCAATAGCTCATCATGGCAGCCCCAGCAGATCAAGACACTACTACATTCACTGACACTGCATTTGCCCTTCAGGATCCAGCTGTCATCCACCTGCAGTGCCTCCCCACTTCTCCAAGATAGAATCATTTCTGCAGCACATTCTCGTGCCCCTCTTAATATACATACCACATCCCCACTTGCATTATGCTAGTTATGTACATTCCTACCTTCAGCAGAGACTCTGTCTTTTAATGTATTCCTCCTTGCATTCCACGTAAGACCTACTAAATTGTCAATCAATGTTCATCGAGTTAAAAATGGACTTGGATTGAATTTCTTGACTCCCTGGGGCAGGCCACCTTCCTCCTCCCCAGCAGGCCGAGCTCAGTGGCAACTGAGATGGTATCGCACACGGGCACAGCGCAGGATCACGCTCCGGTCTCCGACACTGGCCCCATTTAAATGACTCTGGGGACAGAGAATAGGAACTTAAATTTCTTTCCATGCAGCTGAAGGCTTCCTCCTAGGAAGTCGCTGACTGAACACACCTCACCGAAAAGATCACAGATGAAACTGAAACCCTAGACCCATCTCAGGTCCCCTAGGGGCTCCTGATCTGTGGACCTGGCTTCCCCTAAGACCCCCTTTGGGAGCGAGGCTGCTGGGAGTCTGTGCACCAAGAGGTCAATTGTCCGATATCACTGAGCCAAAGCTATCTGTTTAACCGACAACATATCTGAGTGTCAGAATCAGCGACCATCATCCAAGATGCTGGAGTTTTTTCTTCCGCGTTGAAATGGATCCTTTGAGAGTCAGTCAAGGGGAAAGAATGTGGAAGGATGAAGCTCAGTAGAGCACCTCGGAGAAGGAGGCCCTCGGTTATAAGGGGGACATGAAAAACGGGGAATTTCCTCTCCCATCACAGGCTTCCCTCAGTTACCTCTACACCTTTCTGTAGAAAAACCACTCATTTGTTTTTCTGAAGACAGGAGGGCAGGGGGTGTGGGGATCATCCACAGCAAGGCATGTTTCCTGAGAATGTTTTTGATTGTCAGGAGGAGACTTTTCAAAGTAAACGCATGAGAGTCTCCCTACCCCCACCCTCCATACGAATACTGGGGGCTGCTTTGCATAAGCAGCTTGTCGGCAGGAAGAAGGCAAGTCGATGCATCCCAGGATGAATGATAACTGCGCGGCCCTGGGCTTATGAACAATAGCTTTCTGGCCAGACAACATTAGCCACAGCCAGGTTGCATTTTTAAAAGAATGTTTGTGCATTTTTTTTCTCCCTCCTAAAACTCGGAAGTCTCTTAAAAGACATCAAAACTGTTAAGTGCAGATATTCGGAATAAATCAACCCTTTTTCCCTCCAGTATGGTTGCTGTTGTAATAACAGACTTCTTATTTGTTGGATACTTATGTAACTTAAGATGAAAAGACATCTTATAGCCTTCTGGCAAAATGATGGGAAACCAACAGCACACCGGAGTCTCCTTTACGCCCAGGAGGGAGTCAGTTTCAGGCCATGAGAAAGGGGCACTTTTCACTGCTTCTTGAGACCAACCTCCTGCCTTTCAATATTTCCATACAGTGACTTTTCATAAAGGCATGTAAAAAATACCTTGGTTAATTGGTTGTGATGAAAGAACATGATAACACAGTGGTCACGGAGACCCATTGAGGGTTTGTCCAAGAATTCGTTAAGTAACTGGTTTCTGAGTAGATTTGCTTAAATGTGCATGTTCCTCTCTGATTTGGAGACATTTGGCAAGCTGAGGTTCAAAACAGGAAAGTCGGGTTCCAAGGCTCTAAGCAAATCGGTTCATCTTAATGGGCCTCAAATGACCCAGCTAAGAAATGGGTCTAATTATACCCACGGCCTTGGATCGTTGTGAAGTTTAATTAATGCTTGAAAATGTTTTGAGATCCTCGGATGAAAACAGACCACAGATACAGAGTGTTATTACAGAATCCTGCCAGAGGCTTTCTTTTTCTGCAATAACATGCTGTGGGCATTATCTGAACTTTGTCCCTGCCAGCAATGGGGATTTCTGAGATGTGCCTCTGTCCACTACACCTGCTTTCAAACCCTTTAAAGCCCTTTGACAGCTACGGGCCACTTATACGTAAATGCCCCAAGACAACAGACATGAGATCTGAAGAGATTCCTTAGCAACTCAATTTCCAAGAAGTGGCCAGGCACGGTGGCTCATGCCTGTAATCCCAGCACTTCGGGAGGCCGAGGTGGGTGGGTCACTTGAGGTCAGGAGTTCGAGACCAGCCTGACCAACATGGGGAAACCCTGTCTCTACTAAAAATACAAAAATTAGCCAGGTGTGGTGGCAGGCGCCTGTAATCCCAGCTACTCAGGAAGCTGAGGCAGGAGAATCGCTTGAACCCGGGAGGTGGAGGTTCCAGTGAGCCAAGATAGCACCATTGCACTTCAACCTGGGTGACAGAGCAAGACTGTGTCTCAAAAACAAACAAACAAACAAACCCAGGCTGGAGTGCAGTGGGTGACAAAGCAAGACCCTGTCTCAAAAACAAACAAACAAACAAACAAACAAAAATTTCCAAGAAGAAAAATGTGTCTGTGCTCTCTCCTGTGGACTTTGGTTAATTTCTCCACCATCAACGGTATCATTTGAGGATGACTGTGGTCCCTCCCACACCTGGCTGAGATTGCTCAAAATCAAAATGGTCTTTCTTAATGAACAGCCAAGGAGAGGGCTCGGGTTCACCATCTTTTATTTATCCTTCTGTACTATAATAAAGTAGAAAAGACGGATCTTAACTAAATTTGGTCTCTAATAAAGGGATTCCGGATGCACACAGTTTTGCCTTCCTTTTGATCTTCATCTTTTAAATATAATTTTCTTGCTGGGCTCATGTGCCCGGGGTAAGAGATGGATGGAAGGCTCTGCATGGTCTGTAGGTCACAGGCTCACTGGCATGTGGAGTTCTTGTATAATCTGGCTAGGCCCAGTTCTCAGGGGTCTGATGGGAAGCTGAAGATTTGTTATTTCTCAATGCTGAACAGATTGGAAAGAAAGGGACCCTCACCTCCCTGATGTGGTCCCTTATGTCCCCTCTGCCCAGGACACTCTGCCCTGATATGGCCACTTGGCTGTCCTCTTTGGCCCACTTGGAGGTCCATACAAATCCCCCCAGCCCCCTGTGCTAACTGCTTCCCTGCTCCCCTCTCCTTCCACCCACGGTCACTCTCAATTTCTTACCTGGCATTATTCCCTTTGTGTTATTACTCATTCAGTGACATGGCATTCTCTGCTTCTCCCTCTAGAATTTGGTGTCCATGGGGTGGTGGGGAGAAGTGTCTGTTTAATTCACTGTTGTGTCCCCAGCCCGAGTATCCTACCTCATACATCGTGAGAGCTCGATCAATATTACCGGGTAAATGGCCTCAGCGCCCAGTGGTGCAGAGTACGCAGAGGCTGAAACAAAGGCTTGAGTGTGAGCCCTTCATGGAGAAGTATGATCTGAGGTGGGGTGAGCAAGGCTGGAAGGACAGGGGGCGACACAAAGGCACAGACTTGAACTTGCTATTGCTACCCTCACTGGTCGCTCAAACCAAGAGATTCCCCAAGGAGTGTGTGACTGTTTTCCTGGACTTTCCTCTGGAGAGGGGAAAACATTAATCCCGCCTTCATCCATCAGCAACCACCCTCTGCTAGAGTCATCCACAAACTCCGGTACGGTGCACGAGTGGGTCGCAGTGTGACCACGAGAGGCGTCACTCCTACTGCCCATGAATTCCTGGGGACACAGCCCCGTGTGCCGGCCATTAGCTCAGTGCATTCACCACACACTGGAAGACGGGGTCCCAATGCCACTGGGTGTTGCCCTGAGCTGACACCTTAGCAGAGTCTTTAGCAAGATGCTCTCACATTCCCTTGGACTGATGCTTCTGGCTTATGGGAATATATCTGTTGTAAGCCTGACAGATCTCACCAGTGTGTGCTCCAGAGAGTGTCTCCCTCACTGTAAAATGTGTCCTTGCTTCAAGGCATCTGCCAATTCCTTGGAGACAGATTCTGTCAGCCCTTTGATTGATGTGGGCAGAGCACTGTGAACGCAGAAGGCAAATACATATCTAGAGTAATGCCAATTCCTAAAAAGACAAGTGTTATCTCCTTTAGACTAGAAGGGGACCAATATAATCAACTTACCACTAAGTGGTTGGTCAGAGCCCTCAAGGAATGAGGCCTTATTGAAGGTTTGTCATTACTGTCTGCTTTTGTGTGTGTGTGTGTGTGTGTGTGTGTGTGTGTGTTTGTTTGTTTGTTTGTTCGAGACAGGGTCTTGCTCAGTTGCCCAGACTGGAAGGCAGTGGCACAATCACGGCTCACTGCAGCCTCAACCTCCTGGGCTCAAGTGATCCTCCCACCTCAGCCTCCCCAGTAGCTGAGACCACAGGTACACGACACTACACCTGGCTAATTTTTCATTTTTCATAGAGATGGGATTTCACTATGTTACTCAAGCTGGTCTCAAACTCCTGGGCTCAAGTGATCTGCCTACCTTGGCCTCCCAAAGTGCTGGGATTACAGGCATGAGCCACCACACCCAGTCTAGTGTCTGCCTTTGAAAGGTTGGGCAGACCAGCATGATCTGTAGAATATCAAGATGATTATGGTACCTGTGAAGTATATTCTTTGGAGAACAGGAGTTATTATAACATAGATCTGGAGTGAGATTGTGAATATCCTTCCTATCTAATGATAAATTGCTTTTTATCCTCTTTACTGATCAGGATGGAGAACACATTTGCTATAGCAATAGCTGCACACCTTCCAACTTCCAATTCTGGCCAAAAGTAACTTTCCTGCCACAAACAACTCTAAAACTGGGGAACGGGGGAGGGATATGAAGCAACTGTGCTCAGGCATTGGCTACAGGCAGCAAAGACTGTGATCTCTAAGAGAAGGGAAACTCCTGATGTGAGCCCATGGATTGCCCTGCCTCTCTCCCTAAGGAAAATGTCCTAACTGTGGTCCAGGGGGCTTAGCGAGAGCATAGCAATTTTACCCAGCTGAAGAGGCTGCCAAATAGCTGGATCTATGGGTCAGGGCACCAGAAACAGGGGAAGCTCTTCCAAGCATGGGTACCTCAAAAGTTTGTGTGGGGGTCACCCACAGTCCTCGGACAAAGGTGGAGCTGTGTATATACAGGGAAAGATTGAAGAATTACCAGAGATCAGTTGCTATGCAGTTGAGAGGGAGAATGATGCTGAGACATATTGGAACTCCAGCTCAGCCAGAGGGGAGTGGTTTCATTTATATCCCAGACATAAGAGACATCAGAAAAATCATGCCTCAGGAGTAAGGACCATAATCTAGAATAAGGTCTACTCTATACTCTCTAACTAAACCTAAAACTAAGCCTCAACAAGAGTACCACATATAGCTGGAAGGCAAAACTTGGAGGATGAGTTAAATCAACTTAGTGGGGCTTGGGAAACACTAGATCCTAGTCTATGCAAATTCAAGTTATCTGTCAGAATCAAACTGCCTGCTAGAATAGAAATCAACGGTACTCAGAAGCAAATAGCAGAATCCTAGATTTCTAGGGTCTGTTATCGGCAATGTCCAGAATATAATAAAAACAAATTCTAGACATCCAAGCAACAGGAAAACGTGAGCCATACTCAGAAAAAAAGGCATCAATTGGAAATGACACTGAGATGTCCCAGATGTTGCACTTAGCAGACATAGACTTTAAAACTGTTATTATAATAAATATGTTAAGGGTTTAAAGAAAAATATGGTGTTAATGACTGAATGGATAGGGAATTTCAGCAGAGAAATTAAAACTTAGAGAAGGAACCAAATGGAAATTCTACAACTCAAAAACACAAAGCAAATGAAAAAGTAGCTGGATTGACTTAAAAGAAGATTAGAAATGACAGAATAAATGATCTAAAGACAAATCAGTGGAAACTATGCAATCTAAATAACAGAGATAAAAAAAATGTAAAGAAAGTAACAGATCCTGAGATAACTATGGAATAAAATCAAATGGCCTAGCAATGTGTAATTATAGTCCTAGAAGGAAAGAGGGTGATAACAAGGCAGAAAAAAGTCTGAAGAAATAAGGCAAAACTTTTCCAAAAGTTGATGGGAATCATCAACTTACAGATCCAAGTAAATCAGTGAACCCTAAACAGAACAATTGCCAAGAAAAACCACACCTAGGCACACCATAGTAAAACTGCTGAAAACCAAAGATAAAGAGAAAATCTTGAAAACATTCAGGGGAAAAAAATGTACATTACAAGGAGGGAAACAAAGATACAAATCGTACTGATGCCTCATCAGAAACAATAAAATCAGAAGAAAGTGCCAAGAGAGACTTAATGTGTTGAAAAAATTTTTCAACTCAGAATTCTATATCCAGTGACAATACCCTTCAAAAACAAGAGTGGAGGAAAGGATGAAATAAAGGTCTCTTTAGACCCATAAAACCTGAAAGCATTTCCCACCAGCGGATCTGTACTGCCAGGGTGTTCTTTAGTTTGAACGGATATTATACCAATGGAAATAAGAACCCACACAAATGAATGAAGACTATCTGAACTGGTAAATAAGTGGGTAAATAGTCACATGCCAAATATCAGAGATTGTGTCAATCTGCTCCAGTAAATTCACCACATCTGGCACAGCAGCAGCAACGAGGTTAAGTTTACATGGTAAAATTTACCATACCATCATGCACCATGATCTGTCTGTTTTGGCAGGGGCCAGAGAGGTGAATTGGATGACAATGCCACAGCGCAGCATCACTACATACTTTAGGTTTTTTGTGATGGTCCTAAATCCCTGCAGTTCCCCCTGGTTTATAGTATTGCTTCTGATTTTACCATCTTAGCCAGGAGGTGACAGTTTCAGGGGCTTCCACTTGGTTCTTCCCACTTCATGGCTCTTTTCCCACAAGTCAGAGAATCAAAGCAAAAGTCCTGCCAATTCTGAAGTCTGGCTACTCCAATTACTACAATAAGGGAGAGGGGAAATGACTATGAGATGAGTCCTTGGATCCAATGGCTCCACTGTGTGATGACCTTGGGCAGGAACTCCATTTATCACCTGGTCTTCTTAGGAAGGCCCCCCACCGTCCGCTGCCAGTATAACCAGGGGATAATCAGGAGTTTCAGATTGCCTGATATCAGGCCCTATATCCAACAATCCCTGAAAGTGTAAGTAATCCTCTCTCTTCAGTGCACAGTTACTCCGGTAGATAGCCACATGTCACCTCAGGAAAGCATCAGGGAAATAATTGCTGCATAAACTGGCAGTGGTATCACAGGATCCTCCCTCAAGGATACTCAACTTCCCTTTTAGTTAATTAGTTAATTAATTAATTAATTAATGGAGTCTGGGTTTGTAAACTGAAACCTACTACTATGTATACGTCCCTGGTTCCCATTGGTACATATTCATTAGCTCCTGATTTCTTCACTAGTGAGCTCTTTCCTCTTAGAGCAGGAAATACATTTCCTCACATGGGCCATGCTCAGGGCTGACCCTAGCTATTAGCCTTATCGGCTTGGATGTACTGAGGTGGGAACACATACTGAAAATGGCTAATGTCATGTTACATACCTGCTTCAAGTGAGACTTTGTGAATTGGAGGAAGCTCTAGGCAAAGGGGGCATTTCTCATCGAAGGGATAAGGATATCTGCTGATGTAGAGGACTCAAAAGAATCTGGATGTACAGGATTTTCAGGTTCATCCACCTAAATGTTACCATCTTGGATCTCAAAGTCCCACTCTTTTCCTACCAGGACCCTAATTTGGACAAAGCAGGTCTGTGCATTCAGTCTTCTTTGCTGCTCTGCCACTCTTACAATCAGATCCTGAGCCTGATTTTCAGTACAGTCTGCCTTACAGAAAATGAAAATCTATAAATGCTGCCAGAGACCCTCTGGATTCCACAGCTTGACATGAACTGACAGATGGCTAATCTAAACCTATCACTTTCTTTTTTCAAGGCTCCCAGGGCCATTTAACTAAAGGAAGCACACTCCATGCTATTCAAGTGCCACAGCCCTGCACAGCCCAATGCCTCATTTTCCATGTGCACCTCATCCCAGGCAACCACAGGTGAGAGCCTTGGCAATGTGTGCCATAATCATCACCACTACCAGGAACGGGGCCCTCATTGATGTTTGACTAGTGAGTGATCCAATACCAAAATCCCATCCTGGGGCTCTGCTTTCAGAGGTTATTTCTTTTTTCCAACTATCTTAGCCCAATGTTCTTAGCAAATCCTGAAACAAAGACTTAACTGCAAGTACTTGGTTGGGAAGTGAGAATGAGTGAACAGGACTGAGGGAGAGGGGGAACAAGGAAGGGAAGAGGGGAAAGCCAAGTCAACCTGTGTCATTTGGTTAACCTCCAAACACCTGCCATTTCAAATCAATAAACATCTTCTGGGTAATAGACAAACTGCAATGCTGAGTATGTCTTAACTGAGAAGCAGGAAACCAAGGCAATTGCCTGGATTTTAAATTCAGGAGCAAACTTTAGGCAGAGGTGAGAGTGTTTGGGAATGATTCTCATTCTTGCCTCAGTTCCTTGAATGTGAGGGGAAGGGGAAGAAGTCCTGGCCCACTTGTAAGTATGACATTGGTTTCATTTGCAATTCCATACCCAGCCAGCCCTCCAAAACACTATGTACTTTGTTTAAGTAAGGACAGGAAATTAACATGGGCAGATGACATGCTGCTCATCTTACAAGTAAAAATACTGGGATCTGAAGATATACAGGTATCTGTTAGAAGTTCCAAAATTCAAACTAGAGTCTGCTTCCCTCCGAAGTTCTTGCTTCCCCTAGTAGACTGTGCTGAGAACTTTGTCCTGAGAATCCAGAGTCCATCAACCCCAAACAGGCCCCAAATTATCCAAAGAATAATTTGGGTGAGGTAAGTGAGGTTCAGAGTCATTTAAGGGAAATTGCCTGTTAAATCAGTGGATTCATCTGAGTCTGAGATCACACATGAGCCCAGCAGAACCATATTCTGGCCTCCATGGCCAGGAAGATTTCTTTTTTCAAGAGATTGTTTTCTAAAGTGAAAACACAGCCTTTTTTCTTCTTCTGTTTCTGTGGGATTTTCCTCTTTGACTGTACAATTTGCTGAAAATATACATTTTGATAAGAGAAATATTTGGACATCTGGGCAGGAGGGAAGTTGTGAAATCTCTGCCCACCGTCCCAGGAGGGAATGGAAAGTGAGGAGGCAGCTGGACTTCCGGGCTCTGGGATCAAAGTGACTCTGCTTGTCTCCATCAGACCTTCCTGATGATGCCAGTGTGACCAGCTCTTTCCCTGGATACATGGGCACCCACCTGGCCGGGGAGCCCTCGCGGCAAGAGGGACAGGGAAAAAGACCAAAGCGCCTATCACGAATGCCATCCTCAAGGTCACAGCCTGCAGGGTCACCGGCCTCAGCCCACTCCCACTGTTAGGAAGGAAATGGCCGCTGGCAGCTTGGGATCACCTGGGCTCTGCACACCCTGACCACGAGCAATCATTTTCCACAGGGATCACCGTGGTGTTTGTGCACCAGCCAAAGGGTAGCTGCAGAAAACCCAAGCACATCCCCTTCCTCCCGGGTTCCCCAGCCTTGGAGAGGACTCCCAGCACCTCAGGGAAACCACGTGGCTTAGAACCAAAAAATGATGTCCAGGGAGCCCTGTTCAAGGGATTGGGGCCCTTGGCATCATGGCACGAGGCAAGCCTGGGCCTGAGCAGTGAGAATGTGTTGTCATGACCTCTATAGATCCAGGCAGGCTTCCTGGAGGAGGTGAGGCCCAGAAGAGCTTTGAGAAACATGAAACATTGGAATAGGTAGGGAGTGGTTAGGGATGCGGGGAGGGCAGTGAACAATGTAAACAAAGCTAAGGAAGCCCAAGTGGGCCTGTCCAGTTAGCTGAGAGCCGATGGCCTGGGGGCCATATTCTTGGGTGGGTGGGCCACCCACGATTTCTCCATGAGGTTTTTAAAATTGGTGTTCATTTCAGTGACCATGTCCTCCATGCATCACATCCACATGGAATCATCTGGAATCATCTGGATGCTTCTGATTTCAGGGCTCAGATTTGCATTTCTCATTCAGTGGACAGGAAAAGAAGATAACCAGGGCAGGGGCTCTGAGCCCTTTCTGCAATGTAGACTTTATGGGAAATTTTTAAATTCTATGGACCCCTTCTCAGAATAACACTTATCAGTGCAAAACACAAAATATATAGGATTACAAAGGAAGCAAATTACACTGAAATCAGTTAACCAAATATTCTTAAAAAAAAAAAAAAAAAAAAAAAGTGGGCTGGGCGCAGTAATCCCAGCACTTTGGGAGGCTGAGGTGGGTGGATCACATGAGGCCAGGAGTTTGAGACCAGCCTGGCCAACATGGGGAAACCCCATCTCTACTAAAAATACAAAAATTAGCCAGGTGTGGTGGCATGTGCCTGTAATCCCAGCTACTCGGGAAGCTAAAGCAGAAGAATCACTTGAACCCAGGAGGTGGAGGTTGCAGTGAGCAAAGATGGTGCCACTGCACTCCAGCCTGGGCAACAGAGTGAGACTCTATCTCAAAAATAAATAAATAAATAAATAAATAGCCAGGCGTGGTGGCTCACACCCTGTAATCCCAACACTTTGGGAGGCCGAGGCAGGTGAATCACTTGAGGTCAGGAGTTCGAGACCAGTCTGGCCAACCAACATGGCAAAACCCCGTCTCCACTAGAAATACAAAAATTAGCTGGGCGTGGTGGTGCATGCCTGTAATCCCAGCTACTTGGGAGTCTGAGGCAGGAGAATCGCTTGAACCCAAGAGATGGAGGTTGCAGTGAGCCAAGATTGTGCCTCTCTGCACTCCAGCCTGTGTGACAGAATGAGACTCAGTCTCAAAATAGATAAATAAATAAATTTAAAATTAAAATTTTAAAAAAACAAGTGTATCATATGGAAACTGTCCTGCTTTTCCAGCACATGCAATAAAGGCAGCAGCAGGTCTTCTCACTTCCATGGCTTCGAAGGGCACACCAGCACAAACAACATTCCGAGATGTCTGCAGCAACCGTATTGTGACTTGAAAAAATCCACAATTTCTACAAACGACAAAGCCACACGCCCTGCTGCTATGGCTGTGGCTCATGGCCTACCCTCCAGTGCCACCGTGCAGTTAGAGGTTGGTAAAAATCAAGATGTAACTTTCCCCTGCCCCAAGTTAATGGGCCACAGGTTAGGAGCTCCTGACCTCTTCACATGTTGGGAAATACATGTCTGGCTGCCGTCATATTAGCAAGTGGTGGTGGCGTGACCACGGTTCCGCACACCTTGGTCCTCAGGGGGAAGTCCTTCACCAGCTGGAAATGGAAAGATGGTTCCTTGGACAAAGCCTTAATGTGCCACACTGGGGCTTTAGTTTGGCATCTTGAAAATGGTGCCCTGTCTTAGTGTCTTGTAATACCGAATCCCTTTCACAGACAGGGGCTAACAGTGGTGAACTTGATACACAGACAGCATCTTTGTTCCACGCAAAGGATACGCAAGGAATGAGACATACCACCTCCCTCAAACAGGTCCACGTTTTACTCCTTAAGGGAGTGTGATGGTTTCAGGTGGGCTAGGGAAGAGGCAGCCAGCCCTAGCTGGGAGCCTGGCTCTCCAATGCAGAGCCTCCCACCTCCACCCCAGCAAGGAAATCCAACCCAGCCCACGGCAGGATGCAGGAAGGTGCTCTCAGGTCAGTGCCTGACCCAGGGTGCTGGGCCACAGTGGCAGAGGATACAGAAGAGACAGGAGCAGGGCAGGGGACAGTAGAAGGGCCCCCAAGCAAGGTGAGAGCACGGCAGGCACAAATCTGACCCTCTGAGGTCTCAGGCAGGGGCACGAGAGGACCTCAGGAATGGACCTCCTTCTCTACCTCGAAACGTTCGAAGCTGCGAACACCATAAGATAGGACAAAAAAAAAAAAAAAGCAGCTTCGGGTGTCTGTGCTCCCCCACCACACACACCCTCAAACCATTTTTTCTTTTAAAAAAGCCATTTTTGACTGCACCTCTTCCGAAGCGCAGGGAGAGGGCTGGCAGCAGGCCTGCCCATCTACACACGGAAACTTTGCAGAGGAGGGAATGCTGCCTGTGGTCCGCTGACCAAAACAAGCCCATTTGCAAATTGGCAGGTGGAATTCGCCCTGTGAAGATAAAGGGCTTGATTGGGGAATGTTTAAAAAAGTGATTTAAATGTTTTTATGGAGTGAAAAAACAAGAGAGGGGAAAAAATTAAGTTAATAAAAATTTTACTGAATTAAGATAGAAACGATGGCAGTATTTTACCACAGCCGCTTCCATTGAGGTTTTTAAAACAGACTTTTATGAGTTACTTTTTTTCTTTTTTTTTTCTTTTTAAACCTTGCTCAGTGAAAAGCCTTCTAAATTACTGCTGACCACATTATTTTCAATTCCTGAGCCATGATTTTTCCCTGCGCTGAGGGAGGCTCCATCTCCCAATTTACAGATGGGCAGGCCCGTTGCCCTACTGGCGGCTTCTGCAATTTGACTCTGAGATTTGTTAATGAGTCTGGCGTTTAATGTTAAAGCCATTTAATGGTAACCAAACTCCTCAGGGATCCCACAGGGCTTTGATGGAAGCCCCAATCCTGTTGGCCCCTGCTAATTGCTCCGAGGCCCGGCTCCCCAGTTCTCCCCTACCCATAACCCCCCCACCGAAAAAAAGTGGATATGGAGTGAGGATGTTGTAACGAGGAGACCTTTGAGACTAGAAGGAGTGGTGGCTCAAGAGAAAGATGGTGTATATATTGCAAATCCACCCAGGAATGTCATCAACAGGCAAGAGACTATGAGGATGGGGCTTCTCAGATGTCATACTGGAAACATTTGGTAAATTTTGGAGTAAGGAGCCAAGACTTACCTGGTGCCAAACCCCAAAGGCTTGATTCACCAATGTGACCGGACGCTAGTGAGGACCCATGTGTGCCAAGGCACAATTACTGCCCAAGAAACCCCTGAACCAAGGGGTCCTGGATGCTAGCAGGGCCCTAGAAACAGACCCAGAAGTGACACAGCCTCCACCTCCGGCCCCCATCCTGCATGCCCTGGGCCAGGCAACCGCACTGGAAGGCTGCATCTGCTGAGAGGCTGGGCCATGCAGGGGCCAGAGAGGCCTCTGGGAGCCTGGACTCTGGACCAGGGGCCTGTGATGAGCACTCATAGGAGCTGCCAGCATAGCCCTGCGGCCCGACACAGTAAACAGCACCAGACTCTCAGCTCCAGCCAAGGGGCCCAGCTGAAATGAAGTTGCGGGGTGTCAGTCCCAGACTTTGGGGTCCTCGAATTGACTCCCACCTGCCTTGGGTGTAACAGGCACAAGTCAAGGACTGGGAAAGTGCTTGTCTTCACCTCCCCCGGGTCAGGAACCAGCGCCTGCGTCATCCCCAGCCTGCCCTCCTGCAGGCAGCCCCCAGGAGGCAGAACCTCTGCCGCATCTTCTGCCCTGGGCCATGGCACAAGCCCCAGCATGTATTTGAGTAGGGGGCTCTGAAGCATGAAACAAGAGCTGGTCCTGCAGAAGCCCCTGGGCGGGGAGGAGCCTGCAAATGTGACCAGGGCCGTCTCACGCTTCCCGTAAGAGGTGGATAAACCCGCAGGCAAGGTTTCCACGGCAGGCTTTCCTGCTCCCAAAGAATGCCAATATTAGTGGGGTTTATTCTCTCTCATGCCTTTGGCAGACACATTGGAGAGCTCCGAGATGTAAAATGCATTCTTGAAGCAGAGTTGAGGGTGGACGCTGACTGCTGAGGGCTGGCTGGAGAGGCCCAGGAACCGCCTTCCTGCCTCTGGTAAACCCATCCTCCAAACTGCCCCACCTGCTTCCCCACCTGGTCACGCAGCTCTCTAACCTGAACATCTCCAGTGCATCCTGCTGACAGATGGACGGAGCCCAGCCCGGAGGCCCCCACACAGGCCCGGCCGACGCTTCCCACCATCTCTCCTGACTCTTGCCACAGACACTCCTGGAACCCCCCAGCTGCCCTCCAACCATCCTTGCCAGGCCTCATAGTCTTTCTAAATCAAATTCAATTTAACTTTGAACCCAAAGAGGCAAGAAATGCCATTTTGGAACTAATAATCTAGGTAAGGGGGTCACCCTGGCAACACACACAAAGCCCTTCGTAAAACGCCTGGTGCATCCTAAGCGCTCGAGGTGTTGATCCACTCGACAAACTGGCAGAGAGCCACTTCCGTGAGCACCTGCAGGGTGCACAGCTGAGCCCAAACCCAGGCCCTGCCTCACAGGGTGCACGGTCTACTGCAAGGATTTACACAATAAATACCATACATTACAGAGCATGCTGGGAAAGCAATGCATACCACAGAGCAAAAGAAAATGGGCTGGGTGCGGTGGCTCACGCCTGTAATCCCAGCACTTTGGGAGGCCGAGGTGGGCGGATCACGAGGTCAGGAGTTCGAGACCAGCCTGACCAACATGGTGAAGCCCCGACTCCACTGGAAATACAAAAATTAGCCAGGCGTGGTGCTGCATGCCTGTAATTCCAGCTACTCAGGAGGCTGAGGCAGGAGAACTGCTTGAACTCGGGAGGCAGAGGTTGCAGTGAGCCAAGATTGAGCCACTGCACTCCAGCCTGGGCGACAGAGTGAGACTCCGTCTCAAAATAAATAAATACATAAATAAATAAATAAATAAAAATGGCAAGGGGGTGGGGTGCACTGGGCAGGGGGTACCCTGTAGCATCAGATGGGATGGATGGGGACAGCCACATCCAGAGCACAGCATTTGAAGAGTTCAAGCCCAGGAGGACGCCAGCCTTGCAGCTAGCTAGGGAAAGAGCATTCCGGGTCAAGGGAGTAGCCAGTGCAAGGGCCCTGAGGCAGGAGTGTGCCTGATGCATCAGAGGCTCAGCAGAGAAGCTGGCCGGGCTCAGCAGGGTGAGTGTGGGGG
Organism: Homo sapiens; assembly: GCF_000001405.40. Taxonomy (NCBI): domain Eukaryota; kingdom Metazoa; phylum Chordata; class Mammalia; order Primates; family Hominidae; genus Homo; species Homo sapiens. The sequence continues at coordinate 69,617,517 of NC_000011.10, forward strand.
AAACTGTAGGGGCAGAGGCCAGAGAGAGTGGGGAGGACCCACTGAGGGTGGGGAGAAATGGTGCAGGACCTCAGGGCAGCAGAAGGAATTGATCTTTTCTCTGAGTGAAACAGAGAATGTCCTGGGGGACGAGGGGCACTGGGACCAGCCACAGATGTCCCAGCTCTGTCTCATGTCAGACACAGGATAGATTGCACTATCCTCCCCACTCAAAGGCCAACAAAATGTCGCAAGGGTGATGTCCCTTGAGTAGACACTTTCAGAGCCAGGACAGCTCAGCCACGCCCTCTCTTCCTCTGGCATGGTGACCAGCTGGCGCCCAGGGCCCCGAGCCCCCTGGCACACAGTGGGTGCCCAGCACGAAGGAGAACAGAGCCTTTGTTGTTTCCAGCCACAGAGATGGGGTTTTTTGTTACTGCAGCGAAACCAGCCTGACTCTGATATGGGGGCGGAGACAGAGGGACAGCTAGGGGACTATAGCGATAATCCCAGTGACAGACAACGCAGCTGAGGCCAGAAAAGGAGCAGAAGAGGTGCTGAGAAGCAGTCGGGGTTAGGAATATTCTGAAGGGAAAGCTGGGAGGGGGTGGGTATGGGGTGTGAGGGGAAAAGGTGAGTCAGGGATGACTGCAAGGTTTGGGCTTGAACAACTAGAGAAATGGAGTCTCCACCAGCTGAGATTGGGAGGGGATCAGGGGTTCAGTTGTGAACACGTTTGGTACGTCTCATTAACCTGAAGCCTGAAATATTCACGAGGTGGCAGGGGCAGGTGTCCCATGAATGAATGTGGGGACCAGGGGAGGTTTCCAGGTGGGAGACATCAACGTGGGGGTGGGTGGTCAGTATCGAGATGGGACTTAAATCCCTGAGCTGAATGAGATCACTGAGGGAATGCATGTCCACAGAAGAAAGGCCAGGTTCAAGGACAATCCTGGGATTCCAGAAAGTTAGCATCATCTGGGTCACACAAGCATTTGGTAAGTTACATGGTTCCACGGTGGGAGAGAGGACGCTGGTCTTTGGTCCATCTGGGCTGCCCAGGAGTGGCTCTCGTTGGCCACGTGAAGGTGGGCTCCATCCTGCTATGCCAGGATGCACAGGGATCCTAAGAAGTGAGCCCCACCCCAAAACTGTCTCCTTCTCTCTCCCCTACTTCTCAGAGACCTGCTACTTTCCTGGGTGCTCTGGAGGAACACCGCAAGGGTCTTTCCCACTCTTGGAATGTCCCCTCTTTTAAATAGAGCCTCCATCTTGTCTGCCAGGTCTGGCCACATTTAGTTAGGCCACTCCTTCCCAGGCCCTGTTGCAAACCCTAGAGCTTCCTCTAACCCTTGAGAAATTTCAACCCTTTTCTAAAAGTGGAGTGTCTGTTTTGTTTGTTTGTTTGTTTGTTTGAGACACAGTCTCGCTTTGTCACCAGGCTGGAGTACAGTGGCATGATCTCGGCTCACTGCAACCTCCGCCTCCCAAGTTCAAGAGATTCTCCTGCCTCAGCCTCCCAAGTAGCTGGGACTACAGGTGAGCACCACCACGTCCGGCTAATTTTTGTATTTTTAGTAGAGACGGGGTTTCACCATGTTGGCCAAGATGGTCTCAATCTCTTGACCTCATGATCCGCCCACATCAGCCTCCCAAAGTGCTGGGATTATAGGTGTGAGCCACCACGCCCAGCCAAGAAAAGTGTCTTAACCCTTCCCTGGGGCCAGAGCAGCTTGGTCCTCTTATCTCTCTTATCTCAAGGTATCACTTGCCCTCTGGAAGGAGAAGTAGGAAACAGAAAAAAAAAAAAATAGCTCTCGTTTTCTTTGGATTCTTCTAGAACAGCAAAGAACACAGAATATTATCACAGTATATTAACCTTCTACACATGTTTATCAACTTAGTTCAAACCATGAAAAATTAGTATCCTTCAAGGAACAAATAATCCTTCCACTAAATCAACTATTAGAAATATATATAAAATGGGGGACACAATGGGAGTATGACACGATTAGAGTTTTGAATCAAACTAAGAACAGCGAAGCTTTAAAGATTAGTCATGAACATGGACCTTGGCTATCCTAACACAAATAAGAAAACTAGCCAAATCCAGAGAAGTCTGGGGTTTAATGAACAGTGCATTAGTCCATTCTCACACTGCTATGAAGAAATACCAAAGAGTGGGTCATTTATAAAGAAAAGAGGTTTAATTGACTCACAGTTCTGCATGGCTGGGGAGGCCTAAGGAAACTTACAATCATGGCAAAAGAAACCTCTTCACAGGGCAGCAGGAGAGAGAATGAGTGCTGAGTGGAAGAAGAAATCCCTGATAAAACCATCAGATCTCACAAGAAGTCACTCGCTCTCATGAGAACAGCATGGTGGAAACCACCTCTATGATCCAATTATCTCCACCTGGCCCCACCCTTGACATGTGGAGATTATTACAATTCAAGGTGAGAGTTGGGTGGGGGCACAGAGCTAAACTATATCAAACAGTAATATATCAGTGTTGGTTTCTTAGCTTTGGCAAATGTACTGTGGTTATGTGAGATGTTAACAATAGGAGAAACCAGGTGAGAGGTATATGGGAACTCTGTACTATCAAAAATTATTCCAGAATTGGCTGGGCATGGCGGCTCACACCTGTAATCCCAGCACTTTCAGAGGCCGAGGCGGGCAGATCACCTGAGGTCAGGAGTTCAAGACCAGCCTGACCAACATGGTGAAACCTCGTCTCTACTAAAAATACAAAAATTAGCTGGGTGCAGTGGCACATGCCTGTAATCCCAGTTAGTTGGGAGGCTGAGGCAGGATACTCTCTTGAACCTGGGAGGTGGAGGTTGCAGTGAGCCGAGATCACACCATTGCACCCTAGCCTGGGCCCTGGGCGACAAGCGAGATTCTGTCTCAAAAAAATAAAAATTATTTCAGAATAAAAGGTTTATCTTAAAATTCCAAATACAAGCAGAGACTCTTGCCAGTTAAAAAAAAAAAAAAAAGGGTCTATAGCAACCAAGAAGAGTTTATCCCAAGACTATATCGGTGGCATTCAAGCAGGAAAATGATTTACATGATTTATCATATTAGCATGAGAAATAGCAAGGTCCATTTAATTATCTCAATAAATATCAAGGAGGCATTTGAAAAAAAGTCACTACAAATTTGTGGGACAGGTTTTATTCTAAATATGATAAAGATTATGGAATTTTATTTTTTATTTTTTGAGACAGGGTCTTGCTCTGTCACTCAGGCTGGAGTGCAGTGGCACAATCTTGGCTCACTGCAGCCTCTACCTCCCCAGGCTCAGGCAATCTTCCCACCTCAAGTCTCATGAGTAGCTGGGACTACAGGTGCACTCTACCACAGTCGGCTAAGTGTTTGCATTTTGTGTAGAGACAGGTTTTTGCCATGTTGCCCAAGCTGTTCTTAAACTCCTGGGCTTAAGCAATCCTCCCTCCTCAGCCTGCTAAAATGCTGAGATTACAGGCATGAGCCACTGCACCTGGCCAAGATTATGGATTTAAAACCAAAAGCCACCAGGCACAGTGGTGTGTGCCTGTAGTCCCAGCTACTCAGAAGGCTGAGGCAGGGAGATGAACTAAGCTTAGGAATTCAAGGCTGCACAGTGAGCTATGATCATGCATGTAGACAGCTACTGCAGTCCAGCCTGGGCAGCATAGCAAAACCCTAGCTCTTTAAAAAAAAAAAAAAAGGCCAATTATTGCTTAAGGAATAGAAAGTCATTAGCACTAAAAATCTGGACATGCTCTCGCTTGTCTGGTTACCACTCCTATTTTAATATAAAACTAAATTAAAACTAGAAACACTGGCAAAAGCTATCAATAAGAAAAAGAAATAACATGTAAATATAAGAATAGAAGACATTAAAATGTGAATTGTCTTTTAGCCATGATTATAAACCTAGGAAAGCAACCAAAAGTACCAGTAAATTACTTCCAGAAGATACATAAGAAGACATTTAATCAAGTGCATCTTACATGAATATAATGCAACTAGAAAATGCATGTAAAATAAAAGAGAATTCAAGAGCAATTTAAAAATCAAATAATTGTATATCCATTTAATTGGCGACATAAGATGCTTACCCAAAGGGCATTGTGAGACCCTAATAGGAGAAATAAAGGAAGATAAATAAAAAACAGAATTTTTCCCGCTCCTGTTAGGAAGAAGCAGCATAATAAAGATGAAAAATTTATCCCTGCCAGCTGGCAAGAGACAACTCTTAAATATTCAGAAAATTTGCCAGCCATTTGTTAAGTCATGTATAGCTTGAAAGTGGCCACAGTGGCCAGGCACAGTGGCTCACGCCTGTAATCCCAGCACTTTGGGAGGCCGAGGCGGGCAGATCACGAGGTCAAGAGATGGAGACCATCCTGGCCAACATGGTGAAACTCTGTCTCTACTAAGGTACAAAAATTAGCTGGGCGTGGTGGCGTGTGCCTGTAGTCCCAGCTACTTGGGAGACTGAGGCAGGAGAATCCCTTGAACCCGGAAGGTGGAGGTTGCAGTGAGCCCAGATTGCGCCACTGCACTCCAGCCTGGCAGCAGAGCGAGACTCCATAAAAAAGAAAGGGAAGGAAGGAAGGAAGGAGGGAGGGAGGGAGGGAGGGAGGGAGGAAGGAAGGAAGGAAGGACGGAAGGAAGGAAGGAAGGAAGGAAGGAAGGAAGGAAGGAAGGAAGGAAGGAAGGAAGGAAAGTGGCCACAGTGTGGGTATTTCCATCAAGCAGTCAACAAATGCACCAATCAGGGCTTTTCTTTCCAGAGAGCTGTTTTTCCTACACACCATTTAGTAAAGGCCAAATGATTTTTCACTGTTACTTTTAGGAATGTAATGAATTGATTGAGAAATCCCCAAATTCCTCTTTTTATTTACTCATTTACTTATTTAGGTTTTGAGACAAGGTCCCACTCTGTCGCCCAGGCAGGAGTGCAGTGGCATGATCATGGCTCACCTCCAACGCTCAAGTGATCCTCCTACTCTCAGCCTCCCGAGTGACTGGGACCACAGGCACGCACCACTATGCCTGGCTAATTTTTTGACTTTTTGTAGAGACAAGGTCTCACCATGTTGCCCGGGCTGGTCTCAAACTCCTGGGCTCAAGTGATCCTCCCACCTCAGCCTCCCAAAGCGCTGGGATCACAGATGTGAGCCACAGCGCCCGGCCCACTATATTATTTTACATTTTTACTTAAAATTGTTCTAGCTTTATTGAGGTATCATTGACATGAAGCTAATTAACATATCCATCCCCTCACAGAGTTAACCATTTTGTCTTTTGCGGTGAGAACATTTAAGATCTCTCTTAGCAATTGTCAAGTATGTGATACATTATTACTAACTCTAGTCACCATGTGGTACAAGAGAGATCCAGAATTTACTCATCCTGGGGAAAAAATTTAATTTGTTATATTTAAACATTGAGAGAAGTCTGAAAAGATCTACAAAAAATATTACCGATACTGTCTGAGTAGCGAGATTTCAGGTGCTTTTTTCCATTTATTTATTTATTTATTTATTTATTTATTTATTTATTTATTCATTTATTCATTTTTGAGACAGAGTCTCGCTCTTGTCACCCAGGCTGGAATGCAATGACATGATCTTGGCTCACTGCAACCTCTGCCTTCTGGGCTCCAGCAATTCCCTGCCTCAGCCTCCTGAGTAACTGGGACTACAGGTGCCGGCCACCAAGCCCAGCTATTTTTTGTAATTTTAGTAGAGTTGGGGTTTCACTATGTTGGCCAGGCTGGTCTCAAACTCCTGACTTCAGGTGATCTGCCCGCCTCAGCCTCCCAAAGTGCTGGGATTACAGGCGTGAACCACCACACCTGGACCCCTTATTTTTAATTATTTTTATTTTTTCTATAATAAACATGTATTATTTGTGTGATGAGAAAACATTCTTTTTATTTTTTTTATTTATTTTAACAAGCTAGAAGAAAATAAAATCACATTTTTTGCCCATCTGTGTAAAGGAAACAAACTCTGACTAAAGAAACGGAAACATCTTATTAGAGACAAGATGGGGGTCTGTTGAGCATCTTTAAAAAGTTGTGAACTCCTAGGGCCGGGCGCAGTGGCTCACATCTATAATCCCTGCATTTTGGGAGGCTGAGGCAGGCCGATAACTTAAGGTCAGGAGTTCAACACCAGTCTGCCCAACATGGTGAAACCCCCATCTCTACTAAAAATACAAAAATTAGCTGGGCATGGTGGCAGGTACCCGTAATCCAAGCTACTCTGGAGGCTGAAGCAGGAGAATCGCTTGAAACCAGGAGGCGGAGGTTGCAGTGAGCCGAGACCGGGCCACTGCACTCCAGCCTGGGGTGACAGAGCAAGACTCTGTCTCAAAAAAAAAAAAAAGAAAAGAAAAGTTGTGAACTCCTTACAGAATCATAGGCACAATAAAACACAATTAGAACAACAGCATTGGAAAATGTGTAATAAATGTAAGTAAAAAGGTAACTGTCCAGATATATGAAGTATTGCTGTGAAATATGCAAGCTCAAGATCCAGTTTCAAGTTAATGAGTGATCAGAGAAGAAAAAAATGCAATTTATACACCAGGAAAAATTTGGACAACAAAGCATCCCATGAAAAAAATGCAGAGCGTCACTAGCAATTCAAGAAAATACAACTCAAAACAATACGAAAATCGTTAGACACCTGCGAACCAGCTGAAGGAAGCAAAACCTGTGTTGTGAGGACTAAAGGGAAACAGGTTTCCACATTGTTTGAGGTGCCTGCTATAATTTGGTTTTGTTTCTCGAGAATATTCTGACAGCCCTTCTTGGCTCTTGAGGAAAAAAAAAGACAAACTATTTATACCTTTTTGTATCACTTTGGAAAATATGTTCTGGGCAGCATCTTCCAAGTAATATTTCTGGAATACTTCCAAAGGATGTTGATAGATATTATATAGAAAGAGTATTGTGATTGCAAACACAGATATTTCTATATTTCAGGACTTGTCAGTGCCTTTTACCTGCTAATGTGCATTGTGGATCTCCAAAACTATGTACCATTTACTCAATTAATTTGACCCCAGAATCTTTGTCATGGTAACTTTATTAACAGCTCACAGAGCATTAGGCTGCTGGCAATCAGACTGAGAATAAGAAAAGTATTTGGGGTTTTGTTTGTTTGTTTTTGAGACTGAGTCTCGCTCTGTCGCCAGGCTGGAGTGCAGTGGCATGATCTCAGCTCACTGCAACCTCTGCCACCCGGGTTCAAGCGATTCCCCTGCCTCAGCCTCCCGAGTAGCTGGGATTACAGGCGTGCACCACTACGCCAGGCTAATTTATTTTTATTTTTTGTATTTTAGTAGAGACGGGGTTTCATCATGTTGGCCAGGATGGTCTCCATCTCCTGACCTCGTGATCCACCCACCTTGGTCTCCCAAAGTGCCGGGATTATAGGCGTGAGCCACCATGCCCAGCCGAGAAAGGCATTTTGTATTAAGATGTTATTGGTATAAGTAAAATCTCTGAAACAACCTGGATTTTTGCCAGCCGAGGAAAGTTTATCCAATTCATCTGCATTTAGTAACAGTCCTTTGAGTGTAAGTTCTCTCTTGTTTGACAGTTAGATAAGCAGGCTTTGTAGACTTCTTACTTAAGTCACTGAGCAGAGAGTTGAACAGTAACAGAGAGCCCTGTGGCTTGTCACTAGAGACCCATTTCCTTGGCGGCCACTGCTCAATGGTCCCTGTTTAATTGGGAAAACCCACCGAACTCCATTATCATCTAGCCCAGAGATGCTATCAAGAATCACATGCCCGAAGTCAAACCGGAAAGTATATTTAGTGCTGGATGTTTGTGTATCTTTGCTAACCTTTAGAAAGAGGAAGAAGCTGGAGCTTGGTTTCCCATCAATGGTATCAGCTCAGCTAACTGACCCCTGCTTCGATCTTAAAGTTAGGACAAGGAATTTGCGCTGTATAAACTCCTTCATGTCTTATTCATTCTTACATTCTGTTGGTTTGGTTGCCTTCAATTTCCTAGGACGCATTTCTGTTTCAAAGTTTCCAGTCTCCTCCCAGCCAAATGGAGGGGCAGCAGGAATTCAGCCCATATTGGTCACAACGGGTTGGGAGGAGTTGAACCAAAGAAATATCGTATAAAATCAGAGCCTCAAAGACTCCACGGACACCAACGTGTAGCATACGCTCGCAAAGACACTGTGCTGAATGCGAGCCCAGGTGTACCCTGCAGGAGCAGAGAGGGGGTAGGAAGCCTCGGCTGTGGATATTATTTATCCCTCCCCTACCCCACCCCACTACTCCATCCCTCCCTCCCTCACGCTATCCTGCTTCCACCCCACCCCTCCTGATTTTCCACATTTCTCTCTCTCTCTCTCTCACACACACACACACGTGCACACACACAGACACACACACACAGAGTTTGTCTTCTCAGTAGCCTTCTGATCTCGGTGATTTAGGAATCCAGAAAAATGCACAAAAGCAGTCATTAGCCAAAAAGAACCCATGTGTTCCTGGTAACATTCAAATGACCCTGGTACTCAGGAAGGTTTCTTGGGGCCATCACCCTACCTGGAATGGCCATCACTCTTCAAGCCCAAAACATGTTTTTAAACACTTCTGTCCATTCATTCCTTCATTCCTTGGTCCAACACATCTGTGCAAAGCTCCTACAGTGGACAGTACCCCAGGACACACGTGGTTTCCCTCCTGCCTCAAAACATTTATAGTCTAGGGCAAGCCTGTCCAACCCACGGCCCACAGGCCTCATGCGGCCCAGGATGGCTTTGAATGTGACCCAACACAAATTCGTAAACTTTCTTCAAACACTATGAGATTTTGGGGGGATTTTTTTAGCTTATCAGCTATGTTAATGTTAGTGCATTTTATATGTGACCCAAGACAATTCTTCTTCCAAAGAGGCCCAGGGAAGCCAAAGAATGGGACACCCCTGGTCTAGGGCATGGATAATATCAAACACTGATATCTAGCAAATATGAAACTCAATAGCAGGGTGCATTTAGAACTAGAAGATAGCCGGGTGCGGTGGCTCATGCCTGTAATCCCAGCACTTTGGGAGGCCAAGGCAGGTGGATCACCTGAGGTCAGGAGTTCGAGACCAGCCTGGCCAACCTGGTGAAACCCTATCTCTACTAAAAACACAAAAATCAGCTGGGTGCGGTGGCAGGTGCCTATAATCTCAGCTACTTGGGAGGCTGAGGCAGAAGAATCGCTTGAACCCAGGAGGTGGAAGTTGCAGTGAGCCAAGATCACGCCATTGCACTCCAGCCTGGGTGACAAAGCAAGACTCCATCTCAGAAAAAAAAAAAAAGAACTAGATGATAAACATGACCAGTGACTTTTATCTCCAAACTCCCAACACCAGCCATAAAAGGGCTCTTCCCAACTGCCTTCCAGAGTGCCACCTTCCTGGCCCTTCCCAGCCTCAGGAGTGTTTGCAGCATGTCTTTAATGATGGCTCGTGGTGGCCAGGCACTTCGGTCACAAGCAGAGGTTTGCAAGGTTATCACATTAACTGTGCCTGATCCCTTGCACCCAAGTTACAGGCTGAAGCCACAAAATTGTCTCCCAATCAGAGGCCTCTTGCCGAACGCCCCCACAAACACCAAGGCCCCTTAATCAGAGTTGAGTGGATGTGCCGGTGAACTCTGCAACAGGGAGAATGCTGATTTTTCCAATTGTGCAAAGTACCTCAGCAGTCTCCCTCTAATTTTCCTTTTCATGTTCTTTTGAGGAGGTTTGTGTATTGCCAGTCAAGGTTCTATGGCAAAACAAAAAACAAAACACAAAAAAAAGCCCACAACAGCGAAAACAACGACGACTAAATACAGAAAGCAGCAGAGAGCTGCCTGCTGAGCCTCCGCCTGGGCTGAGGCTCCCTGGGAGTCCGGCTCCATCCAGCCATGGTGCTCGAGTTGGGCATCTTAGCATGAGAAGCTGGAAGTACATGATCTCGGTGTTTTCATGACTTCTCACGAGCTGCCTTTGCAGACAGACCCCCTACCTCCTGGCACTCCACGCCTGCTTCAAATCTCAAGCCAGCCCGCCTTCTCCAAAGAGAAGCCACGTGGGATCCCTCCCTCTCCTGAGCTCCTAGAGAGCCCAGGATGGCAGTGGGAGGGAATGGGTGGTCACAGACTCTGGAGGAAGTCACTCTTCCGTAGAGCAACACGTATGGTGCCTGAGACACGTCGGCAGGTGTGGGTGGCGGCTGTGCGCAGCTGGTTGCAATGTGGCGAGGTGGGACCGCGGTGGGGTCTTGTGTTGAAGGTCCAGGTGCCGTGCACTTGGGGGCAGGGGCACCACTACAAGAACAGCTGAGTCCCATGGGCTGGAAAAGAGGTGTGGTAGGCCCCCGGGGGTGGGGAAAAGTTGACTTGGGTGAAGAGGGTCTTGGAACGCCAGGTAGTGATTTTAGAACACCTTCAGGATTCCCCGGGGAGCCACTGAGGGTGCCTGAGTGCAGAGTAGCATCGTGAGAGAAGTCCTTGAGTGTAGCCTGCCAGGCGGGTGGGCAAAGGGAATGGTGACATACAGCAAGCTTCACAGGCCCGACGTCAAGCTGTGTGATGAGCGTAACAGCAGCTGACACCTTCAGCACCAGCTATGTGAAGGCCCTAGGTCAGGGCACTTTACAGGAATTGACTTGTTAAGTCCTCCCATTGTTATCACCCCATTTTACAGGGAAGTAAAACAAGGCACATGGAGAAAGCAACTCAATTAAGACCACACAGCCAGCAAGCAGCAGAGCTAAGACTGGAAGCCCAGGGTCTGGCCCCAGAGCCGCACATGTCATCACCGCACAGCCTTGCTTGGCTGGGCTGTAATCCATCGGCAGACCCGGGAGGCAAGGAGGAGGACAGGCCTGTATGCTTGCTTAGAAATGAAAGGACTGAATCAGGAGCTGGAAACATGCCTCTCCTTTTGTATTAGTTATTCATTGCTGTGTAACAAGCTGCCCCAAAATGTTGTTTAAAACAATGCCCATTTGTTATCACCTAGGTGATGTGGGTCAGGAATCGGCGTGGGGCTTAGCTTGGTCCCCTGGCTCAGGGTCTCTCACAGGCTGCAATAAAGGGCTCTTGGGGGGCTGGAGCCATCTCAAGGGTGGACTTACAGGCTCACACCCGTGGCTGTCAGCAGCCTGCAAGGCCTTGCTGGCTGTGGGCTGGGGACTGCAGTTCCTGGCCATGTGGACAACCCAGAGGACAACTCACAACATAGCAGCTGGCTTCTCCAAGGGCAAGGGCTCCAAGACCGCCAGCAAGGCAGACAGCACAGCCTTTTCAGAACCCGGTCTTGGAAGGGATGTCTCATCACATTTCCTTGGAAGTCACAGGCCTCACCCACACTCAAGGAGCACGGGATTGCACAAGGGCACGAGTGTCAGGAGACAGGACTACTGGGTGCCATTCTAGAGACCGTCTGCCACAACTTTTAAAATCAGAGCTTATTTTATAGTTCTTTTTTGTTATTAAAAAAAAATTCATGATCAGCATTGAAAAACACAAAAAATTCATGATCAGCACTGAAAAATGCAAAAAAGTGTAAAATAAAAACTCTCCAGCTTTTCTGTCTCCTCTTTCATCATTAGCCCTTGTTGGACCTCCTTTGTCCCTTGCTACTGCTGTGGCTCAGCCTGGGTCCCGCTTCATCCCTCAGAACTGGGACTTTTCTCCTTGTCTGGGTACTTTGTCCTCATACACGCCCCACACTCCCAGAAGCCCCCATCCCAGCATTTATGACCACTGACTCTCCTGTCTCTTCCATGAATGCAGACAAACCATTCATGTTCCCAGCCAGAGCCAGTTCTCTGCCTGTGCACCGGGCCCCGCCCCACAGCCTCCTGAAGGGCTTTGCAATGTTTGCCTCTCCCCTGCATCATTTTCCCTTTCTCCTGGAATGTTCCCATTCAACAAACAAGTCTGCTGCTATTTCTCCCGTTGAAAAGAAAATAACCCCCCGCACCCCCCCACCCGTGACCCATTCTCCTCTCCAACTTCCTTCCCTTTCCAGCAAAGCTGATTTCTCCCCTGGCAGCTCTGCTCTCAGACTTCCTGCTCCTCCCCGAAAATCCTGACCCCACTAAGGGCCACTACCACTTTGCCATTGACTGTGTCTCTGTGGCATCACTGTTCTTGCTTCTTAATCTTCATGGCAGAGGACAGGCCTCACTGAGGGCTAAGAGAGCTAAGGGAATCATAGTGTGGAAGGGAACAAGTTAAGTTCCACAATTTGAGTCACTGCCCATCATTCCTGGGAAGCACCACAGGAAGTTCAGCCCTGCACAGGGCCCCCTCATCCCTGTCCCTGTGCCCTAAGACCCAGCGTGGGCAATTCCAAGTCTCTTCCTCTCATCTAGAGCACTGCCCCCTTCAAGCCTCTTGCCCTTCCAATCTCTGCCTGTCTTCAAGGAAACCACTCCCACTGCCAATATCATGAATACAAAGTGGCTGAAATAAGGCATAATGTATTTTTTCCTCTCATGTACAAAACTTGGTATGGTGGCACTACTCTATAATTGAGTAAAGGGCCCTCATCAATGTGACATTCCTCATCCACATCATTCAAGAAAAGTCACTGCCATGTTTGCGCCTCATCAGGAAGAGGAAAAGGAGAAGGGGATAGCATGCCCCTGCCTTTTAATGCCCCAACCCAGGAGTTTCAATCAGCAGTTGCTCTCACAGCCAACTGGCTAGGACTTAGTCACATGGCCATCCCCTGCTGCAAGGGATGCTGGGAAATGTAGTCTTTAGCTGAGTAGTAGGTGCCCAGTTAAAAACTCTATTGCTATGGAAGAAGGAGAGTATTAAAGATATCAAAGGGCACTGAGCAATGCCTGCCACCCAGAACCCTATCCCGCAGCACTGCCTTTTCCCACCTGTGAATACAATGCTCCTGGGAGGAATTGAGGGAGACTCTGGAGGTCTAGCAGCCTTCAAAGTGTCCTGATTTGCCCTAGTAGACAGCAGGCTGCTGCTGGATCAGACACACACGTCTCCCAAGGACCTCATGAATTCTTAGAGGTAGCGTGGTCAAAGTTCATGCTAAGGAAAACACGGCTGCCTTACTGCTTCTTACTCAGCAGCCACCCCACCGGCCCTGTGCCGAAAGCATTGTATGTTGATGCTATAACTGTCATTTCTCTTTCCATTTCCTCCTGCTTTCGGCCCATGCCCTGCATCTTAGGAGGCAGAATCCAGGCCTCCTGTGCTCCTAAGTTGTCATCATCCAGTGACACGAAGGCCTGCCTTTGTATTTACGTGCAGCATCTGCCCTGGGACCAGACCAATTAAACTCTACCTGAAACACCAGCCTCCCATTCCACTGCCTGCTGGAAAGGAGGTCATGGGGAATTTAGGATCCTCCTGAGCCTGGTAACTGGGGGCTGGGCAAGGGGCTCCTCCCTCCATGACGGAGAGAATCTCATGTAGCTACTGCCCAATAAAACACATGGGATTTGGCTCAGGTGTTCCCTGAGCCAGGGAGCCTGGGACCTGGAAAATACCTGGGTGTCTTTTGAAGTTGTTTCTGGTTGGATTCTTTTCTCTACTATAAAGGTAGTATTTGTTCATAATAGAATACAGTATGTGAAAGTACATAACAGAGTATAGAAAAGGAAAAAATTGGCCAGGTGTGGTGGTTCATGCCTGTAATCCCAGCACTTTGGGAGGCCGAGGCGGGCAGATCACCTGAGGTCAGGAGTTCGAGACCAGCCTGGCCAACATGGTGAAACCCGTCTCTACTAAAAATACAAAAAAAAAAAAGAAAAAAAAGAAAGAAAAGAAAAATAGCTGGGCATGGTGGCGCATGCCTCTAATCCCAACTACTTGGGAGGCTGAGGCAGGAGAATCGTTTGAACCCAGGAGGTGGAGTTTGCAGTGAGCTGAGACCGCGCCACTGCACTCCAGCCTGGGAGACAGAGCAAGCCTCTGTCTCAACAAAAAAAAAAAAAAAAAAAAAAAAAAAAAAGGGAAAAATCACTCCAATCATCCCAAGTCTCAGCTCCTACTCTTTTGCTATATGTCCTTCAAACCAGCTATGTATTTATTTTGCTGAATTTATGCTGGTTTTATCTTTTGTATCTTGCTTTTTTTCATTTAATGTTTTTCCATCCAGTGAACACACCCTAATTTGCCATTCCCCTCTTCTTGAACATGAGATTGTCTCTAGGGTATCTCTTGCAAATAGGATAATTGTCAATGATGTAACGGGTCTCTATGCAACTTGCAAAAGTGATCAGTCTTGGTGTCCTCCTCATCCTAGTGTTTGGTTCCAAGCAACAGAAACCAATGCTGGCAGATTTCAGCAGAAAAGGAAAATCAGATGCAGAAGATAGGCAGGAACAAGGGAGGCAAGACAGCACGAATCACAATGGAAGCATGCTGCAGATCTTCTCTGATGAGAAGCCAGGGCTACCCCTACCTATCCCAACACCAGACCCTCCAGTAAAACTGCAGCGGCCCACACCACCTTGTCACCAGAGCCCACAGCTCTATGATGGGCAGCACAGATACTGCTGCTCATAAACTTGAATGCCTCACCCAGTTCTACACTAGAAAACATTTCCTACCTTTTCTGATTCTTCCCACCACCAGCTCCCAATTCAAAATCTTGATCCAAAAAGATGAAATGTATAAATAATACTATTTATAATGACATCAAAATATCAAGTACTTAAGAAGAAATCTAATAAAAGATGCACAACACCCAACACACACACACACACTCACACACACACACCTGCAATTAAATTAAGGACAATCTAAATAAACAGAGGTCTATATCATGCCCATGAATTGAATGACTCTGTTAGTAAAAGTGTCAATTCCCTCAAAATTGATCTATAGATCCAATACAATCCCAATCAAAATTCCAGCATTGTGTGTGTGCACATGTGTAAGTTGATTCTGAAATGTTTATGGAGCCCCAAGGGCCAGGAGTAGCCAGGGCAACCATAAAAGAGAAGTGGGTTGGAGGATTTAGCCCGCCAGATATCAAGAATTCGTAGCGTATAGCTTCCATGATGCTTCTGGGGTAAGGACTGAAAAAGAGACCAGTGGAACGGGATAGAAAGTCCAGAAACAAGAGATTTGTGTTAAGTGAGCAGATTTTAGCTGCTCTGTTCACAAAAAAAAGTAACTATGTGAGATGACAGGTATGTTACACTAATTCACTATGGTAACCATTTTACTATGTATATGTATCTTATAACATCATGCTGTCAAGTTTATTTCAAAAATAAATTTTACATAAAATCTTAGCAGTGTTATTCATAATAGACAAAAAGTGGGAAAATTCTATTTTTTTAAAGTACAGAAACTTTATTCCTCAAAGGGGAAATAGGTTAATAATAATAAGAAGAAGAATTAAGGCCAGGTGTGGTGGCTCATGCCTATAATCCCAGCACTTTGGGAGGCCAAGGCCAGAGGATTACTTGAGCCCAGGAGTTTGAGACCAGCCTGGGCAACATAGTGAGACCCCATGTTTACAAAAATTAAAAAATTAGCTGGGTGACGTGACAAGTGCCTATAGTCCCAGCTACTTGGGAGGCGAAGGCAGGAGGATTGCTTGAGACCAGGAGGTCAAGGCTACAGTAAGGTATGATCGTGCCACTGCACTCCAGCATGGGCAACAGAGCAAGACCCTGTATCTAGGGGGAAAAAAATGATAAGCCTTGTGAAAGAGAAATGAAAACAGCATCCACACATAAACTTGTACCTCTGTGTTCATCGGCAGCATTGTCCACAGTAACCAAAGGTAGAAACCATCCTAAGGCCCATTGACTGATGAATGGATAAGCAAAATGTGGTCTATCAATACGATTGATAGTATTCAACCATAAAGAGGAATGAACCATGGACACATGCCACATGTGGGCCTTGAAAACGTGATGCTAAGTGGAAAAAGCCAGATGCAAGAGGCTGCATAGCATATGATTCCATCTGTTGGAAATGTCCAGAAAAGGCAGATCCACAGAGAAAGATTAGTGGTTGCCAGGGGCTGGGGAAAAGGGGGAAGAAAAGGGTGAATAACTACAAATGGGTACAGGGTTTCTTTGGCGGATGATGAAAATGTTCTCAGATGGTGATGGTGGCTGTCCAACATAACAAAATCCATCGAACTATATACTCTAAACGAGTGAACTTTACGGTATGTAAGTTATTTTTCAATAAAGTGGTTTCAAAAAAATAAAAAGGTGAACCCTACCATTTCTAGGTGCTTTGGAGTTTACCGTTTTTCTCCTTGCATTCTGGAGTCAGAGTGAGAAGGCATCTCAGCTCTACCACAGCTGAATGATGTGTTGGGCTTCGGTTTCCTCATCTGTAAAATGGGGATAAAGGGCCTCTCCTTGGAGCTGCCATGAAGATTGAATTAGATGCCCTCTGTGAAGATGCAGGGCAGGTGGAGAGCACAGTAAGCGTCTCGGGGGGCCACGCCATCACCGCCAGCAGGGCTCACCAGTATCTTTGCCCAGAGAATAGCCGGGGTCTAGGGAGCAGCCAGGGTCTAGGGAGAAGGGCTGCTTCCCTGTGGAGGCTCCTAACTTTCCCATCTCCTCCCTGTTTCTCCCCTGCCCACCCCTTACTCCTGGAAGTGTGACTCGCTGCCTCCTCCCGTGACTCCCCTACATTGCATCTCCCCAGTTACTGTCGTTATCTCTCATCTCTTCTTTCCAAACAGCCTCTGTCTAGCACCTTGGAGCTCGCATGGGAATTCATGGGTGGGTGGATTCCAAGCTTGGCTTCATCAGATGACAACTAAAAGGCAGAGGCCTGGGGGGGCAAGGGAGCTCCAGGATCTGTCTCCCTTTGGAGAAGCCCAGGTTCACCTTCCCAGCAAGCTGCTCCGGCCCCACGCCCCTGGCCCTCAATAACCTTCAGTGGCTCCCTTCTTGCAGCTATAATTCCCCTCTTGGGATGCTACAAAAGGGATTCCAGAGATTTTTTTTTCAATAACTCAAAAGGGAGGGAGTAAACGATATATGTGCCCAGGACAAGGCAGCTAAGGGAAGGCCTCAGGCTTCCTTTGCCTTTGCCTGGAAGTATACCAACCCGCAGCCCGGAGGGCCAGCAGAGAACCAATGCTCAGAGCCTGGGGGCCCAAGGAATGCTTTCCAGGCTGGCGGTCCCAGGAGCCCCCTCTCCCTTCCCTATAGCAAGATACTAAGAGCAGAGGCTGGCCTGGCAGGCCGTGTCGAGGCCCTGAGCTCACATGGCCTTGGCAGCTTCTTGACAGTCGTGTCTTTTTGTTTCCAGCAGTGACACTCACTGACCCACACCTTTGGCCAGCGTCCCTTGTGACTGCCCCCTCCCGCTTGAGCAGAATGGCTCCTATTACACAATGGGTGCCAGGAACCTGGCCAGTCCATCCAGAGACAGGGCAGAGCCCTGGGCTACCGACCCTCTGGGGCCAGCAGAAACCCTCCCTATGGCTCTGCCTCTCATCCTGGCATTGACACTTGTGCCCTTAATTAAAGTGCTTCTTTTTAAAATCAACATTTCTACTCCTTTTGCAGAGTAAGAGAAAGAAGAGTTAGGGGAGAAGAAAGAAGGAAGGATTCATGGGGTTATTTTTTTTTTTTCATGTAAAAGTTTGTTCCGTGATTTAAATCTCATGTCCACAAACAGCTCAGGAGAAGTCAGCATAGAGAAGCAAGCTGACAGATTATAAAGTCATTTGTAAAATCCTCTTTCTGCATATAAACTGAAATGTGTAATTAATTCCACATACTGCGTGTGGCACATGGCCTTCATCCTGCATAAGAACAAATACATGAATGAATAAATCGAGCAGGCCTTGACACTCACCAGGCCCTGTGCTAAATGCTTTCTACATATTACCTTAATTACTCCTCACCGTGGCCTTGCGAAGAAAACGATCACAGCCCGTTTTACAGATGGGGACAGAGATTTGTCCAAGGCCACACAACTAGTGGCAGATGTAGGTCTGTATGTGACATTCTTGTTCAGTTTCATAAATGTGGCTGCCACCTGCCTGAAATTTTGAGGGAAAAAAAAGTGGTTTGGCTTTGCATGAATTCTTGAAAAAGTAGATTTTTATCTTTACCAGCTTCTAAGCAAGCTGGATTTATTCTGACAGTGTCCATGAAATGGCTACAGACCATCACCGTTGCCAATGTTGTGAACCTGAACAAGGCACCTGGTTTCTCTGTGCCTCGGTTTCCTTACCATTAAACGCATTTCCCTGAGATTAAGTGTGTGAAACTATAAGTTGGCTGGAGGAAACACCTCATAGAAGTGAGAAGATGAGGATGGGTGGTGAGTGAAGGCTTTTTCTCCAAACCCTACAGGAGATGGACCTCAAAGCAAATGGCCATGCTTCCCTTAGACTGGGTGAACTGGTGCTGCTCAGGGCTAGAAGTGTGTCTAGAAGCATGGGGACCAATGCAGCCCCCTCCACCCTAGGGCACATAACCTGTCTCTCTCCCATAGGATAGCAGAGACAGCTCTCTAAGTCAGGATTCAGCGAGATGGTCCAGGAGGGGCCTAAGGATTCCTCTGACTTATCCAAGCCTGGGGAGGCAACACAACCTAGCCTGTGTCTCAGGGGGCCCCAATCATGCCCTGAACCTCATGAGCCCAGGCAGGCATCCTGTTGGTTAAGGTCGGCCTCAGGGTCCAGGGATGCACTAGATTCTTTATCTTAAAGTGACCCTCAAGAAAAAAAAAATAAAATGTAGCTATAGGCAGTTTCTGGACGTTTTCCTATTTGTTAAGCACCTTCTTGCTCCGAGCTTTCCAGCCACAGTGCACTGGACGCCATCGGAAGGCTGCAGCTGCTATTTGGTGCTTTACCACCGCTGAGAAGGTGGAATGGTCACGGCCCGGTTCTGTCACTTTCTTCAGCCGGACAGTCGCCTTATTACGGATTCCAGTAGGGCCGAGCACACTCCTTCCTGCCCGTCTTTACAGATGAACATGCTATCGCTCCAGCAGTACAACCCGCCTTATTACGTAAAAAAGCAGCCCCTATCTACCCGCAGGGAAGGAGTATGTTCGGCACCACAGCTGGACTGGTGCTCGAGTTAAGCGTCCTGGGAGGTCCGCATGCGCTCCGGAACCGTAATGCGCGCTTTTTCTAAGCCTTACGGTAAACGCGGACGCAGGGCAACCACGTGGCGGTGGAACCGAGGCCCGGCGGGAATGCGCGGAATGCGCGGCGCGGCCTCGCGCGGTTCCCGAGCCACGGCCCAGGGTCCGGCGGCGCGCGCTCTCGCCTCCTCCCCTCACCTCTCCCAGCCGCACCCCGGCCCTGGCCCTGCCGCCCAGAACTCGCTGGGCAAGTCGTGCCCCGCGTGAACACACAGAAGGGGCTTGGGGACCGAGCGCGGCCCATCAGTCCCTCAGACCCTGAGGACCCAGAATTCCCTAAGGGGTCCGAATCCGAGTCCTGCCCCCAGCCCTTAAGGCACGGGCTCCAGGGACCCCAGGGGAAGGGCGCGGGGCATTAGGTACGCAACCCGTTTCCCCGCACCTGGAAAAAAACTCCCTTTCCCTCCCCTCCCCTGCTTGTTGAGTGTCCGGATAACCAGAACTCTAAGGCGCCCCGTAATAACGACCCCGCTGTCCCTCCACCCACCCCCAAGTGCCAAAGCGAGGGATGGAAGCGCTTTCAAGCGTTCCAAGGGCATTGAGGAGCGAGCTGGAGAGGCGCGGGGATGCGGGGTCCTCCCCGCAGTCTTCCGGAAAGGGCGGGGGAGGGCGCGGCAAGTTCCGGAGTGGGGCATGCCGTGGGAGCCCACGAGGGCCTCAGCGCGGATCCTCCGCCGGAAAACCGGCTCCCGCGAGCCGCCGCCGCAGGTTTCCTAGGCCCCGCGAGTCCCGCAGCGAAGCCCTGCGTCTCCGTCCGACGCGGGGGTCTGCTCAGCCTCGGGTGGGCCGCGGCCAGGCCTGACTGCGGGGGAGAGGGCCGAACGTGACCTCCGAGGTCACCCCCAGCCAGCTTTCTCTCCTGTGGTCGGAAGTGGTTTTCTTCTCGATCTGGGCGCCTACTCCCCACCACTTGGTCTGAGAGGGGCTGGGGCCGGAAGGCCAGGGAATCTCTGGTGGATTTGGGGGTTCATATTGCTCAGGGTACCAGCCGATGCGTTTTGAGGGGCGGGAGTCGAGGAATTAGAATCGCCTTTAACCCTCAAGAGTTGCGCCTTCAGCCTCGGGATCCCAGATGCGTCGTTGGAGCCAGGGCCGCCCCCCTACCTGTTGGGTTTGCGTTTTAACTCCAGCGCACACCTTGCCGGCAGCCCTCGGAGCTAGGGGAGGGGTCTCGTTTCCCCGCAGCCCGCCGGACAGACGACTGGGGCACGGGAGGGGCGGTGGCAGGGTGGTCTGTGTGTGGCTGAAACTAATTGATCTGGAGCGGAAACGCACGTCTGCGGTTGGGGCGATGGGGGGGGCGGTGCGGCTGTCCATGTGCCGAGCGTGTGGCTGTCTCGGGTGGGCACTGGGGCCGGAGTTCGCCCCGGCCCACCTCGCAGTTTTGGGGCGCCTGGGATCGGCGCTACGTAAGCGAAGCAGAGCTGCCATAGCACGTGGGCCGCCACGCGCACCCCAAAAGCAAGCAGTGTGGGGGGAAGGGGAGCTCGAGCGCCTTCGGAGCCCAGGGGCCGGCTTTCGGAAGCGTTTTCCCGGGCGACTTAAGGGCTTAACAATGGAAAACTCGCGGAGCCTGAGCCAAGTCCTTTCAAGTCGCCGCCAGGTATGCGGCTGCAGGTGACCCCACCTGGGTGCGCCCGCCCGCCAGCCGCCCTGGTGGAAAAGCGGGTGCGGGAGGTCGCTGGCGAAAGGTCGGGACTGGTCCCTGCACCACCCGCCCCCAACCCAAGCCCCGAGCCCCGCGGCGCGCAGCCGCGCTGAGTCCCGGGGTCTGCGTCGCGGCGCGCCGGTTCCTGAATGAACGCGCTCCCTTCCCCCGCCTGAATGAAGGTTCCCACAGCCAGGGACGGTGGCGAACACGCGCCTGCAGCGGAATTCGCTTTCTCCTGACCGACCATCCGCCCAGGCCGCGGTCACCGGGGCGGGGGCCAGGGGGCGAGGAAAGCGTGAAGGTGATTTCAGTTAATTTTGGATTTTCTTTCAAACAACGTGGTTACCCTCCCGACTGGGCCACTTGCCCTTTGTCTCCAAATGGTCACCAAGAAATAAGAACAGAGCACTTTAAATGAGCCCAGAATCCGCAGTTCCTGCTTCGTGGTGGGTTTTAAGAAGACAGTGTAAAGTAAAACTGCAACCGAAAAGTTTTTTAAAGTTGCTTTTCTCTTTGGAAAAAATAAAATCAAAATGCTTTCTCTGCGCTTCTTGAAGCAATGACCCTCAAAAGCCCAGAGGTATTGGCCCCCTCGGGGGACCCGGGGGCCGCCAAGCAGGGTTCCCCCAGGTGGGGGCTGGGCAGCTGGCGCTCCCCGCCGGGCCCCAAATTCCAGCGCCGGGCCCCAAATTCCAGCGCCTCCCCCGCGGGTTCCTGGACGGCTCTTTACGCTCGCTAACCGGGCTTGCAATTTTGCGCTCGTCCCTGAGCCGGGAAATCAACGAAGTTCCTAGTCGAGATCTGCCCGGTCCGCCTAGTAACAGCGCCGCGCCCCCATTGGCTCATGCTAATTCCAGTTTCCTCTGTCTTGCGCCCGGGATGGGGGGGTGAAGCTCCCTCCTGGACCCAGAGCCGGTTGTGCCGGAGTGGGCGAGCCTCTTTATGCCCTGCTGCCCCTAGCCGACTTCGGCCCGCTTCGCGCCTCGGGCTGGGCCAGGGCGCACGCGGGGCTCGGGGCCCCTCGCCCCACGGGATGGGAGAGGCCGGGTGATAGCTCCGGGCCCCATAAATCATCCAGGCGGCCGCCGGGTCGGGATTTTATGAATGAAAAAGCAGCTGGGCCGCCCTTGTGCGCGGGCTGATGCTCTGAGGCTTGGCTATGCGGGGGCCAACGCGATTGTGGGTGCTCGGGGAGTGGGGGGGGGCACGACCGTAGGTGCTCCCTGCTGGGGCAACCCATCGCTCCCCATGCGGAATCCGGGGGTAATTACCCCCCCAGGACCCGGAATATTAGTAATCCTAATTCCCGGCGGGGGAGGGGGCGCGGGAGGAATTCACCCTGAAAGGTGGGGGTGGGGGGGGTCGCATCTTGCTGTGAGCACCCTGGCGAAGGGGAGAGGGCTTTTTCTATCAGTTTTCTTTGAGCTTTTACTGTTAAGAGGGTACGGTGGTTTGATGACACTGAACTATATTCAAAAGGAAGTAAATGAACAGTTTTCTTAATTTGGGGCAGGTACTGTAAAAATAAAAACAAAAGTTAAGACAGTAAAATGTCCTTTTATTTTTTAATGCACCAAAGAGACAGAACCTGTAATTTTAAAAACTGTGTATTTTAATTTACATCTGCTTAAGTTTGCGATAATATTGGGGACCCTCTCATGTAACCACGAACACCTATCGATTTTGCTAAAAATCAGATCAGTACACTCGTTTGTTTAATTGATAATTGTTCTGAATTATGCCGGCTCCTGCCAGCCCCCTCACGCTCACGAATTCAGTCCCAGGGCAAATTCTAAAGGTGAAGGGACGTCTACACCCCCAACAAAACCAATTAGGAACCTTCGGTGGTCTTGTCCCAGGCAGAG
Source organism: Homo sapiens (assembly GCF_000001405.40). Lineage (NCBI taxonomy): Eukaryota > Metazoa > Chordata > Mammalia > Primates > Hominidae > Homo > Homo sapiens. The sequence goes on from NC_000011.10 coordinate 69,640,157, forward strand.
GGGACTAATATTTCCAGCAATTTAATTTCTTTTTTAATTAAAAAAAATGAGTCAGAATGGAGATCACTGTTTCTCAGCTTTCCATTCAGAGGTGTGTTTCTCCCGGTTAAATTGCCGGCACGGGAAGGGAGGGGGTGCAGTTGGGGACCCCCGCAAGGACCGACTGGTCAAGGTAGGAAGGCAGCCCGAAGAGTCTCCAGGCTAGAAGGACAAGATGAAGGAAATGCTGGCCACCATCTTGGGCTGCTGCTGGAATTTTCGGGCATTTATTTTATTTTATTTTTTGAGCGAGCGCATGCTAAGCTGAAATCCCTTTAACTTTTAGGGTTACCCCCTTGGGCATTTGCAACGACGCCCCTGTGCGCCGGAATGAAACTTGCACAGGGGTTGTGTGCCCGGTCCTCCCCGTCCTTGCATGCTAAATTAGTTCTTGCAATTTACACGTGTTAATGAAAATGAAAGAAGATGCAGTCGCTGAGATTCTTTGGCCGTCTGTCCGCCCGTGGGTGCCCTCGTGGCGTTCTTGGAAATGCGCCCATTCTGCCGGCTTGGATATGGGGTGTCGCCGCGCCCCAGTCACCCCTTCTCGTGGTCTCCCCAGGCTGCGTGTGGCCTGCCGGCCTTCCTAGTTGTCCCCTACTGCAGAGCCACCTCCACCTCACCCCCTAAATCCCGGGGGACCCACTCGAGGCGGACGGGGCCCCCTGCACCCCTCTTCCCTGGCGGGGAGAAAGGCTGCAGCGGGGCGATTTGCATTTCTATGAAAACCGGACTACAGGGGCAACTCCGCCGCAGGGCAGGCGCGGCGCCTCAGGGATGGCTTTTGGGCTCTGCCCCTCGCTGCTCCCGGCGTTTGGCGCCCGCGCCCCCTCCCCCTGCGCCCGCCCCCGCCCCCCTCCCGCTCCCATTCTCTGCCGGGCTTTGATCTTTGCTTAACAACAGTAACGTCACACGGACTACAGGGGAGTTTTGTTGAAGTTGCAAAGTCCTGGAGCCTCCAGAGGGCTGTCGGCGCAGTAGCAGCGAGCAGCAGAGTCCGCACGCTCCGGCGAGGGGCAGAAGAGCGCGAGGGAGCGCGGGGCAGCAGAAGCGAGAGCCGAGCGCGGACCCAGCCAGGACCCACAGCCCTCCCCAGCTGCCCAGGAAGAGCCCCAGCCATGGAACACCAGCTCCTGTGCTGCGAAGTGGAAACCATCCGCCGCGCGTACCCCGATGCCAACCTCCTCAACGACCGGGTGCTGCGGGCCATGCTGAAGGCGGAGGAGACCTGCGCGCCCTCGGTGTCCTACTTCAAATGTGTGCAGAAGGAGGTCCTGCCGTCCATGCGGAAGATCGTCGCCACCTGGATGCTGGAGGTGCGGGGCTTCGGGCGGCTCTCTTAAGACTTCCCTGCAACTTGTTGCCCAGACCCACGTTTCTTTGCTACTCACCCCCCTCCCTTCTCTCCCGCTAGAACTTTGAAGTTTGCCGTGGTGTTTCTAGGGATCCGTATTTTCAAAATAAAAATTGCGGGTATTTTCTGAAGGAGGAAGGGGTGGGGGTGGGGGTGCTAGAAGTAGCGTTTCGTGGGAGGGGAGAAGGGGGTCCGGGAGGGGTGCCTTCGGGAGAAGCCAGTGCCAGGGGCACCCCAATGGGCCCGAGGGTGCGGGCTGGCAGGCTGGGTGCGCTTTGTGTCCCCCGCCTGCGCCCCAGCCCGGCTGCGCCTCAGCGGCCGGGAGCCGCCAACTCCGGGGGGAGGGGGCATAGATTTGATTTTTAAATTAATATCCATGGACACGTATGCAAGGGCCGCTCGTGCCAGTATTATGCGCCATCTTTGCTCTTTTATTGCAAAGCAAAAGTGTTTATTAATAATTGGGGGCAGGGTGGGGGCGGGGAGCGGCCGCCGGGCGCTGGGGCCGCAGCTAAGGGCCGCGCGGCTGCCGGGAGCCCGCGGGAGGGGCGCAGGGACGCGGCATGGGTAGTTTTGGGGGGACGCCGCTAGGGAAGGGGGGGCCTTTGTTCAAGCAGCGAGTCCCGGGGCGCCCCGAACGGGCAGCCTGGGCCGGAGAGCACGGCGAGCTGCAAGGTCGCGTGGCCCCCAAGACGCCAGGGCTTGATCCCCGTCTGCAGGGATATCGGCTTGGAGGACCTTCTCCGAGCGAGCCGGGGGCCTGGGAGCACATTTTCAGACCTTCGGTGGGCGCCTGAGGGGCCCGCAAGTATTTTAAAATAATTTTTGAAAGTGCGGCGTGGTGCCCTTGCGAGAGGGAAACGCCGCCCGCGCCCAGGGGGAAGGGGGGGCCCCGGAGTTTGAATTCCTGGGGCTCCCCCCGGAGCCTGTAACGAACTCCCAACCCCCGGCCTGGGTAAAGGGTCGCCCGAGGGTCATTTTCAGGGTTTTTTTATGCACTTAGTTATTTTTTTAATATTTTTAAATATTTTTTGAAAAGATGACGTCTGGGGAAATGCGGCGCGGCGGCCTGGGACGCCACCTTTGTGTCTCGCAGGCGCGGCGCCCAACCCCGCGGCCCGTTCCGCGGCCCCGCACCCCAGTTGGTGTCGACCCCCAGTCAGAGGGACCACGGAGCTCCAGGGCGGGCCAGGGTCCCGGGGGCCGGCAGCCCGCGCCGCCGCGCACGCCGCCCAGCTGTGCCCGCTCCCGCCCCCACCGTGCCAGCCTCGCGGGGACTTTCCCTTTCAGTTTCGGGGAGGGTGGGTACTGGGGACGCGCGGGGGAGGGGGCGCATCACGGGAAGCTCCTGCCGCCCCCAGCCCCGACCCCTCGGCGCCCTCCAGACCTGGCGGCCCTGCCAAGCGCGATGGGGGGTGCGGGGGCGTGCGGGGGGGCGGCGCGACCTGGCGGCGGCGGTCACGGGCCCCGTGCCTCCGTAGGTCTGCGAGGAACAGAAGTGCGAGGAGGAGGTCTTCCCGCTGGCCATGAACTACCTGGACCGCTTCCTGTCGCTGGAGCCCGTGAAAAAGAGCCGCCTGCAGCTGCTGGGGGCCACTTGCATGTTCGTGGCCTCTAAGATGAAGGAGACCATCCCCCTGACGGCCGAGAAGCTGTGCATCTACACCGACAACTCCATCCGGCCCGAGGAGCTGCTGGTAACCACTGGACCCCGCCGCCCCCCGCCCCCCGCGAGCCGCACGCAGGACCACGGGGCCGGGGAAGGTGCAGGCGGTGGCGGCCGGCCCGCCTCTGACATATCTGCTCCTCCGAGGGAGGGCGGCCCCGCCGCCGGGCGTCCCTGTCCGGGGAGCGGGCGGGATCCTAGCCGCCCTCGTCCCGCCGCCCTGTGTGCGCTTGCCTGCGACTCCCACCGCGTTCGCGCCCCGCGGTGTGGCCGAAAAGTGGGCGGCGCGCGCCCTCCAGCGGCTGCACGAGGAGCGCCGCGCTCGGCGCTGAGCCTCCAGTTCCAGGTGGTGGGAGGTCTTTTTGTTTCCACTTGCAGAGTCTTTTCACGCGGCGGGCGCCTTTTCTGTTTTGATCTGGGATTGCGTGTTGCCCCAGCTCCCTTGAGTCCCCAGCATTCGCCAGCCCTCCCCTCCAACATCCAGGACCGCACGAGACGCAGGGGCCAGTGCTCTGAGCCGGAGGTGCGGCGTGGCCCGGCCCCCGTGCTGCCGGCTTCCCCGCGCCCCCGGGCTGGCCCGCACCTCCCCTGATGGCCGCTCACCCTGTGTTCGCAGCAAATGGAGCTGCTCCTGGTGAACAAGCTCAAGTGGAACCTGGCCGCAATGACCCCGCACGATTTCATTGAACACTTCCTCTCCAAAATGCCAGAGGCGGAGGAGAACAAACAGATCATCCGCAAACACGCGCAGACCTTCGTTGCCCTCTGTGCCACAGGTAGGGCAGGCCCGGCAGCCCCCGGCCTCCCCTTGAGAGCCGGCTCCTTAGGTGACCCTGGCCGGCTTCTTGCTCTCCACCTGGGTGCTGTCTGGGAAGATGTCCCCAGACCCCCTCCTGCGCTGGAGAGCGCTCTTCCAGCTCTGGTGAGCAGAGGCCCTGGATTGTTTGTCGCGCTGGATGGAGGGAGATTTGCTCCCTCACGGCCACCATGCAGTACCTTGGGCATTGGTGTGGACGGCTCAGCCTGCCTGTGTCCCGTTACTCTGGCCTCGTCCTTCAGGCCAGGCAGCCTGTGGCCACTCCATGCTGAAAGGGGTTTACCTTGGCCACAGGGCCGCCTCCTTTCTCCACCCACCTCCAGCCCTTCTTGTGTCCTTAAGGAGCCTGAGCTGCAGAGGCCCCCTCCTGGCCTCTCCCAGGCTGGGCCACCTGCCAGAGGCGCCTCCAGGGGCGGGGAGAGCTGTCGGCCTGCCTGCACCACGTGCTCTGGGCAGCCGAGTGCAGGGGTGTCCAGCAGAGGAGCTCGGCTGCCTGAGGCCCTGCCAGGGGTGCCGGCAGCCAGCCGGGCTCAGCTGAGCCCTGAGGGGGCGCTTCAGAGCACTCTCAGCTTGGGCCGCCACCGTGGGCAGCAGAAGCACCCAGTCCTCACTTCCCCTGGCATGGCCCCAGAGGCCCCTCCCTGACATGGCCTTGGCCCCAGAACCCAGTGGGGACAGACTCGCACATACACAGGGTGCCGCCTCCTGCTGTCCCCAGCCCTGCCTCTGACCCCCCTGTGACCGCCTCCTTCCCTGGCCCAGGAGGCCTGGTTACCTTCATGGGGGAGCATGGCCCCATCCCACCCAGCTCTGCTGTGGCCCACCTTTGGTCAAGCCTCAGTTGTCACATCTGTTTGGGGGCTCACTCTGGGTGACCTAGGCCACAAGGCCCACGGGGCATCAAAGAGGCAGTAGCATCTTCTCCCCTCCCCAGAGGGCAGAGCCCCCCAAGCCTACTTCAGAGCTCCCTTCTGACACCGGTAGCCCGCAGCCGGTATTCCAGAATGGGTTCTGGTTTAGGCGTGAGGCCTCCCCCACCTCCTCCACCTGCTTGGGGCATGAACCCCTCCCCCACGTTTCCAAGCGAGTCCCCAAGGTGGGCAGATGAAGATGCCAAGGATGTCGACCAGTCTGGATGGGTCTGGGGTGGGGGGGCATGCGGCAGACAGGGAGGCATTCTCTGGCTGGTGCTCCTCAGAGGAGAGAGGCCTCCGGAGACTCCAGACAGCCTTTTATGGAGCTGAAAGTGGCTTCAGAGAAATGCAAAGTTTCCTGGAGAGAACGTGGGGCGTGGTTCTTGCACAGCCTCCCTACAGGGTGGCTCCAGCAGTGGAGCTCCCCTCCCAGGACCCCTGGGTGCTAGTGGGAGGCAGTGGGCAGGTGCAGATTCTCGTCCTTCCCACTACTGCACACCCTTTGTCTGCGAAGGCGCCCCCAGCGGTGGGTGAAGGAGGAGGGACACTTGGGGACCCAGCTGTGCACGTGCTCTCAGTGACTGTGGAGTCCACTCCAGGGTGGGTCCCGAGGGAGGGGCAGGAGACCAGGGGACCCACCCCTGCAAAGTGCTCCGGGTCCTGACCCGTGGCCACCCCATGGAACGTAACTGAGCAGCCAGTGCCTTGTTCCTGCTGGACATCTGTGGAGACAAGAGTGACTTACGGCTGCTTAAAGTCAGAAACAGGTTGAAGGAGGTGGAGGCGTGGGAAAGAGTCTAGGAAGGTGTTTTTGCCCTCCACGTGGCAAAGGTTACATTTAAAGGTGATGCTGGGTGTTCTCCCTGCACTAGGCATTCCTGGCCCCAGGTCCCCAGCAGGTGTGCACATGCTGCATACACTCACGCATGGGGGTTTCAGGGCAGGTGCGCCCTTGGCTCCGTGGGAGGCCAGGTGAGGAACGTCCAGTGCCAAGGAGCTTCCGGGACAGCTGTCACTTCCCTTTACAACCAGGCAGCGGATAGGGTCAAATCCTGGAGCTTTGGTGTCTAATTCTGGGTGGCTCCTAATCTAAGCACAGACAGCACCACACACTGGGGTGGGGGCACGAGCTTCTGAAACAACGTGGCCCCAGTGACTCCACGCTGTGTGTGCCCCTGGAGACGGGGGGGTGCACAAGGTGCGGAGCCAGCTAGAACCTGTCGCTCCCTGCAGAAGCGGTTTCTGTGTGCGGTTCTGATTTGCCTCAATGAGAAGGTTTTCATTCATGGCTCCCGGCTCTCAGACTGGGTGGAACTGCTCCCATTTAAAGGGGAAAAGAGGTGGCTCGGCTCGTTAAGGATTTCTTTTTCTAAGTTGTTACGGCGCCCAGCAGCCGGCTTTGTCTCCCCTTCAGGGTGGCTGCCTTTCTTCCCGGCCCCTCGCCGGCGGCCCTCTCTTTAACAAGGCCGAAGTTGTTTATTCTCTCGGGATGAAGTCTCGGATGGGCCGCCACACCCCTGGCGGCCCGTGGGGGCCCCTCTCCCTTTGTGCCTGGGTCGGCTCCCATTCAGCTCCCCCGACCCCCCTTGTTCCCGGGCGCTCAGTGGCGCGAGATGAGGCGATGGGGCCGACAAAGATGCCACACTCATCCCTGCCGACGTCCGGCTCCCAGCCCAGGGCCCCTGGTTCCTGTGCAGAATTCCTCGTGGGTGTGACAAAAGGCTGCCCCCAGGCTCCGCTGGGGTGGGGGCCAGGCCAAGAGGCACATCCCACACTGGCCCACCTGTCCACGGTAGGCGCATGACTGCCCTGAGGAGGGGAGGCCGGCATTCCCCGCCACAAACCAGGACGTAATTGGTGGCAGGGCTCTCTGTGGAAAGAGCCAGTCTGCTGTTTGTCTAGGAGGTCAGTCACAGAGGCCCCGAGACGCCCACTACTGCAGCCTGGCAGGCGGATGAGCCCAGTATCTGGCAGTGACCAGAGGGAGTTTTGTGCAGACCACAAAGGCTGATGGGCCGCCCTAGATTGGTGTCCCTCTTGGAAGTGGGCCCAGATGTGCGGGACAGTCCCCAGGAAGCCCCAGGTGAGGGCACTGGTGCCCTCTTGGGAAAGCTGCTCCCTCCTGGGGCCCGGCTCCCGGCCCAGTCCTCCAGGGGTGTCCCATGGTGACTGGTGCTAGGAACCCCACACCTCTTCCCTTACTTGGGAAGTCACTGGAATTGTTGGGCTACATCAGACGGCCCAGAAAAGTGTTTTTGTCATCGGCCAGAAATAGGAGAGTTGTGAGTAGAGGGCCCGGGTGGAGTTGGGGTGTACTTGGTCTGTGCTCTGAAGGTCACTGTGACAGTCATGGTCCCATGGTAAGGGGCATGGGTTGCTGGAAGAGCTCTTCCTTCCCGAGTGAGCCAAGCCGGGCTCTCCTGGCGCCAGGGCCTGAGCCGCAGCCACACCACAGCCGCCCTGAAGGCTGCCGGCCAGGGCTTACCCCTCAAGGGACACGGAATGGCTTCATCAGTACCCTGCAGCCCCGTGGCCTGGCCCGGGTGGAGGCCTAGGCTTCAGCCATGCGATGTCCCTTCAGAATATGACTTGTCTGCAATCCCTGCTGCTGGGGGGTGGCAGGTACTTGGGGTGAGGGTTAGGGTCATAGAAGCGACATCTCTACGTCCTCATATTTGCGTCATCTAATTTTGTTTTTGTGAATACGTGATAACATTCACAAGGCTCAAGATGCTAAAAGGATGAGAAGGCAGTGATGTCCCCATCACCTGTCCTGTGTCTTCCCGTGGCTTTCTCTTTCCTTGGTTATGTTTGAGTCAACAGTGGGGCTGACGTTCCAGGAGGGTCCGTGGGCCAGGCTCTTGCTCTCCGAGTGCCCAGGGATGGCTGGAGGCTGAGGAGGGCCTGGATGTGGAGCCTCAGATACCGAGTGCTTCCCTTCAGGCCGGGCCGCTTGCTCAGAGCCAGCACACAGGGATGCCCGGATCACGGGGGCCCTGAGAGGGTCCCCTGCTCACAGCCTCCTTCCCTCTCTCCTTCTGCCTCAGATGTGAAGTTCATTTCCAATCCGCCCTCCATGGTGGCAGCGGGGAGCGTGGTGGCCGCAGTGCAAGGCCTGAACCTGAGGAGCCCCAACAACTTCCTGTCCTACTACCGCCTCACACGCTTCCTCTCCAGAGTGATCAAGTGTGACCCGGTAAGTGAGGGTGATGTCCCAGGCAGCCTTGCCGGGGCTTACAGGGGGAGACACCTAGTGCCACGGAAATGCCGAGGCTGGTGCCAAGGCCCCCAAGGGTGACAAGGTTGGGGCTGGGGCTGGGCCCCTCGGACCCCAGGCCACAGACTGACAGGGCACCGGCTTCTTCCACTGCTCCTAGAACTTACTGACTGGCTGGGAGGTCCTCACAGCCTTCTCACGTCCCCTGGGGCTTCCAGGAGCCGTAGAGTTTCTGGGCGAAGCGTCCGGGACGGAGGCCCCAGGCGGCCCCAGCCAATGGTCTGTGTGGTGATGGTGTGTGGGGTTAGGCCCAGGCGAGCTTTGTTTGGGCCACAATGTGCGTGGCCAATAAATAGATGCTTGAAAAGGGCTCCTGTGAGGTCCGAGACACCGGACAACGGGCGGATAGAGACAGCCTTGTTGTTTACGGCCTCTTTGAGAGGCTGCTGCTGTTAAACCCTGGGATGACTGTGTCTTTCTTCTTAAAAATGCCATTGTTTTATTCCCGAGTCTTTTCTTAAAGAAAGAATTAAAATGACAATCAAAAGGGTTTGTGGCATTTACCAAATTAGACCAGAGAGGTGGCCGGGTCAGCCGCCGGCCCCGCGGTGTGTGAGGGAGTGACCGCCTGACCCCAGCTTGGGGCTGGGTGGGCCTGCAAGACCCGTTTTGGCTCTGGCCTGGGCCGCCTCTTGGTGGTCTGCCCTCGAGCCTCCCGGGGACTCCGCACGGGTCTCAGCAGATGCTATCTAGGGTCCACCTGCCTGTCCCCTGCCTAGTGGTGCCTCTGTCCCGGGGACACTGGGAGTAGCGGCTGCCCAGCCCATGTGTGTCTCGGAAGAGGAAGAAGCTTTTTTGCCGTGGGACACCGAAGTTGGCAGGGGCCTCCCTTCTGTGTTCTCGGCCATGGCCTCCCTTGCACCCTGCCCCGTGTTATCCTTTGGGGGTGGTGAGGTGTCCTCACCCGCTGTAGGGTGGAGGCCAGCAGCCCGCAGCTCTCTCAGGAAAATGGCTCAGAAACACCATCGAGGCCTCCAGAAGCCCAGCAAAGAGAAAGCCCCTCCATCAAAATGAAACTCGCGTCTGCACTTTTCATTTCGAACTCCACGCCCTGAGTGAAAACCGCTTCCCCGCCAGGGGTGACTGCCCTGGGATGTTGCTGTCTTCGGGCAGTTGTGGGAAGTTGGGCGCTGGCCCTTATTTGAGTAGAGACCATCTTAACTAGATTGGAGGCACACGTCTCACAGCTGACAGACACACGGGGTGAAGTTACCCGAGGCGGAGTCCACTCTGCCTGATCAGCTAGTGACCAACGTAGCTGAGCCCAGACTCAGAAAAACCGTCCACAGCAGAGGCCCCTGCATTTTCTAGGGCGTGTTCTAGAATTTTCTTTGGTGGGTGGAATGTCCATCTGTGCAAATCGGGTGCGCAGTGCCACACACCAGTGACTTTTCGCGGAGGAGCGTGCTGCCTTTTTGGAGCTTCTGGCTGTGGGAGAACAGCTTTGTCCACCGGGGTAGCCTTGCAGGCAGCTGTGGGGCCAGAGGAATGAAGGAAGGTCCTGGAGTCTAGCTGCATGTGTGACCCTGGAGTGGGTCATGGGCGAGGGACGGGCCGCAGGTGAAGAATCCCTGGATGGAGCTGCCAGGCCCCTGGGGCTGAGAATTGAAGCTGGCTGGTGTTTTAGGTTGAACGTCAGGAGTCTTGTATCTCACCCCAGGCCTCTGGCCTCAGTTTCCCCATCTGTACAGTGGGACTGTTTGTGCAGCCAGCCCGGCCAGCTTCATTTGCCATGATGAGAATTTATCTGAGGGGCGGGAGAGGAAAGCCCTCCCTATAAAGGTACAGGCGCTAAAATGTCGTGACCTCAGTGGTCCACCTAAAAGTCGTTCTGGCCTGGGTCATCGCCTGTCGTGCTATGCCTTTGTCCAGCCCCTTCTGGTTGGGAGTTAAGTGGCACCTGTGCGGCACGTGGTGGGGCTGTGGCCCAGCCCTGCTCCTTGTGGAAGGTCTGTTTCCTGGGCTGCCTAGAGACTTGGCTTGAAGCCCTAGCGTGGCTTCCTGGCAGTTGGGACACACACAGCCCCAACACATGGAGCCGGTTCTCCATCCAGAAGCCCCCGGGCAGTAAGCAGCCACTTCAGGCTGCGTGGGACTTGCCCGTGGTGGAGCCTAGGAGAGGCCCCTGGCTGGGCGTGGCGTTCCAGATTTCACGGCTGCTCTTTCCCACTGACAGTGTGGTGTGGACGCTGCCAAGGGAGTCTGGAGCCCCAGAGGGTGGAGGTGCAGGACTTCCAGGAGCGTCCGTCGCACTCCACCCGAGGGCGAGCACCTCAGTGGCCGCAGTGGGTGGATGCATGCTGTGCCAGGCTGATGGCTGGCCCCGGGGCACAGGCCTGAGCGGGAGAGGATGGAGGGGAGGGATCAATGGTCCAGGTCCCCCTGGCCACCCAGCATTCATCCTCAGTCATGCACGGCCCAAGGCTTCGACAGCCATTGATCATGGAAGGCCAGGTTCACCTCAAGGGCTGCCACATGGAGAGGTTAAGTCTGAAAAGGCTGAAAAGGCAGGGTTCAAAGGGCCTCCTGTCCAGATCAGATGGCACTGAATTCCCCAGGGAGCTGGCACGGCCAGTGGGAACAGGCGGTGAAGGCGCTGTTGGACATGGGGACGGGCAGGGGGTGTGCAGGGTGGGCGGGCAAGCATCTGGTGTCTTGTGGCTCCAGAGACCAGGTGGGAGGTGGAGGCATTTGGTCCTGAGTGTCCTGACAGGTGATGGCAGCTCCCACATCTCGCTCAGGTTCAGAGGAGGCAGCATGGGCCGAGGGACAGTTTTTGGCTTAGTCTTGCTCTTATAAAGGCTTCCGGGTCATGGCACCTGGGAAGGGGCCCTCGCTGCAGGCCCCTTCTAAGGACCCCCTCTTCCCACCTCTCCCCACCCTCTCTCTCTCAGGACTGCCTCCGGGCCTGCCAGGAGCAGATCGAAGCCCTGCTGGAGTCAAGCCTGCGCCAGGCCCAGCAGAACATGGACCCCAAGGCCGCCGAGGAGGAGGAAGAGGAGGAGGAGGAGGTGGACCTGGCTTGCACACCCACCGACGTGCGGGACGTGGACATCTGAGGGCGCCAGGCAGGCGGGCGCCACCGCCACCCGCAGCGAGGGCGGAGCCGGCCCCAGGTGCTCCCCTGACAGTCCCTCCTCTCCGGAGCATTTTGATACCAGAAGGGAAAGCTTCATTCTCCTTGTTGTTGGTTGTTTTTTCCTTTGCTCTTTCCCCCTTCCATCTCTGACTTAAGCAAAAGAAAAAGATTACCCAAAAACTGTCTTTAAAAGAGAGAGAGAGAAAAAAAAAATAGTATTTGCATAACCCTGAGCGGTGGGGGAGGAGGGTTGTGCTACAGATGATAGAGGATTTTATACCCCAATAATCAACTCGTTTTTATATTAATGTACTTGTTTCTCTGTTGTAAGAATAGGCATTAACACAAAGGAGGCGTCTCGGGAGAGGATTAGGTTCCATCCTTTACGTGTTTAAAAAAAAGCATAAAAACATTTTAAAAACATAGAAAAATTCAGCAAACCATTTTTAAAGTAGAAGAGGGTTTTAGGTAGAAAAACATATTCTTGTGCTTTTCCTGATAAAGCACAGCTGTAGTGGGGTTCTAGGCATCTCTGTACTTTGCTTGCTCATATGCATGTAGTCACTTTATAAGTCATTGTATGTTATTATATTCCGTAGGTAGATGTGTAACCTCTTCACCTTATTCATGGCTGAAGTCACCTCTTGGTTACAGTAGCGTAGCGTGCCCGTGTGCATGTCCTTTGCGCCTGTGACCACCACCCCAACAAACCATCCAGTGACAAACCATCCAGTGGAGGTTTGTCGGGCACCAGCCAGCGTAGCAGGGTCGGGAAAGGCCACCTGTCCCACTCCTACGATACGCTACTATAAAGAGAAGACGAAATAGTGACATAATATATTCTATTTTTATACTCTTCCTATTTTTGTAGTGACCTGTTTATGAGATGCTGGTTTTCTACCCAACGGCCCTGCAGCCAGCTCACGTCCAGGTTCAACCCACAGCTACTTGGTTTGTGTTCTTCTTCATATTCTAAAACCATTCCATTTCCAAGCACTTTCAGTCCAATAGGTGTAGGAAATAGCGCTGTTTTTGTTGTGTGTGCAGGGAGGGCAGTTTTCTAATGGAATGGTTTGGGAATATCCATGTACTTGTTTGCAAGCAGGACTTTGAGGCAAGTGTGGGCCACTGTGGTGGCAGTGGAGGTGGGGTGTTTGGGAGGCTGCGTGCCAGTCAAGAAGAAAAAGGTTTGCATTCTCACATTGCCAGGATGATAAGTTCCTTTCCTTTTCTTTAAAGAAGTTGAAGTTTAGGAATCCTTTGGTGCCAACTGGTGTTTGAAAGTAGGGACCTCAGAGGTTTACCTAGAGAACAGGTGGTTTTTAAGGGTTATCTTAGATGTTTCACACCGGAAGGTTTTTAAACACTAAAATATATAATTTATAGTTAAGGCTAAAAAGTATATTTATTGCAGAGGATGTTCATAAGGCCAGTATGATTTATAAATGCAATCTCCCCTTGATTTAAACACACAGATACACACACACACACACACACACACAAACCTTCTGCCTTTGATGTTACAGATTTAATACAGTTTATTTTTAAAGATAGATCCTTTTATAGGTGAGAAAAAAACAATCTGGAAGAAAAAAACCACACAAAGACATTGATTCAGCCTGTTTGGCGTTTCCCAGAGTCATCTGATTGGACAGGCATGGGTGCAAGGAAAATTAGGGTACTCAACCTAAGTTCGGTTCCGATGAATTCTTATCCCCTGCCCCTTCCTTTAAAAAACTTAGTGACAAAATAGACAATTTGCACATCTTGGCTATGTAATTCTTGTAATTTTTATTTAGGAAGTGTTGAAGGGAGGTGGCAAGAGTGTGGAGGCTGACGTGTGAGGGAGGACAGGCGGGAGGAGGTGTGAGGAGGAGGCTCCCGAGGGGAAGGGGCGGTGCCCACACCGGGGACAGGCCGCAGCTCCATTTTCTTATTGCGCTGCTACCGTTGACTTCCAGGCACGGTTTGGAAATATTCACATCGCTTCTGTGTATCTCTTTCACATTGTTTGCTGCTATTGGAGGATCAGTTTTTTGTTTTACAATGTCATATACTGCCATGTACTAGTTTTAGTTTTCTCTTAGAACATTGTATTACAGATGCCTTTTTTGTAGTTTTTTTTTTTTTTATGTGATCAATTTTGACTTAATGTGATTACTGCTCTATTCCAAAAAGGTTGCTGTTTCACAATACCTCATGCTTCACTTAGCCATGGTGGACCCAGCGGGCAGGTTCTGCCTGCTTTGGCGGGCAGACACGCGGGCGCGATCCCACACAGGCTGGCGGGGGCCGGCCCCGAGGCCGCGTGCGTGAGAACCGCGCCGGTGTCCCCAGAGACCAGGCTGTGTCCCTCTTCTCTTCCCTGCGCCTGTGATGCTGGGCACTTCATCTGATCGGGGGCGTAGCATCATAGTAGTTTTTACAGCTGTGTTATTCTTTGCGTGTAGCTATGGAAGTTGCATAATTATTATTATTATTATTATAACAAGTGTGTCTTACGTGCCACCACGGCGTTGTACCTGTAGGACTCTCATTCGGGATGATTGGAATAGCTTCTGGAATTTGTTCAAGTTTTGGGTATGTTTAATCTGTTATGTACTAGTGTTCTGTTTGTTATTGTTTTGTTAATTACACCATAATGCTAATTTAAAGAGACTCCAAATCTCAATGAAGCCAGCTCACAGTGCTGTGTGCCCCGGTCACCTAGCAAGCTGCCGAACCAAAAGAATTTGCACCCCGCTGCGGGCCCACGTGGTTGGGGCCCTGCCCTGGCAGGGTCATCCTGTGCTCGGAGGCCATCTCGGGCACAGGCCCACCCCGCCCCACCCCTCCAGAACACGGCTCACGCTTACCTCAACCATCCTGGCTGCGGCGTCTGTCTGAACCACGCGGGGGCCTTGAGGGACGCTTTGTCTGTCGTGATGGGGCAAGGGCACAAGTCCTGGATGTTGTGTGTATCGAGAGGCCAAAGGCTGGTGGCAAGTGCACGGGGCACAGCGGAGTCTGTCCTGTGACGCGCAAGTCTGAGGGTCTGGGCGGCGGGCGGCTGGGTCTGTGCATTTCTGGTTGCACCGCGGCGCTTCCCAGCACCAACATGTAACCGGCATGTTTCCAGCAGAAGACAAAAAGACAAACATGAAAGTCTAGAAATAAAACTGGTAAAACCCCAGCGTGGTGCCTGCCTCTTTGCTTCCTGGGCTGGCCGTGAGCCAGGGACGCGTGTCCTGGTGCCCTAGAACCAGGGCAGGGTGGCAGGCTTGGCGGATGTGGGAGGCCGCAGCCTGTCCTGTGCGCTGTGGGAAGTTCAGCAGCATCCTGACCTCCATCCCCGGGATGACAGTCACGCCACCCGCCGTGACAACCAAGAATGTCTCCTGACACTGCCACATCCCCGGGGGTGGGGACAGAATCCAGCCAGGAGCAGGCACACCCCTCCCAACTGGGAGGAAGCCCTCAGCACAGGTGTGTGAGGTGGGAGGCGGTGTCCTGTCCCCGGGAGGCTCCAGAGAATAATTTGCAGGCTGCCTGGCTGGGTGAGCCCACCTCCAACCACGCGAGACAACAGCTCCGGCCTGGGTGACGTGAGCGGTGCCCATTGATGGGGAACATCTTCCCCCTCTTCCTTGCCCCACCAGTTTGTCTTCCCGGGTTATTTGCAGATAGGAAAATAAATAAAGCCGGCATTCGTTAACCCTCTTCTGGCGCAAACTGCTGTTTGCTCTGGATGAATCATGGTCCTTTGGCGACGCCAGGCTCCGGGAGAGCAAAGCACCGTGTCAGGGCCATGATCCGGGGTGGCCTTTCACTGGGATCGTGGGGACCTGGAGGCCGCCTTATAGGACACCCATGACGCCCACCTCTGGATTTCAGGTGCACGTGACTGGACTTAACTTCAAACCCCAGGGTGGAGGCAGGTAGTGGGAGTGCCCTGGGAAGGTGTCCTCGGACCTTGGTCACTGCTCCTGAACCCATCTGTGAGGCTGGTTTGTCCTCATCCCAAGCTAAGTGGAAGCTCAGGTCCCAAGCCACCGATGGGTGCTACTTGTCAGCTGCAGGTTGAATCTCCGTGGCCTTTATGAAGCACCTGCTGTCTACCCTTCCTGCCTTGTAGAGCACTCCTCCCAGGGCTCAACAGTGGGGCCGGGGTGGTCGGTGTGTTGGCTCCACAGGCGCCTGCCCTGGGAGGAAGGTGGGGTGTGGAGGGAAACGCTTGGCCCCTGTAGGTCTCCACCAGCCTCTCCCCTGAGGGTGGGGGCTCCGGGAGCCTTCCTCGAGGGAGTCCTATATTGAGTGGGTGGGGGAGCCTGCAAGGTGCCCCTGACAGGTCACATCAGAAAGAGCTCAAGGGACAGTCGGAGCCAGAGGTGACACTGGTGGCCACTCGGGTGGCTCACAAGGCCCAGCTCCTCCTTGCTCCTGGGCAAATTACTCTGAAGGCAGGGACCAGGTCTGCACCATTGCGGCTCTCCAGTTCCAGGCAATGGCCAGGTCCTGTGTCAGGGCTGGGGTCCTAGGGAAGCCATGTCCCCACCCCCGGCCTGCAGCTGGGTTTACATTCATCCCCCGAGAGCACATGGGTGTAGCAGGAGGCCTGTGCAGAGAGCTCCGACCATCGCACAGGGCACCTTTGGTTGTTTCACGGAGCAGGCAAGGGAGCCATCGGATCCTGTTAGGTTTGAGCAAGGATGTGGGGAAGAAGCTGGAGAGCCACTTTGCCATGCAGGGAGAGGAGCACATGGGTCTAGGGATCTACTTTAGTGTTTGGAAGGTTTTTTAAGATGAAAGAGGGATGTGTAGGCTGATAGGTCTGGCAGAGCCAAAAGGCAGCGACATGTCTACTGGGAGAGATGGAGCTGAGCGCGGGGCTCAGGCAGGGTGGCAGGGCAGGGCCGGGGCCCTGGGTGGGTCAGGTGGGTTCACAGCCAAGTGTGTAGAGAGGGCTTGGGCCCAGAGTGAAGCAGTTGCAAGCTCTCCCACAACCCATTCTCTCTGTCTCGGCATCTGTGGCATCCCGTGATGGGTGGGTCTGTACACACCCCACCCCTGGCTGTGCCACAATGGGGGTGTCTGTACACCCCTCACCCCTGGCTGTGCCACGATGGGGGGGTCTGTACACCCCCCATCCCTGGCTGTGCCACGATGGGGGGTTCTGTACATCCCCCAGTGATGGGTGGGTCTATACATCGTGGTTATGCCACGAGCTCCAAGGCTGTATCAGTCCGTTTTCACACTGCTAACAAAGACATACCCGAGACTGGGTAATTTATAAAGAAAAAGAGGTTTAATAGACTCACAGTTCTACGTAGCTGGGAGGCCTCACCATCACGGCGGAAGGCGAAAGGCCCGTCTTCCATGGCAGCAGGCAAGAGAGAATGAGACTCAAGTGAAAGGGGAAACCCCTATAAAACCATCAGATCTGCTGAGACTTGTTCACCACCATGGGAACAGTATAGGGGAAACTGCCCCATGATTCAATCACCTCCCACCGGGTCCCTCCCACAACACGTGGGAATTATGGGAGCTACAATTCAAGATGAGATTTGGGTGGGGACACAGCCAAACCATATCAAAGGCATCGTCTGGCCACTCTAGGCCCTTGTTCCCAACTCTCAAACTCCACTGACATCACCTCTGTGCCTGCAACCCCTCCTGGGATTCAGTGGAGACCTCGTCCCTTGTTGGAGTATCTGCGCTACCCAGAGGGTGATGGTAAAAACTGACCTTTGAGGAACTTCAGAGACAAAGCCTTCCGCAGTCAGCTCTCCCTGCAGCCCCTTCGCAGAAGCCTGTCCTCACACGCCCGCCACCCCTACCTGCCCTGCCTCCTGGCCCATCTCCCTGCAGCCAGACAGTCCTCATCCATTCTTCATCCTCTGCCCCCAACCCCCAGCCTTCCTATCTCCCTTCAGCTCCGTCCAAGGTCCCTGGGACTCAGCCCCATCTCTCCCCAGCCTTGACCCCAATAAGCTCGATGTCTTTGCCCAGGAGCTCCTGACACACCAGACTGCATCCAGCTTCCTGTTCTGCGCTTGGCCCACCGCCTCGGTCCACAGGAACCTTCATCTCTGCTCTGACTGTAAGGATGGGCTCTCTGAGGGCTTCCCCACCCCACAGCAGGCAGGTGGTTCTGGGAGTCTGGGATTGTCATGCCTGGGCACCTTCCTGCTCTGGCTGAGCCCCTCCAGGACGGAAATCTCCCAGATTTCTCTCTGCCTCCGTCTCCCCACCCTGGCATACAGTGGGTCCTAGGAAGGGGGCCGAATGGAAGGGAGGTCGTGTCGGCTCCTACAGGGCAGCCCCAAGCTGCTGGGCTGAGGTGCAGAGCCATGGGTCCAGCCTGACCCGCATGCCGGGAGCTGATTCCATGGCTGGAAGGGTCGGGGGTTCCCCAGGAGCCCAGACAGCACCTAGAGTTGTCACAAGGAGTGAAAGGCCCTGAGGGGACAGAGGAAGGAGGCTGGGCAGAGTGGGCACGTGGACTTCGGACCGCGCTTGTGGGATAACAGTGGCTAGGGCTGTGCAGAGGGTGGTGCACTGCCCATGGGAGTCCAGAGAAGCCAGGTCCAGTGGCAGTGGCATGCATCCGGCAATCCCTCCGGCTACCCTGCATGCAGCGTGACCCTCCTTGAAGCACCCCAGGAAGCAGTCACAGCCTCGCTCTGCCCAGCATTGGGGGCCTGGCCTCTGAATCTGGTGGGGAAGGCTGTGTTGCCTGCTGGCACCCGCTCTATCACCAGTCCCACCATAAGGCTAGTCCCCAAAGTCAGCACTGCAGCCAGGGCCAGCGAGGGCCAGCAAGGGCAGGCCTGTGCAGGGGCTGCAGCGTGGGGTGTGCGTCCCGCACTCTGGGCCAGCCTCGCAGCTCACAGGGCTCTGTCATCCCAGGAATGTCTTTGATCAAGAGTTTATGCAAGACGAGGAAAGCAAGCCCAGGACCTCTAATCCGTTCCCACAGTCCCCTGCCCGCCAGGGCCCCACAAGCCCAGCGCCACACCGCCAGGCCTGAGCAGACAATAGCAGGCGGACGGGTGGGCGGGCAGCTCTGGGGCCGCTGGCCTTGGGGCCCACATCCGGGAGCATTGTCACCGCCACTCACGAGGGCACACAAGGAGGGCTGGGGAAGAGAGAATGCAGAGCCCTCTGCTGAAGGGGCTTCGGTGGGCCTTGAGCCTTTCAAAGACGGCGGTGTCCATTAATCCTTTTAATTTGCACCTA
Source organism: Homo sapiens (assembly GCF_000001405.40). Classification (NCBI taxonomy): domain Eukaryota; kingdom Metazoa; phylum Chordata; class Mammalia; order Primates; family Hominidae; genus Homo; species Homo sapiens. The sequence continues at coordinate 69,658,521 of NC_000011.10, forward strand.
GCGGCAGCTGAGACAAGCCTCTCAACCGGCAGCCACTTTAAGAGCTGAGTGGTCTAACCCGAGGATCAGCTCCTATTCCAGACCCTGGGCCCTCTGAGCCTGTCGAGGCAGTCCTCCTTGCCTTTGTTTAATCACGGGAGGAATCGCAGCTGGAGGTTACTGAGCACGCACTGTGTGCCTTGTGCTCAACACCGAACACAGTTTCTCTCTGAGTTTTGCAACGACCCCATGGGTTGGTGACAGGGAGGGGACACTCTGGTGGCAGCCACAGACACAGCCCTGCCCTCCCAGAGCCTACACTCTCCCGCACACAATCATCCCATCTGCTAGGTCAGGGATTGGCAGGTTTTCTGGAAAGGGCCACAGAGAGAGGCTTCAGGCTTTGTGGGCCACAGGTTCTCTTGCCCTGTGCAAAAGCAGCTGCAGCCGCTCTGTGAATGAGTGAGCATGGCTGTGTGCCAATAAAGCTTTATTTACAAAAATAGGCAGCAGACTGGATTCAGGCTGAGGGTGGTAGTTTGCCGACCCCTGTTGTAGATGAGTAAACCGAGGCCCAGAGAGGTAAAGTAACTGAGCCAGGACTGCACAGCTAGTGTGTGACCAAGCCAGCCTGGTGGGTCAGCCTCATGGAGAAGAAAAGGCTCAAGCTTCAAAAAGGGAAATGCACGGAGGCTTCATTGGGCCATTTGCAGCCAGGCCCCACGCACACAGCTCAGGGCCCTGCTTCGCCAGCTCCACCTGTTTCGAGGCTCCCAGTAGGTTGCCCCTGCGGGCGGCACTGTGTCTTGGCTGCTGGCCTGGAGAAGGGCAGCCAAACAGGCCGGCAGTGGACATCTGAGGGTGACCAGCTGTTTAAAAAGAAAACTCACCGGCATGTATAGGCACACATTAAGCACACACGTTTTGGAGTAAAAGGCCCTGGGGTTGGATCTCGGATCTGCAGCTTTCCAGCTGTGCGGCCTCATTTCTCTGGGCCTCAATGTTCACACCTATAACATGGGGAAATCCTGCAAGAACACAGCCCATGATGGGGAGTCGTCTCCATCTCCTACTCACGACAACGACCAGCACAGAACGGGGGCTCCATAAATCTCTGTCAATAACTGAATTCTTTCTGGGGTGCTGAGGATTCTATGGCTCAATGTGTGTGAAGCACTGCTGAGCACCGAGCTTGGGGTGCAGTGATCACTCAGGGAACGCCATCATCCCCTCGGCGCATCCGCATAATCACCATCAGCATTCCATGCACTGCCCAGGTCTGGAAGCACAGGCCTCCATGCCACGGCGGCCGCCTGGGTGGTGGCACCAAAGCCGATCTTACTTCCCTCCTTTGGCACATTAAGTAGACAGTTCTGGGTCTTCTTGACACCACGGATGCCCCCTCCTGGTGTTGACAGCACCCAGACTTTGCTCCAGGGAACCACCATTCCCAGATCTGTGGTTTGAGTGGGACCGAACCCATCCCCAGCTCCAGGCCAGGTCTTCATAGGCTGAAACCCAACTGCACATCCACACCCACCAGAAGAGCAGCAAGTTAATGGATGGGTGAGAAATCAAATAGAGCCATTGAGTCTTGAGGAGACATTTTCTGGAGCTTCTGAAAAAGATAATGCTTCCCCCTTCCTTAGGATTCCCAGCAGGGAAACACAAGCCCAGGGGTGGCACTGCCCCCCTGCAGCCCTAAGGGAAGACTGAGCTGCTCCCAGGACCTCACAGGGGAGGCTGAGCGTAAGGCCAGCCCTGAGGGAAAGCAGGGAATGGGTCTCCAGACAAACTGCTGGATCAAGCCTCTCCTGAAGTCATCCCCCTTTTGTTCCAGAAGCCAATCATTGTCCTTCATTAAGTCAGTTTGATATGGGCACTGTGTCATTTGGTTTTCAAAGACACTTAACTATTACAGCTTGTGTGTGTTTTCTTTTTTTTTTTTTGAGACGGAGTCTCACTCTCGCCCAGGCTGGAGTGCAGTGGCCTGCTCTCGGCTCACTGCAAGCTCTGCCTCCCGGATTCACGCCATTCTCCTGCCTCAGCCTCTCGAGTAGCTGGGACTACAGGCGCCCGCTACCACGCCCAGCTAATTATTTGTATTTTAGTAGAGACCGGGTTTCACCGTGTTAGCCAGGATGGTCTCGATCTCCTGACCTCGTGATCCACCCGCCTCGGCGTCCCAAAGTGCTAGGATTACAGGCGTGAGCCACCGCACCCGGCCGCTTGTGTGTGTTTTCTACCTCTTCTAGATCTAACATGTTATGATTGATATAAACAACAGGAGCGACTGACAAAGTTACCATGTGATCTTGGAATTTCAACATGCCTGTCTTGCTTAGCTGGGAGTTCCACAGGGTCAGGGAATGACTCCTCTTGGGGCCACCAGTGCCCAGAAGTATGCCTAGAACTGCTCTGTCTGAAGGGACAGGTCCCTCTTCCATGGCACACACTCTGTGTGTAACAGAGCACACGTGTGACCAAACTGACCTGGAGAAAGGGCCTGACCACATCCATATCCCAAGTTCTGAGGCCGGATAGTGCCTGCAGGGGCTGAGACCAGGGGAGAGGCTCAAGCCAGCCTTCTCTGGTGGACCCTGACTCAGTCCTCTGTGCAGGGCAGCTGCGCCTCCCAGAAGGCAGAGGCCTCTTGGAGAGTGAGCCTTGCGGTCACAGCGCCTTTCGGGGGCTCCCGCCACTTGCCCTCAGTGGCGGCTGAGACCTGGGGGAGTCCAGGCAAATCCCTGAGGAGGCCCCACATGCAAGGCCAGAAGTGTCTGGATGGTGTGGCCGGCACCCTTACCCTCCAGACCAGCAAACGAAGCCCAGGCAGGGAGAGGGGCCTTGTAGTTTTCTGTGGCTGCTGTAATGAATTTTCACACACTCAGCAGCTTAAAACAACCAACATTTCTCTCATAGTTCCAGAGGCCAGCAGTGTCTGCAGTGCCCGCTCTCTCCCAGCTTCTGGTGGTTTCGGGCGACCTTCGGCTCTTCTCAGCTGGTCCATGCGCAGCTCCAAACTCGGCCTCTGTCCTCACAGGGCTATCGGCCCCATGTCTTCACGTGGCAGTCTCTCCTCTGTGCCACTGGCTCCCGTCCCCTTAAAAGGACACCAGTCATATTGGACGAAGGGGCCACCCTACTCTAGTATGACCTCACCTTAACTTACATCTTTTTTTTTGGGGGGGGACAAAGTCTTGCTCTGTTGCCTGAGCTGGAGTGCAGTGACGTGATCTCAGCTCACTGCAACCTCCGCCTCCCGGGTTTAAGTGATTCTCTTGCCTCACTCAGCCTCCCGAGTAACTGGGAAATACAGGCACCACCATCATGCCTGGCTAATTTTTAAATTATTATTCTTTTTAGTAGAGAGAGGGTTTCACTGTGTTGGCCAGGCTGGTCTCCAACTCCTGACTTCGTGATCCACCTACCTTAGCCTCCCAAAGTGCTGGGATTACAGGCGTGAGCCACTTCGCCTGGCCCAATTTACATCTTAAAAAAATCTACAAAGACCCTATTTCCTATTTCCAAGTAAAGTCACAGAAGCTAAAGTACCAGAAGCTAGGACTTCAACGTTTCCTTTTGCGGATACAATTCAATTTGCAACAGACTTGGGCTCTCAAAGCCTGGAAGCAGCCTCCACAGTCCCCTCGAATTTCAGGGGCACATACTCACTGGAACCAGCAGAGGGACATCAATCCATGAGCCTCTAGCTCAGCAAGCATCACATACTCTACATGTTCAGGTATCGCCTGAGATAAAGGCTTCCATCCCTGCAACCCAAGCCCAGCTGCTCTGGTAAAGGGTGCCAGAGAGACACAGCCAAGGCGTTATCCTGATGGGGGTGTCACCAAGGGGTAGACGCCAAGGCCTCGATGCCACCTGAGTTTACCAGCCGGGGAGAGTTAAGAAAAAGTGTATGCGCAAGGAGCGGCTTTCCTTCTTGGAAGTTAATCTGAGAGGTCCCAGCGGAACCCTTAGTCACGCTGGCTTGGACAACTCACTGAACCCTTGAGGCCTGGCTCCTCGCCTGCAGGCCCCGTGTCCTGTGAAGCACCAAACACAGTGACCCATTTTTCTCAGATCTTAAGAACTCTGTGACTTCAGTTTCCTGAGTCACAAACCAGTTCCTCATTTGATTCATTAAGGACCAGAATAACGGTGGGAATTAGGATAAGCTTGCGTGATCATGACACTTTTTGGTATCTCCAGATTACGTTGGCGTTTTCAGGTAGAGTGGGAGAGACTTCTCCGCGGTGTTGTGAGGCCAGATGAACGCTCGCAAAGCTCAGTACGAAGGTCATCTCCTCCTTTGCCCACCTTCTCATTCCCTCCCCTCCCCTGGGCTCCCAAAGTGCCAGAGGCGTCGCTAGGAGAGACCTGCTCACGGGGTCTGGGGCAGCTAAAGACCCATCCAGGCACTGCCTCTCCTACAGGCTGCCAGCATGGATCCTTTTCCATAAATTCATCTGCTTTTGCCTCAATCTGGCCTCAGTCTGCTAGATCAGGGGGTCCCCCATCCCCAGGCTGTGGACCGGCACCAGTCCATGACCAGTTAGGAACCGGGCCCCACAGCAGGAGGTGAGCAGCAGACAAGAGAAGATTACCGCCCGAGCTCCGCCTCCTGTTAGATCAGCAGCGGCATTCGATTCTCATAGGAGCGGGAACCCTATTGTGAATTGCACACGTGAGGGATGTAAGGTGCGTGCTCCTTACAAGAATCTAATGCCTGATGATCTGAGGTGGAACAGTTTCATCCCCAAACCATCCCCCACCACCAAGCCCTGTCCATGGAAAAACTGTCTTTCACAAAACCAGTCCCTGGTGTCAAAAAGGCTGGGGACTGCTGTGCCAGATGCAAGACTGGTCCTGAAGACAGGCTGCAAATTCCCAGAAAAACAAGCCTCTGCATTGACGAAGAAGACATGTCTAAAATAACGGCCTCAGGAAGCGAATCGTTCATGCAACCTGCTCAAGCCCTGCTGCGCCCCATCAAGCCTGAAGTTGGCCACTTACTGTGACCACTAGACTTGTTCTCAGCCGGGCCTCATATCTCTGCAAAGTGAGGGTGGTAGCCCTGCCTCCAGCACTGGTGGATAATCCTGGTAAAGGGCAGGCCACCAGCAGCCACTCAGCAAATAGGCCTCTTGTCCCTTCTTCCATATCTCATCATTCTTTTCTTGCCACTGGTTAGAGAAAAAAATGTCAAGGGGTGAATGTAAAATAAAGTGAAATGTGGTCGTGTTTTAGGACAGCAGTGTGGCCCTTGGGCAGTTCCCTTTGGCCATCCAGTGACTCTGAGAGGTGATTCCAAAGTGGAGAGTTCAGTGGAGGACTGACTACTCTTGCTTGTGCCTAGATGTTAACATTCTAGAAAAAACTAATTGAAATAACTTCAACTTTTACATGAAATGGCTTTCTCTTCTCCCGAGTCCCAATTCAGCAGTCTATCCAGCAGCCACAGCCAGGGTCCTGTGAGGGGCTGAACCGTGTCCCCACAAAACTTGTGTGGAAGCCTTAGCCCCCAGTGCCTCAGAATGTGACTGGAGAGTGAGGTCTTTAACAGGTAACTAAGTTCAGATGAGGCTGTAAGGGTGGGCCCAAATGCAATCTGACTGGGGTCCTTATAAGAGATGAGGACACACACAGTGGAAAGACGTAAGGACACGGGGGGAAGGTAGCTGTCTGCAAGGCAAGGAGAGAGGCCTCAGGAGGGAGCAGCCCTGTGACACCTTGATCTCGGACTCCAGCCTCCAGAACCGAGAGAAGATGGACCGCTGTTGAAGCCACCCATCAGTGGTGCTGTGGTGGCAGCCTGAGCTGAGACAGTGGCAGACGACACGCTGGGAGCTTCTGACAGGAAGGAAGGAGCAGGCCAGAGCCTTGGGAAACCAACCGCAAGGGATGCAATCCAACCCCAGGAGCTCCCAAACTCAAAGCCACTCTGGACAAAGGCTGATGTCTGGAACTAGCGGGACGGGATGGGCCTGGCAGGGATGGGGAAGACAGCAAGCAGACTTTGTCCGCAAACAGCGGACACCCAGGGCCACAGCCTTGCAGGACTGGGACGGGTAGCGCTCACAGGTGTGAGCAAGGTGGCTCAGGGCTGGTGGGAACAGCAAGCAGTGGCACCGAGGACGCAGGTTCTTCCTAGCTCTTCACTCTGCCAGGCTCAGGGGTGGCTTCAGCTGTAGCCAGCCTGCAAGATGCCTGGAGCAGTTCTAGCTGCCGCATCCCAACAGGATGATGTCCAAAATAGCACCAGCACCTTTTCTTTGGAATGACGTAACCTTTCCCAGAAGCCCCCGGAGGACCTTCTGCCAACTCATCTCCTTAACCCAGCAGACACAGCCATTCTAAGAGTGGGCCACTGTGCTGGGGACTGGTCGGACCCTCTACTAACACCTCATTAGCAGAAGAGGAGACACAGACATGCTCATTCCCAGTGTAAAAGCTGAGGATGGCGTTGCCTGGATACGACGGAAGCACCTGTTACAGTGGGCTCTGTCCATACTGCAATGTTGGCGGTGACCAAGGGCTCCCGGAAACTGGGTCTCGTCCTCTAGAAAGGGGCCAGGCAGGCGTAGGTCAGCAGAGTGTGTGAGAATCTTGAAGATGAGGAGGCAGCCCTGGCTCCCATGTGAGGCAAACCAGAGGAGGAAGTGGCAGTATGCTGCTCAGCCAGCTGTGCCAAAGAGGCAGAGAGGGAGTAGGGAGAGAGAACAGGAGACAGAGACGGGAGAAGAAAAAAGAGGAGAGGAAGGGAGAGAAGGTGGGGGACAGTGGGCATAGAGATGTCTCGGGGAGGGTGGATTAGTAATAGCTGCTGACAGGTGGCTGGGCCAGGTGAGCAGGAGCTGACCAGTCCCCAACACAATGGGAGCACTCTCGCAGTGGCTGTGTCTACGCTAGGTTAAGGAGACAAGCTGGCAGAAATCTAAGGCCCATGTCTTCCTTCATATCCAGATCCTAAATGCCCTGGAGGAAGAAATAAACTGGCTGGATGTTGTGTTATAAATGATGCCGTGTTATAAATGACGTTGTGTTATAAATGGTCCCAAACTTTCACTTTAAAATATGCTATTTACTTTTTTTACAGTTATAAAAATAATACATTATCAAAATAGACAACTTACAAAACACAAAAATCCACCAAGGGAAACACAGCAAAGGCCCCTGATCCCACCATCTAGAAAGAACGAGAGTCTTTCTGGCCCGAAGGCACCAGCTCTGATGAAGGCACAATGAGGAGATGCCAGCACAGACTTCCCCAGACCTGAGGTGACGCTACAAACGAGCGGTGCACAGCCACACACGCAGGTTTAGAGTTCGGGAGGAGGAGACCTAAGTCCTGTCTTCAAAAACAAAAAGCAGGCCGGGAGTGGTGGCTCATGCCTGCAATTCCAGCACTTTGGTAGGTGGACGTGGGTGGATCATTTCAGGCTGGGAGTTCAAGACCAGCCTGGCCAACAAGGCAAAACCCCATCTCTACTAAAAATACAAAAGTTACTTGGGCGTGGTGGGGGGCGCCTATAATCCCAGCTACTAGGGAGGCTGAGGCAGGAGAATCACTTGAATTCAGGAGGCGGAGGTTACAGTGAGCCGAGATCGCGCCAATACACTCCAAACTCGGCGACAGAGTGAGACTCCGTCTTAAAAGAAAAAACAAAACAAAAACAAAGCGAGCCACCGTGGAGATCCACCTGCCGCTGCTCCCGCGGGGGTCACTTCTCTGGCTCCTGCAGCCGGCAGCTTAGGCAGCACAACACAATCCACTAGGACATTCGGGAATGGTTTTAAAACCAAAGTGGATTCATGGCGACCCCTTAATAATCTCCTGGACTGCTTTCGGACATGCTTTCTGGAACAGGAGGGGTGTGGAGAGCCAGCGTGTGGGGACTTCGGTGACCCTGGGGGGGTACACAGGAGGGTGTGTGAACACGTGCCATCACATATGACCACCACTCGCCTCGTGGGGACCCACCGAACCATCCACTCTGCTCATCTGTGCCCACCCCACTGCCTCTGTATGACGCCTCGTAAGGACAGAGACAAAAGAGCTCCTAGGAGAGGGGAGAATGCAGGAGGCTATACGCATGGTTCTCAAAGCTTCTGCAAATATAACGGCGGCCTAACATTTGGTCTTTGGTTCAAAATATTTCCCCCCTTCACCATTTTTTAATGCTGCAAAGCTCATCGCCCCTCTAGGGACAGTGCAAAGGATATGTCTGGGTCCCCTCAGGATCAGGTTGGCCTTTCTTCCTCTCAGCCAGATGCCCAGGTAAACTGGCCACCACAGACTCCCCCGTGCTCCGTGAGGCTTGGCAGGACCTGTGCGGCCTGGGAGGGAGGGCAGGGACTCGCCTGTGCATTCCGGAGGCGGCTGTGCCTGGTGGCAGTGAGGCACAGCCTTAGGGCGGAAGTCCTAGCTCTGCTGCTGGGTGCCCTTAGACCAGGCAATCCCTTCGCGTCTCCCCTCCCTCCTCTGTAAAATGAGAATAACACCCATCTTGTGGGCTCCTGAAGGGATTAAATAACACACGGGAGGCACGTCCCGCACCGCCTGGCACACAATCGGCCTCGACATGCGGCACAGCACCCGTCCAAACCTCCCATGAGCCTCATTCGGGGCCAACCATCTCTCTCATTGCAAATAATAATAATAATAAAAATAACTGCCTTCAGTCCAGGCCTGGTGACTGACCCTATCCAGAGCCAACTCCAACCCAGAACCAGCTAGGCCTGTGCTGCCGGAGAGGCTGTCAAGTCAATGCACGAGGGCTCTGCCAGGGACGGCTTCAGCCCAACAAAGGGCATGTGTGGCGAGGCCCCAAGACGGGCACCAAGGTGACACAGGCAGAAAACCCCAGGGAAGGAAGCCCTCCCACGGCCGAACCGGAACCCTCACCCTCCCAATGAACAACTGCCTTCCCAGCACCGTCTGGCCCTTCACCGCATTTCTAAACACGTCACACACACATCTGTTCCTCGACGTTCGGTCTCTGTTCATCCATCCTCCTCAAAATGAAAGTCCGGAACCTTCTGCACTAATTTTAAAGTCTGGCTGAACATTGAGTAACGAACAAAACTGAAAACACAAAAGAGATGGTATTTTTAATCTTGTGCATTTTTACTGAAAAATGAGAAGATAACTCTATCTCTAGCTATAGCTTTTCCTGTCTATGTGGCCAGCCCATAAATGAGTTCTAACTCCTTTTCTCTGGACTGTCTTCAGTTTTCCTGCACTGCGACTCAAGGATGAGGCGCCTCTACGGACAGTTCCGCGGCGCACGCAGCCCCAGGCCATTGCCGCAGCGGCCCCGGGAGTGCGCTGCCCCGCCTGGGAAAGGCGCAATCAGGTGCTCCTAGCAGGAGGAAACACACAGTGCACGCACCTGTTTAAATTTTCCTCTGATCTTGTCTAAGTCTTCATGGAGTTTATCGTAAGTAGGGTCATCATAAGGGAATTTCTGGATCATTCCAATCAATGATTCTAAGACCTTCATCTTTCTGCTGTAAAGCACAGAAATACAGACTCTCAGTCATGTGCACACAACAGGCTCAACTTACACAACAGCTATGCTGCTGGCTTCCTGAAACCCAGCAGGTGCGCTAAGAATGCCTTCGTTCAAAAGCTGGATGATTATTTTCTCATTACACGAAATCATATTTATTTACCTAGCAACGAGCTTAGGCCCATACCCAGTGCCTCGACAGCAAGTGTGTGCCTAGCTTACAGACACGCCTCCATTCCGACCACGGGGCCAAGGGGCTGAGGCAGCCAGAAGCCCTGCTGACTCTCGAGGTCACACATGCAGAAACAGACAGAACTGGGCAAGAGGGACTGGGGCTGGGCACGAGCAGGCCTGCTCTGGGTCTGGGGATTTTCCAGGATCTGGATTCTTTGTGCTCAAAGCCTTCCAAAGTTCAGCTGCAGGTAAACCAGCAAACCCCTCCCTCCAAAGGCGGAAATCAGTACTGTCCCCTCCCCAGGGAGGAAACAGCTTTGCTGGGGAGGCAAGGAGGTTCTGCAGAAAGGCTGTGCACTCAGGAGACAGCAGCCCTGGGCATGACATCTCCCCAACACCTCTCTACCTGCTTTCAACCCTGCTGGCCTCATCTGTAAAATGGGGGGCATCCCAGCCTCCAGATGGTGAGAAATTAATTTCTGTTTTGTTTTTTTTTTTTTAATGGGGAGAGTAACAGCAACCTCACAGACTTTCAAGAGGATTAAATAACTGACATGGGCCGGGCTCGGTGGCTCACGCCTGTAATCCCAGCACTTTGGGAGGCCGAGGAGGGTGGATCACCTGAGGTCAGGAGTTCGAGACCAGCCTGACCAATATGGTGAAACCCTGTCTCCACTAAAAATACAAAAATTAGATGGGCGTGATAGTGTGTGCCTGTAGTCCCAGCTACTCGGGAGGCTGAGACAGGAGAATTGCTGGAACCTGGGAGGTGGAGGTTGCAGTGAGCTAAGATTGTGCCACTGCACTCCAGCCTAGGGGACAGAGTGAGAATCCGTCTCAAAAAAAAAAAAAAAAAAAATTGACATGAAGCTTGGACTCCAGCACAGAGTAGGTGCTCAATAAATGTTAGTCTCTTGGTCTCTTGGTTTCCTCTGGATCCTAGAGATCAGGGCTCTCACCTGCAGGGGTTTAAAAATAATCCACACATGTGTACATCTCGTGGGGCCAGGTCTTTTCAATGAACCACAGGTGGTCCTGAGAAGCATGCTGCCTCTATGCCGCATTGGACCATGTGAGTGGCCAGAGTAGGCAAGATACTCGATTAACGGGCATTTTAAAGAACTGACAGTTAGGATGAATCAACAGCAATTCAAAGCAACCAAGACCTCCTGTGTACTTGCAAACAGCTGGTGCTCCTGGATACAGAGAAGAGCAAGTTTGCCAGCAGCATCCAGTTTACAAGAGCTAACCATGGCTACCTCTCTGAGAAAATACAAAACTGTGAAAGGTCAAAGCAAGTCAGTTTTAGCAACAAAGCACCTGGTTTCCAGGGAAACCAAAGGGAGATGCCAAAACGTGGGAGGTGGCTGTATGCTAACCCGA